>NC_000005.10:10010000-11263424 GCF_000001405.40 Homo sapiens | reverse complement strand
GCATGTTATTAAGTATACTTTCAACACATCATTTTTACTGGCTTTAAATATTCTACTCTAGAGTTATGGTATTCTTTAATCATTTCCTTGGTTGCTCTATTTAAAATACACTTAAATTAAATACTGAGATGCATTTCATATTTGAAATACGAAATGGGCCATTATACAAAAGAGATTTTTAGTTATCTTGAAAGGTTTCAGAAGTCAGCAATAAAGTCAAGCAGGTTGAGATATCGATGCTGGGTCAATGGAAAAAGAAAATTTAGAATCAAGTCATCTTTGAATGGAGGTGGGCCAGCTAGAAGAGGTGTTCTCTTGTCATACACACAGATGATGGCTCTGCAATCCAAGGTCACATTTCAGGTGAAAGTTGCACTTATGTGGGCATCAAGTTTTCTTTCACCTCTGAAATGTTATGCTTTTGTGAGAGCCATCGGAAATTCGTTCTAGAGCATGTCAGGCTGTATGTAAATAAATTAAACGATTCTCGGCAGGAAAAGTCTTTTTTGAAGTTTCTAAAAGCCTATGTTGTTGAAAGGAGTTAGGGGGATCAGGGAAATCAGAAGTTCAGCCTGTGAATGGAAAATGTGTGGCAAAGAACACAATTTCAACAAATTTCGTTTCTTTCTTTCTTTCTTTTTTTTTTTTTTTTTTTTTTTTTTTGAGACAGAGTCTTACTCTGTCACCCAGGCTGGAGTGCAGTGGTGCGGTCTCGACTCACTGCAACCTCTGCCTCCTGGGTTCACGCCATTCTCCTGCTTCAGCCTCCCGAGTAGCTGGGACTACAGGTGCCCGCCACCACGCCCAGCTAATTTTTTGTATTTTTAGTAGAGACGGGGTTTCACCATGTTAGCCAGGATGGTCTTGATCTCCTGACCTCGTGATCCACCCGCCTCGGCCTCCCAAAGTGCTGGAATTACAGGCGTGAGCCACTGCGCCCGGCCAACACATTTAGTTTCAAAGATCAAATTGGCTTTTATTAATGATTCATGAACTGGGCAACATCCAGTCTAGAAAATAGTATGGAGCTCCACCAGGTATCTCAGAACAATTGTCTTCAGTAAGGCAGCTTTAGTAGGAACAAGGAGACAGCAGAGTGCAAAAAGCACATTGGTTACCTTCAGTATGGTGTGGGTTTAAGCAGAGGGGACTTCCCTATTATGTTGCTCAGGTTGACTGGGCCCTTTTGGTGGGTCAGTTACTGTGAAATCTCCTGGGTTTTGTTTTGAAAGGTTTGCTTGGAAATGTGGCCATCATTTCTCTCTTGGCTTCTGGGAAGGTCAGATCTTACACGTAAACAACTTACGTCTCGATTGGTAACGTGGAACTTTAGCATGAGTGACTCCACCTGGGGCCTCCTATCTTTTTTAACAGGTGCCTATGAAACTCTTGATCTCTATAATAGATAAATTATGAAATAAATAACTAAGGCGTAGATATGTTTTGACTCACCTTGATTTTATGATTAACTTAGACTTTCTACACGAGATACTTAACTTTAAATATTTATCTAACACCACTGGGCTGAGTAGTCATTGAGTTGTTTCACGGTGTATCACCCCATTATTTCAACTTCAAGTTGACTTTCAGGAAGGGAAAATTGTGGGCCCATTCACTCACAAATAAAAGCTGCAAAATCCATTATTTCTCATGCTCTCCCTTTCTTTCCTATTTACCAATACTAGTTGGTTATACTATAGTATTCTAACTTAGGTTAGAAAGACCAAGGTTTGCAGTGGTGGAAGATCCCCTATATCCATCTTGGGGTGGGTGAGACACGAGGATGTTTTGCCCTCGGGGCATCCCACCATCCAGAGCTAGAGAAACACATGACCCTTGGTTTGTTCAGCAGGATACTGAGAGGCTGCTTTAGTGTCTGAGATGGAGGCCAAATAAAAATGCTAAGTGACTCTGTCCTTTGGAGAGTTAACTGCCTTTTCAGCTGGTGGATTTTATAATTGGGTATTTGTCAGTCTCGATTGCAAAGCACCCGGGAGGACATTGGGTAGCTTGCCAGATCCTAAGCACAGTGTCAGTGTGCAACAAATAACAAATAAAGTATTCTCTCAGCGAGTTCTGGAGGAAGGAACTCCCAGAATATAAAGAGGCTCAAGCCCATGCCCCTTGTCTTGGGGCAAGACCAAGAGATCTGGCCTAGACCGATGAGAGGCTGGGACAAACGGCCAGCCCAATATCACTGTCACTAATGCTACCTGTGTCATTTGCCTCTGTGTGAAGAGCCATAATTTTAATTTTTTAGTTTTTGTTAGAGTAGAGGAAACCCCCACCAAGTCCTTTCTGGGCCAAGGTGAAGTATAAATTCACACAAGCATTCGCGTGACTGTGGCTGGGTATCATCTTGAAAATGTTAGCACCCTGCCTGGGATCAACCTGCATGCACCGAGCCAGACCCATCCCTCCAAGATGTGTGAGCCAATTCGACAGCTAAAACCTTGAGAGTCCTGCTCTCAGGCCCGTCATAATTACGGATATGTCAGAATTAATTTAATAACCTTTGTATGGATTCAGTCTTTACTCACCAACTCATCTATTATACTTCCCTATAATAGTAAATTTTATGTTACCCCCTTAATGATTGCCAATAAGATGGTTGTCCTTGTCACCTTGAATTTTTTTCAAATTGTTGATTGCTAAGGTTTGAATGTGTCCCTCAAAATTCCTGTGTTGGAAACTTAATCCCCAGTACTATCTTGTTGAGAGGTGGGACCTTTGAGTGGTGACTGGCTTATAGATTAATGTCATTATGTCAGGAGCAGGTATATTATTGTGAGAGTGGGTTCTCACTTGTGTGTGCTCTCTTGCCTTTTCCCCTTCGACTGTGGGATGAGGTAGCAAGAAGGCCCTCACAGATGAATTTTCTGTTATAGCCATATAAAACAGATTAGGACATTGATTGTCCTCTTTTTACATATATTACATGAAATTTTTAAATATTTTGATATTGTAAAAGATAATTTTACTGGTTTTTTTTCATTGGGTTTTCGTGTGAGACCTTGTGCTTTTAAGCCTTTTTTCTTAGTGTGTAAATAAAGCTCTTCGGAAGAAGCAACAAATTTAAAATATGTCGTTATTTTATACATTACAGTGGCAATTTGTAATTTAATAGCATCATATAGACAGGATCTTCCAAAGAGGTCTAAACACCAGGAAACAACATTCTGTCCATTTATCCTCTCAGCATGAGTCTTTGTCTATTTAAAATATATTTGCCTGCCTGCTATGTTTCTTCTCATTCCTATGGTCTGTTCTACTCCTCCTTCCTATCTCCATCACTTCACAGCAGCAAATATTAGATATGAACACATCATTCAAGGAAGGGCCATCTCGGATGTAATGAAACAGACTGATAGATTATTTCACTCACCATATGCAGAGCTGCATAGGAAAGTCATAAATGAGTTGGAAAAATTAAGTAGTAGTTGCAATATCTCCATTTTAGGACAATTTCTGAGTGGCTTAAAACGTGTTTATCCCTTTAAAAAATATTAGTGAAAAAGCACAGCAGATGAACAGCTCTCTGGGTCCACAGTCTTGATACAGTGAGCTAAATCCATTCCAGGCTGACTTTGAGGGTTGTTAACAACAAACTGATGGCCTCAACAAAGCGGTTCTTTTCAGATCTTTTATTCCTGTCTGAAGAGAAAGAATTCAGCAAAATCCAGGTGCTATTTGGACACATTGCATTATCTTCTTGACTCATTTGAAGAAGCTCTTTTTCAAATACAAACATGACTCGAGAACAACATAGCAAAAGCTCTTCCTATATGTCATTGCCATTTGCTGCATAACCAACCACCCCAACCCGTAGTGTCTAAAAGAACAGTGAATCTTCACCTCTCATGATTCTCTGTGTAGACTGGGCTTAGCTGGACAGTTCTGACTTGGGCAGTCTCATGAGCATGCAGTGAGATGTCAGTGGGCTGCATCATGTAATGGTCCCACAGGGCTGGATGTCCAGGATGGCACAATCTGGTGCAGGCAGGTGAAACTGCTGTCAACTGGGAGCTCAGCAGGGGCAATTGACCTAGCATCTTCTCTACATGGTGCCATCTTTTTTTTTGGCGTGGTGGCTGGGATCTAAAAGGGTATATCCCAGGAATAAACATCCCAAGAGACCCACATATACACACAGAGAGGGAGAAAGAGAGAGATTGATTTTAAAGAATTGGCTCATGCATTTGTGGGAGTTAGCAAGTCTGAAATCTGCAGGGCAGACCATCAGGCTGGAAACTCAGGCAGGAGTTACTACTGAAGTCTTGAGTTTTCGTTTTTCAACTGATGGTACAAGGCTCACCCATATTATTAAGGGTAACCTCCTAGACTTGAAGTCAACTGATTGTAGATGGTAATCCTAGCTACAAAATACCTTCAGGGCAACTTGTGGATTTGTGTTTGATTAAATCACGGGAACTGTAGCCTAGCCAAACAGAGCATGACCTACAAAAAGGATACACTGATTCATGTATTGGGGATAGATGAAGAATAGGAAGGAGACATAAGAATCTCCTAATTAGCTGATCTTTTCTGTGCAGAGGGAAATGAGAAGTAAGAAAGAAAAAAGATATGGAGAATGTACAGAATTTTTCTGTTGAAATGCACCTCTGACAAGACTTTATGAAATCTAAACATAGGAGTTCTGTTAATAATGACCTAAAATCCTCAGGTTTTGATTATTTTTTAAATTCTGCAATCTCAGAAAAACTCACTTTCTTCCACTTCAGAGGTGAAGAAACTGCTCATGAGTGTTTTTCATAACCTGCCACATTGAAAAAAACGCACACATAATCCTTTTCTGTGCAAAAATGAAAAGAGTAGACAAAGCGAAACTTACCAAGATTAGATCATTTTAATCTAATAAGGATGAAGTGATGACCAGGTTCGCTTGCCTTTGAGGGGCATGGAAGTCTTTTTCAGCTTTTGTAAGGTGTTTCTGTGTGACCCTGAAAAATTCACTGAACGGATTGGTGCCTGAGCATAAGCTTGTGAACAGTAATAGCAATGTTGATGAGTGAGTGTTTTAAAAGATTTTTAGATGACCAGATGGAAGCCATGATGCTGCCAGGGAGAGAAAAGAAAGGAGAGCAGGGGCCCATCCAGCCCCTCCAAATGCTTTGGGCCTGGTCAGCTCTCCATTCCCTCTTTGGGCCATATGTCGGCTGCCTCCCTGGCCTGTGGACATTGTGAAGATGCAGCATATGTTGGTTCCCTGATGGGCAGGACTTTGCACTACTCTGATATCTGGGATTGGTTAGAAGAAATCCATTCAGCCTAAGGTACGAGTCTCGCTTCCTGCCAACACGGCACTCAGGGATGCTACGCTGAAAGGATCTGACTTTCAGAGGGATCTAAGTTTGACTGAGACACCAGATCAGTTGAAGAGCATTATTCTCCCCCAGGAGTACAATGAACTGAAAGCGCTGCACCAGCTCTATTCCCCGATGGAAGAGGGCTTGGAGGAGTAATAGGAGAATGATGGCGATGTTGAAATGCATGAGGAGAGTTACTTAGCATGGAGACTGTCAGGTGCCTTACCATCTAAATAAGTGCAGTATTGCAGAGCTATAAGTGAGGAGCCAGCAGAAAATAGTCATTCGTTTGCCTGGCAAGGTTCATGGGACACTGAGAGGCAGGACATGCTGTAGAAAGCCCATCAACCATCAGGCTCCTGTTAGGGTGGGTGATAAGGTTTGGCTTTGTGTTCCCACCTGAATCTCATCTCGAATTGTAACCCCATATTCCTCATGTGTCTTGGGAGAAACCTAGTGGGAGGTAATTGAATCATAAGGGTGGTTTCTCCCATGCTGTTCTCATTGATAATGAGTGAGTTCTCAGGAGATCTGATGGTTTTATAAGCGTCTGGCATTTCTCCTGCTGGCACTTATTCTCTCTCCTGCTGCCCTATGAAGGGGTGCCTTCTGCCATGACTGTACGTTTCCTGAGGCCTCCCCGGCGATGCAGAACTGGCTCTTAAACCTCTTTTCTTTGTAAATTACCCAGTCTTGGTTATTTCTTCATAGCAGCATGAGAATGGACTAATACAGTAAATTGGTGCATGGTGATGAACTCTGAGAATATTCCCATGACTCCTGCAGTCTTATCACATGTGCCAATGGCTAATCATTCACTTAGGTGCTTGAACCAAGGAAACAAGAGGTAATTGCTGCACACCCTTTCCCATTCTTTCTTTCCTTCACAACACAATTCTGGACCAAAAATCACTGAGATTCAGTGGAGAAAACCTACTGCTACACCATTTGGCAATATTATTAGCAAGAAATAAGCCAACAAAGGTCTATGTAATATGACTAGAGGTCATACAGAGATTAATTTCCTGTGACCTTTCTCTTGCTGTATCAGAAATATTACCTTACATCAGTAATTCTCAACCAGAGATAATTTTGCTCCCCAGGGGACATTTGACAATGTCTGGACTTTTTTTAGTTGTCACAGCTTGGGGGAAAAGGGTGCTATTAGCATTTAATTGGTAGAGGCCAGGCATGTTGCATAAATATGTTATAAGGCAGGGCAGCCTCCCTTCCCAACCAAGAATTACCTGGCCCCAAATCTTAGTAGTGCTGAGGTTGAGAAACCCTGGCGTACACTGATGTTGCCCACTCTTTTATCCCACCTTGACCTCCTCATCCGTAGCCCCTGGGGCCAGTGGATATTATTCACTATGCCTCATTGGTATCCCGTAAATGTTTGCTGAATTAATGAATGGGGTTAAGGAGGAGCTATGGTAAGCCAGAGAGCAAGCCACTGATAAGTTAGTACATATGTAATATTGCATATATACTCTTTCTGTCATCATTCTTATTTTTATCTTTGAGATGACTTTATCTTGGAATAGTTTCATTTGTTCATTGAATATCTACTATATGCAAAGAAGTATGCCAGGTACTGCGAAGATAATGATGAGTTAAACTTAGCATGAACCCTGCTCTCTGGAGTTTACTGTTGAGTAGAGGAAATTATCATTACAAAATTACACAAATAAGTGTCAAGTTTCAACGTGACAAGTGCTACACATTCTCCTTGGTTGCCACAGAGAGGCTGGGGAAATTTTCATGGGGTCAAAAACCAGACAGTATTTTTTTCAGAGTGGTGTGACCCACAAATGGGTTTTATGTATCTATGTCAACACACAAATATGACCTAGGCATATTATCAACTTTTTTGTCATTAGGAAAGGAGTTTTACAGGTGCTAATGCTGGAGCAGAACCAGCATTGCCAGGTAGGAGATGGGGCCAAGTTAGCCGAGGAGGAAGTGACACAGTTTGGCATGAGTAGGGAACTACAGACAGTTCGGCCTGAGCACAGGGCATGCACCAAAGAGCACACAGGCACAAGGAGTATAGCCAGGGAGGAGGCAGTGGCCGGAACGCAGGGCTGTTCTGGAACAAAGTCCCGTGATGGAGTGCAATGGAGGGTTGCTGGAAGGTCAGTAAAATGCTGGGGTTTGCCTTTAGAAGCCTCACAGGGACGGAGTTGTGCAGGATAAAATGGAGAGGCTACAGCCTGGAGCAACAGAGCCCATTAGGAAACCATCACAGTTTCCAAAGCAAGACGTAATGAGGCCCTGGGCCATGGCTCCAGCAATGGGAGTATTATGGAAAGTGAGTTTCCAGCTCTCGTGACTGATTGATGCTGGGAGGAGCTTAGAAACCAAACTTTTATTCCCACTATTTTTTCCCCAACAGTTACTGAAGAAACAGACCTGATAAAGATTTGTGTTCCTCCATGATAACCGTGCCTGTGCCTTCCTTCATCTGCATCCTACTAGATAGAATGCGTAACCTTTGTGGTCGCAGCCAAGTATGGATTTTGTGTTTCAAAGAAAATGAGAGCATGAGACAAGATTGAATTTTTCTTTATGTCACAATATTATGGTGATTTTAGTTCTAAGAAAGTATTTTTTGAAAGATGTTTGAAACCTCCCTAGCTGTTAAATGAACAGGAAAAAATGCTAGGATTTCAAGATGCTTCTGTGTCACACACTTGCCTGTCGAAAGTTCTAGTCGGCCTCTGTGCAAAACCAGCGCAAAGTCTGCTCTCCAGAAATGATGTGTAGAGACAGCTGGAGGCCCAACTGTTGCAGAAATGGGCCGATGTGACAAGTCCTCACTGCAACTGAGATGCATGGACATTTTTCATGAAGTGAGTTTTTTTTCCCCAGGAATTGTTAATTCAGTCCTTTTTCCCTTCTTCTATTTACCACAAGGAAGTATTAAATCATACAATAGGCAGTAAATTTAAAGTCTCGTGTGTTGTAAAGACTTGAAACATAAACAAGTCAAGGGATATTTAGGAAAAAAACTCATAGATGACACAAACATAATAGAAGATGGAGGGAAAATGTTTTGAAATGCATCCCTAAACCTGTAGCTCTGGCATGACTCCAAAGACAAATTTTAAATTACAACAGCAACCCAAATCCTTGGTCCTATTCAGAGAAAGATGTTGGTCTGAACTGACAGTGTTTTGACCTAATGTAGTGCCTCTTACAGTTTATGTTCTGGGCTATCAAAATGTGCATAATATAGTATACACCACGGTTTCTCAGCCTCAGCACTACTGAGATTTTGGGCCAGATAATTCTTAGTTGGGAAGGGAGGCTGCCCTGCATTATAATTTGCAAGTCTAAAAGTAAGGGTGACACCTGTTTCTCCTAGCTCAGAAAAGTATTTTATACATTTCATACTTCTTGAAGTGTAAAAAACATTTCTAGACCGTCTTCCACTTTGTAATTTTGACATGCACTGTTGTATGGTGAATCTGAATGTTCTCAGAACCTAGGAAATGGGCATTTCCTCTGACCTAGTAGAAGAAAGCCTTCTTGGAGATGTTGCCTCTGACCACAGCCTGCACCTCTGATACCTATTCAAATGGAGTCAAAAACATTCCCTAAAGAGCACCAGAAAATTTGAGAGTTCCCAGTTCTATTGTGCAAGGTAGGAACCATGTTCTTTGCTCTACCTATGATTAAATTATTCTTTTGTGCCCAGACACATTCAGGTATCATATCCAGCTTCCTTTACCTGGATGTGTGGTTCCTGAGAACCACAGCCAGGATAGGGTGGGCTTTGCTTTATGCATTGAGCAGAGGGTATGTATTCAGGGAAACTTGAAGTGATGGGAGCTTCTTTTACCAACTTTGCACAAGTCATTTAAGATGTCTGAAAATCAGGCTCTGGGAAGAAAAGTGGATTGACTACTAATGTTTATTGAGCAACTAGTAAATCCCATCACTCTGCTAAACTGAGTGTGTTAAAATTGCAGTAAATTATGTAAATTTTAAAAATCCAATGTTTCAACTAACTAAATTTGATGACTAGAAGGTCATCATTTTCTAAATACCCGTTTGATGTAAAGCATTTTTTTAGTCATAATGGATTGTAATAAAAAATAACAAATAGTTTTGGGTCAAGGCAATAGATTACACCAAGTAAGTAAACATAAAAAATTAAATATACTGAGTGTACAGAAAGATAGGTGTTTTGTATCAGACCTTATTTAAAGAAAATATCTGTTTCAAATCAAACCAGTAGATTTTGATTGGCTTAGCAACTCCCTTTTGGGAGATTTAAGGCAGGAGAACACTAAGGTGAGCAGAATAATACAGATTAGGAAAAATATTTTATCCAGAAGGTTTTATTTATTGCATCAACAAATAGCATAACTCTTTATGGACATAGATATCTAGATGGTCTATTGTATTTTTACATCATCGTTATATTATTCTGTTTTCACACTGCTGATAAAGACATACCCAAGACTGGGTAATTTATAAAGAAAAAGAGGTTTAATGGACTCACAGTTCCATGTGGCTGGGGAGGCCTCACAATCATGGTGGAAGGTGAAAGGCATGTCTTACATGGCAGCAGGCAAGAGAGAATGAGAGCCAAGCAAAAGGGGAAAACTGCTACAAAATCATCAGATCTTGTGAGACTTATTCACTAGCATGAAAATAGTATGGGGGAAACAGCCCCATGATTCAATTATCTTCCACCAGATCCATCCCACAAACTTGGGAATTATGGGAGCTACAATTCAAGATAAGATTTGAGTGAGGACACAGCCAAACCATATCAATAGTCCTTAATTGAATAAATCACAGGTAACTCACAAAAGCCAGAGAAAGGCAGGACATGACAAATCTGGGAGGAATTTGAACAAATGGGGCCCAGTGAGAAGCCAAGTAAAATTTAGAGACAGATCATGAAAGAAAAGAAAAGGAGAGGTGTAAGAACTGGTTGAGAGCACTGATGATTTTTTTCTTCAGGTATGACCTTTTATTCTCTGTTCCATCTCCTGACCCTGGGCCCTGGAATAACCTCAGACTGAGGTTGCCTGAGATTATAAATGGAGAAAGCATAGCAGAGATATTTATTTGCAAACAGTTCATTGCTTTATAAAAGTCAGCAACATAAAATATCTCTGTGTGAGATACTGCTATTTTTAGATTACACAACTCTTGATTTAGAGGGGAGAAGGCAATCATAATTGAAAGAGCCATAAGAAACATGGTGTTAGTCCTACAGTAGATGAATTTTACTTTATCCTCATGAAATTACTGAGGAGTACACATTCATTTTGGTGCCCAACTTGCAGTGGCTTATAAAAATAGTAACAAAAAGTGTTTGATGAGAGAGTGAGCCACCTGGGTAAGACTGTGGGCTCTGAAGAGAGCCTGTGGTTAATTCTGCCTCCATCACCTGATCATCTCTGAGACTCCTAGCAAGTGGCTGAAGCTCTCTATACTGCAAATGTTACATCTATAAAATGGAATATTTATGGCACCACCCTGATGGGAATGTGATGAACATTAAGTGAGGAAGGCATAAGAGCAGTTCTTAGCAACACAGAACATGCTCCTTAAATGTGAGCTTACATTATGTTGACTTCTACTTGTAAGAAATGAACTTATGCCAGTGCTTATTGTAGAATATTGTTATGTACAGGAGATAATCTCTCTGATTATTGAATCTGTAGTTGTCTATAGACATAGAACTAAGGTATAATCTCCCCCCCACCCCAGTTTCTGATCACTGCAGTGCAGTGAAATCTAGAAAGAGCTGCTTGTTACACTGACCTGACAGCAGTTTTCACATCACTGAGTTTGTTTGCTTTCTCTGGCTGTCAAGTCTCTCATTGATTTCTCATTCTGCAGTCTAAGTCCATATCAGCCCAACAAAGGATCTGGGGAAAGGGCAACAAATGGGTGTGAAGGAGGTCCCTTAAGTTCACGTACAAGTTTGAAGACATTAAGAGCAATTTGATGCAGTGAAGAACAAGCTGAATATAATAAAGCATTTTCAGTAATGCTACTGCCACTAAAATGGTGTTTTTGTCATGAACATTGCAAGATCTCATTCTACTGTACTCTTGCTAATGTAAAAAAAGATAAAGCAATTCTAAATGCTGATGTTTTCCCCAAAATTTATAGTATTTTTAAATATATAAATAATTGTTAAGGAAAGCTGTGATTTAGGACTTTCAAAGTCATAAAACGATACATTTCAAAACATTTACATAAGCAAATTTTTAGAAATTGAGTGTAAGTCTATTTTCCCAAACTACAAGTTTTTATTTATTTTACTTAGCTACTGTGTCACTTAATTGAAATTCTGAAATTCTGAGTATAAACTTTTACAAGACGAACTTCCTATTCATATACACATAATTTGCCCTTCTCCCAATAATTGTTCATTTTGCTGAAGTTTTTCATTAATGGTTAGGTCACAGCTGTCGTGAGGACGATTCGTTTGCTCTGTTTCCAAACTATATGCCAAGGTGTCCCAGGGCAACATAGGAAATTCGAGGGATTCCGAGGGATATTTTAAATTTTCAAGATAAATACGGTATCTTGAAACCAGGTTGAAACATGAGCTCCCATTAGTTCAGTTTCAAAATCCAGCTGTGCCACATTCCTTTCAATGATGTCATCACTTTGCATACCAGGATTTTCAGAGGTTTCTGTGATATGAAGCAAGTGCTAGTGACAATCAGCATAGGAGAGGATGTGAAGATGGCATTGTCTGCTTCCAAGTTTTGAGAAGTTGTGCAGTGCCCCAAAGCACGGACATGTTAGGATGTAGATGATTCAAGCTGTTCAGACCTAAGAACTTACTAAATGGAACTGTCAGGCATTTATTTTGGCCTGGGGGGCACCCTGTGAAACATGAAGAGGTTTGTGAACCCATAAAGTTCAGGAAACTCAAGTTCTATAAAGTCAAGCAGCCGAAACACTCCGGCCAATAATTGTGTTCAGTCACTTCTCACAAATAAAAAATATTTGATTTATAAAAAATAAATCTGTACAACACTTAAATAATAAACCAACATTCTTAAAGACCCAAGTTCTTTTTTTTCCTAGTGGCTTCAGTTTGCTGCTATGGAAATAGACCTTTTAAAATGCTTAATAAAGAAACCATCGTTCTTAATTAGTGAAAAAGATCATAGATGCATTTATTATTTGCACGAACAAAACTATGTGTCTCTGCCACTTAGTCTTTATGGTGTAGTCAAACGTCTTCCATCTGCCCTGTGTACCCCTCTACCTCATTTTAAATTATAAAGGTCTATGGGCTGGGTGCGGTAGCTCACGCTTGTAATCCCAGCACTTTGGGAGGCTGAGGCAGAAGGATCACTTGAGCCTTGGAGTTGGAGACCAGCCTGAGCAACCTAGTGAGACCCTGTCTGTAGAAAAAATTTAAAAACTAGCTGAGTGTGTTGGTGCGTGCCTGTAGTACTAGCTACTTTGGAGGCTGAGACAGGAGGATCACTTGAGCTCAGGAATTCAAGGCTACAGTGAGCTACGATCCACCACCACACCCCAACCTAGGCAACAGAGCAAGACCCTGTCTCTAAAAAAAAAAAAAAATATATGTATATATATATATATATATATAGAGAGAGAGAGAGAGAGAGAGAGAGAGAGAGAGAGCACCCTTTAAATTCACCGCAAACTTTCAATTAATTTTCAAATTAATTACACACATTCTACTTAGAGTTGAGCAGACACAGAAGTAAGAAAAAGGCTAGTCTAAGACTTTATCAATGGGTAGAAATGAAAGGTAATTGGGTACCATTATATTGAAATCAACGTTATTTTTTATTATTGTTGCACTTGAAAACAAAACTTGCTTATGTATTCAGTTGTACAGATACAGAATCATCCAAGACAATGACCTATAGTTGGGCCTTTCAACAGCCTTTTCACCCATGGTCCACTGTTGGTTATTTTATTCAAACTGAAGGGTGAAAATATTCTCCACATTTTATATTTAAAGAAATGCAGACTCTGGAAATGGAGGTAAGTTAAAAGTTTTATAGCAAAGTACTCTGAAATATGATCAAAGAAAATCCCTATGGAATTGCTTTGCTTTTAATGTCTAGTAATGAGAAATAATTATGAATGGACACTTGGACACTGCAGCCCTTTATATCCTCATATTAAGAATATGCCCAAATATTCATATGTTCTTTAGGATTTCTTTAAGGACAAAGTGAAGCAATACACATAGATGAGTGTGTTTTGGTTTTTTTTTTTGACATGGACACTAATGACTGTAGATCTAATTAAATGGCTTTAGATTTTTGGTTTTTTTTTTGTTTGTTTTTGTACTATTCTAGCGGCTAAATAACCACACTCAAAAGCTTTCCTCCCATTCCTAATGTATTTCAGGTTAAAACAATCTAATGTAATCCATGAAGTCATTCCTCAAAAATTATACTGAAGTGTCAAATATGAATACGAATGGTAAATATGAATAGAAAATATGATGGTCCCTAAACCACAAAAATGACCACACAACTCACAGTAGCCTGGCTGATATGAATGACTGCTCATTCTTGGCCAATCACAGGTTGAACATTACTCTGTTTTTTCTCCTTCTAGATAAGATTATTCAAGCCCCCTGACCATGAAATTTCCCCTACATCCTCGTAGCACCCAATCCAGAACAAAGCCTTGCTCCTTTGAATCTTCCCAAGACACACAAAACAAGTCAAATTTTGTCAGTCTATTCAACGCCCTCTTACTGATATGTCCCATGGTTTCCCATGGTGTGAGTCCTTTCTTATTACGAGCAATAAGCCCAACTTGGTTCAAACACAGGTGTGATCCTGATGCCCTCGGTTGGATGGCAGTGACATTGCTAGCAGCTTGTTTCTGAAGTACACTCTTCCTGAATGCCACACCACATGGCCTATCAGGAAATGAACCCATAAAACAAGAACAAGGAGTACGCTCTTCCTTCTTAGATAACAGGCTTTTTCTGGTAGATAATTCTGCTCCCACTGTGTTGCCCACTACAATCTGAGGGCAGGAACCAGTGTTTGGTACTAGAGGCTGACAGCTTTGGAGAGCACAGCGACCAAATGTTAGGCCAAATTAGACCACATTTTGTTAGATTCTATTAAGATTTTCTTTAGAGGAAGTATCTCTGCTCAATATTATCTGAGATAAATTAAGTTGGCATTCTTCGAAGAACTAAGATAAGGTGATGATGATGAAAACCAAAAATGGATATTGTTAAATCATGTTCTAGCCAAGACTAGACTCCGGTAAACCGTCAGCCCCAAAGTATGTGTTCATGGTTCACATTGTAAAGACACTGTGACAGGTACTTCAGGACACGTTCTCACTTCCAGAAACACAGAGCTTAGTGTGGAATCTCAAGAGATGGTGTTCTTGTTATTAGAATGCATCTACCTGTATCATTGTGGCTTCTATCAGAAGTTAAGTTTTCATAAAGAGATTCATCAAGTGCACCATTTATATTTTTCTCAGGGACAATTGTCAAGTGGTATGGTTACCTAATTTATAAGAAAGTGTGCTCTAGTCTATGGTTTATACACAATGTATTTTAAGTCTATGTATCAAGTTTCCTGTAACATGTATATTATATGTGTATATATGCATTATATGTGTGCATAAGTACAAACACACACATACTATATGTATTATACATATATAATATCTACACACTATATATTATACACACAGATCTGCACATATACATACACATGTGCCCACATGCACATATATATATATATATGTATGTATAATAAAACATTTTGAGGGTGACCAAGGCCTTTGTGGTTTTCTCAAATTCTTAATCTAATCCTGAGGCAAAATTCTGATCTTACCCTGATATCAACAAAGTAAAAAACACTGCTCAAATGTTCTTAAATCTCCTGATCCGAGTATTTTGGGCATCAAATCCCTTCCCTCTTATTTACACTCCAGGTTCACAGCTCCAGGTGATTTTCTAAGAAACATCACGGGCTGTTAATTTTAAAATAGATACATAGTGGTGAACATAAACATTTTCTATAAAGTCATCATGCTTTACAAGGTAAAGTTTATGGACACTAATTTGTATTTTTTCCCTTGGGCTGTTACCACCAGACAGAACCTGTTAGAATTTCCAGGGCAACTAAATTCTTACATGTTTGAGGTTATTTTTTCCATTTTGTAGCATATTTTTATTGAAAAAGTCTAGTTGCATTAATGAATGAATAAATGCTGTTTTAAAGTTAATTGGATATTGCATAGGTATTATGACATAATTGATGATATCCATTGTAATCTAATGGTCTTTGAGAATATTTATGTCTTCTAAAGGACCTAAATATTCTATATAGAAGCAGAAATTTGTTAATATTTAAGCTACATGTAATTAAATTTGATAACTATTAGCATAAATTGGGGCTAATCATTTTACATCATTCCTCACCCCTAACTTCTAATAAATTGAATTCAGAGAAGAAGCCCATTGCTTGACTAAGATTAATGTAAGGCACTTAGTGTCCATAATAGTTCAGAAATAGCCAATTTTCTCATCATTTTACTGTTTTCTCTCTTCACTTTACCAGCCAGGAGAAAACTTGCTAGTTGAAATTGTTCCTTCTAATTGTGAAACAAGAGATCCCAGTCCCCACAGTCCCCACAAGGTGGCCTTCCTTGACTAACCTGCGTAGTGGGCCCAGGCCCCCAGTGATATGGGTGGGAGGCGTGGAGTAGGCTTTGCATAGGGTCTCACAGAGGGCCTCTTTCTTTTCTCACACTCAAATGCACCCCTCCAGGAATTCCTGCAGGCTCTACCTTCAAAGGGCATCCAGACTGCCCGTGCTTCTCAACACCCTCTGTCCCTGCTGGGGCTGAGCCACCATCTGCCCCCAACTGCTCTCAGCTCCTGCCCCACCCCTCAGAATCTGTTCTTAACCTAGCATCCAGCGGGGGCCTTTTCCAGAACTCAGCATCATCCAGGTGTAATTGATACCCAAGAAATGCAAGATTTTAGGCCTGCAGTTTATGAGAGTCAATAGATGCACACATCCAGGCAGCCACCGTCAAAGGGATCTTTTAAGAATGTGAGTCAGATCCCAGCGTTCCAGTGGCTTCCCTATGTCTTGGAGCAGAAGCCAGAGGCCTGCGATGTCGGACACATCAGGGCCCCCTGTTGGTCTCCCAGTAGGGCCCGGGACTCACTTCTCTTCACCCCGTGACCTTCTTACCTCTTGTCTGACATGCCAGGCACACTCCTGCCTCAGAGGCTTGTTACTTCCGTTTTCCTGTTCTGGAATGTTCCCTCCACTCAGCTCCGGTGTCACCTTCTCGGAGCAGTCTCCCCTGGCCTCTGTATTTATAATAACCACCCCCCACCCCCCCACCCACCTACAGACACACAGACTGTCGTGTCCCTGTCTCTACTTGGCTTTACTTTCCCATCCAACTTGTATGAGTTTCCTGGTGGTGGCCATAGCAAAGCACCACCAACTGGGTGGCCCAAAACAACAGAAATTGATTCTGCCAGACCAAAATCATGGTGTGAGCAGTGTAGCGTCTCTCCAGAGGTGCTGAGGGAGAGTCCTGCCCCTCTTCTCGCTTCTGGTGGTGCCCGGAATCCTCGGTGTCCCTGGGCTTGTGGCTGCATCACTCCAGCCCCTGCCTTCCTCTTCACATTGCCTCTCTCTGTGTCTGTGTCTTCCTTTGTCTCTTATGAGGGCACTCTCTTTTGACTCAGGGGCCACCCCAATCCAGTCTGATCTCATTTCCATCCTTACCTCAATTACATCTGCAAAGATCCTATTTCCAAATAAGGTCACGTTCTAAGGTTCCAGGAGGACATGAATTCTGGGAGACACTCTTCAACCCACTACACATGTATCACTATCTGACAAATAGTACATTCTGCTCTTTTAATAATTTTAATGACCAGTGACCAATCGAAAGTCAGCTCCCCAAGAATAGGAACCTTTGCTCCATTCAACACTGTATTCCATTGGACAAACACGCAGTGGCCATTAAACATTGTTTGGAGGAGTGAGAGGGTTCCTGACTGAATCCTTAGACAAAGCAGGCAGGCAGCCTGCAGGAACATGGCAAGAGGTGAAAGCTACTGGGCCCTACTGAAATAAGCCGAAGCTCAGGGAAATTGCATTTCCAACTCTTAGATGAACGAGAGGTGGTCAGAAAGTCAGAGTAAATCAATGGAAGAGTCGGCCTCATAATCAAAAGTCACATCGAAGACTCTCCAAATTGGAATCAGAGGTGGTGCTTCTTGGCCTCTCTCACCTTCTTGCCCTAATGGGGTGGTCTCTTTCCAGGCTTAAAAGGGCCGTGTCCTGGGGTCAGATGGGCTTCTGTGTTAGATTCCTGCTGCTGCTAATACAGATTAACACAAAACTGGTGGCTTAAAACAACACACATTTATTCTCGTACAGTTTTGGAGGCCAGAAATCCAACAGAAATTCATTGTGTTGCAGTCAAGGTGTCTGTACTGCCAGGCTCCCTTTAGAGGTTCTAGGGGAAACTGTCCTGGCCTTTTCCAGCTTGTAGAGCTGCATTCCTTGCACCCCTTGGCTCGTGGACCCCTCCTCCATGCTCAGCACAGCAGCATGGCCTCGTGCGTCAGTGTTACATTGCCCTCTTCTGCGTCCAGTCTCCCTCTGCGTCCCTCTTCTTAGGACACTTATGATGGCATTTAGGGCCCACTGGCTAACCGAGGATCATCTCCCATCTCAGGATACTGAATCACATCTGCAAAGTCCATTTGGCCATAGAAGGCAGCATTAGCAGATTCTAGGGACTAGGACCTGGATAACGTTGGGGGCCACTCTTCAGTCTTTCCCAGTGTCCTAACCAGAGTCTTTATCACAAATATAGGGACAGGTAGAAAAGGTCTCAGATCCCTGCCCCCTAAATTCCCAGTGGGGATTCTGTCCTTTCACTGAACGAACAAGAATAGCCCCTTTTCGCCTTTGTTCATTTCTCTCCTGTTGTCAGGGCTACTTGTAAGGAAATAATCAAATTTGATGCAAATCAGGCATGAATGCTGACCCTGTGTTTATAACATTTGAATTCTCTCTCTTTTGTGTACTTGATTTTTCATTTCCGTTTTGTCATCTTATCTCATATATAATTTGTCTGAGTTGCCTCAATCTTTTGTGAAAACTTGGGTATAATTAATAATACAAATTTTATATGAGAAGGGAATATCTGATTGGAAGGAGGAGCTGCTGGCTGGGTGGAGCACCTTCTAGTCCCCCATGAGCTGAGCACTTCTCCAGGGAGATCTGTGGCTGCTCCATCATGAGGCCAGGACCAGAAATCATGGTTGAATGAATTAATGTTTATGATACAGTTTGGGGAATTAATTTTCCTTAGCATATGCTTGGAGAAGGCCATTTCTTCCTTAAAAATGGTATAACCGTTGAGCTTACTTTCCAGATAGTCATAATTCTAGTGCTATTGTTTATATAAAAGCCATGTTGGTGTTTTGAAAAAATGTGATTAATTTTATAGGACAGGCCGGGCGCCGTGGTTCATGCCTGTAATCGCAGCACTTTGCGAGGCCAAGGTGGGTGGATCACTTGAGGTCAGGAGTTCAAGACCAGCCTGGCCAATATGGCAAAACCTTGTCTCTACTAAAAATACAAAAATTAGCCAGGTGTGGTGGTGGGTGCCTGTAATCCAAGCTACTCAGGAGGCTGAGGCAGGAGAATCACTTGAACTTGGGAGGTGGAGGTTGCAGTGAGCCGAGATTGCGCCACTGCACTCCAGCCTGGGCAACAGAGTAAGACTGTCTCAAAAAAAAAAAAAAAAAAAAAAAATTGTATAGGACAGCTTTTTGTTTTTAGTTACAAACTATCCAGGAATGAGGATTAAGATATTAATACTTTTATATGTTAATTGTTGAATAAGTTCTCTTTGGTCAACAAGAATGTAAATATCTCCATTTTGTTCTTTAAAAAAATCTATCTAACTTATGACCATCACCCCTGCACCCTTCCTAACTACATCAATAAGCCCAAATGAAAAACAAAATCACCTACTTCCTCTTGACTCTAAATATGAAAGTCAAAATCGGTACAGTCTTTAAAACATTTTGAGTTTAGAGTTTCTAAAGGATTAAAATTATCATACATTTTAATAATGTCCACACAGCCCTGCCCTCAATAGAAATAGTTTAGATTGCAATCAAAGTGAGCCATGTCTGCCACCATAAAGCTTTGCTGAAAATAGTGTGAAATTGTGAGGATTCTAGTTGTCCTGGGACTCTTTTCAATGGGGAAGCTTGATAAGATATTGTGACAATGCATCAACTTTTTGGTTTCCGTACCAGCAGAACAGTCATGAACTGTTGAACATAGTCATGAACTGTTGGCTGTTTAGCTGTGCTGAGCGTTTTGATTTTAACAACTCAGATAGCCCATGTAAGAGTGAGGATTTACTCACAATATTGTGGGCCTGTGTGACAAGTTTTAATGGAGAAAAGGTTACATTTGCATATCCCCATTTCCATTAACATTTCTAAAGTGAAGCCCAGTCACAAATGAGAGTTACGAGTTTGGCTACTGTGGGAAATTGTAGAGGGTTCTCATTTCTCCTCTTCTTAGTTATATACAATACCTGACATTTCTAGAGAGCCCATGCTGGGTGCCAGCCACTGCTCTAAGGGGTTCACATATATTATTTCTAATCATCCCAATAATACTCCCAGGTAGGAATTTTTATCTCAGTGGGACAGATGGACTCGATGTTCATCTACACAGTGAGCACCTCCCTGCCAGCCAGCAAGACTCAGACCCAAGCCCAAGGCTGCAGAGACAGTTAATGGTGGAGCAGGATTCGAACCAAGTCTGGTTGCATCCAAAGACCATTTCCCACTCTAGCACACTGCCTCCCAAGGGGAGTTAGGAAGAAAGGAAATTATTTTGAAAGGGCAAATTGTACTGCTAGCTGAAGCAGTGTCTCCCTTTACACTAAGAGTTCTTCAAATAAGTATAATGTCTAAATGAATACGTATCAGTGAAAGGTTATAAGGTTTATAAAACCTTCAGCGGTATTACATAGATTTTAAGAGAAATGTATCCCTTTTGGCAGTCTTAAAGTAAAAATTACTAGAAAATATCTAGCTCTTAGTAGTTGATCAAGCACTTTCATATATATTATTTTATTTTGGCATTTTAAGAGAAATGCAGTAAAATAGGTGGTATTATTCTTTATATATTGATCCATGGAAACCAAGGCCAGCAAGATCTAAGGGACTGTCCTGTATTTATGGGATAAAAGGGACAGAGCCAGATGTTCAAATTCTGAACTTCTTGACAGGTATTCTGATGCCAAATCCTGTGCTCATTCTAGTACAACAGTCAAGGAGGGAAAGATTTACAACATCCTTGCTCAACAAAACTAATCAAATACAGTACATGTTGAGACCAGAGCTTCTCAACTCGGGCTCTGGTGGCATTTGGGGACCAATAATTCTTTGTTGTGGGGACTGTCCTGTGCACTGCATAAGGTTGGCTGCTTCCCTGGCCTCTACCCACTGGATGCCAGCAGCGCCTTCCACGGGTGCCATCCAAAACTGTCTTCAGGCTTTGCTAAATGTCCTCGGAGGGGCACTGTTTTAGACGCTATTTATTCTTTAGACATTGTCTTTTAAAAATCACTGTTTTAGACATTATTTCAAGAGAATGATTATAGCAGGCAACATAGTTTTATGGCTATATTTATGGATTCGAGAGGAGACAACTAGAATTTTATTCCAGCTTCATCACTTAAGTTCAATAACACCTTAAGTTGCCTCTTCTGTAAGATGAAAATAAACCACACAATGTTCGTTAAGGTTTAGAACATTAAAGTGTGTGACCAGAGAACCTTGGCAACTGACTTTTAGTATGCGCTCACGTTATTACTGGAGATTATTATCTTCCTGTTGTGTAATTCTAAACAAATCTTACTCGATTTCTTTTTCACAACAGTATCCACAGACCAGGTTCAGATTTTTTTGTATTTGAATGAATGATCTTTCATGATCTCATCTCAAACTTGCTTTCCAGCCCCTGCTCCAACTCCCCCTGTTCCCAGACAGCCGTCCTCTCTGGAGGCCCCCATCCCCTTCAGAGCCATGCCCCAGACATGCTGAATGGCTCCCCTTTCCCAAATAACCGACCCCCCACCCCCGGTGACTCCACACCTTGGCAGGTGCTGTTCCCTCCTCTGGTATTTGTTCTTTCCAGAACTTTTTTGTCTTACAGGATCCTCTTTGTCCTTAAGGATTAAGACCTTATGTGAAGAAACCATACTATACACTGAATTCTGGCCGAAATGATCCAGACAGACTATTTTCTGCAGGCCTGCTGCTATTTCTCTGGGGTATATCTCCATGATCAGCAAAAAGAAAACCAAACGGAATCTCATCTAAGCGAAACAAAACTGTTATAGAAAAAGAGCCTTGGAGATAAATCATTCCCCCAGACTTTCTGCTGGAGGGTGCTCTTTTAGCATCTATTTTGTGAAATTGAGGAGAACATTTGAAAAGATTAGTCTTTTCTTAGTGGGTAACTGCTGCAGTGACTGAGTCCTGAGGGACTGCCAATTAGAATAAACCAGAAGTCAACTGCCTGGAGACACAATCAACTCCAACCCAATTTCTGGGAAGCTGGTTTAAGGCCAGAGGATCTGAATGCTAACTTACGTTCACCTTCCAGTCTTGTCTGGCTTAATGATCGGGGCTTTTTCTCCTTCACTCCCTTTCACTGTGCCCCAGAGTTGCTCCCCATAAATGTTGCACCTTCACGTCACCCTCACAGATTGTTGTCTAAGTGCAGTGGGAAGCCACTGGAGAATCTTAAGCCACAGAGTTGTGAGATGCGATGGAGGCATAGAGAAGGCTGCTCAGGTTAGCAGCATGGAGAAGGACTCCTCTGTGTGTGTCTGTGTGTGTTGGGTGTGTGAGTGTATGTTGGGTGTGTTTGAGCGTGTTGGATGTGTGTGTGTACATGTTGGGTGTGTGTATTGGGTGTGTGTGTGTTGGGTGTTAGGTGTGTGTGGTGTGTGTGCATGTGTGTTGGGGTGGGTGTGTGTGTTGGGTGTGTGTGTTTGGTGTGTGTGTTGGGTGTGTGTGCATGATGTGGGTGTATATGTATTGGGTGTGTGTGCTCAGTGTGTGTGTTGGGTGTGTGTTGGGGATGTGTGTGCTGAGTGTATGTGTTTTGGGTGTGTGTGGGTTGGGGTGTGTGTGCTGAGTGTATGTGTTGGGTGTGTGTTGGGGGGTGTGTGTGCTGAGTGTATGTGTGTGTTGGGTGTGTGGGGGTTGGGGGTGTGTGTGCTGAATGTATTTGTCTGTTGGATGTGTGTGTGTTGGGTGTGTGTGTGCTGAGTGTGTGTTTTGGGTGTGTGTGTGTTGGGTGTCTGTGTGCATGTTGGATGTGTGTATTGGGTGAGTGTGTTGGGTGTTGGGTATGTTTGGTGTGTATGTACGTCTGTGTTGGGGTGTGTGTGTTGGGTGTGTGTGCTGAGTATGTGTGTGTTGGGTGTGTGTTTTGAGTGTGTGTGTTGGGTGTGTGTGTTGGGTGTGTGTGTTGGGTGTGTGTGTGTTGGGTGTGTGTGTTGGGTGTGTGTTTGAGTGTATGTGAGTGTGTGTGTTGGGGGGTGTGTGTATGTTGGGTGTGTGTGAGTGTGTGTCAGTGTGTGTTGTGGGTGTGTGTGTTGGGTGTGTGAGTGTATGTGTGTGTTGGGTGTGTGTGAATGTGTGTGTGTTGGGTGTATGTGTGTTGGGTGTGTGTGTGTTGGGTGTATGTGTGTTGGGTGTGTGTTTGAGTGTGTGTGTGTTGGGTGTGTGTGTGTTGGGTGTGTGAGTGTGTGTGTTGGTGTGTGTGTGTTGGGTGTGTGTGTTGGGGGTGTGTGTGTGTGTGTTGGGTGTGTGAGTGTGTGTGTTGGTGTGTGTGTGAATGTGTGTGTGTGTTGGGTGTGTGTGTTGGGGGTGTGTGTGTGTGTGTTGTGTGGCTAATCTAGGAATGACTCTTGCTCTTCTGAGAGTCACTGGTAGAACTGTGGAAACACTGTCCATGTCCAAGCCCTTTCTTCATTCGTTAGCACCTTCATTCTTTCAAAACACGTTTATGTGGAGTCCATCTGGTGTCAGGGAGAACTGTAGGAGCCAGCTGACAAAGATGACCAACAGAGTTGGGGCCCTGGCCTCAGAGCCTACCAGAGTGAAGCGAGAGATGGTCACCTCATGGCCCACAGCATGACGGTGTCATCCTCCACTGGGCATTGCGTGGGTAGGAGTTGGGACGGGATTCCCCGAGGAAGTTGTAAAGAGCCTGAGGCCCCGCATTTGAGTGGGAGGCCACTGGGCCAGGCAGGCCAGGGGACAGGAGGACAGGAGCAGAGGCAGGCCAGGGCCAGGCAGAAGCCTGTGAGGCAGGAGTGGGCGAGCCCAGCAGGGCCTCCAAGGTCATGGGAGTGTCTTAGACTCTCAAGGATGGTGGGAGCCATAGTAGGGTGTGGAGCAGGAAAGTAGCACAATCACGTGTGCGTATCTGCGTATTTAAATGTATTTAAATGCCTCAGGTGGGAAGAGTGGTGATTGGGAGGTGGGAGGAGATTTGCAGATCAGCAGAGTGAAGGTGAGGTCTGGGAGAACAGAAGTGGGGAGGGAAGGGATGCTTGGGATTCCAGAGGTTTTGGGCTTGGGGACAGGGCAGAGCTGGCAGCAGCCTTTCTTTTGACCTAGTGTGAGGGACGTGGATCCCTTCTGCACTCATGAGTCTTTGGAATGTCCATCCTTCCTGTCTGAGTTTGAGGGTGTGTGCAAGCACATGTGCACAGGTGCACGCATGTGTGCAAAGAGCCCCTAAACCTGTTCCCTAGGGTTCTTGTTCAAAAGGTGCACTTGGCATATGCCGTGTAAGCCATCACCTAATAGAGCAATTCCTGACTGGTTAATAAAACAGATTAAAATGAATCCTTTATTAATCACTTTCCAAAAGCATAGGTTTACCTGAATTCATCTTAGCCATCCAGTGTCTCCACACTCCTAATTTTAATTTACAGGTATTTAGTAGATTTCGAATTAATTTGCATAAAGAATATAATTCTAGAGGGCTACTTTTATAAGAAGGACTGTGCTATCTGAGCCTTGCAGACGTGGTTTAGAATTATAAAACAAAAGAAATTAAATTTGAGAGAAAAACAGGCTTTACATTTTTAATTCTATGATTGTTTTCTACTGTGATCACATAGCCAAGAAGGATTCAATAGTTTGTTCATTATCAGCAATCACTTGAGTAGGTTTCTTCACAAGTATATTATTATACTGTATGTCTTTCTGAGTATGTGTGTGTGTGTATATATATAGTGTGTATGTATATCTGTGTGTATATATATAATGTGTATATATATCTGTGTGTGTATATATAATCTGTCTGACTGTATGTAAATTTATAAAATGCTCAGTGCACATTAAATAGAATGCTTTATCTTTCCAATAAAAACGAAGCCATTTCAAGAGGTATTCTATTTCATATTTTATTCACTTGCTGTAAAGGAAGCACCAACATGTTTCAAGGTTTACTTGACAACCTCTACCAACTGTGATAAAGGAAAGATAAAGAGAAGAGGTTAAAATCTTTGAGGACACTTTTAACCTTTGTCTGTTCCTTCTCTGTCCCATTTTTCATGTCTTCTCTTCCCAGATGACAGCATCGACCTGGCATTGATAGGATGTATGCTTTTGAGTTGTTTCATGAGGAATAGAGGTGGTTGCAGAACTGACTCATTTCTCTTCCAGCCTGTTCTTTGGATAAATAGTGCCCTTTGGTGGCTTGTGGGGTCAAGTTTTTACCTGTGGTCTTGGAGGTTGCTATTTTATTTCTCTGTTAAAAATTGGTTCCCTGCTGCAGGGATAGAATTCATACAGTTCGTCCTGTTAGCAGCATGGTCTAACTGGTTGAGTGGAGAGATTTAATAAAAGAATATTTCTTTGTATGACAGTACAATCAAGATAATGTTTTAGAATGGACTTAAATATTTTAAACCATATTGCTTAAGATGACAACCAGCTTCTTGGAGTAGCTCAGATGTAAAAAGGAGGAGACAGGAAAAAGAAAGTGCAATGCATAAAATGTATTAACATTCTGCAAATAATTCTAGCTTCTTAAATAAATAATTTCCTATTATAAAGTCATTATGTTATTACATTTTTATCCCCAGAGAATCATGTAGGCCCCTGTCTATTTTTAAAGAAGAGATTGTGAAAATAACAACAGTAATAAAAATAATAATGATATAAACATTGGCTGCTATCACAACATTTTGGATTGGACTCATCCAATTCTGTTTTCTCTTGTCTGATAATTTAGCTTAATCCTGTGCCTGAATCAGACTATTGAAACAATATACTAGAATAGATATGACCTCTATACCTGATCCATTTAAGACGGACGTGGTGACACATGCCTGTAACCCCAGCTATTTGGGAGGCTGAGGTGGGAGGATCGCTTGAGCCCAGGAGTTTGAGGCTGCGGTGAGCTATAATTATGCCACTGCACTCCAGCCTGGGTGACACAGTAAGACCCCATCTCTTAAAAAAGTTAAAAATAAATAAATGAATAATCCACTCAAGCTTAAATGAAAATGTGTATATTAAAATCATATGCTATTTTAGGTTATTTTTTCATAATCTTTATTAACATGTAACTTCAGTTGATAGATTGATCTGTATATATAATCTATAAAACCAATATATGTAGTATACACGTTTGCACTTGAAAACTATTTACTAGGCTGGGCGCGCTGGCTCACGCCTGTAATCCCAGCACTTTGGGAGGCCGAGGTGGGCGGATCACGAGGTCAGGAGATCGAGATCATCCTGGCTAACACAGTGAAACTGCATCTCTACTAAAAATACAAAAAATTGGCCAGGCGTGGTGGTGGGTGCCTGTAGTCCCAGCTACTTGGGAGGCTGTGGCAGGAGAATGGCGTGAACCCGGGAGGCGGAGCTTGCAGTGAGCTGAGATCGCTCCACTGCACTCCAGCCTGGGCGACAGAGTGAGATTCTGTCTAAAAAAAAAAAAAAAAGAAAAGAAAGAAAACTATTTACTCAAGGGAATCTCTTCCAAATCCCCTTAAATGGGTCTGCATGTAAGAAAACCAGAACAGTCATTTATGAAATATTTTCTTTTAGAGTCAGGTACATTTCATACACGAGCTAACCATGTGTTAACAGTGTGGTAGGATTTCTCTCTCATATTCTCCCCGCTTCTTTCCTTTTGTTCAGAGAATTTGGATGGAGAGACCCGGAACTGCCGGAAGTGATTCAGATGTTGCAGCACCAGTTTCCCTCGGTCCAGTCTAACGCGGCAGCCTACTTGCAACACCTCTGTTTTGGAGACAACAAAATTAAAGCCGAGGTCAGTGCTCCTTGGATTCTGAAATGATTGGTGTCAGATTCATAAGCACTTAGATCTTCTTAATGTTGATGGGGAAAAGAATTAGGAGAACTGAAGTTATGCTTTTAAAATTTAGATCTATATTTATGACTAGAACATAGCATGTTTCATCTAATTGATTAGCATGCCTGTTCATGCATTCTTCGTTTTTTAGTATTTGAATACCGAGGAACAGAGGACCAATAGTGTATGCTAGTTATTAATAGAGGCTGGATTGTCAAATGCCATACTTGGAACGTGATTTGTCTTTCTCTTCCCAATTCCGACTCTGGGAGTTTTCTCTGCCCCTAAATCCTAAAGACATACTAAACATCAATTGTTATCTCCAAATTACAATAAAATTGTTATAGTCAGTATAAGCTATGACCTGTCCTTCCTGAAGAACTCATTGACAGGATAAGGACTCTAGGCACTAAATTGGCTTTGTGTTATAACCAAGTGTTTGGTGCTATTTACAAACGAATAATGGATTAAATGTGGATATGTGTTCCATTAAGGAGACTATTGTCCATGTCCATCATGTAAACAACTGTTAACATGCTCTGTGTTTTTGGGATACATGAAGTGCATATATTATGCTGTGTGATATTTTTGGAAAATCACAGTGGTCACTGCAGCCAAATCTAAGTTTTTTAGACAAGGGACAAGCATTTGCGTATAAGGAACTGAGTAGTCATTTTTTTCAAAAAGATTTTATAAACTATAACGAGTCATCTTTATGGCGTGTAAGCAATTCTGAGGATGAGTCTAAATTAGTTTAAGAGTGGAAAGAGAGATTTGAAGATAAAATTGCAATTTATTATAGATTTTGCTTGCTTGCATTGGGATATACATAGCCTCATGGCTTTTTATTTTTTCCATCTCTCTTCCCCTGGGACTGCAAAGAACATGGTCCATGTTTGTTCTTATCAGGAAAGTCCTGTTTCTTTGTGGAATGAATATAGAGCAATGGTTCTCAACCAGGTGTGATTTTGTCCCAAGGTACATTTGATATCTGGAGACATCTTTGGTTGTCACAGCTGGAGGAGGCTGTGGGTATCCCTTGTAGAGATCAGGGATACTGCCAAACATCCCAGAAAGTGCAGGGCAGCCCCCTCAAGAGAATCACCCAGCCCCAAATGTCAGCAGTGCCAAAGTTTAGATATAGAGAAATATTGTCCATCTAAGAAAAATTTTAAATGTGAAAAAATACCAACTGTTAAAGTGACCTAAAAATGCATTAAAGTTACGTGACTCCTGTCCCAAACATATGTTAACTTAGTCATTCTCTATTTTTAATAGAAAAAACAATGGCCATGCAAAATAAAGGACAGATTTCTGACTGGGGGATCACATACCATCATCATATGTTGTCTTTTTTTGAAGACCATAACTTTTCTCTTTTTTGAAGACTATAACTTTTCTTTCAGTCTTCTTTTTTGAAGACTATAACTTTGAGGGTTTCTCTGAAGGTCATGAAAGCATTTCATTTCATCGTTAGCATGAATTGATTCAAGAGTGTTGTAGTGCCCCGCCGAAGTGGGATGGACTCCCACCCAAAATTTGGTTGTTCTGATGCCAAGGTTGCTGGCATGACTCACACACCAAGAGGGCCTGAAAAGGTGTCACTTACACAGTGAGGCTTTCCAGGCCAAGCACAGTGGCTCCCAGGCATGTCCAAAATTGTCTTGAGAAAGCTTATGGAAAGGAAACTGTCGTGGAGTTTTTATGGTTGTGGGAAGTGGGTTCTCACATGCAGACTGGGCCTTGTACGGGTTGAAACTCCTGCGGATACCAAAAAAGGAAGCTCTTGAGTTTTATCAGCTTGCTCAGATGTGGGGCAGAGGAAGGAAGGGTGAGGCTTCAAAGCTGTCAGAAGTCAAACATCAAGAGATAGAGTCAGACTCTATTACAAGGAGTCACCCGGCCAGGCAATGCAGGCTTCATGGCCCAGGGAAGTCTGAAGTCATGGTCTAACTGGCTCTGTAAACGTGATCCATGGGCCAGCCTTGGGGCCTCTCAGTGGCAATGCCACCTGATAAGAGCTGTAGTGACAGCAGCTGTAGACTTGTTTCCGGCTACATCAGAATGACCCCCAGTGCACTGTGGTGAACACAGGCCTTCCAGTGAAGGGGCAACCAGCACATGAGTCATGGCAGATGGATGAGCTTCCCGGGCTGGCTTTCCTGCTTACCAGCTCAGTCACCTTGAACTACCTGATTATCCTGGGGCCTCTTTTCTAATCTTTAAAATGAAGATACTGATACCTTCTCTGTAGAATCTTTGCAAGAATTAAATGACTTAACATATACAAACTGCTTAGTAGCGAAATGTGCATTCATCCACCTTCTTTTTGGCCAGGAACGGTTAAGACACTAAAGTTATTGTTTTATTTTATGTATATTTCTAAGTGTCAGTGTGTATATATGTGTCTCTGTGTGTACATGTGTCTGTGTGTGTGCCTGTGTCTCTGTGTGCATATGTGTGTGTGTCTGTCTCTGCGTGTGTGTACATATGTGTGCTTCTGTTTATTTTTTAATTTTGCTGTGGGTGCCATCAAGGTTGCCTGTATCACTTCTCACTGTTTGGGGTGGCCCCCAGCAGCTGGCACTCCTAGCAGCAGTTCATGTTATTGATGGCAGCCCTCCATGCTACCTTCTAAAGGCTGCAAACACTTCCAGGCCCCATGATAATGTTCCCAGGGGACCTGGGAGGCTGGGATGAGAAGGAAGGGAAGGGTGGTATATGACTGAGTGCGCACCCTGATCCTGAGTTGACAAAATGAGATTGAAGTTAGTAAGTGTTAGCCAAAGGAACATGGGAAGTGCAAAAGGCTTAAATAAAACACAGAGGAAGCTTCCAGAGTTTCCCTTTCTTTCTCCCATTCAGTCACATAGGGAGGCGTGCATATGTGCATATACACATACACACACACACACACACACACACACACACAGACACGTAAACTCTAATAAGGATTCTACACAGATCTATTTTGTTCTCTCATCCTCACTCCAAGATCAAACTGTTAGTAATTGGTTCTACCTTTGTGACAGATGGCTGCCTGTCGTGTTTTCATACACAGACATTGAATTTTGTAATTACCTGTTGTCCAAATACTAATTTTGCAGGCACTAGCCTTTCCAAATTTACTCAGTCCTCTAGTCTTTCTACTGCATTTTATTGAACTGATTTAGCCCTTCAGTCTACATTTCATCATTCATATTGACTTTGCTCACACAATGGGTAGGCCATTGAACGAAGGGCAGAACTACATCTTCTATATGCAGAGGGTCATAAATCATGCCTTTCTTGTTCCTTATTCCTGTGATTTGTACGGTTTTCATATAATAAAGCCAAGAACATCAATTTTTTTTCAAAATGATACCAGATCTTATATGTGCAATTTTGAGAATTTGCTTCCGTAAGTCAGCAGATAAAATCCTCATCCCTGGCTTTTCCTGCTGCTCTAGTGAACTTGGATTTAAGACCATCTCCTCAGTTCCCCTCTGTATTAGTCCATTCTCATGCTGCTATGAAGAAATACCCAAGACTGAGCAGTTTATAAAGAAGAGAGGTTTAATGGACTCACGGTTCTGCATGGCTGGGGAGGCCTCAGGAAACTTATAATCATGGCAGAAGGTACCTCTTCAGGTACCTTCTACAAAAGAGAGATTGAGTACAAGCAGGGGAAATGCCAGACACTTATAAAACCATCAGATCTTGTGAGAACTCACTCACTATCATGAGAACAGCAGTAGGGGGAACCGCCCACATGATCCAATTACCTCCACCTGGTCCTACCCTTGACATCTGGGGATTATTACAATTCAAAATGAGATTTGGGTGGGGACACAGAGCCAAACGATATCATTCCATGCCTGGTCCCTCCCAAGTCTCATGTCCTGACATTTTAAAACGCAATCATGCTTTCCCAACAATCCCCAAAGTCTTAACTCATTTCAGCATTAACCCAAAAGTCCAAGTCCAAAGTCTCATCTGAGACAAGGCAAGTCTCTTCTACCTATAAGCCTGTAAAATCAAACACAAGTTAGTTCCTTCCAAGATACAATGGGGTACAGGCATTGGGTAAATACATCTTTTCCAAGTGGGAGAAATTGGCCAAAACAAGGGGGCTACAGGCCCCATGCAAGCTCGAAATCCAATAGGGCAATCATTAATCCTTAAAGTTCCAAAATGATCTCCTTTGACTTCATGTCTCACTCGCAGGTCACGCTGATGCAAGAGATGGGCTCCCATGGCCTTGAGCAGCTCTGCCCTATGGCTTTGCAGGGTACAGCCCCACTCCCAGCTGCTTTCACAGTCTGATGTTGAGTGTCTGCAGCTTTTCCAGGCACATGGTGCAAGCTGTCAGTGGATCTACCATTCTGGGTCCTGGAGGATGGTGACCCTCTTCTCACAGCTCCACTAGGCAGTGCCCCAGTGGGGACTCTGTGTGGGGGCTCCAACCCCTTGTTTCTCTTCCTCACTGCACTAGCAGAGGTTCTCTATGAGGGCTCCACCCCTGCAACAAACCTCTGCCTGGACATTCAGGGTGTTTCCACACATCCTGTGAAATCTAGGCAGAGGTTCTCAAACCTCAATTCTTGACTTTTGTGCACCCACGGACTCAACACAACATGGAAGCCACCAAGGCTTGGGGCTCACACCCTCTGAAGCAATGGCCTGAGCTGTACCTTGGCCCCTATTAGCCATGGCTGGAGCCAAAGCATCTGGGACGCAGGGCACCATGTCCTGAGGCTGCACAGAGCAGAGAGGCCCTGGGCCAAGCCCACAAAACCATTTTTCCCTCCCACAGGCCTCCATGCCTGTGAAGGGAGGGGATACCCTGAAGGTCTATGACATGCCCTGGAGACATTTTTCCCATTGTCTTGGTGATTAACGTTCATTTGGCTTCTTGTTACTTATGCAAATTTCTGCAGCAAGCTTGAATTTATCCCCGGAAAATGAGTTTTCCTTTTCTATCACATTATCGGGCCTCAAATTTTTCAAACTTTTATGCTTTGCTTCCTCTTGGATGGTTTGTGGCCTAGAAATTTCTTCTGCCACATAACCTAAATCATCTCTCTCAGTTTCAAAGCTCCACAGATCTCTAGAGCAGGAGCAAAATGCTGCCAGTCTCTTTTCTAAAGCATAGCAAGAGTCATCTTTGCTCCAGTTCCCAAGAAGTTCCGCATATCTATCTGAGACCACCTCAGCCTGGACTTCCTTGTCCATATCACTATCAGCATTTTGGTCAAAGCCATTCAACAAGTCTCTAGGAACTTCCAAACTTTTGTACTTCTATATATCTTCTTCTGAGCCCTCCAAACTGTTCCAACCTCTGCCCATTACCTAGTTTCAAAGACGCTTCCATGTTTTCAAGTCTGTTTACAACAACAGCCCACTCCTGGTACCAATCTACTCAAGACTGGGTTATTTATTAAAAAAAGAGGTTTAATGGACTCACAGGACTGGAGATGCCTCAGAAAACTTACAATCATGGCAGAAGGCACCTTTTCACGGGGGCAGGAGAAAGAATGTATTCAAGCAGGGGAAATGTCAGATGCTCAGATCTCGTGAGACTCACTCATTATCACGAGAACACCATGGAGGAAACCACCCCCATGGTCTGATTACCTTCACCTGGTCCTGCCCTTGACACATGGGGATTTTTACAATTCAAAGTGAGATTTGGGTGGGGACACAGAACCAAACCATATCACCCTCCCAGCAGTGAGGTGAACTGAGGAGGGAGGGCTGGGTGGGATCTAGCTCAGCAATCTCCAGTGACTAAGGCAGAGTTTGAATTCCACTGAGTTCTCTGATCCAGGGTAGGACATTAGCTTTAAATACTTTGTAGATCAGCAAGTTTTTAAAAACTGAGATAGAAGTGTAGTCACATAGGCAGTAGTCAGAGCCAGACTGAGATAAGATCAGAAGAAAAGCAGTCAAGGAAAAATTAAAGAGGATGGGAGAAGGAGAAGGAATAAAGTGAGGGTTCAGGTGATTGCTGCAAACACAGTAAGTTAGTGTGGTCCGTATTCATGGGTGAATGAATATCTGAGATGGAGGTGGATCCTCCCACTTTAAAGGGCGCAGGCATGATTAGTGTGGATGGATGGCAGTGCTCCTTGAACTGTGTCTGTCATCTACACTGTCTCCTAGATTGTTGGGAAAGTCACCATAAATTAAGCCTTTAGACAGAGGAATTATTAAACATGGACACTTCCTCAGGTGTATGGACTATAAGCATCTTTTAGGAGGTGACTAAATGTTGCTAACTTTTGCGGATTTTTTTTTTAATTATACTTTAAGTTTTAGGGTACATGTGCACATTGTACAGGTTAGTTACATATGTATACATGTGCCATGCTGGTGCGCTGCACCCACTAACTCGTCATCTAGCATTAGGTATATCTCCCAATGCTATCCCTCCCCCCTCCCCCCTCCCCACCACAGTCCCCAGAGTGTGATATTCCCCTTCCTGTGTCCATGTGATCTCATTGTTCAATTCCCACCTATGAGTGAGAATATGTGGTGTTTGGTTTTTTGTTCTTGCGATAGTTTACTGAGAATGATGGTTTCCAATTTCATCCATGTCCCTTTTGCGGATTTTTAATGAATCCTTTCTTCATTCTTTTGGAAACTCACCTCAGCTAAGAATATTATGAGTATCCCATTGATTTGGGGATACTAAGTGCATTTCATGGGTAGTGAGGATTGCAGTTTATTTATGTTCCTCCTGCCTGTACTTTCCCCCATTTCTTCCAATGCACACACCAGAGTTGGCATGCAGGTGGCACCCCCTTTCATATACAGACAGTTATACAAAAAGAGGAGTATATATATGTATATATATGTGTGTATGTACACAGTTATACAAAAAGAGTTATACATGAAAGCAGTTATACAGTATATATATGTATATATGTGTGTATATATACACAGTTGTATATATATGTATATATATGTGTATATATACACAGTTATATATATACACACACACACACACACACACACACACGCAATATGGCTGCATTCAAGGTAATATGTATCTTAGTGGTTTAAAAGTGTTTGCACATTTTCAAGTGGCATATAGGGATTATTTTTAAATGTTTAAATATTTCTATTGATTTATTTATTTTTAGAGACAAGGCCTGTTTCTGTCACCCAGGCTGGAGTGCAGTGGTGTGCAATCATAGCGTGCTGTAGCCTTGAACTCCTGGGCACAAGTGGTCCTCAGCCTTAACCTCTCAAGTAGCTGGGATTATAGGTGTGCACCACCATGCCCAGCTAAATATTTTATTTTGTTATAAGTTAATAAATCAATTAACTTTTTAAAACTTTAAGTTAATCTAACAAAAATTATAAATGTTCAAATAATTGGAAAATGTATTTTCTTTTAAACATAGACCATCCCTATTAACATGCCTCATTTTTAAACATGCCTTATTTCAAAAATTCAAACTTTATTATGTGACTTTATATGTGAGAAGGATTGACTTGTACTCCTTTCTTTTTGATAGAAATGTCCGGTGACCAGCACTGATAAAGATGTAATTTAAGGTTTCGACCTGATTACTTTTTGTTATATCAAAAAGTAGCTTCAGCTGTCTTATATATGAAGTGTTTACAGATCTTATATAGTAAACTTACACAGGCCCAAGGTAAGAATTCTTGCTCTAGGAAATCAATATTGATTTTATTTTTTTAACTCCTAACAATCTTTCCAATTACCTTATCATCCTAACTGCTATAAAACATTTTTGTTTTTAAAGAAATGAAATTTTCAGTCCTAGTGGAAAGCAAAAGAGTGTACTGATAGCTTGCTTTGTGTTAGTGGGAGGGTCCAAATATCAATAGCATATAGATCCTGTCTTTAAGGAATCTGGCCGGGTGTGGTGGCTCATGCCTGTAATCCTAGCACTTTTGGAGGCTGAGGTGGGAGGATTGCTTAAGCTCAGGAGACCGGCATCAGCAACATAGCCAGACCCTGTCTCTACAAAAAATGCAAAAATTAGCTGGGCATGGTGGTGCCCCACTGTAGTCCCTGCTACTTGGCAGGCTGAGGCAGGAGGATCTCTTGAGCCTGGGAGGACGAGGCTGTAGTAAGTGGAGATCATGCCACTGCACTCCAGCCTGGGTGACAGAGTAAGACTCTGTCTCAAAAAAAAAAAAAAATCCATAACCTGCAGGACAGAAAATAAGTAAACAGGACATTCTAATAGCATGTGTTAGGCATGATGGAGAGGTGAAGCCACAGCAGTAAAATGAGCATTCACATTCTTTGTTTTTTTTTTTTTTTTTTTTTTTTTTGAGAGAGAGAGAGACAGAGTCTCCTCTGTTGCCTAGGCTGGAGTGCAGTGGCACGATATTGGCTCACTGCAACCTCTGCCCCCTGGGTACAAGTGATTCTCCTGCCTCAGCCTCCCAAGCAGCTAGAATTACAGGCATTCACCACCACGCCTGGCTAAAAATTTTTGTATTTTTAGTAGAGACGGGTTTTCACCATGTTGGCCAGGCTGGTCATGAACCCCTGACCTCAGGAGATCCACCAGCCTTGCCCTCCCAAAGAGCTGGGATTACAGGCATGAACCATCACGCCCAGCCAACAGGGCATTCTAATACCATGTGTTAGGCATGATGAAGAGATGAAGCCACAGCTGGCGAGAGTCCAGCTTACATCCCAGCCTTGTGGAGTCAGGGAAAACAGCCTGCTTCCTACACTGATGGCCATGCTAAGTCTTAAATTAGAAGTTGCCAGAAAAATATAACCTAAGGCATACCCACTTAGAACTCATGGAAGACAGCTCATATTTGCAGTTGTCTGTTTGTGTGTCTGTGTGTCTAGACTAGATAGTTGCAATATACTTATATCATTTATAATAATATTTTGGCTAAATTCAGATTACCTTTAAGTATGGAACATAGAAATTGATTTCTGTGCATAAAATATGCATACCTTTCCCCTCCCCCATAACTTTTTATTCCAACAAATTTAGAACATTTCATCTGTTAAAAAAATTGAGACTGGTTCCTGTCTACTAGACTTAAAGTGCTTCATAATTTCTACTTTATTCTTAGTTCTTTCTACCTCATATAGTTCGAGGGAATGTGCTATTCATCTTTTCAGTCAACTACCTTTGAATCATTTCTTCTCTTTCTTTCATCATAAATTGTTTCACATTTTTGGAAAAGAGCCTGTATTTCTTTGATTAAATATCAGTAGAGAGGATACCACTGAGCTTATAGCAACGGCTTTGGAGCCAGGCTGCCTGCATTTGAACCCTGGCTGCTGTACTACTTTCTAGCTCCATGACCTTGAGCAAGTTTCTTTACCTCTCTGAGACTCAGTCTCCCAGACTATGAAACTGCGTTGAGACTCCATATCATGGCAGAGAGAACACAGGTAGACTGCCAGCACAGAGCAGGTGGCAAAGGAGTATGAGTTATTTTTAGCATGTGCTGCAAAATAAATAAGGAAATCTCTTTCCAACAGTTAAATGTAAAACCAATTCCATAGTTTTATAGACAGAATACTTGTATTGTTCATCATCCACGTTTTGAGATCTGCTATTGTCAGCAAAGGAAATTGAACACACACACACGGTGTGTGGCTCTGTGCTAAGCCACTGTTTACACAACTAGATTCAACTACTGCCCTTTAGGAAGTTAGAATCAAAAAGCCATCTGCACATACCAACATAAAGCAACATATAGACCCAAGTACTTGATATATTGATATGTGAAAGTGGAACTAATTCATATTCAACAGATAATCACTGAGCAGCTATAAAGTTGCAGGCTCTGTTTTTGACCTCAATAATCCAGCAGTGAACAAAATAGACCCCCATGAGTAGGGGGAAGCAACAATAAACACATACAGGCTGATATTGTTTGGCCATGTCCCCATACAAATCTCGAATTGTAGTTCCCATAATTCCCACATGTCATGGGAGGGACCCAGTGGGAGGTAATTGAATCATGAGGATAGGTCTTTCTTGTGCTGTTCTTGTGATAGTAAATAAGTCTCATAAGATTTGATGGTTTTATAAAGGGGAGTTTCCCTGAACAAATTCTCTCTTTGTTGGACGCCATGTAAGATGTCCCTTTGCTCTTTCTTCATCTTCCGCCATGATTGTGAGGCCTCCCCAGTCATGTGGAACTGTGAGTCAATTAAACCTCTTTCCTTTATAAATTATCTAGTCTCGAGTGTGTCTTTATCAGACATGTGAAAAAGGACTAATACACAGGCATACATTCATCATGGGTGAGATGGTGATGTGGGCTATGGAGGAAATACAACACAGTAAAGCGGGTGGACAGCAATAAGGAGTGGGTGAAGAGAGGCAGCTGCCATTCTGTAGAAAATGGTCAGGAAAGCCATCTCTGAGAAGTAGCCTCGGAGCAGAGCTTGAAGGCAGTCAGAGAGAGTACCTCAGAGCTAGATCTCTAAGGCATGTGCTCATTTGTGCTTGCTTCCAAGGGCTGTGGGAACCAAGTGCCACAAACTGAGAGATGTGGAACAATGGAAATCTGTTCTCTCACGATGCTGGAGGCTACAAGTCCAAGATTGAGAAGGGGCAGGGCCATGGTCACTCTGAAACTCAGGGTGGAATCCTTCCTTGCCTCTGCCTGGCTTCTGCTGGTGGCCGCCAGTACTCAGCATTCTTTGGCTTTATCTCTAATCTCTGCCTCTGTCTTCACATGGCCATCTCCTCTAGGCGTGTTTCTTTCTGTATCTCTTCTCCTCTTCTTATAAGGGCTTATGTTGTACTGGATTAGGACCTAGCCTATCTTAACTTGATTACATCTATGTAGACCCTATTTCCAAACAAGGTCACGTTTGTAGGTCCCAGGTACTAGGGTTTCAATATATCTTTTGTGGGGGACGATATTCAACCTATAACAAGGAGTAACAAAGAGTGTGGCTGGAACCTAGCAAGTGAGGTGGCGAGGGGTAGGAGGTGAGATCAGACAGGTAATATCCCAGGGTTGGATCACATAAACCACGTAGGCCAGTGCCTTATTATTAATATCAGAGGAGAAGGAGCTGGGAGTGCTTTTTGGCAGGGTGGTTTGGAAAGAAATACATCTTAAGAAACAGTGCTTCACCAGGTTGTGGAATCTATGAAATGGTCAAAGGAGGGGTAGCTGGTGATATAAAAGAAGAGGAAGAGAATCTCTGAAGAAGATGGGAAATGGGTAAATTCACTGGGTAGTGTCAACCAAGAACAGGTGAAAGACCAAACTGCAGTTCAAGAAGACAAGGTGGTGTTTATAGGGGTCTTAATGTTAGGAATTATAATTCAGGAAACAATTTGGCTTCTGAAGAGACAGAGGGGAGTAGAGGATTTTAAGAGAAAACCAAAAGGAAGCTCAGAGTGATTACACAAGTTGTTTTGGAGAATTATCATTGGTAGAGGTGGCTGACTTAGAACATGCGTCCATAGTTTACTGGTGGTCGCTGTTCAGGGGTTGCAATACTGGAGAAATTCAGCTGTTTTCCAGAATGTGGTGGTCACTGCAGTTTGACCCACTTCAAAGGTCAAGACAAGTTCCTGGTTTTTTTTGTTGTTGCTGTTGCCAGTTAGCAAGACACACAGGCAGTCTTTCTCACAATGACTTTCTGACTCCAATTTAGAGCTCTGAACCACAGAGACACCATTTCATATATCACACTTCACAGCAGGAAGATGTAAAAGAAGCCAAAAAGGGCTGCCCAGTAACCTACAGTAGCCTCTTGTAATAATCCAAAAATGACTGAGAAAGTATGATAAAAACAAAGAAAGTGTCATAAAAACAAAGTGACTTATTGGATCTGAAGGAGATGTGAATGATTTATGATAGGACATGTAATCCATAATTAGGAAGTAAACCAGAAAGACTCAGAAATAAGAGAATGTTAGTAAGTGGGAGAAACTGGAGGGGCATTTGACTAAGAACCTTCCAGAACAGCACTGTGGAAGAGTCCAGGAGCCACAAGGCAAGATGAAGCTCTCCTGTGAGGTTGGCCACCAGGATACTAGCGGTCATGCACACAGCCTGCAGGAAACAGCTGGGTGACATGTGACAAGTTAGGTCAGCACAAAGAAAAAGAAGGAAGGCAGTGACTTTAACAAACAGAGCTATAATTCCTATTTCAAAAAGATATGGAATCTTGTCATGTTTAAATACAGCCAGGGAAGGAGGAAGAAGAGAGCAAGGAATGTGCTGAGGGTCAGTGTACCAGGCCTCGGTGGAGGGGTTTGCTCTGTGGAGAAGTTAAAGCTTCTCAGGGTCTACAACCTTTGTGAACACAAGAGAGATGTGATATGTGATCCACAGTGAGCACTATTGCAGCCAGAGGCCAATATATTTTTCCATTTTCATGAAGGCTTGGTCCTTCACACATGAAGGATGATGGACGAGGCACACTCAGGAATTATTGGGCCAGTGCTTTGAGTGGAAAGGACCATGAGTCATCCTCAGTGGAGGAGATAATAAGAAGGCAATATTGCTAACAGCCTGGGACAGAATTACAACTAAAGAGGACAAATACCGCTGCGTGGAGGTATAGATCAACTTGGAGGGTAAGGCAGAATCATGGACTCAGAATACAGGGGGAAAAGCCGAGTAAGAAGGACTCCAGAGACACCAAACCATGGTGATTCAGTCGTGTTTTTACTTACCAATAGATGGGACAGATGAGAAGCAGGGGATCCCAGGCCAGGTGGGCCACTGCTACTAGCTGCCATATGCATCTATTTTTTGCACATTGTATACCTCTCTACCCTCCTATCTCCACTGCCTGCTCCTTTTAACTCTCCTTTCTCCTCCTTTTCCTCCTAAACCTAAGCTGATTCTAGCATCCTGTAGCCATCAAGAGGCTTGTCTTGGCCTTGGAGATTTTCCCTGCAGGCTAAAGAGATTTTAGGGCTCCTCCAACAAAGGCCTCTCCTCCCAAATGTCAGGGACGCATCAGATGTCAGCGTGACAGTTCTGTGTGAGGTGCCAAATGAGCACCTCTCCTGGCTCTAGAGGTCACTGAGTAGAGACTTCAGTAGATATGGCTCCCCCAGGACCAAGTTCAAGGGCCCAGCTCTTGATAGAAGAGCTAATCTCTCTAGGGGCAGTAGAGACCTCACTGGTTTGATGATCTTTTCCATTTAGAAGTTTAACAGGAGAACTAGGAGAGGAAAGGAAGCTACACTGGGGGAAGATGGGGCCTAAGGATGGGAATAGCCCTTAAAGTTTGTAGGAGGCAGCAAGAAAGGAAAACTGGCATCTTCTTCCCCAACTGGCTGTCAACTCAGCTTCTGAGCTGGTGACTTGCCTTGGGCTGCTGGAGTACAGTGGGGAGATCACACAGGGATTCAGCCAGACTTTGAGCAAGGACTGTATTCCTTTATGCTTAAAGGTCCCTTCAAGGAAGATGGACAAGGGCAGGGTCACAGGGGAGAGAAGAGACTAGTGATGGAGGGATTTAGACGTGTTCCTGCAGGAGCATGGCAGAAGGGGTGAAGCAAGGTGTAGGCATCAAAGATGTAGGGCCAAAGATGCAAAGATATGGGGTGGCAGAGAGCTTCAGCCACCTAACTGGCCCCTGCTAAAGCCCAGGAGTCACCTTGGCAGAGATGGCCCACAGACATAGGCAGTGGCCTGGTGGCCTCTAGCCTGCCTTTATGTAAGGAAACACCTCTTCCTTCTCCCTCCCACCTCCAATGAGAAAGGAGAAAGAACAGGATGGAAGGAGATGGGTGGGAAGGGCACACCAGGGGGCTGGAGCTCACGTCCAGCCTGCTTCAGGAGGTGGGATGTTGGAGATGGGGAGGGGGAAAGGATGGAAGTGGTAAAATGGACAGGCTTATTCCTTTTTATTTTTTTGAGACAGGGTCTCACTATCTCCCAGGCTGGAGTGCAGTGGTGTGATCAGGGTTCACTGCAGCCTTGACCTCCTGAACTCAAGAAATCCTCCTGCTTTGGCCATCCAAGGAGCTGGGACTACAGACAATGGCCACCATGCCATACTAATTTTTTTATTTTTTGTAGAGACAGGGTCTCCCTATGTTACCCAGGATGATCTTGAACTCCCAGACTCAAGTGATCCTCCAGCCTTTGCCTCCCAAAGTGCTGAGAATACAGGCGTGAGCCAACACACCCCACAAGGCTTTTTCTTTATAACCAGAAGGAGACCATTTTAATAGCCCAAAGTGAATGAAGTTAAGGAATCAGACCAATATTGTGATGAAATGTAGCTACCCTGCAGCGAGGCAAGACTCCTGATTAAAACCACCAGGTACACAAAGTTCTCTTTGCAAAACAGACGTGAGTCAGACAGCAGTCTCTGAAACTGGGTCATGACTTGCGAACAATGATGCAGCAGGTATTTTTCAGATCTCTTTGAAGTTTCCTTTCTGGGTTTGCTAAATATCACTTTGGGTTATTTTAACTCCATTTCTTCTTTGGGCCATGCTTCCCTTCTATTTTAATGGGTCTTCTTTTTATCTTCCCCCCGCCTCTCCACCCACCCACAAAAGGTTTGTAGTCTTTGCAATGGTGAGCAGAAGAAACAGATGACCTGTGTGAATGTCAGTCCATTCGCATTTGCATCACAGGTGAAGGAGCCGGCACTCACTGAGGGATTTCTCACTGTGCTTTGCCGTTTTGATGCATTTCTGATATGTCATCGTTTAGAGAAGAAGACCTGTACCTGAAGAACTAGTTGCTTTTTCAGGGACATAGTTTAACTTTATATCCACCATAAACTTCTTCATCTGGCATTCTGGTCATTTCTTTTGCTTTAGTCTGTAGGGGAAGTGGCAGCAAAACCTTGGCCTTTCTCCTCCTGGTGACACTTGGCTTCTTATTGCTACCGACTCAGCACGCTCAGGCCTTGTTTCCAAGTAAAAATCTCTAAATCGTTGAACCAAGGAAGACACACCTTGTTTATCTGTCATTTTCTTGATTTTTCCCTTCCAGACGTTCTCCAGGTTTTTCTGGCTCACAGAACTGGAGAGAACATTTTGTGAAAATACTGAGAGAAACAATACAAGAAGGCTTCGTATCATGTGATGTCCATGCATAGATTATAAGGCGCCGTCATCTCCTAAGATTTCATTGCAGTTATGAGCTTTCCTATGTTTTTGCAATCTCTGTTTCATTAATCCACCCTATGCAAATGATCTTAGACTTACTGCTTTTGAGCCTCTGATCACTCTTCCAACCTTATCTTCCAAGTTTATTGTTCCAGTTCATTCTAAATCTAAAGATTTAGACCTCCTCAACCTGGTGGAACTACAAATGCATAATAACCCTGCTCTGTGGGCACCTACATGTGCCATCTTGGAAATAGTTAACACAATGGAGGGGAAGAGCCTCCCTGACTTGAACAGGTGCCCCAGTTGGCTGACTTTAAATGTATGCAAATTTCTGGCTTGACCATGTTTCAGTCATTTCGTATCAGACGCTGATTGGAAGAGCTGTGTCTTCCTATTAGATGCACTTCAGCATTACAAATATTTTTTAAATGTTTCAAGAAAAGCTATAGGTGCTCATTATATGACTACTCTAGTTTGTTAGCCCTAGTGCACTTTTTAACCATGCTCCAAACATAAGAAAAAAAAATCTGCTTTGCTAAGAGCTCTTCAAAATTCACATTGCTCTTCTGTACTTACAATCCTTCTTAATTAATTTGCCTCTTGCATGACAAGTAGAACACTGAGTTGGCATTAACTCTTTTGTTATTTGCATTTAATTGTACTTATGGGATGATTTCTGTGTTTCCTGTGGATCTATACAGGCTCTCTTCAACTTCCAAAGATTGTTTGAAAGAATCTTGCAATTGAAATGTATGTCCCCTGGAAACGGTGTGATATATTAGGAGATTAGGCCCACACAAGCTTTGTTAAGCCAAAACGTCTCTGAACTGTAGCAGTGGGTGAATAATACTGGCATATCCAATCTCTAAGTATTTATGGAGACGGGCAAAGAGCGTTCCAGTAGCATGCCTGGGACTCATCCCAGCACACCCTCGCATAGAAGGGTATGTTCGCTGCACAGTTTCCTTTCAAGCTTTGGAATGGAAGTGGGGATTATCGTTGCTACTGACCCCAGGTGATCAAATCTGTTGTCTGGGCAGGGGTCCAGGGAAAATGGAGACAAATGAAAAGGAGCACAGAGACAATGACAGTGCCATTGTTAGGAGGGCTGGGTGAGCTTTGGAACCCCAAGTATGGACCGAATGAAGGAGATGTGAGGAGTAGAAGCTCCTGTCTGCATTTCCCTTAAATCCCAGGGGATCTTCTCAGACTTCACCGACTGCCTGGCACTCCCTTCATTTAATTTTGCTTAACCTAACTAATATTTTTTCTGTTGCCACCATCTATGGGGCTTTTAAGCCAGTTTCCTTCTTTCCTCTTCACTGGGGAATGAGACACAACCTCCCAGCTGTTCTTTATTCTTTTCTATGTAATGCAAACACACTCTAAATTTTTTTTTTTATGGATTTTTACCATCTTCACAGGTGATGGAGAAGCATACCAGGAGTTAAATGTTTCCCTCCTATATGTCCCTCTTCTGTTTTTCTCTCATGTTGTGAAGACACTAATAATAATATCGTTTACAAATGATAAAATAGTGACATGGACAGTTGAGCAGAACGCTTCCCTTCAGTTGTCTTACAGAGCTCCCCTTTCAAGATGGAGCTGTTTGGCAATGATTGGTGAGTGGAGTTGGGGAGGTGGAGTGAGAAGTAGGCCCCCTATTCACAGGCTAGAACAACTCTACCCTATTCTAAGAGATACTGAAATTGGACCACAGAAGAAAGAACTCTGTCAACAGAGATCTAAAATTTCAGAGCTGAATAATTTCCAAAGTTCTTTTCCTGGGCCAAAGTCATGGTGTCCTGAGGGGAGATTCTGATCCTTTGACTTTTTCAGCTTCTGAAGGCTGGCTGCATTCCTTAGCTTGTGGTCTCTTCCTTCGTCTTCAGATTTCATCATTCTGACCTCTGACTCTAACATCACATCCCCTCTCTCTGCTTTCTTCTTATAAGGACTCTTGTGATGACACTGGGACCATCCAGATAATCCAGAACAAATGTCCCATCTCAAGTTTCTTAATCACAGCAGCAAAGTCCCTTTTGCTATGTAAGGTCATATATTCACAGGGATTAAGGCCTGGACATCTTCAGGGAGGAGAATTACTCAGCCTATCATAGAAGTACTTGTCCACTGATAAGTAAAACCTAAATACCTTGGAAGAAAAAAGAAATAAAAACTGATGTTCTTCTCTCCTCTGTAAGATTCTAGGAAATTTAGAGTATTTATGCTTAAGTTAGCTGATTTGAAAAATTCCCTGCTGGAGTTTCAGGAAGGGAGGAAACATGGTGATCTTGAAGAAAGATTTTAACTCCATTTGATTCTTGTGATGGTGGGAGGATTAATAGTTGAAGTGGGTGAGGAGGACCAGCCAGGTGACCCCCACTGCATGGGGATGGCTGGTCTACTCTTCCACCACTTCTAGCGAGAGATCTGGGACCACATGCTGAGGCTACTTTTATGGCCATTGGTTGGGAAACCACATTTTACACTGAGCTTGATCAGTGTAATTATACCTGGCCATCATACTAAAGAACTGGAGGCTGCTCAGAGAGAGAAAGGAATGGTGGCTGTTTAAAATGAAAGGTCTCATCTCATATCCAGCCACACCCTATGTGCAGGCCAGGGTGAGCTTCCACATGAGGGGACAGCTGTGGTGAAAATGGTGGGTATACCTGTTGTAATTGTGCACATTGACTGAGTGCCTCTCTGCCAGAAAGACCCAGCAATCCCCAAACGAAAACAAGATGGATTTTCTGGGAAGGGACTGGTGACATCTGTATTAACTAAGGATGTCACAGAGGCTGGTCTCCTGGCTCGCAACACCTCTCTATACAGATGGCTTATTGGACCAAAGCAGTCAGCTTTTCTGGGTTGACTTTATAGATTATTAAGGTCTAAATAAAGTGGTGCTCCATGTGGCTTTGACAGTATTCAACGTAGTTCAAGCTAAAAAGGAAGCTTGGTAGGCACCAGGGGCTTACAGTACTGTCATCCATATGAAAAATGCCTTTTTTTTCAATCCTAGTTTCTGAGAAAAAGCCAATCTCAATTTGCCTTTATTTGAGAGAACACACACAATCTATTTTAACAGTTTTCACACAAAGATATGCTCATTCCCTTACCCATGGCCCAAAACTTTTATGTAGGGATCCAGACTTACTAATGATAAAAGATACTCTGATATGCAACTTTACTGGTATAATGATTATCGGGCTTACAAATGAGAAGACTGTCAGAGTTGGCACCAGCATGACTCCGATGACAAGATGATGCTGGCTTGTCAATTCTGGAGAATTATGAGGATGACTCAACGGGGAAAATTTGAAGAATCAGGGATATTTGTCAACTGACGAAAAAATATTTCCCTGATGCTACCCTGAAATGAGTAAGAAATATAACACTTGGTACAACTCCTTGGATCCTGAAGAAATCCTATCTTATATTCAGGGATATTGTTAAGTCCCATTAGAAAAAAAAGAGAAAAAAGAAAAAAGACAGATGAAGAGGAAAAGGAAGGAAGGAGGAAGAAGGGAAGGAGGAAGGAGGAAGAAGGGAGGGAGGAAGGGAGGAAAGAAGGAAGAAATGAAGGGAGGGAGGGAGGGATTTATTTTTTAAGGTGGTCCCAAACAACAAGAAGCTCTCAAGGTCTTCAGTGGATAATAATATGAGCCGCAACCTTGGATGCCTAAGATCCACAAACTGCTTTACCCAAATAGCAACAAACACCCAAAGAGATTGGAGTTCATGGCAAAAGCTAGTAGGGGCAACAGAAAGACAACCTTAAGCTTTTGAACATACTGACCACCAGAGTCCACCATTAAATACTTACCTTTTGAAAAGTGATTAGTGGCTTGCTCTTAGGCACTGGTAGAGAATGCTTGCATCCCTAGGAGACATTTCGGCCTGAAATTCCTGTTAGACCCTGGAAAATTTCAAATACAGACATAAAAAGGGTCTGCCTTGAAAACTCTCTAATTAAATGTAAGGATTTCCTTAATAAATTCCTATGTTATGCCAGAGATGTCCACTAAATGCATGAGCAGGAAGCCTCAGAATTCAGGTCTCTCTGCATCCTTTCTGATGCTTCATTCTTTTCCACAATGAAATCATAGGCACTGCCTATGACTCTTTATCAGAACAAGGCCAGTGATAAATATTAACAGGAGTTGCAGACAAGAGCACAAGATGATGGAGAACACTTTTGAAAAGCCACCTCCTTCCTCCCTGGTTTGTGGGAAAGTTAATGTTAACAGGACAAAAAGCAAAACCAAAATACCAGAGCACATCTTCCCAGTTGACCAGGCTGTATTCTCTTGAATGACTCATCTGAAAAGATGCTAGTTATAATGAACGATTTCTTACTTGTGTAGACAGGATTAGCCATCCATTGTGCAATCTGCCACCTTGGGAAGACTTTTTCTGTCTTCCGTCATTGAAATTATCTGAAAAGAGAGTCATTTAACAGTGGTTTGTGGACAATGGCCAGTGAGTTGACCATTGAGTCAAGAAAATGGACAAAGAGTACTTCACACTTGGTACTTCTTGGTACATAGAAGTGCAATGTGTGCACAGCACACATTGAGATTGCCTTGGTCCTATCAGACTTATATTTAGGCGGGCAATATAGATCCACCTCCTTCAGTAGGCACCTCCTCCAGCAGCCAAAGAATGAGCCCTGGTGGTTATAGCAGGAGGATGATCTATTGGTTACAACCTCCTGGAGGGAGCAGCTTGGACTTTGGGAATGAGTGGGCACAGCAACCCTCTGCTGTTTGCAGGTGTGCTGATCAAAGCAGCCACTTCTTATCCAGCGAGCCTGAAGTGCTCCTCATGAGCACATAACTTTGCAGCAGATTTTCCACCTATGTATGAGCACTGTATTGCTGCTGTAACAAATTTCCACACCCTTAGTGACTTCATACGACATACACTTACTATCTGGTAGCTCTGGGGCTCAGAATGCAAAATTGGTCTCACTGGGCTAACATCCCAGTGTTGGCAGGTTTGTGTTCCTTTCTGGAGCCTCTAGGGTGAAGTCTGTTTTCTCTCATTTTCCAGCTTCTAGAGGCTTCTTGCATTCCTTGGTCTATGGCCCCTTCACTCTTCAAAGCCAGCAATGGCTGGTTGAGTCTGTCTCACACTGTTGTTCTTCTGTTCTGACTCTCCTGCCACTCTCTTCGGCTTTGAAAGGAACTTTTTGGTTGCATGGAGCTCACCCAGATAGTTAATGTTAGACTCTTTAAGATCAGCTAATTAGCAGCCTTCATTCCATCTTCAACCTTAATTCCTCTTTTCCGTGTAACATGATGTATTCACAGGTTTCAGGCATCGGGACATTGACATCTTATAGGGTGGCGGTGGGGGGGCATTGTTCTGCCTACCACCGTGTATTAGAGTGCGGAAAATGCTCTCTCAGCTCTTAGAGGAACCCTGCACAGCTGCACGTCTGCCTGCAGGATGCCACATTACATCCTGCTCTGTGGAGCTATCTTCCTTCAGATAAGATTCAGGATTTTTTACCACTTAACAGAGCATTATTCCTTTGACTAGTTGGTTGGCTGGTCACATCAATCCATTCCATATTAATGACCACATGGTCTTGAAAGCAAATGTGTCGATTATATGTTGAATAAGTCCCAACTCTCGTTATGAAAATCCCCTTTTGAAAATTTCAATGTAAACCACAATTTCTTTAATTTGTCATTCAAAATCACTATTTCCCTCACCCCTGTAAGCATATCTATATTAGTAAATACCTAACAGTTTTCCATATTATCTCTGAGAGTTCCCAAAGGTAACATTTTCCCCCTTTTGGTAGTCTTCCAGGCTGTGTGTTTAATTTCTCTGTGATGAACATCCTAAGAAATGAATCAATGGATGATAATTTGTTTTGCAATTTAGATTTTTCCCCATTTTAGTGTCTTAAAGCCTAAAGAGTGACAGCAGAATGTGAAGATTTTGAATTATGAATAATCTTCCTTATTGTTCCGACTTTATCTGTCTCTTTACTATTTAACCCAAGTTCATTTAATGGAAATTGGATATTCAACCATGGACCTGAGTGCTACACTATTTCACATGCTTTTACATATTTTTGCATTAAAGAAAACAAGGCATCTGCATATCTATAATTAGCTAATATATTCAGCACTGGCTCCCACAAACAAGATGCAGGTGTACATAGGGCAGAGGCATTTTATACATAGTGCTGTCGTGTACTTGTGGGAAAATTACTCTCACTTCATGAAATAAAAAGATAAAGCTGTAAGAAAAACATTTTTAGAGGTGCATGATGTTTGCCAGACCAGTGTCATGATATTCATGATTGTATAATATTCTGAGTTTCCGAGATATCTTCTTAGGCACTGGAAGTCCTTGTTCCCAAGTGTGAATCTGCTTGATATATGATACTTCTCCTGACAGACAGACGTTCCAATCAGACATATTGCAGAAGTTCAAAGTCAGTAGTCAAAACTGCGCTCAGTCTAAAGATGACATGGATATATGGAATGTCTGCTGGCTGCCAGGCACTCCTCTCAGCCCTGTGGACACAGCATTGAGCAAGTCGGGCAAGATCTCTGCTCTCACAGCACTGACATCTCTCTGGGTGAGGATGGAAGCGGAAAATGAACCAATAAGTATGTGAAATATGTCAGGTGGTAAATGGAGCTAAGATGGAACCTAGAGAAGGGGAAGATTGAGGATGAAGGGGGAAGGGGTGGTCATACCATCATTCTTGATGGCTAATCAGGTTTAGGGGACACCTGCATGATGGAAGAGAAGCTACTCTGCAGACTCTGGGAGAACAACCTGCTCAGGAATTTCCAGAAGCCCAAGGCAATGGAAGCCGAAGTGAGTAAGAAACAATAATGAGAGATGGAAGCAGAGAGAAGACAAGGCAGGTCAGGCAGGACTGAAGGCCAAGGTTAATGATCTTCTAAATGTGGCAGGAATCATTAGAGGATTTTGAGCAGTGATCAACATGATCTGATTGGTTACGTATGTTTTTTGAAAATATGACTTTGACTACTGTGTGTGCAGAATGTAGAAATAAAAGACAAAAAACCCTCCCCTAAAGGCCCTGCTTCGTTATTAGTCCTCAGCATCTACCGGTCTATTGAAATCTGAGAGTATAATCATTGCCTTCCTTCCAGTCTGGAGAAAAATTGTATGCAATAAACAAATAACTCATCTGAAAATTTTTAAAGTATTAAAAATACAAACAAAGGTATTTATATAGCCTGTATTCTTTTAAATGCAAAATTAGAAAATCAGTAAATAAAACAGAGAACAAAGAAACTTGATTTTTATAAACCTGACATTTCATGCATGAAAGATTTTAAAAGAGTTCACTGATAAGAACTAACCTCTGAAAGTAGATTAAAATCAGAGCATTTTACTATTTATTATTGAGGTTATAGCCATTGAATCTGGTACACTCCAGAACTGAAAATCTTTGAACAGAAATTATTAAAGAAATAACAGCCTTCTCAACATCTGTAGCTATTTGAATTATTGGAAAGGAGAGTACCTACAGGCAGGCCCTCTGAACCCACAAGTGGTGGGTTACAAGAAAAAAAGAAAATTAACGCTACAAGCTTTAAATTGGAATAAAATAGTATAAAGAACTGAATGAATCCCATTTTGGTGAGGGAAGGAGGAGAAGACCTTTCTGAACGATTTTCACTTTTAAATGTATACATTTACTTATGGACATATATGTTTACATTGTTATATATGTATGACATTATACTATATATATATATATGTGCATATAAAATTATCGGCATGCGTGTAACATAGCAGTACTAACCCCCAAACTGCTAGGAGAGTTGTGAGCCTTCAGAATTTCTGCAGTGGCCTTCCATGGAATGCCTGGGAGAAGGTCTCCTTCTCCATTAGGATGACACATCAGTGTGGGATGCACTGCATTGCACTTGATGGGATTTTTTGGTACATAATTTTGTAAATTTCAAGGGTCACAGATGCACCAAATGTGTATTTTCTTATACCAAGATCCAAGTGTCATATCAATGTTCTGCTTGGGCTGAAGGACAAAATGAAGAGTGAATAATATTTAATCAGCTGAGCAGCACCATTAAATAAATCATATTTCAATTTGCCTTGTTGCGGACAGATTTCCCTGGTAACAGCTTTCTTTGTGTTCAATAGAAATGTGAAAAAATAAGGTTGACATGGTTCAGTTTGTGGAGTCTCGAAAGAGCGGGTCATAGTGGTCAAATCCAGCAGACTCCTCGGGGAGCTCCGGGGAGCTCTGAGTGGTGGAACTTAAGCTTTTCCTTTTTGCTCAGCCTCTGGGATCCCAGCGGCCTCCACCCTCTGATTGTGGAGGCCGAGCTAAACACAGAAACACAAGATGGCTCCACCAGTTACCTTGCTGGGGCTCAGAACACAGAGCTATTGGAGTAAAAACATTTAAGTTGATTGAAACAAAAATGGTTGAGAGATGTAGAAACCCCTGTGTGTGTTATGCTATAAATTTCTTATAAATTTCTAGGTGTCAGGAAAATGGTCAAACCATTGAATAGCTAAGATACACTTTTACATGATGGATAATTCCTTCTTTTGAACCAGCTCTCAAATTTGTTCTCATGTCTTCCTGGCCACAACCTCCCTTGTCATTCCTGCCCAGAAACCATGTGTGGGTCCTATCACCTCATTTATGTGTTTATTTCCTCATTTATGTGGTTTTCAGTGCCAGCTCCAGTCTAGTCTCCTCCCAGCATCCCCCACGCTCCCTGTCTCTTACCTCTGGGAGGGGCTCCGTGCAGGCCCAGGCCCAGGCCCTTACCGAGACCAGCTCCCACTCTCCAGCCTTCCACTGCTGGTCTCTCTGTGGAGCCAGGCCTCAGCCATGTGGGCTCCAGGAATCAGGGCCTGTTGACCAGAGCAGCTCTCTAGAAACGTGCCACGCTCTTACATTCTGTACTTTGGCTTTAAAATTCCCATACATCTTGTGTTCTACTTCGTAAAGTCTCCAAGTCTTTATTAGTATGAAAAATAATGGCCCCCAATCTTTGGGTGAATTTAAGGGCCAAGAAGAGGCACCATTGTCTGGCATACTGATGCCTGTCCTTTCCCTGAACCCTACCATATGTGCTCTCAACTTTAAAAAGCGTGGACCTACTGCACTCCAAGCATTTGAGAGTTTAATCGTGTACTACATTGTATAGGTCACCAGTTTTTCAACTCCCAAGAAGTCAGTTCAGCTGGTATTTCTTCCAGAAACAATTACCCCACCCCATTTCCTAAGGAGGCTGGTTTTGTGACTTTCCTGTGGGCTTCATACACTGTATTTGTTCCTGTGTGTATCCCCTTCACTAAACCATGACAACCCCAGGGAATGTGGACCAATGCTTAATAAATATCAGCTGAACTGAACAAAACTGGAATTATTTTCTCAACCACAGTTTAGTGTGGTTAAGCATTGGCTTTTACTACTACAAAAATATATCTTCAAAACATATGAGAGACTCCGTCACCTAAAATAGAAAGAAAAAAAAATATGTGCATAACAAAAAATACTTTCCATCATGTAATACATATAATAAAGCAAATTATATTCTATACAATTTTTACCGGTTTAATGAAAGTCTTGAGATGACTTAAATTTTTTTAAAGTCAGTATATTTTTAATTTAAAATTAAAATAAATATGTAAGAAAATTTTCTCGACATTTCTATCATAAATTCTTTTGGTGGAATATATTACTTTTAATTTAATACTCCTCATTTGTTACAACCATAGGCTAAGACACAAAACAATTTCTCTATTATTTCTGCATGTATACTTAGCATAACTCTATATTTTAGAAAGATGTTATTTTCCATTTTGCATGAACAAAAGAATAGCAGTTTTTAAAATGTGTGCTTTTGTCATGCCAGTAACATAGAAATTTAAATGAAGGGCTGTGTCTTTCTGAACTGCTTTGCCATCTGTCAGTCAACCAAAAACTACTGCTGTGATGATTATCAACACACTCATTTATTAAAAGCCCAAGGCCCCAAATCGTAGTCACGCATGATTCCTTTCTTTCAGTCAGACTTGATATTTACCACCCTACCTGTAAAACAGACCTAGAATTTGGCCATTTTTTAGTGCTTGTACTCCTGTCAATCAGTCAAAAGCTGCTGTGGTTCTCTTACCTGGACAAGGGCAGTGGCCCTAGCTGATGGTCAGTCTGTCCTCACATGGCACATGGTCTTTAAAAGCAATGAGTTAGGGCAACTTAAATTCCTGTCTTCCTCAGAGTAAACCCAGGGCCCTGCAACCTCATCTCGCCTCCCCCAGCCCCACTGCCTCTCTTTTGCTCATCACTAGCACACAGGCCTTCCAGGTCTCCCTCTCCTTGGGGCCTCTGTCACTTCATGTCACTGAGTCTTTGCTCTAGTGTGCGCTGACCCACTCCCCGGCAACACCATCACACCCTATTTATCCTTTCTTCCTTCTCTGACTTCTTTTTGGTTCTTATCACCCAGAAGAACCCAGTTGTTGATGGACCTAAAACTTGTCCGTTTAGTGGATCTTCTTTAAGCAGAAGATTACAAAATAATGACTAGAAAATTGCGAGATCCTCTTTCAGTAAAGCCGCCTCCAGTTTTCATTATTGCAAAGGTCATATTTGCTCCCTTGTTGGTTTCCTTACTTAATTCCTGACTCCACAGGTTCCTTGACTCCTTCCAGCAGGGACCATGGCCCATCTCACCTCCTCTAAGCCCCAGCACCTTGAGCAGACAAGGCCCACAGGAAACATTTGCCAAACAAGCAACTGTCCAGTCCTTATAAAATGAAAGCTTTGTGGGCAGTATTTGTGGGCCTCTTATAATCACATTCTTAGATGTTTTAATGATTTTCAAATAATTAAGTTACCTATCTACCTTTTGGGGTGTGTGTTTTCAAAATTTATGTGAGGTCATCCAAAATTCTCTTTGAGATGTTGAACAATCTGTGACTTTAGCTTTGCCACATACAAATAAATATGTTAGATCTTATCCTCTCCAAATGAAGAGATAATTAGATTAGTAACCATTCACCTAAAAAGTAGATATTTATGCTCAAGGGAGATGACTATTTCTTTTAAAAAGTAAGACCGGCATTTGAAGAGTATTTGTTATCAGTCAGTCTTAGATCTTTATTTCTTGTTTATTTTATTTTTATTTATTTATTTTTAGACAGAGTCTTCCTCTGTCATCCAGGCTGGAGTACAGTGGCAAGATCTAGGCTCACTGCAGCCTCTGCCCCCTGGGCTCAAATGATCCCCATTCCTCAGCCTCCTGAGTAGCTGGGATTACAGGTGTGCACCACCACGCCTGGCTAATTTTTGGTATTTTTAGTAGAGACAGGGTTTTGCCAAGTTGGCCAGGCTGGTCTCAAACTCCTGACCTCAAGTGATCTGCACATCTTGGCCTCCCAAAGTACTGATGTGAGCCACCACGCCCAATCTTATATCTTTATTTAAATTATCTCTATAAAACTACCCAGTGTCACACTCTATCCTTATTGTATTGAGGGAGTGGAGGAGGAGAAAGAAAAGGAAGTGAATACCTGAACCATCTAAAGATGTATCCTAACTTCAGTATGGATAGTATGCTTCCCTATAAGGATATATTAAAATTATATTTACACTTTTTTTGTTGTTGTTTGTTTGAGACAGAGTCTCGCTGTCTCCCAGGCTGGAGTGCAGTGGTGCGATCTCGGCTCACTGCAAGCTCCACCTTTTGGGTTCATGCCATTCTCCTGCCTCAGCCTCCCAAGTAGCTGGGACTACAGGCACCTGCCACCATGCCCGGCTAATTTTTTGTATTTTTAGTAGAGACGGGGTTTCACCATGTTAGCCAGGATGGTCTCAATCTCCTGACCTCGTGATCTGCCCACCTCGGCCTCTGTATCACTAGGATACTAAAGCTGAAGCAGTATCTTATATCTGCATACAGTTATTACTTTTGGAATTAAATTGATTCCATTCTTGTTTGTGTTCAGGACTCCTCATTCATTCTTGAAATCTCATAGATTTCCTTTAACTTATTTTTGCCCTTATTTGGTTCATTTAGTTCTTAAATTCTTGGAATGTACATGATCTATAGTCAACTTCTCTAAGACCTTTAGGTGTGATTCAGGCCTTTAACATTGGCTTGTAATTCTTTTTATCACACGTTAGCTCCTAAGTACACTGGGCTCTATTTCCTGGTTATCCATTCTGTTCCACTAAGCCATCTTGACTACTACATCAGTATCACAACGTTTTAACTATTGAGGCTTTATGTAGCATTTATAAATGAGATAAAATAATGTCTCCCTTGTATTCCTCCTTATTGAAATAGTCTTACTTTTTATTGCTTGCTTAATATTCCAGATGAAAGTTAGAATCATTTTGTCATGTTCTAGAAAATCCCTTGAATTTTGATTGAAATTGTGTTAAAAGTATAAATAAATTTTGGGGAATTTATAGCCTTTTCAATATCCACTCTTTTCATTCATGAACAGAGCATTTCTTTATACTTATTAATGTTTGTATTTATATTGTTCAGTAAAGTACTTTAATTTTATTCATGTTGATTCTTTACCTCTTTGGTAAAGAATTTATTCAAAGACTCAACGTCACTGGTAATTAGGAAAACACAAATTAAAACTAAAAAGAGATATCACTTTACAGCCAATAGATGGGTTAAATTCAAGGAAGAATTTAGCAATGCTAAGTATCTAAACTTCTTATCTATCATGTTCGTAGCCAATATTTTGTTTAGTTCTTTCCACCCGACTTTAAGTTTGTTTATAATGTGTGTGCATCGGTCCTTTTCATTATGGCTCCTGGCTTTTGTATCAACCTTAGGTCTTCCCAGTAGTATATAAATATCCATTTGTAGATCCCCCTAGTGCTTTTTTGTTTTATGTTTTACATTTACATTTCTAATCCATCTGGAATTTACTTTTTGTCATTGTGAAGAAATCAAATGCTGTGTCATCCCTTATGTGGTGAGCCTGTTATTACTAATTCTAGGTATCGAATCCATACTGCTTCATGATGAAATCCTAAAGTCTTGTAAACATGTGTATCTTTTCTGGAGTTTTTTTCTTCTCTCCCATTGTTATCTATTGATTCTGGGGTCATTTCATATTGTTCTGTATATTGGTGCTTTAGAATATGTTCATCTTTCCATAATTCTCTATTTTTCTTGTGATTTTTTTCCTATGTTCATTCTTCCAGATGAACTTTAGTGTCACTGTGTCCAAAAACAACTTAAAATTTACTGGGCTTTGGATTTGAACTGCTTAAATATTTAAATTAATCTGGAGACCAGTGGAAATCTTTATAACACTGAAGGAATGTGGTAGTCCATTTACCTTTATTCACATCTGCTTTTATGTATTTCAGTAAATACATGTCGTTTTCTTCATACAGAAATTTCCCAATTCATAACATATTTATTTCCTAAGTATTTTCTATACCATGTTGCTTTTCTGAATGGAATAATTTTCTGTTAATATTCTGACCAATTATTTTTAGTATATAAGAAAATTATGAATTTTTATATATATCCATGAGGAAGCTTTCATTTTTAAAATTTTAAGTTTGTATTTTACTGAATTTTCTAATTAATTCCAAAAGGTTTTTTCATCAATCTTGATAATCTGAGTCTTTTTTCCAAATGACTCACCTCCTTATTTCAGTTTTTTAGTTTTACTCTATTGACCATCACACCCACAACAAGGTTAAATGATAAGGCTGGTAACCGGTGTCTTCACTTTATTATGGATTAAAAATTGCTTAAATGCCATAGTAGTGGCAGGTTTTCTCAGAGTCAAGTTCAAGTTCAAATAGTCTGCTCAGTTAGCTGTGAAGCAAGGACTTACAAAGCTAAAGCCAATAACAAAGGCGAGTGGTGGGTTTGGAGTCCAGGCAAGGAAATCTAATCCAGGCCCCTAAGGAGAGACCTCTGCTTAATCAGGTGGGGAGGATGAGAGCTGTCCAGCAGCACACAAAAAAAGCCGAAAGATCAGAATTCAGAGAAGTGAGAGAGAAAGAATGTGTCAGCCCTCACCATCCATCTTTAAATATTTTAAACAATGTCCATCTTTATAGACAGTGAATATTTGTTTTAGGGTATGGTACTAACTATATGTAATTGATATAATAAAGTTAAATAACATGAGGCCTTGAATGTATTCTTTTTTTTTTTTTTTAAATACTTGAAGTTCTGGGATACGTGTGCAGAACTTGCATGTCTGTTACATAGATATACACATGCCATGTTGGTTTTCTGCACCCATCAACCCGTCATGTACGTTAGGTATTTCTCCTAATGCTATCCCTCCGCAAGCCCCACACCCCCCAACAGGCCCCAGTGTGTGATGTTCCCCTCCCTGTGTCGATGTGTTCTCATCGTTCAACTCCCACTTATGAGTGAGAACATGCAGTGTTTGGTTTTCTGTTCCTGTGTTAGTTTGCTGAGAATGATGGTTTCCAGCTTCATCCATGTCCCTGCAAAGGACACGAACTCATCCTTTTATATGGCTGCATAGTAGTCCATGGTATATATGTAGCATGTATTCTTATGAAACATCCAATAGATTAAATCTCCTACTGTGAAGTAGAGCATATATCTGCTTGAACAGATTGTATGTACAGATCTGCAGAGATAGGATAGTAGTCAGAGAGAGAGAGAGAGTAAGTGTAAGTGTAGCCTTTAAACCTGGGAACATGGTCTTGGGAGGAGAAATCCACCCTGCACTCACCACACGATATTTGCCTCTGACTGATGATGTTATGAAGTTATTCAGGGAAAGCAGTTATTCAAGTTATTCCAGGCCCTAGAATTTCTTAGGTACTTTCTAGTCTGGGTTCATCAACACTTTGTAATTTAGAGAAAATCATGGGATTTTAGCATCATGAAATATCTAAATGTGGAAATAAAAATTCACATTTGAGTTTAGTCAGAATGCACTAAGACTTACTGGAGGCATTCTTTGTAATTGTCAATGCTTTGTGATTTTTGCATTCAGTATCTGCAAGGACAGCTCAAAATTTACACGAAGTGATAGAAACCATTAGACTTATCAAGATCACATTTCCTGAGTGGTGTCTTTAGAAAAGAAACTTGAGGAATCGCTTGAAATTTTTTGTGTTTAAAAAAAATGGAGAGGCCTTTCTTGGGTGCACTTAATGAGTAAAGTTGAAACTCATTTACGGTGTTCAGCAATTCTGAGGACTCACAAGTGTGTTTGTGGAGGGTGTCTGCTCTCAGAAAAACAGTTGCCAGAAAAAAACAGCTTTGAGGTGCATTTGACCTCCAAGCCTGCTTCATTCTCAGAAAACTTCACTGCTCGTCTCACAGTTAGCAAGAGATCTATTCGATATATACCGTACATCCTAAATCCAGTTTATAAAGTTAAACCCTAAATTGTATTCCTTTCACTATCACATATCAACATTTTATTAAATTAATTTGTATTTTGGCCGGGTAAGAAAGCAATTAAGAATATCCTTTAAAAAGTTGATACAGTGGATGGTTCTGTGACACATAATGTTTACTGAGTACTTTGTTAAACAATTCACTTTTGAAATCTCATTCAGTCCTGAAAACAACCTATGAGGTAGGTTCACACTTTGTTCATGCTTTACAGGCATTTAAGTAACTTGCCTGGGGGAAACCGGTTTTAAGATTTGATTTGAACCTAGGTCTGAGGCAGCACCTCCAGTCACTGCAATGTGCTTTCTCTCGAAAACACAATTGAGAAAGAAACATAGCTCATCTTGGTTCACCTATCGAATGGAGAACGCAGGCCATTTCATACAATTGGAAGGAGAGAGATTCTCAAAAATAATTTCTACTAAAAAATTATGACCTTTATGAAATATACTTCTGTATTACTCAGAGGCAACTACATGGACTTACCTCAGTTCATATTTTATGGAAACTGATGGTTTAACTGGCTTTTCAATAAGAGTAAGGCTTGAAATTCAGTGAGGTAAATTGTGTGTTTTACAAACTGATAACCTTGCAATTTCTACATACATCTGCTTAGTCATCTAGTTTGGGATCTATAAAATTTGTATCTTCCAGTAGCTTATAAGCAGAGAAAATTATTGGAATTTTGTAATATTAAAAAAGAATGTGTAATAATTATATCATTTTAAAAAGCTTTTTCAAAGCCAGTACCATTGAAAAATAACAGTTAATTGAAAATTTAGCAAAAAAATCACCGCATTCCCTTATCTTCTTTTTAATCAGCTCTTTCTATAAACCAGTTCTCAGACATTGGGACTTGAGTTTTCATAAGTATCTGAAGAAAGTAATTACTATAGTACATAGTATCCATAGTTTGTGTGTGTGTGTATACTATATATGTGTATGTGTGTATATATGATATGCTATACATATATATATAGTATGTAGCGATAGTCTTGCACACTATTATTAAAATTTACTTTGAGTCTCAGGCACAGCCTAGTTTCTTTCAGCATGAACCCAGAAGCCTAAAGATATATCCATTTTATTAAAATGAAAGATTCCTGAGAGGAATAGCAGCACACACCCAGGTCCTTACCTGTTTTGAGGTCCTTGTATCACCAAATAATAGGTTGACAAAAGCTACTCCAACCTTTTCTGTCTTCTCTTCCCAGCTCCAAATCCCTCCCTTTTGCAAATGCAGAGCAGGTGAGCGATATCTTCTGTTGCCCTGAATGCCTGGGAGGCCACGCCCTCGGGGTCTCACTATCCTCTAAGCAACTTGTCATAGTATTTTTTTTTTAAATAAAGACAGATACCTCCCGAGAGGAATTCTATTGCAAGCTGTTTAAAGTATTTTTTTATCCACTATACATCATCATTATCATTACATTTTTATGAAGACTGTCATAAATATCTGAACACTGCTGTAATTGAATATGCTATAAATTACTCATTGATGTTGATATCAGTTTAATGATGATAGCTAATTCATTGGCAAATATATGCTATTGTCAATATATGCAGATTATGTTAAGAGTAACAAATGGGGCCCTATTTTTGCAATAGGTGCTATTGCATTACTTGCATATCTCTTGTGTATAATTTAATTACCTATCCATTTGTTTTCTGATTTGAAAGGCTTAGATATATTCTACCTTTTAAGGAAAAAACAAGGAAGATACCCACTGCATCCTTCTTTTGCATGATTTTTAGATACTCTCAGTTCTAGAGTTTAAACTGTAAACATACTTCAAAGCAGCGGATTTTAGGGCAAAGGGTATGAAAACCATTTTTATTCTCCCCTGGTGCAAACTGGGAATACATTCTAGTGTTCATTCCCCAGAGATTATCTGCATCAGGTTCAAGAATGCCCTCACTGTAAACAACCCAAAAACAAAACAAAAGACAGGCAGGGCATAGTTTTGCTTTATTTGATTGGTTAATTCATCTTTTGTTTCCCCTGGGGATGGGGTTTACCAGCCTCCACCTCCCTTACTCCTTGTAGATTACTCTCGACATCTAGATTCCTGAAGTGCACAGCTAAGCAGAAAAATAAATGTGAGCCATTGACACAGGAACAACTGACTAAGGTCAATCATTTGTCAAAGAACCACTTTACTCACTTAAACTCAATAAGTGAGTTTAAGACTGTCTATTCAGGTCAAGTATGAAAAGTCCCTTCTGGTCACTGTCCAATTCTATTAGGTCCAGGAAAGTAGCAGATATGAGAATTGTTCAGTCTAGATTCAAATGAAGCTATCATTTCCCCGTATGTAATTCAACATTCATTGTTTCCATTTTAATCATTTGTATGCATTTTATTTTATTGTTGAATTATATATAAATAACAAGATATACATTAACTAGCATTTTATTGACTTTATTTTAATGCTATGAAACCTAAAATCTTTCAAGATTTGACTTTTAAAGAATTCTGCATGAGGCCTGGCACAGTGGCTCACGCCTGTAATCCCAGCAATTTGGGAGACCGAGGCGGATAAATCGCTTGAGCCTAGGAGTTGAAGACCAGCCTGGGCAACATGGCGAAACCTCATGTCTTCTAAGCGAATCGCTTGAACCCTGGAGGCGGAGGTTGCAGTGAGCCAAGATCGCGCCACTGCACTCCAGCCTGGGTGACAGAGCGCAACTCTGTCTAAAAACAAAACAAAACAAAACAAAACAAAAACAATTTTGCATGAAGATGATTAAAGTAATAATGTGAGGAGAGGGTAAACTGACCTGCAATGATCATATGTTAACAAAAACCTGGGCTCAGCTTGCTGGATGTGGAGTGATCGACTAGGGGGATAAATTGGAACTAGACAACTTGTCGTTTTGGGGGAGAATAAATAAAGGTGCCATTTCAAAGAAGACAAGTTTCTTCTGATAGGTTTTCAGAAAGTTGTACATTTTAAGTGTTTAAAATAGGTTTGTTTGGAAGCTTGGAAAGATTGCATGTTAGGTACCAGAAGAAACTGGTAGATGGATTGGGTGCAAGAAATTGGAGGAAGGGGCCAGGTGCGGTGGCTCATGCCTGTAATCCCAGCACTTTGGGAGGCCGAGGCAGGCAGATCACCTGAGGTCAGGAGTTTGAGACCAGCCTGACCAGTATGATGAAATCCCGTCTCTACTGAAAATACAAAAATTAGCCAGACGTGATGGCATGTGCCTGTAATCCCAGCTACTCGGGAGGCTGAGAAAGGAGAATTGCTTGAACCCGGGAGGAGGAGGTTTTAGTGAGCTGAGATCGTGCCATTGCACTCCAGCCTGGGCAACCAGAGCGAAACTCCATCTCAGAAAAAAAGAAAAAGAAAAAGAAAAAAAAGAAATTGGAGAAAGGAAGGATCCTGGAGAAAAGCAAAATAGAGGGAAAGTGAAAAGGACAGCATCAGAGCCACGCACAGCCACCAGAAGCAAGAGGACTGGAGTCCATGTCAGGGCCTCCCTTCTGGTCCTGATGGGAGAGGGGAGGCTGCAGGGGGAGGAGGGAGAACCAAGGACCTGGCCATCCCATTTCACACATGTGGCCATTTACATTTTAATTCTGAGTAATGTTTGGCTTCAGAAAACAGAAGTAGGGTTCTCACATTCTTAGATAAAATTAAACCCCAAGAAAACAAGTTTTAATATAGAGGATCTGGTGACCCCAAATAAGAGCAAAAGAAAAAGGTTAATTGACTTACTTATGTTTATCTAAATAGATTAAAATCAAATTGAAAATCTCACTATAAATTTGGGTATATGGCATTAATTAGGGCCATACTGAAAACATTGTGTTTTCATTTTAGCATTTAGAATTCATGCTGCATTCAGTTTGAATTCATTTTCCCTTTTAATATATTTTAATCATTTAATTCATTAAATCATATGAATTGGAAATGTATTATAATAAATTAGGAATATTAATTATAACATCCAATATAGCTAAAATATATACATATGAATAAAATGCATAGATTGATTGATGATGCCATCTGTTTTTAGTACATAACCAATAGATTCACTGCAAGAATGGATTTATTATCTCTTTTCAATGGTTTCATCATTATTTAAATAACTAAATTCAGAGAACTTTGAACTAAATCACACATGGGCAAATATACACTCATAGAGAAAGTGATACTCATAGTTTAACCTTTTTTGTACACGTGGAATATCCCTTCTCAAGCACTATAATAAAGTGGATGTGCTTATAATCTGGGTACATGAACAAGACACCTATATAGGAATACAAACATCATCTCTCTTGGGTGGGTGCCAAGCAAGCCCTGGGTAGAACTGTAAGTTGGGTAAAGTTGTTTCCCACTTCTTTTTCTCTTTCCTTATTTGACCCAAAAGATCCTTGAGTCTCCCTTACCCAGGTGCTGTGACCACCCTCAGGCTGGGCAACCATAACCCCCTCAACCACACTGTCCCTCTACATCCCTCCCTCTTCCTTCCCTGTCATGTTCCCTTGGAGGCACCATATGTGAAACGCTGCATTCATGGTTTCCAACTTAGGGATTTAGAGTCCAAGAGTGCTCTGAAGATTTCCACTTTTTCTGCTTTCATTTGCTGATGAATGAAAATAATTCCCGTAGGCATATTCGGAATCATCAGAGGCCACCCTGTATGAATGAAGCATGCTCTATTTTGTTTGTAAGCCGGATTGGAAGAGCTGCAGGGCTGAGGCCTCTGGATACATCCTTGGCTGTTCACAAAAGAGGTGTTTGTTTGTTTGTTTGTTTGTTTGTTGTCTTTAAAGAGGGATATTTCTTCATTTTGAAAACACTATTTTAGCAAAGCTGAGCAACACCAACGTAGCAAGTAATATATTAATTAACCCTCTCCATTCATTTGACAAATATTTCCTGAACATTTATGAGGTGTCTGGCATTGCACTGGGTTTAGGGATAGGGATATATAACAGAGACATTTCCTCCCAGAACACACATCCTAACAGGAGAAGACGGACAATAATGATAAACATAACAAATAAGTTAGAACATGACAAATCCTATGAAGAATTCAATAGCACTTGAAGATAAACAAGAATGCTGGCTTGGGGTGAGGGTGTGGTTCTAAGTGCAGTTTTAAACGGTGTGGTTAGAGTCACCTCACAGAGCAGCACTTGGGCACTACTGAAAGAGCCTGGGGATGGCCTGGCACGGTGGCTCACGCCTGTAATCCCAACACTTTGGGAGGCTGAGGCGGGCGGATCACGAGGTCAGGAGATCGAGACCATCCTGGTTAATACGGTGAAACCCTGTCTCTACTAAAAATACAAAAAAAATAGCCGGGCGTGGTGGCGGACGCCTATAGTCCCAGTTACTCGGGAGGCTGAGGCAGGAGAATGGCGTGAACCCGGGAGGCGGAGCTGGCAGTGAGCCGAGATGGCGCCACTGCACTCCAGCCTGGGTGACAGAGCGAGACTCTGTCTCAAAAAGAAAAAGAAAAAAGAAAAGAAAGAAAGAGAAAAGAAAGAGGCTGGGGATGTAGCCAGGTGTCCCAGCACATCTGTGACATGAATGAGTTTTTCTGTAATCAAAAAATTAAGTAGAGAAGATGCTAATCCTTCGATCCCTGAAGAACGGTGAAGCATAAAGTGTAAAAGAAGGGTATTCCTGCACGAATCATGCTCTTTGTCCATATACATGCAAAAGTTTTCAGATGCAGCTTTGCTAATATAGCCTGTGTGTTAAGTAGCCACTTTATTTTGTTTCTAATTTAAATTTTAAAATTGTTCCCCAAATCAAAGGGCAGCCAGGAGAACATGCATCTCAAAATACACAGCAAAAATATTTTGCATTTACTTATAAAAGATTAAAATTTTCTTTTGATAAAAAGAAGAGTAAAATGTAGAGTGGTTTTGTTGTTGTTGAATCAAATACCTAAATTAAGCATAACGTGCCTTGGCCTCACACCTTCTGTCTCTCATGTAAGAGACGTTCTTATTTCCGCGGGTCTTCTGAGATAAAACTCCTTGTGTCAATTCTTCCAGTCTCTCGTTTCGCTTCTGATTCCTTTGAAATGTTTAGAGCATATCCCTATTAAGCATAATTTTAACATTTTGTGTATCATTCCTGCAGCCCTTTAAGACAATGGTTAAATTTAATAAGTCTAGGGAATGAGGATCACTCTAATGCCTTTTATTTCTTCATGTGCTTCATCCATGAGGTTGTGGCATATTTTATGGAGAGAAATGTCTAAGGCACTCAATATGAAGTTAAAATCACCTTTCCAAAATTCTATAGTTCGAAAGAAATACATTTGGATTTTTATTGGTAGGATATTAAAGCAAATACCGGCAATCAAATATAAAGCAAACACTTATTTTTTTCTTGTTTCCTTTTGTATGCCTTAATTCAGTTTGGTGCGATTAATTGTTAGCAGATACTTTATATGAAAAACATGTTTTGGTGTAGGTAGGGAAACCTTACACTGTAAAGCAAAAGTGGTGTCCTTTGCTCTTTCAGATAAGGAGACAAGGAGGCATCCAGCTCCTGGTGGACCTGTTGGATCATCGGATGACCGAAGTCCACCGTAGTGCCTGTGGAGCTCTGAGAAACCTGGTGTATGGGAAGGCCAACGATGATAACAAAATTGCCCTGAAAAACTGTGGTGGCATCCCAGCACTGGTGAGGTTACTCCGCAAGACGACTGACCTGGAGATCCGGGAGCTGGTCACAGGTTAGAATCATTATTAAATTATTATATTATATCTCAAGATAAACTTTCCATTATCCAACACAGAGGCAAATGTACTAATCAAATAAATATTGTGGTGTTCTAATAACATAGGCGGTCTCAATATGTGTTTTCAAATGAGTAAACAACTGAAGAAAATGGTATCAGATGTGACATGCATGGATTCATATTCAATAATCCAGTAAATGTAATCCTCACTAAAATTCTGTGATCATGAACAGTTTTTGTCAGTGGATGAAGTAGTAGTTGAGCATCGTACAATACCCAGGGCTCTTTATTAGAATAGCATTAATAATAATTGATCAAAGGACAAGGTGTGTCAGTTTTTGCTAATAAGGTATATATTCTGGTTTCTAGTGTGTTTAACAACAGACGGCTTATCCTACTTAGCAGTTAATTTTTTAAATGAAATATTCATGTCTATTAAAAGTCACAATTATTACATATTAAGGAATTTTCAAAAAGGGAACATTAAAGCTTTTTCATGATTGTAGAACTTTTGGGCTTAGTAAAATGGAGATAATTATAGTAGCCACACCATAGTCGTGAAGGTTTCATAAATGAGACTCTGTAAAACATTTGGCACATATATGGAATACATGTAAACACAGTCCGTGTTAGCCATAAGCTGTCATCCCTCCCTTTTAAAATGTGCAGTGTTACTTGGAGTACTAATGGCCCAGGTGGCCTCAATACAGCATTTCAAATAACTCTGCTGCTTACTCATCTTAATCAGGCTCACTGCCATTCTAGGTGATATTTGGTTTTCAGTTCATCAAAAAGTACCCCATCAGCAAGTATTTAGCAAATGGATTGCATAGTTGACTGTCTAAAAAGATCTTTTAATCATCTGTGATTCCGTCGACCTTCTGTCTTAACTCTAAAATTTCCTTGTAGCTATGCTGATGAAGTAGATGAAAATGTGTTTTTAAAGAAAATACATTATTCAAGCTAGAGAGTCATAAATATTTGTCCAGTCCCGGGTCAAGACTCCCAACTTTCGTATATTTTCTTAAATGTACACTCTTTGAGATTATTGTCACATTTCTTTCTCACTCTTGGTTGTATTAGAACTAGATGTAAATTGGTTTTTTTCTTTTGTTTTTTCTTTCTATAACTAGAAAATCATCTTTGTGGAAAAAATAATAATTGTTAAAATTGCCGTGCTACTAAAGCAATGTTTCACACCAAACTAATGTGGGGAGACATGAGTCAGGGAAAGTAAAAGTACTTTTATCTACACAGTATGATATCTATGATAGTTTAGGGGTGAGTTATGTAACTGAAAATATTTCCTACCATTATGGTTAGGAACACCCATCCTTATATTTGTGGGTTGTGCTTAAGTTGGAACTGCCTGCAAAAGAAAGAGCTCAGTGCATGTGATGGGGACAGGAGGCTTCCGTGCAGTAAGACTCCACCAACAGATACATGAAGCCACGAGAAAGGAAGACCAGCAGAGCACCTTCTGTGTACACCGTATGGATTCATTTATGATTTGAAAAGAATTGGATTTGACTACAATTTGAATTTGCTCCAATACAAAATTCATTGTGTAGAAGAACCCCTCTGTTGTGGCTTCCCTGATTGCCAGAAAAACTCAGCCACGTGCCAAAGGTTGAGATGAATGATGGCTTAAAACAGAATGGAAATCCCATACCCCTGACACATGACATCTTCTGCAGCATGTGTCTTATCCTGTGCTGCCATTTGAAGCAGCTGTAAAGGAACTGACCGCAGTCTACTCCATTGCCTTCGACATTGCTTCCAACAGCTTCTGGGTGTCGGCCGTTCACGTGTGCCTGGGCAACATCAGAAATTCCTATGTGAGCCCCATTTGGAAAACCAAAGGCATAACCTCTTGTTTCTTTTCCTGGTGAAACGCAGGCTGTAGGAAGGATGCTTGCTTGATGTATGGAGAGGATACACTCTTATTCCACTTCTTTTAAGAAGAAGGAGGTTTGCACCCACTGTCATGTCTTGACCCACTGTGTTTTCATCAGCATGTGCTGGGGGTTTGAGGCTCTCTGTCTGTCTCCTCCTAGACGAAATGCTGTCTTTTGCCGTGATAGCCACATCCGTTAAGATGGACAGTGGTTGTTACTTCAATAGATGTTTTCTGCCTTTCTAGAGCATTTTCATGTTGTGCTTGGCTGAACTTCAGCCATCAGTTTCACCTTTCTCAAAGAAAAACATATCAGAACATGTTGACAAGCTGAACTTCATGGTTTCTGAAGTTGCCATCATGGATTCTTTAGAAAATCCACAAGCCACTTGGCCAAGCTTCCACTCTAGTAAAGGAAATTGGAAGAGAGCATCTAGGAGAACATTCTAGTGTGAAAAGAATTGCTACTGTAAGCCAGTCTAGTGATTGGCTCTAGACAAAGCCTTCTGAGTTTCCTTACTGACAGAAACCTGAGGGGGCCTGGAAACCTGCAGGACTCAGCTGACATCTGCACAGTCATTGCCTCAATGATGTAAAGCAAGCCAAAGCCAGCTTCACTGCACAAAGCAAACCTAAAATGAGGCAAAAGGAATTCACCTCAGAGAAAGCTTGGATTCTGTTGACCAAGCCTTGGATGCCCTCAGTTGACCACACAGTGCAGCCACGGAGATGTCTACACCAGTGCCCCCTACAGTGGTGAGGCTCTGCTCTGAATGGTCAGGAGTGTGCAGCACTGGCTGCTAAATATTTAAAGCGATAGGCCTGACAAACATGTCCACATTTTGGGAACTTGCTAGATGAGCCGCAAGGGAGTGGATGACTCCAAGAGGTGGAGTAGGGTACAAGAAGAAAGGCTGGCTTCACGTCTTTTGTCGCAAGGAGCCACTGCAAATCTGTTTAGGAATTAGGTCAGGTATCCATGCATGAATTAAACAAAACAAAGATCTAAGTGTAAGAACTATACCCCTTACTTCCTTTGCAATTCTCCCGTGGATCTAATACAGAGCTCAGCAAAGAAAAATGACTTAGTACGTTACAGGAGCCCCACCAGTACAGGGGAGTTTTTTCTGATCACTTTCCTACCTATTATCTCATGGATGAGAGCAAATGTTGAACAAAAAATTACAGGGGAAGGCAGGGTGAGGTCTCCCTTTGAATTTCTTACTTATTTGTAGACTAGGATATATTATAAACAAATATTCAAAAGAACAATTTTAGTGATTTTTAAAAAACTAAAGCACAGTTTATAAACCAGATTTTAGATTAGACCTAGCTGTATATCCAGAAGAACCTATGATGTCAAGAGTGCCAAATTATAAATAAGAAAGAAATGATCTTGCAGAGTTTTAAATTATGTATTGAATATTGCTTGGCAAACAATTTGAACAATGATAAAGAGTTAAAATTGAGATATTTACATGCATTTACATTCAGCGCATAAACATGCATGCTGAAAAAAACAGCTCCCTGTTTGCACGGCAATATCTCTTCACAGCAGAATATATTTTGCTGCCTGCTATGTCTTGCAATAAATAATTTTCTTCCTATGCAATAATTACTATGAGATGATGATGATAATTTTATTTAAATCCAATCGAAGCTATTGTATGCTAGCCATTGCTTGAAAAGCTCCGAAGCAAATAAACTTTGATTAGAAATGCTGCACGTCCTTTGGGCCTGACTAATATAATTTTTCTCTCTCTAAATATGGAAATAATTGACCAAAATTTTGAGTATGCCCAACTAAAGATTTCAGAATGCTTTACAAATTATAATAAAATGGTTTTTATTAAACTATAGAACTTAGTAAATAGGTTTCATTTTGGTGAAAGCACGTGTCTTGAGAGCTCTGCTTCTCCAGGAGCACAGTGTCCATCCGTCTGATGCTTCGCATATCCAGATGGCCTTTCCTTTTAGTTAAGGAGTCGGGCTGAGGACTTAACCTTGTCCTTCATTTCGGGCATCATTAATTCCCTCCTTTCTCCATAGAAGTCCCTTCCAGAATCTTCTGTCTTCAGGACGGATTTGGATATTGCTCTCCAGACCTGCACAGCAATCCTGGATTAGAACTTCTGTTTCCAAGATCCTATGCCCTCTTCTCTCTTGTTTTTCTCTCTCATAAGTTCCTGAAAAGGGATGCTTAGGACATTAAATTCTAAAAAAATAAGTCTTTAACCCTCACACATGAGTGATGTTTACTAGATACACAATTCTAGATGGAAAATTCTTTTTCTCAGGAATATTTTCTATAATTTAATTTTAACCTTAATACTATTAAATTCTCTTGTGATATATCTAGGTGTGTGCCTTTAAAAAAATCGTTGAACATTTTCAATTTAAAGAGTCATGACCTTCTTCAGTGCCAGAAAATTTTCTTCTTCTCTTTTAAAATAATTCTTTTGTCTCCATTTCCTCTGTCCTCTCTTTCTGAAATTAGTCAGATTTTGAGCCTCTTGGATTATTTCTCTTGTATTTTCTTATGTAATTTGGAGCCCTTTGCCTTTTTATCATATGTTCTGAAAGAATTCACTGATATCCAACATTTATTTTCCCCCAATTTTTCTGTGACTTCCATGCTCCCACTACCAGGGGCCCAAGAGAATATCATCTCTTTAAAAGAAAAATTCTAAGAATTCTCTTTTGTGTTTTTTAATAGCTCCTATTTTTGTTTTATGAATGTAAGATATTTTTGAATTTCTCTAAGGATATTAGTTAGAACTGAAGTTTGTTTTTATCTCTTTGGCATGAATTATCTCAATTTTTTTCATTGTCAGCTTTTCTTTTTTTATGGTGGGCTTTTTCACTGATTTTGCAGGCTTACTTCAAATCTGTGGTGGTCTTCAAGTTTTCTGCTTATTTTTAAAATAGTGGAATGGAGTTTTTCTGAGCTCTCTGCATGTCGGTGAAGCTTGTTCACAGTGAAGCTTCACTTCAGGGCGAATGGGTGGGAGGGAACTGTTGTAGTGGGGAGTCTTTTAAGTGTCTTAATCAGGAGGGTTTTTCTCTAAGGCCCAAATATCCTCAGTACCTTTTTGGTTCTCCCCATCACAATCCATCTCTGTGGAGATTCTTCTGAGTTGTTTATTTTGTTTGTTGGCCTGGAGGAAGGGGACAGTACTTTCCTGTCTGCTGGGTATTCTTTCAACCTAGGTGAAAGTGGAGAATGAGAGGTGACTACTTCCTTTCAATCACCCCTTTCTAGCTTGTCTTCCCATTTCTGCACCCCAGGTGCCTGCCATCTCTTGAGTATAAATCTTTCCTAGTGTTCCACCAGGAAAGTTAGCCACCTCCCTGGGATAGGGTCCCCTCTGTGTGTATCCTGGGCTATGCTGGCTTCTCCCTGAGCTCCATCTGTCAGCTCACCTCTGGCTGTTTTGTATCTTACAGAAATGTGATGAAATTTCTTGTCTGAATTACTCCTTCCATTCTCTTCTCTATTCCATTATGTCCATGGTAAATAACATCTTCTGTCCTGTATGAGTTCAGAACTCATACAGTGAACTCTGAACAGTTTTGAATATTAAACAAAGTATAAATATGTTTACAGATATTATCTCTGTTGCTGACAGAAGCCAGGCTGGAGGCCTTCTTTAAGGTCAGCCAAGTGACCTTGCTAATTTAATAGAAGTTCAGGTATAGCATTAATGAAGCACCCTGCATGAAAGGAGACACTGGAACAGAGAGGATGCATTTATCCCACTAACATCCCCAGCCTATTTTTCCTTCACCCTCTTTGTTATGATCACCCAGAGGCATAGCCCCTCTCCCCAGAGCAGGAGCTAAGTAATTTGTCAAGAAAGCTCTTCTTCTATCTTGATGGCACTTTTTGGGGATCACCTGGAATTCTTGGTGGGCAATTCATATATTACACCAAGAGGCACCAAAAGGGGTCAGAGGAGCAAATTATTTAAACCAAATTCAGGGTTACTATGTTCCCAAGATTTAAAATTAAGTCCAGTTTTATTTCTTATTCCAAATAATGTCCAGGTACATTGTCCAACCTAGCAAATTAGAGGTTCTATGAGAAGATTAAACAACATCCCAAAGATAAAAATGAATACAGACATTTCAATAATGAAATGCCAGCAATGTAGAGATGCTTCAAATTTTAATATAAACCCTACCAAATATCAAATTCCCATGGAGAAATTAAAAATCAAAGTTTAAATCCACTTTCATGTTGAAGTCCGAAGACATTAAGGTTCAAAGGAATTAAAGTCAAAGAATCAATACCTCTTGCCATTGTGTGTTAAAGTTCAAAATCCACAATTCTTAAGTTAGCTGATGTGTAAAAATCATCTTCTCCCAATTTTTTATTCTGCACAGTCTCAGCCAGGGGGATTCTTGTGCCTCTATGGGGCCTGGGTCCTTTAGCAGCCTGAATTCGGGGCTGCCTCACGCTGGAATTGGCCACATACTTTCAGGACCTCAGAGGATGCAAGATTGCATTGTCAGTTCTCCCTCCTCTCACTGTTCAAAGGTGTGAACAATGGTCCCTGCCCATCAAATGTAGCAAGCAAGTCATTGTGACCCCCTAAGGGAAAGTATCCCAGGCACAGGCATGTTCCCAGAAGCCAGCCCTCACCAGGTTTGCCTAGGGTGTCAGTGGAGTTTGTATTGGTCATCTGTGGCTGCTGTGACAGTTCACCACACATTTAGCAGCTTAACACAAGGAAGATTGATTTTCTTACGGTTCTGGAGGTTACAGGCCTGACACAGACTCACCTGGCTACAATCCAGCTGTCACCGGGGCTGTGTTGCTTTCAGGACGCTCTAGGGGACAGTCCATTTCCTCGCCTTTTCCAGCTTCCAAAGCTGCCCACATTCTTTGGCTCATGACCCCTTTCCACTGCCTTCAAAGCCAGTAGCATTGCATCCCTGATGAGTCCTCCATGGTCACATTTTCCTCTGATCACTGCCAGAAATGATTCTCTACTTTTAAAGCCCCGTGTGATTAGATTGCGCCCACCGGGCTGATCCAGGATTCTCTCCATGTTAGTCTCCCCATTTTAGATTCTTTACCTTCATCCCATCTGCAAGCCCCTTTTGCCATGTAAAGGAGCCCATTCATAGGTCCTGAGGAGTCAAATGTGGACACCTTTGGAGAATGATTATTCTGCTCCCCACAGTGTCTGAGGGAAGTGAGCACATGGAGACCCCTTGGATTTAGTCGGGGGATGCCAGCCTGGTGTTGTGTGGCTTTGAGAGTCCATCATCTGTGGACTTAACCTGAATTGGGAGAAATAAGTCCAGGCAAAGGTTCATTCTGGCATGATGCATTTCCCACTCGAAGGGAGATTCCTCGATTCCCATTGTCTCTTCTTTAGGAAACTGGAATCACAGGAATTGTTGCCACCTTGCAACATTTAGATACTGGCAGCAGAGGCAGCGCCTGTCTCCAGGTGCATCATGGTTTGACCAGGGAGGCAGAAGCACTGTAGATGACATGGAAAGGGGGACTTGTTATCAGGATTAGACCTGACACCACGGTGAGAGCTGGTGAAAACGCCTGTGGAAGGCTTTGCCGCTGTGTCTGGTGATGGGCCTGCAGTTGACACGGGCCAGCAGGCAGCAGTCAGAAAGAACAGCAGGATGTGAAGCAGGGGAAGCCAGAGCCAGCTGCCACTCATGGGGACAAATGGCACCCCTCTTTTGCCTCTCGCTGGCTGCAAATCTGCCACATGAGTGATACACAAAGCTGCCGCTCTTTGCCACGGAACTCTGCATGATTATTCCTGGCCAGGACCTAGGGAAGTGGAAAGAGGGGATGTGGTGGGAGCTGTCAGAGCTGTGGCCTAAAAGGTGGAGCAGCAGCAGGGGGTACGTGCACACACTGCAGCAGCCCTGATGCCCTCTGCCCGCAGCCCTCAGAGCTCAGCACTGTGCTTCACTTGGACCTGCCAGGCATCCCGCAGATGTCTCCATGGACAGTCTCAACCTGCAACCAAGCAGGGAGGGAAATCCTGGGAAGCATAGTTGCAGTTCAGCTGGGGTGACACAGCACAAACCCACCACTCCAGGTCTTATATGAGGTGGTTTCTTTCCCTTCCTACATAATGGAAACCTTTGATTTTGGATTTCCTCTATGGGAGTCAGGTGTTTTGGTCCAGTGTCCCATGAGTGTGTTCTGTCCCGTGACAAGCCTTCCACTGTCCTGTGGTTTGTTAGCAGGTTTTCCTCAATCCTATGGGGCAACAGTGATTTCTCTGCTTTTTATGATGGAATTGATTTGCTCCCCTATCCCTACGAAGATTGCAAAATCACCCTCAACAGACTCCTGAATTGAAGCTGCTCTTGCCATTGGGGGAACCTGCTGCGCCTTCAAGCCCAGACCTCTGCTGTGTGCACTGCAGGCCACTGTCTCTGCTTGCTCCTGCTCTAGGCCCTGAGAAATGCATTTTTCCAGCACTTCTTTTTACTGCTGGGATGGGATGTCCTTCTGGGATTCATTTTCCTCTGCTTTCCTTCTGCAGATCTCAGGAAGGCTCAGTTCTCTTGAACCTGCTTCCTAAGTTGGACACTTTGCTTTTCAGCACTTGGAAGTGTAGCAGTGTTTGCTGAAATTGAATCCTGCCTGCCTTCTACTTTTCCGTTGTTCGTGAACCTGAAAGCATTGCACTAGAGGCAATATGCTTTTCTACCATTCTCTTCTAGATTCTAGAACAGGACTTGGCAAGCTTTTTCAGTAAAAGGACAGATAGAAAATATTTTAGCTTGTAGGCCCTAGGTCTCTGTTACAACTACTCAACTCTACCTGTGCTGGATGAAAGCACCATAGATAATACATCAACAAATGTGTATGGCTGTGTATTAAACTGTATTTATGCAAGCAGGTAGCTCAGGCCATAGTTTATAGAACCTTCTATTTCATACTGTCTTCTGCAACCAAGTTCTAACAGAATAAAGAAGAAGGCCACATTGTCACCTCATTACTGCTAGGGGTTGGGTTGGAGGCCAGACTCCAGGCCTTTTAGCCACATTGGTTTGCTCACACAGAATGCCAGATGCCAGAATTAGTTAGACTTATCTACCATGGCACAGGCAGCCGTTGGATCAGGGCAGCTTCCCTTCTCCTCTGCCAGCCACTAGGGCACATCTTATGGAGACCAGGGGAAGCAGAGTTCCTCATGGCCTTTCATCCCAAAGTGGAAGAAGCTCAGAGCTGGGCCAAGCCCTGCACGCTTACTAGTGCCTTGGACAAGTTCCTCTACCTCTCAGGGGAAGAGCAAGTGAGGGGCTGGGAGAGTCCAGTGTTACATAATTGTGCTCCATTCGCAGTAAGGAAACATCAGGCCTGGGGAAGAATCCTTCCCAGTACATTGCTGTTAATTCTGATGGATCAATGATGGGCAGAGGAGATAAGTATTTGGTCTACCTTTTGATGGCAAGTCATCTCCTAACCAGCTTTGTATCTCATGCCTTCTATGCTGAGACATTGCCCATTCTTGTCTCCTGTCATTTTGAACATTTTAGGATTATCTCTTCACAGAGGCAAGCCCAAATCATATGCACAGGCAGAGGGCAAAAACTTACAACCCTCAGCACTGTTCTGATTCCTAATTGCTTCCCCAAACAGACTGACTGTAATCCAATTAGGAAATCCACACCTTTAACTTTCTGTATACTCCACCCTCAGTCCTAGAGACAGAAGCCATTCTGTAGACTGTGAGTCTCATTCATTCATTCATTAAACAAATTGCTGCTGAGTGCCTACTATAGTTAACCCTTGAACGACCCAAGAGTTAGGGGTGCTGACAACCCCTAGAGCTGAAAATTTGCATACAATTTGGCTCCCCAAAACTTAATTACAAATAGCTTACTGTTGACTGGACACCTTACCAGTAACATAAAAAGTCAATTTACATATATTTTATGTACATATTATATACTCTATTTTTACAACAGTGTAAGCTAGAGAAAATAAAATGTTATTAAGAAAATTATAAGGAAGAGAAAATATGTATGCACTTTATTAAGTAAGAGTGGATCCTCATAAGGTCTTCATTCTCATCATCTTTGTATTGAGTAGGCTGAGGAGGAGGAAGCAGAGAGGTTGGTCTTGCTGTCTCAGGGGTGGCAGAAGTGGAAGAAAATCTGTATATAAGTGTACCTGCGCAGTTCAAACCATGTTGTTCAAAGTCAAATGTATATGGAAGTGAAGTTTAGGTGCTTGGGATACAAGGAGTAAGGACCCAGGCACCTTACAGCCATAGACCAGCCTTCCTTATGATATGGCTTTCTTCCTAATGGTCAAGATCATGGCACCTGTTTTTCAAGGAGCCACATGGAGGAAGGGAGAAAAGAAGGAGCAGCATTGAGAGGAGTCTTGGTATTTCCATTGATTCATATGTAGAGGAGTGAACTGTGTCAAGACAATAAGTGAAATTTCATAATCTATTAACAGAACCATTGTGGGCTATTAGAAGCTGGAACTCGTAGACCTGCCCTCCTAACGCTTGTGTCGTAGTGGACAAGACAGACAATAAACTGAGACAAATAAATCTGTAATTTCAGCATGTGACAAGTGCTGTGAAGAAAAATCAAGCAGGCTAAGGAGATTAGAAAGGGATAGAAATTTACTACTTAGAATGAAGTTTGAAGAAAGGAAAAGCCCCGGATAATGATCTGTTAAACTAGAGGAAGTTTTGTCTCCCATACGTGAAATCTGGAGTTAAGTGTTCCAAGGTGATAACGCAGCTGTATCCCATAGAGTCTTCAGAAACCCTTCTAGCCATATGGCTTCTTCCAGCCATAGCTCCCCCTTCCTTATGGGATGGCTCTCTTACCAGTGACCAGGATGGTGGCACCAGTGTCTCAGTGAACAAGACATTTCCATATACAGTATTTGTTTTTAATTTTTAAATTTTATTTATTTTAAAGTTCCAGGGTACGTGTACAGGATGTGCAGTTTGTTAAACAGGTAAATGTGTGCCATGGTGGCTTGCTACACCTAGCAACCCATCATCTAGGTATTAAGCCCAGCATGCATTAGCTATTTTTCCTGATGCTCTCCCTCACCCAACTCCCTGACTGGCCCCAGTGTGGGTTGTTCCCCTCCCTGTGTCCATGTGCTCCCATTGTTTAGCTCCTACTTTTAAGTTAAGTGAGAACATGCAGTGTTTGGTTTTCTGTTCTTGTGTTAGTTTGCTGAGGATAGTGGCTTCCAGCTCCATCCATGTTTCTGCAAAGAAATGATCTCACTCCTTTTTATGGCTGTATAGTATTCTATGGTATATATATATACCACATTTTCTTTATCCAGTCTATCACTGATGGGCATTTGAGTTGATTTCATGTCTTTGCTATTGTGACTAGTACTGCAGTGAACATACATGTGGATGTATTTTTATAATAGAATGATTTTTATTCCTTTGAGTATATACTTAGTAATGGGATTGCTGGGTCAAATGATATTTCTGGTTCCAGGTCTTCATGGAATCACCACATTTTCTTCCACAATGATTGAAGTAATTTACATTCCCACCAGCAGTGTAAAAGCATTCCTGTTTCTCCGCAGCCTCGCCAGCATCTGTTGTTTCTTGACTTTTTAATAATCACCATTCTAACTGGTATGAGAAGGTGTCTCATTGTGGTTTTGATGTGCATTTCTCTAGTGATCAGTGATGTTGAGCTTTTTTCATAGGTTTGTTGGCTGCATGAATGTCTTCTTTTGAGAAGTGTCTGTTCATGTACTTTGCCCACTTTTTAATGGGGTTGGTTTTTTTCTTATAAATGTGTTTAAGTATTTTTGTAAACTCTGGATACTAGACCTTTGCAGATAGATAGACTGCAAAAATTTTCTCCCATTCTGTAGGTTGCCTGTTCACTCTGATGATAGTTTCTTTTGCTGTGCAGAAGCTCTTTAGCTTAATTAGATCCCATTTGTCAATTTTTGCTTTTGTGGCAATTGCTTTTGATGTATTCGTCATGAAATCTTTACCCGTGCCTATGTCCTGAATGGTATTGCCTAGGTTTTCTTCTAGGGTTTTTTATAGTTTTGGGTTTTACATTTAAGTCTTTAATCCATCCTGAGTTAATTTTTGTGTAAGGTGTAAGGAAGCGGTCCAGTTTCAATTTTCTGCATATGTCTAGCCAGTTCTCCCAGCACCATTTATTAAATAGGGAGTCCTTTCCCTGTTGCTTGTTTTTGTTAGGTTTGTCAAAGATCAGATGGTTGTAGATGTGCAGTCTTCTTTCTGAGTTCTCTATTCTGTCCCATTTGTCTCTGTTTCTCATAAACAGTCTTTTTAAGGGAGTTGTAGTTAGTTGTGCTATGGTAAGATTAGACTGCTAACATTTATATATGGGTAAGTCAAGCTTAATACCCCTTCTTTATTACCTTTGTCACAGAGTAGGACTTTGCAGATGCCTCTAGAGCCAATATGTCACATTATTTCCTGTGTTTTACATTCTTATTGTTGTCCAATGTGCCTAACCTGAGAATCCAGGTATTCTCTGCATTTCTTTCTTGTGGACCAAGAAGAGATAAGCATACATTTACGAACACCCACACTTACCGGTCATAGTGCTACGTACCGTCCAGTCTATCATTGCCTTGAATACTCCTGAGGTCCTGTGAGGTTGGATGTAAGGGGCATGCTTAAAGTCACAGCTGGTCTGTGGTACTAGTGTAGTCCTTGATTTCCAAAGCCAGTCTGCTTTACACCAGTGATTTTCCAGTTTCTCCAATCATAAGAGTTTCTTTGGAGGCACTTGATAAAACAATACATATTTCTGGACCCTAGATTTTCACGATAATAGCTTGGGAATCCACACATTTAGCAATACCCTCTCGAGGTTCTTAGGATCATGCATGTTTGAGAAACACCACTTTCTACTTTAACAGGACCAACAATTACAGTGGACTGCAGAGGGGTGGAGGATTAGGAGACATGGATGTGTTTTGAGAGACGCCAAAATAATTTGACGCTAATGGTAACTACACTATCCAATGAAAATATATGGCCCGTTTATCACTTTTTTCAAATTAGAATGAATTTGAGGTTACCTCATATTACAGTGTGCTTCCTCAAGTGAGAGAGAAAATAAGTGGAATCGCTTCCACTGGATATAGAAGAAATTTCCTGTATCCCCCTCTGACTTACAGCCAGCAGTAAGCAACTGTTACTGATGGCAGTGTTAACTGGGGTGGAGCTTGCATATATTATAGTCCTTTACTTCCCTATGAAACCTTGTGAAGTTTCATCAGAACCTTCTGTACACCGATCAGAGAGTGTTTTGTGAGCATGATCCATTTTACATTCTGCAGCAGTAAAATGTTGGATGTTCTTGAACCGTCTGAAGTTGCCTTCAGTTTTCACCTCCGTGATCATTAGGGCTGGTGACGTGAGATGTATCTGTGCTTATCTCTAATTACATTTCAGAGCATGCCAAAATTGTATAAAGGCTTAAAGGAAAGTTTTTCTGGGTCTTTGTGCTTTGTTTTGTATTTGCCGAGATTGAAATGTACAGCGCATTTCCATTTGTTAGGTCTGACAATGCATAACTGATTTGTGGCTTTACTTTGCAACTCACGAGTTACAAGTTAATTAGAAACACTTTTCCCTAATTATATTTGAGAGTTTGCTCTATTTGCTCTACAATTATCACAAAAATTACATTAACTAGTGTTAACGAACACAACATAGCAATCCCCACTGGATCCTGGAGGAGAACACCAAATTATATAACGTCTACATCCCTTGCCCAACACCTGGTTTCCTTTCCAACAGATGTTTTTGTTTGTCATTCCTGATGAAACGTTTGAAATAAACTTCCTTTTTGGTTATCCGTTAGAGGATGAAACTCAGCCTAGAGGAGGAGAAGCTTCAGTTTTGCACATGCAAAACTCTTTTCACTTAGCAACTCGCTCTTCCATCATGACGGCTGTTGTCGTTGCCATCATGGCAGCTGTGTACATCAACTGTGTGCCATCCCCAGGGAATGCCCAGAAGAAGAATCTCTGTGAAGTGGTTTCCTAAAATAGGAGCCTGTATCATGAGGCCTGTAATCCCAGAGAAGTCAGGAAATGGGACTGCTTAGAAGGTGACCTTCTTGTCTTCCTTCTTTCTTCTCCAGTTCACAATAGATGCCTGAGCAGCACTACAAGGTTGCTCAGTCAGGGTAGACAAGAGCATATGGAAATGATGTAGATGTGAGCTCTGTTCTCCAGGAGCAGTCCACTGAGTTAGGGAGAGGGAGATAGAGAACTGTTCTATAAGAAAAGCATGGAGAGAGGGCCAGAGGAGCTTAGAGGAGGAAAGAGAAACTTCAGTTGAAGAGATCAAGGAAGACTTTATGAAGAAAGCAACATTTGAAATGGGTTTTAAAGATGCATATGGGTTTGGCGTGCAGGTAATGGGAGCAGGAGAATAAAACATGGGCCACGAAGGTTACAGGGGCAAACTCTCTTTGCATGCTTCTTTAATAAGAATGGATTGAGAACTGAGTCATCCGTGTGCATGCAGGGGTGGGCATGTGTGTTCTTGCACACCTGCTCAGACTAAGGCACAAGCACTCCTGCGCAAAGCAGCTTCCTTCTGCATATCTGCTTGCCACTCTCCTTGCATTGAGTCCGAGTGCTGCGGGTTCAAACAGTCTGGTCTTCTCCTTCCATCCATATTTGCCTTTTAATCTACAATTCTTCTAGAAGTTAAGGGCCTTTGGGTGGAAGGAATAATGAGGAACGTGCTTGATAAGTTTCTACATAACTTGATTCACTTCACACAAAAATTGCTAGGGACACACCCAGAGTCAGCTGTGTCCTCGTTGATGAGACAAAATAATTCCACAGACTATTAATTCACAATAGTGAACAAGGATTAATCTACTATGCAAATGACAGTCGGCCAACTTAAAAGTTAGGACATATTTTCAGGCAATTTAAAAACCATGGAACCTTGAGCATAAAAGCATTCAGTACTTCAAGTACAGCAGTCTATAGCAAACACAGTTAGCACTTAAAATTATGATACATATTAGTTAAAAGAGCTGCTTGCCCTACATAGTATTTGGCTTTCATGCATGTTGGATTTTTTTTTGAGAAAATGGATTTTAATTCATAAGTGCAATTCTGTTTTCAAGTGGCATACCTGCTCTGTTCACAAATTTATTTTCTGAGGCTTATCTGTGCAGTTAATTAAAAGCAAACATAAACATGCGCTCTTATCTGGTTTCCAGATATACTTAACAGTGAACCACATTTGCATTCACAGGTATCAGTAGAAAAAAGGCTACTTTCATTTCTCACATTTTATGTCAAATGATTCTTTTTAGATTAGAAAGAACCATCCCCCATCCTTTATTCTTAAAAATTATTCCCCTCCATCGTTAGTGAGAGGCAGTAATATGCATGGAAATCTAAGACTGCGAGATACTGATTTCAAAGCATTCAGAAACACTTTTATTAACCAAAAGAAGTCTTGGACATTAACTTTAGCGGTTTTTGTTATGTTTCAGTCTTTGCCTTTTAAGTGAGTTTGCAGTTTTGAAGCAGATGTTTAATTTTATATTGGTTCTACGCATGCTTGTGGTAATGAAAGAAAAGAGTTTGAGAGAAAGAGAAAGAGGGAGGGACAGAGAGAGACAGCATGAGCGAGTGAGAAAGAGAGAGAGTACACAAAACTAGGCCAGGCGCGGTGGCTCAAGCCTGTAATCCCAGCACTTTGGGAGGCCGAGGCAATTGGATCACTTGAGGTCAGGGGTTCGAGACCAGCCTGGCCAACATGATAAAACCCTGTCTCTACTAAAAATACAAAAAATTAGCCAGGCACGGTGGCAGGCACCTGTAATCTCAGCTAGTCAGGAGGCTGAGGCAGGAGAATCACTTGAACCCAGGAGGCGGAGGTTGCAGTGAGCTGAGATTGCACCACTGCACTCTAGCCTGGGCAACAGGAGCAAAACTTGGTCTCAAAAAAAAAAAAACCAAAAAAAAAAGAAACTAAATTGATTTGCTCTTCTTTAGCAGTGGGGCCTTAGCTGCTGGGTATCTGTACCCGCTAGCTGGAGAGTGTCGATGCCATCCTCTCTACTTTTGACCTTGGGGCATTTTCTGATCTGTGTAATCACTTATGCACAGCCAATCACGTGCATCCTTTATTAAGGACACGTATGGGTGGAGGGGCATGTTAATATGCCTTACTTTCCATGCCTTTTTCAGGAGACTTCCTAAGGCTTCGTTAAATTAACAGGAGATAGAAATTTGTATTTAACATACAGTTGTAGTTATGAGATGAACATGGATCATTTAGGATTTTCAAGCAGTCTATCAATTTAATAATTTTCTGCAAAACTGCCCTTGCTATTAACTTAGTTATTGAAGTGTATAAACACAGATGTGAAATTTTTTTGTCATGTATAAACTTCACATTGAGCATGGCTAGGTATTTATAATTTGAATCTAATGAAAATGGGATTGAAAAGAAGGAAATGATCAGGTGATCTCAGAAGGGCAACTCTCCCAAAAGCAAACACTATGTCTGATTAGATAAGCCACATGCTTAGTGAATGGAAAGGAATATCTCTAAAATTTGCTGATCCAAACTCCAAATACCAGGATCTTACTAAAATTCCCTTTACCTCCAGGGGGCTCCCTCACCATCTCTAGGTAGCTTTCCTAAAGCTGCTTGCCATTAGGGCTGCAGTGTAATGAAACACAATCTGAGTTGCTATGGAAACAGCTATATCTATGCAAATTACCTTTTAAAAAATCATTAGGCCACAGAAAGTCTGTCAGTCATATGAAATTTGCAAGGACAACAGCCCACAGCTACCCTTGGCATTGCTTCTCCCCATTGACTGTTGCCAGTTTCTTTTGCTGTATCTCTTTTATACAAAGATAGTATTACCCAATCCTTGGGGGACATGGCTAGTAGTAAGAGTTGCGGGTGGGAAGTTGAGGGCGGGAAGTTGAGGGCAATCACCTGCAATTAAGAGTTTTGAAGCCATCGTGGGCAGTGGAAAAGCTACCTAGACATGGATGGGGGAAGAGAGAGGTTGAAGTTGAGGCAAATTTACTTAAAACCAAGTGTCTCACATCCATCCCTCTCCTCCAAAAACTAAGTCACTAACTTTACTTGCACACACAGACATATATATACAGGTGTGCACACTCTTAGATGTGCACACGAAGGTGGGTGCATGCAAACATACCTGTGCAATGTAGGCATACCCACACAGACCAGCACATGCAGGCATGAACATACATGCCCGGGTGTGTGCATGCACACACTACACACGTACACACCACACACATATACCACACACACACTACACACACACCCACACACACATACCCCACACACACCACACGCCCACTCACACCACACACACACCCCATCCACACACACACACCCCATCCACACACACACCACACACACACTCCATCCACACACACCCCACACATACCACACACACCACACACACCCCCCACACACACCCCACACACACCACACATACATCACACACGCCACACACACCCACACACCACACACATACTACACACACACCACACACATACTACACAGATACCACGCACCCCCCCACACACACACCACACACATAGCCTCCACACACACCACACATACACACCACACACATCCATGCACACACGCCACACATAACACACACACACATCCACACACACATGCCACACATACACACACACACCACACGCATTCACCACACACACACCACACAGACACACACACAGACACACACACACACACATACACACATCCACACACACATGCCACACATAACACACACACACACCACACGCATACACCACACACACACCACACAGACACACACACAGACACACACACACACATACACACGGAGCCTCCTGGGTTTTTGGCTATCACACAGCCCTCCCTACCATCCTGCTCTACCAGACGCAGTTCCACACTGGAAGCACTACTATCCCCGACTTCTTTGTGTATCTGTTCTATACACTGGGCTTGGCAGAAGCTTCCACAGTGCTTTTAGAGCTTGCAGTTCTCTCAGCTGGTCACCATGGCTCCCCGGGGCACAGCCTGTGTGCTCTGCTGGTTGTCGCCATCTCACCTGCTGCTTCCCGGGCAAAGTGGCCCCACATGTGTCTACCCTGAGCCCCCAGGAGACTGCAGCTATGAGGTAGTAGGTAAGCCAGAGAGAAAGAATGGCTCACTGCCCCTTGCATTACAATTTGTACTAGAATCCCTGAAGAGCACTTCTTATACCCCAGGCATTACAGAAAGAGCTTTTCCCACCTTAGCCTCTTTCCCGGGAATTGAGACTTGCCTCTCTGTTGCTGGGCTAAGGGCGAGTCAAATAATGGCTCCCACTCCAGTCATTGGGTCCACCCTCCCCGCCACTGCACCCTGCTCCTGGTACCCGCTGGCTGGTTTGCATTCACATCAGTTCCCTCCTAGGAGCTTTTCCTGCCCCACCAGTCAGCCTCTGCCCAGCCTGCCTAACCTGCCCAAACACATCCCAGACCTCAAGTGCACAGACTTGGTTCTTCCCCAGAACCTCCGGGCCCACATACTAGTAGACTCTGTCAGCTCCACATCCTCAGGCAACCGGGAGTGCTCAGCCCTGTCTGAACTCTGAAGAGGACAGAGACATCAACTCAGATGGGAGCCAGCATCCCTGCTACATGGGAACTCTTTATAGGAGTTGCCAGTTGGCATCGTTAGGAGTGATGTATTTCAGTTTGGTTCTCTAAAGAGCCAGATCACATTTTCACTGTTTTCTACGAGGTAGCAGGATCTAGAGTGTGTTGCTCAGCTAAGCCCTAGGGCAAATATGGAAAAGAGATCAGTGTTACAGACCCTGTCCCCAGCAGGATAAGTGAGGTCCTTCTTCACTCTACATCCTGCCTTGGGGGTCAGGGACATGAACAGAGGAGCCCATCTGCTTGCAGGGACCATGATGCTGAGACTCTACAATATGTGAGGCACATAAGCCTTGCTTGTGCTTTCAGTGTGTGAAACTTAAAAGTGAGTTCTCAACCAATCGCTATTATGTTTCTTTCTTTAAATGCTTTAAATATTAACCTAGGACTCTGCTTCCAAAATAACATATTACATTTAAGGCCACATGACCCTTGTATTAGTCTGTTTTCACACTGCTATAAAGAACTTCCTGAGACTGGGTAATTTATAAAGGAAAGAAGTTTAATTAACTCACAGTTCCACATGGCTGAGTAGTCCTCAGGAAACTTACAATCGTAGCGGAAGGCCAAAAGGAAGCATAGTGGAGGAGAGAGAGAGAGAGCGATGCGGGGGAAGTGCCCCACTTTAAAACCACTGGATCTCATGAGAATTCACTCACTATCACAAGAACAGCATGGGGGAAACCACCCCCCATGATGCAGTCACCTCCCACCAGGTCCCTCCCTCAACACATGGGGCTTACAATTCGAGATGAGATTTGGGTGGGGACCCAGAGCAAACCATATCAACCCTGTTTTTATTGCTAGTTACAGAATTAGTGCTCTAGCCTCAGCGATCCCTCAATGAAGGTCATTGCTGTGAGTTATTTCTTCAATGAGCAGAGCCTTTAGTTTATTATTTCCAGCAAATAAAATGTGTGTCATTGTTATCCCCATGTTAGGTTGAGAAGGAAATATTAAAAGGTTAATGTAATAAGCACCAAACCAAAAGTTCTTCCATGTTTACGCAGCATCATTTTGGAATACAAATACCTGCTTTCTCCAAGCCAATTACATATTTTTTTAAATATTATATAATATCCAGGGTTATCTATTCTGAGAGTCATTTAAGCCTTTAATAAGAGGGTTGAGGTGTCAATAGGTCCTCAGCCCTCAAATTTACTAACTTTTAGAAGTGGAGGTCAGAAAATGATTTTTTAAAACCATATCTCTTATAACAAATATATCTCCTATCTCCTTTGTGAAGATAACTAAAAATGGAGACATTATAGAATGTCAGGGTTAGGTACAGATAAATATGTATATTTAGTCCAGGCATAGTGGCTTATGCCTGTAATCCCAGCACTTTGGGAGGCTGAGGTGGGTGGATCATCTGAGGTCAGGAGTTCGAGATAAATATGTATATTTAAAGGCATGGTTCATATTTTCTGTGATAACCTTGTTTTAGGAATATAGTACAGTGCTCTGTTTTATGTTTTTTTGTTTTTTGTTTTTGTTTTTGTTTTTTTGTTTTTTTGTTTTTTGTGCTTTTTTTTGAGATGGAGTCTCGCTCTGTCACCCAGGCTGGAGTGCAGTGGTGCAATTTCGGTTCACCGCAACCTCCATCTCCTGGGTTCAAGCGATTCTCCTACCTCAGCCTCCCGAGTAGCTGAGACTACAGGGCACCTGCCACCACGCTGGACTAATTGCTCTGCTGTATCTTTAAGAATAAAGGCCCATGTGATTTGCCTTGAAATGTGTCCATCCAAGAGACTGTAGGCAACTGAAATTGAGAAAAGTTAGTCAAGCTATGAAAAATTATCTGCTCATTGTTGAACATACCATCTTCATAATTAAGAAATAGTTGTAAAATATATGCACTGTCATCTCAGTGGGGTAATTTTAAATAAGAGTTTTCTAGCTATAAGCTATTGTAGTTCCACAGTATCATAAAGATCAGTAGGACATATGTCTTTCTAAGAGTTAAATTTCAATATAAGGCGAAGAATGTATTGTATATGTCTTCCTGGTACACTAAATTGATAATCATCATTACATTCTTTGCCAACTTAAAATGATTCAATGTTGTGAGTGCCCTGAGTCTAATTAATTTTAACAAAACCATTTATATACCATAAATTTCCAATTATATATATACTTTTTAAAGAGTAAAATTCTGCTAGGCTCTACTGATGTCTTACATCTCAAATTTCTCAGACCTCCATAACCAGCATTTGCCTCATTTTGTTAGCATCATCTTCCATTATGACGCATTGTTAATCATACTCCTCCTACCAGGACTCATATCACAGGTTTTCCATTCAAGTTGTATCATCTCTGCCTCTCTATCACCTACATTAACCTATAAGCTCCTTAAGAGTAGGGGAAGTTTCATAGTCATGATTGTTTCCATGATGTTCAACCCAGCATATCATAGGAGTTCAATAAATCCCTCTTGGACTAATTTGGTGGAAACTATATTCCAATTTTCCCCACATTGAGCTGCATTCCCAGGCTTCAAGAGTATTCCTCAACTAATAACCACTGTTGTGTTCTCCTTTTAACCTACTGAGAAAAAGGCTTAGGTCAGTAGCAGACTTATTGGTATTCACTGATGCTCATCCATCTTTGATTTCATAGTAAGACTTGCTTAATGTGTGAGTCATCATGGGTGACAGTATGTTAACACATCTATAAAGAATACTTGAACACTATTGCAGGAATAGAAATGGGCATTGAGAGATCCCATTTCTATCCTAAACAATATAAAACCAGCTTGAATCCTAAGCCAACTTTGTGTCTTCTTCAAGTCTTCCTTTTCTATTTCTTTGCCTTCGCCAACACCACTGCCAGAATATCAGTAGCTACCAGGAACCAACAAGTATCATCTTATATACATTCCTCTGGTATAAACAACTTGCTATAGTATTTAAATTAATTGATGCATGTTTTCTTGCGATGGAATTGAGGATACTTTTTATCTGATGATATGATTTTATCATCACAAATCATAATTCACCTAAGGAAATAAATGGCACTTCTATCTAATTATTGCCATAAAGAACAACTTAATATCAAAATGACAAAGGTTGTTTTTGCAATATATTATTCAGAATTTAGATGGATGATATAAATTTCCATCTAACTTGATCCATGTAGTTTAATGAGAGCATTTTGTAGATCTAATTATCTGTGAACAAGACCAAAAAAAAGTTCCTCAAAATTTCACTTCCTTTAAATATTTTTTTAGTCTCCAGGAGGTGATAGGTAAAAGCTTCTCTTAATAACTTATAATACATATATTTTATACATATATTTTGATTAATTTTTCTATATTAAAAAATTCTGGAATCACAAATAAGGAGTGCCTTAGAGTCTTGTATAGGCCAATAATTTTTTAGCTGTTTTTTGTCCTTTCTTTCTGTCTAAGAACAATGGGTGTCCTGACTATAGACAGTGTTAGGTATCACCATGTTGTAGATACATAGTAAGAAACTGAAAACCAAATGCCTTGAATTTTATAATTGAATATCAATTTTCCTATCTAGACACCTAGAAACAAAAGCACCAGGATTTCCCCTGAGGGTAAAACACAGAATGTCTAAACCTCACTCTCTTCTTGGGGCCTTACCATCAACTTATATAGTCCCTGCTGAGAACCTGAGTGCATTGGAAATTGTTGACGTGAAATAAGGGATGTAATACTCATGCATCTTTGCAGGAATTTATAAACTCCATCTGTTCATAACATTCAATCACAAGATTATGTACCTGGACCTCATTAGCTCAGCTCCCAGAAGAGAGGTCATATTTTAATGTTATTACTCTTACTCTTATTAAGAGTTTATGTAAGAAACTTATATGAAAAACAAGTCAGCAAATCCTACAAACTTGGACTTTTAGATGCTGTTATGTCATTTGTTGCTAAATCTGTGGAGGATGGGACAAACAGATGGTTGTTGAGTAGGGCAGTGCCATGAATCCCTCCTGCAGGGTAGGAACATTAATCTGAGAGCAATGACATGATAGATTGGAATAAATAGCCAGTTGAGATAAACAGAGGGGGTGAGCACAGTCAGGTTATGGTTGGATTTTTAGCTAGAAATTATGAATCAGTCATGACAGTAGAGCCCAATTCAGATTTTGCTGGATCTTGAGTTCCCATTATTGCAAGTTAGGATAAGGAAACCAGTCTTCACAGAGTAAGGTGGTTTGGAGAAAGAGGTAGAAGCTACTAGATAGTTCAATAGGATCTCACTCCATGAAGGAATTCATCTTGTTTTCAACTGTATCAGTGCTTACATTCTCAACCTCCAAACACAGTAAAATGGATAAACTTGGTAAAGTGAATGACTAGAGCTTTGCATCCTTAGACTAGCAACAGAGACAAGAGTTTGCCATGGAAACAGTGTGTGAATATTAATGTCCATTGTCAACAATGAACATGTCGGTGGCTACATGTTTCCAAAGCCTTTTTACACCTTGTGTTTATAAATCGTCAAAGCTTGCTCTCACCAAGACAGAAGATGGGGGAATCATGTCAGTGGGAAACAGCAAAAATAAATGTCCCCTGGATTTTTAAATAGAGGATTCACTGTAGAAAACAAATGAATTAAATGATACCATGAAAAGAGAAATACAGGTGTCAATAGACTAAGGGTCACAAAAATGATAAGAAGAAGGAAAAATAATGATATTGGGCATCAGTACTAGTTCTGATAACTTCTCAGTTCTTTAGCGTCTCTACAGCTCTGCAACTTTTAGTAGCTTAACTTATGTGTTCATTCCCATGCATGACCCAACTGGGAAATAAAATAACAAAAGAAATGAATTGGCATTTCAAAAAACAACATGCAACCAGCTACTACACTCATAAGAAGAAGGTTAATTAAAAGGAATGCGCATGGGAAGGAGATGCCATGTCTGCTAGTAGATCTCCAAAGATGAGAATGATTGCTGGCACCCAGGGTTGCTGAGGGGCAGCAACACACACTATTGGGTGACAGTGTCAAGAGGGTGATCTTTCTGGAGAGCATTTTGGCAATATACCTCAGTATTTAAAATGTGTAGACTCTACCCAGCGATCCAAGTTTTAGGAATTCATATTGAGAGACTATTAAGAAGCATCTTTAGAGCAGATGAGTTAATATATGGAAAGCATTTCAAACACTCTAGTACATAGTAAGAGCCAATGTCAGCAAAAAAAATAAATAAATAAAAAAAGAAAGAAACAACTTAAATGTCCATCAATACACAATCAGATAAAAATGGACCATCAAATAGAGCATTACCAGGCATTAAAAATTAAGATGTGGCTAGATGTTGATATCAAAATATATCCGTAACATGTGTTGAATGCAAAAGTCAAGTTAACGAACAGCGTGCGTGCTGGGATTCTATTTCTGTAAAGTGACATGTGAGTATATGATAAGAATAGAGCGATAAACAAGAGCTTGTCTCCCAAATCTCATTATCTCTGGGTGATTTTATTCTTACTTTATTCTTTATCCCTTTTTAATAGGCTGAAGATTTTAATATTACCATGTGTATTTTATAATCATAGAAAATAATACTATTATGTTCATCTAGAAAACTTGAGAATATATACCAAAAACATGCACTTTTTCTGAACCTAAGATTTGATAAAGATTAATTATAATATAAAATGGAATTTATTTTATACCATATATATCCATACAGAGAAATTACTATGTAAAAAAAAATAGAAGCAATCTAAAATTTGGTTTGAAATACACAAGCATAGAAATTCCAAAGTTTTGGTATCACAACTCAGGAAAGTCACCTTCCATTCTCAGGAAACAATGTAGCTTTATACTAACCTAAGGGTTAGTTAATAGATAAATGCATTACCTGTGTTCAGCATATTCAATAATATCTTGAAAAGCCAGTTTATCAGTTTTGTAATTTTACCTCAAGGAGTAGTGCTGAATGTCACATAGCATTTAAATAAGCAAGATTGTCACTTTTTCTAAATTGTTTTCTGAAAATCCTATTACACTTTACATTCCAATCATAATAGAGGCTGCACCGTTCTGCGTGCTTTGCCACGCTCTGCTGATGTTGCTCCTGCCTTGACTCAGGAAATTCCTAAAATAAGTGATTTTTATCCCCTCTTGTGACGTGCTCTGCGTATAATCACTGAATACGTGCCATAATGATCAACTGGCTAACGCATTTTTATTTGTCCTCAATCAACCCTCTGATAGTCCTGAAACAGATGCTTTTAAATGGGAACTGCGGCTCAGTATTTTTTACAAATATGCACAATAAAAGAGAAACAGTTTCAAATTACTTGTGATATTTAAAAAAAAAATAAGTCAGCAACTAACAGAAGAAGGTTTCCACTGACATTCAAGAGTAGCAAACCATCCCAAGATTAACAGTTTGTGCAACTACATTTTTTTACACTGCTTTTTCTTCTTTATACCAAATTACCTTCACCACCAGACTCTTCAATGCAAGACCAGCCCTGGGCTGCTGGTTCTTAATTTGAACCCTTTATTTCTTTACTTCTGTGACTTCATCCAGTCCCTTGGCTTTAAATACCATTTAAATGCTGAAGGCTCTACATTTCTACCTTTGTGCAGCACTCAACTCATGCACCCAGCTGCCTCTTGATAGTGATGTCTGATTGGAATCTCAAACGTTAACACATCCCAAACTGGAGCCCACAACTTCCTGCCAGGCCTCTCCCTCCTCCAGTGTTCCTCACCTCTGTGCTCAAGGCCAGAACGTCTCCATCTCCCTGCACCCCCACATCCAGCCGAGCTGCCAGCCAGCCAGTGTTACGTCTGAATTACGTCTCAGACTTGACCACGTCCATCTCTGCTGGCCATTTCTCCCTTAGGGTTCTGAAGTGGCCTCCTACCTTGCCTGCCCACTTCTTTTCACCGCACTTCAGCCTGTTCTCTGCTGCATGCCTCCAGAATGGTGTTTAAAAACCAACCATCCTTTTGGGGTGACAGAAATGTTTGGGAAGTAGGTAGAGGTAATGGCTGCACATCGCTGTGAATGCACTAAACAACCCTGAATTGTGCATGTTAAAGCTATTAACTGTATGTTATGGGAATTTCATCTTAAGTTTTAATAAAAGATTTTTCAAAGCCTAACCTTATAGCTCCAATTGGGAATTTATCTTGTACTTTGTTATTTAATGCTATTGATCCACCAAGAAGGAATGAAACATTATAAAACAAACACAAAAACCCAATTATGACAGTTACCTGCTTAATGGTATCCCTCCCACTGCACTTGGTGGATAAAATTGAAACTTCTTATAGTGGCCTCTGAGGTCCTTTTTAGAAAGTGCCCCCTGCACATCAGCTCTCATCAAGGTTTCCACAGGACATGAAAAGAACACTCAGCTGGGATTCTCTACAGAATCCAATGCAGGGACTCTTCCGAGGAGTCGACAGGGTTAGTATACTGATCTAGAGGGTGGTCAGCAGCGGGAAGCAGTGGAAGCAAACACAGTCTCCAGAACTTGGGAAAATTGGGAGCCGTGAAGAGAGGCTGCTCTAGCCACAAGGCTTCCCAGCCCTAGGGGCACAGCAGAGGAGTGGGCATAACATTCCCCAGCTCTCTCTCCTCCTGCCCTCTGACTGCCTACTTATTCTTCCATTAGCTGAACCCTGTGGTTGGCTGCAAGCCAGAGGGCACGGGTACCCGGGAAGTTCGGCATGTGGGCAAAGTTGACATTTTTTATGACAATGTGAGTCCTGACTGTATACAGTGCCAGACATTACAGTGTTGTATATATGGAGCTGGTAGGAAGCTGAAAATTAAATGCCTTGAATTTGATCATTGAACATCAGTTTCGCCATCCAGACACTAAAAAACAAAAGCACAGTGATTTCCCTTAGGTCCAAAACATACAATACCTATGTCCCACTCTCTTCCTGGAGTCCTCACTTCCACTGTATAGTCCTTGCTGGAAACCTAGCTGTGTGCACAGGGAGTGAATTCAGTGTCCATCATACCTTCTCCAACACTCTCTCTCCACGCAGACCTTCCTTTTATTTCCAAGGAGGACGTTCTCTCTGCCTAATTGATATTATGAGTTTTGTGACATCCTGTTCTTGGTAGTGCCAGGAAGCTCCACGCTGCATCTTCTCTTAACGTCAACCTTTGTTATTTCCTCCCCATTGGCGCTCTCCATCCTTAACCACATACCACATGTGTTTGCTTTCTTGTTTTATCCTCTATCACCCACTGAAGCTCCTTGAGGCTTGAGACCACTTCTTTCATTTTCCTATCATTGTCTTCCCAGCTCTGCAGAGGAACTGAACCAAAATTGCTGAATGTTTGTGAGATTGAATTCTTTAGTGGTTTGCTTGCCCTAAGGCTTGAAACAGTTCTGGACCCAAAGAAGATTTTGTCAACTGAAAGGATGGATAATGAGACAAATGAACAAATAAATAAATGAATGAAGTTGTTCAGTCATGATTAGGCTAAAGTATGAAGATCTCACATATGAAACTCAGTAGTCACTTTCCCATAGTCATAACTTAGAGTTTTTTTTCCTGTTTCTCAGGAGGAAGCTGATGTTGGTGAAGTCAGTTAAAGTCACCAGGACTAAGATAAAATAACTCCCAGCCCCAGTGGTCCCTCACTCTGGCTACTTTTTAAAAAAAATTCTTAGGTAGCAGGACCCACCCCAGATCACTTTCCAGATTTTCCAGAGGTGAAGCTAGTGCATCGGTATCTTTCTTAATGCCCCCCAGGTGGATCACATGAGAAATATTATGGCGCGAAAGTAATTGCCATTTTTGTCATTGTTTTTAATTACTTTTGCACCGACCTAATACTATTCTAGTGTAAGACCACAATTGTCCGAATGTAAGTATAATTTTGTTGTTGAACTTTTTTACTCAATTAATATTTTAGGTGGCATCTACTCTACAATTAGGCCCACGGTCTTTAGGATTGTTATCCATCACCCTTTCTTATCTGTAAGCCTTTGCTCACTTTTTCTTGATACCTGAATGTTTTCTCTCATTCTGGCTAATTCTGCTCGTTCTTCAGGGGCCAGTGAAGACCTCCCTCTCCCATAGAACCTTCCGTGATGCCCTCCCATGGTGACTTTTCACTGTCAGAATTTTCATGACACACCACCTCTGACAGTTGATGGACTTTAGCATCTACAACTCTATAAAATGTGTTTTATTTTTCCCTGGGCAAGTGTAATTTGGTCTCCCCAAGTGGACTCTTACTAATTTACTGCGTATTCCTTAGAGTACCTAGCAATGTCTTGTCTCAACAGGCATTCACAAAATACCTGCTGAAAAACCAAAAGGAAGAAGAGAATATGTTTGGAGGAAAATATGCAGTAATAAATGTTCACATTCAGAATTATAGAAATGAAACTCAGAAATATAAATTTGAGCATGATCAGCAGAAATTAAAGATGAGTGTTAATATTATTATCCAGTGATAGCATATTTTCCATGAAAAATAATCTCTTATTAGAATGTCTGTAAGAAACAATATAATTGGAAGTGTGAGAGCCTGTGTTTATACCCCAGCTCTCTCTCTCATTCATTACCTGTCCATGGGAGATTTCTGTAACCACTTTAGCCTTTGGTTTCCTTCACAGATCAGTACCCCTCTTCTAAGGTTGTGGTCAGGATTTAATTAAATAGTGCATGTGACATGGTAATGTCTCAGGAAATGAGGGCTCATGATCATCAGTGACATTATTATGATAGAGCAACAGTATCTGATATAGTTTGGCTCTGTCCCCACCCAAATCTCTTCTTGAATTGTAGCTCCCAGAATCCCCACATGTCATGGGAGGGACCCCATGGGAGGTAATTGAATCGTGGGAGCAGGTTTTTCCCATACTGTTCTCATGATAGTGAATAAGTCTCCCAAGAGCTGATGGTTTTATAAAGGGCAGTTCCCCTGCACGTGATTCTCTTGCCTGCCACCATGTTATACGACCCTTTGCTCCTCCTTCGTCTTCTCCCATGGTTGTGAGGCCTCCTCAGCCACGTGGAATTGTAAGTCCATTAAATCTCTGTTTCTTTATAAATTACCCAGTCTCAGGTATTTCTTCATAGCAGTATGAAAATGGACTAATACAGTATCAGACAATTTTGATGTAACTGAAAAAAAGATCTAGTCATGAAATTAGTGTGGTGAATAGATGAACAATTGGGTTTTTTGATTACCCCAAATCTCAATCTGATGTTTCTTCCATGCTTCCCACAGAAGGTTGTAGCTGTGTGTGTGTGTATGTGTGTGTGTATGTGTGTGTATGTGTGTTTTAGTAGAGGTCGGCAGAATTAAATGCTTGCAAGAAAAATTAGTTGTAAAAGTAGTTTCAAAGCTGAAAGTTCTTTTTAATTAACTATGGTTAATCATTACACAACGTGTATATACTTCAAAATATCATGTTGTATGAAGATACATACATACAATTGTATCTGTCAGTTAAAAACATATAAAACTGAATGTTCTTCCTTCTGTGAACTCAAATGCCTTCTTTAAATTTCTCAAGCTACATTACCTGGGCGAAAAGGGAACTGGCAAAAGATGAAAAGCAGAACATTCTCTTGTGTTCATATATTCTGCTTGAAAGGATAGCACGCCACATCTCTTCCCTCCAATTCAAATAGCAAATTTATGTGTCTGACGTTTGTCTGATTGTTCATATGCATCACAGTCAGACTCTTATCTGACCTTCATTTTCCCCAAAAGTTGAATGACTTTGACAGGTAACTCAACTTTTCTGTGTCTCAGTTTCCTCATCTGTAAAATGGACTTGGTTGAAGGTTTACACAAGTTAATACATGCAGGTGATTAACAAAAATCCTAGTGCATGACAAGAACTCAAAGATGTTAGATATTTTCGGCTACAATTTGTGTTGTGTTTTTTTCAATGTGGTCTTGTTTTGGACATGTAGTTCAGTGATGCTCTGTGAAAAAGCTGTTGCTCTTTTTACTCTGCCACCATATCTTCATCAAGGTTGCTTTGCTTTTCTTTGAAAGCCGTAGAACCCAAGATGCTCTTTAAAGTGGCCCCAGTGCATAACAGGGTCTCCAATCCGGGGACTCTTGGATAAGCAAGCGTCCACGAATTCAATTAGCGCGCTTATGTTGACATCAACAGGACCTATGAGGTAGATGTGCTACCTATATTATAAAAAAAGAAACCCCAAGGCAATAGCCGTCTCTATCTTTGTAAGAGGTTATATATGCATGCTCACTCGAGACCCAGAGAGTTTGGAATGGCAGCTAGGGGCCTTGCCAAGATGTGTGCTGGCTGTGTAACTTCTGGGTTATAGTACTTAATGGAACTGTAAACAGCTCAATACCCTTTGTTCCATGCATAGAGATAAGGTGATGAATTTATGGATAATGGATCCCCTGAATATTCAAGAATTTGCCAGACTCTATTTTTTACCAAAGATGACATTAGCCATCCACCCATTTTCAGTAATTTATATGGTTTGTCAGCTGTCAGCTCCCCAAAGACTACCATAAAAACCCATTGATCAGCAAAGCTGGGTTTGTTAGACATACTGCAGTAAGTATCCTCCCTCACTGCAGTGGATCTAAAATGCTCCCTTGAAAGAGTCTTAGTGTCAAAAGGGAAAATGAAGGCAGGGTATTTATAAGGCTGTAGGTCCTTGGCTGGGAGATTTTAAGGTGGGTATTGCAAGGTGGGGAACCATGGGGATTGGGCAGAGTTTTAACTAGTAGCACAGTGAGGGGAGGGTCTTGAAATGGGTCATGATGAGCAAACTATTACTCTTGATAAGCCAGCTCTCTAGTTCACAGCCTAAACATTCACAGGCGAGTGTTTCCTAGAGCAAGCACTTAAATTATTTTTGATCAGTCTCAGCATGGTCTAACACAGGGATAGGAAAATGTATCTGTCCCAGTATCGTTTAACCCAGGGCCAAAAATTATGGTGATTTCACCTCCTGCATTTACTTTTTTTTAATCAGATAGTGGGGGTATTTTGTCTTTAAATCTCTCTCTCTCTCTCTTTCACTTTCTCTCTCTCCTCTTCCTCATTATGCTATTTATTGAAAAGTCAAACTTAAGTTACTTTATTTAATGTATGTAATTCAGGGCACAAAACTACCAAGAAACACAACAAAGTATAAGAAATCATTTTACACATAGAAGAATATGACAGCTGTCAGATAAAAGAGTATAGTCTTTAACTGTCATAACTTTTAGGAAAAAAGTTCCAGGACCACTTTCCAGAGATTATACAACTCAGCCTTGGTGCTTTGGTGACATTTTTTCAAAGTTCTTGCACACCCAAGGTCATTGAGGAAGGCTATAGTTCTAAGCAAGCCTAATTTTGTATTCCTAACTGTTGATCTCTTGGGGCCTGAGAAATATGAAATTCTATGGTTCATTTATAAAATGCTGTGATCAAAGATGAACCCATGACTTTTACAGATGGCCACTACCAAACACTGACATACAAATTATTTTCAATTATAATTACTTAAAAAAACTACTGTGTGAAGAGCTTTCTACTTCTTGTAGTAGCTGCATTGCCAGTTGCAGATAGGCATCCAGTTTGGGACAGGCATCATTTTCCATTAATAGAGCCTGATCTGTTGTGCCTTTTTGGTAAACATCTAATAGAAGAATTCTAAAGAAACTAGGATATGTATACTCCATTTTAGAATGAAAAGAGAGATCATAGATACATCTGAGTTTTGATTTTCATTTTTAAAAAAATCAGTCAATTATAGTCTTTTGTCTGTAATATTAACTGATTTTAAATAAAATTAATTCAGGCTCTGAAAACAAAAGTGAAGGTTATTTTTTAAACTAATCAAAAATTTAGGTGAGGGTCAGGCATAGTGGCTCCTGCCTGTAATCCCAGCACTTTGGGAGGCTGAGGCGGCAGGATCACTTGAGTCCAGGAATTCTAGACCTGGCTGAACAACATAGTAAGACCTTGTCTCTACCAAAAAAAAAAAAAAAAAGTCAGGTATGGTAGCACGTGCATGAAGTCCTAGCTACTCAAGTGGCGGAGGTGGGAGGATCACTTGGGCTCAGGAGGTTGAGGCTACAGTGAGCCATGTGAGCCATGATCACGCCGCTGCACTCTAACCTGGGCAACAGAGTGAGACTCTGTCTGAAAAAAAAAAAAAAAAAGTGAATATGACTTCTGGCTTCTTGCCATCTAAATGTTTATCATCTTGATCTAAACTTTTAATGTTTGCTGCTGGTACTGAAATTTGAACATCAGAATGTTGCTGGGATCAGTTTTGGCTTCGAACAAGACAGTACCTTAGTATTGATGGCTGTATCTTATAACAAAATTGTTTTAGAATCTGCAGATTTAAAACATTGCATGGAGACCCAGGTAAATTTAGTCAGTTTAAGCCAGAATTTGCCTTGTATGCAACAGCAAAGATCTGAATTACTTTCAAATGTCAAGGACAACTCATTCTTCATCCATTCTGGGGCTAAATAAATTTTGTATGTATTTTGAAAATGAGCAAGAATAATTCTACCTAATTCTCAATATTTGTGCCTAAGTGATTCTGTTTAAAAAATTCTGTATTTGGACCTGAAGCGTTATGTGGCAACTGTAGAATGAGAGTTTACGGTGTTATGGACCATGGCACTCCAATTCTCTCTCTTCACCTCCCACGCCTATCAGCCTCAGAGGCCCTTTCTTCCCATTGCCGGCTCTCTGAGACTCAGCCTAGAATGATGATTCAGCCTGTTGAAATTCTAAAAGAATCGACCTTTGTGTAATCCCCACTGCAAAGGCAACAGCAGGTTCCTCTTCTGGAATATTAAAGAGGAAAACGTAGAGGTCATTTGTTGTGGCCAACCAACCCCTGGGACTCCTACAAGAAGCCTTGGCCTAAGGAGCTGTTATTACAGCAACATTTGGTAAACTCTATCTAACATCGACTCAAGATAAACGCTTTAATTTTTTAAAAGCATTCAGTGAGTGTGGTATAGGAATGTTTTCCATCTAGAAGGACTCTCAAAATGATCTCCATTAGCAGCCACTCCAGAGGGTTATTGCTTCTCGGGGCCATATTGAGAGTTTATATGCATCCAAATACTCGTTTGTATAGCAGATGCACACACACAATAGTATAACAGGACTTCAGGGCGTCCTGGGCCTCTATATTTTAATCATTCAACCTCCACACACTAGGGACTCAAAGTGTGAATGGGTGTGGGTGGAGGAGGTAGTGGTGACAGCCCCTTTATACCCCTCCCCCTCCCACTCCCACCATCAACCAAGCCTAACTCTGGTTTTTTTAAAAAATGAACTTTTTTTGGCCGGGCGTGGTGGCGGGCCTGTAATCCCAGCACTTTGGGAGGCCAAAGCGGGTGGATCATGAGGTCAGGAGATCGAGACCATCCTGGCTAAGATGGTGAAACCCCGTCTCTACTAAAAATACAAAAAATTTAGCCGGGCGTGGTGGTGCACGCCTGTAGTCCCAGCTACTTGGGAGGCTGGGGCAGGAGAATGACGTGAATCCAGGAGGCAGAGCTTGCAGTGAGCCGAGATCACACCACTGCACTCCAGCCTGGGTGACAGAGCAAGACTCCATCTCAAAAAAAAAAAAAAAAAGAACTTTTTTGTCCCCATTCTTCTCCTTTTTCCTCCCCCTCCCCCCAGGTACACAAACTGTCACTCCCAAAAGAAATGACAAATTTGTTTAAAATAAATCCTCATAAATACACTAAGTAGATGCCTTAATTCACTAATTAATTGTAAATACATTTTTATAAACATTTATTTAAAATGAATGAAGCCCAGCTTTCCTTTGGGCTTGGTTTGAGCCTCACCCACATGAGAGGATTCATGCTACGTCTAAAGAGCTGAAAGCAAGCCAGTGGGCTGTCGTAAAGTCCTGCATAGCCACCAGGCAGTGTTTGATTCTACCATCATTTAAAACTTGCTTTTATTAAAACATTCTTTTTGTTCATCTGGGGTTTTTTTAACCAAGATAGTCTTCATCTCTTTCAGTAAAAAGAAACTACAATTACCCTGTATTAAAGCATTATAAAGAAGCAAATGAAAGTAATTAAGGTTTTATTAAGGAATTTTTATTAAACCAATCATTGCTCATGAATATGGATAATATCAAGGAAAAGAGCCATTCTGTGCCTGAAATAAAAATAAACTATATTTTTAAATATCTTTAGTATACGTAAATGTCTTCGCAATTAAACTTTCAAAATTATATTTGGAACAGCAATAATTTTACACTGATAAAGGAAAGCTATTGGATGGAAATAATAAAAGAAAGATGCTAATAAAACAAATTTGTCACAGATTATAATCTGGAAGGAATTAGCATATTTTCATCAGGGAAATTTAAATTTTCTAGTGACCATCAACCAAAATATTAAACCATTTTTCATGTTATCCTCAGATATAAACAAACAGGGTAATTTGTTATGAATGCTGAAAATTGGTGTGAATCCCATCAGTTTTATAGTTTTTCCTCAGATTGAAATTTTAGTATTACCTGGGCTAATTTAGAATTATCAGGGAGTTAATATAAGAAAATTACCCAAATGAAGCACCAGAGATAAGCCTTTTAATACAAAGCAGATTAATATGTTTCAGTGCTATAAATTTTTCTCTACTAGCTAAAAATGGAATTTCTGTAGATTCAAAGTAAATAATCCCACTTAAATAACATTTTTCTATTCTTGTTTGGATTTATTATTTGTGAAATTACATCTTGCAGCTGCTGTTTTATTTTCTCTAGGCATGACGTCATTTTGCTAACGCTATAATACTTACAGAAGTTTCGATGCTTACAGCACATGGCATCCTATAAGATCATACCATCCAGCTGTTATTTTTTATTTTTCTTTAGTGCTTGTTTGGTTCATGTTTGTCAGGGCATATTCTGTATGCCAGGGATTCTGTAGCTCTGTGTTCTGCATACGATGGGCATTCAGACAAGTGTCTGCTTTCATTTTATGCCTGGGACCCTGTTGGAGGATGGAACAGTGATCAAATGACAGAATGAGTTAGTGTTGAGGTTTCTGCTGAAATTAAATAGGAGATCTGACAGCAAGCATCTGGGAAGGTAGACTAGACTGATCCAGGAAAGCCTCTCTGAGTTTAGCACATTTAAGTTGACGTGAATGGAAGAAGTATTGGCCATGAAAAGATCTAGGAAACAATGTTCCAGAATGAGGCAGCAGCAAGTCCAGGGATCTGCGACACAAAGGAGCTTGTGTGTTCAAGAAGAAACAGGCCATTTTGGCTGGAGCACAGTGACTAGAGCTATATGGTACCTGGCCCACCAGCACAGGGATTTTTTGTTTTCTTCACTGATGTCTCCACTCCACGTCAAACAGAACCATGCATGTACTAGGTCCTTAATATTATGGAATGGATAAATGAATGAATGAATGTGATCAAGATGAATTTAGAGATTTAGAGAAAGGCCTGATCATGAGGCTACCATAGGAAGTTTAATTTTATTTTAAGCATAACAGGTTATTTTTGAAGGGATACGTAGTAGACTGAATAATGTCCCTACCCTGCAAAAAAAGCCCACCCCCTAATTTCCAGAGCCTGTAAATGTTACTTTTCATGATGAAAGGGACTTTGCAGGTATGACTAAGGTAGGAGGGCTTCAAATGGGGAGATTATCCTGGATTATCCAGGTGGGCTCAATGTGATCAGAGTGCCCTTATGAGAGGGAGGTAGGAGGGTCAGAGTCCAGGAAGGAGATATGATGATGGAAGCCAAAATCAGAGGGATGTAAGATCTCAAGCCAAGGAATGCGATGCAGGCAGCCCCCAGGAGGTTGACAAGATGAGGAAACACATCTTCCCCGGGATCCTCTGGAAGGAGCCAGCCTTGCCAGCCCATTTCAGACTCCAGCCCTCCAAACACAAACCTATAAATTTGTGTTTTTCAAGCCCCTGTGTGGTGATTTGTTAAGGCAGCAGTTGGAAATAAGAGCAGGATTATTCCAAATTAAAGAAAGTGTTGGGTCACTTATTGAATTGCAAACGTGAAGAATGATACATATTTTTAAATTAAATACTTGTCACTTAAAATGCATTTTAAATTTAGTTACAAAGTGTAGCTGGATCATCCTTGCTATATCTTGTATACTCTCACATTGGAATTTGGAAGGAATAAGGGAACAAGTGGATTTAGGTAAGAGAGGAGTAAGAATTAAAGTGTCCTGGGAAGGCGAGAGGGAAAAATGAGTCCATCCATTGTAGAAAGGCAAAGGGATAGGAAAGTGAAGCAGAGAGAAGAAAGCAACAGAGAGAGTGGGAGCTTCATAGGAAAGGAAAGGTATATTGTCTATTGCTGCATAACAAATTACTCCACAATTTAGCAGCTTAAAACAACCAACATTTATGTCACCCACTGTCTAAGTGTGAGGGAGTACAAGTAGGAGCCACAGATTTGGGTGGTCCTGGCTCAGGGTCTGTCATGAGGCTGCAGTCATTCGAAGGCTTGGTTGGGGTTGGAAAATCCACTTCCAAAATTTCGGCTGAAAGCCCTAGTTCGTTGCCATGCTGGTCTCTCTATAAGGCTGCCTGAGGATCCTCATGATGGCATGACAATTGGCTTCCCCTCAAATAACAATCTGAGAGAGGGTTTGGAGGGAGCCACAAAGCCTTTTTAATGACATAGTCTCAAGTCACAGTCACTTCCACCATGTTTCATTGGTCACAAATGAGTCACTAAATCAAATCCCCACTCATGGAGAGAAGAATTAGGCTCCACCATTTGAAGGAAATGTCCAAGAATTTGTGGACATATTTTAAACCACTATGGAAAAGGGGAGGGAGGAGTGAAGTAAAAGTTTGAGGAAAAAATTTATTTTCCATTTGTTCAGAGGATGCCTAGATACGTCCAGTTCTCTCCACTAATCTCTCTTCCGTCAGTCAAGACATGTGTGTGTGTGTGTCTGTATGTGTGTGTGTGTGTGTGTGTGTGTGTGTAGCAGGAAAGATGTGGAATTCCCAGTTGTTTCCCACTTGAACTCCTGCCAGATGATATAAATCTTCATCTCAGTTGTCTCCAGAAACTGCTGCTTCTATGCTTAAACCTGTCTCATGTCCAGGTAATCTAACCAAAACTCAAAATTTTGACGACCCCATGCAGCTGGTTTGCTGAATTCCCCCTCAAGAAAATCTGCCGCGTTCCATCCACTTTACCAAGACTTCATCAAGAGGTGATAAAGTTGCTTGATAGAGATTCATTGCAGTTGTAATAAGTCCAGGAAGCATTGTGCATTGCAGTTATAAATTGAGATAGATGGTTCAGAGATATGGATCAAGTACTGTGATCAGTTCACTGGAATGTGACTCGCAGATGGAGACAGCCTGGAAGGGTGGAATGAATGTGAACTTCTGTTTGTTCGTGATTCTGAATTAGGTTACACTAATTAACTAATTAAGGAAAAGTGAAGGAGATAGAACAGCCTATAAAAAGATATTCCAGACTGCATCTGCCTTTCCATTCTTTCACTTCTTGTCAGGTACTAGATTTGGCCTTTAGGTTTTCTTTGATTTCCTTCCTCCCTTTCCCTATTTCTTTTCTGTTTGTAAGAAAACAGTAAAAATAGCTGTATTCTCATAGAAAGCCTTGAGATTTTCATACTCACTGCATGTAAAAAAATGCAAAGGTTTCTCTCTGCTATTTTGTTTGTTTGTTTGCTTGCTTGCTTTCCCGAGATGGAACCTTGCTCTGTCACCCAGGCTGGAGTACAGTGGCACGATCTCAGCTCACTGCAACCCCCCCCCACTCCCAGGTTCAAGCAATTCTCCTGCCCCAGACTCCCAAGTAGCTGGGATTATAAGCACACGCCACCACACCCAGCTACTTTTTGTATTTTTAGTAGAGATGGGGTTTTGCCATGTTGCCCAGGCTGGTCTCGAGCTCCTGACCTCGTGATCCACCTGCCTCAGCCTCCCAAAGTGCTGATATTACAGGTGTGAGCCATTGCACCCTGCCTGCTATTTAGTTTTTAAAGGATATATACCATACAGCAAAATATGTCACCCATATTTTAAAACATTTATAAGCCTCAATTTTTAGATATTGGTATTTTGAGTCTGGATTTGGGAATGAAAAAAATGCACATTTTGTTCCTATATTTTCGCATTGTATACTTTGAAGAGCAGACACAAATGTCTTAACATGGTATTCCTGAAAGTTATCCTCAAATACTGGGGTAGATACTAATTTCTTTTTAATATACTATTTAAAACTGCAAAATCAATTATTTTACTCTAAAAATTAACATTTTTGTGAGGCTGGAAATGAATGAAGTCATTTTGATTATTTAGATTACCAAACTTTGGCAAAACATTTCTCAATGGATGAATAAGCAGCTTTGTGTTTTATTTAAAACAAGATAGATGCATATGTTAATATTCCTAGTATTTCAAATCAGTCCAAATCAGAATATATTCTGAGCACCTTCTGTGTACCATTGAGCACTTTTTGTGTACTCAATTTAGGATACTAATGGCAATACAAGCACAAATGAAAGTGTATATAAAATGGTCAAATTCACTAAAGCACAGTTGGACAAAATTTTTCTGTAAGGGGACAGTTTGTAAATTGTTTATGGTTTGTGGGCTGTACAGTCTCTGTCACTAATACCCAGCTATTCCTTCATAGGACAAAAGCAGATGTAAAAAATTTAGAAATGAACCGACATGGCTGTGCTTCAATAAAACTTTATTCATAAAAGAAGAGAAGCTAGATTTGCCTTCAGGTTAACCCCCTGTACTGAAGGATTATTTTATGCATGCTGGGCACTAAAAACATTTTGTTTCCTTTGCATTCACTTCAATAAAATTTCCAGTAAATGGTATTTCTAAAGACAGTTGAGTTTGCCTCTGTAGTCACATTTTTATTGAACTTTATAGTTGCTTTATTTTTATAGTCACTTATTTAGTTATTAACAGTCAGATTTGTATTATTAATGTCCTTGGATAGTTCAACATGTGCAACGCAAGGAACCAATAAAACAAATTTTGGAAATAAACATGTTCTGTTTGTTCTATTCATAACACAGTAGATGGAACAAAATCGCATTTCGTTAAAATATATCGAAAGCTCATTAAAAACATAAGCTACAAGTTCTATTTCCAAAGACAACTATAGTGTTTTATTTCCAATATCTGCAGTGATGGTACGTGTTTAGGTTCAGGGTGTATACAGGCTTTCTTTCAAAGAAAAATAGAATGTTATTCTCTGTTCCTTTTTTTCTTTATGTAGACTGTCCTAACAAAAAAAGAATAATTATTTAAAAGCATTTTCAAATGATGTTATAATATATATGCAATGTTTATGACCTTTTCTAGAACATCTCCTTTTAAAAAATATTTAAAAGCCTAAAGCATTCTATTTGTCGTTAACATTTTGCATTGCTCTGCCTGCATGAATTACTGTGACGCTCTGTCCATTGTGGACATGCCCTCTTCTTCTCACCTCTCCCTTTGTCATTATTTAAGGAGGAACATTCTGTAGGTCCTCCATGAGCATTGCTTTCAGAGAAAAGCTGACAAAACAGTCACAAGGGGCAACAGTTTAAATTGCTTGTTGAGCCAGTTGTCATCTGACCTGATGCTGGATTCTCATAAGGGTCCTACCCATGGTAGCTGGTTGTTTATGAAAGCACTTAGCTTTCATGGCAACCACATGTGCACACTGAGGTCTTGGGTAAGACAAAGATGCTCTACTAGTCCATTTCAAATAACTTTCACATCTCTTTGGTCTTGGTTAGAATTTAGCAATTTGGGTCCATTGTATTAAAATGGAACAGAAGCGTTGTTGGTAGCCTCAGTTCAATCAGACCTCGCAACCTTGATTATGCTCCCTGAGGAAATAAAGATAATCATGTCACAGTTCCTCTGCTCACTCATCAGATTTTTCACAGAATGCTTTTAATGGGTTCACACGAATGTTCTAAAATTAAGGACACACTCTAGGATGTGTGTCCACAGTATTTTCATCCTTCCTGCCAGTTCCGTTAACTCAAATAAGGAAGACAGTTTTGGAGATGAGAAAAACTTGTGGCCACCCAAAACCTCTTTTTGTGTGTCTCTTGCAGGAGTCCTTTGGAACCTCTCCTCATGCGATGCACTCAAAATGCCAATCATCCAGGATGCCCTAGCAGTACTGACCAACGCGGTGATTATCCCCCACTCAGGCTGGGAAAATTCGCCTCTTCAGGATGATCGGAAAATACAGCTGCATTCATCACAGGTGCTGCGTAACGCCACCGGGTGCCTAAGGTCAGTCCTGTGTCACGAGTGCCTCCTCCCACCATCTTCCCCTGGCCAGACACTGTCTCTTTCCATAACTTTAGTGGCTCTTTTACTGAGGATCAGACCATTCTGAAAACATGAATGTTGATGTGGCAACGGAGTATAAGAAGTTAATTTTAAATTTTCTAACCAGGTAATAAAGACATATAGGTATCTTTCTCTACCTAATTAATGTTAGACTTACTTCACATGATTTCTTAGGTCTAAGGTGAAAAACAAACATTTTTATTCCAACCCAAAATAAGTCATTTTCTTTGGCCGAAAACAATAGTTCTTGGTAATTTCACATTATATCATGCATATAGCACAACCAGGCAGGCTGACTGGTTGGGCAGAGTTCATAACAGATACATAGGGATCTGGTTAACTGTCACAAGTAGCCATTTTTTAAAAATTCTCATTTTAAAAATTCTCTGTTTGACTGTAAGATTCTATAATTCTTAGAAATAGCTCTTTAATAAGGCCTGTTGTATTAAATGGTTTTTTAAATAATGAAAGTAGCAAATGTCTTGTGATTCTCTCCTGATGCGTTTTTCACAAAAATCATCAGGAATCTATTGAGATTTCTTAGAATCAACTTTATGTCTTGTTTAATTTTTGCTCTTAGGAAGGAAAGTAGTTACCAAGATATGATTCTTCTAAACTCTAGAAACTGTGCTCCCAAAAGTGTTGTATTTTGTACCAAAGTTGCAAATCTCTGCTGGATGAAATTGCTGGGATAGGGGCAAAAGGGGTGATTGAAAACACCTAGCCAAATAATCTATATTTTGAAAGTGAAACATACAGGATTGTTTTAGTTGAAATGGTTCAAAGCTGCCATTTCTCCTACAGTTGATCAGTTTCTAGGTATAACAACCAGTCTCTACTGAGAAGGAACAAAATCCACCTCAGTGGCATTAATAATCGTCATCTCATGAGTATTCATCCCAATGCTCTCAGCCTCCAGTCTTGAGAGGCGGTATGTGTTTGTGTGAAATGTGTGTGCACAGAGCAAGATAAGAGCCTGCCTCCACGAATATCTACATGCGTTCATGGGCAGGAATGGGAATCCTCTGACAATTCTGCTTTTCGTCTGAGTCACGAAATCATGAACATCTGACGTGATTTCTCTGGATAGGTGCTACCATATGGCAAATATACAGTACTCTGAAACCCCCTACTGAGGCATCCATTTCATAACCCCTTAAATTCTGTTATCCTTGGGCAAACATCTGTCCCACCAGAAGAAATATAACTCCTCCAAAGCTAAAATTGTAGGCTCTTCTGAACTCCCATGCCTGATTTTTTTCTATTTCACTTATTCACAACTATTTAAAAGTGTTTTTCCCTTGCTAGCATTCCCTACTTTCACAGTGTCAGGGTCCCTAGTGAAGACTGCAGAAGGAACTGTCTCAGAAGCAATTGTAGAAGTGTAATCAATAAGGACCTGGCTAGCTCTGTCTGTTAAAATGCTCTCTGATTAATATAGTAGCATAAGTATGTCTTCGTGGTGTTTGAAAGGATATAGGCTACCACCTTTATTAAAGTACATTTGACATCCTTTGATGAAAAAGTAGATGAAGAAGCTAGACCAGTGTAGGCTCACGGGTCCCCTTTACACATCATCTGGCTAAGTTTAGGGTCTGGGTTGTGTTGCTGGAGCACAGTTTGGTGAGACCAGAATGACTCCCCATCCCTGTCTATTCACACATACAGCAGCTCGACACTTGCTGCTGCTTCTGCTGCTGGCCAGGAGTGACCACATAATAGGAAGCAAAAAATGATGCCATTTGATTCAGTTTGTCATGCAGACATCTGTGACACCAGAACAGTCACAGTCGTCCATATCATGACAGAAGGCTTTAGATTTTAGTATGCAAGTGTATTTACATTCTTCATTTTTCCAACAAAGCCAAGATCACTATTCACATTAAAGAAATGACTTCCTGTGCTGCTTCTGCTATGCAGCAGTTTTATCCCAGGAGCATTTGCTGACCACCTGCTTTGTGTTGGGGAGGGCTAAGGAGGCTGAGAGAGGGCAGACTCTGCCCTGCAGAAACTCATGACTGAGTGGAAGAAATGGCACTCAGCCGGTGAGCCCCAGCACAACAGCCTAGTGGCAATTTAGTGTTATGATCATGGCAGTACAGGAGGAAAAACTGGTGAGAAAGTGACTGACAGCTAGGTGTGGCCAAAAAAGGCTTGAAGAGTCAGGTGAGATTGGGCTAAACATAGAAATGATGCAATGGGAAAGCATCATGGAGGGCAGCAGAGGCCAGCACTCGCTACCCAGCGTTGAAAGGACTCTAGAGGAGTTTGAGATGCACCATCAATAGAGATTAGATTTTTAAATAAAATTAAAGTAAGTGTTATTATTCATAAAATCTCTGTCTTCCAGGGGCCTGAAAGTTCCACTTCAGATATGTTGTTGATTCTCACATGCATCGTAGCCCAATGAGCTCATGTGTAGTTAAGTCGTGAAGCCAGGACTTGAGCCACATCCTGACTCTGGTTTCAGACCATCCCCACCCTATCACACAGAGAGGAAATTCAAAGTTATGGGATAGGAGACTGCTAACAGATCTGTGCTTAAAACAATACACAACCACCACCTGCTGACGGGGCAACACTTTCCTCTCTGTTGGTTCCTTAAATTTGCTTCCAGAGATAAACGGAGTGGCATCCATGTGGCCAACATCATTTGGCTTTTAAATGCCAGTGGTCTTCTCCCTCTCCCTTCTTTCTTACTTCAAATTCTTCCCTGCTAGGACCTACGGAGTGTGTAGCTACCTGGGACAGCATTAGCCACTCAGCCAAGTGCAAGTAGTCTCTTGACCTCCACCTTTGATGTTCATGTAGACAACTAGAACTGTGGGTGCCTTTTTGTGTTTTAAAATAAGACTATATTTTAAGGCATATTTTAGATAATAATGTTGACATTGTTTTTCCAGTACTCCTTTCTTCTTTTGCCAATGACTTTAAGATGAGTTGATATTTTTGGTTTGCTTCTGTAGCTATTGTTTCAGGAATATATAAAGAAAATAAAACATCCAAGAAAATAAAACTCTTTTCCTAGAATACTATTTCCTAAACTAGTATAGCTTGGAAATCCAGCAGAAGGAGCATGTGGTAGGTAAAAGTAAATTCATCTGGTCATTATTGAAAATCATTACTCTTGATTTTTCTTCCTAGCAGGATTCAGACTTGTTTATGTGATTTCAGGGTGGGGAGCCAAGGTTAAGAATTTAAGGAATTAGTGTTTTTAAAGAGGTCACCTTTTCATTTTTTGGAAAAAAATAATCTATGAATGCAAATTATATTGCTCTTAAATGTCCAAAAGCTTATTAGAGATAAATTTAAGTCAGTAAAATCTGCCTAAGGCTTAGCCAGAACCTGACAATGTGACACTATTCTGTCTTTAGACAATTTCATGCAGGCTTAATAGGCTCTGTCCAGTTTCTCAAGCTTTCCTCTAGGCAGTGGATATTGTACCAATATCAGTGGCTGTCCCCACTTCATGCCCTAACGCCACCCCATTCCCTACCACCTCCAGGTCGTAGACTACTGAAGGAGGCACATTTACAGGGAGCATTCTAAAGAGAGGAGACACTTGCTTTGCCTTCTCTAGAAAGGAATGGAGAATCTTCATGGGAAGCTATATCATGTTGACATAGCAAAAATTTAAGCACATATGAAATGTAAAATGAAAAGTTAATGCCCTTAGTCCTTTTTCGTTTGAAATTCATTTGGGGACAAGAAATTGAATTTTTAAAAAGCAGATCTATCTTTGTGTTCCTGGAGTATCTGTCTGTCACTGAGGAAAAAGGATAGAAGTGGGGAAAAAAAAGCCTTAAATTTTGTTGGAGGCCTGAGTTGATAAGGATGATGGCAGCTAGATTGTGAGAGGCCAAGCGGCATGGGGAGGTGGGGTTGCGGGGGTTAGAGCTGTGGGTGATCAGAAGGGAAGGGCTTCATTTCTACGCTCTGCCTCCGCTACCTCTTCCCCACCACCCCTAATCCCAGGCACACTAATGCTCCCTTCTTCATTTCTTCCCCTTTGCTAGTTGTTCCTTTTGCTCCAATTCTGCCAGATTCAAGCATCCATTTTTAACAAAAAACATTTTAAAATATGGCCCCAAACAAATGTGGCAAAATGTTGGAGAGGCTTAGGATGTAAGAATAAATGAGGTTATTTTGTTAGTCTTCTCTGTTTTGTTTTATGATGAAGGAGTCCTCCAGGGAAATGAATTTCATATAGAGTGAGGTTCAGACCTTGAAATCAATTCAGTTTTGCACTCATTGTTGTTTCCTTGCACATCGTGTGATCAAATCCATCTCTTAACCTGTGGCCGCTATAATCATCACCTTCAACCAAAAACATGTGTTGAGGGACCATGGTCTGAACGCTAACCAGGGAACATTGAGCTGGCTCCGCTCTCTCTGGACAAGCTCATGTTGGCTGAAGTCACTGCGGTGTGTTGAATAAATCTTCCCCCAAAATTCTTGTCTACCCAGAACTTCAGAATGTGATCTTATTTGGAAATAAGGTCTTTGCAGATACAATTAGTTCATGAAGATCAGGTCATACTAGGTAAGAGTGGGCCCTAAATCCAATGAATGGCATCTTATAAAAAGAGGACATATGCACAGAGAGACACACAGGGAAGAAGGCCTTGTGAAGACAAAGGCAGAGATTGGAGTGTTGCAGCCACAATTCAGGGATAACTAAGAATTGCTGCAACACCAGCAGCTAGGAAGAGGCAGGGAAGGAATTTTCCCAAGAGCCTTCAGAGAGAGCACGGCCCTGCTGGCACCTTGATTTTAGATTTCTGGCGTCCAGAACGTGAGATAATAAGTTTCGGTTGTTTTAAGCCACCCAGTTTGTGGTACTCGGTTCTGACAGCCCTGGGAATCTATTATGGTCACTCCAGTAAGAAAATAAGAGAGGGGCTGCTAAGCTAGGAAGCCAAGGAGCCGCCTGAGGATGCAGCACTGAGAAGAGGAGGAGATAGACAACTCAGAGATGCTGCCTGTCCCCAAACAGTGCCCACACACTCAACAAACAACCCAGATCAAAGATGTTTTTCTGTTTTTCTTTGTGCACAAGGCCATTCCCCTCTGTAGCTTAGCTACAAAACCAAACACTACCTGTAGCAGGATTGAGTTCTACAAGTCAAGATGTGGCTGTCTCGGCCAAAGAAGGTTCATATCCAACCTCTTGACTGGATGGCCATGAAATGAGGGTCTCCCCACACACGGATCTGATTTCTGTGTGTTCTGCTCTTATTTATGAGCCAACCTTTCCTTTTCCTCCCGACATTGAACTAGCTTCTGAACATTGCATGGATTTTTCTGACACTATGGACAGCCAGAAGTCATTTGAGGTTCTTACGCAGGGGATGTGACACCATATCAGTGTCATTTAAGGATGTCGACTCTAGCAGCTGTGTACAGACCTGATGCTTTGTGGATTTTCTGTGAAACATGACTGCATTTCCCATTTAAAATATCACCGATGCATATCCTAAAGATCCCGCTGTGGCTGTTATCATCATTTCAGGGTGAACTATGGGTAGAAGCTTGCAGAGCATACTTTTTTACCTTTTAATCTAGCAGCTAGCTCAATAAAACAACTGTGATCTGCACTCCTGTATAGTCGCATTATATTTAGTCATGGATACTTAGGACTTTATCTCCAGCTGAAGTATGTGCATAAGGCTGGCTGGCTAACTTCCACAGCTCATTTCCCGGTGCCGCTGAGTCGTTTATTTATTTTTATTATTCTATTCCCACTTCAGTATCTTGTCCTAAAGGACAACAATATACAACCCTAATTTTTTCCATCTATCTTTGTGTACATAAGAATGTTATTAAGCCCGTCAAAGTATCTGCACTGTGCCTTTGCTTACGATTGTAATTAAACTCAGACCCTCAATTAGTCATTTTAACCCATAAAATGGATGAGTGCTTGGTCCCACGGTGCCTCTAATTCTAGAGTGACCTTGAGAAACGCCCCTTCACAAAGTAATGTTAATGATAATCACACTCTGGCTACAAAGCTCCAAGGACGTTTATTTTCTGTGGCTTACTCTTGCATTAGCCACAGGTAAGAAGAGGAATTATTATTATTTTTATGTTAAGTTCAGTTGTCTGCCAATATTATTCATCTGTTAAAAAGAATCTTTTTGAGAAAGTGTTTTTAAAGTGTTGTATCATGAGCCCCAAACTAGCTCATCCCAGTCTTGGCCAGAGATGAGGGGCATGTGTCAGCTGAATTCAGCACCCTTTTTTTTTATTCTTTTGAGATGGAGTCTTGCTCTGTTGCCCAGGCTAGAGTGCAGTGGCATGATCTCGGCTCACTGCAACCTCTGCCTCCTGGGTTCAAGCGATTCTCCTGCCTCAGCCTCCCGAGTGCCTGGGACTACATACATACCACCACACCCAGCTAATTTTTGTATTTTTAGTAGAGATGGGGTTTCACCGTGTTGGCCAGGCTAGTCCTGAACTCCTGACCTCAAGTGATCCTCCCGCCTCAACCTCCCAAAGTGCTGGGATTACAGGAATGAGCCAATGCACCCAGCCTGAATTCAGCACTCTTAATCCAGGTTCTTGAAAATGAGAAGGACTCTGTGTGGACATGGGAACAGATGAGACACACCACTCACCCCACTCCACCCCATTTTCCCACACCTGGTCCTAGAGCAGAGGAAGCTCCTGGCCGGGCAGCTTAGTCCTGATCAGTGTGTCTAGTAAAGATGTGAAGTGATTTTATTGAGTCAGTTCTCAGCAGTGACAGTCCTCTTCGATGGGAGGGGACAGAGTTCAGTGGAGTGAGGAGGAGTAAGGTGATCTTAGGAGCTCCTCAGAAAAGACAGTTGGCTGCCCATCTCAGCAGCTCCACCAGTGACGAGGGCTCGGGTCTCCTGTGGTGCAACCCCAACATTTCCAGATCACTTCCTCCCACCCAGTCAGAAGGAGGTGTGCTTTATACAGTCATGCATGGCATAACAACAGGAACGTGTTCTGAGAAATGCATCTTGAGTCCATTTCATTCTTATGGAAACGCCGTAAACACCATAGGGCGCACTTACACAAACCTAGACGTTATAGCTTATGACACAGCCTAGGCTGTATGATATGTCTATTGCTCCTAGGTTACAGGCCTGTATAGCACAACACTGTCCTGAATACTGCAGACAGTTGTAACACAAATGGTAAGTATGTGTCTATCTAAACGTATCCATACATAGAAAAGGTAATACTTTGCACTTAGTGGCAAATAGAAGAATCCTTGGAGTTTGCAGTTGAAATTACTGCATAATATCATTAAGATAAGACAGCCTGATGCATTTAGGTCATCATTATATGCCCCAGACTGGACAAGCTGGGATATGTTTTCCCTAATTAATGCCTCAGAAGACAATATTCCTTTTTTCAGTATCTCCGTGGCTGATCCACCTCTCTCTTACTAACACATTCTTTCTTTACGTATAAAAGCTTTTTACTTGAAGCTGGCTTAAAGTTTCTATCTTGTAGCCCTTGAGCTTTGTATCTGTTAGGAATTTTGTATGTGCCCTGTCTTTTCCATTAGGAAAAGTTCGAAAAAGCTTCATTTTTCATTTCTTTCAGATGGCCTTTCTTCCCCAAAAGGAGTATCATTGTCCAAAGTTCTTCCTGGCATTTTTGTTCCCTGAAATAGTATTGGGGATAATTTCTTCCCAAACACTATTTTGTTTTCCTAAGCTAGAAAAAGTGAGAGTATAATGATTTCTCCTTGAATATAAATGATTAATATAAAATCCCCCATCATGCTATTCCCTTTTAAAGTTTTCATCACTTATTTCTGCAAACTTTGATCTACTTAATTATGAAAATTTGCACACTCCAACTGAGATTTGTTTTAAATTATGTATCCTGTAATTTGGTTGCAAATATGGGCTTCTTTTAAAAGGACAAGCAAATATTTAATTTATCTTTTCAGCGTGAATGAATAGTCATTATTCCTATGAAGACATGAATATTTGGATTTTTCCATTAATATGAACAAATTACTCACTTTAAAAGAAATTCAATGAAAAAGTTTAGTGAATTATCAATTGGTTTAAAATGATGTTTAATAGATATTTCTATAAAACATTAGTACAGGGTATTAGCTCCCTGATAAATAAAAAGCTGGTTCATTCTTTAAATCCTTCATAACTTCTTGACATTAAAAATGTAATTTTTCTTCCTGCTGCCTCCCAAATTACATTACATTGCATAAGAAGTAACTTCCCTGGAGGAGAAGCAAACAAATCTATTAACCATAAATTGAAGAAGAAAGAGCACACCAAACGCTTTCATGTACTGCTTACGTACCCAGCCTCTCCAGCACTGTAACACATCGATTTTCATGCTGTTTATTCTTTCCCATTTCAAAGTGGCATTATTTGAAAATAAATAAAACTGACATTTACCAAAGTTGGGCCAAACAACCCGTGAGTTAGTACAGCTCACAGAACAAGCAGAGTCCACGTGGGGCCATGCCCCTGTTGATGAACCTTAAGTGAAGATCTCCAGCTTGTAGATGTGATCCTGTTGGAGGAAGGAAAACATCAGCAATGAGAGGCATGAAAGGCACTCAGAAGGCAGCAGTTCAGGCTGGACGCGGTGGCTCACGCCTGTCATCTCAGCACTTTGAGAGGCCAAGGCGGGTGGATCACCTGAGGTCAGGAGTTCCAGACCAGCCTGACCAACATGGTGAAACCCCATCTCTACTAAAAATAAAAAATTAGCCGGGTGAGCTGGCGGGCACCTGTAATCCCAGCTACTCAGGAGTCTGAGGCAGGAGAATTGCTTGAACCCAGAGGCAGAGGTTGCAGTGAGCCGAGATCATGCTACTGCACTCCAGCCTGGGCGACAAGAGCAAAACTCCCCGTCAAAAAAAAAAAAAAAAAAAAAAAAAAAGAAGGCAGCAGTTCAGAGGCCTCACCACCTGCCACCACCTGATGTCAGCATGCAGAGCTGGATGCTATCTGTGCTGCACTGCGCTTCTCCACATTCTGCTGGCCCCACATCCTCTTTTTCTTGAGTCTGGTTGGTCCTTAATTAACCAAGAATATTTGAAATCAAATTTAGTTTCCCTCTAATTGACCAAGACTATTTCAAGTAAGTGAGTAGAAAAGTCTCCATGTGCCATTCTATGCTCTCTGGCCCCCTTTCCTAGGATAACGACTTTGTCCCGTCACTGTGCGGGCCAGTAGAGAAGTCCACCGGATTTACTCAGGGATGTTTGACAATCACTGCAGGAGTAGGCGGGGGCGGTGGAGGCTCAGCGGGAGGTCTGGTTCCCTGGGTTCTTTTCCATTGCCCTGTGCAGCTGTGCTATGGAAGAGTGAGAGGTGGGGTCTCTGAACACTGACTCAACAGTAGTGTGGGGGTCTCATAGGAAGCAGAGGTGCCTTTGGGGTGAGCAGAGAGAATTAGCACTTGCCTTCCTGCACAGCCCCGTGGGGCCCCTGTCTGCCTCTCTGGGATGGGATCTTCATTGTGTCACAGAAAGCCAATTGCTTATTCTGGAAACAGAATTGAGAAGCAATTGAAAGTAAAAGTCATTACTCCTTAAGTCTTGTAAGTTCTTGTTCTAAACTGACAGAAGCTTCTAGAAGTACCCACTACAAAATTTTCTAAAGCAGGGAAAAGCTAAAGGGAAGACAGCCCTGTCCAGGTTTCATGCTTGGTCAGCATGTTCTTGCCTCCAACAGGTTTAACCGAAGAAGCAATATTTAGTAATAATATGTGTGAATGGGCTGATAGCCTTCCACACTGGCTTTTTAGGACCCTGGGCTCTTCCTCTGTGTCATACACTCATTTTCAGTTTTTCAGTCTGCTACATAAAAGGACAGACCGCCAGGACTTCAGATTAGTCCTGCGTCCTTCACTGTCTTTCCGTAGAGGTACAAATACATCATCGCTCCCCATTAACAAGCAGTAAACTGGCAAGGAAGATGTTGTACCAGTGATGCACTGACTGGAGCTAATGAATCCCAACAGCTAATTACACTTCTCTTATGGTAACTTATTACCAGAAAGTAGCTGCGTTAGCACAAAGATTGTATGTGAGGATGGCCGTGCCCAGGGAGAGGCCAGCTGATGAATCATCCCCCATAATTTTCCATAATAGTCCTGTCTGGACTTCCGTGTCCAGACCATTGTTCTTCCCGGGGTTACATGTTGCCTGCCCTTATTTTGGAACAACAATGTAATTGCCAATTGTGGACTAATTTATATAAACACATGAGGGTTCTGCCAAAGGAAAGCGTCACCGTGATGGGTGCTGACTGCTCACGGAGCTATTTTGCACAAGTTAGAGTCAGGTGGTTGGAGGAAATGAAGCTTACTGCAAAAAATAATGGTTTCAGGTAAGCAAAAGCATCGTGTCCTTTTGAGGCCTGCCAGGAGGCGTGGTGTGTGGCCTGTCGCATTGCTCAGAACCTGATGGGGCTTGAAGGGCAGCGTTTCTCCTTAATGTGCACGGAAGCAGCGCTGAGTTTCTTCCTAGAACACAAAGGAACTTTACTGATTTCTCCTCTGCAGGCAGCACTGGCTACCACACATGATTAAATGTCATTTGTCCTTGACCCCTGTCACTCCTAAGCAGCTGAAATAGATTAAGAGTCAGATGAAGCAGAGCATCCTCTGCCAGCTCCTGCGGTAACAGGCTCACAAAGAAACCAATGCCAGGGCTTCTTAGGATTTCCCAGGGAGCATTCCTGTTTGAGGGGAAATCATTGAGGCAGAATAGCCTCCTGTTTCCTCCCAAGCACCCAGCCGGGATCCCCAGAGCTAACACAGAGGCCTTGGGAAGGTAGAGCTGCCTGTCTGAGCAGCTTCCCACTCCCACGGGGACAGAAGGGGACAGCAGCCCAGAAAGACAGCACCAAAGCACCATGAGGCAGGGACGCTGCTGGAGAAAGGGCTCCCCTCACTTCTCACCTCACTGGACCTGGAAGCTCCCTCCACTGTCTTTAAAACTTACTGAGCTATGAAGACTTTAATTCAGGTGAAGACAAAGGCCAAGGAGTGCCATAGACCACCAAGCCCAGATGCACCTGCCTGCAGGCAGATCGAACTAGCAGCAGAAACGAGCCCTTCCACCCGGCAACACCTTCTGTTATGACCAGATTATGACCCTCCACCTCCCAGGCATTTCCTCCCCTATCCTTTCTATCCCTTTCATTCAAACTAATTCAGAATAAATTTACATAACATCAAATTAGCCATTTAAAAGTGAACAACTCGGCAGCATTTGGTACGTTCAAAGTGTGTTGAAAATGACATCTACCTAGTTCCAAAATATTTTCATCACCCTAAAAGAAAACCCCATATTCATTAAGCAGTTACTCCCATTCTGCCTTGCCCAGGCCCTGGCAATTACCAGTCTGTGCTCTTTCTCTATGAATCTATCTCTTCTGCATATTTCATATAAATAGGATCCTACAATAGATGACTTTTATGACTGGCTTCCTTCACTTAGCATGATGTGTTCAAGGTTCATCATTGTTGTAGCATGTTTTAGAACTTCAGTCCTTTATGTGGCTGAATAATATTCCCCTGCATGGATATAGCACATTTTGTGTATCCACTTATCCATTGATGGACATGTGAGCTGTGTTCACTCTTCGGCTATTGTATTTGTTTACATACCCATTTCAATTATTTTGGGTATATACCTAGAAGCAGAATTGATGGATTGTATGGTAACTCTGTATCACTTTTTGAAAACCGCCAACTGCTTTTCACAGCTCTTCCTTTTTTTTCTGTATGTTCACCTCCATTACATTATCTGGGCCTATTCTCTTTTTCTCACATTACCTTCGTTTCATGTTGTCGCCTCATTCTGAAAAAGTTTTTTTTTTTTTTTTCAACTGCTGAATTATTATGGCCATCTGTCTTTGTATCACTCTTCTTGAGTCCTTAGGAGAAAGGCTCTACACAGATTTCACCATTTTATTTTAAGCATCTCAGAACTGGTATCAGCCCGTCTCAGCTGTGTGGACATAGCTGGCCTGGGCCTGCAAGTCTCCAGCCTCATGTGGGGCCCCTCTGCTCTTCATTCACCATGTTTGCAATACTAGCCTCTTTTCCGTTGTTCTATACGTTGAGGTCTTTTCTACCTCAGGACCTTTACATGTGACTACCAACACCTGGAGGACTTTCCACCTTTGTATCCCAACTTAAATGTCTCTTGTTGTAAGAGACACTCCTTGACACGTTCATTCCGTATATATTCGGCCTTCTCTATGGCCTTGTCAAAGCATTCTGGGCTTTTGATCCAGAACTTCTCACAATTTGGAGGGATATTCTTGCCTGTGTGCTTGGGTATTTAAGGCCCATCACTTCACAAGTGACATTCTCACGTACATGACGATCATGTCTTTGATCAGTATCAGTTTTGTCTTTCCCCAAAACAACATCTGGCACCTTGTAGATCCTGAATAAATAGCTCCTACCTGAATGACTGAGTGAATGACTGAATTGATGAATGGCCCTTCTTTTTCTGCTGTGCCAGCTGCCTAATAACTGTCCTGTACTAATCAGCACCAAGCAAGGAAACTTTTCACTCTCCTGGTTGTTCATAAAATCTTCCCAGTTGGAGAGATAACTAACTTCACATTTATCCTTCCCAGTTTCCACATGTTGAGATTAATTTCTTGGGTAGAGCCATGTAACTGCTTGTTTTCCAGTGTGTGTGTTGCTGATAATTCTGCTAAATGAAACCACCGCATCAATTTGTTTTATCAAACAGAATATATTTTCCTTTGGGTGGCCTCACTGACTTGCTTAGTACATTTTGTCCTCACGATGTGCTCATGTTGCCCTTGGTTTTTATGATTCTGAATTCCTCAACCACCTCATCTGAAGGAAGCCATTAGACTGTGCTTATCAGCACCGTTAAGAAATCAATAAATAATATCACTCTAGTGCTTTGTGGACAAGATAACTCTTTAATACCTCTAATCATCACGTAATTCTCAGGATAGCATCATAAATGATATATTATGTCTTTTTTTCCAATTTTAAATAAGAAAAAACTGAAGCTTAGAGAGGTTTAGCAGTTTACCCTGGAGCCCTTGGTAGAAAGCCACAAACCAAAATTCGAAGCTGGGCTTTCTGAATCTGGACGGAATGCTTTTCCCATGATGCTGCTGCCTTGTGGTCAGCCTGTCAGCACTGAACTCTGCAGCCAGTCTGCCCCCTCCCCTAGATAATTGGAGCAGCCGTAGCCATCTCATCCTCTCCTTGTTGGCCCAGTGTTAAATCAACAGCTTAGATAAAATGGATCACATCTCTTATTGCACACAAACATATCTTGAATTTCTAGTATGTGCCCAGGACTTTGCTAGGCACCATAGGAACAAAGATGAGGAAGTGACAGTTGTGTTTTAACAGAAGAGGAGGAAATCTGAACTGTGGTGCATCATGGGGATACTTAATGTCATTAAAACAGTCCATGGCAAACTGCCAGAGAGCTCCTGGGGATGGAACCATGGACTCCACCTGAAGAACTCTAGGAACCCACCCCAGAGTCTGTCCGGGGGAAGAAGGAGAGTTTGCCGGTGAAGGCGCAGAGAGATGCTCCAGGCCAGAAGATCCACCTGTAGGAGGAAGATGATGCATGTCTGGGGACAGACAGGTGGCTCAGTGTGGCCAGCCAGGGCGCGGTTGGTAGGGAGGGACAGAGAGGGGAAAGGCCTATTGGGAGCTGATTGTTAAGACTGTCTGTGAAGGAGCGTCATTTGGAGGAGGTGTCTTGATTTTCGTAGACTGCGTGGAACCATGGAAGTGTGATTGGAAGAGACACGGGGCTCCTCTTGCTATACAAATGCAGCCATTCCCACAGGGTGGAGAGAGGATTAGAGAGGTGGGGCAGGGACAAGGAGGAGAAGAGGGTGGAGCTGGCAGAAGGATGAGAGGACCCATGATAGCACTGGCCCCATTTGCAGATCCTAGACTCTGTCCTAGGTGTTGCTCTAGGAACCTCAGTTAGTTGCCACTGTCTTTGAGATGAGTGTGATATGGACAGGTGTAAAATCCAAGCTCAGAGGAGCAGGCATCCTCATCTGCATCTGAATAGAAACTACAGGTTGTGTAATCTTGGGCCACTGAGGTAGCCTCTCTGAGCCTCAGTTTCTCCCTCTGTAAAGAGGGATTGGCCAGTCATGTAGGGCTGGGACAGGGGGAGGCAAGGGAGGCTGAGCTGTGCAGGGCCAGATCCCACCTTTAGTTTAAATTTTTGGTAATATTTTCATCCTGTATTTTTTTGCTTTGATTTAGATGAAAAAATATTGCATTAAAATATTCTTCGGCACAACAATGTGAATGTACTTAGTCCTACTGAACGTTTAAAAATGGTTAAGATGGTAATTTTATATAATATATATTTTATTATAAAAATGTGTACGTTGTTTATCATAATTAGTAAGTTATTTCAGCACCCCCTTAAATGTTGCACCGAGGTGACAGCCTCACATCCCTCACCCATTCCTGGCCCTGCAGTCATGCACATAAATTGCTTGGCATAGGGTCTGACCAATCAGAAACGGATGGCTGCTGGCTCAAGACCACTGTCTCTGCTGAGGCAGCCATCGTGCAATTGTAATGAAAGTCTGTCTTGGGAGCTGTTGGGAACGATAAGGGGAGACTCAGGGGCTGAGCACTGGGTCGTCTTATGCATCTTGGGCATAGCATCCTACACACATCTATTTCCTTAGGAAAATGTGTCCACCAACAGGAGCTAGGAACCTCACTCCGTAAAACAACATTTGTCTCCTAGATCATCTCAGCTTGGGTGGAGGCCCTTCCTCCAGAAAAGGGGTGAGACGGCGGTCCCTTGAGAGAAATACAGCTTCTTCCCACCAACTCAAAGGATACCTGTTGTCCCCTAAGACCTCATTCTCTGCTTCCATTTCTGTGGACCAAAAGGTAGACCCCCAAGGCCTTGACATCTCCTCTGCTGGTGGTCACAGTAACCCTTACCCTGACTCACTCAGCCCTTTGTGCCCCAGGAGACAAGGAGAGCATGTGACAGATCCTCAGAGGAAGCACAGGTGAGTCCAAGTGGGGAGACCAGGCTCTGGTCGGGTAGCCTGCAGGTGGACCGGAGGCAGTGGGAGCTCAAGCCACTTCCCAAACCTTCCCGAGCTCCCCGACCCTCCGTTGCCTCCCTGATGCCTCCTTGATGCCTCCTTAAAATCCGTATTTTAGGACTGAGGGGCCCAATAAATGCACCCTTTTCTTCTCCCAAGTTTAGGACTAATTGAAAAATAAGACAATGAAAACAGACAAATGGAACTTAAATAGTCTGTTTACTGGTGACAACACTGGGCTGACAGCATGACTTTCTAACCCGCCAAGTGGCAGACTAAGGATCTGCTCATAGAAACCCCTAGCTGGTGCAGACCTGGGGACTGCCCCTATGGTAGAAACCCCTAGCTGGTGCAGACCTGGGGACTGCCCCTATGGTAGAAACCCCTAGCTGGTGCAGACCTGGGGACAAGCCCCTATGGTAGAAACCCCTAGCTGGTGTAGACCTGGGGACTGCCCCTATGGTAGGAACCCCTAGCTGGTGCAGACCTGGGGACAAGCCCCTATGGTAGAAACCCCTAGCTGGTGTAGACCTGGCGACTGCCCCTATGGAAAACCTGGGATTTGAAAAGCTGACAAACCCACCCAACATCACTGACTCCCACAGTCCCTGGTCCTGTATTATAGCTTAGCTCCAACAAGTGCAAAAATCTCAGCCAATGCCAGAGCTTCATCACCCACCAGTCAAATGATTCACTCTCCTTATTAGGGGCTGTTTTGAGTAAAATTATACCTCCCTCCAAGATTCACATTTTGCAGTCCTAACCCCAACTACTGAAGAATGTGACCTTATTTGGAAATAAGTTCATTGCTGATAAAGTTAGTTTAGATGAAGTCATTAGGATGGGCTCCAATCCAATGTGACTGATCATTACAAAAATGGGAAATTTGGACACAAAGACACACACTCCCAGGGAGAACATCCACGTGAAGATGAAGGCAGAGATCAGGGTCCTGCTCCTACAAGCCAATAGAGCATCAAAGACTGCCAGCAAACCACCAGAAGCTAAGAGAGAGGCCCAGAACGAGTTTTTTTTCACAACCCTTGGAAAGAACCAACCCTGCAGACACCTTGATCTTGAACTGTGAAACAATACATTTCTGTTGCTTAAGCCACCCAGCTTGTGGTAATGTTTTACAGCAGCTCTAGCAAACTAGTACAGGGGTGCAAGTGTATAGGAAGGGTAGGGGAAGTCATGGAGAGTTTCTAGGAAAATAAAGCTAGGAAAAGAGGTTCACCTTTCCCAGAGCTAATGGGGTATTAGCTGAATAATAGGATAGCCCTCTGTGCATGACATTAGGTGCTTTACACATATTGTTCTTATTTTCTCTTTGTTAAATGGGTTCCTCTGCCCTTTGCTCGGGCACATATGCCTGAGTGAGCAGAAGTCAAGGGGGAAGGAGGAAATAGGTCTGGCTCCTGCATGCATCACACACTGCCTCATCTAATCCTTCTAAAACATCAGCCCACTTTATAGATGAATAAACTGAGGGTATGATGTTAAGTGTGTTGCCCAAGACCAGTTGGCTAATAAAAGAGTTTAAATTTTGTAATCCCAGCACTTTGGGAGGCCGAGACGGGCGGATCACGAGGTCAGGAGATCGAGACCATCCTGGCTAACACGGTGAAACCCCGTCTCTACTAAAAATACAAAAATTAGCCGGGCATGGTGGCGCGCGCCTGTAGTCCCAGCTACACGGGAGGCTGAGGCAGGAGAATGGCGTGAACCCGGGAGGCGGAGCTTGCAGTGAGTCGAGATCGCGCCACTGCACTCCAGCCTGGGTGACAGAGCGAAACTCTGCCTCAAACAAAAAAAAAAAAAAAAAAAGAGTTTAAATTTGACACCAAACCTTTTCCAGTACCACAGCCTGTCTTATGGAAAACAAAATACTTCTATTTCTTATAAGTGAACTATAAAAATGAGGACCTGCCAAGGTAGGGGTATGGAAGTATTCCTGGTGTGTTCCTCTCACTGTTCACACCCTTCTCCCTGGCTCTTCAAGAATCCCCCTTGCATTCAACTTCACACTCTCTTGCTTGAAATTCCTTTAACATGTTTGAGATAAGAATATTATCTGATCCGTTTCTAATTTCTCTGTGGAATAGGGCTAAAGAAGAAGCAGGCACTAGGAAGCAGCTCTCTTGCTGGCTTTTAATTTTATTTGCTTTCTGTGGCTAGAGTACATTAGTATTGGCATCATTTAGTCCTTCTGTCTCCTTTTCATTTGAGCAAGTTATCATCTATTTGACAGGTGTCTTAGTCCATTTTATGCTGCTATAACAGAATACCACAGTCTGGGTAATTTATAAAGAACAGAGATTTATTTCTTACGTATCTGGAGGCTGGGAAGTACAAGGTCAGGGGGCTGGCATATGGTGAGGGCCTTCTTGCTGCATCATGGTTGAGGGCAGAAGGTGGAAGGGCAAGAGAGAGCCAGAGGGTGAGTGGAGGCCAGGCTCAGTTTTATAACAAACTCACTCTTGCAATAAGGAACCCACTCCCATAAAAATGTTAATCCATTGAGAGCCCTCAGGATCTAATCGCCTCCTCAAGTTCCCACTTCTCAACACTGTTACATTGGGATTAAGTTTCCAACACATGAATTTGGAGAACACCTTCAAACTATAGCAACAGGCAAAGAAATCAATCACAAGCAGCCATTCATATTCATCTGCAGACCAAAATTGGCCATAGATGAAGATGCAGAACCTTCAAGGGCTGTCTGCTGCCAACCTGGGCTCCTGAGTGCAGACACAGCTGGCCTAAGGCATCCATCTGTTTTCTCCTATCCCTAAACAGTTTTTTCTCCCTTTGCCAGCTTGCACGGCTGCCTGTTCTTCTCACAGCTGGCCTTCTTGCATATCCAAACTTAACCGTTCAAAGGCAATATTTATTAGATCTATAACTATTCTTAGAATAACTAAGCATCCCCAAAGGATATTTTTACTGAAGACGCCTTCCAAAGACTGGAGCCTCTAACTTTTAGCTTTGGCTCCTTTATTCACCAAGAGCCATCAGGAGGGTACTCTGGCCACATAGAAAACAGGTAAAGCCAATCACTTTAAGCATGCAATTGTCACTAATTACTCTGACCTTTTCTATTATTGTGTTCACCAACAATTTACAAAATTAAAAAAAAAAATGACGGTCTTATATGCATTTGTTTTAAAAAGTAATCAAACAGCTGGGCATGATGTCCCATGCCTGTAATCCCAGCACTTTGGGAGGCCAAGACAAAAGGATTGCTTGAGTCCAAGAGCTCAAGACCAGCCCAGGCAACATAGGGAGACCCTGTCTCTACAAAAAATAAAAAATTAGTTGGGTTCAGTGACATGCACCTGTAGTTCCAGCTACTTGGAAGTCTGAGGTCAGAGGATCGCTTGAGCCTGGGAGGTAGAGGCTGCATTGAGCCCTGATTATGCCACTGCATTCCAGCCTGGGCAACAGAATGAGACCCTGTCTCAAAAAAATAAAAATAAAAATAAAAATAATTTTTAAAGCAATCAGACAATACAAAAGGAATAAAAATAGTATTAGTAATTGTCTCTTACCTTCCAACCCAGAGCCAAACCAGTTAATTATTCTCCATATATATTTATATAAATTGTTTTTTTAATAAATCTAGAATATAACAACTTAAATACGTGTACATTTTCTCTCCAATACTATACACAGATGGCTTCTCCTATACATTGGATGAACTTTTGGTAAAGACTGTGTTTTCCCAGATCCTTCTTTCCATTGCACATCCTGAATGGCCTCAGTAACTGTTTTGTAGCTGGGGGTGAATGGGCTCTCCTTCTTCCCTCTCTTCCCATGTGTTTGACATCACAGTAGGAACTGGTAGCATTGGTAAATATAGATACAGATGTCTTCTCAATAGGTAGTTATAGAGAATCATTATTATTAGATTATTACAGGTAAGCTTGAACTTTATTAGCATACATAGTGTTTGAAAACAACTTTAGCCCTTGGCTTGCAAAAACAATCGTTTGAATGTAATCAGATAGCATTGCATTCCAATTAATCAATAGAAGACCAATAAATTGACCAGATAATGTTTTTACCTGTTTTTCCTTTTGAGATAAAATTATTAAAAGAAGAGCCTAGGAGTACTTTGAGGACAGTCTTGTGAATACACTTCCTGAACCTGTTCCTTTGCCCTGGACAGGTTGAAGGAGGCAGGAGATTGTCATGTTTTCTTTGGGTACCAATGTATGCCCAACTGTAATGAAAAAATAGTCTGACCTTCAGTGGTAGGCCAGACCCCCAATGATGTCCCTGTGCTAATCACCAAAAACCTGTGAAGACCTTAAATTACATGGCAAGGGAAAATTAAGGTTGCAGATGGAATTAAGGTTGCTAACACCTGACCTTAAAATAGGGCGATTATGCTGGATTATTTGCGTGGATCCCTATAATCTCAAGGATTCTTACATGTGAAAGAGGGAGGCAGAAGAGTATCAGAGTGATACCACATAAGAAAGTCTCCCCTGGCTCTGAAGACAGAGGAAGCAGCCATGAGCCAAGATGTGCATGTAGAAGCTGGGAAAGGCAGGGAAACATTCTCCCCTGGAGCCCCCAGAAGGAACACAGCCAACACCTTGATTTCAGCCTGTGGGCCCATTGCTGACTTCTGTTCTCCAGATGTATAAGAATAAATCGGCAGTTTATGCCCCTAAGTTTGTGTTAATTTGTTACAGCAGCAGGAGGAACCTAGCAGATGCCTTCAGGCAGCTGTTGCATTCCTGTGGAGCACCAGGAAGCCACACAGCCAGGCAGGTCGCAAGCACTCAGCACTCAGGGAGCAGAGCTGCACGAGCAGCTGGCCAGCAGGACACGAGGTCTAGCAGCAAACAGAGAGAAAATGGGATTTGTTTTTCTTTCTCCCTTTCAACCCAGGCTCTTCTATCATCCAAGATTCCATAAACATCACACCCATGATGATGCAGTGGTTACCCCAGGGAGGTGAGCAAAGATTCAAGTAAGACAGGGATTCATCAGCTGGTCCCGTTCTAGGTGTGAGAAAACAAATGTGAAATGAAATCCAGCCACTGTCAGCGTGCTTTCACACAGTCCTGAACTCTAACACGCAGTATGCTGGGATGCAGACAGGCTTCTTGGGTAACAAGATGCTTTCTCCCTCTTTTGGTTTCCAGATCAAAAATGGTTTCTGGCCGGGTGTGGTCGCTCATGCCTGTAATCCCAGCACTTTGGGAGGCCGAGGTGAGTGGATCACTTGAGGCCAGGAGTTTGAGACCAGCCTGGGCAACATAGCAAAACACTGTCTCTAGTAAAAATACAAAAATTAGCCTGGCATGGTGGTGTGCAGCTGTAATCCCAGCTACTCAGGAGGCTGAAGCATGGGAATCACTTGAATCCCGGAGGCAGAGGTTGCATTGAGCCAAGATCGTGCCATTTTACTCCAGCCTCAGAAAAGAAAAAAAAAAAAAAGTTTCCTTTTACTCTGTGACTCCTCTGAAGACAGGGAAAGAATACTCAGTGCCAGCTTCTTGGGGAGATGATTCCAATGCTTTAGTTCTGCATGGACATGCAGGAAGGAACCTCCTCATGACTAATCAATGCAGCAGTACCACTTCATTCACTCCCCACTGGAGATATGTATGGAGCAGAGCTCTCATGACCTAAATTATAAGCCAAGACACCAACCTTGGTCCTGTTGTGTAGCTCCTAGCAAAGCTAACTTTTCTAGAAAAAATAATTAATCAGTAACTACAAATAGAACAGAATCTGGACCACCCATTAAATCTGTGTGATGTAACAAGGTTTAGAATATTGAGCCGAACTCACACCAATCACAGACCCGACAAGGTATCAAGCTTTTCTAATAATATCAGAGACACAGGTAACCACAGGGCACAGGTTGGGCAGGGAGAGGATGGCACCACCAGTGCCACTACCAGGTCCTTCCTGCTGTGTCAGGACACGCACTGACCCAGTTTAACACGTGTCCTCGCAGAATGGTGTGCATTTACAACACTTACAAATAGGGAGCCTGGGATTGACAGAATAGTGGCCCCCAAAGATGTCTACATCCTAATCCCAGCAACCTGAGACTGTTACCTGGCAAAAGACACTTTGCAGACGTGAATAGGGTTAAGAACCATGAGAAGGGGAGATTGTTGTGATTTTCCCAGTGGGCCCAGTCTAATCACATGAGCCCTTAAAAGCAGAGAATGTTCTCTGGCTGGAGTCAGGGAGATGCAGCAGAATGAGAGATCACGGCTGGCTTTGAGGATGGAGAAAGGAGGCCACACGCCAAGAAATACACACAGTTGCTAGAAGCTGGGAAAGATCCTCAGCTGACAACCAGTCAGGAAACAGGACTTCAGTCCTACAACCATAACAAACTAAATTCTGCAAGTAAGCTGAATAAGCAAGGAAACAGATTTTCCCCTAGCACCTCCAAAAAGTAATGCAGCCCTGCTGATACCTTGATGTTAGCTCTGGAGACCCATACTGGACTTTCAACCTGTAATAAGAGAGAACTGTAAGGTAATAAATTTATGTTACTTTAGTCTGGTAAATTAGAGGTAACTTGTGGCAGTAGCAAAAAGCTAATACAGGGTCATTTTGGTCATTAAATACCTCTAATTTCATATCCAGATGGATACCTAACTTAAATATTTCCCATGAGCACTCCTAGACATCAGGAATATTCTGAAGAAAACATTCCATAAATAAGGATTTGCCTGCTAGTAAACATTATTGTTTTGTTTGCTAGGAGGTCTGTGTTTTGCATGTTTGCAAGAAGACCTGGCAGTCATCAGTCACCTGCTTTCTTTTCCAAAAGCATTCTTCCTCCCTACACCCAAGTTAGACCTGCTGCTAGTTGTCTTCTTCCCAAGTTATTTTGTAAGAGCTTATCTACAACTACATGGAAATAGTAAACCAAGGCTTAGAGTATTACCCTATTAAGTTTATGAGGATTAACCTTGTTCTTGAATATAACAAGCAAGGAAAAAACAAGGAAATTCCTGGACACGTTGGGGTGTATGTACTATTTATAGTATTTTCCAAATCATAATTTGCTCTAGACGACTAGATACAGCTTCTTGACTAAACTGGCATGAAAAAAATCAAATTTCCGGACTCTGAATAGGAAAATTAATAAAATTCCTGCCTTTAGATCAACATGCTCCCAATAAAATTGGGATGTCTTATATTAATAAATAAGAAATGAACTAATGAATGGATTAATTCCTCATATGGCTTTTCTGTCATTCAGCTCCTCCAGACCAATCTGGAATAAGTATGTTATTTATGGAATTGGATTAGAGATACAATAGTATGTCTTTTCAATTCAACAACTATTTATTGAGTGCCTACTTGATGCCAGACACTGTACTAGCTGCTGGTGATATATGAGTGACAAGAAAGGCACAGGCCCTATTTTCATGGGCTTTGCAGGAAGGAGGCAGTAAGCAGGTAACATCAGTGGGGTGGGAATTGTGAAAGAGAGCCTTGAATGAACATAGAACCAATGAATTTAGCCTGGTCAGGGGATCAGGGAAAGCCCTCCTAAGGAAAAGACTTGAATGATGAGTAGGAGTTAGAAGAGGAGAGAGTATTCAGGCATGTGCCTTTGAGTTTTACTCAGTGAAATGACCCTGGACTGGAGGACTTGTGCTTCGATATATATTTTTGAAGAATCCCTGCAGCTGCTACATGAGACTTCCCTAGAAGGTAGAGAAGATGAGGACAGAAGCAGAGAGAACATATAAGAGATACATGGTGGCCTTAGAGAACAATTCTGGAAATGCTTTGAAGTTAGAGCTGACTTGATATGCTGCCTGATTGAATGTAGGTGTGTGGGAAAGAGGAGAGTCAGAGATGAGTGACACACATATCTATTCCACAAGCGTAGCACTGCTGGTGCATAACAACATAAGCATTAAGAAAACCCTCAAAATAGGCCCCAGTTAGCACCATTGTTCTTTTTCCCCATTTCATTTTTATCTCCTTTTTTCATTCTTGCCTTTTTCATTTTATCTTCTTTCGTGTCTCTTGATCACTGTGGCAACAAATATACTTTATAAAGTCCTTTTTCACTCTTATTATTTCTATTTTATTCATCACTAATTTAATTCATGACCTCTAAGATGAAGAAAATTCAGAACTAAAAAACAAACAAAAAACAAGCTAAAAAGGCTGGCAGTCTCTGTTCAGTCTACTGTAACAAAACAGCTTAGACCAGGTAATTCACAAACAACAGAAATGTATTTCTGACAGTTCTAGAGGCTGGGAAGTCCAAGATCAAGGCATCAGCGGCTTCAAGATCTGCTGAGGGCTGCTTTCTGCTTCACAGATAATACCTTCCTGCATCCTCAGATGGTGGAAGAGGCTAACAGACTCCCTCAGGCATCTTTTATAAGGCCACTCATCCTATTCATGAGTGTCTCACTTAATACCATCACCTTGGGGGTTAGGTTTCAACATATAAATTTTAGGAGGGACACAGATATTCAGATGATAGCAGTAGCCAATGCTAATTTAGAAGTGGATATCTCCACCTACCACCATGATATGAACCAGATGGAGAGCAAGGGCAAAGTTGTGGCTAGCTTGTTTGCAACTTCATGTAACCCACAGCCCACTGCATCTCGCTGCATGGTAAGGGGCCAGTGCATGTAGGAGAGTGTCAGTCATGGGCACACTATCTTTGAGGTGTGTCCATGTGGAAAATAAAGATGGGAAACCACTACTCAGAGACTTCAGCGATCCTAATTTTCTTTGGAGTTGGAATCACCTAACACTATGTATTTGATTTTCAGCATAGTCTGTAAAAATATTCCATGATGAGTATTTGTGATTCAAATTAAAATAATACAGTGTATGTCTTAGAGAATTTTAGCAAATTATTGGATTAAATGAAGTCATTCAATCACTGAATCTACCGATGTACATTTGTGTGATATAGAAGGATCCTCTCTCTGCATGTGTTTTGTCAAAAGTTGAATCCACTGTTTCTTCTGTAACTTTTTTCTTTACTAATTGACAGATCTCTAAAACCTTTTCATTTCAGCACATATAAAATGATGGATAATAAGAGTAATTATATTAAGATGAACTTTAGAAAAACCTTGAGTTTCTAGATTCTGTTTTCTAGATTATTTCTATGGAGTACTGTTGCCTTGACATTTTCCCCCATGAAGTCATTATATATAGTTTGTGCCAGAGTTCTAAGAACCATTATTATTTACGAAAAGCAGTAAAACCTGAATGACAAATGTGCCCTGGGCTGATGGTGGAGGGCACGAGCCTTCTCTTTTGTTTTCTAGTTATTCCCAGGGTGGCCACCAAGCTGGTTAAGTGCACAATTTTTAAATCAGACCTTAACACTTGCTCAAAAGACTGACACATGTACTGTAAAAGATTAAAAGTCCTTTGATTGCAGCACTTAGCGCAGTGAAGATAGACAATGGAACTAAACTCTTCATGGCCAACTTGTGACCTGTTTTTAATGATGCTCTGTGGCTCCTCAAAGTGTCATTGCTATTTGACCTTTCTGTGCAGCTTTATAATTCTTGGATTTTTGAAGCATTACTCCTTTCACAACTGAAGCAGTAAAAGGAAATTGTGCACCCAGTGGTGCCATTATCCTACACTCATATTGTGTGCAAGCCATCTGGTAGTAGTAAAGCAAGAAAAGTCATTCTTAGGTGCTACCTAGAGTTGGTGAGAAACTCATTTAGCTTACTGTTCTTCCTGCAACAAGAGACATCTAAAAATCTTAATGACTACATCTCGTCTTGTCATTCAGAGCCTGTGAAATGCCCCCATCTGAAGAAACGATGTTTATCTAAAACTTTTGAAATACGTTAGCAGAAATGTTAAAATGAACATTTGTGAAAATTACTATGGTGGGTTTCCTTTTGTTTTATCTTATGTGAATATAGTAGTTTTCCATTGCTACCATAACAAATTACCACAAACGTAATGGCTGAGAACATTACTAATTGATTACTGCAGAGTCCTGCACTCTAGAAATGCAGGGGTCTTGGCTGGTTTCTCTGTTTGGAGCCTCTCGAGTCTGAAATCAAGGCATTGGCCATTGGGCTCTTTTTGCACAGAAGAGCCTGTATCCAGGATCGTTCAGGTTGCTGGCTAAATTCAGACCCATGAAGTAGACTAAGGGCTGCATTTCCTTGTGGGGTGTCAGCCAGGAGTTGTTCTCAGATTCTAGAGGGCATGATATTCCTTGGCTCATTGCTCCCTTCCTTCATCCTTAAAGCCACCTGAGTAGCCCCACTACCTCTATCTTTCCCCCTTTCTCCTGCTCCCTCCTCAGCCACATCTCTCAGTCTGACCCTTGTGCCTTCCTCTTCTGATTTGAAGAGTTCCTGTGATTACACTGAGCCCAGCAGGATAATCCAGGATCATTTCCCTATCCTAAGGTCAGCTGATTAGCAACCTTGATTCCACCTGCAAAGCCCCTTCCCCAGTTAGTATTTGGTTGAGCGACCAAAGGGTAGGAATCTTGGAGAGATGTCTTTAGAATTCTCCCTACCACAGTGAAGGGGAAAAGTGCAATCATGACAATAATGGAAGCAGACAGACTATATCGGTACTATGGCAGCCTTGCTTTTAAAATGCAGAATCTTCGAGCTGCCCTGTTAACGCATTTTCCAACATTATTCCTAACTAGTGATTAAGACCTGTGCATAAACTTGCAAGACCTCATTGGTACTTCTCTTTACAGAAATAACTCCTGCTTTCTTTTAATAAGCCTTCCAGAAATTTCTTTCAGAAATTTAAGAATAGGCCAGGCGTGGTGGCTCATGCCTGTAATCCCAACACTTTGGGAGGCCAAGGCAGGTGAATCACCTGAGGCCAGGAATTCGGAACCAGCCTGACCAACATGGAGAAACCTTATCACTACTAAGAATACAAAATTAGCCAGGCGTGGTGGTGCATGCCTGTAATCCCAGCTGCTTGGGAGGCTGAGGTTGGAGAATTGCTTGAACCCGCGAGGCAGAGGTTGCAGTGAGCCAAGATCGCATCATTGCACTCCAGCCTGGGCAACAAGAGTGAAACTGCGTCTCAAAAAAAAGAAAAAGAAAAAAGAAATTTAAGAATATATTTTAGTAATTAAGATTAAATTACTAGTTACTGGGAGAAGACAGTAAGGTGCATAATAATTTAAACAGCAAGACTGTGCTAATATTTCCCTTTCAGGAAAAAAAAAGGCTAAATAATCTTAAGTTTTACTGTTTTCTGTATATTTTTTCTTATATGAAATATATATGTGTTCTTATAATCTTTCTTATCCCCATCTCCCATTACCTCCATATGCGATATTTTCATTCTGAAACAAGGCGAGTGGTCCTTAGACTTCTTGGCAGTCTTAAGTAACCATTAGCCAAAAACATGGTTTGTCTGTTTTTAATACAGTATTCACCTAGCTAGAGCTATACAGTAATCTCTGGCCGAGTTAACTGGAGTCCGGATTTTCTAACATTTGTCTTGTTCTTTGCCTCAAGTAAAAAACTACTAAATAAGTTGTCAAAACTTCTCAGTTTATGAGATAGCAGTTAGCAGAGATGGGTAAATTTCTAAGAGGTTATAGGAAGGGTGGGTTTTATTTTCAATCACTTCCTTCCAATTTAAACTTATGGGGATTAAGCTATTTTGATCCAAGGAATGTTTTGATCCAAGAGCTCTTGGAGTCTCCTTTTCTATTAGCATTTTTGCCACAAATTAAGGAGTTGGTTTCCAGGGAAAATATGTAAGAAGACTGTCTTAGTCAGTCTGGCCTGCCATAGTGAAATACGAGAGACAAGATAGCTTACAAACAGCAGAAATGTATTTCTCACATTCTGGGAGCTGGAAGTCTAAGATCAGGGTGCCTTCACGGTTGGGTTCTAGTGAGGACTCTCTCCTGGGTTGCAGACAGCCAACTCCTGTGTCTTCACACAGCGGAAAGAGGGCAAAGAGTCTCGGAGTCCCCTTTTATAAGGGCATTGATTTCATTCAAGAAGGTTCTCATCCTTATGACCTAATCATCTCCCAAAGTCCTCAGTAACACTGTGACATGGGGGTTAGAATCTCAAAATATGATTTGTTGGAGGACACAAACATTCAGTCTATAACAAAGACCATAAAAAGCAGAGAGGGCCGGATACCCGCAGGTGGTAGGCCTGGACCCCACAGAATAACAGCGGCTTCTGCCCTTTCTTCCCTACTGAGTGACTCCCTCTTCTAAGTACTTAGCCCCCCAGTGAGCAGTCAGCTTACAGAAATACTGGGGTGACTCCCCACAATAAAACAATATTTTAGAGGGGCTGGAGAATTGCACAAAACAAAGGGTTAAGACCCAAGAGTATGTGAGAGTATATGCAGTTCTTTGCCTCTTTCAGTTTTTTGATGATGGTTATTGGTATTCAGTAAGCTATCAGTCAGTGATCAAAGCAATCACAAAAACAAGAAATAGACCTCAAGGAAAACTTTACCATCTAGATAAGTGAGCTTTTAAAAATCACATTTATTCTCAGCTTTAATAAGTCTTTGAAGTACGATTTGTTAAAATATCCTGCAAGTAAATAAATTAAAAGATTACATGACTGCATATGTGGAATTAGGGGATGAATTGAAATGAAAGTTGGAAGTTTTTTGTTTTTTTTTTTGAGACGCAGTCTCGCTCTATCGCCCAGGCTGGAGTGCAATGGTGCCATCTCAGCTCACTGCAAGCTCCGCCTCCCGGGTTCATGCCATTCTCCTGCCTCAGCCTCCCGAGTAGCTGGGACTACAGGCGCCCGCCACCACGCCTGGCTAATTTTTTTTATTTTTTTAGTAGAGACGGGATTTCACCATGTTAGCCAGGATGGTCTCGATCTCCTGACCTCGTTATCCGCCAGCCTTGGCCTCCCAAAGTGCTGGGATTGCAGGCGTGAGCCACTGTGCCCAGCCGGAAAGGCTGTTTTAATAATAGCTGTTAATAATCCAGAACATAATGCCAGATCTTGAAAATCTTAACGCCCACAGTCTGACATTTAAAAGCCAGGTAGCCAATAATCTATAAACCCTTATTAGTCAAGTTCTGTTCCCCTACTTCTTAGAAGATAGGGGACTCAAAATGCAAGGAATTGGATCACATTGGTATTGCTCATTATTTATTTAGTCACATGGTATTTATTTTCCTGGAAGCCAACTGCTTGGTGAAGTGAATATTGCATCTCTCTTCTGCAATGTTTCCTAGCATATTCATTTATTATATACATTTTAAGGCTTAGGTTCTGTGACTTGTCATATAAATCACACCTGGTTGAGCAGAAATAATTTTGTTTAACAAAGAAAGAAGAAAACAACTAGCTAGTATTCATTTTTTAATCTAATTTGTGTTTTGACCCATGACATTTTCTTTTCGCTGTGTTTGTAACTTTGTAACTGGCCATGGCTGGCAAATCATTTAGCAAGCATGGTAATGCTTGCTGCAGTGGCGTGTGGTGGGTGGACTTAACAGAGGTCCTCTTGATGGGAAGTCAAGGTGCCAGAATTAAGGTTAGATATGGGCGGCTTTCAATATATAGTACACCCTGATTTTCTGAGCCTACCATGAATGTGCCAGAGTAAAACATTGTGGGAGTTGGTAGAATACAGGGAGGGCGGGCACTGACCCGGGGGATGGACCATATGGCGTTACTCCAAGCTTGAGACGTCGTCCGGTCATGAAAAAATCAATGCCTAGTGAGTACAGCTCATTCCCCAAGTACTGCAAGTTAGGAAAGAACAACTGTGAGCGGCACGTGAGTGTTTGTGGAGCACAAAGGGCCACCCGCACAATTAGGCTCACAGTTAATGGTTTTAGCCACACAGCATCCACACCTTTCTTCCCTCTGATTTCCTTGTAATTTAGCCCAATGGGAAACTTTCAGCAGACATTTCATAGAGCAGTTAACTCTGTGGCGACCATCAGTTTTAATTGGAATCATGTAGCTAAAACCCTAGGTAGTACTTGACAGCAAGAGGGTGTCTTTTAATTCAGGTATTTCTGGTTCCGCTCTGGGCTTCTCTGGAACAATGTTCCCTGATGCATGGCTAACTCCAGAAGGCACGGATCCAGGCAGTCTTAAAACGGTGCAGTGTTTAATCGTCATCAAAAGAGGGGCCCTCCGTCCCTTTCTGATGGCTTACGTTTATGGGTGGATGGGGGGGGTGTGGTATGAACCTAGCAACCACCGCTTTGGGCACAGAACAACAGTGGTGTTCGCGGCCAGCCCCAATAGGTAGTTGGTCTTTAGCCACTGAAGCATTCTGTCTCTGCAGCTCAGCAAAGCAATTACCAAGCCATCATTGTCCTGATTTATAAAGAAATTGCCTTCCTTGGGAGAAGACAGTAAGGTGCATAGTAATTCGAACAGCAAGACTGTGCTAATCTTTAAAAAAAAATTAGGGAAACTTGTTTTTTTGGGAATTATTCTGACTTGGCTGTGATAAGAGACCAGCTTTCAAAACACATATGGAGAGAGAGAAGTCAAGAGCTTTTCAAGTAAATTTAACCTTACATTATTTGCAACCAATAAAAGTTTATGGAGGTGTGGCTAATCCTAATGCGGGTAATACTGCCTGGTACTTATGGTTGGTGCTTCACATAATGTTATGGGAATTCATTTAAAATAACGAGGCTGCACTGCAGACTTCACTTAAGCAGGGCTAGGAAGCTGCCTCATTTCTCTCTCTTATAATCCAGTGTACTCATGTCCTAGACAGATACAGAATGCCAACTGTAGCACTATTGGTTCTCTGCAAGCTCTGAAAACTCCAGTTTTCAGGGGACTTTTCTGGCAGAAGTGGAAGATACCAACCAGGCAAAAGAGCAGTCTGGACCAAGCTGATGGCTGCAAATTTGGTGGCATTCTTGTAGCTGATGAGATCAGAGATAGGGCAGAATATATTGAAGCACGTAGTTCAGCCTCAGAAAGTGCGTCATCCCAACATCACATCAGTGTTGCTCATGCAGAGGGCCTTGGCATGCCCTGAGTCCCATCGAACAGTGGCCTGGCCTCACGGCATTGAGAGCAGGTATTTTCTATGCCACCACCTCACGCCCTTCCACATGCTCCGAGGAAGAATTTTGATGCATATATATATATTATATATATTTATATATATAATATATATTATATATTTTTATATAATATATATTTATATATTTATATTTTTATATAATATATAATATATAATATATATTTATATATAATATATAAATATATAATATATATTATATATTATATATAAAATATATAATATATAATATATGTATATTTTATATATAATATATATAAATATATATTATATATAATATATATATTTTATTTATATATAATATATATATTTTATTTATATATAAAATATATATTTTATTTATATATAATATATATTTATATTTTTTATTTATATATAATATATATTTATATATTATATATTATATATATTTATATATTATATATTATATATATTTATATATTATATATAATATATATATTTATGTATTATATATTATATATATTTATATATGTAATATATATTTATGTATTATATATTTATATATTATATATATTATATATATTATATACTTAATATAATATATAATATATATTATATATATTGTATATATATAATATATATTTATATATTTTATATATAATATATATATTTATATATAATATATATAAATATATATATTATATATATGGCATTTTGGTCTTGAGCAAAGCAATCCAGTTGTTTGATTATCTAGAAAACTCTTCTTGAAACTTGCATGTGCCCACTGCAGGCTGAGCAGTTTTCCTGGGAGGGAATGGGACATGAGGCATCGGAGACGGTGCTGAGAAGAATCCGTTTACCCTGGAGCAAAACGAGCTGCAGCCTCCCTGTGAGTTTCCTCTTGCTGCTGTAACAAATTGCCACAAATTCCATGACTTAAAAAAACAAAATACATTAGCCCACAGCTTCTCTGGGCCAGAACTTCAGACACTGGACTCACTGGTTTAAAATCAAGGTGCTGGTGGGATCGTTCTCCTTACTAGCAGCTCTGGGGAAGAATCCAAGCTACTGCAGGTTGTTAGCAGAACCTTGTTCCTTATGGCCATGAGACTGAGGTCTCCACTTGCTTGGTGGTGGCCAGTTGAGAGCTGCCCTCAGCTCCTGCACTCCTAATGGCCTCTCCCTCCCCTTTGCCTGTGGCTACCCCATATGTTGAAGCTAGCAGCTGGGAGCTGAACCTTTACTCTTGGGATCTCTGCCATCCCTTCTGCTGCACCTCTCTGACTCCAGCCAGGGAAAGCAGAGAATAAAATAGGGAGATTTTCCAGGGACAAAATAGGGAAAGTCTCCCTATTTTAAACATTGTAACCTTAATTCCATCTGCAACGTCTTTTTTTTTTCTTTTTTCCATATAAAGTAACCTGTTCACAGACTCCAAGAATTAAGTTATAGACCTCTTGGAGGGGCTGTTCTCTGGCCTACCACAGTCCACCCTCTGGCCTCCAAAGAGTCACATTCATGCCACATACTTTCATTCCATCCACAGTCCCCAAAGGTTTCATCCCATTACAGCATCATCTCAAAGTCTTAAATCTCTTCAGCTCAAAAGTCCAAAATCTGAATCATCCAAATCCGAGCTGGATGAGTAATCTGTTAAGTACAGCTCCTGGGGAAGAACTTCTCTCCGTCTGTGAACCTGTGAAAATAAGGAAGCAACATATCTGCTCCCAACATGCAGTGATGGGACGACATAGTAACAATTATAGACACTCCAGTTCTAAAAGGGGGAATTGAAAATAAAATGGAGTTGCTGCTCCAAAGCAGCCTGGAAACCCAGCCCAGCCAATGCCATTGGGTTTCCAGGCCAGAGCTTATCGAACGTCAGCCTCAGCTTTGCCCTCCGGGTCAGATGTCAGAAAAAGATGACAGTGGAAATGCCTCTTGTAAGGGACTTGAATGCATCAGGCTGGTGGGGGAAGAAGCCCTGCTTCAGTCCACTTTTGAGTATCGTGCAAACGTCACACATTTCCACCTGCACAGAACGACAAGGACAGAACTGCATTTCCACCTGCCGTGGAACTACAAGAGGCAGGAGTGGTACCTCTGGTGAGGGATGGCCCAGGATTTGCAGCAATCCACCTGGGCTGTCCTGTGGCCAGATCTCAGGAAGCACTTAGCACAGAGAATGTGGTTGAGTAAAAGGCCATTAACAAGATTTGCCCTTGGTCCACCATGAGCCAGCCACAGTTTTAGTAGACATATTGCACTGGCTGAGGATGCCAGGCTTAGTAAAAATGGAGAATTATATGCCAAAATTAACATTTGCCACAGAATGCCATGGCTCCCTGCCAGGTCCTGTCCTTGGTTGGAGCCTGCAGACCCCACCCCTGCACGGATGTGCGTGGATGGTATTTGCACAGGCTGTTCACCTGGAACTTAGCCCAAACCTGTGCCTGTACTTTAAGCCTTGCCCTTTGCATCTAAAAGTACGCATTTTTAATACTTTCCATTTACATTGCATGAGCTGCTTTTTTGCTGGAAACATGTTTATTATGTTCCGTGTCCTTATTTTTTAAGTTACCACCCATGACTTGCTGCTGTAAGTGTGAAGGAAAATAACTGATATCTACATTTACAGAATTACAACTTAAGGAAATATTTTACTAAAACAGATGAAGAGTAAAATTTTCATCCATTTCAGCCTATATTTGTTTTCTGTTGTATATCTAGATGTCACTTCCAAAGAAGATGGGTTCCCAAATTCTTCACACTGCTAGTTACATACTGATGATATCGTGGTTACTCACATCAAATATAATGTCTGTTTACCTTGCTGGACGGTGACCTTCTAAAGGTCACAAGCCAGGTACTCTCATCAGTTTATCCCAGGACTTAGCATTGCGTATGGAAGAAAGCAGGCACCCAGTCAAGGTTGGCTGCTTTGTTGATTTGAAATTATTTATCTCTGCTATTTTATCTTCCTAGAATGATTCCTCTAAAGCCCATATCTCCTCCAAAATTGAACCAAACATTACATAATACAGTAAAAAATTAGAAATAATCTGGATATTCATTAACAGGGTATTAATTTAAAAAATTATGAATTGTGATCTATTTTCTTTTTTTTTGAGACAGAGTTTCACTCTTGTTGCCCAGGCTGGAGTGCAATGGCGTGATCTCAGCTCACCGCAACCTCCGCATCCCGGGTTCAAGCAATTCTCCTGCCTCAGCCTCCCAAGTAGCTGGGATTGCAGGCATGTGCCACCACGCCCAGCTAATTTTGTATTTTTAGTAGAGACAGGGATTCTCCATGTTGGTCAGGCTGGTCTCGAACTCCCGACCTCAGGTGATCCGCCTGCCTCGGCCTCCCAAAGTGCTGGGATTATAGGTGTGAGCCACTGTGCCCAGCCGATCTATTTATACCATGAGATACCAAAAGTCATTCAATAACTGTAGCTACCATCATGAACAGAGACAGAGATAAACTTTTGAGGGGTAAAAGCCAGTTGCCTGAGGAATTGTTATGGTAAAAAACAGAATCTTACCTACATGGTTCATTAATACGAGTGGAAAATAATCTTGAATGATAAACACCAAATGGTCACAGTGATTTCCTTAAGGGAAAGCGAAGAGTGTGGACATCACTTTTAGTTCTACATTTCCCCCGCTGTCTTAATATTTTTACATTAGTTTTTGATTTTTAAAAAATAAATGACTAAAATTGCCAATGCTACTGTGAAACCTTCTGTTCTTTCCTCTCACACATTTGCGGGAGACACTTTTCCTGTGGGGTGCTGGTAACCCGCCTGGCATGTTTCTCCCCTCTGGGCTGGGAGGTCTCTGGTGGAGCAGCTGCTCAGCTAACGTTTACTGAGAAGAAACCAGCCCGGCGCTGAGCAGCTGCCCTGTGTCACTGCAGATCCCCTGTGATGTCCACACCATTCCCAGCAGCACCTCCCGGATGAGGAGGCCAAAGCAAAGAAAGCGCCTTCACAGCTAAGTAGCGCAGCTATGTGCACCGCAGCAGGTACAGGAGAAGCCACTTTTGTGAACATTTTGAATAATAAGGAAGCCAGCCACTCCCTTTTTTCAAAGAAGCTACAAATCAAAGGGATGAGCCCTCGTGGAAGAATGAAGGGGATGGACAGACTTGGAGGGTCTCATGCTGCCCCCCTAGCCCTGCAACCTCTGCACCTAGAGAGAGAGGCTGTGGCTGGATTACTGTCACTCCAGTAAAGGCCAGGTGGAGTCAGCAGACCCAGTGGCTGGGCGAAGACACCCCTTCCTTCCCCACCCCTGGGCACTCAACAAAGAGGACAATCTTCCTGCACGGAAGAAAAGGATGGGCTTTTTGGACAATGATTTTGGAAACCACAGACAAAGTTTCCCAAGGCCTTGTGGGAGGACACAAGGCAGAGCTGCCGTTTCCCCGAGGAGGCAAATACATTTGATTCCTGAAACCCAGACTCTAGATTTAGGAGAGCAGCGTGCTGCTCCAAGCAGGGGCTGCTCAAACCACTTATTTTGGTGAGATGTTTTTAGACAGTTTAGGATCCCAGCCTCAGAATATGCTGAAAGTTCTGTACCTCTAGCACAGAAAATAAAAACAAAAAACCATGCATAACGTGCATATAAAAATATACAAAACTTGGAACAAAATATCAGGAGTTCACAGACACCCTCCTGAATCCTATATCTGAGCTTCAGATGAGAATCTCGGTCAGGGGTTGATCGTGCCAGTGACCCGTTTCTGTATGGCTTCAAGTAAGAACAGGTTTTACATTTTTTAAAAGGTTGTTGAAAGAAGGAGAAAGAGGAGGAGAGAAGAAAAAGTGGCAGAAACCCTGTGTGGCCCGCAAAGCCTGAAATATTTATTCTCTGATCCTTTACAGAGAGTTTTTAACTCCTGATCTAGGTGTTCACGGATAGAAGATCTCTTTAAAATTTAATGTTTTTGAAGCAAAAGCAAGTGTGCTTCGTGGAATCGAGAAAAGTATGATTGGCATAATTTCCCATTCTCACACTTACTCAGATCAGGTAATTTATGATAAATTCAAGCCATCGAGGATGTAAGGATGTTCTCCACAGAAAGGAGCTAATTATAGGCATCAAACTCCAAAGAGCCAATTTTTTGCATTTTTACGTGTAATTAATACTTGATAATCGATTTGGCTGCTAATAATATGGCTCTTTGAAGGGGTAGCTATTAGGTCTGTTCAGTCTCTGCTTAGCCTAAGCAAGAGAGAGCAGGCAGGAGAGGCTGGGAGTTCTGGAGATCTTGTTACTGGGGGTGCCTGTGTTGTTGAATTAAAAGATTGTCATGAGTTAAAAAATTTCCATCAATTTCTGAGCAGGTAATTACATGGTCAAAAAATTAAGATGCTCCATATTTATGTTCTACTTGTGAGATCCCCCCTCACAAGTTTAGTGTTATTTCCCATCATTTGCTGGTTGACTGTTAGAAGCTGATGGCCATTGGTCTAAAGGCCATAACTGGTGTGTGTGGGGGCCATGGTCCCATCCTGTTAGGAAGAGCCTGGGGAGTGTTGTTCAGAGTCTATACATCACATAGCACACGGCAGACAGCCACATGGCTTCATGGCCATTCAAGAAGTACTCTACCTTTCCACATTGAATTTCCTACCGTGGGCTAAGGCCGTGGTTCTCACCTTTGGAATGCGTTCTCATCAGCTGGAGACCAGTGAAACACACTGAGAATGGGGCTAATCGAAGTATAGGGGAAGGGCCTGCGCCTTTGTATTTTAATCAAGCTCCAAAGCTGATTCTGATGCAGCAGAGGAGCATAGGTTTGAGAAGCCACAGGGCTGAACACAGGTTAGGTGCTGGGGAAGCACACATGTAGATTAGATCCTCATGGAGCCCAGCTATCCAGAGCAGACCTCTCAGCCTCGAAACAGTTGGTGTGCCTTGTGGTGGGGGCAGTCCTGAGCATTGTGGGATGGTTAGCAGCAGCCCTGGCTGCCTCTACCCATGAGATGCCTGTAATGTCCCCAACACTCACCCAGCGGTGACAACCAAAAATATTCCCTGGTGGCACAGTCATCCTAGTTAGGAACCACTGGTCTAGAAAGAGTCCTGAAAAGAACCATATGCTCTTTCATCCAGTCGATATCCAGTGAGTTCCTACTGTGTCCTGCACAGTGGGGAGCACAAACAACCAAATAAGATGATGCTCCCCCCTACCTCCTAACGCCTTGTGGGACCAGACTCAAACATCGTGTGTTACAGGTGCTCTAAGAGAAGCTTGTGCCTGGAGCTATGAAGGAAGGAGTAGCGGGGCTGAGGCAAGGCTTAGAAGGTAGAAAAGGCAGTGCTTGGATTGAGCCCTGGCAACTGCGACTGTCAGAGTTGATGGCTTCAAGGTGGAAGGAAGAACATTCCAGGGGGAGGGATCAGTGGGCCTGGGAACCCCAGACAGCCTCTCCTTATCCTTGGTCAAGCGTCCAGAGGCCCTCAGCTCTGCCCTGAGGGGTCGCAGGTATCCCCAGGGTCGGGTCTGGTCTCTGGTCCATGCCATCATCTCTGGTGTCTTCTGCCTCCCCGGCCTGCCTTGCTGGGTTGCATCAAGGCTGTACTAAGTATGTGACTTCATTTTTCGACGGGACGGTGCCTTGGGACTCTCTGTATCACTTAAACCTAGTTCTGTTCTCTAACACCCTCCAGACAGCCCACCCCACTCCTCAAACTAGTATATGGTCTCAGGAACCCAGGCCAGATCCTGCAGAGACCCAGCATCTGGGCTCTGATGGTTATAAATTGGAAGATGAGATGTAGGAGCTCAGGGAGCGCCTGCCCAGGGATGTGAAGGGCTGGGCCACCTGATGGACGGTGATTATAGCAGGGCTGGACCCAGGGCTCAAGGACATGTAAGTAGGCTGGGTATGAGACAACTCCAGTGGAGTCCAGACCCTGAAGGCCAAGGAGAAGGTGAGGGAGAGAGGAGAGGAGGAAACAGACATAGGAAGACAACCTAGCCTTGAGCCAGGCTGTGAAAGCTCTTCCTCCAAGCCTGAGGTTGTAGACGGGTGAGAAACTGGGAAATATCTGACTGGCTCCAGGCCACAAACTTGTGAACAATCATAAGAAAGTTTATATCTTGAACTAATTTTACTTGCGATGCTGTATGCTATCTTCAATTGCATCTTCTATTTTTTTTTTTTTTGCAAGTTGAAACTGCCTCGAATAACTCAAGATGAGGCTTGTAACACAAGGTACAGTTTAAGAAGCCAGTATTCAAATGCTGGAACAAACATCTGATATTTATTCTGTAAGCATAGAGCACAGTCAGTCACAGAGTAAATGTGCCCCTGCTTTCCTGAATTCCAATCCGATGGAAGGGCTGAATTCTCAATAAGAGCCAACTATGTGTCACACACTCAGCTGAATGCTAGGTATAAACATGAGAATGACACGCTTTCTACTCTCCAGAAAGTCCCAGTGCAGTAATAAGGTCACAGCCTAAATAATACCAATACAAAATAAATGATGATCAGTAAAGGAGGTTCAAAGAGCTAAGAGTGTGTGAAGGGAGAGGCTAATTACAAATACATTGATTACCCAATATCTCATTCCTTGGTTTTCCCTGTGGTTTGATCTTCAGTATCCTGGCCATCTGAAGCAGAGACACATCTTTCATGGAAAATGCCGTAGTCATACAGGTGAACATATGGTCTGAGTTCCACGTTGGGTCCTAGGAGAGCACTGAGTGATGGAGATTCAAAGAAATGAGATTTCAAGCAGCACAGAAGACAGGGGAAAGGAAGCAGTTTAGTTGCATTAAAATAAAAAATAGATTGGTCTTTTAATTTGGAAGACATAAAAATGAATTGTTTCATTTTTTATCTATTAGATAAAAAGATTATAGAATCCACTTTTAGCAGGAACTTCCCAATGACATAGCAACTGACAATTCAGTCACGATTGTAAAGGTTACTAATAAGGATGAGATATTATGCACATTTTTGTGCTTCTAACAAATAATCTACAGGTATTTAATACTATGTTTATGCATAGAATTTTTCCATACCCATTTCTAACCAGACATAGAAGTCACCTTCCTCATGATGGGCAGAAGATGGTTTAAGTACAATGGGAGGGAGGAACTTTCTAGATTGAACATTGATTAATTGTCAAACACTAAGGACCATGATTACAACTAACCATTTAGTGAGCATCGCGGAAGGTTATCAGGGTGTTTATTTTTAAACAGTGAAACATCTTGTTAAGTTTCATAGTAAAGGTGTTGAGACAAAAATTTGAGCTGTGTTCAAGTCGTGATGCTTATAGCTGTATCATGTACTAACAAGCTTATGCTATTTCAATCATAAGCTGACATGACTTCACCTTAACATGTTGATCAAAAGTCTTAACCAACAACAATAAAAAGCTGAAATTTGTGGTTGAAAGAGTAGAACTTGTGTCTGTGGGGAAGACGGAGGAACAGGAAACCCTCCTTACCACCAATGTGAAAATCAAATATTCTCTTAAGATATGTTTCATGCACTGAGGCATAGTTGATTAAAAGTGGAAACCCAAGCCCAGAGGCCTATAGGAAATCATTGCCCATTGAAAAGAGACAGTTTATATAAAAATGTATACTGAGCCTCATCATGCCTGCGGACAGTATGATAACGCCCTCTTCAAGTCTGTATGTATACTGAGCCTCATCATGCCTGCAGACAGTATGATAACCACCTCTTGAAGTCTGTATGTATACTGAGCCTCATGTTGCCTGCAGACAGTATAATAACCCCCTCTTGAAGTCTATATGTAAACTGAGCCTCATCACCCCTGCAGACAGCATGATAACCCCCTCTTGAAGTCTATGTGTATACTGAGCCTCATCACCCCTGCGGACAGTATGATAACCCCCTCTTGAAGTCTATATGTATACTGAGCCTCATTACCCCTGCGGACAGCATGATAACCCCCTCTTGAAGTCTATATGTATACTGAGCCTCATCACCCCTGCAGACAGTATGATAACCCCCTCTTGAAGTCCGTATGTATACTGAGCCTCACCATGCCTGCAGACAGTATAATAACCCCCTCTTGAAGTCTATATGTATACTGAGCCTCATCACCCCTTCAGACAGTATGATAACCCCCTCTTGAAGTCTATATGTATACTGAGCCTCATCACCCCTGCAGACAGCATGATAACCCCCTCTTGAAGTCTATATCATAGGTGCTGTGTGGGTGTAGGCGTATCTCAGTCACTCCCCTTCTCTGCTGAGACCTTAAGTTATTAATCTTTCTCATTTTTCAATATCTTACACATTGTAATATAGTAGCCAATTAATAACTTTTTAAATTTTGGAGGAGACTGGACTAGAATGGAATAGAAACTAGAATAAAGAAAAACGCTAAGATTAGTATTGACAACTTCTGATGTTAAGTTGTTCATTTTGATTATTTCCTATTGGTTGGTCCTGCGCATTTAATGATTACCAGTGAAATTAGGGCTGATTATTAGGAAGTTTATTGGTGAATTGGGAGGCAGCCTGCCTCCAAAAAAAGGATACTCGAAGGAAAGACTGAGCACATTAGTCAAAGAAGAGCTGCAGAGGGTTTTTTTCAGATCAGGGTGTACACACGCTACCCTAAGTTGCTTTCCAGCCTGAATTTCATTAATTCTATTTGGAAATGCTAACTTGCCACGCTAAAGAGCGAAACATAATCACACATTGCCATGCAAAGTTCTTCTGGCCAAAGAGGTCTGATTCAGAATCTTTGACAAACTTATTATTTTAACAGCTTCACAGCTCAACCTGGTGAAAATCATTTCAAGAAGGAATGATCTAAAATGCTCCTTTAAAAGGGCCATTCTTTTAGTTTAAAATAATATCCAAATGCCTGTCACCACCTTTTCCCTAGCAGAAAGTTAGTTCCTCTCTGGCCACCACCACGGATTGTGTCAGAAACAAAGGTTGGCCATCACAGGATGGAATTTATAAAATTTTACATAAAAATGCTGTCAGTATTTGCCTAGTTATATTATCTAGGAAGCTGAGAAATTTTGTTTATATTCGAAGATCAGCAAATGCCAAAAATACTAATTTGAATTGTATAACCTTTCCCAGTGTTACACAAAAATGCTGCTGATAGAGCCTATCTTAACACGTCTGTGGAACTTTTTAGGTATCAAAAAACTCTTCATGTTCAGTAGCATTTTAACATGAAACCTGTTTTATTTTATTTTAATTCTTAAAAAATCATATTCTGCATTCATATTTGACAACAGGCCTGAAGCCCTTTCTTTCCCATCTTCACAGGTTTTGTTCCAGCTCCTCCTCAGCTGAATGCTAGGTAGAGACGTAAGACTGACATGCCTTCTACCCTCCAGAAAGTCTCGGTGCAGTAATGAGGTCACAGCCAAATAATTCCAATACAAAATCAATGGTGATCAGTAAAGGAGGTTCAAAGAGCCAAGAGAGTGTGAAGGGGGAGGCTAATTGCAAATAGATTGATTCCTCAAAATCTCATTCCTTGGTCCTCTCTGGGTTTGATCTCCAGTATCTTGGCCATCTGAAGCAGAGACACACTTACTGTGTGGCCTTGGACAACCTCTGAGGCTCGGTTTTATCATCTGTAAAACAGAATTTATTACAACAGCAAAAGATGTTGTGAATATGAAATGAGACTACCTGGGTCAATTATAGCGGGCTGGAGATTCATTTCATTCAACTTCTCCAGACTCCGTCCAGGCTTACTGATCCTTGGGATCTGCCTCATGGCTGCCCCAGCACTCAGCAAAGAACACCACCCTCCTCCCAGCCAGACCCTCCCTAGAGAGCTGGGGTCTGAGTTCTCAACATCAGCATCACCAAGGATATGCAAGTTATCTGACTCTACCCCAGACATTCTGAGTCAGAGACTCCAGCATGGAGCCAGCAGTCTGTACTGCACACACCTCCAGAGGATTCCGATGCTCCCAAAGTTTGAGAATCGTCCTTCTTTTTCTACCACTGTTCCCAAGGTCCTTAAATTCTTTCAATCCCTTTGTACCACCCACTAAGTCATCTCCTGCAGCCTCCCTTTTACAGGTTGTGTTGTCTGTAGTAAGTCATTGCAGAAATTCTCTACTGGAACCATATGCTAACTGTGGGTAGGAGAAGAACAACATATGCTCAGGTGGTAGAGTAACTAAAAGCACCCCAAGATTTTCCTTCGGATTATCTCTGTCTCTTGTAGGACTAGAAGATCTCTCTGCTTCGTAGCCACACATTTCATTACAGTAGACCCCATCTGTTGCCATTAGCTCAGCATGTGCTAGTACAGAAAAGAGCTTGGAGCAGCCCCTTCTCATAAGAGGTATCATGCACATCCCAATGACTAAATTGTCACAGAAACCTCTAACTATGTCCTTAGAATGAAGTCCTAGAAGTCTACTTCTGGCTGGGCCAAGGTAGGTATCTTTTGTGGCAGACAAATTTAGATGTCTAAAATATTTCAGAAGTTACAAGTTCTGTCTTTGAAAGTGTTTCGGACCTCTCAAAGAGGAATCCTTTGAATCAAAAAGCTTCTGATTGTACATGGAGTAAACCTAGAAGACTTTCTGAAGGTCCCCCACCCTCCACGGTCATGGGACTCACAGATCCCGTATTAGGAGTTCTTCATTGTCTATTCCAGGAGTTGCATTACAGACATCTGTGACTTACCCAACTCTGGGATGTGTTTTGTGGAAGCCATCCCTTTTCATTAAAGATATATTCTTGATAAGCATTCTGAAAAAGTGGGGAAAAATGCATTTACTTTCAAACTATGAGAGCAGCTGGGCATGGAAAGACATTCTTTTGGTGACAACCGTGAAGATCGCTGACGTGTCCTTTTGCTTTGCAGGAATGTTAGTTCGGCCGGAGAGGAGGCCCGCAGAAGGATGAGAGAGTGTGATGGGCTTACGGATGCCTTGCTGTACGTGATCCAGTCTGCGCTGGGGAGCAGTGAGATCGATAGCAAGGTTGGTTGTGCTGGCATAGATTAAACATGTTTGAGAATAAAGACTCCCACGGGACTCAACAATAGCTAACAACCCTGGAGAGCCAATGCAGTATTTCAGACTTTCCTTCTGAACTCTCTCCTGGTTTCCTTATAAGAATCCAACACTTTTAGACTGGGCTTCTAATTCTAGCATGGATCTAGATATATAACCTAACTTCTGATTAGCTGTGAGTAAATATGCAGATTGTTCTAAGTTACTCAAACCACAGGTGTTCCAGTTGAGTGTATAAACTTGAATACCACGTTGCTCACAAGCTTCTAGTTTTTTTTTTTTAATGTAATCCACTTTCAACAGAAAAGACAAGATGTTAAAACTACCTGCTTTTTTTTTTTATTTTTTGAGACAGAGTCTCGCTCTGTCACCCAGGCTCTGTCACCCAGGAGTGCAGTGGTGCAATGAAGGCTCACTGCAACCTCCACCTCCTGGGATCAAGTGATTCTCCTGCTTCAGCCTCCTGAGTAGCTAAGATTACAGGCGTGCACCACCACACCCGGCTATTTTTTTGTATTTTTAGTAGAGATCGGGTTTTACCACATTGGCCAGGCTGGTCTCAAACACCTGACCTCAAGTGATCCGCCCACCTCAGACTCCCAAAGTGCTGGGATTACAGGCATGAGCCACCACACCCAGATTTGCGATTTGAATAATCCCATATTCTTATAAACTTGCTTTTTAACAACTGTTGATTACACTAAGTGCCATTTTAAAAGGCCTGCAAGATCTAAATAAATGTCACAATGCTAAATAAATGGGGCTTCCCAACAAAATAAATCAGCAAAGTCTATTCAGTGTCTTAGTTCACAAGCCAGAATAGAATTGGGTGGGCTTTTCCAGTGTTTGAGCTATTTTATTTAGTCTTAAATAAGTTTGATTCATTCATATGTTTGTAATTTCATAATATCCTGTTATAAACACAAACTTTACCAATAGTCATAAAGTAATGCAGGTAATAAATGTGATTTCTTAATAAGGATTTCTCAAGAGCCACCCTTATTGACATTTTGGGGTGAATTATTCTTTGTCATGTGACTGTCTTGTGCATTGCAGGATGCTTAGCAACCTCCCTGGCTTCCGCCCACTGGATACCAGTAGCAGCCCCCATCCCCACCCCAGTAACAAACAACAGTGTCTCCAGACATTGCCACATGTCCTGCAGGGAGCAAAATTGGCCCTGGTTATGAACCGTGACCTTAATCCTATGGTTTTCATTCTGACTCTTTATTAGAATTGCCTTTGGAGTGTTCATGTAAATACATCTGCACAGACCCTATTGCAGTCCTCCTAACCCAACTGTCTAACTCTGGTCACAAGTTTGTGTACCTTTAAAAGTTCATCAGGTAATTTGATGTACATCTTAGATTAAGAACCTGCCATAGTAGATAGAGCTTTAATATGACTCTCTAATTGGGAATCTGGTAAAATGTAATTTAGTTACAAAGTTAGATAAAGAACAAATAAAAGTGTTTCTATCCATGTAGTCATTAATTGGCTGTGTGTATAAGTTAGCATAGCACTTCTCAACCCTGACTACATATTAGGGTTACCAAGAAATTTAGAAAATCACTGATGCCTGAGCCTTACTCCCCAGAGATCTGAATGCAAGGTACCTCTGGGACGTCAGCCCTTTGAGTACTAGTTCACCCCAATTATGAGCACCACTTGTCATCTTTTAACTTCTGCTCAGTTAGGTTCACATCCATTCACTGACTGTGTGTTTTTAGTTTCAAAGATGAACATAATGTAACAAAGAGTAAGCATTCCCCTTTCACAGAAGGCCTTAAGTGACCATTTTAGACCATTTAGTATCATCGACAGGAAAATTAAATTCCTAAACAAGTGACCAGTCAAGATGTCTTGAATATTTACAAGTGCTTGTTAGCGTAATAGACACGTGTGTTTTCAAAGGGCTCCTGAAGGTAAATCACTGAAGCGGCAATGCTCAGCATCGTCATATTCAGAGTGGTGAGTGAGGCACTGGGAGACTATACCTTTTACTGTGATGGCTACGAAAAGAGCTTTGATACTAGCTGGACCTTACAGCTGAAAATAAAATAAGAGTCAACAGCCTCATGCTTTGGCTAAGTGCAGCCACCAGCACCAAAGATTAAGGCATCTTTCAGGAGCCATGGTTCAAGAACCAACATGGCACAAACATCTTCTTTCTGTCAGATGACCAGATTCCTAAAACCTGGGAGACTTGGTAGATCATCTTTTCTAATGTCCACATTTTCCCCAAAAGAGGAAGTTGAAATAATTGGGAGTATTCAGGGCTGGAGTCAGAAAACCCAGATATCCCTGGTGGAGTAAGAAGAGCCCTGAGCTGGCATCAAGACAGTGCCAGTGGACTGTGCCATCTCCACCTCCCACTGGCTGGAGCACCATATCCAACTGACCTCAACTCTGTGACAAGGAGCATAATCATAGCTGAATGCCAAGGCTGTTGAAAGGATCAGATGTGATGTTACTCAGCAGGTGCTTCACTGGCTGGATTGTGCTATTGGGTTTTAATGTATTATTATTGTACCATCATTTTCCACTCAGCCCTCTGCTTGGCCGCTTTTGAGCTTTCACAATGACAAATTGAGGGTGAGGGGTTTGAATGAGTACACCTTCTTTTTAAGGCCTGAGAAGTTAATACATAAAAGAGCGTGGATTCCATACAAGCTTGTGACTCTGGTCCTATAATTGGGCCAGTGTGTTGACTGGATAACATATAGTGGAGCACTCTACAACTTCCAGATTAACCCTTTCTAATAGAAAATAAGGAATCAAAATGACCCTGGTAACCAAAAGCAACTGCTGAAAGCACTGCTGACAGCAATGGATGTCCCAAGCAAAGCTACCGGCTGCCACCCTCCTGCTAGGATCCCAAGTCTTTTGTCTTCTCTTTCTCCTTATCCCCTTAGAGAAAAGCTCTTGAATTAAGTAACTCTCCCAAACCAACCCAGACTGCAGAACTCCTGGAGGCTTAAATGACAGATAAATGTGGTCCCTGTGATCTTCTTTCCCCCATTCCTCCCTCCCCATCCGCCCCCATCCCTACTTTCTCTTCTTCTTCTAGCTTCTTCCCAAATCATCTCCCCAGCTGCAGCTCGATTATAAAGCATTTTTCCCAACTGCAGATTTATTCCCCAGGAGTCATTTGTTAAACAGAGGAACAGTGATGCCTCCAGGGAAGACGAACAGTGGGATGAGAAAGAAGTTTATTCTCCCAAGTCTTTGATGTAAGAAAAATAAGTTTGAGCTGATTTAAAGATCATTCTGACTTATGCCATAACATTTTCCTTTCAATGAGAGTCGTTTCTCTCTTTCATGCATCGCCCTGAGTTTACCTGCTTTCGTGCCAGTCCACTTTTTGATGCAGAGGATGCTTGGAATAGAAAATCAGGTTGACTCAGAGCCTGTGGGATTAGCAGCCCATGACACCTTGAAAAGCTGACAAGAAAGGTCTGGAATGACAAAGGCTCCAGAGATATTTCCTGAAAACTGGTTTTCCTCGTAAGTTTTCATGCCCTCGGTAATAAGTACAGGGCACCTGCTACCTTTCACCAGATTCCAGCCAGTGGAGGGAAGCAGTGCAGGATTGTGATCCCAGCAGCCCCTGCCCATTCCAGTCCCACCCCAGGACTGCAGAGAAGCAGCTCAGTCTGGTGGGAGGTACTCACAGCTTTAGCTGTCCTCCTTTCACCCATACAATGGAATTGTATTATGTGCCATCACAGTGGCTGTTACGTAGCAGGTGCCTGAAAAAATGATAGCCAGCTTGGTAAGATTCTTCAAATAAAACTTGGCTCAGTTTATTTTTTTTTCCATCATTGTTTCACCCCTTCTAAAATTGGATATTTTTCTCCGCTTTCCATGGTTCCTGTAGTCAAAAGGTCAGCTTTGTCTTAACCAGCAAACGTTTTCTGCAAAAGGTCAGAGAATAAATATTCCCGGTGTTGCGGGCCATACTGTCTCAGTCACAGCCATGTAATTCTGCATTGTACCATGAAAGCAGCTACAGACCATTCATAAACAAATGGGCCTGGGTGTCCTCCAGGAAAACACCAATTATGCACAACCGGCTGTGGGCTGGATCGGACCCCTGGGCGGCAGTTTGCTCACCCCTCTTCTCAACAATCAGAAGTTATTACAACTAGTATTTTAGCAAATAGTTTTGAGCAGACACTATTCAAAGAGCTGTATCTGTGAGCTTATTAACCCTCACTGTGGCTCTGTACATGATACTGGTGTTTTTTTTGCTTGTTTTTTTGTTTTTCTTTTTGAGATGGAGTCTCACTGTGTTGCCCAGGCTGGAGTGCAGTGGCGCAATCTTGGCTCACTGCAAGCTCCGCTTTCCGGGTTCACACCATTCTCCTGCCTTAGCCTCCTGAGTAGCTGGGACTACAGGTGCCCGCCACCATGCTTGGCTAATTTTTGAATTTTTAGTAGAGACGGGGTTTCACCTTGTTAGCCAGGATGATCTCAATCTCCTGACCTCATGATCCACCCACCTCGGCCTCCCAAAGTGCTGGGATTACAGGCATGAGCCACCGCGCCCAGCCTGTACATGATACTGTTAATATGACCCTCCCTTTACAAATGAGGAAATAGAAGTACAGAAAGATTAAGCACTTTGCCCAAGGCCCCACAGCTTGTGAAATGGTAGGCCCAGGATTGGAAGCCAAGCCGGCTAGCCCTAGATCCCATCCTCTGGAGCTCCGCACTGTGCCATCTCCTGCCACTGTTAATGATATGAACATTTGAAGAGCATTTACTGTGCCCCAGCTTTCTTCCCAGTACTTGCACGCTGTGTTACTTTCCTGTTGCTGTCATAACCAATGACCACAAACTTGGTGGCTGAACCCAACACACATTTATGATCTTATAGCTCTAGAGACCAGCAGTCTGAAGTGGGTCTCACTGGGATAAAATTAAAATGTGGTAAGGTCTGAGGCTTACCTTCTTGAGGCTCTTGGGGAGAATTTGTTCCCTTCCCTATTCCAGCATCTAGACCCTGCCCACATACCTCGGCTTGTGGCCCCTTCCACCATCTTCAGATCCGGCCATGGTCAGCCATGTCCTTCTCACATCACATCACTGTGACTCTCCTGACTTCCTCTTTGACGTACAGGCCCCTTGTGAGGACACAGGCCCACCCGAACAATCCAGATAACCTCCCCATCTGACAAGCAGCTGATTAGCTTAACAATTCCCACCTCCTGCCAGCCACGTGACCTAACATACGCGCAGGTTCCAGAGATTAAGATGTAGACCTGCTGGGTGCGGTGGCTCACGACTGTAATCCCAGCACTTTGGGAGGCCTAAGCAAGTGGATCACAAAGTCAGGAGATCGAGACCATCCTGGCTAACACAGTGAAACCCCATCTCTACTAAAAATACAAAAAAAAATTAGCTGGGCGTAGTGGCGGGTGCCTGTAGTCCCAGCTACTTGGGAGGCTGAGGCAGGAGAATGGTCTGAACCTGGGAGGCGGAGCTTGCAGTGAGCCGAGATCGCGCCACTGCACTCCAGCCTGGGCGACAAAGCGAGACTCCGTCTCAAAAAAAAAAAAAAAATGTAGACCTTCTGGGAGGGCCATTATTCTGCGTACCACACACATGTTTTAGCTCAACTAATGCACAAGAACCTAAGATGTGGGACCTGTTATGACCATTTTACAGAGGGGTACACCATGTCCCAGAGATGTCAAGTGCATTGTCCAAAGTCCCACAGCTAAATCGGACACCTAGGGTTCTACAGGTGTCTGGCTCCACAACATGTGTCCTTAACCACTGTTTAACCTTTTGGCTAAGAAAACATGAGTGTCAGGCATCTCAAAAAAATGTAGACTAAAAATATTTATGCACCCCAGGTGATCACAGCCCCTCACTTTCCTGGGACAACCCTGGTTTGCACCTGTAGCCTCCTTGACACTCGGAAAATGCTCCGGTGGGCAGTAAATATGCCCCCCACCAGAGCTGACCGAAATTCTAAGTCTTTGATTCCTCATTACCCGATCCCCAATCCCCAGCCAGGGAGTCAGAGGTGGGGCGCTGTCTGTTAGTGGATGATATTTGGGATCTCTCGTGGTTGTACATTCTTCCCTTCTCACAAGTGAATTTCAATCAACAATAACAGATGTTTATAGAAGTAACTATTGCTGATAAGTCATTTATTTGTGGGGGATAAAAGGTCCTAAGACCTTTCTAAGTTTCTCCAATTGTTTTCCACTGTGGCCATCAGGGGAGCTTTCAGAAGCTGGCAGCTAAACACTTCCAAAGAGAAATGTGTCCATGGAGAAAGAGGCCTTTCCAGGTGGAAGAATGGAGTGCTGAGTGCTAGTTTTACTCATTCTTTCCTCTGTTTCCCCCTTTTCTGCAGACCGTTGAAAACTGTGTGTGCATTTTAAGGAACCTCTCGTACCGGCTGGCGGCAGAAACGTCTCAGGGACAGCACATGGGCACGGACGAGCTGGACGGGCTACTCTGTGGCGAGGCCAATGGCAAGGATGCTGAGAGCTCTGGGTGCTGGGGCAAGAAGAAGAAGAAAAAGAAATCCCAAGATCAGGTGATGCAGGCTGCTTGCAGCTGCATGCAATTATCCCCTTCCTAATTGCAACTGTAATATATCCTCAATATATAGAGAATGAGCCCTGCATTTTCATCAGGAGGTAAAATCACTAATGCATCTGCACAATTTTCCTGTGGGAATTTCACAGCTGAGACGGTGGGACATGAAATGATTTCCCTCACGTCTCGCAGTTGAGCCAGGATAGGAAATTACTTAAAAAAGAAAAAAAGACACCTGAGGCCCTAGCAAGCTCTGACATTCCACCTCTGAGCAGGCGCTGTGTTAATTCACACATTTACTTAGGGCATTGTCGGAGCTGGATTTGATGCCATCCAGGTGACAGGGATGGGTGGAACAGGAGATGTGGTATAAGAAGGGAAACAGAGAGAGACAGAGGGAGGCCAAAGATCCATCATGTATTTAATCGCTGGTTTCGAAGCATTTAGATTTTCAGTCTCACACTTTCCATTGGAAATGGGGTAACAGAGAATTCACAGCCCTTCCACAGGATGGCATTAGAAGCTTGGCCGTGGGGAACAATTCAGGTGAATTCAGAACAATGTTGAGCTGGAGCTGGAGGCCTCTTGAGAACAGAATGGCCCTCACCTGCTGCAGCGGGAAGTAGGTTCCCCTGCAGCAAAACGAAGGCCGCTAGGCAGCAACTCACAACCCTGATGCATCAGAACAGTCTCTGCTCCTGTCTTGGGGAGCCCATGAGAGACCAAACCCCTCACCACAGGCCCCACCAGGACAGGGAGCGATGGGAGGACAAAGCATCCCCACCTTTGCTAACACTGGAACAGCGGTTAACTTCAGGGCCTGGAAACTGATTTATCTCATCAAGGAGCTTACAGAGAGTTTCACAAGTAAAGTGAAAAAAAGCAATATAAAAACAGGTGCGTACATAGATATAGGTATAGATGATACAGATACAATCTGGCCAGTTTTGTATAATATGTCATATGCAAATACAAAATGCTATTTGCCTGTACAAAATATATGTGTTTCTTGAAAAAGCAGAGTAAGATCCAAGAGAAGATAATGATTGATTCCTTTTGTACTTCTGTATTTATAAATCTTCTACAATGAAAATTACATTTGTAATCTTTGCAAATGGCCTTTAAAAAATAATGTTCATAAAGGCACTAAGTTAATGTATGCTTATAAAAGTGTATGGTTTTTTTCAGAGAAATTTATACCTCACTGAAAGGTGTAAGACATTATGTAAAATGAAAGGTTATCTAGTCTACAACACAGACCTTCCAGGACAGAGGAGCCAAATATTATAACAGGAGTAAAAGTGATACAAATAATAATTGGTTTAATGATGGCCTCTAGAACTTTTTCTAGTCCAGAAATTTATGTTGACCCTTACCTTTGGCATTGGTGTTCTTGACCTTAAAAAGACACTATAATATTCTGCATGTCAAATTTAGCTATAAGAAAAATCTCAGAAACTTTAAAAAAAAATCCCTGTAGGGATAATTCTAGAAAATATATGATACAAAAATATGATGCATGCATGCTGTTAGTTCAAGAAATGGTTGCTATTGAACCATACTAGAAGTATCAGACTTCTAGGCCATTCTAGTCTAGAAGCACCAGACTACGAGCTCCTGTGTGCAGAAGTGTTTGACACTCTATGCATCACTTTCTGGTCTAAGAGGTCCTTGCAAACTCATCCATTTTTGCATCTGCTGTGTGCCTGTTGCTGAGTTCTAAGGAATTGCTAGTTTCTCTAGTCCGTTTTGGACAAAACCTCCCATGAAACAGTCAGCATGTCATCTGCCAAGAAGGCGCGTCTCCCCCAGAAGGACCCTCTCTGCCCTCAGCAGGGCTTTATGACAGCAGACTGTCACTGCATGGTTGGTGGAGGGAATCCGAAGATTGGGGTCCAGGGAAATAGGAGGAGACAAAATGGATTCATTTACTTTTTGCACCTTTTGTAGCAATCAGCATTTTTTGGTTTGTTTTCACCTTGGTCTATGGCCAACGATCCTGTGATGGTGTCCTGAGGTGGGTACTGTTTCAGCGTGGTTTGGAGGTGACGGGACATTGTCCTCCACCAGCTGCTGGTCAGGTCAGACCTTCTTCAAGGCGCTGTTGGTGTGAGATTGACCATGGGCAGAGGGCCACTGAGAAAAACAAAAACTAAATAAGCAGGACCTGATGGAATCCAAAACCTCCCTTTTTAGCTTATAAATCAATTTAAAGTTATTTAATTTAAATGGGTAAAAAATATATGTCTGTCTGCATGGGTGAGGAGACAAACCTATCAATTCAAACAGGATTCTGATCCACTATTTTTATCTGGTAGGTCTTCTTTCATGATCATCTTTGTTTCACAACTGAGTGCACTGTAGTCAATTTAACAGTAAATATTTTTGCTCTTTTTCACCTCTTTGTTAAGTTGTAGATGCCAAATGCATAAATGACTGGAAGATTCACCTGTGATATACACGGTGCTGTTTTATGCATAAAAGCAGTAGGAATGGGCCTCTGTGTAAAACTTCAATGCCCCCTTATTTTTCCCACAATGAAAGAGATGTCTTGGAAGAACTTTCAAGGCTTCTTGCCCGCACTCTTTCCTGGCCTGTCTTAGGATCCCGCAGACCAGCCTCTACGCTTCTGTTCATGCTGTTCCACTGCCTGGCCCTCCCTTTCCCCACTCACTACTTGGAGAATAATCATTCAAGAGCAAATAAAACATCCCCTCTATCTTTCCAAGACTTCTTTCAAGTAAACAATTACTCCCTAATCTACTTCTCCATAATTTTATTTAAACTTCTCTGCTAGTTATTATCATATTATGGGTTAAGTATAGCAATTGATCCCCAAAGAGAGCGAATTTTCTGGGGCAAAGGACTCTGTGGGTCTTATTTCGGTCTGTGACTTCTAGCCCAATGCCTGGCCCCAATTACACTGTGGCCTATGGTGGCCCCTAGCTCTTGCTGTGGGTTTAATTGTGGGTGGATGCTCATAGCTGTGACTTTTCCCAGACTCATCTGTTTCTTTCCTGGTGAGACTTTGCCCCAAGGGCTGCTGTGAGCCAAGCGTCTTCCGCAGTCTTCCCTCCCTGTGTTTTGAGCTGTTCCCCAGCCTCTCATGACAGTGCTGCATTTATCTCACTGTTAGTCAGTATTCTGAATCTGCAATCACCACCAAAACAAATGCACCATCTAAATTACTGTTATCATCTAAGAACTTAAGTTTATATGCAACAAAGGTATATGTGTATGTGTCAAAAAGTATCCCTGGAGAAGCAGGACTTTTGATCCTGCCAGACTAAACAAATTCTTTGCACTGAAGGTGTTATGAGAAATCATGAAATCCCACCACCTACAAGGTTTTCTTGGATTTTCAGGATATCGGTATTGGCCACCACTTCTTCAAGAGCCTCACACGTTGCCTGCTATGTCATTCGGATGCTCTTGACCCAAAAGTGAGACTCTAGGGCTAAATAAACAGCATGCATATCCCAAAGCACAAACATGAATTTTATTAGTAGTTAAAATGACCACAATGGAGATTTGAACTTTAACAGTTTCTTCTCATTTCAGACAAAGTAGATATTAATGATAAATATCTAGGTATACATTTACATAGTTAACATGTAAATAATATGTGAGTAAAATAGCACTAACCTCCAAGAAGAAAATAATACCCACACCTTCAGCGTGCCTCCTTCTAGAGAGATTCATAGTTACAACTTACATCTGGGCATATATCCTTTCAGATGTTTTTCTGTTAGAGGCCATATCAGACAGCAAAATTCATAAGGTCTTATAGTTAGTAAGTGTATTTCCACTGATGTAGAACTCCGGTCTCTTGAGTCTTCAGAGGTGGGCTCCTTGTATTTTATGGGGCTCTCATCTTCAGGGTGCTGCCTTCCTCCCCATGGTCACGATTCTGGCTCTTCACATCCACAGTTCAGGAGCAGAAATGGGGGAAAGAAGACAGGAGTATCCTTTCCTTTAGGACCCCACCCAGAAGTTGCACACATCACTGTTACATCCCTGTGGCCTAGACTGGCTCGTAGTGGCACCAGAGCTGCGAGGGAGGCTGGGGATTGTAGTCTTTTGTGACAACTATGACCCTAGGTGAACCTTGGGCATTCTCTTAATAAAGAAAAAAAGGCATGTAGTGGCCCATTCAGGGTGTGCAGTGAGTAGGGGGCTCTCCTTGTGAGGAGGAGTCTCTTACCAGTGAAATCGTGTAGCATTGTCTGCACATGGTAGTGAACAAAAACCCAACTTGTATTCATTTCATTACCTGTACATTCCCTGCAAAGAGTGCAGCCTCTTATTACCTGCCCCCAGGTGACAGCCCCCACTGCCCACTTTGGCACACCACTGATGGGCGGGAAGGTGTAGGCACAAGTCTGCTCTATGTCACTTTGCTGACCACTTTATGACAGCTTATCATTTGACACAGACTGACTTTTTTCCTTGCCAGTAAGCAGTTCTTCACACTGGAATGAGGAGGAGCTACTGTGAATTCCATGGTAGAGGAATACCATGACGTGGCGAACCAATCCCCTATTCCTAGAAAATCAGGTTGCTTCCAAGTTTGTACTAATGTAAACTGTAATGAACATCTGTGTAGTTAAATCTCACCTACCCCCTTAATCACTTCTTGAGAGTGCATTCTTAGAAGTGAAATAGCTAGACCAAATGCATGCTTTTAAGACTCTCAATACGCAAACCAGAATTTATCTTAATCACTCTAAATGTCAGTGACAGTTTCTGTTCGTGGACTTGATTTTTTATTATCACTTCATGCATCTGCTCCTCATGACATTTGGATGCTCCTAGGCTTTCATTTCCTAATATCACAGGTTGTTTTTCTTTTTCTTCCAGACAGTTTTCATTTTCTCATTAGTAACCATACTCTTTCTTTTGCCGCTTAATATCATTTCCTTTCTAACCATCTGCTTCTTTCAGCTGCCGCCCGTTCCTCTTGGCTGGTTCGAGTACAGTCTCCCTCGGCCTTCACCTCACCATATGCTGGGAGCTTGTTGACTCAAGGCATGATATTTCATGTCCTGGAAGCAACATATCTCATGAGCCTGCAAAGATCACGGCTGTGCATTTTTGCGCAGCAACTCTCGTCTGCCATTATCCATGGATGAACCATATTCTTCTACTTCTTTCTCACCTCTAGTGGAAGATATAGCCCATCACCTAAAAGTGCTGCTATTTTAGTTTCAGTGAGTTTATAGACTTAAAACTCTGTTTCAGGTGTCTCGTTTAGTTTTCTTAATTGTATTTTATCTCTCAGCCTTCCACACCATCAATACTGTCTTTTACAACTTCACCAGGGCCTCTCGGCTTCGGCACTGGTCACATGTGGGGCAGCATACCTCTCTGTTCCAGGGAGCCGGCCTGTGCATTGCAGGGTATTTGCCAGCCTCCCTGGACTCTACCCACTGGATGCCAGTAGCACCTTCTGCCACAGCCATGACAACCAAAAATGTCCCCAGACATTGCCGCTTGTCCCCCTGGGTGTTAAAATTGCCCTGGTTGAGACCATTGGACTAGATTGTCCTTCGAAGGACATATTACCAAACATATAAACCAAGACCACAGGATTATCTGAAGGAGGTTGGCACGTCAGGGACAAAGCCCCTTTAGAAGGCAGTAACAGGGACGGCCATGTCCCAGGTTTCCCTAGATGTGGATGGCAAATTAGGAGCAGAGAGAATTCTAGATGAGCATCAGTGATGCCCCAGTTGGTTCCATCACAGTGACTTTGGGAAGGGACAGGCAGGCCCAGTCATATGGAGCAGCCTTGACAGCTGTCTTCTGTGGGGCACAGCACAGTGGCCGGCCTCGTGATGCCAGTCTGTGGAGTAGGCAGCATCACCAGCTTCACTCCTGAGGGATGTGTGCTCACCGGGCCCCGTGGCCCCCCACAGGAGGAGGTGCATCAGCAAGGCTATTCCTGAATCTCTTTTGCCCTAACGCTTTGTTCAGACAGCACCTCATCCTGCCTCTTTAATGCGGGTTTCTAATCTCTCAAATGCAAAGTCCCTCCTGTCTTTTGCAAGGAGAGCCTGGAGACAATGCAGTGCCACATAAATACAGCTAATTAGCCATCAACTCTATCCCCTCTTTGCACAGCCTCAGCCTCAGCTGCAGCCGAAGTCTTCTGAACAGCTCCTGGGGGATTCAGACACCCGCACTACCGTTTTCTTTGAAATTCCTAAGAATCAACACAAAGAATCATTTCTCGCTGGCTTTTTACAGTTAACTGGAGTTTTTGAATACCCATCACCTCTATCCTTCCACCTTTAACCCCCCAAAAGCTGGAAGTGGCCATGAAACACTGTAAAGGCAAATTATGTAATAACTCTGCTGTTCAAAGCAAGCCAAGCAAGAGTGGCAGACGGTGGATGGACTTGGGTTTTTATTGTTGCTTTTTAAAGTACATAGTGCTGGCTGCAGCTTAATTAAACCAAACCCTGCTTGAGAGAACATTCTCTGACAGTTTACCTACTTAGAGCCATCTTCTCTTCCTACATTTTGCAATGTGTGACTTCCCCTGAGAGGAAAGAGTGGGATCTTAAAATCAGAATGTTTCCCTGATGCTGCAGATCTGCTACCTTTATCTTGCAGCATCTCTGGTCTGTTGTTTATTTCACTGAAATATCTTAAAAAATGAAAGTGAGCCTGCACATATGTAATGACTGTGATGCTCCCTAATTAGTAGAGAAATCTAGGTGATAGAGGTGCATTCCGCTGGTGAAGCCAGCCTTTTCTGTTTATGTTCTGAAGATACGACTCAGCAGTAAAAGGTCTTTTCTGCACACAAACTTGATTGGCGGAGACTGTATGAAGCCTGTGACAGGTGGAAAGAGGAGCTGTGTATTTTAGCACTTCTCCTGAAATGGAAATCCTTCTCCATACTCCCTGACTGCTCCTTGTTGGTGTCTCCTCAGTACCCAGCCCAGTGCATTGGAGATCAGAGACTAGGGCAGTTGCAGGATGGCTCACAGAGAAGAGTCTTGTAAATTGTCCTGTAATTCTTCTCATTCATTAGGGGGCTTTTATGAATGTGATAATTAGAGTACTCCTGTGACTCTCTATAACTTAAAGAACCCCATGTTTACAAAGTCTTTTTTTTTTTTAATATAGTATGTTGACATCTTTACTTTCAGGGGTTTTTTTGTTTTGTTTTTTGCTTTTGAGACAGTCTTGCTCTGTCACACAGGCTGGAGTGCAATGGCGCCATCTTGGCCCACTGCAAACTCCACCTCCTGGATTCAAGTGATTCTCCTGCCTCAGTCTCCTGAGTAGCTGGAATTACAGGTGTGCGCCACCACACCCAGCTGATTTTTGTATTTTTGTAGAGGTGGGGTTTCACCACGTTGGCCAGGCTGGTCTCAAACTCCTGACCTCAAGCGATCTGCCTGCCTCAGCCTCCCAAAGTGCTCGGATTATGGGCATGAGCCACTGTGCCCAGCCTACTTTCAGGTTTTTATCCCTAAGTTACGTCTTTCTCTTCATATAAGGAGCAAATGGCTTCCACTCTTTCATTCTCAAACCCAACTGAGATAGAACTCTTTTAAATAGACCGGGTGCGGTGGCTCATGCCTGTAATCCCAGCACTCTGGGAGGCCGAGGTGGGTGGATCACTTGAGGTCAGGAGTTCAAGACCAGCCAGGCCAACATGGCGAAACCCCGTCTCTACTAAAAATACAAAAATTAGCTGGGTGTGATGGAGCACACCTGTAATCCCAGCTACTCAGGAGGCTGAGGCAGGAGAATTGCTCCAACCCAGGAGGCAGAGGTTGCAGTGAGCCAAGATTGTGCCACTGCACTCCAGCCTGGGTGACAGAGTGAGACTCTGTCTCAAAAAAAAAAAAAAAAAAAAAAAAAAAAATCTTTTAAATAGAATTTAAGCCCTGCATGGAAGCAAAAGTATTTAAAGCAAATCCAAAGAAAGGCTTTTTTCCTTTTCTTTCTTTGTAACATACACATTGAGCACAGCCCCACGCATATGTTATTTCCTTCCTAAGCAGACCTTTTTTTACAGGGGCCATTATGTATGCTCTGTGCCGATGGTGACCATATCAAAAAGCATCATGTCTAAATTTCAGCAGTCCCTTAACCTTCTATCTTGGGAAGCTTGATATCCTCTTTTTTTTCCAAAAATTTTTGAGCATTACCTTCTTAATGAAAGAATACATATTTTCAATTCTATACAGTTTTAGAAATGGAATGACAGAAACTGTTGGCTGATTTTTTATGGATATTAGTCATGCAGTTGTATATTTGAAGCCAGTAAAGAAAAGTGCTGATACATTATTGGGTGAAGCACTATTTGGAGTGGCAAAAAATCAATCTATTGGTTTGTTCTATGATCTATGTACACTCACTGCTTTGCTACCAGCCTGTCTCCAACAGAGCTCTAATTCTCAATTACTCAGTTTTCAAACACTCTGGTTATAGCCACCTTAATCCTTAGCTTTATGAACTCTAAATATGTGTGTAAAATTAGAAATTTCTATGAACAAGACAATTCATAAGAGGAGGTTCAGTATTACACTAGTGATATATCCTTTGGTCTGTTTTCCTGTTCAACAGCATGTGAATGACTTGCACAAAGTGTAATTTGAACATTGAAGTAATATCTGTAAGACTCAAGGGATACTAGAACTTTTGCAAATTTTATTCGTTAAAATATAACAGATGAAAATTAACATGTTGCACAGAATTGTGGAACATTTATGTAACTCTCAAACATAAGGAGTAAAATTCTGAGGAGGAAGGGATATTTTCATTGAAAATTTCCCCCAAGCTGGAACAAGATGAAACCCAGCAAAAAAGCTTTTTTAAAACCACAAATGCCTCTGTCTTCGTGCTATTTCTCTCACTTTCTCTATTCTGCTTAATTTTTAAACTGCAACCTGAGGAGTGAAGATGTAAACACACACACACACACACACACACACACACACACACATATGTGGTCGTCATGCAGATAACATAATAAAAAGTCCTTTTCTGGCATTGCCACCACTGCTGTCCTGGAAATACTTTGTCTTCATGTGCTCTTTATTATATAGAAAATTCTCTCTCCTGACTTGATGACATTTTACTTCTTTATGTATTCTTTGCATATTTCAAGCTCTTAAAGAGTTTTTGGTAGTAGGTTCTCAAGATATAGTCCAAAACGAACACAGTTTGCACAAGATTTGTAAGTTTAGTCTTGTGTTCTTCAGGGCTGAATCACTGTGTGGTCACTGCTTCAATTATGTTACAGATTAAGCCACTTGCTTGCCTTCTGATAATGTCCCATTTTTGTAGATATTTTAGGATAGAAGCACCTTATATTTAAATTTGTAAATCAAGTATTTCTACTTTGGTGCAAGAGTTGTATATCCCATGATTTTTCTTGAATCTTCACATTCGAGCCTCAAAAGTTTGCATGTGCAGAATTGTCTCACCTACATCAGTCTGATCCTAACTTCACCATTGCCCTACTACCTTGTTGATGTTGATGAGCTAGACAAAATAATATCAAGCATGTTAACCCAAGTCTTACAGAATACGTCCAGTCATGTTACAGCTGATGGAAATCTATTTTTAATGGGCTTTTCCCCCTATTAACTTATGATACTTTTCTCCCTATTAACTTAATAAAAGTTTGAATAAAGTACCCAGATAAAGGTCTGGCAGATACATTTACTGGCTTTGAAATAGTCCTTTTTCTTCAATATCAACGTGCTAAAATAGCCAAGAATCCCCTTTGAACTCCATCTCCAGTTGCCATCAAAGATTATCTGTGTTCACATCAGTTGTCCTTTTATTCCTTCAGATTCTCTCTGTAGCCATTAAGAAAGGATTGTAATAAAAGATATTTGAGAGCTACATAGATGACATGTCAGAGCCTGAGGAAAATTTTCTACGGACTTAACCATTTATCCTGCTTTATTGCACAGAAGTTAGAAAAGGAGAACAAGATGAAACCCAGCAAAAGATAACATGGCTACTTTTTCCTCTTTTTTGTAACGAGCATGCAAATATTACTTCTCTGTACCTCTTGCTGTTAGGTTAGCTCTTACATAAAAGGAAAATCTATCCATGTTGAGTTGGAAGTTTCACATTTTTATTTTTCTGAATTTTATCCATTTTTATATGAAAATAATTGCTTTAAATTTTTAAGGAGACAAGATATAAAATGAAATAAAAGAAATAATTTGCCATTTCTTGTTACTCTAGCAGATAGATTCACTACCCCAAGCTGGTCTCCTTTGAGAGGCCAATATTGCTACTGCTTTGTCATTGAAACTGGCAAACCTACAGAATGACTACTGTCTTTTTCTAGTGCCCACTTTCTATTCAGTGCAGCAAGCCAGGATCAAATAATGAACTAGGAGCAATGTGACGGGGCTAGTTCACTTCCTTCTTTTTTTAATTTAAAGGAGATGTATTGGTTTTATTGATAGGCAGTTCACAGGTGCAAAGTCATCTTTGAATAGTTAGGAAGTGGCTTTGGTTAAAAGGACAGGAAGCTTCCCACACTGAGTGTCCTTGTTATAAAGTTAAAATTGAGTGACATGTTCATTGAAAATGACCTTTAATGGGATGTCATTCATCTCTGAGCTTTACCCTTGACTTAAACTAAGCTGTGTCATTATTGAGGAAAAGAAGACATGCAGTTTAGCTTATTTCAAGAAATAAATAATGAAGTTTTTGAAATTATTTGTGACAGCAGCCATCTCTGTCTACTTTTCTATTTTTATGTTGCAAGGATAAAAAGTAAGCATGTATTTTCTTGCAGTAAAACTTTCAGAATTAAGGAACTTACATTCAGAAATATGGTTTTGTTTTTCATATTTATACACACACACATTTATATACATGCACATATATGTATGTACATAAAATATCTGTAAGTACATTTAGCATATGTCATTTACACTGTATTTTTAAGTAATCATTAATAAACACTAATAAGCTAAATACCTTCATGTTCTCACACTAAAATTATAAAGAAATTGTTTATTTTACTGTGATTTTTCTCAGAACTGAATATGTGTATTTTTTTCTAAAAGCATAGCATCTTTCATTTCTAACTTTATTATAGTCATTATTTTCACAAAAGACAAAGCCTTTGTGTAATCAAAGATCAGAATCATTATTTTAATTTTTAGTGTTTTTTAAATTGTTAAGAGTAATAGAACAGGAAGTTTGAAATGTAGAAAAAAAAGACATTGTATTAGTAAATTTTTATGATAATTACAGGTATTTTATGATGCATTTTAGTTGGAATAATGTGCAAATCCCATACTACTTTGCATCCTGCTTTGCTCATTTAACTTTTATTGTTATAATTTGTCCAAGTTGCTACATAGTCTTCATAAGTATCATTCCTAATGGTTGACTGGTATTCCTTTGTGCGTGTAAGCCATAATTTCTAAATTATGGGTAATTAATTTTGAATTACACATTATCCTATTATTCATTAGATTCAATTCAAAGCAAACTTAACTATCATGATTGCTCCAAGATCTAGATTTGCCTGTAGCTCATGTCATTGTGTCTAATAGACTATAGCAGTTTTCTCTCTTTTATCGATTCTGTCATTTGTTAGATGCAACAATAGAACCCAATTTGTATACATGTAACAAATTATATAGGAGTTTATCACATTAATAATGATGCATAAGAAGTGAGGGCATTTGTTGTTGGTAACTATTATGCAACACTGGTAGTATGCTTACTATAAAATATGCTACCTTGATCTTTATCCTTCTTCCAAACTGCTCAATCAAAATTAATTCATCTCTTCCCCTTCCTTCCTACAGCAACATGTTAGAGTCGTTCTTGGAGAGCTTATCCACTTCTTCTGCCAGTTACATTCTCTTGCGTGCATACACCAACCCACCCTCCACCCTCGATCCCAAGCTCTCGCTGGGCAGGAATGGCTTCCACTTTTAGTGATCCCTGGACTGCTGATGCAATAGCCTCCGTGCAGTCTATGTTCAGCAAATGTGATAGCACTCTGCTTTTGTTTTCGCCTGTAATGTTTGAGGAAGGCAAAGTTGGGAAGCATAAAGATGTTAAAGATGTTTGCTCTCTTGTTTTTCTTCCGCCAGTGGGATGGAGTAGGACCTCTTCCAGACTGTGCTGAACCACCAAAAGGGATCCAGATGCTGTGGCACCCATCAATAGTCAAACCCTACCTCACACTGCTCTCTGAGTGCTCAAATCCAGACACGCTGGAAGGGGCGGCAGGCGCCCTGCAGAACTTGGCTGCAGGGAGCTGGAAGGTATGGCCAGTTCATTACAATAAAAAGAAATCTGGAGTTATGAGCAACTCCTCAGAAAACAATATAAGTCCAGTTTTGAGAAATGCAACTCTAATAAAGATTTCTAGGATGTTAGAGAAAAAAAAATTATATTGAACTGTTTTACTTGGAAATGTATTCCTTTTAAAAATTGATCTTAAAGGCTCAGGAGTCCTTGAAGATCACTACAAACAGAGAGGACTAGATGTGGTTATAGTCACTGAAAATGCTGTGAAATGTTTTTCATTCTATTCTTGTAGCTGAGCTACTTTGTTTTCAGTGCAGATTGTGACAGGTTGATATTTTTTCAAAGCACTATCATTAACTGGTAAGAGAGTTAATGCTCAAATACCTGTGTAAAATCCCATGTGAACACTTAAAATGTACCGGGTCCCAGCCCCAAAAGAAAAGAAAAGAAAAGAAAAGAACCCCTTATGTTTTTAAAGCATGGGCTTACAGAGAAGAATAGTATTGTTAGTTGACTTTGGCAAACATGTTAAAGTAAATTTATGATTGGAGAGGAGATTAGAACAGCCTTTTTCTGAGTCCTTATAAACTAACACTGTTCCTGATTGATTTTCATAACACTCATTTTGGGCAAAAAGAGATTCACCATAGTAATTCATTCCTGAGTCTGGTCACCAATGCGCTAATTTGCTTTGTTGCATAAAAAAGTTTGACCTATTAGAAGAATGAGGGCAGGTGGGGAGAATACCAAGAGAGAAAGTTTGCACTTCTGCCATGCATGTTCCATTAATCTCATATCAAATCCTGGGGTGTGGGATATTCATCAATCACTCCTTTCCTTTACATTTATTTTCATCCAAACCATGTTAACATATACACACGGACATCAGAAGCTCAAGGCCATAGATGTCACACACTCACCACACCCTGGCCTCAACATTATGTAACTACACCCTCCCCTTTGCTTATTCCTTTGGATGTCTGCCTTCTTGTCATTCTCTCTGTCATCCTTTGTTTCCATTACTACAGTCCAAGCTACAGAACTTCCTTCTTTCTCAAGTGTGCCATCCCAGCTCATGGGTGCCAGGCCCTGACAATTCTTCCTACAGAGCTAGCCGCTGCCCCATGCCAGACCCACTTCTTCTCCTAAGAGTCTTAGGAATGGGCATAATTAGCCCTTTTCTACACCCTGCCCATAGACAGCCCTAGAGTTGTACACATCTCTTGCTTGCAACCAGAGATTGGTAGAGAAAAGCTTCAAAAGCAGAGTTGCACCAGGTAGACATCCCAAGCATAGTCTTACAGGAGCAGGAAAGAGATACTAATGGAAATCACTTCCTGGAATGAGGACTTACATCTTATGTCTCTCTAAATTTAGCGTGATCTAGGAAGCTTTGACTCAAATCACAGTTCAAACCGAGGCTCCACCTTTTCTGAGCATGGTGAGCCTGGGCAAACTACAGCATATCACTGTGTCTCAGATGTGTCATCTGCAGAGAAAATCAGGGCTGCCTCACTCTACATCATGCACATCAGTCACAACGCTGGATGCAAGGATGGTAGCAAGATGTGATAGGCCAAGACACTGTATGTGCCCATGACCACTCACGTGCTCATGAGCTAAAAGACCCTACCCAGCTCCCCTGCCTTGCAGCACTAACTAGATGGGTACAGGAAAATGGGCTCTGGGCTTCAGGCATCAGCCTGACTAAGACACAAAGATCTAGATTGTGGCAAATCAGGTGTGCCATCTTAAGATGTTGTTTCTCTCTCTCTCTCTCTCTCTGTCTCTCTCTCTCTTCCTCCCTCCCTCTGTCTCTCTCTTCTTTCTCTCTTCCTTTATTTTTATCAATTATCATTTTCCTTGAGAAATACTTATTTCATTATCATGTAATAATAACAACTTAAAAGTGGAGAAATATCTTTGGCCTCTAGAAGATTTTGAATGTAAGACTTCAACCTTTCAACTCTATATTCCATATGTTCAAAAAGTAGAAATAGGAAAAATATGTAAAAGAACAAACTCAAGCTTCTAGAATTAAAATATAATGCCTCATTTACACCATGGAATACTATGCATCCATAAAAAAGGATGAGTTCATGTCCTTAGCAGGGACATGGATGGAGCTGGAAACCATCATTCTCAGCAAACTAAAACAGGAACAGAAAACCAAATACCACATGTTCTCACTCGTAAGTGGGAATTGAACAATGAGAACACATGGAAACAGGGAGGAGAACATCACACACCGGGGCCTGGCAGGGGTGGGGGGCTAGGAGAGGGATAGCATTAGGAGAAATACCTAATGTAGATAACGGTTGATGGGTGCAGCAAACCACCATGGTATGTGTATACCTGTGTAACAAACCTGCACATTCTGCACGTGTATCCCAGAACTTAAAGTATAATAAATATAATATAATATAATGCCTGAACAAAAATTATGTGGAATGGGATTAACAGCAGATTATAAGATTACAGAATAAAAGATTAGTGAACTTGAAGACAGCAATAGGAATGATCCAAAATGAAACACAAAGAAAAAAGAAGAAAAAATGAACAGTGCATCAGTGAGCTTCAAGTGACCTCATATATGTGTAAACGGAGTCCCCAAATGAGAGAAGAAAGAGAACAGAAAAAAATATTTTAAAAAATAATGGTTGAAAATTTTCCAAATTTAATGAAAACTATAAACTCACAGATCTAAGCAGCTCAAGGAGCCCCAGGCACAGAAAACAGGAAGAAAAAATACCAAGGTATATTTTAATCAGATTGCTCAAAATTAGTAACAAAGAAAAAAAATCCTAAAAGCGGACAGATAAAAAAGACATGTTAAAGTACAAAGAACTGCGCCACATCTAAACACCAAATTTAAGGATCAGTGGCACTAATCATTCATTCATACAATGATTCCTTCTGAGCTGCTAAGACTGTCCTCTAGAAGAGAATTTAGTCTGTACGCCCCTTATGGGCAGACCAAGCCCCATTTATCTTTCTGTCCCACTGACTACCCCTGTGATTGGCTGAGCGAAAAAATTCAAATGTGATTATTTTTCTCAATTACTATCCATGTCTATATGTCTTCCTTGAGGGTTGCAGTGTTTTCTATTTATTAATGTCTACTAGTCAATAAGAATTTGGTAGCACATATTATGTTCCAGGCCATCCTCAGATGGTCACATTTTATGATATTTTGATTCTTTGGTTCAGCTGGCAATATACTGTCAATACAATGTAAAATTGATAGAAAGAAGTTATGAGAGAACCATTTTCTTTTCAGTGTTCAGACTGAACAATGTTTTGCAGGTTGCAGAGCTCAGTAGCAAAGGGCCAGTTCTGCGGTTCCTACTGTGCTGAGATTTCCGTGTAAGTTTGCAGGTTCCGTATCTCAGGGGCAACCAGATCAGCTGCAAGAACTGCTTAGATATGTGTGGATCTTTAGGTGTGTAGAGTAAGAAAATGACAAGTTTAAAAAGCATTTACTATTTTTATATTTTAAGAGTCTCTTCTACTTTACATAATGGGAATTATGGAAGAAGTATGATAATTATTCTTAATATTTTCTGGCAATAGCCTCTTACTGTTTCCAGCACAATAAATCTGTGCATTAGTTCAGCACAGTTATTCCACATATCCAGAGCGCATTTCTTTGGTAAATTTCTCTACTGCTAAGCGAGTAGAGAATAATAGGAAAATGGCAGAAAGGTCTAGAATAGCCAAAGTCAGCATAACAGAAGCTGTTCTGTTTTAGACAAAGCTTAACAATGACGACCATAGATTTCCCTGTCCTTATCGGAAATCAACATGTTAAAAAATGCAAGAACTGGCCAGGTGTTGTGGCTCACGCCTGTAATCCCAACACTTTGGGAGGCTGAGGTGGATGGATCATGAGGTCAAGAGATCAAGATCATCCTGGCCCTGTCTCTATTAAAAATACAAAAATTAGCTGGGCATGGTGGCGTGTGCCTGTAGTCCCAGCTACTCAGGAGGCTGAGGCAGGAGAATCCCTTGAACCTGGGAGGCGGAGATTGCAGTGAGCCAGGATCACGCCACTGCACTCCAGCCTGGTGACAGAGTGAGACTCCATCTCAAAAAAAAAAAAAAAAAAGCAAGAACTCTTGTAAGCAGACACATAGACCATCATAAGGAGGGAGAGTAGATACTGTGGTGGCAAAGAGAAAAGACAGAGGAGTTAGGAAAACTGAATATAAGAATGCAAGAAAGAAAAACTGTCAGAGACCATTTAATGTCATGGCTGTTCCATCTACTCTGCGAGTCATAAAGTTGGCCCTCTGTCATCAAGAAAATGTTATTACTAGTAATTTTAGAAGACAGAAAGCATTTGCAAAAGATTTCCATCCCAATGGTTAAAGTAGGATTTTGCCTCTTAGGATGTCAGTCTTGCTTATGAGAAGCGCTGCTTCCCTAATAATTCTAGATAATGGGATAGTTCTCAGGCATGACGAGAGGCTGATAAGTAATATTTGGGAGTAATTATAAATATGTACATACATATATAAACATTTCTTATCAAAATACAAGTACACATATAGGGATCAGTCACATTATCATCATCTTTTGTATAATATACTATTTTGCCATGTTTCATGGGAAGAGCAAGTGGACAATTCTTAGGGAAGATTTCAGAAGATTATCATGAAGCCAAGCAATGATGAATTATTATAATTTCAAGAAGACAAAGGATGAGTTGTCCAGAAACCAAACAGATAAATCCTTACTTTTAAAAAGATGATTTCAGAAAAAAGTATTGAATTATTAAAAGATTGAGTTAGGATACACAACAGCATATAGTGTTACCATCTGAAATCTAGAATTCAAAGAATGCATTTTTATAGCAACTGTTAAAATTTAGTGGTATTTCTTTAGTGTTCTTAACTTTTTATGACCCAACAAAAACAGAAATGTAGAGGTAAAATACTATAATTTTGCATGGAGACAGCTTTTTATAGACCTCATCATCTAAAACAATAAATTCTCTTTATAGGAAGATCATGCACACTCTTTTTCTGTGACAAATTGACTAGCAAACTAGATATTCATAATGGCCCTAAACACTTTTTAAACTTTAAAACACTCATTACTTGGTTTATGAGCATCAGAAAAACATAATGTTATTATGGCAGAAGCAAAGTGATAAATGTTTTTCATTGCCAACATGGACTTCAGTTACCTTTTTCTCATTTATAGTACAGTGATTTTGTTTGTTGCAGACTATTAAAACAATTGGGTATAGTGCTTTGAAGATTTCCAAAATGTGAACGAATGTTCTTTTAACTCCCGTTTATGGATTATTTCTATTGTACTTGAGCTTTCTGAAAACCCAGGATTTGAACTGTAGAAATATATCTGTACTTGCTATGAAGTCAAACATTTTAAAATCTTTGTACACTCAGTTTTCCTCCTAAAGTGTGACTCTTTTCAAAGCATCTGTTATTTGCCATTTATTTTAAAAATAAGACAGAACAAAGAGAGACTTGGATGTTAATCTATTAATATTTAATGAGCTAACGTAATAGCAACATGGACTTAGTGAAGAAGGAAACAGAATCTCTGGCCGTGTGCCCCAAATGAATAAAAAATGCAAGAGAACTGGGAAATTAGAGACTTGTCCTTAGAGAGAGAGATAACAGCCTTGAGAAAGACTGACTTTAGCATAGCTTAGTAGGTAGTGTATCATGTAAAAGTGAACCAGGGCAGATTAGTGGAGTCTATCAAACGCAAGTTAAGAATCATGGTTTATTGTCTAAGACAAAGTGACTTGTCTTTGTTCTAGTTAATGGTGTGATGCCAAGCTTTAGATTTAAATGTAAAGAAACAGAGTTTTGAAAGACTGTGATGAAAATACAACGCGAAGCATCGTGCCTCATCAATTAGAAACTAGGCCAGTATAAACACAGAGGTGATCAGAGCACCCTGTCTAGTCAGCAGTGTCCTGGAGATGGTACACTCAGACACAGGCAATGACCAGTCTGTTGCAGGACAAGAACAGACCCACTCTGTGGAGCAGGAGATGGGAGGAGCATGGCCACAACCAGGTCATTGGTCCTAATCACAGGACTCAGTGATTTCTTCCCTGCAAGACCCGGGAAGCAGCACGGATAGCAAAGACCACATCTGTGTTGCAAATGCCACATGCATCCAAATCGATAAATGGAGAAAACCCATTTTTAATAGTTTTGCATTAATTTTAGTACTGTCATTGGATGATCTGATTTCTAAAGTTCTAAATTACAGAACTTTAAAGTTGTAGAAACAGCTGAACCAGAGGGATTTCCACTTCCAGCCAAGATGCCAAGATGGAATGACAAGGTTCAAATTTACCTTTCTTCAAGGAAAAACAACAGCAACAAAGAAAAGACATATGTGAAACATTGGGGTTTTTTAGTAAGACACTAGACATTAGTCAGCAAAGGACAATGATCTCTGAAAGACAGGAAACAAAAGAAGGTGAGTCCTCTGATTGTCTCAGCTCACCACCTTGAGAGAGAGTTTCCAAGCCATGGTATGAAGATTGAGGGACCAGGGGGATCTCGGTAGACTCACTGTGTTCAGGAGATGGATCGGGGAATCGGGAGATATCAAAGTGATCAGAGTTCATAGGACAAAATATCAAAGAGGAGAGAGCCACACATAGAACCCTAGAGATGTGCAGAGGACTCCCCTTAAATATTCAACAGAGAACTCTCAGCACATGTGTCTGAGGCAAATACCCAAGGCTGGGAAAGAAACACCTGAAATTATTAGGGAGAATGAAATCGGACACTCATGTGGGGGTGCATATAGTGCATGTTCTCAAGAGCCAGAGAAGAAAATCTCATAATCCATGGGCCACTGGGGAGAATAGTCAGTAGGGTCTTGCCTCAGTACAGAGGAATAATTAGCCCTGGACTAACCATGCTCTAGTCTTTCCTATCAAATCTTAAATTAGACCCAAAAGGATCAACAGTTTCCAAGTAAATTAACTGCATCCTAGAACAAAGCTTTAAGATACCCGTAGGAATACAAAAATATTCAGCACCCAACAAATTAAAATTGAGAATGTCTGGCATACAACTAAAAACTATCCTGCAAGTAAATAGAAAATGCAATCCATAATAAGGAGAAAAATAAATAAATGAAAACTAAGAACTGACAGATGTTAAAATTATCAAATAAGCAATTATTATAACAGTATTCCATGTGTTCAAAACATTTTAAAAGTTACACATGGAAAATGTATAAAAGACTCAAATAAAACCTCTAGAGTCTGAAATGCAGTGTCTGAAATGAAAAATACATGGGGTGTGATTAACAGCAGTTTAGACATTGCAGAGGAAAAGATCAGTGAACTTGAAGACAATAGAAGCTATCCAGCATGAAACACAGAAAGAAAAAAGAAAGGTACAGATCATCTGTGGGTGTCAAGTGGCACCCGCTATATGTAGACAGAGTACCCTAATGAGAGGACAGAGAAAGGAGGAAGAGAATAGGAAAAAATTTTTGAAAAAATAATGACTGAAAATTTCCCAAATTTAATGAAACTCATACACTCACAGATCAAAGCAGCTTAAACAGCCTCAAGCACAAGGAACATGAAGAAATAAAACCAAGGTGCATCAAAATCAAACTGCTCAAAGTCAGCAATAAAAAGAAAATCTTCAAAGCATCCAGAGGAAGAAAAGACATGTTCCATACAAGATAAGGAAGACCGCAGATTTCTTATCAGCAACAACGCCAGTGAGAAGACAGGGAGGCAGCATCTATAAAGCACTAAAAAAAAAAGAAAAAAAAGGCTGAACTTACTGGGCTCAATCATATATTAAATTGACTTTTAGTTTGGTGTCTAGCAGACACAGCCTATCCCTAAAGCAGTGGTCCCCAACATTTTTGGCACCAGGAACCAGTTTCGTGGAAGACAATTTTTCCGTGGATCCAATGGGGCGAGGAATAGTTTTGGAATGAAACTGTTCCACCTCAGATCATCAGGAATTAAAGTCTCATGAGGAGCATGCAACCTAGATCCCTCACATGCACAGTTCACAATAGGGTTTGTGCTCCTATGAGAATCAAATGCTGCTGCCGATCTGACAGGAGGCAGAACTCAGGCGGTAATGCTCACTCACCTACCACTCAACTCCTGCTGTACGGCCCAGTTCCTAACAGGCCACAATACTGGTCTGCGGCCCGGGGGTTGGGGCCTTCTGCCCTAATGGGAAGTCCTAGTCCACCAATTGCACTGAGAGCACTTGTAAAACTACCTGTACATGAAACCCATTTTCAGCCCAGTTTAAGACATGGGCTAACCTGTCACCTGAGCAGTCAACTTCACAGAGGAATTCTAACACAAAAACTTAGATGAAATTGACACAGCATGATCACAGCGCTATGGTGGCTCCGGACATGCCACCTCAGTATTCTGTTCTTCAGTCCTGGAGACAAACAAGTATTCATAAGCCCTGAGTCAAAGGTTCCAGCACCACACCAGGGGCCTCAGAATGAAGGGATTTGTTTGGCTTTAGAACACACTCCCAAAGGAGCATGTAACCATTTTATTTATCTATCTATCTATTTATTTTTTTTGAGACAGAGTTTCGTTCTGTCACCCAGGCTGGTGTGCAGTGGTGGGATCTTGGCTCACTGCAACCTCTGCCTCCCTGGTTCAAGGGATTCTCCTGCCTCAGTCTCCCGAGGAGCTGGTATTACAGGAGCCTGGGCCAAGCCCAGCTAATTTTTGTATTTTTAGTAGAGATGGAGTTTCACTATATTGGCCAGGCTGGTCTCGAACTCCTGGCCTCAAGTGATCCGCCCTCCTTGGCCTCCGAAAGTGCTCGGATTACAGGCGTGAGCCACTGTGCCCAGCTGTGTAACCATTTTAAACCCTAGCAGTCGTTTTGTGGAAGTGGTTAGAATTTTTTGGCCCTGTTAGTAATTTCAGTGGCTTTGATCCTTTTTGCATAGTTCCCCTCTGTGCAGAATGCTGTTGTTAAATCATCAGACTTGATGCTGTAAATCAACCTGACATCTTTTTTCATCAATTAAACAGTTTAAAATCTCCAACTGTGGGCCAAAAAAGACAAGACAATTGAGATAAATAGATGAATATGACTCGGTCTCTTCCCTTACAATATGGTAAACATGTAAACAAAGTGTCTACAAAATCCATTACAGATGCTGCTATAGCAGTATGTGCCGGCACAGGGCCATCCATGAGGTTGTTTTTGCAATGAAGTGGAGGAGGTGAGGAAGCACACTTCCAGCATTGCTTGTTAAAGCCTTAGGGCTAGGGTTCCATGATTGAGAGTTTATTTTAGTACACTAGCATAGTATTTAGGAGAGTGCTAACTGCTATAACAAAGAGACCCCCACATAGGCAAATACCCAAGCGAGATAAGTTATTTTCTCCTGATGTCACAGTTAAGAGCAGGTTAAGGCAGAAGTTCCCCTCCACGAATTAATTCACCCAGGCTGATAGCTGTTCTGCCATCTTCAATGTGTGACTTAGAGGACTGCTGTTGTCATCACTATCCACCAGCAGGAAGCAAAAACAACAGCAGCAAAAACACAAGTTCATAACAACATATGTTCTCTTATGAAAGTCAAGATCACAGCTCTATGTCCCTTCTCATAGGCTGGGCTCAGCTCCTAGCCTCTAGTACACAGATGTCTTCATAAACTCATCCCCTACCAGCAATCAATAATAATTTGCAGTAAGGTCATCTAAATCCAGATCCAAGAAAAATAAGATTCTGTCTTCTGAAGAATTTGCTAATATATTAGATTTATACTAGACTATTAGAAAATAAAACACACTATCTTAGTAAAATATAATTGCACTGTAGTTAACTTACTACCTAAGACTTCAGCAAAAACTTTGCCTTATAGTTGCAAGACTGAAAGGGCTTATCAATAGGGCCCCTCCAAACTGTGCCCTAAAGATACATTTCAGATTTCTCCCTCCCCATATCCAAAAGAAAGAAATTGCTTAATATTCCAAAAATGGCATGTTTTCTGGTTCCAAAAGAAAAACATGAAGTCCAGATCACTTCCACCCATGAGGCACTATGTTTAAAGAGAAAAAAAAATATGTAGATGAAAAGTTTTCTGACTTAGTGCCTATTAACTTAGAACAAGAAACAACTGAATTAATTTTATTTTCCTAAATTGGATAAAAATATCACCAAATCTTCCATGTCTGTGAATGTAGTGGCTCAGAGCCTGCACCTCTCAACCACCACTCTTGTTTAGAGGGTAGTAGTGTGAGCAGTTTCATTTTGGACCTCCACTGTGGTCAGTTTCCCCTTCTCAATGGTGTATTCATGCATCACTGTTACTAAGGAACACACAGGGGTCTCAGAATAAGATCTGAGGCAGCCTGAGTCTCATACCATGCACTGTCTATCATTTAACAGGGTTGTATTTAGTTCCCCAGAAGGCATTTCTAGATACCAGTTGCACACAAGGATGACATCTCTAATATTTGATTACATCCACAGTAAAAACAAACAAAAAACCTTTTCATGTTCAGAAAGTTTCCTTTTTTAAAGAAATTTTTTAATTGAAAATTACTAATCCTTGAGATAGCTTGAGAGTTGGGGAATGAGTATGCTTCTTCCAATCTCTTCAGTGAATGCTTCCTCTGGGTCACTTTTACTTGAGCTTGACCTTCTTTGTTTGTTCTTACTACAAAAACACATCTAAATGTTTTCCCCCCAGGAAATTATCTTGCCTGTACATTAATATTTTGAGCATTGCATAAACATATGGGCTAAAATTCAGTCTTTGCCCTAACTTGACTTAGATTTTTAAAATTCAGACAAAGAAACAACAGCAACAAAAAACACTAAACATGCAATAGTTGCCATTGCCTTAACCAAAATTTGTGCTTATTAAATTGATTTATTTCTTTACTAACAGAATGGAATTCTTCACTAGTCATCTTGACTAGAGATACCAGTTTTCAAAATAGATTTAGAAATTTTGAAAACAAAGTTATGTAAATCCATAACATAACTCTGGATGTGAAGAGCCAACACCTGACTTCTATATCCATTGCAGAGTAACCCCATCATTTGAAGGACCTTGTGCTAATACCACCCCATTATTTCATAAATCCTAGAGCAGGAACCAAGCACAGTTCCTTTCCAGCTGGGAGAATCTGGTAATTCAAATAATAATCCATTCTAGACAGAATAATCTGGGGCATACAGCAAAAGCCATGCCGTTTCCTAATATTTTATGCATTGTTTTTATAATAAACTACTGGTAAAAATAAGACTAACTAAATAAGCTTTTCAGTGCAGGAGGTGTTTCCTACCCTCTTGTCATGGGAATGAGACACCCTGGTATTGTAAATAAATTCAGAAACAAATTTAGGAATCACATGCCATTTGTACCAAATTCATTGTATGTATTTTTCATTGGAAGAGTTTGGTTTTAAAATTTGACTTTACCTTGTTAAAAGAAAAACTGAGGATATGGCTAATTTGATAAAGAAAATTAATGCACAAATGATTATTTAACTGAAAATCATTTAATTGCAGACTATACTTCTAACACAAGAGTACTTTTAGAATATAGAGAATTATTCAACAAATTCAGAATTTTAGCACTATAATGGATTCAGCCTCAGAAGAGAATATTTAGTACTTAAAGGAAAACACTGTCATTGTAATTTAGCAAATTATTAGGATTTCAATGAGGAAAAGCTAGTTAAATTATAGTATTAATCTCCTTTCAGGAACAAATAGGCCTTCACAGAATCACCTCAGTTTCAGCAAGGGGGAACTTTTTGGAAAAATTATGACCATCAGTTGTATTTATAGCTGGGCTGGGATTTGTAAAAGTCAAATCCCTGGAAATCCACATTAGAATGAGACAGTCTGGCCTTAAAGGGTTAAAAGATACTGACTTCTCCTTGTTACCAAATTCTCAATACATACAACTAGGAATTTCATGGGACACAAACTTGTGTGCAAGTATCTTTGTTAATTTACTTCAGGTTCATCTCTGAGCCCTCATTTGCCTGATGCCAACAAATAGAAAGGAAAGAAATGTGAATCTCAACATTTCTAGGCAAACCCAGTCAAATTCAGCTGTTTCCCAGTCCCGTCAGTCTGCAAGCGTGGCCACATTTTACGTTCCTCACCTTCATCCTCTCCTGCCCCTGCAGTTGGTGCTAAACTTGGGGGTCTTACAGGTATAGTCCCGCACAGAGGATGGGGGTGTGGTGTCCATTTCTCAGTGTAGAATCAACTCTGTTCTATGCAGCCTCTTCTCCAGGACACACATGGACGTGGTGATTGGTGATTGGACCATCTCCGGTCCAGGGTCCTGTCTTGGCCCACACCTGCCTCCATCCCTTTTGAGCTCCCCTGAAATCCAACCACCTCCTCTCCTTAATCCAGAGAGGCACCGTCTGCTCCCACCATGTGCTCCACTGATGTGTCTCCTCCCTTCTGGCCAAGTAACCCCTCTGCAGCCCTGGGTCCTTCGTTTCTCCTCCTCAGCTAACCTACACACCCCACCCATTCAAGAACACCCTCAGCAGCTACCCCTTGCCACACTGGGGCTACACGAATCCTCCCAGCCCTCCCCAGCCCAGCAAGCCATGTCACTGTTCCTGCCCTGTGGCTGCCATTCTGGGATGGTACAGGAGACTTCACTGAGTCTTGCTCAGCCACTGCAGTCATCCTAGAAGAGCAGCCAAACTGTGGAGTTTCCATTCTCCCATCTTCAAGGGGGATGTCATCCTCAGTCCCCCTTATCCATGGAGGGGGGCTTGTCCAGGAGGACTCCAGGGATCAGCTGGCAGCCCCCACAGTGCTGCCGCATCTCTTGCTTCCTCTCCAAACTGCATCCTTTCTTTCCCCAGCATGGAGGCTCTGTATTGACTAGGGAGAGGGCAAATTATTTTCTCCCTGTTCCAATTCTCTTTCAAATATATTCCATCTTTTACCTGGATCTGTGCCCTCTAGCCTTAGACAATACATGTTTGCTGCTTCTCTGTCCCATGCTGACAACACTTCTTTGGGTCAAATAATGGCCTGAGCCTCTCCCCAGGAAGAGGAGTGCAAAAGCTTTGTCCCATCACCTGCAGGAAGGGATCCTTTCCTGACACAAGCGAGAAATTCCAATTAGACATGACTTCTTGTATTGGACCTACTAAATCTGGACAAATTGGTCTCATTTACTGTGATAACATTGGAAATCTTCTATATACACACAAACATACACATAACTAACCTTTCAAAATGAAAGCTATTTTCTATGTCTCAATAATAAAAATATCAAATCTATTGTCTGGTTATCCTTTCTTTCTTAGGGAAAACACATCACTGCTCACCAGTTTCTCGTATCAAAAATGTGTTTCTATATCATCCACATTTTTGGTCCTAAGTAGCCTTTTTTGTTATTGTTGCTCTCAAATCAATTCCCAGCAAAGCTGAAGGATTCCCATTATTCTCCAAATACCAAATCACCTTTTCATCCAGCATTGGGGGGTGTGGCTAGTACCTGGACTTCTAAGGACAAAGTTATGTCCATTTATTCTTGGCTCATTTCAGATGTGGCCAGGTTCTCCTCTGTCTGTGTCTGGAAGGATGGAGGGAAAGGCTAGGTCATATCTGGGAGACTGAGCATGGAGGATTAAAGGAGAGGGGATGAGATGATGGTAGAGGGGGTATAATGTCAGCAGCATAAAAAAAGACAGATATGAAGTAACAGGACCCAGAGTCAAGGGCACAGGTGTCTCCTGTGGGCAGGTTATTGAATATCTTTGTGCCTAAATTTCCCCCTGTATAAAATAAAAATGCTGACCTCCCTGGAGTTTCAAGAATTAGAAGAGATCTCAAATATATAAGCCAGTCGCATGGGGCCTGCAAAGAAGTGGTATGGTGGAAGAGATGAACTCATCTTCCCCAGTTCATCTCTTCCCCACCAGGCTGAGGGCACTTGCATCAGCCTGCCTAAGTTGCCAGGAGTACCCCTGCCATCTCCCAGAAGGTCAAGAATATCTCCCCGATGTTGCAAGTTATTGTTGATGTTCCTTTTGCAATATGTCATTGTTGACCCCACACCCTGATTTGCATTCTCTTCCTTTTTCTAGCTTCTCTCCTTAGTTTTAGGGAAGATCCCAGGATTAAGTGGGCTGCATAAGCTCAGATTTCCAGGCTTTTCCAAGCTGGGGACTGGAGACTCAGCAGGGCACAAGGAGTAGGGGAGGCAGATGTGTCCACAGGAAGTCATGTTTCAGCATGTCGGTTAAATGCATCGATGGAAATTGGCATTGTACCAGGAGAAAGGGCTTCCTCCCTGGGAGGGGATATCAGTTCCGGATTCCCACATCCCAAGAAGCAGTTTGCAAACCTCAATGTTTTGTCATGTCTGACACTTCCTAACCTTCCACTTCTTTGCTCCCTGAAAGTGGAGCTGTCAAATAGTTCACTGCAGCCAAGAGATGCTTTAGTGAGCTTTACCTGCTCCCTACCCCCTCAAGGCTTCCTAGAGCTTGAGATACAAAGTAGAGGTGAGACAAAAGCATACAGTGTGGGTTGATGGTGATAAGAAACTGTGTGAATGTGATTTCTAATGTAGGACAGGATGAAGTTGTTTTTTTGATTTCATATTTCATGCAGGGCTGGGCTGAGGATGTGGCAGGCATGGCATATGCCCTACGTTCACTGCCAGAGGGGGCTCCCTGCCTGCCACAGGTGAGAGCCAGCTCTGGGGTGCCTGCCCCCATGGGGGAAGGGGGGTGGAGGTGGCCTGGTGGGGGGACTGGGTGGGAAAGGACTGGTCCCCAGGAGGACCCTACCACAGAATCCACAGCCTCATTGCGTGAATGTAATTTTCTTAAATCAAAATGAAATTGCAACAGGTAAAACCCTTACATTTGTGAATTTTTATATTGTACTCTCTTCTCCAGGACACTGTAGAAGAGTATACATCATACATACAAATGTCTGAAAACGTGGGCCTGCATTCTGTTAAGTGAATGGGAATGCTTTATCATCCTGATATTGCAAGGACATTTTAATATGACGCATTACCTGTGTTCCATTAAGGCTGACGACCACCAACCCAAAACAAATTTCATGTCCTACTTTATAAAGAAGACATTGAATTATGGCCCTGAACATTATACAGTTTAACCTTAATGTTTTTTAAAAAACATTTTACCATGTGCACTCTTGCTTTTCAATGTCATATTTACATTTATCCACCCCTGCCTATTTCTGACTAGTTGACTCTTTATTGTTCAGCAAACGACTTATTGACAGCACGTTCAGCAACTCACCTGTGTGCCCCATCTCCAAATTCAAAGCTGTCTTGAGAAATCACTCCCACACAACCCATTCTCATTTTCTACTTTTTCAGGGTTCTTGTTTTATTTCTCTTTAATGCCACTGGCCACATCCGCTTGTCCCAAACCTCTGTATCTTGAAGCATCAAGTATACGCATCACGCAAATGGCTTTCAACTTCAAGTACTGAAAACAGTGTCACAAAAGAAACCTAATGTGGTTCACTGATTAACCCTGAAATCTTTGTCCCCAAGTTGAAGGCAAAAAATACAGTTAAAAAGTTTAAATGCATGTCTAACGTATTCAACCCATTCTACAACTAGGTCTTGGTAATTCAACCTTTTTGGCTCCTGTAAGCAGCCGCCTGAAAACGCAAATGTACTATTTGCATGCAGGGTTTCTTCCTGTTTCTAACGCCCTTCGCCTTCCCTGTTTTTGCAGTGGTCAGTATATATCCGAGCCGCTGTCCGAAAAGAGAAAGGCCTGCCCATCCTCGTGGAGCTGCTCCGAATAGACAATGACCGTGTGGTGTGCGCGGTGGCCACTGCGCTGCGGAACATGGCCTTGGACGTCAGAAATAAGGAGCTCATCGGTATGTTCTCCCTGATTCACAGTGTCTCAAGTGTTAAGTGAAAATATTTTCTCTAGGGGTAGGTGTGGTTGAACCCGTATGCATAGCCTATGCTTACACAGAAGCCGTGCATTTATTAGCAGCCTCATTTTTTCTGCTGTCCTTCTGATTTAAATCCACTGCACTGAGTCATCTTTTAGAATTTAGAGGAAAATGTGATGCTCGTTGACATTTCTAATCCTTGCAAATTAAAAAGAACCTCAATGCTCGGCACAGGATACCGTTGTCTCAATCCTCTGAATCTCTGACAGGCTGTTTGTTTGTTTCCCATGCAGTGAACTGAGGAATTCTGATAGGATTACTTTTCTTCCCCTCTCTATTTTAAATTTATTTTGGATGAGACCACTAGCCCTTTAATCCTATTCTTTTAAGAAATTATCTCTCTTTAATTTGGTATTCAAGAAATACAGAGGATCTTTTATTAATAAGGCACAAAAGAGGTAATACATTCACCTGTCTATTCAACAAAACTCATGGCCTGCTTTGTTCCAGGCCTGTTCTAGGCCCAGAGATTAAATCAATAAGCAAAACAGACAGAAAGCCCTGCCCTTGTGGAGTTTACATTCAAGAGAAGGAGATGTTCAAGAAGCAAACTAAACAAATGAATCACAAAATGGAGCTGAGTAAAGGGTAATTAGTGAGATTGCAAATTTCTTTTTAATTGAGATATCCACATAACATAAAATTGACCACTTTAAAGTCTACCATTTTAGTGGCATTTAGTATATTCATAATGTTGTACAATCACCACCTGTATCAAGTTTTAAAACATTTTCATCACCCCAAAGGCAAACACTGTTCCCATTAGCAATCACTCTCCATCCCCCTTCTCCAGCCCCTGGCAACCATCAATCTGCTCTCTGTCTATGGATTTTCCTATTCTGGGTATTTGGTATAAATGGAATCATAGAACATATGACCTTTGTGTCTGACTTTTTTCACTTAGCATAAGGATTATGTTTCTTTAATGGTAAACTAGTAAGTTATAATCATAGACATTCATGGGACACAAAGTGATGTTATGATATACAGGTTGAGGGTCCCTAATCCAGAAGTCCAAAATCCTGAAATGCTGCCGAATCCGTAATTTTTTGAGTGCCAACATGATGCTCCAATGAGCATTTCCAATTTTGAATTTTTAAATTAGAGATGCTTAACTGGTATGTATTCTGCCAATATTCCCAAATCCGAAAACATCTAAAATCCGAAAACACTTCTGGTCCTAAGCATTTTTGGATAAGGGGTTCTCAACCTGAATGCATACAATGTGAACTGATTAAATCAAGCTGATTAACATTTCATCTCTTCAAATAATTATCTTATCTTTGGTGGGAACATTTGAAAATTTACTCTTAGCAATTTTGAAATATAAAATACATTATTATTAACTGTAGTCACCTTGTTGCATAATAAATCTCAAAAAATCTGTTCTTCTCAAGTGAAACTTTGCACCCTTCCACCAACATCTCCCCATTCCTCTTACCTTCAGTCTCTCATAACCACCATTCTACCTTCTGCTTCTACAAAGCATGTTTGTGTGTGTGTGTGAGTGTGTGTGTGTGTGTGTGTGTGTGTGTGTGTGTGACAGGGTCTCATGTGTTGCTCAGGCTGGAGTGCAGTGGCATAATCTTGACTTACTGCAACCTCCACCTCCCAAGTTCAAACAGTTCTCCTGCCTCAGCCTCTCGAGTAGCTGGGACTACAGACACGTGCCACCATGCCCAACTAATTTGTGTATTTTTTAGTGGAGGTGGGGCCTCACCATGTTGGCCAGGATGGTCTCGAACTCCTGACCTCAGGTAATCCACCCACCTCGGCCTCCCAAAGTGCTGGAATTACAGGCATGAGCCATCGGCACCCAGCCTATGCTTCTATAAATTCATTTGTTTTAGATTCTACATTTAAGTGAGATCATGTGGTATGTGTACATATGTAAGTGGCTCATTTCACTTAGCATAATGTCCTCCAGGTTCATCCATGTTGTTGTAAAGGACAGGATTCCCTTCCTTTCTGTGGCTGAGTAGTATTCCTTTGTGTATATATACCGTATTTTATTTATTCATTTATCCATTGATGGACACTTAGATTGCTTCTATACATTAACTATTGTGAATAATGCTGGAATGAACATGAGAGTTATAAATGGTTCTGTGACATACTGATACCAGATCCTCTGGATATATACCCAGAAGTGGGATTACTGGATCATATAGTAATTCTATATTTAGCTTTTTGTAGAACCTATATACAGTTTTTCTAATCAGTACAGTAGTGGCTGTACTAATATACATTCCCGCTAATAAAGTACAAGGGTTTCTCTTTCTCTGCATCCTCACCAACACTGGTTTTTATCTTTTTGATAATTACTGTTCTGATAGGTGTGAGGTGATAACTTATTGTGGTTTGAATTTGCATTGCTTAGTGATATTGAACCTTTCTTCATATATGTGCTAGCCATTTGTATTTCTTCTTTTAAGTAATGTCTATTCATATCCTTTGTCCATTTTTTAATCAGGTTATTTGTTTTCTTGCTGTTGAATTGTTTGAATTCTTTATATATTTTTGATATCAACCCATAATTATATTTTTGGTTACTAATAATATTTTCTCCCAATCTGTAGGTTGTCTCTTCATTCCATTATTTTTTTTCTGTGCAGAAGCTTTTTAGTTTGATGCAATCCCATTTGTCTATCTTTTATTTTGTTGCATGAGCTTTTGGAGTCAAATCCAAAAACATTATTGCCCAGACCAGTGTCGTATAGCTTTTCCCCTGTTTTCTCCTAGAATTTTTATAGTTTAGGTCTTACATTTAAGTCTTGAGTCCATTTTTAGTTGATTTTTCTATGTAAAAGTCTAGTTTCATTCTTCCATATGTGGATATCCAGTTTAGGGTTGTGATTTTCAATGCGAGGTCAAGATAGGGGTGGTTGGAAAAGTAACACTAGAGACTCAAAGGAGATGAGACAGGAAGCCATGCAGGTATTTGGGGGGAAAAGAATCCAGGGAAAAGGCCCTGGAGAGGGAACTGGGAGCAGGCCAGTGGGCTCCAGGCCTTCAAGGGACCTTGTGTACCTGGCAGGGCGAGTGTTGGGAGCCAAGGTCAGAGAGGCCTTCTGATGCCTCCCTCTGTAGGTGGGAAGATGCCAAGGCCAAGGCTGATTGATCTCCTGGAGAAAGATGAATCTACTGAAACCTCTCAGAGGATGACACAGTCCCCACAGGCCATTGGTCTGGCTGGTAGGCATCTGGTGTTAGGGATATCATTTCTGTAGGGTCACTAGTCCAATGACAGCATGAAATCTGGCAGCCTGAATGCAGGGAACAGAAGTCAGTAGGTAGCATCCAGAGGCTCAGCAGAAGGGAGCTGGACCAACCCCCGTGGCAAGGGTGCAGGTGATCTTGGGAACTGGGAGAAATTAGGTGACAATAGGCAAAGAGCTCAAGATTCCATTCCTGGGGCAACTGGAAGACCAAGTGTGACTCCAAATTGCAGACAAAATGTTTTTATAGTTACATGGTTCTTTTTCCCCTATCCAAATTACAGATAGTGGTATATTAAGCCTTTTATGACCTGGGAAGCAGCCACTTTTTCTCCTGCCATTTCACAATAGCCATCATATCCTCCAAGAAAAACCATAATATTTGCAGCTCTTCAGCCATTTATTTATTCACTGCAAGGCCAGGCTGCAAATCTGTGTCTAACAGATTCACCATACTTGTAATTCATTATACAGCGGGAAATAAGCTTGCAACTTGCTATTTACACTTAGTTTGCATTTAATTTAAGGGTTATCTGTGAATTGTGTAGATCTGGTATATCTAAAGTAGGTCGTTAGCTCCAAAGGTCAAGGTACTCTTCCCATATACTCTTTTCTTTTTTTCGTTGCACAGTTGTTTCAGACAGGACAGCACTGGGATTCCCAATAAAATCCTATCCCTTCTCTGAAAAATGGAGAAAAAAATCAATAGCTAATCAGTCTACTGCCTGGATACTAACTACTTGGTATTGTGTGTTTGTATGTGTGTTTTTTTTCTTTTGGTGGATTAAAATATAACAAAATAGTGAACTATTGATTGGTTTGACAGCTCCTAGGCATCTCTTCTTTCTCAAAAGCCAGTTATCTAGTCTTCTCTCGGAGACAGGAATATTTAGACCACTATACTGCCTGTGTTCAACGAAACCTTTACTATCAAATGTCACCAGATGGGAAATGAAGCCAGTCATTTGAAAGTAGAAGGGAAAATATCTAAGTCACAGGCTTTATGAAATCAATATTTTTTTCTTGACTGAGAATAGCAGAATTTGACAAGAACAACATTGGATTGTATTTAAGAGAGAGGAAATGCGACTTTTGCTAACTATTTTACTTTAAATACTGTACCCAAGTGGTTTTTGTAGGAAAATGCTATACAGAACTTTATACACAGAAGAAAGCTGCAGTGACTTTGAGTGAAGAACAATGAAAGGTTAATCTTGGACCTCCTCTCCTCTCCATCACCTCTCACAGAAGGCTAGGGTGACATCATATGGTTTCATGGCATTGAAGATCATCTGTATTCTGGTGACTCCAAACAGGTATCTCCAGCATGAACCTCAGATCCTGTGTCCAACTGTCTGCTCTATCCTCTCCACTGGATGTCTTATGAGTGTCTCAAATATAGCATGTCCACAACCAAGGTCTCTCCCAGACCTGACCCTTCCATAGTATTCCCCCAGAAAATGACCAGTTATTCTTGCAGAGACCTGGGACAGACACCTTGGCGTCTTCTTTGACTCGTATGCAATCCACCTCATACCTAATCTATCAACAAATCTGGTTGTCCTTCTGAATTTTCGCAGACTTTAACACTTCTCTTCATCTTCATTGCTTTCTCTCTGGTCCAAAACTCTCATCATCCCTCTCCTGGCTTATTCCTGAGCACCCCCTTACCTAGTCTCCCTGTGCTTCCTTCACCCTAGATGGTCTCCTATTGCAGTGGCAACCAGAGTTATCCTGTTGAAACCTTAGTCAGAGCACGTCACTCCTTCACACCAAACCCTCCTCATCTCAGTGTAAAATCAAGTCTTTGCAGGGCAGATGTGGAAGCTCCCTATGACCTCTCCAACCCCACCTAGTCCTCTGGAAATTAATAAATTTTCTGAGGCCACTGGTTGACTGTGATTCCTATATTACATGCTCTGAGATCCTGCCTCAGGGAATTTGAACTTGCTGCTTCCTGGAGTCTCTTCCTCTTGGCATTCATGCAGCTCAGTCCTCACCTCACTCACGTCTTTCCCAGAGAAGCTTTTCAGGCCACCGTACTTAAAATCTTACCCTCAGCTCCTTTCCCTGCTTAATTTTCTCCACAGCCCCAATTACCTTCTAATATATAATGTATTACTTATTCATCTTGTTTTATTTCCATCTTTCCCCACTGTAAGGTAAGCCTGTTAAGAGCAGAGAGTTCTCTTATTTCCTTGCTGGCATATCCCATGTACCTAGAACAATGCCCAATCTGTAGTAGGGACTTAATAAATATTTGCCAGAAAAAAAATGACTGAACCGAATATTTCCTGCTTGTCGTCATCTTAAAATGACCTCCAAGTCAGCAAAACATTAAGGAAATTAAATAAAACATTAACTTAAAAAAGGGGGGTTTTCTATTAAAAAAGCCAAGAATCAAACAGCCAGTTTCTTTTCTCTATAAATTTACTAGATGCATGCAGACACTCAGGATTTCAGAAAGAATCCCTTTCTTTTCCATCATTGGTTCTGGATTTTCAGTTTAAAATAGAATTCTTCGTAGATCATTCTTTTAATGAGAGGTTGGGGGAAGCAGACTCCACAATTGCAGCTAAGGAATCATTCATCTTTCTTAGACTCCATTATCGGGGAAACTCTAAATAGGCTATTGAACAATAATCACCCTATCCCATGAGGTCTAATGAGAATCATACAGTAGCACTAGCAGAATGAAACACGCTTTGCCTCTCCCTTGGCTTTCCATTTGGGTTGTTTCCATAGTTATGTGTATGTCTCTGGGAAACAGCAATAAGTATGCTATAGATAGATCTTTGTGTTCTTCCTACTGGCATAGAATAGTAGCCGAGGTTAATGCACATCCATACATTTCTTTGCAACCTTCAAAAAATGTTAATTATCCTTCTGAGTATGGAAGGTTTAAAAAAGGAATGGTAATAATTAGCATCAGTGAAAAGAGCAAACAATATTGTATTGCTTCAACAGAAAGTTTAGCAAAATGCCACCCATTTCGGCACATGGACAGTTCCTGGTGTAGATGGCAGACACTTATTTTAGGCAAATCCCATCCTCTCTGCCAACAAAACAAACTCAAACCAAACATTTAAAGCATAACATGAGCTTGCATTTACTACCTGCCACCACCATTCAAAGCCCACCTTGCAGTGGCCTTTCCTGATAAAGGCTACTCCCTGCACCCAGAGCTGAAGTGGGCAGCACCTATTTGATAAGAAACCTTCTCACTTGTTTTAGATTTCCATTGTGTAATTTTATCCTCACATTGTCTCTTATGTTTTTTGTGTATGCGTATGTCTTCCCCAAATGAAATAATAAGCAAGCATCAGGTGATGTATTTACTTTTATGTCTGACAGTGTCTAGCACTTTGCTATGCTCATAACAAGAACTCGGTATGTAGTTGCTGAATGAATTAACTGGTGGATAAATAACACAGCGTATTTATTCAAAGAGCAGATCTGGAGGAGGTTTGGGGAATCCAAATAGAGAGAGGAAGGGGTAGAGGGATGTCTGTGTCTGTCTCTTTCTACGGTGTCCAGAGAACAGAGGAAAGAAATAAAGCTTAGATGCTCTCTCAAATCCAGACTCTAATCAAACTCATTCTGCTGCCACTGTGGAAGAGGCTTGAGATTGGAAAGGAAATAGTAATGCTTTCTGTGTGTGATTCAATCACTGCCAAAGGTTCCTGTTGGCGGGGCCACCGCATCCCTGCGGGTACTGGCGGAGCTCACAGAGCCCCTCCACTGGCTGCCCCGGGTGGTGGCAACTTGCCACAGTTTCCAGCAGGCGAACCAGGGCTGGGATGCTGCAAGCATCCTCCTAGCTCCCTGCACCCTCCTGAGGCTGAAGAGAAGGACCTATCCTCCGTGTCATGAGCCTGGCCCTTTCCCAGTTTGCCATCATCCTTTGGCCTCATCCTTCTGTGCTTTGCAGGACTGTTTCCCTACATTCTGCTCCCATTTGGATGGCTGCTTCACCACATTGGGGAGGCTGTGTAAGAATCTTCCTTTGACTGACGCCCCCATATGTTCCTATTCTATAATCCACTTTTCACGCTGGGCTTTCTTTTCACTTTACCAACTAGCTGAGCTTCTGTCCAGCCAATGCCTTCTCTCCCCATTCCAACCTCAAAAGGAGCACAAGATGGGATCTGACTTTCTCTGGGGTCAGAATAGGGCCATTTCCTAGGGGGAATCTGCTGCTTCTCAAACACAGGCATCCACCAACCAAGATGGAAGGGAAGGGCGCTACACAGCGCCCCCCTGTGTAGTGAGCATTACACAACTCATGTTTTCCCACGTGAACAAAATCAGGAACAAAATAAGGGTGGTTTCTTGCCTGGGAGTTTATTATTTTTTAAGTAGTAAAAATCATTGCTATTCCTTTCCCCACATGGATCTTTAGATCATCCTTTTCATTCATTCTGGGGGTTAAGGAGGTGGGGGGTGGGCAGGGGGAATTAGGGCCATCCTTTCAAGCTTCCTTTACTTACCACAATGTTTTAAATATTCAAATAATAGATTTGATCTGCACATTGTAAAGACTGTTTCCGGACAAAGATTCCTGGTGATATTTAAAGGACGACATAAAAATGTTCTGTCTTTGAGTGAAAATAAAGACTGAATAAAGAAAACGGTGATGCCCATAGAATTACAATACTCCTTCCTCCATGCCAGGTCTTTACTTAGTGAGAAATGTTTTTTCCTTTGGAGAACTGGAGTGAGGGGTGGTGAGAACAGGGAAAATCTTCGTTATATCAATACTGTCCTGAATGTTACATATAAAGCTTTATAATGGAATCTAGGAATTCTAAACCTGGAAATACTGCTCTTCATGGAAGCTTTGAGATACCTTTTTAACCAAACCCTCAATGATGAGAGCATGAACTGGGGAATGAACAGATCCCTGCAGCTGTGTCTCCACTTCAATGACAAATGGTTACAAATGATACTCAGGACATCATTCCTCAAAGTCCGTCTAAATTCCACAGTCTAGGATTGAAACGCACCTGAGTCAGTATCCTCTCCATGCTCAGAGTATCATATTGCACCCCCACTGTCTGCTGGCGAAACTGAGAAACAGAGGGCTCTAAGAAACATTTAGAGTCCTATCAGTTAAAATAGATACCCATGTGTTTTCTTATTTTTGCGTCTCATGCTAATGGCTGGCACGTGACAGAACGTTCTGGGATATGGGTGCTCCATTCTGGGAAACAGACCTCTTGAGGGTCACTGATCACGTGGCACTGTAGGCACCTTCTTTACTTGTGCTCTTGGCCCTGACGAATCCCACCTCCGTCCAGGGAAAGATACAAGGCTGTGGAAAGTCCAGTGCAACCCAGGAAGGCAACGTGCTGTTTTTAGTACTGGAAATATGTAAGTTCACTTTATTACGTTGATCTGAGGAAATTTTAGAGACATATCTTCTCTGCTTTTCAAAATATGTTTCTTCAGACCCAGACAGATGTCGTTTTTATTAGAACACTTGGAATTTCAATTAGTATTTTAAAAAGAAACCTTATTTCTTAGACAAAGTGATTTGTTGGAGCACTCTCTGCTGGTTTGTTTTAATAACTTGATTTCACAAGCCACATTTTAGACAGAAGGCAAGCTCTGTACCTTGGCTGGAACTTTGTATCTTCAGATTAGGTGCCTATGTTACAGCTCCCATCTCCTAAACCCCAGAACCTAATTTCATGAATGCTGCCTCCCTTTTCGGTGAAGCCATGGGTTCTTTGTTAATTAACTTGGGACACCTTTTGGGGAATTTTGGCAGCTGGGTCGGGAAGATAAGAATTCCTTAAAAGGGAAGTTATAAATAAATTGAAGAGCCAATCATTATTCTATTAAATAAGAATTAATGATTTGTCCCTTGGAAATACTCCATGTGGGGAAAAAGACAAAACTGAAACATTTCCAGTTGATTCAAATTCAGGACTTCTGCCCAAAGGCTTAGAGACCTCAAAGAGAGAGCAAGAGACGGAGAGCCGACCTAACTTTATTTGGACTGTTTAGGTGTTCATTTTATGTCTGGCCAAACAGTTTCCGAAGAAAAGCTTTAGAAAAGAGGATGCATGAGAAATGAAATGGCTCTCCTCAAATACCACAGCCAAATCTTGAGAATATAAAAACAGAAAATAGACGTTTGCAGGATAATGTTTTTACATTGTATTCCCTTCTATGTGTGGACTGCTATCTTCTCTCCTTGTTAAAAACAAAAGTCTCAATCAGGTGGAAAGAAATTATTATTTTTACTCTTGAATACTAAAAATTAATGGATTAGAAATGAGTTTAAACGTTTAAAGATGAATTCTTTTTAAACCATCCTGGCTGATGTTTGATTATATTTATTATACTGGATCTCAAAAAATTACGGAGCAGGCAAGGACAGCTGTAATTGGGTTTCAGCTAAAAGGAAGGCTCCAGGCTGGTGCCATCAATCAGATGGGCCAGTGGTGCTGCCCTTGGGGGCATAAGGCAGTTAGAAGAGAAGGAGGCAGACAGCAGGGAGGGGACAGCCAGCCTAGCAGGAAGGGCACCGCAAGCCCCCGGGCATACACCAGGGGACCAGGAAGGAGACAGAAGCCTGGAGATGCAGCCCCGCCAGTGTCCCAGTGTCTGGGCAGCCTGAGGCCGGATATGGGATGCTGGTCTGTGACCTGGCATGAGCAGCAACCACAGATTCTGCTCCTAAACCAATTGCCTGAAGAAGAAAAAAGCTCGTGTTGTTCATCCTGCCAGACTCCAGTCAAAGGGACATTGAGTGAGAGAATCAAGCAATTCCCAACAGCTCCTCATGAAAATGTCCTGAAAGTTCATTCAAGAAAATTAGTTGAAATTCGGACATTGTTTCTCTCATAACCAGAAAGTTCGTAACAATATACTGTCCATTTGGGAAACTTGGTTTTTTAAAGTTAAAACAAAATTTTCCTATTCAATTTCGTGTATTATAATGTACTTAAGCAATGTCAGGTAAAATGAATGGATTTGAAGCATAGAGTGGCTTATTTCCTAAGCATATAATAGCCTTCAATCCCAAAGTGAGTGTATGTTTCTTATCATTTGATGTAGGCTACTGAACTTCAGGCAGTATAGCCTGGGCTGATGCACATATATGTTAATGTGCAGTGTGTTACTTTCAATTAAGGCTCACTAAGACTGCAACATTAACATTAGAGGTTATTCAGTGCTCAAGAGAGATCAAAAGATACAAATCCCTGTGGTCCTCACCTTGAGACTTGAACAGTTTAATTTATTGGTCAGAAAGGAAAGTTATAGTGATGAAATGGAAACTGGTGGTATTACATTTTAATTGACTATTACCTCCACAGACTAATACCCCCAGTGTCTATGGGAGTGACCTTATTCCTCTTAAAATGTTAGAAACTCACTAGGTTTAATTTTCCAGTCACCATCTCCTTTCTTCCTCAGATTCGAACATAAACCCCAGTTTTTACTTGGCCTTCTTTTCCCAGTGATAGAAATGAACAGAAACTTTCCTTGTTTTCTTTTCTTCCTTTTCTTTATCCCAAGTGAGTAAACCAAGTGTGATATCTTATTGATACTTTGCCAGGGAGTTTCTTGAGTTCTCTTTACTACCCCTCAGCATTTTACTTTTCAGTTTCAGCCCATAGCATGACAAGCCCAGGACACACGCGCACTCTGTGGGGGTTCCTGCCCTCTGCCCCTTCTTACCCAGTCTGCACTCCCCCCTCCCACATCACTGCTGCCACGCTTACCTTTGCAAGGTACTCCAGTTACAGACTAGTCAGTGTTTCCTGATGTGAATGACACAAAGTGAACTCTGCTGCCTCATTTTTTTTTTTCGTTTTTTGAAAAAAAAATTTTTGAAGACAGGGTCTCACTTTGTCACTCAGGCTCTGTCACTCAGGAGTACAGTGGTACAATCTCAGCTCACTACAACCTCAGCCTCCGAGGTTCAAACGATTCTCATGCCTCGGGCACCTGGGTATCTGGGATTACAGGTGCAGACGCCACCATGCCTGACTAATTTTTGTATTCATAGTAGAGACAAGGTGTTGCCAAGCTGGCCAGACTGGTCTTGAACTCCCGGCCTTAAGCCATCTGCCCGCCTCAACCTCCCAGAGTGCTGGGATTACAGGCATGAGCCACTGTGCCCAGCCCTGATTTTTTTCTTAGTAAAAATTTTTATTGAGGCCCCCAAGAGCCTTTGTGCTTCTTAGTGCAGTAGATATGTCTCTCTTCCAAACTTGCTGGAACCTTCCGGCAGCATTTGGCATATTCACGTACCTTTGTTCCTAAGATAAAACTTTCCTAGTGTTCTTCCTACTCTTTTCCTTCTCCATTTTTCTCCCCTCTTTGGCCTTTTCTTCTCCACTTTACGTCACTGCTGTGTCCTGGGCCTTTTTGTCCTCTCCCCCTCTCCTCTCCTCCCTTCCTCCTCCCTCCCCTCCCCTACGCACTCCTCCTCTTCCCTCTCCATATACACACTATATCTAAGACCTCTCCTCCATTTTATTTCACGTCCTCTTCATTTCTTCCTGCAATAAACTTGTATAAATCTGATATAATTTCCCTTCTGCCTGAAGAAACTCCTTTAGCACTTTTTATAGTGCAAGTCTGATGAAGATAAATTCTCTCAGCTTTGTGTCATTTTGAAAATGTCTTTAGTTGCCTCCATCCACAAAGGATACCTCTCCTTAGAATTCTGAGAATAATTTTTTTCAGCACTTCAAAGATATTATTCTGTTGTCTTATGGCTTCCATTGCTTTTGATGAGAAGTCAGTTGTTACTGTTGTTCCCTGAGTATGTATTTTTATACTACCTGCTTTCAAGATGCTTGGTCATTATTGATTATTATATTTCCTCTACCCCATCTCACTTTCCTGTCCTTCTGGGAATTCAATTACATGTATATTACACTACATGATATTGTCCTGTAGGTAGGTCTTAGATCTTCAGTTTAAGATTTTTTTATTGTTCTTTTTCACTTTGTGCTTTAGTTTTGATAATTTCTAGTAATCTATCTTTAAACTCACTGGTCCTTCCATGTGCTATTTTCAATCCTTTATAAAGGCATTATATAAATCCTTCCTGTCTGATATTGTATTTTCCAATTCTAGAATTTCAATTTGGTTATGTCTTATAGTTTCCATTTCTCTGCTGAATTTAACCAATTTTTTTCATGCATGTTGTCCATTATCTCACTAGATAATTTAACAAATATATCACAGATAAAGTCCTTATCTACATATTCTAACATCTATATTATTGTGGATTTGCCTATGATAACTTTATTTTCTCTTAATTTTCGGTCATATTGTCTTACTTCTTTGCAAGTCTTGTGATTTGTTATTGTATGCCGGACGTTTTATGTTGAAAGATTTGAATAGACTGAAGTTGGTAATTCTTTCCTCCTAAAAAGCACCTCATTTCATCTACGGGGTTGCTAAGGTAGAGGGCTGAGATAATCTAATGCATGCTTTAACTATATCTGGGCTTTAGTTAAATTCAGCCCAGCTGCAGCCCAGTTAAATTCAGTTTACCACTGAGTGCAAATGTTTCAAGAGCATGATCAGTATTTAATCTACCATTAGGCTCAGAAGTTGAGCACCTGTAGATTCCAAAGATTTCTCTATACTCCGTATACTATTGCCCAGTTATCAGTTTTCTGAGCCATATAAGATCTCTTTCTCTGTCTCTCTGTCTCTTCTCTCTCTCTCTGTCTCTCTGTCTCTCTGTCTGTCTGTCTGTCTCTCTCTCTCTCTTTCCTTTGTTTCCCTGTCTGCTGTGAAGCTCAGCTGCCAGCTTTTTGGATCATTGTACTACCTATATTTTTCAGGCCTTGTATAATTTTACATCCACTGTCTCTATCCATCCTCAATATGTACCATTTCTGAGTTCACAGCCTCCTTTCCAGTTGGACACTCTCTCCTCTGTCCCTACGGATAACATTTTCATTATAACTCACTTAGATGGCTCATGGCAGCCATTTTCCTACCCTGATGGCTCTTTCACCTCCTTTTCTATCTACTCCTAACCCATATTCCAAGACAAATTCAGGCCCTACCCTTTTTACAAGCTTCTGTGAGTGCTCTAGATTTATTTTTGCCCTATTTACACTTCTTTGTGTTAATCTGTATACCCCCCGAGTTTGGCACTTAAGGAATTTAAGGAATGCTGTGTACAACACCATAAGTTCATGATGACTCAAGTAGAGTAGTGTCATCTCCTCCTCTAACCTGATCACTCTTTAGGAATAAGAACAATACCTTTCTCTATTTTTACTTTTTGTGCTTCTTTTGAAAGCCCCAATATGCCTAGCATTGTATTAATGTTGTGATGAAGATACACGTTGCGTAGTTACTGTTCTGCTAGAATATGAGCTCTGTGGGAACACGGACACGGACAGTGTCTTCCTTCTTTGCTACTATAACCCCCAGAACGGATCTGTTCTGTCGTCTAGCAGATTCTTATTTTTTTGTTGTTGTTTTTATTTTTGAGACGGAGTCTCGCTCTGTCGCCCAGGCTGGAGTGCAGTGGTGCGATCTCGGCTCACTGCAAGCTTCGCCTCCCAGGTTCACGCCATTCTCCTGCCCCAGCCCCCCACATAGCTGGGACTACAGGCGCCCGCCACCACGCCCGGATAATTTGTTTACATTTTTTAGTAGAGACGGGGTTTCACCGTGTTAGCCAGGATGGTCTCGATCTCCTGACCTCGTGATCCGCCCGCCTCGGCTTCCCAAAGTGCTGGGATTACAGGCGTGAGCCACCGCGCCTGGCCTAGTAGATTCTTATTAAGTTGTGTTGTAATGCATAATAGGTTGAAGTCATAATATTGTGGTTTTATAAACCAAATTTTTATTGTCATACATAGATTTCCTAAGTAATTTAAATCAGTTTGCCATTATAACCTATACCAGAGCATCTTTTATAACTGAGACCTACTTACCCTCTACTCTCTTTCCTTAACTTGAACACATCACCACCACAAACTTATAAAAATAGAACTACATGCTTTATTTTTACTCTGCAAACCAAAGCAGACAAAAAGTCCTTTCTAAAGAACACCATTCTTAAAGTTGGATGCACGGTGGAATCACCTGAGCCTGACCCAGAGCCACCTAGATATGAGTACTTGTTTCAAGGCTCCCTGAGGGATGCTGAAGTTTGCCAAGGTTGAGAACTACTGAGTTGAGTCTGTAAGATCCATCATAAATAAAAATTGCCTGCTAATCTTTTGGAAAACTGTGTTCTTCCAATTTGGAAATATTTTATAATTATTAAAGTTTAAACTTAAGAGTATTTTTCCTCTGAGATATCCCATTTCTCTGATTAGAAAAGACAAAAAAATTTGTTCCAGAAATTGCTGATCCAAACTTTATATTATTTATGTAATGGATAGTTGCTTCTAATGGAATAGCCAACTTCAGCCAACATTGCCACTAATGTCATTGATCCCTAGAGTCAAAACCAGCTTAAATTGTTGCAAATACTATATATAGAGAGAGTAGGAATATTATATTTTAATATAATCTTTCACAACACACACTTTGATGAAGACATCATGAGCCTCTTCAGTTCAGCAAAAGTCTCTACCTTTCCACTTAATAAAGCCCCTTATGTTTGAAGACCAATTTAATCAAGAGGATGGGTTTAAAGAGCTCATTGTAAACATTAAAATGCAAATATAACACTGACAATTGTAGAGGGGTCTGGGAAGGCTCCAGGGAGTCTCTCAATTCTTCAATGAGGGCAGGGTTTCCTGCCCCACTCAAGGTGTCTAAGTTTCTCACCATTCAGGATGCCTACACGTGACCAAGGTGGTTAGACCACAGGGTTGGAGGTGCTGCTTTTCCTGGCAGCACCTTTTCCCAGCTCCAGTCTTGGCTAACCTCTGGGACCTAAGAACCTGATCCTTCAGGCAGCATCTGGTTATTCCCTCTTGCGCTTTGGCCCATGGTTTCTTTGAAGCTGTGTCTCTGTTTAGGTGTGGGTTGAGTAAGGAAAGTATTTCTTCAGCATTTCAGTGAGCAAGCAAAGGAGAAGAAAAATAAACAGAAAATATGTAATTTAATACTTAGAGCTATAACCCTGCCTTGACCATTCTCCAAAAATGCTAGAGTATTACCACTGCATTTTGGTGAACTACTTTTCTTGAATTAAAGCTACGTATCACTTCTTAAACACTATTCTCTGCTTATACTCTCCTCTACCTTATATCAATACCTGGACGATTTTTAAAATGTGTTCTCTTTGATATATAGAGGGGATGTGAGGCAGTGTTTGCTTTGAATTGCTTTTGAATCATGGCAACAGGATTTTTCATAAGCTCTTCCCTCTTGTCCCTTCCCCAGGCCCTGTCCCTTCCCCAGGCCCTGACTGACAGCATGTGTTGTGTGCAGAATAACTCTGGGGTTGGTATATGGCTGCATCAGGCACTGGGAGGAGCTAATCAGTCCCCTTGAAGATCAAACCTTTGGTCTTGCTTTTTGGTCAGATTGCTAATCTGCTGAACTAAGGAAACATAGACAGTGGGAGACCCAAGGAGTAATTCTCTGGTCTGCCTTGAATATTCCTAAATTGACCTGAGACCACATTCTGGCATTAGCATTGCCTTCTTCTGTGACAGCTTGCTTAGCCCATCAGAACACGATTGCAATTGTATTTCACTCTCACTGAGTCTCGCTGTTGGTCTTGGAGGTGTCAACGAAAAGAGTCAAACTCTGCAGAATATTTGAAGAGATTTATTCTGAGCCAAATATGAGTGACCATGGCCCATGACACAGCCCTCAGGAGGTCTTCAGAATATGTGCCCAAAGTGGTCAGGGTGCACTTGGTTTTATACAGTTTAGAGAGGCATGAGACATCAATTAAATACATTGGTTTGGTCCAGAAAGGTGGAACAACTCAAAGTGCAGGGGGTGGTTGGGGATGGCAGGGGTCAGGGTGGGGGAGGAGGGAGTGAGGGGGGCTGTAGGTAAATTTAAACATTTTCTGGTTGACAATTGATTGAGCTTGTCTAAAGGCCTGGGATCAATAGGAAGGAAATGCTCAGGTTAAGTTAAAAGATTGTGGAAGGCTGGGCGCGGTGGCGCATGCCTGTAATCCCAGCACTTTGGGAGGCTGAAGTGGGTGGATAACGAGGTCAAGAGATTGAGACCATCCTGGCCAACATGGTGGAACCCCATCTCTACTAAAAATACAAAAATTATCTGGGTATGGTGGCGTGCACCTGTAGTCCCAGCTACTTGGGAGGCTGAGGCAGGAGAATCTCTTAAACCCAGGAGACGGAGGTTGCAGTGAGCTGAGATCACACCACTGCACTCCAGCCTGGTGACAGAGTGAGACCCCATCTGAAAAAAAAAAAAAAAGATAAAAGATTGTGGAGACCAAGGTTCTTTTGAAGTCTTATAATGGCTGCCCTTAGAGACAATAGATGACAAATGTTTCCTATTCAGACCTTTAAAGGGTGCTAGACTCTCAGTTAATCTCTTCAGGATGGGGAGGGCCTGCGATAAAAAGATCTAGTTATGTTAGCAGAGATTCTTTACAGATGCAAATTTTCCCTCACAAAGGACAGCTCTGCAGGACCATTTCAAAATATGGCAAAGAAACATGTTTTGGGGTAAAATATTTTGACTTTCTTCTTTGTCACATAATGTTATGCCAGAGTCAAATTGGAAAGTAAATCACGATATATAGGATTAAATAAACCCATCTGATGAGAATTTATGGTTTGTAGGGCATGACTCCCCAAATCCTTTAGATAGGAATTTGGGCATGTTAAAAAAATCAGAGTTTAGTCCTCAGAGGGAAGAGGTAACAGATAAAAAGAGATAGAGTGGGTGATGAATATTGGCAAGGATGTTTGTTGAAGAAAAGGGAGTATTTTTTTTCTAAAGCATCTCCATAGGGGAAAATAGAGGAATTATTCAGTGAGCTTCTTTCTGATAGGCAAAGGACTAGCACTCGCTAAAAGAATTTGAATGACAAAGTATCAGGGCTCCTGGGGATAAATATTTAAAGTATACACATATGTGTGACTGTGCTACTGGATCAAGCAGTAAAGTTCTGTGAGCAACAAACAATACTGAGCATTGCATAACTAAGTACAGTTTCCAAAAGAACTATCTTAAGTAGGTGAGTGACCTCATACTTATAATCATGGCTGCATCCACAGTTATTAGGCACCCGTGGGAAAGGCCCAGGTGACTGAATCAGGTTATAAAATCCTTCCAGCTTGGCTTAAAGCAGGACTTCTAGCAAACCTGCATTTTAGCTTCCCAGTTGTCTCCAAAGGCCACCTCCACCCCTCGTTAACTCAAAGCAGAGATGGAGTGGAAGATGTAGAAATGTTTAGAATAAAAATGAAATGCAGGAAAACTGCAGCTTAGACAATAACTAGCAGTAACAAGAACAACCACAACCACCCCTCCAACTGGTTAATCTGTAACCCACCAGCTCCTAGGTGGCTTGAAGGAAGCTGAGCGACCAGCTTGAACTGGGTGCAGAAAAAACAAATCACCACTGCCTAAAATCCCAGTTAGTCTAATTAGATAAGGAATCAGTCTAGATAGTAACAGTGTGATTGACAGGTACACAGACTTTCCTATAAATTTGTTTACTTTATAACTTTCCTTTAAGCATTCTGATGAACTTTTAGGAAAAATAACTATATCTCCGTTTTGCTTTGGCAAGAGACAAAGGGATGAGTTTAGATGGTAGAGCTGACAGGGCTGGTAGACCCAGGCATGAGGTAGGGGGTTTAAACAGCTGTAGGCCAACTTTGGTCTTGTCTTCTGCAGAATAGATAAGCAATCCCAAGTGACCCTTACTGCATGTGAAGAGTGGGGACAGTTACCGGAGAAGGAGGGGAGGGAGCGCATGGAATGTTCTCTATCTCGAAGGCACATCTTCTGCAGACTCCTCTCTTCTCATCCTTCCACTCTGAGCCCTGTTCTTCCTCCCGGATGGTGGGAATCAGCCTCTGATTGGTTATGAAGTCTCCAGGTTCAGGACTTTTCACAGTCTATATGATTGTTATCTAGTCTCTGCTCAGTTATGCGGTGACTAGATGCTAGTCTCTGCCTAGTTTTCTTTCTAAATTCCAAGGCGTGTGAGATTCCTTATTTTAAACACAGAAAAGAGGGAGCTCAAATATGTGCATAAAAATAGCCCGACAACTTGGCTGAAACAAGCTGGTATCTTTACTTGGAGAAAAGAAATGGAAAGAAATGGAAGGGAACACACCTTGCCTTCACCTTGACCTTCCTATAAATGCCTAAGAGGACTCCATTTCTTCCAGCCCTCCCCACCCCCAAGTTCCCTGAAGTTCTAAAGTCATCTTATCCTGTTGCTGGCATCTCCTGGGTCTGGCTGACCCATGCTGGTAATCTCCTTGAGAGAAGATGCCCTGTTCTTTCGGAGGATCTCTGTGCTTCCCCAGCATGGCCTGACCACACACAGGCTGGAGGATGCCTGTGTCAGCGTATTGATAGAATTAATGATTGCAAATCATTAACAGAATGTTTAAGAGTAGGGGTATGCAATTTATTTTTCCTTGTTAACTCTCTAAAAGACTTTTGGAAAGCTATGCCCCCCAACCCCACCCCCCTCACATTTTTAGATTTAAATTGTTGCCAGGAATATAGTTTAGTTTCCCGGGTGGCATTTTAAAAATAAAACTGACACATCCCTCTTTTAAATATGTCTTTAAAAATCTGGATACCACAGTGGTTTAGTACCCAACATCATCTTCTTCAACAATATGTGAGCAGATTATTTATCAATATTAGAAATTCTACGTCATTCCTTTTGCTCCTCAAACATATAAGCTTTCTACCTCCCCCGAAAATTTTACCCTGATTAATGTATTTTATGCTTTAAAGTGTCTTATTGCTCATTCTCTTTGCAAACAAAATTTATACAAATTAAGATATATTGTAAATATTTCTTATGGTATTAGGCTTTAAATTAAAACTTTCTTACAGATTATTACTGTAGTTATTAGCAGAATAAAATTGATCAAAATAATATATCATTTATCTTGATTAAAGTTATTCAATATAAAATGTAAAATTGTATTGGAAATGCATTCACCAGATGGATGAGCCTTTTTTCCCTATCCATTCATATATTCAAAAATAATATAACTTATTGCTTGATTGAACAAGGTTGTCTCATTTTATTCTCTTTTTTGTTGTTTTTATAGATTTAAATACCGAGAAACATTACTCATATATATAAGGTAAAGAGAATAGATGGTCTTTCCTTATAGTAATGCTACTTGATTCTTTGAACTTCTTATGCATTGATGTTTAAATATCTCATTGGGATCCGTCATCAAGTTATTTTTAATGATCTGTTAACTGTCAACTTTGTTCAGTCTTCCTTCAATCTTGTTGAAGGTAAAGAACTGGAAACTGCCCCGTTGAAGAAAACGATGAATTGTCCATCATCATGGTTGTTCCTCCTTAACCCAGACACTGGCATTAAGCAATACCCTTGGCTTCATCTCAGAGAATGTTTGCCATTGCAGCAGGGAGAAAATTGACCTGGTTTTGTAAAACAAGAGAAGGGAACGTGTGAAAGAACATGCAAGCACGTTTTTCAGGCAGATCAGTTTTGTTCAGAGTGCATAAGGAGGTCGAGAATCTGAAAATGGATTCCCTTAAAACCCCAAACCCTGTATCCCCCTGGCAAGCCTTTACGCGGTCCCCGACAGCACACAGGGCTCCTTTTGGAGTCTGCCCCAGGGGAGCCTGCCCCCAGTGGAACTATAGCTATGAGCTTGGCGTTGTTCCCATGTAGTCAAGGGTTAACATTAGAAGAATGTGCTTGTCTGATGAATTAGCTCGGGCTTTCCCAAGTCATTTCCACAAATGCCATTTTTGAGCTGCAGTTCCCCAGAGGGAGCTCACGTAAAGAGAAAAGCAGCCAACTGTGTGGTATGAAACACCAGGCAAGATTTAGGGGTTGCATTTGAAGCTAATTAAGACTACAGTGAGAATTTTATGCTAGATCATAATTTCTTATCTTCATATAGAGTATCATTATTGGGACAATGAGTACAGTATTTAAAAATTCCCAGGGACTAATTAAATATAAACAAGTCCAGCTTTCAAAATAGAAGTGCCACAATTCATTGTTCATACCATGAAAGTCTAATGTGATTATTTAATACAGTTGGCAAAATATGCTAATACATAGTTGGATATTTCAAGGGTTTAGTGTAATTTTATCCTTGTGTACTAACTTCCAAGATGTGGAATTAATTTATCTCCTCATTCATTCATTTGACCAATATTTTTTGAGTGCCTACTATGTACCAGTCATAGCACATCAAAGTTTCTGCTTTGTGGAGCTTACAGCCTAGTGGTGAAAATAGTCTCAAAAATAAGCAAACAGGCCCTGTGCAGTGGCTCACGCCTGTAATCTCAGCTCTTTGGGAGGCCGAGGCAGACAGATCACCTGAGGTCAGGAGTTCGAGAGCAGCCTGCCCAACATGGTGAAACCCCATCTCTACTAAAAATATAAAAATTAGCCGGGTGTGGTAGTGGGTGCCCATAGTCCCAGCTACTCCAGAGGCTGAGGCAGGAAAATCACTTGAATCCAGGAGGAGGAGGCTGCAGTGAGCCGAGATTGCACCACTGTACTCCAGCCTAGGTGACAAGAACAAAACTTTGTCTAAAAAAAAAAGAGAAAGAAAACAATATCTACTTTCCACTTCAGACATGAGTAAAATAGGGTAAGGGTTTAGAGAGTGACAAGGGGAAGGGAATGTTGAATGGGGTGGTCAGGAAAGAAGTCTATGAAGAGGTAAATCCTAAGAGATGGACAGGAGCCAGACCTTACACCATCTGGGCAAGGGAGCAGCAAGAGCAAAACCCCTGGTGCAGGAGAGAGGTTCGCAGGTGGCAAAAACAGGAACAAGGTCAATGTTGTTGTAGCTGGAAAACGAGGCAGGGAAAGGTCAGAGATGCTGATGGTGAGTGCGGGATACCTTTCAGCCTGGATAAGGAAGTTGGATTTTTCTCTGAGAGTTTTGGCTCATGAAAGCATGATCAGATGTTTATTACTAAAAGTCCTCTCCGGCTGCTGGTTGAACACTAGACAGTAGATAAGATGGAAGAGCAGTGAGGACTTGGATTCAGGAGTCTGGGAAAGAGCTCATGCTGTCCAGGACCAGAGTTGTAGCACAGGGGTAGAAAAAGTATTTTGAAGGTGGAACCAGCAAGGTTTGCTGATGGATGAAATACAAAATGCCGTAAGTGGCAAAAAAAGACAGAGGAGGGGAGGGGATGGTAGATCACAACTTTGATTTTGGACTGAAAGTTTGAAATATCTGTGAGACATGAAAGGGGACATGCCACGTAGAAAGCCGACAATATTCATTTAGAGCTCAGGACTGAGATATTAATCTGTGTGTCATCAGTGTGAAAAAGAAAAAAAAAGATAGTTAAAGTCATGGTCCAATTATGTTAATCTCTAAGTACAGAAACATCTACAGGAAGTCTCATCTTAAAATAAAATGCCCATCCACAGGTAGATAAGCATTTCTTGGCTCATTAACCCAAGACAGGTTTCTTACATAATTGTCTTCATTTTTACTTTGGAATAAAGAAGACAAGAGGTAATGTTTCCTTGTGTGGATGATACTGAAAATTATAAGACCACACATGTTCAGATTATTTTAGGTTGACTGTAGGTCATCACGTGAAGCCATTTTAAGTTCCTCTTACTTGTTTAAGAACAAAACTTAAACAGATTTATTCATGCCACTACTGTTGAGGCATCTTGGCTGTTTATCCACCCCAGGAAAAAATATGGGACATGAGGAAAAGGCCAATCAGTTGAGACTGATCAGAAGTCTGAATTTCCATCCACGAGTCTAGACTCTCGTGTTGGGTATTATCTGTCTTACTTTTATTTCTTTAGGCTTATTATTCCGAATGGTCACATCTTACTCCTGAAATTTTTATCTGTCAGGTAATTTGTGTGTGTGTGTGTAGTCATCCTTTACTATATGGCTTCTGGGACTTGATGAATCCCTGTGCACAGGACCACGTACCTAGTCATTCTGTCTTGATCAGTTTTCCATGTGGAGGAAATTGTTTTAGGGGCCCATAGGTGCAGTGCCAAGTTATTTATCCATGGAATATATTATAATGAAAATGAATGGAAATGCTTCTTTGCTAGTACCTTTATAAATGCAGTGGGGGTAGCTCCCACCCCTTGAGCCGTCCCTGCAAATGCTGTGGTTGTGAACTTATCTTCCATTTTTCAGCTGTGTGCATGGCTTGGCAGGAGACTCTGTCAAACATTTAGAAGTGAGAATAGCCTGCAGGGAGGCAAATGCTCCCAGAAGTTATAAATCTAATTGATAGAGGACCATTAGACACCTTGTAGTCAAGCTCTCCTTATTTTGCAGGAAAAAATATTTTACTTCTTCCTTTTTCTTCAAATCCTAGATAAGCCTCAACAAAATTACCATTTTTTATATAAATATGGTATGAATGTATATATTCATGTGTATGGGTATATCTATATATATACACATATATTTCAAAAAGAGTTTCTGTGATACTTTTTCTTATAAATTGAATACTTTTTTTCATTCAATTGAATCTTGGTGGTAGGTGAATGATTTTTTAATCTTATATGTAGCTCTGTATGCCACAGGAGTTTTTATAAACAACATGATTTTTGTCCCAAGCTATTTTCAGAAATGTCTGTGACTGACATGAAATGGGAAATCATGGTGATTCTGCCTTCAAATTTCCAACAGATTCATGATGCTTCTGTGCTCATAGCTAAAACCCAGCTCTGTAGTACGGATGATGTACAAGACTGTATTAGTTCGTTTTCACGCTGCTGATAAAGACATACCTGAGACTGGGCAATTTAGAAAAGAAAGAGGTTTATTGGACTTACAGTTCCACATGACTGGGGAGGCCTAACAATCATGGTGGAAGGCAAGGAGGAGCAAGTCATATCTTATGTGGATGGCAGCAGGCAAAGAGAGAGAGTTTGTGCAGGGGAGCTCCTCCTTTTAAAACCATCAGATCTCATGAGACTTATTCACTGTTGTGAGAACAGAACAAGAAAGACCTGCCCCCATGATTCAGTTACCTCCCACTAGGTTCTTCCCATGACATGTGGGAATTGTGGGAGTTACAATTCTAGATGAGATTTGGGTGTGGACACAGCCAAACCATATCATTCTGTGACTGGCCCCTCCTAAATCTCATATCCTCACATTTCAAAACCAATCATGCCTTCCCAAGAGTCCCCCAAAGTCTTAACTCATTTCAGCATTAACTCAAAAGTCCACAGTCCAAAGTCTCATCTGAGACAAGGCAAGTCCCTTCTGCCTATGAGCCTGTAAAATCAAAAGCAAGCTAGTTACTTCCTAGATACAATGGGGTAGAGATATTGGGTAAATACAGCCATTCCAAATGTGAGAAATTGGCCAAAACAAAGGGGCTACAGGACCCATGCAAGTCTGAAATCCAGTGTGGAAGTCAAATCTTGAAGCTCCAAAATGACCTGCTTTGATTCCATGTCTAACATCCAGGTCATCCTGATGTGAGAGGTAGGTTTCCATAGTCTTGGGCAGCTTCACCCCTGTGGCTTTGCAGGGGATAGCCTCCCTCCCAGCTGCCTTCATGGGCTAGTATTGAGTGTCTGTGACTTTTCCAGCTTCACGATGCAAGAGGTCATTGGATCTACCATTCTGGTGTCTGGAGGATGGTAGCCCTCTTCTCACAGCTCCGCTAGGTGGTGCCCCAGTAGGGACTCTGTGTGTGGGCTCCCATCCCACATTTCCCTTCGCACTGCCCGAGCAGAGGTTCTCCATGAGGACCCTGTCCCTTCTGCCTGGACATCCAGGCGTTTCCATGCATCTTCTGAAATCTAGGCAGAGGTTCCCAAACCTCAGTTCTTGACTTCTGTGCACCTGCAGTCTCAACACCACATGAGAGCTGCCAAGGCTTGGGGCTTGCACCCTCTGAAGCCATGGCCTGAGGTCTCCATTGGCCCCTTTAAGCCATGGCTGGAGCAGCTGGGATGCAGGACACCAAGTCCCTAGGCTGCACAAAGCATGAGGACCCTGGACCCAGCCCAGGAAATCACTTTTTCCTCCTAGGCCTCCAGGCCTGTGGTGGGAGGTGCTGCTGTGAAGACCTCTGACATGCCCTGGAGACATTTTCCCCATTGTCTTGGGGATTAACATTCAGCTCCTCATTACGTATGCAAATTTCTGCAGCTGGCTTGAATTTCTCCCCAGAAAATAGAATTTTATTTTCTATCACGTTGTCAGACTGCAAGTTTTCCAAACTTTTATGCTCTGCTTCCCTTATAAAACCAAATGCTTTTAACAGTACCCAAGTCACCTTTTGAATGCTTTGCTGCTTAGAAATTTCTTCCACCAGATACCTTAAATCATCTCTCTTATGTTCAAAGTTCCACAAATCTCTAGGGCAGGGGCAAATTCCTGCCAGTCTCTTTTTTAAAATATAACAAGAGTTACCTTTGCTCTAGTTCCCAAGAAGTTCCTCATTTCCATCTGAGACCACCTCAGCCTGGACTTTATTGTCCATATCACTGTCATTATTGTGGGCAAAAACATTCAACAAGTCTCTAGGAAGTTCCAAACTTTCCCATATTTTTCTATCTTATTCTGAGCCCTTCAAATTGTTCCAACCTCTACTTGTTACCAAGTTCCAAAGCCACTTCCACATTTTCAGGTAACTTTTCAGTAGCACCCCACTCTACTGGTACCAATGTATTGTATTAATCCATTTTCTCACTGCTGATAAAGACATACCCAAGACTGGGCAATTTACAAAAGAAAGAGGTTTATTGGATTTACAGCTCCACATGGCTGGGGAGGCCTGACAATCATGGTGGAAGGCAAGGAGGAGCAAGTCACATCTTACGTGGATGGCAGCAGGCAAAAAGAGAGAGTTTGTGCAGGGGAACTCCCATTTTTAAAATGATGAGATCTCATAAGACTTATTCACTGTCGTGAGAACAGCACGAGAAAGACCTGTCCCCATGATTCAATTACTTCCCACTGGGTCCCTCCAACAACACGTGGGAATTGTGGGAGTTACAATTCAAGATGAGATTTGGGTGGGGACACAGCCAAACCATATCAACAACCCACCCCATTAGATGAATATACTCCTCATTAAACTTCCTGTTTTCTCTTGTTTCCTGCTTACTTTATCAATGAAACCATTTTCTGGTTTTGACAATCCAGAATGTTGGTCTTGAGATAGCTGTCCTATACTTGGAGACCTGAGCTGGAGGAGAGATTTTGGCAAAAGCATGTGATTTTCTATAGTGCAGATCAAGGGACAATGATAGTGGTAGATAGATGGATGTCACACCAATGCAGCACAAGACTGGATTCCACACACAAATGATTAAATGAAAGGTACTCAGTGTGAAATCACCTTCAGACATGAAGAGTGACACTGGCCCTGACCAGACCTGAAGGCTCCTGAATCTGAGTCTCTGGCATGCGGCCTGAGCTTCTCTCTATCTATAGAAGCCCTCCAGGGGATTCTGATACACAGCCCAGGCTGAGCATCACATATCTGCATTGCAGTGTTAGCCCTAGCTAGTTCAGCCATTTCCTCTTATGAATGGCACTGCCCTTTCCATTCATATGAAGCTGCTTCTCACTGAGCTCTAAATTATTACTTACAAAAGTTCTTAGGACCTTCAAAACTCAAGTCAAGTGCTATTAAGATTGTGCAATGAGCCCATGAATTTAAAATACTTAAGCAAGCTGGGCACAATAACACATGCCTGTAGTCCCAGCTGCTCGGGAGGCTAAGGCAGAAGGATCGCTTGAGCCCAAGAGTTGGAGACCAGCCTGGGAAAGACAGTGAGACCCCTGTTTCTAGAAATTATAATAACAAAATAATAATTTTTAAAATACCTTAGCAAATTGGAGGGGCAAATATGTCATTATTTTGAAATGAGCTATATGTATCACATCAGGTTTTAATATATACTAAACACTAAAACTTTTTCCCAGATTCATTTCCATTTGTTTTCTACATCTCATTTTTCAATATTTCCTTAGCAGAAATCCAAGATAATCAGTCAATGAACATTAACAAAGTGATTCTATGTTCAAGGCATCACTACGTATTGTGACTCAAGGCTAGGCATTTATTTAGATTCTCCATTTCAGAAAGATTCACTAATAGTATTGAAATGTGAAACATTTATTCTCAGAAACAAAAGTCATTGTTTAAACTTCTAATTTTTATTCAAGCATGTACTTAGCAAAAGCCTGATGGTGGGAGACACTCCGCCCCATCTCCGTGATCCAGGTCACTGCATGTTGCAACTACTCATGTTGGAATTCAGTACTCATGGGTCAGTGTATCTGAGAACCTGCACTACCATGTGTGCCGTGACCATGGGATTTTGTTCTGCAGCCAGGAAATCAGCTCAAGCCCAACTTTATTGCAGGTTGGCTTTCTGTGTCCTCAGCACACAGAGACATCCCACCGTGAGCCAACCCTGCCTGTGGCTTGTGGCAGTACCTGCCATCCACAAGGACCTAGGGTGTAGGCCAGTAGCAGCTCATTCTCTCTGTCTCTTGCTCCTCCCTACATGAGCCAAAGATCACCTAGCCCAGTACCCCCAATCACAGCCAACCTCCACAGCACTGGCTACTTTAGATAGCACATGCCCCAGCACACCCAGCTCCAGACTCCAGGCCATCCCTCTACTAACTTAGGTCCTAACTGGGGAGATGGAGGTGGGAGACTGCAAATAATTTGACAATAGACACATTAACAGGAGAAAAGACAAGGTTTATTCACCTGTGTGTGGAAGTACTCAGTAATGAGTAACTCACTGAACGGGTATGGGTAGTAGTTTATATTCCAGCTTAATAGGGGAAGGGTGGATAGATAGGGCTTCTGTTGAAACAAATGGGCTTCGAGGGGAAATAAATGGGGGTATGGCAGTTCTGATAAAGTTTGGTTTATGCCATGTCTCACCCCAGGGCTAAGAGTCAGTCTCTCCTTCTTGGCTGGAGCCTCCTCAGAGGGGACTTATGGCAGCTGCATTCTCAGAAAGCTCAGCCTTTAGTCAATGAAGGAAGCTCAGAAAAGGCTTCTTTTAAGTTTAAAGTAACCTTTATGCCATTCTGATGGGTTCTTTAAGACTTCCACACAACTTGTTTAGGTAGCCTGGTTCATTCAGTACCTACGTCCTTAACCCTGGTTCATTCAGTACCTACGTCCTTAACTCTACCTTCTCCAACCGTTATTCATTCCTCAATCAAGCCTGTGGTGTCAAGAAAAGAAATCAGTCCTGCCACACTTCAAGCCAGCATTCCTATGCCAGGTGGAAAATGGGACCCTTGGCATTGCTCAGCTTCAGCCAGGGACAGAGCTGCCAGAGAGCCCATGCATTGCTCTCAGAAAACACATTAAGGCTCTCAGTCAAACATTGAACAGTAGAGAATATTTAAAAAGTAATGAGAAATAAATAGGCAATAGGAGAGGATGGAAATGTAAAGGCTCTTTATATAAACACAAGCGTGGAACTATCTAGGACCACTTAGTGTAGGGCAGAAGCTCTTTGTGAGAATATTATTATAATATAGAAAAATAAATGATGCTCCCCAAAGAGTCCTGGAGTCATTCAGAAAATGTTAAATCACCCTGACTCTATAGCAAGCCTTCAACTTTCGCAGAGAAAATGCTCAAAAACTTCAGTTTCAGCAGTGCCCAGCAAAGGGCAAGTGCGGTCTTCAAGGAGGAGCTGGGAGATGATGAACGATGGGAGGCAAGCGTGGGGACTGGCGGGAAGGCGGGAGCAGCTGAGGGGATCCCAGTGGACCCAAACTACAAGTTGGGGCTTGCAGGGAGCCTCTGCTGAAGGTAGTAGGAAATGTGCTTCTTACTGCTCCCTTGTCTTCTCTAATACTCCTCTTAGTTCTTTTCCTCTTGCATACCTTTTATTTCTGGCTAAGTGTTGGGCATTGTTGTACATTTTCTAGCTTGACTCCCTTGGGCAAGTTACTTTCTGTCTCTGTGCCTTTGTGTCTTCATGTTTAAGATGGAAAGAACTGCAGTGTTGACCTCCTAGGGCTGTTGTTAGAAGCCATTGAAGACACAGAGAATACTTAGAATAATAGTTGGAACTTGGCAGGCCCTGAGTTAATTCACTGCCATCATTGTCCTCGTGCTTCATAGCAGTAGCCGTGTTGCTGCTCTTAGCCTCAGTTCTTTCATGGGCTTCTTTCGGTTCCTTGGAGGCTCCCAAGCAAAGGTTTTTCAGCACCTCTGTTCTGTGAAAAAGAGATTAAGCATTTTCAGTATATTTAAAGTTATCTCCAGCCTATTGTGATGATGCCTTTTCTCCAAAACCCTTTTTTATTTTCGTTTTATTGTAGGCACAAATCTTTCTAATGCAGATGCTTAATTTTTCCCAAAAAGCAACTTACTCCTTTCAACAAGGTTTTCTATTTGGTCATCACATCTGCATTCTTCCAAGAAGCCCACTGGTAAATAATGGAACAATGAAGCAGTGTCGCCACTAAAGAGTAATCTGCAACCACACAGAAGCTGGAATCCCAAGTACCTGTCATTATATTCTCCTACACATGTGCAGAGTTTGATAAAAAGAGAGAGCCAGTTTTATTATTCCTTTAAGAGGAAAAAACTGCCAAGAACTCCTAAGCTTTAATTACCAAAATAAGCTTGCCTTAAACAAATTCAAACACATGAACACAAAGTAGAAGATCAAATGCATTTTGTGGCCCCATGCACATATATCTTCCATGAGCTTGTATCTTCAAGGTAACAGTGCTGCGTCTTTAATACCCATTAGCGCTGCACTGTCTAAATGGTGCACGCCAGAAAAGAGCCGTCTCTAGGTGTCTCAATGAACCATGAAAAATCTCAGGGAAAATGTATTAATATATTTTTCAGCAAATCCTTTGAGATGAGGATTCTCAGGAAGGATTTTAGTGCATTATGCAATGTAGTTGAATTCCCTCTTCAGTATTGAATATGCTTTGCTTTATTCCAAAGAGCTCAACCTCTTCCTATAGACATTGAAATTCATCTGTTTCATTCATAGCACCACGTAAACTTTTTATTTTTGTCTCAAACTTCTCTGATAAGCTTGCCTCTGCATACAAAAACATCAAAGCCTGTGGTGAAAAATTATTAGAAAAGAAAAGAGAAAAGCACCTTTAGTTTAAGCTTCAAATGAGACCAAATTGATTAGTCATCTGAGATTAACTCAGCCTAGCAGTGAGCTTACAGCAAATCACATCTGTCATCCTTTTCTTATTGTAATATATCTCTTTGAAACTTTCAGTAAATTGCCTACATTAAGTCATATCTTTAAGAGACTGATTAAATCTAAAGCTGAACTAGCCACTGCCCTATATAAGTCTTATTTGTTCTAATACAAAGAAATAAATTGACTCATGGGGAAAAAAAAGCATTATGAACACAGACCAAAAATAAGCCTCACTAATGAAAATATACAAACCCGAAGTGTTATTCGGTAATTTTTCTAGTGTTACTTAAGTGTTGCCAACTAGCAGCTGCCTCAGATGCCCTTATCTGCTTGAGTTTCTAGTGAAAAAGTGGTCCTCCATGGTGCCCAGGGCCGCCGCCCTAAAGATCATCAACACAACCTGTTGCTGAAACAAAGCTGAATTTATTTCTTACTGTGGTAAGGGGGACAGCACTCAAGGGAGCTTTGGCAGTGCCTGGGAGGAGGGAGATGAGATTTTGTGGAGAATTTGAATTCTGGTTTAAGGTGAATCTCCCAATGCTAAGACTTGCCACCATTCAGGATTGGTAGAAACAGGAATTCAGTATGTCTTAGGGCACAAACTGTCTTTTGATACTTTCCATGGAAGAGTCAGTAGGTTTTTCTACAAGTTTCTGGATTGAACAATCAAGTTATTTGCATTGGCAAGAATCTCCTGGAATAGTAAGTGACGTTAATGAGGACAGGGGTAATTAAGTGATGGTAATAAAACCATTTCTATCTGCATGTAGATTTGTTGTCTAGCTGTATGTGTGTCAGGGGAGTATTGGGCAGAAGTTTTAGGAGGGTACATAGTTTTAGTTCTCCATGAACTGAAAGTATATACACATCTCAAAAATTGCTCTGTTTCATCATGGAAAAAAAAGCCAGATGATATTGAGAAGAAATAGAAGCACAGGTAGTACAAAACCATCAATGATCTAAAATGTATTTCCATCTAACAGCCCTTTGGCTCCTGAGTCCACACCTGTACACCCTCTTCAATTCCTCCACCCCAGCTTGATATGGAAAGCATGATGGACTCTCTGCTCTCAAGGACCAAGCCCCGGCCCGCTTGAAACCACATTTACATAGTCACAAACACTGGGATTACCGTGCATGCTTTAAGTGCTGTGGGAACTCATAGAAGATAAACATGGCAGGCAGACAGTGCTTATTAAACGCACAACGTTACGTAGTGAAGAAGCAATAAACAAAAATTTAGTATTTTTAAAATCAAATTTTATTTTGAAGTTTATTCTCAGTTGCTTTGGGACACAAGATCTGATCATGCCACTCTTACTTGCCTTTTGATTAAGTCCAAGGCCAACAAAATATCAGACTATCAATACATATTTGTTTAATGAATAGTTGGTGGATATTCATGCTCTAATTTCATAGAGAACAGGTATTACAAGATCTATAGCTTTAAAAAAAGAAACCTAATTCTAAAAATTAGAGGAAATGACTCAACTCTCATGAAAAATCTTTTGCAATTCTGATTTCTCAGTTATTAGATGAATTTTCATATCTTACATACTTCTTTATTAGTCTCAAACATTTGTATTTTTCTATTCCTCACTTCTTTCCTAAGAGATGTAGATACAATCAAGAGAAGTTCCAAATGCATGAGCTTGAACCAGTGGCTTACAATGCAGCTAAAGCTCTTGTCAATGAAGGCCAGGGTTCTTGTCAGTTTATCTCAAATTTCTACAAGGCTACTAAAATTAACCAGGGAGCTGTGTCTCCATTTTTATATTCTTATTGCCCCAGCCAAATTCTGATATAGCTAATTGCTTGTCCCCCACCCAAAATTCTCTTCTATTTTGGTTAACTCATATCTCTCTGCATGATCTAAGCTTCATAGGTACCCATACCCACTAGAGCTCTGGCCATTGGGCAAATGTACTGCATCCTAGAGATGGCAGTATATGTTAATAAAGAGCCTTTTTGAGACCCTTGAGAAGGAAATTCACTAGCAATTTACTAAGAATGAATGCGCTTTTGTTCTGGTAGGGCAGGCTTTGTGGAAATAAACAACCAAAGGAGAAAAGCAAAGGCTGTCTATTCTGAGCTTCCTATAGCAAGGGGGCTGGCCATTATCACTTGTGTTTTGGCAGAGACTTAAAGGCAGAAGAGTGGTAAATATTATAGTGGAGAAAAGGGAAGCTTCAGTTGTGCCCTAATTGGAAGCTGATAGCACGGAGATGTTATGAGCCAACCAGAAGTGGAGCACCCCTGGTGATTGGTTGGGGTGTATGCCTGGCCTTCTCTGGTTGGTCCTCAGTTGGAAGCAGAGACAAAAACTAGGGAAGCTTTCATTTATGAATCACGTCCTGGCCATCTGGGGCCAAATGTTGCACAAGTTCTGAATAGAGATGGCAATCTGTCTTTCTGTGAAACTAATAGCAGGCTTGCTTCCTGAGTTGCTTATTACAGGTAAGGAGTTGGTTTCCTGGGCAGGATGCTCAGGTTGTGGGTCAAAGTTCTGTTTTTATGCATTGTCTGACCATTGTCCATTTGCATATTCAGTCTCTCCATGGGGACATATGTGAGAGTTATAACGTAATAGAGCTCTGGTTCCAAATTATACTTTATTTTAAATTAGTTTTTAGTTAATTGTCATGAAACTAAATATAGCCAGGTAATTTTGAGAAAATTATCTATTATTAGTTTTTCTCCTTCTGGTACTACATCTATAAGCCATTTGTAGCAGTAGATACAAATTGTAAAGGAAATCATTGTGGAAATGTAAGAAGCAGGCAGTTAACCAAAGGGAAACATTGAACGTAGCTTAGTATCTCCTTGGACCTCTTTTCACTGGGACCTGAGGTGGTGGACACTTCTGGGTGTGTTTCTTGTAGGGAAGGTGTTATTGACTCTGGGTCTCAAGGCCTAGGGACCAATAGACCTGGGTGGAAAAAGAACATGGCTTGAAAGTAGAAAGAAATCTACCAGAAATTGGTAGAAAGGGAAGAAGAAAGAGCATCCAGTTAAAATTCCATAGGCTAAAATATACATGCACAATTGTATCCTCTAAACCACATTAAAAACAAGTTTTCAGGAATAGATTATTGAAGTAGCACTTTGTTCAACTTGCTAGACTCCTTCACTGAAATTGGTTGGGCACTACTATGAGCCTGGCACTGGAAATATCTCCATTCTTATTTGTTAACAGTAGTCTGTATGTAGCAACATGGACAGAAGAGTATTTCCCTCCACTAAGACAGCGAATTGCTTGTGGCTTACAAAGTTAGTATTTAAATGAAACTACTAACTCCCAGGAGGTATAAATGGTGAGATATTTCCCCTTAAGGAAAAAGCACTTTTTATGTTGCTTTTGCACAAGTGGTATGAAACCCAGTTATTTATTGGACACATTCCATGCACAAAGGGGTGGGTTTGGGTGCCTGGATAATGGATAGCATTTCCAGAAAGAAAGTTCAGAAGGAATTTCAAGAAGCCTTGTAATGAGGGATAGATACACTCACCTACAATGCAGGGGAGATGGTTGGTGCACCTGCTGACTGGGGTAAACTCGCAGGCTTGCCAGGGTATCCGTGGGGAGGGTGATATTTCCTTGGCACTGGAGAGTTATCATAACACATTTGGCAAGCCTTACATTTTCATTCATTAGGTTTCTTTCATTAGGTTGAAAGTTAGTGTACTGTCTGTGCCAATGCATGTTTAGACATTTATTTTTCTCTGTGCAAATGTTCCTACTATTGCACTCCACAGACAAGTGAGAGGAAATTTGACAAGCAATTTGTATTATGTCAGTTTTACCAAATCACACCCTTGTCCTCCCCTCTAATCACACAAAAGCCTCCAAAAGCCCATGAGGCATGACGTTCCAGGAGCTTAGGAGGTTATTGAGGCAGGTGAGAAGTATGGAATAGATATCAGGAGGCTTTAGCAAAAAGGATCCTCCCTTTAGCTCCTTGAAATGCCCATCCCTTGACTTTCAGAAGGTGACTTACCTTCCCCCATTTCCAGCAGTGACCTCGTCTTACCTCGGAATCTCTAGAGCAATAGCTTTCAACATGGGGCAATTTTGTCCCCCAGGAGATATTTAGCAATATCAGAAAACATTTTTTGTTGTCACAACTGGTGTGGATGGGAGGGTGCTACTGGCACCTAGTGGGTGGAGGCCAGAGCTGCTGCTGTCTGTCCTGCAGGCTATGGGACAGCCTCACAACACAGCATGGTCCAGCCCAAAATATCAACAGTGCCAAGCTGGAGGAACCCGGCTCCAGATCTTGTACAGACGTCTCTCAAGGAGACCTGGAAACCTGGCAAATTCTGTCTTTCTCCAAAAGAACTATTCCTTCCAATCTTTTTCAGTAGGCATAGATTATGTCTACACATATGTGAAAATCACAAGTCTAGTATGCAATCCAGCCAAATGACACTAGCTGGATATAGCACTGCTGTGACCCTCTACAAATCTGTGCTTGAGTTGCCATAGATGACTCTACCTGTCAGCTCAACACAGGGGCAGTGTGGGGCAGGGATGTTACATGGCTCAACTGTTTAAGTTATGCATCCATGGGGTGGATGGTTGCACCATTAGAGAATATTCCAGAAACTCTTCTGTGGCTAACGCTCTCTGAAACATTTCCTTCTCTCTGCACAGACCCTGCTGTTTCCCAGGCAACTAAATGCAGTACCTAAAAATATATGCATGCAAGATTTTTATGGGGAAATAAAACAATATCACATTAAATTTAGGACTAATATTTGAGATCATGTAAATCTCTGAAGGCAGCTACCCTCACTCAGGGAATAGCTTATGCTTCAGTCTTAGAAACTACCTTGGGATACCTGACTGTTTGCCATGGTTTGGTTTGGGTGGGGTCCTGTTTTATTTGTTCATGGCTAAGTAGATGCAGAGATTGGATGACACTTCATTCAGGGCAGTGTTTGTAGAACATGGACCTTGATCCAGGCCAGTTCCAGGTTCTGGGAGCTCAGGTGATAAAGAGCCTGTATTTCCTTGCCTCAAGGAGGGTACTGAAGTGAATGGACCCTTGTGCTGTGCTAGAGGAATGCCAGGATTTGGGGATGGTGAAGCGGCCAGCAGAAGCAGCTTTGGGAGGAGCGATTTAGGAAAGCCTCCCTAAATGGTGGAACCCCTGAATTGAGCCCGGAGAAGTTGAAGTTAACCAGACAAAGGAGCAAACAATGCAGGAAGCGAAAACAACAGGACTTAAACCTGAGAGTCCCATCTCCTGGAGCATATTTACAAAATTACAAGCAGGGTCACCTGCTAGGAACACAGCAGCTCCCCAGCCCTGCAGGGGTCCTGTTGGCCAGTCCCAAGAGCTGGTATTTTACCTGGTAAGCAAGAGGGAGCTAGCGACATGACATGGTCAACAGAAAAAATGGCACTCACAGTCTTGTGCCCCCAGCCTACTTCTGCTAGGATTGAAGTATGTGATTTGTATTTATTAGGGTGACGCTGGACCTATACCAGAGCAGCAAGCAATGGAATACACTGATCTTTCTATGTTTTTATTGACCTGCTGATAAACGAAAGTCACGGCACATATGTATGCATGTATCTGTGCATCTGTGTGTATGTAGACATGGAGCCATACTCTTTATACCCCTAAATATACACATATCCTGTCCCTCTCTCCGTCCCTTCCCTAGCCAGCACACCCCTTGGTGGATAATTGTGTCTCTTTGGTTTAAACTCAGACCCCAAAACAATGCCTTTTACGTGGGAAAACAATACAAAAGGCATTTTTGCCATCGCTGTTGGTGGGGAACTGTATGTGATGTGATTGGGTCCCTGCGTTCCTGTAGAACCAGTTGCCCAGTCCCGCTTCCTGTGACATCATCCTCCTGGACAGGCAGAGGTGTGTACTGGCAGCTTTCCCTGCTTTCTGAAGCAGCCGGAGTGCCATGTGCAAGTAATCTTTCATTTCCAAGATGAAGAGCCTGTGTGCACACTCATCTCTCTGAGAGAAGCATGGCTTTCACAGAGGCACTCACGGTCATGAAACTCAGCTCATTAACCCTCCGGAAATTCATGAGGAGGCTCTGCTGAGAAGAGTCACTGATGACAGAATTTTAAACTTTATTTTCTGTCCCCAATAATGTTGGTGATTATGCCCATGAAAACGCATGGGCTTTCTGTGGCTGTCAAGGACTTTCTAGAGAAATTGGTCTTGAGCTTGCCATTTCGTCAGTGCTGGCTCTGTGCTTTGTTAACTCCAGGGAGCTTGAAGCCTGTTTTTTTGTTGTTGTTTGTTTTGTTTTGTTTTGTTTTGTTTTAACAGATTTGGACAAAACAGAATCCAGTGGTAGTGACAGTGATGATGGCAGCCAATGTGATTAACTGAAGCATCATTTTTATTTATTTTATTTATTTGCTTTTGCTTATTTGGTCTTAAATACCAAGTTGAGATATCATTCAATGAGATTTCAGACAGCGTTAAAAGTGAAATGGCAAATTCCGTGGGATTCCATATGACTGATGAGACATGATTATTTGTCAAATAAAGCAAAATAGAACTGTTCTTTGTGGTCTCTTCTTCAAAGTAGCAGCTCTGAAACGTACCTAAACCCAAAAGTCAAGCAGTGTGTTGGTTTAATAGGGTTCCTATAACAAAGTGCCCCTAACTGCATGGGTTAAATGTGCTGGAGGCAGGAAGTTTCAGATTAGCGTGTCACAGGGTCGATTGCCTTGGAAGGCTGTGAGGGACAATCTGTCCTAGGCTGCCGCCCTCGCTTCTGCTGATTTGCTGTCAATAGATGGCGTTCCTTGGCTTGTAGAAGCATCGCCTCAATCTCTGCTTCATCTTCACATGGTGCTTTCCTTGTGTGCATCTATCTCTGGATCCAAATTTCCCCTTTCTGTAAGGATCTCTGTCATATTGGATTAGGAGCCCACCCCACTCCAGTATGACCTCTTAACTAATTACATCAGCAATGACCCTGTTGCTACATAAGGCCGCATTCTGAGGGACTGGGGGTTAGGATATCAACATAAGAATTTTGGTGAGGGGGTAACAATTCAACCCAGAACCGGCAGCATACCCGTTTCCACCCCATCCCACACCAAGTAGCCCCAACAGCTGCTGAGCCAGCAGCCACCCTGCCCTGCAGCACAGACAGGGGACCAGCCACTTAATATTTCTGGTTAAAACCACCAAGGAGGAAGGTCCTGAGTCTCCAACTTATCAGTGGAAGACAGGAAGAGAGGACAGAGAAGGGAAGGGAACATTCTTTAAGATAAAGGAGGGATGGGAGAGGAGATAAGGAAAGTGTAGTGGGTGAGATGGTGGCCCCCCAAAAATCTGTCCAAGTCTAAGTCCCCAGAATCTGTGAGTGTGACCTTATTTGGAAAAAGAGTATTTGCAGATACAATTAAGTTAAGGGTCTTGAGATGAGATCATCCTAGATTATCCAAGTGGGCTATAAATCCAAAGCTAAGTGTCCTTGTAAGAGACACAAGAGGAGATGACACAGACGCAGAGGAGAAGGCCATGTGAGGGTGGAGGCAGAGATGGGAGCGATGCAGCCTGATTTGGTTTGGATGTTTGTCCCCTCAAAATCTCATGCTAGAATGCAGTCCCCAGTGTTGGAGATGGGGCCTTGTGGGAGGTATGTGGGTCACAGGGACAGATCCCTCAGTAATGGCTTGGTGCCTTAATGAGTGAGTATCACTCTGTTCGATATTGCAAGATCTGATTGTTATAAACAGAGCCTGGCACCTTCCCCCCCTCCCTCTTGCATCCTTCTCTCCCCGTACGATCTCTGCACACACTGGCTTCCCTTCACCTTCTGCTGTGGGTGGAAGCTTTCTGAAGCCCTTACCAAAAGCAGATGCTGGCACCATGCTTTATGTACAGCCTGCAGAACCATGATCCAAATAAACTTATTTTCTTTACGAATTACCCAGTCTCAGGTATTCTTTTATAGCAGTACAAATGGACTAAGACACAGCCCCAATCCAGTAAATGTCAGGAGCCACCAGAATAAATGCCAGGCCTCCCCTAGAGCCTTAGGCGGGAGCATGGCCCTGTCTGCTGATACCTTGATTTCAGACTTGTGACTTCCAGAACTGTGAGGGATACATTTCTGATTTTTTATGTCACCCTGTTTGTAATAATCCACTGAAGCAGTCACAGGAAACTAATGGAAAGGAAAAGAAAGAAGTACCATTTTCAGGGGCCCTCAGGGTCCCCAGTGGTGGCCCAAGGGGGCACTACCCTGAAACCCCTGAAGTCCTACATTTTTCTCCAGCTCTGCTCTGGCCTGACTCACATGAGGAATAGCAGAACCACCAGCTGATCCTGTGCTGTAGTCTCCAGTGACAGTTTCCTTTGAGCACCACCATCTTTCCCTGTCCCTGTCCACCACTCTGCTCCTGGATCTGTATTCAGGCACATGCTCACCTGAACTTGACCTTAGCAATGTGACACTGGAAGGAAAACAGATGCTGCATAAGCTCTGTTTAACTAATGGAATTTTGTAAAACCAAACAAACATCACTGAATCTTCAGACTTAAAAAGAAGCCAACAACCCATTTATATATATATATATATATGTATTTTTTTTTTTTGCAAGCATGTGTTGTTTCTACTCACTTTGAAAATAGGGTAGGAGGGACTGCTTATATCGGATTATGAAATGTACATAGAAAATATCGTTCTATAATATGAAGACCTCTATTTTTGCTGGATGGATGTATGGATTTGCATGGTTTGGTTTGGTTTGATGAGGCTGACCATAGTCACTGTGTAATAATAGTTAAGCTACTTGTCTACCAATGTGTAGGCTCCTGCAATCCTAGCAGATGATCACTCACCTCCCTGTCGTCTGTCAGATCATGCCAAACGGGCTTGACAGAGTGGCAGGGCAGTGTGCAGGGCATGTTTGGTGTCTGCATTTCAGAAGGTGACACTGCTAGGAAGTCATTCTTACCAAGGGAAAGGACCTCCTGTCACGGTACCTCATTGCAGAATGAGAGCAGACAGGCAGGACCATCAGAGTCCTGCCGGGCAGAGGCTGCTACCCCGCTGTACAACCTGCTGGAAGATGCAGGGCCTGTGCCTGTGGGCCAGTTACTCTCAGCCAAGTGTGAATGACAGCCTCTATCCCCTGCCTGGGCTCCCTAGTGAGGGAGACAAATAGATACTTAAACTTTTCCAAAAATTGCAATTTCAGAAGAGAAAACTCAAACACTGAACACTTTCCTGAGGTTTGAGCCAAGTGATTTACAGAAGCTCTGTGTCTAGTATTTTCCTGCTTTTTTAATCTTCCATGCAATCTCTTTTACTCATCAAATCTTTCTCCTTTGCTACAAGTGAAATCCCATCTCAATAAAGAAATTGCCACAGCACTGCAGCTTCTTTTCTTTTCCTGAAATTTTACCATATTAATATTGCTTGTAAAAAGTGGGTCATCACTTGGCTCAGATATAACAATAAGTCATTTTAATTGAGTGAAATTAGTTAAAATAAACTTTGGTCCATTTTTGGTCTTCTAAGCTCATTTTTTGCTTCTGTTTTTATATCTACTTGGTCTCTTTTTATTCATTTCATCATACCTTATGTTTTTTCTACCTATCTACTTGTGAACAGTTCATACAATTACAACATACAGTTACTGATTTTTTTTAGTATAGCGCAAATACAACTACCAAAGTTTTAAACTCATCACATGTAAATCCTGTATGTTTTATGCATACGACATAAGCCTACAATATGAATGCTGGAATCCTGGGTAGAGTAATAATAATGCTAACAGTTTCATTAAAAATGTCTACTGTGGTTAACTAACAAACATACAGTCAATATTATATAGCCTGAGACATTCTTACAGTTCATAGGAATAGTGTTTTCACTAGCTAGGACACTTGGAGAAATATCTAAAGCACAAACCAATTTTACTAAAATACATTTAAGTATCTTTGGGTTCTCATGTTATTTCTCTTGAAATAGAAATTCTGTGTACTATAAAAATACAAAAGAGGCCCAATTCCTTTATCCTAAAAAAAAAAAAATAAGCTCTGACCTAGATATAAAAAATTTTATAAGCTAACACTATTAAAGACCAATCTCGAAGTGAAGACAAGTGATTGGAAGTATTTTTTGAGAAAGGATACTATCTCTTTTGTTGGTAAGAACCATCTAAACTATCTTGCATCTAAGAAAGAAGATTACCTCCTAAACATAAGGGGGACAAGGCTTTTGTAAGATCTGGAAAAGTTCAGGCACCTGGCATGAAATTAGGGCCCCATTATATGTGTTAGGAAAAGAGATGAAGTGATGGTCCAACCACCCCAAGCCACACCAGGCTTGCTGCCTTCTTGGGTCTATTTCAGCTCTGGAGGAAATCCTAGATGTACAGGTTTTTTATAAGCCAAATCAGACCCTGGTGAACCAGTGACCTAAAGCCACCAAAGACTTCCCGGTATCCAAAGCTCAATTCTATAATTTACATTAGAAGTAGAATTGCCATGTGGAAACCAGCACTTGGCTTGGCTGGTAAGTCCCAGGACAAAAATTGACTTGGGCAACAAAATTACATGAGTTTCGTACAGTGAACTTCCTCTGTTTGAGAACCATCTTGGAATTCATCCATAAACATCTCATTGGTTAATAAGGAAGATGAAATTTTAAGCAAATAATTACATATCCTTCTTTAATGCCACATATCTCTCTAGTTTACGAAGTCCTCTGTGAACAAGGTGTGCGTGTATAACATAAGAACAAGACAGATGCATTTAGGAATAAAGTGTATTGGGGTGAGCTGCTCCTATCAGCCAACACTAAAAACAGACTAACATACGTCTTCTCTGACCATCCCTTTTTCATAGTAAGAGTTTTTCTTTTAGTTCTAGTTTTCATCAACATTAATTTAAGTTGTGAAATTACAGCTTCTGTGGTGTAAAGATCTGTGTGCACTTGGTGACATGAAAACTTAATCAAAGGAACAAGAACAGTAGCAGCAGGGCCCCAGACTGAGTCCTCAGACCCCCACTTCTCTGGAAATGGAATGGATGCCATGCCCAAGACTGCTTTCTCTATTCTGATAAGTTTCTCTATTCTCATAAGTTTCTCTATTCTGATAAGTTTGGCAAAACCTGTGCTTAAACAAAGTTGAACAGTTGGCTTCATTGTGTCTGTTGGTCTGCTCAGAGCCTTTACTTTGCTAATTCAAAGTAAATTTGCTAATACATTATAAATCTCTGAGATGAGTATCAAGTACAGTATTTCCTGCATTTATGTTGCAGTGAAACCCTATTTATAACATAGCACCTTTTAAAACTAGTATTCCCCAGACCTGCATAGAAGTAAATAACAACTGCAACAGGATAAATATGAATGCAATTTTCAGTGATCAAAGTGCTGTTGTACCTTCTTACCTTGTGTGGTCAAAAGCCTCATGCAATTTGTTTATTATCAGTAGACATAGGTTTGTTAGCTATCATCCTATCCTCAGTTTATATGATAGAAGGATAAATTATATACATCAGCAAACTAGATGCAACTTCAATGAATGTTTTTGGAATGACTGGCTGAATAAATGCATGACAGGGAAGGTGTCACACAGGTGGTAAAGGCAGTCTATCCCTGTGAAAAGAGCTCAGAGGAAGGAGTCAGGAGGGTTAGGCTGGAGAAAAGAGCTTCTGCCTAAGAGACTTATGGTCACCAAAGCTCAGGAGACAGCTCTGTGACCTTTCCCATACCATTTAACTTCTATTTGTCTTCTAGATAAATTGGAAATTATACCTGCCATTTTTATATCCCTAGGGTAATGTAAGACACAAATGGAAATAATGAATATGAATGTTCTTAAAAAAGTTAGAACACTACATAATGTCATCTATGAGTAACAGCATATGAAGAAAACCAACAGATGATTCCCTCTCTCCATATCCTTAATTGGGTCTGATTTTTATTTTGGCAGAGGTGTAAATCAATTTGGAAAAGCAAGAATGAGGGAATGTGATTATATAATTAATCATTAAGCCATTGCAGTAATCAATGAATTACTGCTATTCCAATGTCGCTCAGGTTGGAGGACTAATTTCAGACTCTATTCCTGAAAACAAACTTTTCTTCAGAGAAACACTGATCTCATCTGTCTCAGACAGACAATTGTCTTCTGAAATTTTCATCTTAGGAGAGTTCTTGGGTCTTTGCTAGATAGCAATCTTGACCTAAAAATAAAACACCCTTCATAGGTTTCTCTCCTGAAGCTAGAATCAGTAAGTTTAAATTTTCATCATTCCTTTCTGCTAAAATTAGTCAATGAATTGAGATAATTATTTTTATGGTTATCATGCTTAATAGTTAATCAAATTATTTAAATCCTGTTAAAATGTATCATATTAGTTGCTTGCCTCATTTTCAGTATTTCTCAAAAATCAATTTATTTCTAGTTCAAAAAGGAACTTCAGCAAATCTCTTGTTAATTAACTGCCATTTTTATTTTTAGAACCATTCTTATACTAGTTAAATATGCATATCTCAGCCACCTTCTTGCCCACAGTTCTACTCATTTTCTTAGTTCTTCACACTTCAACAGTGTGAGAATTTCTCAGAATCTAATTCAGTGAATTCCCCTGGATGAGACAAGGTGCTGAAACATACAATTCCTTTTGTCTTCCAAACAGATGGAATAGGTTATTTATTTGAGTATAACAACTCTTGAAAGAAATGCATACCGTATGCCATAAACCTGTAAGATTCTGCCTCATTCAATGTTATTTCTTTTCAGAGGATTGAGTTACTCTTTGAATCATTTTCTCAGACTAACTGCTTACCAATTCGGGCATGTGAAATAGGATCTTATATGTGCTACAGGTCTGTGCTTTTTGTTTTTGTTTTTGTTTTTTTGAGACTGAGTCTTACCCTGTCACCCAGGCTAGAGTGCAATGGCGTGATCTCAGCTCACTGCAACCTCCACCTCCCGGGTTCAAACAATTCTCCTGCCTCAGCCTCCTGAGTAGCTGGGATTACAGGCACCCGCCACCATGCCCAGCTAATTTTTTCGGAGTTTTTTTTGTTTGTTTGCTTTTTTGAGACAGAGTTCACTCTGTTAACCCAGGCTGGAGTGCAGTGGTGTGATCTCAGCTCATTGCAACCTCTGCCTCCCAGGTCCAACTGATTCTTCTGCCTCAGCCTCCCAAGTAGCTGGGACTACAGGCACGTGTCACCATGCCTGGCTAATTTTTGCATTTTTAGTAGAGATGGGGTTTCGTCATGTTGGCCAAGCTGGTCTCGAACTCCTGACCTCATGCAATCTACCAGCCTCGGCCTCCCAAAGTGCTGGGATTACAGGTGTGAGCTACTGTGCCTGGCCTGTACTTGTTTTTTAAAATAATGGTTATTAGAAAAAAACATAAGGAACTTTAGTGTACCTTCTAGAATTTGTCTTATCCTCTGCCCATTGCAACTATTTGATCCCCTGGCTCCAGCTGGTCTCTTCTTAATATTCCTTCTCTCTCTCTTTTTCTATTTGAATAAATCTCTAATCAATTAAAACAACAGGCAGATTATAAAAGAAGATTCATTTTTTAAAAAAATCAAGGCATCTCTTGAAATATTTATTTGAATCTAGCAAGAGCAAAGGGGCAGATGTGGAGATGAACAGGTCCCTTTCTGGGAAAAGGGGACTGGTATGATCAATCCAGAGGGTTGGTGTTGCCACAGCCATCGTCCACTGTGTGAAAGGAAGACAGAAAGAAAAAGCATCAAGATGAGAAAGGGGTTTTCTTATGGATTGTTGCAGGGGAGCCAGAATTAAGACCAGCCGTCTACATTTAAAACTAAGTACAAAATTACCTTGGTTTGTAAGGTTACATTTAGTCAGGTCATGCTGGGCAAACAGCAGTTTTCTCACAAGGTAATCACATTGTCACAGATTGGTATTGCCAATGTCAGAGATGATGTTGATTGGGGAGTCTGCAACTGTTAGGAAATGGGTCAAAGATTCATTATTTGGGACTACAGTAGAAAGGCGATTGTGTGTTTTGTTTGTTTGTTTGCTTGCTTGCTTGCTTGCTTGCTTTGGGATTGTTTCCCTGAGCTTGGCTTTGTCCTGTTTCCCTGAATGAGGACTGTGACAAGCACATGATGTGCACGCTGCCATGACAGGTGCAGAGCTGGGTACTGGTTTGCCTTTACAGTTATAATGCTGACGTTCTGCCCCTAAAATAGATTTAACCACAGGTGTTTGGTTAGCAGTTTTCCTATTTGTGATCATTAATTTGATATGTTGTCTTATTGAACCAGCTGTATAGACATAGGTATAGCAAGCAGTGTTGATTCATTCACAAAGACCCCTTAGCATGGTTATAAAAATGAGAGCTATATGATGTTAAATCTTGAGGGTTAACTTTTGTTTTGTGGTCACTTTTATATCTGTGGCAGAAATATTTGATTCTGGATTGCTGAAATCAGTAATCCAGAACTTTCAGATTCAAAGTTCACCTCTTCCAGGTTTCACATCCACTACCTAGGTCTCAAAGATTATTCCATCTCTCTGAGCTCCAAGTTTTCAGTGCTCCTGGCCATACTGCCTGTAGAGTTGGGATTCCCTAAGCCAACGTTCCCCAACCTTTGTGGCAGCAGGGACCAGTTTCATGGAAGACCATTTTTCCATGGACTGAGGTCGGTGGGGAAGATGGTTTCAGGATGAAAGTGTCCACCTCAGATCATCTGGCATTAATTAGATTCTCATAAGGCGTGTGCAACCTAGCTCCTTCACATGCATTGTTCACAATAGGGCTCACACTCCTGTAAGAATCTAATGACACCACTGATCTGACAGAAGGCGAAGCTCAGGCTGTAATTCTCGCTCACCTGCTGCTCACCTCCTGCTGTGTGGCCTGGTTCCTAACAGGCCATGGACCAGTATTGTTCCATGGCCCAGGGCTTGGGGACCCCTGCCCTAAGCTACACAACATGAACCAAGCCAGTGTCCTGGGAGGATGGTGTAGGCATTAACCCCACATATGAAATGCACTCATTTTAAATGAGCTTGTCATGTCTAATTACATTATATTTCCCTTTAAATGTAACATCTCTGGCATGGTCATTATCACAGATTTGATTTACTCAATTACATTCTGGTAGGAAGGAGGACAGATTCTAGGTAAATATGAAGGCCTATGGCTAAAGAAAAACACCCAGATTAGTAATAATAATAGTTAAATAATAATGTAACTATTGCTTTCAGTTGTTGTATAGTTTCAGACCAATCAATATATGTCATGATATTTGCAGGACTATTATAGTTATTAGCTTTTCCTGATAATTTATTATCATCATCTGTTTTAAAATTTTTAAAGGATTTTAAAAATGAGTTTTGAAGGATTAATTAGAAGATACCATTTAAGGAATGTTTTATTCTAGTCTTTATAAGCATAACCTGTTAGATCAAGCACTGGAGACAGAGGAAATAGACAGAAGGCTTCTATAACATGCCCGATTCAAATCAGAACAGTAATCACAGCGAAATTTGTATCATTTTGTTGAGGTAATTAATCCTTGTTTTGTTGATCTTGGATTAGTAGGCACTCCACTTTCTCAAAGTTTTCTGCCTCCAGTGCAAACAAGTTCTGGAACTCCTGACTCAGTCCCTTGGTAGTCTTCATATGTGGTGGTGATATCAGCTGATATAGGGATGCGTGTAACTAAGATCCAATTTTCTATTCTATGAAGTGTCGAAAGAACTTGTTAGAGTCCTTTAATCGAGCTGTTGTGATGTTTCTTCCAGCAGCCATCAATACTGACGCATGGTTTTGGCAGGGGTATTTAGGATCGTGTGACAAAAAATCAGAAACCACCTGTTGGTGCTAAGGCTGAATAGGTCTGGTTGTTTACTCATTATAACCACTAATATCCAAATTGAGGCCAGTTTAGTTTCATAAATAATTAGTCAGTGACGGCCATGAGAGTGGTGAGGGCACAGAACAATCTCCATGGCCTTTTAATTTATTCCATCCAATGTGTGTTTGGATTACCACCAACTGAAAAGGCTATTTTAAATGTGGAAATGGGATCTTCTTTTAAAAAATTGTTGACCATTATTGTGCCATTCTTTAACATGAAGGAGAGTGTGCCTCTCTCCACAATGAAAAGGTCATCACTGCTGAAGCATAATCATAATGCTCATATTTTACTCATCATAATTAAGTGGTGGTTGAGCTTTTCATTTTTTCATGTCTTGGCAGGTCTTTTTGTATTGGATTCTTGATGAACAGGACAGCTCTCAACATAGTATTAAACCAAATAAAAATCTACGAAATGCTGAACATAGCCAATTATTTCTAGGATCCCTTTTCTCATAAAGTGAAGAAGAAAAATCTTTAGTGTCACCGGAAGTTTTCTGAGAAACCGCAAAGATGGTTTAGATGTAGAAGATACTTCTAAAAGTTGTATTAGTTTGAGGCCAGGCGCAGTGGCTCATGCCTGTAGTCCCAGCACTTTGGGAGGCCGAGGTGTGTGGCCAACGTGGTGAAATCCCATTTCTACCAAAAAATACAAAAAATTAGCCAGGCTTGGTGGTGGGCACCTGTAATCCCAGCTACTTGGGAGGATGAGGCAGGAGAATTGTTTGAACGCAGGAGGCAGAGGTTGCAGCGAGCCAAGATCGTGCCATTGCACTCCAGCCTGGGTAACAAGAGTGAAACTCTGTCCAAAAAAAAAAAGTTGTATTAGTTTGACTGTGGGGGTGCAGATTTGTGGAAGGCAATTTCAAAAAGAGTTATCTGGGATGCAAGATATGAGTGTAAATCTGGAGTGGCTGAAGACAAGACGTAACTTCAGCTTGGCTCAGAATGATAATATTTATAATAAAACGGTTAAAGAAGTTATTAGGAACTCTAGCATTTTCATAAGCAAGGATCTTTTGCTAAATATTAATTTAAAAGATTGAACTCTAGCATTTCCACAAGTGAGGAAATTTTGCTAAAAGTGACTCGAGAGTAACAAAAGCGCAAAAAAAAAATTAACACGATATCAAGTAGGAGGATTTTAGTGACAAAAGAAGCTCTTGTTCTTTGGGCACAGACTATTCTTCACAATTTCTTACTGAAAACAGAGTATATACTCAAATATAATCAGAGAGAAAACCCAACACTAACTTCATTATTTTTGTACCCTACTCATGTAACATTTGCAGTAGAAAGTTCACAGGCCTTTTCTCTATCTTGTAAGTAAACTCATCAAAATTACACAAACTTTATAAAAGACTGTGACACCTTTCATTGTTTTTTTTTTTCAAGTTCATTATTTCCAGGCATTATAAACCAAGACAAATAAGGTTCACTTCTTCTCAACCTTTCCATAACTTATTGCACATCCTCAAATATGTCTTAATTTTACATATTAACACACAGCCAGATTTTTTAACCTTAGACACACTTTCTTCCTCGATAAACAAAAATGCATTCCATTATCTTACAGACACATTCATATTATTTTACAACTATTGTACCTAGTACAGTGTAGTAGGCAGAATAATGTCCTCCCAAAGATGTCCAGAGCCTATTCCCCCAGACCTGTGGCTGTGCCACCTTACGTGGCCAAGGGGAATTAAGGTTTATAATCAGCTAACCTTGAGATAGGAAGAAGACCCTGGATTATCCCAGTGGGCCCAATGTAATCACAAAGGTCCTTAAAAGTGGAAAAGGGAGCAGCTGGAGGCAAATGAAAGGGTCAGAGCGATGTGACACAAGAAAGGCCCATTGTTGCTAGTTTTAAAGGTAGAAACAGAGGGTTACATGCCAAGGAAATCAGGTGGCCTCTAGGAACTGGAAAAGGCAAGAAAATGATTCTCTCCTAGAGCTCCCAGAATGCAGTCCTTCCCACACCGTAATCTACCCACACCCTAATTGAAGCCTAGTAAGACCAGTGTTGTACTTCTAACCTGCAGAACTGTGAAATAATAAATGTATCTAGTTTTAAAGCACTGAACCTGTGGTGATTTGTTACAGCAGCATTAGAAAACCAAACACCGCATATTCTCACTCATAGGTGGGAATTGAACAATGAGAACACATGGACACAGGAAGGGGAACATCACACTCTGGGGACTGCTGTGGGGTGGGGGGAGGGGGGAGGGATAGCATTGGGAGATATACCTAATGCTAGATGACGAGTTAGTGGGTGCAGCGCACCAGCATGGCACATGTATACATATGTAACTAACCTGCACACTGTGCACATGTACCCTAAAACTTAAAGTATAATAATAATAAATTTAAAAAAGAGGCAAAAAAAAGATCAACAGACCACTAGTAGTTAGCTTAACAAAAAAAACAAGATCCCAATAAACACAATAAAAAATGACAAAGATCACATTAAAAAAAAAAGAAGAAAACTAACACATGCAGCATCTACTTTTCATGAGTTATAACTTTGAAACCATGTAACTGAGTTGTTTCCTCACAGACATAGAGAAGGCTAGGAGACAGTTGCCTGTGTGCACTTGAGATCAGCTGAGATTCCAGAAAGCTGCCTGTGACTCCTCACAATGTCCTTCCTCCAACAGTCTGATATATTGTTTTTGTATTTCATGAATTAGCAACATGAACAAGTCCAGGACATTTGTACATTTGCAGATATTTGAAGCGCATATATGTGTGTGCCTATGTGTTTAGTGGACAGTGTTTTTTCAAAAAGAGGACACTAAGAATTTTACTCAGAGGAATTTGGTGGAGTAACTCAGTAACAGATTGTTGTGGAATTCCCTAAGGTGAAGAAGAGCGACTCCTTCATGAAACAGCAGTTATTACAATTCAATCTAGCTGAACACTCGTTAACCTTTTTAAATGTTTAAATAATAATATTAGCTTATCTGTTTAATAAACCTAGAATTGGAAATCTTAAAAATTCGTATTATTAAAAATTGAGGAAACAAACCTAATCTTTTATAAAACAGATCATGCTAACAAAAGATTTATGAAATGATAAAACCAGGGGAAAGACATCTCTGTTTTTCCCCTAATATTATCAAATCAGTCTGATTTTGCAAGGATTTCCTTTACCTGAAAATACTGCATCAACTCTTTTTACCTTAGATACTAAATATTGAAACCTCTTCAAATATCCTTAAAGGTCCTGAAGTGTCTTAGTACTATTTTTTACCTTGTCTTTGCTAACCTGGTATCAACTTTTATTTCTTTGCTTTAAATTTTTTAACCTAGCTACCAAGGCTGTTAATTTAATTCATTGTGAAATTTCTTTGTGTTTTTCCTTGAAATAAGCTTTTGTGAAAGATGTTGTTGTTGTTGTTGCTGTTGTTGTTGAGACAGTCGTACTCTGTTGCCTGGGCTGGAGTACAGTGGCATGATCTCAGCTCACTGCAACCTCTGCCTCCCAGGTTCAAGCGATTCTCCTGCCTCAACCTCCCGAGTAACTGGGATTACAGGCTCCCGCCACTGCACCCAGCTAATTTTTTTTATTTTTAGTAGAGACAGGGTTTCACCATGTTGGCCAAGCTGGTCTCGAACTCCTGACCTCATGATTCGCCCACCTTGGCCTCCCAAAGTGCTGGGATTATAGGCATGAGCCACCAAGCCTGGCCAGATTTTTATTTTTTTTCTTAAAGGACCAGCAACTTAAAGCATTCTGAGAGTATTTTCATTGGCAATTTTTTAGTTTTCTTGTTGTAATTACATATACAAGGACTTACTTGTTTACATAAGCCAATCAAATTGGGAGCTCCATTTATCAGTCTCATCCAGAGAATAGAAAAGTTATACCAATTTCTAGACACAGAAAATGTTTATACACATACAACAGAAGAATCCCCAGCAAACTCTTGGGTAAGCTGGAGGATTCAGGAACTTCTGACTGGATGTCTTCTTATCTCATATGTGCTATTTTTTTGTAATCCTTGTCAAGTCCATTGTGGATTGAACCAGGGGATACATTTTAAGATTTATTAACACCTTTTTGTCAGCACATGTTTATTGGCATATTTCTATATTTCTGTGTGACTTTTCTAATTTTTAACTTTAAAAAAATTATGGATTCACAGGAAATTGCAAAGATAGTAAGGAGGGGTCCTATGCATCCCTCAGCCAGTTTCCAGCAATGGCTATATCTTATGTAACTATAACACAATAAATCAGGAAATTAACATTGCAGTATATGTGTACAGTGTCATCACATGTGTGGATTTGTGTAACCATCAAGGCTATCAAAATACAGAATTATTCCCTCAACCCAATGATATTTGTTGTACCATCTTGTCATAGTCACAGTCTTCCTAAGTATCCTAAACTCCTAGCAATCATTAATTTGTTCTCCATCTCTATAATTTTGTTATTTCAAGAATGTTATATAAGTGGTATCTTACAATATAGAACCTTTTGAGACTGGCTTTTTTCACTTAGCATAATACCATTCAAATCTTTTCACGTTGTAGCACATAGTGTTCCTTTTGATTGCTAAGTAGTATTCCATGTATTTTGTTTTAGGGGAAAAAAAAATAAGCACTCAGAACCTTCCAGATGTTTCCAGAGGTCAGAGATCTCCGGACAATCCAGAAGAGACTTTTCCCACATTAACAAGCATTCAGACATTTTCAGTAACTAAGCAATACCATTTTGAATGCTTCACCAATTTGGTCTGTAAGCCACACTAACCAGTTTTAAAATATATATTTTTTGCATATATTTTTCCCCTTTGATGATAGACTGTGTTTAAATTAGATATATTTATAGTGTGCAAATGACAGATTTCTATAAATTAAGCTCCAAATACTTCCCAAAAGAGAAATGAGAGACAAAACATTCCAGCATTGTAAACATCAAACAACCTTTTATATACAAAAGGAAAAAAACCCTTTAATCCTTTTCACACTAACTTACAGACATCCAATCACATGGAAATCAGCTCCTCACTTTTATATCATCAATTATTGATGAAAAGTAAATTCAGAGACGGGAGAGGATTCTAGGCTGATGGAGAAGTAGGAAGCACCAGGAATTTGTCTCACCACCTGGACACAATCACATTGGCAGAATCTGTCTATTAGTCAGGATTCTCCAGAGGGACAGAACTAATAGGATATATGTATATATGAAAGGAAGTTTATTAAGGAGAATTGGCTTACATGATCACAAGGTGAAGCCCCATGATAGGCCATCTGCAAGATGATGAAGAAAGAAGCCATCAGTGGCTCAGTCTGACACCAAAAGTCTCAAAAGTAGGGAAGGACAACAGTGCAGCCTTCAGTCTGTGGCCGAAGGCCCAAAAGCCCCTGTCAAACCAGTGGTGTAAGTCCAAGAGTCCAGATGCCAAAGAACTGGAGTCTGACGTTCAAGGGCAAGAAGCATCCAGCATGGGAGAAAGGTGAAAGCCAGAAGGTTCAGCAAGCCATCTTATCACACCTTTTTCCACCTGCTTTTGTTCTAGCCATGCTGGCAGCCGACTGGATGGTGCCCACCCACCTTGAGGGTGGGTCTGTCTCTCCCAATCCACTGACTCAAATGTTAATCTCCCCTGGCAACACCCTCACAGACACACCAGAAACACTACTTTACCAGCCCACCGAGGCATCCTTCAATCCAATTAAGCTGACACCTAATATTAACCATCACACTGATATAACTATTTTGAAACTCTGGAGTCTATTGAAGACTTAAAAATTTCAGAAGGCTTGGACAGTAAAGTACAGTATATTTGGTCAATCTCAGCTTAGCTCACAGTAGCTACCCATCCCCCACCCCTCAGCCCTGTAGCAGGCAGCTGTGCACATGTTCCTAGAGCAGCTTACTTGCAGCTGGCAGAAACCAGGGTTGACACAAAAGACCCCGTCCTCTAAATATCGTGGATCTGTTCTTTCTGCTGATTGCTGCTTCTCACTACAGTGACACAAACACAGAGGCAAGCAGCCATTGTTGCACATACCCATACCATGATTGCAAGCCCCTCTATCTTTGGCTGAAGTTATTTTCAGAGGATTTAAAGAGCTGACACCGTCACCCTCCTCATCCACTTTATGTTTTTCTTTTCCCTTTTTGGGAGCCAGTCATTAAAGACTAGCATATTCAAAAGCAACTGCATATACAAGAGAAATAAGAGAGCCAGTATGCATGCCCAGGGAAACTCTCATGCTCAGAAAACATCTGTGAAGATCTTAAGGCTAATTCTCAACACAGAGACAGCCTAAAACAGTCAAAAACAAAACAAAAACAAAAAATTACAAACCCTGGAAAAGAGGAAGAATCTGATTTCCAGATAACCCATTATTACATTCAAATTTTCAGTTTCAACAACAATAAAAAACCACAAGGCATACAATGAAACAGGGAAGTATGACCAGTTCAAGGAAAAACAACAAACAAACTAAAAAAAAAAAAAAAAAAAAACAGAAACCATAGCTGAAAAATGGCACAAAGGTAGATCTACTAGACAAAGACTTTAAAACAACTGTTTTAAAGATGTTCAAAGAATTAAAGGAAGATATGAAGAGAGTCAAGAACATGATGTGTGAACAAAATGGAAACATAAATAAAGGCATAGAAAACCTAAAAACAAACCAAAAAATTTAGAGCTGAAAAGTACAATAATTGAAATGAAAAATTCACTAAAGAAATGAAAAGGCAGATTTGAGCAGGCAGAAGAAAGAATCAGCAAAGTTGAAAGACAGGAAAATTTAAATTACTGACTTTGGAGAACAGAAAGAAAAAAGATCGAAGAAAAGGAGCAGAGCTTAAGGGTTCTGTGGACATCATCAAGAAGATCAAATACACACTACAAAAGACTCAGGAGAAAAAAAGTGGGAAAGGGATAGAGAGATTATTAGAGGAAATAATGGCTGAAAACTTACCAAATTTAACAAAAGGCATAAATATAAACATTCAAGACTCAATGAGATTCAAATAGGATAAGCTCAAAGATACCTAGACTGAAACACATTACAATCAAATTGTTGAAAGACATAGATAAAGAATCTTGAAAGCAGAGAGAAGTGACTCATCACACACAAGAAATCCAAAATAAGGTTATCAGCTGATTTTTTAATCAAAATTTTGAAGACCAGAGGTAGTAGGTTGATATAGTCATGGTGCCGAAAGAAAAAAAAAACTGTCAGCCAAGAATCCTATGTCCAGCAGAAGTGAGGGAAAACTTAAGACATTCCCTGATAAACAGAAACTAAGAGAGTTCACTACCACTAGACCTGCTCTGTAAGAAATCCTAAAGGGAGTCCTGCATGTTGAAATGCAAGAACACTAAACAGTAATTCAAAGGTATAAGAAGAAATAAAGATCTTAGTAGAGATAAATACATGGGCAATTATAAAGCTCATATTGTTTTAACAATGGTTTATAATGCTACTTTTGTTTTCTACATAATTCAGTACATTTAAGAAAAAGCAATTACTAGTTTAAAGGCTAGCATTATTGTGACTTTGTTTCCTAACTCCACATTTTTTTCTACATAATTAAAGAGAAATTTTCTACATAATTCGTTTTTAAAAACCAATTATTTATGTTTTTGGACACACAATGTTTAAAGATGTAATTGTGTGACATCAATAACTGAAAAGTGTGAGATGGAACTGTAAATGAACAAAGTGTTTGTATGTTATTGAAGTTAACCTGGTATAAATTCAAATTATAATGGTATAATGTTAAATGTAATCCCTGTGGTAACCACAAAGAAAATCATTAAACTATATAGACGAAAGAAAATAAGGAAATTAAAACATTTCACTACAGAAAACAATCAACACAAAGGAGATAGTGGTGCAGGAAATTAGGGACAAACAAAAAAGCTACAAGGCATATAGAAAACAGAAAAACGCTAGAAATAAGACCCTTTTTATGAGTAATTACTTTAAATATACATGGATAAACTCTCCAATCAAAGACAGAGATTGACAGAGTGCATTAAAAAAATATGATGCAATTATATGTTGCCTACAAAAAACTTACTTTAGATTCAAAGACAGAAATAGATTGAAAGTAAAAGGATATTTGTACATCCGTGTTCACACCATTATTCTCAAGAGTGAAAATGAAGTATCAACCCAATTTTTCGTCAACAGAAGAATAGCAAAATATGATATATACATGCAATGGAATATTATTCAGTCTTGAAAAGAAAGTTCTGTCTGGGTGCAGTGGCTCACGCCTGTACTGCCAGCACTTTGGAAGGCCAAGGTGGGCAGATCACTTGAGGCCAGGAGTTCAAACCAGCCTGGCCAACATAGTGACACCCTGTATCTACTAAACATACAAAAAATTAGCTGGGTGGGGTGTCACATACCTGTAATCTCAGCTACTCAGGAGGCTGAGGAATGAGAATTGCTTGAACCCAGGAGGCAGAGGTTGCAGTCAGCTGAAATTGCACCAGTGCACTACACCCTGGATGACAGAATGAGACCCTGCTTGGAAAAAAAGAAAAAAAGAGTGTACATTCTGACATATGCTACAACATGGATGAACCTTAAGAACATTATGCTAAGTGAAATAATCCAATCACAAAAAGACAAATCCTTTATGATGCCATTTATATGAGGTACCTGGTTGTCAAATTCAAAGAGACAGAAAGTAGAATGGGGGTTTCCAGGGACTGAAGGGAAGGGTTGGGGAGTTGTTTAAATGCTTTTAAAGTTTCAATTTTGCAAGATGAAAAGAGTTTTGGAGATATATGATTGTAGAATGATATGAGTCTACATAATATCAATGAACTATATACTTAAAATGGATAAAATGGTAAATTTTATAAGTATTTTACTGCAATAAAGAAGTTTTTTAGAAAAAATAAACTCAGAGCACCTCAGCAAAAACCCACAGATCAGTTTTAGCAGCTGCAGAAACAGGAGGGCCATAGAACTACTTAAACCTCGAAGACAAAGGAGTTGTGATGTTTCTCATCCGGGGTTGCTCTCCAGTCCAGCTGACCTTCTGGAAAAATATATTTTCTCTAATCAGTTTGAGACATTTAAGTTTATAATGGTGCACAACAAAGACCATCTACACATAGGACTCCATCAGTGATCAGAAGAGATCTATAGTAAGTGTAGGAAGGAACTCAAGTGACTTCCCTGTTGTCTGCTGCCTTAGAGAATGCAGGTCTTTAGACCATAAGACCACCACTCAACATTCCTGCCACCAATGCGAAAACCAAATGGTAGTATGCACATCAGTAACAAATACAGGCTTAGTTCAGAAATAGAAACAGAAAGTCACAAACACAACATGGAAACCGAAGCAGTCAACGAGAGCAAGGCTGTTACCTCATCATGAAATCCCCACCAGCTCCTTTCTGCACAAGCGGTCTGCAAGGAGTGCCTTTCTTGGGCAACATGGTTTGTTAGGTCTCCTGAGTGAGTCCCTTGGGGTACCTTGGTGTGCCCAACAATGCTTAACAGAAGAGTTCGAGAATGAAGCACTGTAAAGAGAAAATAATCTTTACTTGCAGTTTTTCAAGAAAATCTGGATTTAGAAAACTGGTTCACCAAATACAAAATACAGGTATTTGAAGGAAACACACACACACACACATACACACAGTGGAAAGGGTAGCAAAGTTACAAGGTTTCAGTTAGTCCATCATTGATGAAAATACAGTCCTTTTTCTGCACAATTATGTTATCACCAATGGTAGTCTCTTACCAGTATTGCAAAAATCAGACATATAGTCATTGTTACTAGAGACTAAGTAACTTAAAAGAAATGGCCCAAGGATTCATTTCTATTGGGAACTGTAGCAAGAAAGAGTGACTTTGTTTGTGGTAGTGGTGGTGGTACAGTCTTGTTTTGTATTGTTTTGATCTGACAAAGAACAAGCTTTTCTTTTTAAAAAAACAAAAGATGGAACGCCTCACAAATTTATGTATTATCTTTGCACAGGGGCCATGCTAATCTTTCTCTGTATCATTCCAATTTTAGTATATGTGCTGCCGAAGCGAGCACCATGATTTCCCTTTTTCAGATGTGAGTCCATGATAGTGGATCGTTGGTAGCACATTTATTCAAAATAGAAGCAAGGCAAGGTATCCACTTTGCTTTCATAAATCCAGGTATTCTTTGAACCTGATGACCTGCTTGTCTCTCTGACGGGATTTTGGTACGTGATTCTCTCATATAAGTAATATAACTAATTTTGCATGTTTTTCTTTGTGTGGAAAAATAACATTCAATTTATCCATTAATATTAAGCTTTAAAATTCACTTGGTTTTTACTACCCTCTGTGTTATTCCCGCGTGAAATCTCTGAATCCTGTTTCCCTGCATTACCTCAACATTTCCCTGGGCTCCAAGCCCTGTCAGTTGCTTCTTAAGAATTTCCATAATGGCTGCTCTCATGTCCTTGATCCTCCCATGACCACCTTTTTGTAGTCACAGGTTCTTGTTTGTTCCTGAAATATTATAGTTTCCTGCCAAATGAATGAATCACTCTATTATTTTCAGTCTGTGTCATATCTTTTAATCAAATTAAATCTAGAAGGTAGAGTCAGCTGTGCATGGTGGCTTACACCTGTAATCCCAGCACTTTGGGAGGCAGAGGCAGGCAGATCACTTGAGGTCAGGAGTTTGAGACCAGCCTGGCTAACATGGTGAAACCCCATCTATACTAAAATTCAAAAGGTAGCCAGGTGTGGTGGCATGTGCCTGTAGTCCCAGCTACTCGGGAGGCTGAGGCAGAAGAATCGCTTGAACCCAGGAGATGGAGGTTGCATTGAGATGAGATCATACCACTGCACTCCAGCCTGGACAACAGAGTGAGACTGTCTTAAAAAAAAAAAAAAAAAAAAAGAAGAAGAAGGTGGAGTAGTCAGCTGGAGCAGTCATCTATTTGCAGTGGTTACTGGTGCCTGCTCCTTTTGAGGGCCTAAGCAGGTCATTCCAAGACAGGCACTTCTTCTGCCCCATGCCAGGCTCAAACACAGGAGGAAGCTTATGCTCTGCATCCACAGAGAATCTCAGTGCACCACAGGACCACAGCTGGGCTCTAGGTGCCCTTTCTGTCCCTGGGACTGTGAAGAACTGCCCACAACCTCCACCTGGTGATCCAGCCTCTTTCTTCCCCAGTCCTAAAAGAACCCTACCTCCATCCATTTCTCTCTCTAAAAAGAAAAGGAAACAATTTGACCACCTTGATGGTGTGAAACTATAAAAAAAGTTTGAACCACCCACTTTGCAGTTTCCTGTTGCCAATGTGATACAAAAAAAGGGAATTAACTTCTTTTACCCTCTGAAGAAATCTCAGACCTCAAAGACCCAAAAGTCTGCCTGAAACAGTAGAAGGAGAGGAATCAAGATTCCTCCTACTGGGCAGCAAGAATAGCTTTTTAGCTCTTTCAAGTGTTTAGAAACTTAGGTTAAAAAGAAAATACAGGATATGGAACAGTTATAGAAGCACACTACCTTGAGTTGTAGTGCTTATAATTTCACTAGAAGTCTAGAAGAAGAGAACATTATTGTCAAGAAAAAGACTATGTTTCTTCCACCCTCAGTTTTACTATTCTGAAACCTTCCTTCTTAATGCACCAGAATTCTTTTTGTAAAATATCAAGTTGTTCTTGTTGCCCCCTTGACATACAAGAAAAAATCCTAAATGTACACCTCCTGAATCAAGCCTTCCATAATAACTCCAGTCCTATCTAACTTGTCTCTTCCCTGAACTACTGTTATAAACATACAACACAAGGTCACTTGCATCTGTAATTATTCTATGTCCCACATTTTATTATTTCCCTAATCAGCTTCAAAGTTTCTAAACACTAGAAAGAGCTAAAAATCTTTTTTTGCTACCCAAATTTCTTGTGAAGATAGGATTTAAATTTCACTGTAAAAAGACAGCATTTTTCAACACATAATCAAAGGCTAAAAAAGAATTGTAAACTTTTAAAATAATTAACAAACTGCCCCGAGGTTTTCTTCTCCGTGGAATAATATTACCTGATTTGTTTCTTTACTTGGATGGTCAAAAATTTGGACTAAAATATATTCCTCCAGATAGACTGATAAATAGTAGACTGATAAATAGACTTAATGAAAAATCTCCAATTGCCTAGTAAAATGTCAGTAACCTATATTGGAAATACTAGAAATAAGATAAATCCAATGAGTTTCCTCGACAGTAAAGTTGGGGTAAGTTAAATATAACAGTGACTCCTGGTCTTTTCCATACCATGGGGCACATGGAAAATGATAGTACTTGAATGGCACATTGGGGTGAGTGGAAGAGGCTGCTCTGCAGGGGTTGGGTACCCTGCCATCTACTTATTATCTATAAATAAACTAACATTACAGGGAGACCCGCATCTTAATCAGGACTCAAGGATTGGAAAGCCATGGAGGATGAGACTACATCTTCATATTTATCTGACATAATTTTCAAAATGATAATACCAACAAAACTAAAAAATGCTACAGCCAAATTCTTAACCCTCTCTTCATTTTTGGTTTTAACCTTGACAGTGTCCAAGGTCATGAAACCAGTCCTCCATACACAGTCAAGGGTGTAAATGTCCCCGTATATACAATGACTGGAGTATTTTTTCAGTTATTTTGCCCTTCCTTCATCACTTTCCTTATAAGAAAAAGGAAAAAGGAACACATTGATCATTTCATGTCTGTGGAGCTCAAATTTGTCTTCTAATGGTTTGTGGGGGTTAATGAACTGGTAGAATCTCCAGCATGCTGAGCCCTACGAAAGTAAACTCTTAACCAGAGTTAAGGCTGATTTAATGATAAATAGATAAACTATTTTAGGTGCTGTCATTAGAAAATAAATATGCTACATTTGGGGGTTTGCAGGCAAACCATTTTTGTCAGACACTTCCTCAGCTATCATCAAGTGAATGAACACACTTTTCTATTTCAGTAATTTAAGTATCAGCATTTTCTCTCTAAGCTAAAATAAGCCACCTAAACATAGGATAAGAGCAGATACCAAAATTACAAGGGCCTGTGTTTTATGTATCACTGCCTGGAATTAAGATATCATCGCCTACTCCCACAAGGTTCCCTTCCTGCTGCCAGGCACCATACACCAGAGAATTAAATAGCAGAAGAAGACTATTATTTATAGATATGTACATGGAGGTGAAATATTTCAAACAGCCTTTAGGAGCTAGCTAAATGTGCCTAATTGGGGGATGGGAGACAAGAAAGGGATCTAACTTTAGGCACTTGCCAATTCCATCTGAAAAATGTGAGAACAGCCAGCTTTGCTACAGGCACTCATTTACTTACTTCCAGAAGTCAATTAAAGGAGCAGAAATGGAAGCTGCAGGTGGGATAAATTAATTGTCTTGCAGGGCTATTGGTAATGCCTAAAGTGCTTTGTAAACTAAAAGTACTCCATAAATATGTCATTATAAGTACCTTTGTCATTGGGAATAGTAAGATTAATAATGTTAAAGTGAATTAAGGAAGCAGAATTGGATTGTATTATATTTTTCACACAAAAACACACCAAATTAGTAAGTGTTACCTGGTAGAACTACACAATAAAATCCCATCAGAGAGACAAACAGCATCAGGTTACTATAGTTCAGAGGACACATAGTTATAGATTGTCAAGTACCTCTCTCCTGCTTTCAGTGTTTCTCCTTGCTTTAAATGAATCAAAGCTCAGTACTCACATATGTGATCATGTTCCCCACACATTTTTGCTTTGACTGTTTTTAAAAAATACAGGCCGCAACATAGCTTTCATTAAGGTATTTTTGAGGGTTATGTTAGAATTCCCATACATTTTTCTTGACTTCTATAAACATCAAGCAAGAACATAATAATAGCTAATACCTATGGAGTCCTGTGTCCTTGTTCATTTCCATACATTCACTCATTTATGCTTTACAGCAACCTTGTATGGCAGGTACCATTATTGTCTTCCTTTAGAGATTGAAAAAACTGAGGCTTCAGAGGCATGAAATAACTTGGCCAGTGATTTGATCCCAGGTCAATCTAGCAGCAGAGTGGATGCACTGCCATGAGGAATGACTGTTTTTCTCTGTAGATGTGTGTAAAACTACCCAATAGGGAACATTCAGTGATGGGAAACAAACAATTTTGCATAAACGTGGCCTCTCGTATTCTCTTCTCCCCCATACCCACCTCTGCCACTATCTCTGCCTTCACCTTGACCTCCTTTCAACTCTTCTCTTTATTTTCTTTTCCAGGCAAATACGCCATGCGAGACCTAGTCCACAGGCTTCCAGGAGGGAACAACAGCAACAACACTGCAAGCAAGGCCATGTCGGATGACACAGTGACAGCTGTCTGCTGCACACTGCACGAAGTGATTACCAAGAACATGGAGAACGCCAAGGCCTTACGGGATGCCGGTGGCATCGAGAAGTTGGTCGGCATCTCCAAAAGCAAAGGAGATAAGTAAGTTACCTGGTGACGCCATATCTCTGTCCTGGTAAAATTGGTTCTGAATGTGCCTTTCAACTCCTGATGACGGGTAGTACTATGACTGTCACTGGAAAGCATTTGTCTCTGAGAATCAAGAGAAGGAAAATGGCAAATGGTTTCCAGTCTTCTCTCTTACTGTTGGTAAAATGGACTTGACGATCCAGCACACCCATGTGCTCCTTCCACATGGCAGCGACACGAGTTCAACCTGGATACATGAAGGTATTTTGTTGTTGTTCCTCTGTGGTGGGAAGTCCGTGTGTTGATGATGTCTCTACATCCCTCTGCTCTGTGCCTCTTCAGCTCTGCAACCAAGTCAGGTCCACCTTACCAACATCACAGTAGCCACCAAGTCATAGCAAGTCACCATGCAGGAAGGATGGGGGAGGAGACAGGGCATGATGGAGTCAGAGAACTCAGTTCTCATCTAGTACCCTCCCTTACAAGCTGTGAGATGTGGGGCAAATATTTAATTTAACAAGTCACTATGCCTATACTTTCCAATCTAAACCTAAGGGAGAGGCTGTCACAATATGCTAGCTGGAAGAGTTGATAATCAAATCTTAAAGAATGAGTAGAAATTTCCCAGGCAGTGCAGATAGTGGTGAGAAAGGAGGGCCTTCGTGCAGATAGAACAAAAAGAGATGAGACTTGGTGTCAAAGCAACTGCACCTCCTTGAATAAGAATGCCTCCTAGTTTTTAAGAACCAACAGTATCTTACTATATACAGCTGGAAAATAGCTTCACAAGCCAGCGCATCGGTATATCAGCAAGGTGTCAATTTTACAGAAACCTTCACTAACCTTAATTAAATTTTGCCTCTTGGAAGTCCCTCGATGTAATTAAATAAGATTAAAAGGGTAAACATTTTGTTATCAAGAGTCTATTTCTTGACTTTTCATTCCCTGCCAAGCCACCCCCACCCCCCATTCTTTTACATGTAAATGCTAAATAGTTTGTTGTTATTAAACACTTTGAGGGACGCACTTTGAAACTTTCTGGAAATTCTGTCTCATTATTTCACTTAATTCAGGATAGTACCAATGTATTATAGAAGATTCGGAGTTTCTGTTTAAGCACCCAGAGACCTCCAAATAGGCTCAATCAACAATTTTGCATTTGGATTTGAATGTTTTCTCATATTAAGTAGAAAAGCCCCACTGGACTCATATAATAATTGCGCAGTGGAGACTGTTGGCTTGAGCTATATCTTATGATATTGTACTTACAATAAAGTGCTATCCTACGTAGGCAGGAAACCATATGGTTTTCTTCTTTATTTAGCTTCAATAGACCTTTGGAATCTCTAATTGAAGTGCTTACCTGTTTTGAGCATTAAGATCTTAATATGGTAATGCTTTCTTGAGCATACACACCCACACACACAATAAAACCGTAGTCTGCAAAACAATCTGATATATTCTTGTCTATATTCATGAGACATTCAAAGATTAAAGTATTTTCTCTGAATTATACAGTTAGAGAGCTTTGAGGAGTGGTTTGGCATATATTAATTCTCTCCAACTTTATGAGCATTCCTACTGCAATAAGCATCACTAAATGGGCCTAAAGAGAAAAAAAAGTTTTATTGAGTCCTATGGTCAAATAAAATTATTTGGTGAAACTAATTTACAAATCACTCGAAGAAACCATCTATGAAATGATATTACAAATCACTTGAAGAAACCATCTATAAAATAATACAGATCCATGTTGCTAAGGTCCTGATAAGCCAGGTCCAATCTTGATTATTGTTAATGGGAAGATTTTTTTCACTAAAGATGATCTCATAAATGCCCTTTAATTTGGCTGAAAATTTACTTATAGAATAGGCGCTCATTCTGTCTTGTTGTTCCTTTATCTCTTTTTCCAATGCCAACAGCCTGGATTTACGAGTTTAATAAGAAGTGTTAAATTGGATTGAATCAAGCATCTTCCTGGTTACAGTTCTCCTGCTTAGTCAGTCTCATTCACTGTTTCATGTAGCTTATCTCTTTTTTTATATATATACTGACTAATTTGGAGATCAAAACAAGGTTTTTATAACTACATTTATCCTCGTCTCCTACCTACACTTCAGTTTTATTATTGCTTTTCACTGCTCTTAAAACAAAATGAATTCAGGAGAATTGCTCCAAATTTGAGCATGAAACTCACCATTTCTGACTCAATTCTATTATAATAGTAGGTATGGAGATTCCCATGGACTTCTAGACAAATTTTAAGGAAATAGAATTTATTTATTGAAAATCAAATTTTTGGAACTGAGGATAATTTAATAATTGGGAACGGTAGGTATACAAATACACCATAGCTTATTTATAAAATGATTGCTAATTTGCCCACCCTAAATTATTCCTTAAAAACTTATTTCTAGAAATAAGTTCAGTTCAAACCTGATTTTTATTTGTGATAGTATGGGAAAACACAGATGGAAGAAACGTGCCTTGCTATGATGCTCTAGTTTATGTATTTATACATGTTCTTTATATATACATATATATATATACAAGCTTAAATGTGCAGTGATGTTAATGAGTCAGATTGGCGAGTTGCCAATCACAGTCTATCAGAACTGCACAACTCACAGCGTCTGGCGGACACAACCAAGGGGGCTAGTGTTCTGTGATCCCACCGCTGGCACAGCTGTGTTGACAGCCACAATGAACTGCACCAACTGAAGTCCTCACCACCCCTGATGTGACAGCTCTAGTGAAGATCAAACTCCAATTGTGTAATTGTTATTAACTCTTATAGTAGTCTTATACTCGCCATTTTGAAATCTTAATTATTTATTCTTTTCACATCATTTTAAACATACATTATGGACATTCTATCATGTTCATCTGTCTCAAGAATACATTTGGTTTTTTTTCCCCAATTTTAACAGTTATATGGGAAGTAGTGTTGAATGTGTCACTATATTTTGTCATAAGACGGAAAAGCTATTAACAGTCTTAACTGTTACTGTCAGTAAAGAACTGTGTATTGTGGCTTGGGTTATAATCACTTGTCACATTAGAAACACACAATTGTCCAAGCCCTTCAATCAATATTTAGAAGAGTTTTTCAGGTAGAAATTTCCATGGCATCCATCTAGTGAATGCATCAAAATTAAAGTCTAAAAAGAAAGCAAAGTTTCTTTAACCTTCACATGTTAGTATAACACTGTGATGTATTGGCATTTTAATTGAGAGGTTAAAACCTGCTGTTCGTTACACATTCACAGTCTCTTTTGGTTTTGTAACTATGCAAAAGATAGAAACAAAAACTACACTTTTGTTTCTACTCAGAAGCATTTTTGCACACTAATTGTATTTCAACTACACTATCACGACCTGAATATTAATATATGTTTTTCTAGAGTTGCTTGGCTATTGTCATGAACAAATATTTAGCTAAATGATAAAATACAACAAAACATCACATTTAATCTTTGTTCAGCATCGATTATATGAGAATGAAATGCAGCTTCATCTGGATTCATGAAAGGATCTAAAATTCTCTGTCTTTAAGTCAAAGGAATTACAGGCATACCTTAGAGATATTGTAGTTTTGGTTCCACACTACTGCAATAAAGCAAATATCTCAATAAAGCAAATCACACAAATATTTTTGTTTATGTTGTAGAAATATCTTCTTTCCTTAAAAGTCATTAATCAACTTCTGCTAGCTTTAAACTTTTCTCCTGTAGCTTTTTTACCTCACCAAGCCATCATATAATTAAGAGAGTTGGCTGGGCACGGTGGATCACGTCTGTAATCCCAGCACTTTGGTAGGCTGAGGCGGGTGGATCACGAGGTCAGGAGTTCGAGACCAGCCTGACCAACATGGTGAAACCCCATCTCTACTAAAAATACAAAATAGCTGGGCATGGTGGCACACGCCTGTAATCCCAGCTACTCAGGAGGCTGAGGAAGGAGAATCGCTTGAACCCGCGAGGCAGAGGTTGCAGTGAGCCAAGATCTCGCCACTGCACTCCAGCCTAGGCAACAGAGCAAGACTCAGTCTCAAAAAAAAAAAAAAAAAAAAAGAGTCAGGGCCTTGCTGTGGATTGGGTTTTAGCTGAAGGGAATGTTGTGGTTGATATGATCTTTTATCCAAACCACTCAAACTTTCTCCATATCAGCAATAAGCCTGTTTTACTTTCTTATTATTCGTGTGTTCACTGGGGTAGCACTTTTAATTTTCTTCAAGAACTTTTCCTTTGCATTCACAACTTGGCTCACTGTTTGGCACAAGAGGCCCAGCTTTTGGCCCGTCTTGGGTTGTGGCGTGCCTTCCTCGCTAAGCTTAATCATCTCTTGCTTTTGATTTAAAGTAAGAGGCGTGCAACCCTTTCTTTCACTTGAACACTTGGGAGCCATTGTAGGGTTATTAATTGGCCTAATTTCTACATTGTTTTGTCTTATGGAAGAGGGAGGCCTGAGGAGAGAGAGGAGGAAGGGCCAGTCTGTGGAGCAGTCGGAACACACAATATTTCTTGATTACGGTTGCTGTCTTAGGTGGGTGCAGTTCGTGGTGCTCCAAAACAATTACAGTAGTAATATCAGGGAGCACTGATCATAGATCACCATAATAGATATAATAATAATGAAGAGGTTTGAAATACTACAAGAATTACAGAAATGTGACACAGCTGTCCCACTCACATCTTGCCTTTCCTGTCTTTTCTTCATCAGACACTCTCCAAAAGTGGTCAAGGCTGCATCTCAGGTCCTCAACAGCATGTGGCAGTACCGAGATCTGAGGAGTCTCTACAAAAAGGTAAGGCTGGCTTCACCTGGGCCCTGAGTCCAAACACTCAACACGGGACCCTGAGAGGCGTCACAGACGTGGAGGGCACTTTCCCACAGCCTCAGTCATTGAAACACAACTGAAACGAGAATCAGTGAAGAAGCCAGAAAAGAGGCAATGTGTCCCCTGAGTAGCTCCTAAGATCCATGAACTTTCTGGACTGGACAGACCTGTGCTCACAGGGTCTTACCCTAAGTCATCTTACAGAAAAGAAAATAAGCTCATTTTCCTGAGCTTCAGTATTCTACAGTAGACTAACAAGTAATGACAGAGGGATTTTGGGGAAAAAAAAATCAACAAATGTTAACAAGTAATTTTGGAAATATATATATATATATATGGAAAGATATATATATATATGGAAAGATATATATATATATGTATATATATCTTTATATATGGAAAGAGAGAAACAGAGCACGTAATTCAGGAAATCAAGAACCACTGCAAACTAGGAACACTGAATAGGAGACTCAACTGTCTGGCCCACGTCACTAAGCCCCTGAGAACCTCACAGTGTTACTGGCCAGAAGGAAAAAGACAGTGCTCCCAGTGACAAACGTGGATCACCAAGATGCTCGGCATTTGTTCCTCTCACAAGGCAGGCAGGAATTCATATCGCATACCTCCAAAGAGTCTTCACCCCCAACATGGCTCAAAAATCCCTTAAGAGAAAAAAGTCACATCTAGAAAGTTTTATTCAAGGCCTCATTTCCAAAATCTGCTCAATAAGGGGTGCCTAACTTTTCCTTTTTGGTTAGGAGGGGAGAATTTTTTTTTTTTAACATTTCCCAGAAGTTGTTGTTTTATTGTGACAAGGCCAGCAAGCATGGGAGTTTAAATTCGAGTTAACAAATAGGGGTAGAAGGCCATGTGCAGTGGCTCACACCTGTAATCCCAGCATGTTGGGAGGCTGAGGTAGGCAGATCACCTGAGGTCAGGAGTTTGAGACCAGCCTGGCCAACATGGTGAAACCCAGTCTCTACTAATAATTCAAAAAAAAATAAAAAGCTCGGCGTGGTAGCAGCGCCTGTAATCCCAGCTACTCAGGAGGCTGAGGCAGGAGAATCACTTGAACCTGGGAGGCAGAGGTTGAGGTGAGCTGAGATCGCACTACTGGACTGTAGCCTGGGCAACAGAGCGAGACTCCATCTCAAAAAAAAAAATATATAGGGGATAGAGGACATCACCAATAAGCGGGGAGAATGGCATAGGCATTGGTTTCCATGCAGGGATTCAGGAAGCACAAACAGGACTACAGAAGGGTGCCTGGGCTTCCATCAGCAACTGCCCACAGCACCCACCTGCAGCCCCCTGGCCACTTGCAGGGAGTGGGAAAGCCAAGATCATTGCTGCCTCCATCCCCATCTATAGCCCCCATCCCCCAGGTCACCGGCCACTCACTGGCCAGGGACGTGGGACCACAGTAAGGGGCTCACATCATAGGGAATGAGACCCATCTTGCCAGAGGGAAAATTTGTATTTTTCTAAGCAATGGGGGAAAAAAATATTTAATAGCTGTCTCAACTAAGTTAGAGTCTATTTCTAGATTTCCCCCAAGGCCTTTCTAACTTCCCTTAACTATTCATTACTTTGCACTTGAAGTTTTATAAAGTGTAGCCTATATATTTCTCTTTCAAAATTTTCCTGTTCCCTAAGAGGAAGTGTGTTTAAGTTGAAACAGAATGCAAAATTAAGTGGAAGTTCTAGATCAATGAGAGTCATCCCTCAGTATACACAGGGGATTGGTTCCAGGACTGCGGCAGATAGCAAAATCCGTGAATATTCAAGGCCCTATGGAAATTAGTCAGCCCTCCTTATACATGGGTTTTGCATCTCGCAAATACTGTATTTTTTATCTGCATTTGGTTGAAAAAAATCTGCATATTAGTGGACCCACAGTGTTAAACCCATATGGCTCAAGGGACAACTGTTAAGTCCTTCCCAAAGCATTTCATATAATGGGTTAGCATAAGCCTTTTATCTACAATGTTTTGGCTTCCATTCTATTTTGTTTGAAATTCCTATCCCAGCCTCCTTAGTTAATTCCTTCTTGAATTCCTCCAGGAGGCAAATGAAGTCTCGCCCAGGAAAGAGTCCTTCAGCTAAATAGGCAGCCAGAAATGAGGAACATGGTATAAATTAGAAAGGAACTGGCCATTCTGAATCAGTGGCTCCAGAAGCTCAATGAAATATTACTGCCTGAAATAAAACCCTCTTTCCTTTAGATCCTGAACGTTTCCTGTTTGCTGAAATAAACCTTCTGATACTTCTGTGCATTGAAGGGAAGCAGCTTTTAGACACTCTCCAGGCTCTTTCTTGAATAGTCATATGAGTCTTCCATCTTAATGTTTTTCATTGTTGTTAGTAGAGTTCAAAAAGCATAATTGTCTGTCTATTTCCATGAAAAAAAGAATGTGTTGACAGGAATTTAATGGAGCTAAAACTCAAGAGTTGAAGATGCTTAAAATATGTTTCATTTGAAGAGATTCAAGAAGGATGGACTGGACAAATGAATGGTGATGTTTTCAGTGGACCCATGATTTAAAAATATCGAGAAAGAGCTGTTCTTAATAATTACCAAATTATGCAGTTGTGAAATGAAAGGAAGATCTTTGTGCCCAGTGTCATAAGTGCTGCTAATAGCAAAGCTCAAAATTCAAAAAAGCTTTCCTTTTGAAAAGCTCCTTTGTGAGAAAACCAAATTCATTCATCTTTATGAATTGTTTTTAATCAGTGGGGAAATAGATTTCTATTTTGTTCTTCACTGACAATTTGCATATCATTGAAAAAATGTCTGATCCATATCTTTTAATTATCCATGCTTCGAATCTATTTATTAAACATCTATTCTAGGCTTAGCAAAGGAAGCGTTCCAAAGGAAAACATAAGATATGGGAAGGAGGTACTAGGGGTAAAGATGAAATATGAAACTATAATGGGCAACTTCATTCAGTTCTGAATTACATACTACAAATTTTAAAGCATGAATTAAGGGAAAGAAACTTATAGACCAAATCTGGAGAGGCATTTATGGAGTTTGCATAATTAGGAGGTAAGAGATAAGGACATTATGGATAAAAGGGAAAGTGTGAGGGGAGAGATGGGAATTGGATTGAGAGTTACATGTCCGTGGAACAGAATTCGGCGCCATCTGTCATGCTCATTTTCTTGTCGAACCCAGGTACAGAGGCCAGAATGTCATTTCATTAGCTCACCTACTTTATGTTATCTAGGGAGACACATTCTGATTCAAATCAGAATATTCTTCCAGCTGGGTGTATTGATTAATATAAAACTATGTTTGATTCATGCTGCATTTGGAACCAAAGCATATTTGTATCATCGGAACCTTTGACTTTTGTGAAGCTTGGCCTTCTGGGTTATTTTGCCCTAATGGAACATCAACAGATGTAGGAGAATGTGATCACTTGCAGGCTAAAGAATGCATCACCCTTTTAAAGCCAGTCTTTAAGTTTAGATAACCGCAAATAGAACTTAGATGTTTTGTGTCATTGCAGAGGATATTTTCTAAAGGAAAAGACGATGTGCCATGGGAAGAGACTGGATGTCGGGGTACAAGAGAAGTAGGAGATGGAAAGTTCTTGACTTTTTAGAACCTTGGGACTTAAAAAGAAATGGAGTGACTGAAATAATAGGGTGCTTATGTTTGACTATGGTTGGGGAACTGTCAGGATGGCTGGTTTTGAAGGAAAGAAGATGGGTGAGGGGGAGGTCATAGAATTAAAAGATTATAGAAATCATCATGTATAAATTCTTAGATGATACCTTAATAATCTGCACAACATCTCCAAGAAGTAGTTGCATTGGTTGGGACCCAAAACTATAGGAGCTGAGACTACACAGGGATCCCTTTCCCTCTCATGGAGCTGTACGTGCTCAGGCAGGTGGCCCAAGGCCAGCAGGTGACCTTGATGCCTGTCACATTGCTCTGCCTTGCAAAAGAAACATCATTCCTGCCTGTGTAAGCAAAGCACCCTGGCTCTGCCCACTTCTCATTCCAGCCCATAGGGTGAGAGAGGGGAGAGGGGAGGGCAAGTGGCACAGAAGTTGCCAGTCTCGGGCTCACACCCCGGGGTGAGAGCTCAGTCCCATCGCCACAGCCCCCTGCCAGGGAGGATGGGGACAGGGGGCTGCATAACCCCTGCAAAAGGTTTGTGGCAGGAGAAGAAAGGCAGTACCGTTCCAGCAGTCATTTTCTTCCCAAATGGCTTTAATGTCAGCTGTAATCACAACCTAATGAGGCATGTTATCCCATTTTGGGGTAACTGTAATCATCCAAAACTTCTTACTTATATTAAGCAAAAATCTCATTATTTGCAACTTCTGTCCTCTAAAAGCTGTACTGGAAAAGTCTAATCTGTCTTCTCTGCAATAGCCTTCCTGGATTTGAAGCTAGCCATCTTTATCTACAAGGTCATTTCTTTTCTAGGTCTAAAATGTGTAGGGGAGGAAAAGAAATATCCTCCCTCACCCATCACTAGGTTCATGGCTGAAGCCCCTATAATGAAAGACAAATTATAGTAACAAGAGAAAAGCATACAAAATTATCTATATAATTAGAAAATTACATGAGATAATTGCATGCCAATTAATTATATGAGAACCTCTGTAAGGAAATAAAGGCCCAAAGAAACAGGTAAACTTGTGTATTTTTATGCTTAAGTTTGATGGAGAGTGGACACCCATGGAGAAGTCTGATTGGAGGACAAAAGGGTATGATCTAATGTTGATAAACAAGGAGATCTTACGGATTCCTCTGTGGGCCCCTGTGAGTTCAGAGATAAGGCTGTTCCTTTGCTCCAGTATAAGGAGGCACCTCTCGAATGAGGGTTTTATGACCTGCTTAAGGGAAGAAGCGTGAGGGGAAGGTGAGAGAGATCTTTCTGCCTCTGTTGTTTTCCCAAATGCCAAGGTGCCATATTTGGGGTTAGCATGAATCCCATCACATGCTGAATTCTAATATGTCAGCCTTTCCACAGCCTTCACCATGCTATCCTTTTTTGCCAAATGCATGTAAGTTTGTTGGTATCCCTTTGGTAATATAGCACCCCAAAATGAACGTATTCCTCCAAGCTTGTTTGAAGCAGAGGAGAATAGACAGAGACTATGCTTTCCTGATGAGGGACACTCAACTTCTACTCATAAAACTGGAGATCACATTGGTGTCTGAAAGGCTCATCCTACAATTTGGTGAAATACAAAGAGTGCATGGCCAGGGGTCCACAGCACAGCCCTGCCACTTACCAGCAGCATGACCTTGGGCAGGTGACTTGAGACCCCTTGTCCATCAGTGTAAGAACTGACTTCCGGCAGCCCTCTGGCCACCTCTGCTGAGGGGCGGAACACCATGAGTAGCCCTCCGATTCACCAGGTTTCAGATGCGCTAGGGTTGCTTGGCAGCCGGTTATCTGTACCTGATAAGCAGCCATTCCTGATGAAGAGCCACCAGGAAAGTAAACGACCTCTTAAAATGGTCTCTGGCTATTCTTAGACCTGGCAGCATGTTCTCTGGAAGCAGCGGGACAAGCCCTCAGATCTTTGGAGGTTTGGAAGCCTGGGTCACCATGATGCCTTCCTTCCACTTTATGTATCCAAGTCTGTATCTTTCCTTGACCTTTGTGTTAAAGAACCTTCATGGCCTTTCATGAAGTCTGTGGGCATCTCTCCCTCAATCCCACCCCCTCCCTTGGTTTTCCCATCCATGATGGGAAAGCCATAACACTTGCCTCAGTGGATTGCTGATGTCTCAAATGGAACAGCAGTCATCACAGTGCTTTGTAAAATGGAAAGTAATATATCCATGGGAGTTGCTGCCATTAATTCAACAACCCTTTTCCAAGCTGTTTGATTGGCAAGTGCCGTCTCTGCCATCCTGTCCACAGGCAGCTGAAGGTTTGGATCTGAGGATTTCATTTTATCATCATCATCATCATCATCACTAGTCACCTCTGCCTACATTTTTACAGCTCCTCTCCCCCTGGTCTCTCTACTCTGTCTCCTCTAGTCCCACTGTCTTTCTGCTTTCCCACGGTCTTTCTCCTTTCTCCCATGCAGCTCTGCCTGCTAGCGATATTCCTATAGGAAACAGAGTCCCATGTTTACAACAGAGAGTGCTAGGTGCTGAAAGCTGGTGATCAGAATGGAGGGGATGCTACCTGCATGCTTCCGTGCCCTTGCCTCTCCGTGGACTGCTTGCCTGGAAGACAAGCCAGGCCATTCAAACAGACCCTGTAAAGTTACTATGGAAAGGGTCAGGGCAGTCCCTGTTGTTAAAGTGGTAGATGATTTTTCCAATGTTCAGCTTATGGTCCTGAAGCTCATTTTGCTCTAAGAATCTCAAAGTGCTTCAGAGAGAACAGCGTCCACTCAGTATCTCTCCGAATGAATTAAAATCCATAGTTCAGGCGGGGCATGGTGGCTCATGCCTGTAATCCCAGCACTTTGGGAGGCCGAGATAGGCGGATCACTTGAGGTCAGGAGTTCAACACCAGCCTGGCCAACATGGTAAAACCCCATCTCTACTAAAAATACAAAAATTAGCCGGGTGTGGCAGTGCAATCCGCCTGTAATCCCAGCTACTCGGGAGGCAGAGGTGGGAGAATCGCTTGAACCCAAGAGGTGGAGGCTGCATTGAGCAGAGATCACACCACTGCACTCCAGCCTGGGTGACAGAGTGAGGCCCTGTCTCAAAAAATAAAAATAAAAAATAAATAAAATCCATAGTTCCTAAGCGTATGGATCAAATCACAGGTAGATCAGACGTCAGACCCAACCTCTTGTTGACAAGCAATGGGGTTAGAAACCAGATGCATTATCCCTCCTAATATTAGTGGTCTGGTGTTTTTATGGTTGTGCCCCCCTCCACTCCACCCCACACACAATGTTGTTATCTTGCACAGTGAGCTCATGTCTTGAAGAATGCCAGACTGCCTGTGCTTGAAACAGAGTAAGATCATATTTCTCTGAATAGAGACACTGTATTCACTCTTGCCTTCGTGATGAGAGAAAGAAAACGTAAAACTAATCTTTCAATGTCCTTCCTTTTATTGTCAGAGAAGATAGACTCTTGGGTTGCACAGCAAGTGAAGAATGAGCTTTGATGGGAGTGGAGTCATGCCCTTCATGGCCTGTCTCACACCAGGCTCTCTTTCCTTACTGCTCTTGGATTCATTTCATTGGCTCTTGCGGCCATTGCACTCACAAAACAAGAAATCAATAAGTAATTATAGATGGGTAAGGGAATGCCTGTAGATTTCCTCACATGTCCAAATCAGAGTGGATGAAGGAGTGAATACAGCCTTTTGTCATCTTTCGCAGCTTGCTTGTGGGAGACTGACCACTCTACATAGATGAGCCAGTAGCCATGGCCCTGCAAACTGAAGTCATGTTCTCATGTTTAACATTACTCCATCACCCTCATCTGCTGGACATTTGAAAAACAATACCAGATTCCAGTGAGAATTAGAAAGATACTTTGAAATATTGTCGAGGAAAAACACAATATAGTCAAAATTCATAATTTTATTTAAGCTTTGCAGTATGAAGGGTGAGGAATACTGAAGGGCTTTAATATGTCTTCCAATATGTTGCCATTTTGAGAATTAATAGATTCTACTTTCTGGGTATCTAAGATAGGGATGAAAAAGCAGTAAATCCTCTATAGAAATAAACTACCAAATGTAGAGCTGTCATTTTATCAAGGAAATTGCTTAATGGGAATTTATTAATCTTCCTACTGTGCTGGAAAATTCTTCAACAACAGATTATTGGAAGAACATAAGGACTTTCAGCCAGATTTTAAAACAACCCAAGGCTAGTGTCCACAAGGTTTGCAATTGTAGCTCCTCAAGTTCTTTCTTTTCTAAATCACTTGATGTCAAGTAAGGGTAGAAAACAAAAAGGCTAAGGTTAAACTCAGCTACCATACTGTCTCCTTCATAAATCTGGACGTTTACTTGTTGATGTTTGGTATTGACAAAGAAGGTCTTTCTTCACAAGGTCTCCTGACCTCTCTGAGACAACTCTCAGACACTCATATGATATCTGTCCAAAAGCAAAGGCACAAATGGGAAAAGAAGCAAAAATCAATTGTGCAAAAGTGGAAATCAATGCACATGGCAGTTGCTAAACAAGAAGTCACTAAGTTACAGCTGTTGCTGGGATAGATCCCCAAGTCAGGGGAAATCCCATATAGCAGTACCCAAACTAAACACTTCCTCTATAATTCCACCATTTCACAAGGCTTCGCTCGTAACATTTTTGAATCAAACCCTACAAAAATACCCCAGAGACAAAAGGCAGAATCAAAGGACCAGATCAGGAGCTAGTAAACTCAGTAAGTTTAATGTAAGTCTACATCCATTCTTCTCACTTACTTTGGGGCAATTAACTCAAACTTACTCCCTCGTTTTCTGGTGGATCCAGTAGATTGGGTGATATCACATCTTTGAGAACTCGGTGTGCTTGAGAGACAGCGTGATCAGTTTCTTCTCTCTTCCCAGCTCCATCTCTTCTCCCTCCCCTTCTCATAAGCTGTGGCTTCCCCTGTCTCAATGCCTCCCAATGAGGTTGAGCTAAGTGGGAAAGGAGACTCAAGGAGAGGAGAGCAGAACCTGACCATCTTGGTTATATCCTGGCTCTGGTACACTCTGCCCATGGGAGATGTCTGCTGGCTAGCTCCATCTCTCATGAGGGCAGTGGGGTGGGTTGCTCAGAAGTACCACCCTGCAACCAAGGACCTCCCAACTGGGGATGCCTGACCTCCACAGCCATCCGCCTCAGAATTCTCAATCAGCCTCAGACTACACACAGACCAGGGAAGATACAAATTTTGTGCCCCTGTAGCTTTTGTCATTTTGGAAGTCCTATTTAAGAAGAAGAGTACACTTTATGAATATAAAATTAGGTACAGACCCTGGAAGGGGCCCATGCGATGGGCGGGCATGAAAGTTCATGGCTCCATGGTCAGTTCACCTCTGGCACTGAATCTCTGTATTGCCCCGCTAATGCCACTGAAGACACCAGGCCTGCCACCCCCAAACTTCAGGGAGCTCATGGTGAAGGTCTTTACATAGTCCACTCCCTGGGCTTCTGGAGAGGGAGGCTGAGGAATCCCCAACCAATTGATTACTTCCAAGGAAGTTCTCACCACCAGCCGCTTCCACCCTCAGCCTAATCTTATATAATCTGGAGTTGAGTCATATGCTAATACTGCAGAACCCTATTTTGTCCACCATTTTTGCAACTCCGAGTGGAAGGTCTAAGACTTCGAGAAAGTGGGGCAAGGGGGCATCTATTATTCTTTGCCTTGCTTGGGACCTTAGCCAGAACAGAGACGATAAGAAAATTACATTAACATCCTGGCATACTACCTTATCATCAGTATTTAATTATCTACAAGTTTTCTAGAGAATCTGTTTCCTTGCCTTTTCCAGCTTCTAAAGGCTGCCTGCATTCCTTGGCTGGTGGCCTCCTTCTCCACCATCAGAGGCAGCAGTACCGCATCTTTGAAATTTCTTTGCTTATGTTGTCGTACTGCCTGCTCTGTGACCCCCCAAATCTCTCTTATAAGGAACAACCCTTGAGATGACATTGGGCCTACTGGGATATTCAGAATGATCTCTCCCTTTCAAGGTCTTTAACTTCATCACATCTGCAAAGTTCCTTTGGCCATTTAAGGTAGCATATTCACCGGTTCTGGGAATTAGGATGGTGACATCTTCTATGGGGGAGGCAGTATTATTCAGTCTCCCACTCCCTCTCACATAAAAGCCTGAGTGTAATGATCAAAGTCTGATATAACGCCTGCCAGAGCCAGGGGTTTGGCTCCTCCTAACTCCATGCTCACCACCTCTGGAGTGTTGCCCTCATCTGTATTATCCACATTGGCTATCAGTTTGCCCACATTCCAAACAACTGGAATGGAAAAGAGCCAGGGAGGGCATGCCTTTTTCTTTTAGAGACAAGAATGTAAATACTTCCAGTTCTTAATCAAGTGGCCACCCACATCTCCCTGTCTAGGGGCTTAACTGAAAAGCCGAGTTTCATTACACGGTGCGAAAGTGAAGAAAGGCTACGGAGATGTTCATTCCGTGGACATCCACGCTATGTGTGCAACAGCACCAATGCTCCTTTTGAGTATCTGTGCCCAGTTTTTATAAAAGCCACATTCTTGGGAGATCCCACAGTGCTGTCATTTCGTTGGAAATACTTCCACAGTAATTACCAATTGGCTTCAACCTTGAAAACGGCCCCAAGTCCATGACTCCTTTGCCCTATGCAGGGAGGCCAGCCAGTTCGATGGAAAGAGAACTGTACGTTTTCAGACTCCGTTTTGTAGCTGGAACAATATAAGAACATTAGCAACAACCAAGGGAAGAAGTGAGGTCACAGAATGTGGAACTGTCTCAGATGTTTCTTGTTGTTGCCACGTGTCCTGTCATAACCACGTGCCCGTGACAGGCTGCCAGCAGTTCCCGAGGTTAAAGCTGAGTGAACTCACAGTTCCCATGAACTGCTCTGAGAGAGCTGTTCATGCCGTCCTCACCGCCAGTGCTCCATTTAACCAGATGACAGATTGGCCGCTGGTAAGGTATGTAGCATAAAATAAAAGTATACAGCAATTGGGTTTTTCTCTATGCCAGTCTATGCGATAGTACCCCCATTTTCTTATTCTCCTTAATACCATGTGATTCCTCTTAGAGCAGTCCTGTCAATCCTACTAGCAAATGGCCACTCCTAGTAGCTTACATTCATTCGTACCTTCAATGCATATTTACTGAGTACCTGCTGGATCATCTGCTCCCTTCTAGGTTCTGGAAATTCTGAAGTGGATACATCCACATTGGGTTACCTTTCCCCAGTTACACAGTGGCATGCGTTTTAGCAATTTTTTCTTGATTGTTTCACTTTGTGCTTACTTTTATTGGGTTCTATTTTAAAATAGAAATATATATTTATTCCCTATTTATGGTCCAGGCCTCTTGTTAAGTCGTTTTCTCCTGACATTGTCCATTTTCCTCCTCCTGTTTCTTCATCCTCTCCCTCTGGTCATTCTTCCCCTAGAGATACATATGCTCTTCGTGCTTCTATCTTACGATGTTTGAGAAATGTCCTCTCCCCATCCTTCTCCATCTTCTGCCTTCTCACTTTCTGCTCTCCCATGGTCCAGCCTTCACAATGAGGTTTCTAGGAAGGTTGGAGTTCATTCATGGTGCCTTTCTTACATTCTGTTGTGCTCATCAACCCCTAGCAGTCAGTCCTCATGCCTCCACGGAAAGGGCTCCTAACTGGAGCATCCAACGAGTCTCATTGCCTGTGTGACTTAGGGAGGGCTCCCCACTGTAACACGCAGACCTAAACATCTAATGATCCAACTACACGAAAGTTTATTTTCTTGCTCCTGTAGTCATCCTGGACAGGTGTTCAAGTAGATGGGTCAGCTCTTCTCCATGTGGGCACTCGGGACCCAGACTCCTCCTTCCATCTGTGGCTCTGGCACGCCGTAAGGGCCGCAGCTATACCTGGCAACACACATGCCCACTGCCTCACCTCCATTGGCTAGATCTCCATCACGTGGGTGTGAAAGGCTGCCACAAGGAGAGGCTGGGACATGTGGTCTAGATGGGCATCCAGGAAGAAAAGGGCATGGACTGGGGAGGCCCTGACACATCTTTCTCTGTTAAACAGCCTCCTCCCTGGCTGCTTTGTCACTATTCTTATTTTTCTCTATGTGGGAAAGCGCCCCTTCTCAGTCTTTTTTGCCAATACCCTGGTCCTGGTCTTCCCTGCAACATCCTTGTTTGGGACCCTATACCTGCTAATGTAGATGATCTCATCTGCTCCCATGGTTTTTTTGTTGTTGTTTTTTTTAATAGAACCTGTCTCATGAGAACTTCACAGCATATAGGCAAGATCCCTTCACAAACCACTACCATCTTAAGACAATTGTTTTTTAATTATACTTTGAGTTCTGGGATACATGTGCAGAACATGCAGGTTTGTTACATAGGTATACAGATGCCATGGTGGTTTGCTGCACCCTGCTCCCATGGTTTTTAAATGCATTTGAAGACTAGTTTGTATCCACATTTATTTCTCTATCTGGTCTTCACTGTTTAACACTAAACCCATCCATACAACTACCCACATGACATCTGCACTTAGATGGCTCATCAGCTGTAACTGTCCATACATCCAGTGCTTAGCTCTCAGTATATTCCCTAAATCTATTCTTCTTCCGTGGTTGCCCATCTCAGTAAATAGCACCCAACCCACCTTGTTGTTCTTTTCAGAAATCTGAGAGTTATCCAACTAATACTTCCTTCTTTCTTATCTCCACTCTATTTTTCACAAACCCTGATGATATATTTCCTAAATATCTCCCATACCCAACTATGTCTCCCATCCTTACTTCCATCATCATCTGTCCCTGGTCCTGGTACAATATTACTGCCTAATTGGTTTTCTGGAATCAACGTTACCATCTTCAGTCTATTTTCCATTAAGCATTCAGAATATACTTTTAAAAATCCCGATCTGACCTGGCCATTCTCCTGATTAAAACTCTTCAGTACCTTCCATTTTCTCACAAAGTCCTGCTCACCTCCCTGCGCTGACTTCCGTCCACCCTGCCTGCGATCGCTTTGCCTCAGCCACGCTGTTCTTGCTTCCCCTTGCTCTTCCTCTGCAGGTACAAAGCAGTTTCCACCTCAGAGCCTTGGCATTGCCTGGGCACAGGTCAATTCCTCCCCCAGGAATGCCTCCCCTTCTCTGCCTCCAATCCTGGTTATTGCTGCCCCAGTGTAACTATAACACCCTCCAGAAAAACTTCCTGACTTTCCCCAGCTCTCTAAGGCTAATAGCAGTCCTTCCCAATAACCTGTACTTTTCCTTCATGGCTCTTACAGCCTGGCTATTGATGTGATCATGTCTGAACACCTGTTTCTCCTTCATCTTCCCCTCAACAACCATGCCAGTCTCTCTTTTCTTGCCCTGTGCTCAGCATGGTGCTAGCTACTTACTAATTTTTATTGAATAAAAGCACCAGTGTAGCTACCCCAGAGTGTAAGCCTAGCAGAGGGCATGTTCAGTGACTCTGCTTCCATTCACATTGTCATTAGCATTTTTCTTTTTTTTTTTTTTTTTTTTGTGAGAAGGAGTTTCACTCTTGTTGCCCAGGCTGGAGTGTAATGGCATGATCTCAGCTTACTGCAACCTCTGCAAAAACGAAACAGTTCAAGCAATTCTCCTGCCTCAGCCTCCCAAGTAGCTGAGATTATAGGCACGTGCCACCATGCCCAGCTAATTTTGTACTTTTAGTAGAGACAGGGTTTCTCCATGTTGCTGAGGCTGATCTCAAACTCCCGATCTCAGGTGATCCACCCACCTCGGCCTCTCAAAGTGCTGGGATTCCAGGCATTAGCCACTGCGCCCGGCCTGTCAGAAGCATTTTGAAGGAGACTGGAATATAGAGAACTTGAAGTTGAGACCCAGCGTAAACATCGAATTTGTTCCCCAGTGATGAGTGTATATGTAAAATAGCTGACTGTTCAAATGCTCAAATGACATATTAGAAGCTAGACATTTGTATTCCTAAATCTGAAGACTGGACTGTTCAGTTTTATCCTGAACTTAACTTTGCAGTACTAATTGAAACACAGAGGACATTGTTAAAGCTCATCCAAGTCAGATCTTTGTTTTAAGGCCTCAAAAGCAAAGCCAGGGAGGTAAGAGGACTGATATGGTCTTATTTCAATTTCCCAGGTGTTTTCGTTTCTTTGTTTGTTTTGGTTTTTTGCATTCCATTGGTACCTATTAACTCCTAGCGGTTAACAATGGTATACTTTCTTCTACTAAATCATATACATTTTTTCCAACTTTTCAAATCTTCTTGGTTACACTGGTTCTTTAGAATTAGCCCAGTAGCAGTAAATTGAATTCCTAAAACAGATTTACACAGTATTTGCTTTTAAAAGATGGTGTTGCACAAGATCCTTATGCTTATACGTACTGTACCTTTAAGTATCCAAATCAATTTAATTAAATTTCATTAGAAGCAACAGAGCTGAAACAAACTAATGACAGCAACTGGTATGTCAGGTGGTATTTATTTGTACATTAAACTGCAAATACTCCCTTTTGGCCCTTAAAATTTAGTTTAAATATTTAACTCTAATAGCTCTTGGAATTGTTGATGGAATTAGTTTTAATGAATCTTTAACAAACAGTTTACCTTAAAAATAGATGGGAGCTTGTTTTATTACAGCAGAGAGGAGCAGAAGGTTTTGTAGTTAAGCAAAATCTGGCTTGGTCTTTAGTCACACAGACTGTGCATCAGAATATTCTACCTTCAGTTTATTGTATTTAATACCTTTTCTTGAAATAAGAAGGAAGTGTATGTGTAAATGCCACTAATTTGAAATATTTTCATTCTCTGCTTAATGTGATTACATTAATAGGTTTCTTCCACTCAAAAATGACTGGAAAACTGGTACAATTTTGAACAATCAGGCTTCTGATACGTGAGCATTAATGTCTTAGCTGGTTACCTAAGGCAATGATTTCTGTTTTGACTTTCATCTGAAAAATAGGTCCCCAGCGAAGTAGTCTTGCTTGTGAATGTAAGTACTAAGCCCTGAGTGTTACAGGCTGGTGCATGGGTGAGCTTGGGTTACTAAAAGCCCAACAGATTTTTGCCACACTTTTCTTTATATCTCAAGTCACTTAAAAAAAAAATTAGACTTGACAAGCTTTGTGGGCTGTAGAGCCTTCAAGGACAGCTAAGGTGAAAAGCTTGTGTTTGTGACTTCAGTACCAAATAGTCTGTGTATGGCCACTGAGGAATCCTCGCTTAGAGGCCAAATCTTGCTACATTAAAAAACTTCCAGAACTTTTTAAAAAACAGGTAGAAAAAGGCCATACATAGGCCAACAGTGTCCTAGTCATTATTTTGGGTTCCAATTAATATCCCCAGTAGAAATAAACAAGCATTGTTCATTTTCAAAGTTAATTATTTCTTGAAGCTCCTGGGTCAGAGAAGTCTCTTATAAGAAAATAGTTGATGAATCTAACTTCTAAGGATAGAAGACAAAGTTTCCAAAACTCTCTTTGGAAACAAAATTATCAATAGAAACATCAACATTGACCATATCATCACAGCTGTGGCTATTCACTGGGTCACCCTCCACCCCATCAGGGTCAAGTTTCTAAAAGTTGTCTTCCAGGAGCAGGGTCAGAAGCCACCATGCACGTAACTCAAAATTCCATTTTCTGCTAAATCTCATCTGTTGAAACACCTTAATGAGGATTTGGTATTTAGCCTGTTTTCTCTCCCCATAATCACCAAATCCACTCAACCTTCATTTGAGCAGCCCTTGAAATATTCACTCTCCCCTCCCACCTTCTCTCTAAACTCTATTACATGGAATGAGCCAACTTCTCTCCCTAATCCCCTTTCCTCCTCCTCCATCAAGGAGTATCCTTCTCCATCCTTTCTGTGATTCAGCAGAAGTAGGGTGCTCTCACCTGCTCAACTCAAAATGGCAGGATGTCCCTTCATAGAGGGAGGCGGGAGCCTCAGAACACATGGGTCATTCTCATTCCACCACATCTAAATTCTCTCCACTCTCTTATTGACATGCTCTGCATGTTTTCTGGAGCACCACTGGTCATCACTGTTCCCTACCCAGTAATATTCCCACAAGGTGACCCATCCAGAAACCAACCCCTTCAGTTTAGTAGGCACATTCTGGAAGCAGGTGTGGACTGCTGTACCCAGCCCTAAAAGGAATTGGGGCATAGCTAATGAGAAAGGTAATATACTCTCCCCTTTTATCCTGTTTCCTGATTCCCCTATGGATCTGTGTTTGTGGGGAACTGAATGCATTTGCCATGGGCAGGTACCTGTATCTTCTTCTGAGCTCCATGGGGCAAGAAGCACTGGAGGTGGAGGGACAAGCTGTGTGCTCCAACTGAGTCAGCACCCACCCAGGGGCCAGAGGTGGCAGAGATAATGATGCTTCAAAATTATTTTCCAGACCGGTTAAAGAGGAGGCAATTGTATGTACTCACACTGAAACATGGTCAGTGGAGAGGAATTACCATTTAAAATAGAGCAGGCAAGCCAAAGGCCACTTTTCTTGTGATTGTTGTTAGGTACTATTTTACCTAAGCTAACACTACCTTTAGCACAGTTGCGAGTATGTCATAAAAGACAGATCTACCAACAGCAGAAGATGATTCTGATGAGGTTACTCTGAGCTACAATTAAAAGAAAAAGGTTCTAAGGCTCTGAATGTATTTATTTCTTATAGAATAGAGTGTAAGAACCGTGGATGCTAGCTATAAAACCTGTGAAATTGATTATCATTTCATTTTACAATAATTAATACTGTCATCTTAAATCATTGACTCCAGCTAGCATTGATTAGGCACCTCTGTGTTCCAGGTACTATGCTAGATACCACGGCTTCAGAAATAAATGAGGCACCCTTGCTGCCTCACAGCTAGGGAGACAGCCTGCATTGCTAAAGTCTGTATTGTGATGTAAAAGCATTTTATTACTATCATGGAAAGAAAACTGGTTGCATTACTGAAAACTCCCCCCAAACCAGGGTGGCATAATTTATTTGGCAATAGTAATTGAATGAACATGCATTACCTGCCTCCTGTTTGCCTAATACAGAACCAAGCAGGATAAGATTTAACAGGTAGAAAAAGACAAGGTGCCCTGCTATGTCATAGAGCTGCCTGATCAAAGGTGGGGATGTTTGAAATTGAGTCTCATAAGCAGTGCATGCTGGGTGATCAGGTGTGATTGGGGCTCAGTGTGTGTGGCACCTCTCTGGCCTGAGATTTTGACCTGTTTTGTTACTATAGAAGTCAACCTTGGGAATGGAGACTGAAGGGCCTCCTGGGATTTAGCACTTTAAAAAATGTGCCCCAACTTGTCACTGACACCTATGCAAAGAAACCCCAAGCCAATGGTTCACAGCCCTGGCTGTTCATTAGCATCCATTTGGGGGAGGAGTGGAGCTTTTGAAAATAAGGATACCCAGGCCCTACCCGGAATAACCTAAAGAGAACCTCAGGGCTGGGGCCCAGGCATTACTATTTTTAAAACTCCCCAGCCTGATGAGTCACATTGCCCTTAATGTGTGGAAAAGAAGCTGAGATGGAGCTTACCAGTAATTGTGAGAGAAGGGCCAACTCCTGACAGCTCTCTAATTCCACCTCTCTATCTGCTGAGACACCCAGGGTTAGCAAGCCAAGTAGTGAAAAGATATTCATGAGAATAGTTTTGAGCCTTGCCAGACAGTTCTAGCTCATCCCCTGCATACAAAGCTAACAAACTCCTGTGCTCATCTGAACTGAATGTCGTGCACATTTTTTTCTTTCTTGAGACAGAGTTTCATTCTTTCACCCAGGCTGGAGTGCAGTGGCACAATCTCGGCTCACTGCAACCTCTGCCTTACGGTTTCAAGCGATTCTCCTGCCTCAGCCTCCCGAGTAGCTGGGATTACAGGCACCCACCACGACGCCCAGCTAATTTTTGTGTTTTTAGTAGAGACGGGGTTTCACCCTGTTGGTCAGGCTGGTCTCAAACTCCTGACCTCATGATCTGCCCGCCTCGGCCTCCCAAAGTGCTGGGATTACAGGCGTGAGCCACTGCGCTCAGCCACACAATTTCTAGAATAAGAAGCTGTGGCTCAAGTGTGTGTTGTCCTAACCTCCTGTAGACCAGTCCGAATGAAAGCTACTTAGTCCCCTCATTCAAACTGTTAGTAGAAGTCTCTCTACTAATACATTCTTCTTGGCGATGTTTACAGGATGTTCAGAAATATAAAATGGAGAGTGTTATAGATTCAGGGCCGTCGAAATCCATAAAAAGAAGACCTGTATCAACTAAACAGACTGACCACGTCCTAGAAATACCGTGAAGACCGATGGTAGTGGGGCTGTGGGGATGAACATCGCCCGATTGTCGTGCACATTGGAAATGCCCGTATGGACGATTGTAGCTTTGGGGAATAATAAAGTTTCATAAGAAACACATTGAAAACTTGAGCACAGAGGCTGAAAGTGGTGGAGGGACAGCTAAAGGGTGTAAGATAAAGAACATCAGATTGTTCCTGGTGGCAATTTAAAGTTCAGTGACTTTGAACTCATCTTCTTTTTTGGATTTCTATCTCTATATACTTGGAACAATTTAACAACCTCCAGTTTTAAGTGTAATGTGTTAAAAATAAAAACCAATTTGAGGCACAGATATCATATCACATTTTTGACAGCTTAGCTGCGTCTTCAGCTGAAGGGCACAACTTGTGGGTCAGTCTGTTGAAGGTGAACGACAGATAGTAAAAGAGTTCTTTATCATCAATAGGAAGGATTCATGGCCCTTCCCCGGTTACCGTGGTGATTCTTCACTCTCCCTGCTTCTTCCCTGGGCTTTCTTATCTAACCCCTATGAGCTGTACAGGTGGTGCAAAGAAGAGCTAAGGTAAAATGCCCAATATAACAGAATTCACAAAAGAAGTCTCTGGCCTACAATAAGTTGATATTTTAACAAGAAAATACAGTGATTAAAGAGGCAAATAATGATTGAAATGATATGTGCCCGAGTTGTATATATTTATGTGAACCACCTCCAAGCCATTCTGAGTGACAGTGGGAAGCAAATGAATAATAGATTGATTGCTAGCTGGCTAGATAACAAAAATATACATGGCTAGTGGAATAGAAGGAATGTCAGCTTAGCAATAACTTTCCCTTCTTATTTAAAAAGTGAAACATTATTTTAATTGAATGACTAAAGATTTTATACAATAAAAGATGAGGAAGGCCATGAGATTTGTGCTCAAGGTGTTTGTAATGAGTGGTGATTGATCTATGCCATGGGCCAGCTGCACCCTAGCCTCTAGCATCTAGTGTTCCATGAGTTTCCATGACATTTGGCAGCTGCTCCTCTATATCTGTGGGAAATTGGTTACAGGACTTCCCAAGGATACCAGAATTTGTAGATGCTCAAGTCCCGGCTGTATTAATAAAATGGTGCAGTATTTGCATATAACCTACGCACATTTTCCTGTAAACTTTAAATCATTTCTAGATTAATTATAATATGTAATGTTAATACAATGTGCTATGAAAATAATTGCATTGTTTAGGGAAGGATGACAAGAAAAAACAACATGTACATGTTCAGTACAGACAATATGTTTTGGAATATTTTCCACCCTAGGTTGGTGAAATCCATGGATGTGGAACCCACAGATACAGAGGGCCAACTGTATGTGGCATCGGAACTAAAGTTTTAAAGTCCTTTCTGGGCATTGTTGAGCATAGCAGTGTTGAAGTTGTGCAGTTTAGTCACTGTAGCCTTCACTCTGCATCGATGAATGAGAGAGGGGAGATGGAGAAGATCACCTCTTCTCACAGCACACAAATTTTATGTTTGTCTCATTGCAGTGTAGAAGGTATTCTGTTCCTCCTGGGGCTTCTGAGCTGTGGGTCAGGAAACAGCTCTAACGAAGATATTTATTGGGTGTTTACTCTGCCCCATTCCTTAAGCTCCCTTCTCCCCTCCATTCAAAGTGCCTATACCCACAGGCATGCAGTCCCTGGCCATCCTCAGAGGGTCTGAGTCAGGGATTGCTTCTCCGTTTCTCCCACCACACTCCGCTGTCATCACCCTCAGTTGTATACTAACCCAATCACATACAGACAAGTTACCTGCAGGACCACACTTCTGCCAGGCATTTGCATTTTCCATATTTGATTTTATGAAGGATTTGAAAATTTTTTGAGTGCATCCATATAGGAGTTCCTTTGTAAGCAATTTTGTTATTACACTCAGTTTTCTGACATTTCCAGAAATGTAAATACTTAAATGGTTGCAGTATAGTCTAAACATCATGAAATCTGAGTTGCTGAGCAACACATATCTCCAATCACCTGCATAAGAGAGCAATGCTAACAAACCTACTGATGTCTCACCAAGTGAAACCAGTCCTACAGCTGTGCCACATTTAGGTCTAGTGTGTCCTTAGGTCTTAGAACATAATAAATATTTAGCCAATATTCACATTGTAAAGTACCTTGTTCACCTTTAATACCACACAGAATATCATCACATTCATAGCCAAAGAAGCCAAGGTTTTGACTAAACGACTGTCCCGAGCCACTACTTGGAATCCCAAAGCACACCTTCTACATTGCAATGAGACAAACATAAAATGATCTGTCCCCATTCAGTCATATTTAGGACTTCTGCCCTCTACAAAGCATTTCCTTCAAAAGACAGGGATTTAAATTTTTTTTTTTTTTTTTTAAGATGGAGTCTAGCTCTGTTGCCAGGCTGGAGTGCAGTGGTGTGATCTCAGCTCACTGCAATCTCCGCCTCCCAGCTTCAAGTGATTCTCCTGCCTCAGCCTCCCGAGTAGCTAGGATTACAGGCACGCACTGCCACGCCCAGCTAATTTTTGTATTTTTGGTAAAGACGGGGTTTCACCATGTTGGCCAGAATGGTCTTGATCTCTTGACCTCGTGATCTGCCCGCCTCGGCCTCCCAAAGTGCTGGGATTACAGGCGTGAGCCACCGCTCCTGGCCTAAAAAAAATGTTTTTAATCGTTCCCATACATAAGTAATGGACACATACATTGTTGAAATATCTTCCATCCTGAACGTGTTTTTGGTAAGACTGCTCCTCCTCTGTGTTTGCCTCCACCCTCCGGAGGATTTCAGAGAACCCCACAGAACTCCAGTGGAGACATTTTCTCCTGCCGTGATACCTACCTACCACCCCCACCCTTCCCTAAGGAGGCATTTATTTGTAACTTACACCCTTCATCTCTCATCACCTCAGCTGTCACAATCACCCAAGCCTCCTGGGACGACCATCATTACTTGGACCCCTCGATCAAAGGCTCTGAGCAGCCAGTTATCCCCCATATATTCCACCTGTCTTCTGTCCACCTCCCATTTCTTTTCCCTCTTTAACCTGTGGTTAAAAATCAGCAAAATTGGCCGGGCACAGTGGCTCACACCTGTAATCCCAACACTTTGGGAGGCTGAGGCAGGCGGATCAAGAGGTCAGGAGATCAAGACCATCCTGGCCAACATGGTGAAACTCCGTCTCTACTAAAAATATAAAAATTAGCTGGGTGTGGTGGTGCATGCCTGTAATCCCAGATATTTGGGAGGCTGAGGCACGAGAATTGCTTGAACCCAGGAGGTGGAGTTTGCAGCGAGCCAAGATCACGCCATTGCACTCCAGCCTGGTGACAGAGCGAGACTCTGTCTCAAAAGAAAAATAAATAAATAAATCAGCAAAATCCCCTGTGTCCGTTTCGCAAACCTCTTCTGCTCATCTCCTGTCGGCCCTGAGGACACAGCCCCCCGAGCCCCCTCCTCGAGGGCTGTTTAATTTCCCACCCACCCTCCCTCCCTTGTGTCCCACCCTGGAGGTGGAACAGACGTCCTTCTTGGAGCAGTCGTCTTTCTTGCCCCCTCCTCATTGCTCTTTTGAGAAGGATCTCCGCTCCCCTCCCTCAAGAAAACCCCCAGCACCTGTGAAGTATCCTCCCAACAGCCTGTGGCCCTCATAAGCCCACCAGTACCCTGATCAATATACACTCTCCATATCGTCTCTAGCACCTACATTTTCCTCCCTACTGGGCTTAGCTTCCGTGACGTTCCCTTGTCTCTCTCCAAGTTGCCTGATGACCCATCAACTCTACCCACTCCACACCTGCCCTAGGGCAGCTGACTGTGGCTGGAGAGAGGCACACACGGATGCTGACCAGTCAGCTCCTTTTTGGTTCATTGCCACAGCCTCCAGCCCTGTCCGGCACCCCGGCCACTTGCCCTGGCCAGTCAGCTCGCTCCCCACCCAACTCAAGGACCACTCCACATCCCCGTCCCCTTCCTTCCTCCCTTCCCTTTCTCTCTTCTCTCTGTTCTCTAAGCTCCAACCCTTCCTTATTCTCAGCAGATGACCTCACTTCTTCTCATTTTCCATAAGAAAATGCAAAAAACAAAAAAATCAAGAGTGAATATCCTTATCTTCCTGTCACCCCATCTACCAGTCTCTTCCCCATGTCCATGGCCACAGTCTGTTTCTGTGGGCAGTGACCCCATTGCTCACTTAATCTTATCCACCTTTCCTGTCTTGAGAATGTTCTTCCTGCCATTTTTCCCTTTCTCTCCTATGTCCCCAGGTTTTTCCTTCTCTGCATTCAGTCATTCCCATCAGCACACGAAATACTGCAATATCTTCTAGGTGATCTATGAAAACATCTCTCCAGCCCTCACTCTCTTCAAGCCCATTTCTCCATTTCCGTTTAAAATAAAACTTTGCCAAAGGCTTGTCTGTACTCACTGTCTCCCCTTCACCAATTCTCATTATCTTTTGGGACCGCTGGAGTTAGACATTTACCAACCTGACCAAAGAAAGCACTTTTGTCCCCGTCACGAGGACTTCCTTCCTCCCAGACCACCAGGCAGCTCTTGGTCCTCCTCGGTATTCGGTTGGTCTCCTTCTCCTCCTCACGCATTGCTCCTTTGGTCTTGCCTGATGCCACAGTCACACCCTCCTGATGCTTCCTGTAGTTCACTGGGTTCCTTCTTGGTCTCCTTTGAAGCTTCCCCTACTCTTTGCACCCCTCTCAATATTGGAATGTCCTCAGGCTGACTCAGCCTCTGCCTTCTGCTTTTCTTTATTTGCATTCGCTTACAGGTTTGCATCCATTCTCTTTGCTTTAAATAATATCTATATGCTGACGTCCAAAATTCTGCCTCCAGCCCTGAGATCCCAGTTTGCAGATCCTGCTTCCTTCTCTGTCCCTCTTCGGTAACCATATACGTCCCCATGAGGCAGTCCTAGTTCCACTCCCTAAAGCTGCTTCCCTCCCTCCCATTGTTCCTGGCTCAGTGAAGGGGACCTCAGGCCCCTGTGGTTCACACCAGAAGCACTGCGGTAAGGCTTGATTCCTCTTTCCCACACCAATAGCCATGCCACCAGCAAACCCTCCAGTGTGGATACCAGATCTGCACGCTTCCCACCACCAGCACCCTTCAAGCCTGGGCCATCTCTCCTCTGTCCAGGGGAGTGACCTCCCAAGCAGCTTTGCTGTGGCTACTCCTCCCCAAACTGTCCTGGACACCCAGAGCTTTCCTGTCTTCCTGGCCCCCTGCTCACGCCTATTCAGTCCCAGGAGCCTGTTCTCACACCAGCGAAGCCGTTCCCACCCAGGGCCTTCACATCTGTTCTTCTGTGGGCTGGGAAGCCAAGATCTGTGTCACCAGGGTCTGGTTCAATTGTCATCTGCAGGTCCTTCTGCAACGTTAAGGCTCCCGACAGCACCTCCCTGACCCCACTCCACAAAATAGAGATGCCAGCATCCTCACCCCTACTTTTCTATACCCACCCCGCCCCTCCTTCCCCGCCCCCCTTCCTCCTTCCCGGCCCCCGCTCCTCTTTCCCCACCCCTTTCCTCCTTCCCCGCCCCGTTCCTCGTTCCCCGCCCCCCTCCTCTTTCCCCGGCCCCTTCCTCCTTCCCCGCCCCCCTCCTCCTTCCCCGGCCCCCGCTCCTCCATCCCCGCCCCCTTCCTCCGTCCCCGCCCCCGCTCCTCCATCCCCGTCCCAGCTCCTCCATCTCCCCCCACCCCGCTCCTCTATCCCCGCCCCTGCTCGTCTATCCCCTAATCCGGCTTGGTTTTTCCTTCCAAGCACTTGTTAGAATGCCACGTTAGTATTAATATGTTTTTTGTAACTTGTGTATTGTTTGACTTTGGGTGGCCTATTTACTTTCGAAGGCTCAAATTCTTCCTGTAGAATGCAGATAATGGTATCCATTAGTTTGGTTTTATTTCCATTAGAGTAATATGTCCAATATTACTGACATTATAGCAAAGGAAAGCAGGCACTGTCCCAGCCCCTGTTCCCACTTTACATTGGCACTTGTTTTCAATTCTTTAGCTTTTTTTTCTGATAATATTTAGACTTTTAAGGGGCTCAAAACTCTATCAAAAATCATTGAAAACATAAATAGATGAATTAATAAAGAACAAAATGCATACTCATTTCCATGTTCCTAATTCTTATTAGATACACCAAGACTAATCTTTGTGTATCTAATTCTCGTTATTCCTGTTCTACTTGACTGATAGGATAAAGCCAGAATGAGAGGTGCATGATTTTAAAAGATATTACCCAGCTTACTTACTAGGTGCTAACTGTGTGGCAAGATTCTCTGAACAATCCCAAGAGAACAAAGCATTGAGCCCCTTAAAAGTCTAAATGTTGTCAGGGGAAAAAAATAAAAAATCTAAAAGAATTGAAAGCAATGGCCTCTGTAAAGGAGGATTTGGGGGTGGAGCAGGTGACTGCTTTTCTTTGCTATAATGTTAGTACTATTTAACATGTTACTTTGATAAAAATAAAATCTATTTAAAAAAGAAAAAAAGACTGGAAGGAAATACCATGACAGGTTAACAGGAGTTCTCTCAGGTGGAGAGGGTGGAATTACCACCTATTTTTATTTTCTTCTTTATGCTTTGTAAATTCACAAAATAATCTGTGATATATTTATGCGGTTTTTATAAGGAAAAATAGTATAGATGCTTTCTGTATATTAACTAGATGTCAGAAGCCTAACGGAGGCTTGGTAGGATGCATTTTGAATATGCTCTATATTGAAAAATATCATTCCTGGAGCAGACCAGCTTGGAGACAGGCGAGGGTGGGCATTTGGGGCTGGAAAGGACACAGGCAGGTAAACGGGAAGGGAGGACGCTGCCCTGGATTCTGGTTGCCAACAGATAGGTCCTGGGAGCAAAGGGGTAAACCCTTGTGGAAAATCTTGAGGCAGCGGAAGAGGGAGCCAGGCAGAGCTGGAACCAGGTCGGCAAAAAATAGACAGTTTCCGGGTCCCCTAACATTCTGAGCATCGTATTTTCATCGAAGTCGAAGCTTCTGACCAGAGCGGGTTTGTAAAGGGACCATTTATTCAACATTCATGAAGGAAAGCAGGCCCTACCCGCCAGGCTCTCTGGAGGGAAGGAGGTGTGTCTTCATTCACATTTGGCTCTGTTCACCTCCATGAGAGCGCAGAACTTCAAGAACCTCTTCTGACACACCATAGAAATATTATGCAAATCCAGATACTTGGAACTTAAAAATGTCCGGAGGTGAAAAATCACTCTGTCTTGCCCATCTAACAGGAGCGTGCTGTGTTTTGCAGGATGGATGGTCACAATACCACTTTGTAGCCTCGTCTTCAACCATCGAGAGGGACCGGCAAAGGCCCTACTCCTCCTCCCGCACGCCCTCCATCTCCCCTGTGCGCGTGTCTCCCAACAACCGCTCAGGTAAGAGGCTGCCGTGGCTAGCCAGCCAGGCTTTATTTCTCGTTGAGCAAAGACGGTCCTTCCCAGTCCGTGAGCCAACCCGTACTCAGAGGAGAGCCTTCCATTCAGACCTTCGCTAGAAGTAGGAAATGAATCTGTTCTTTGTACTGTGGTGGCCACTCTGTGTTTTGTATACACAGACTCAGAGCAAATCTCCTTCTCTAACAGGTTCTTATGCATGACATGCACGTAATGAACCTGAATTCAGGAGGAACGAGTATAAAGAAAACTGTCATGTGTCTGCAAATCCGGGGTTTCCGTGGACAATTTTTCCAACTTAAAATAGTTTGAGTTGGCCTGGCGAGGTGGCTCATGCCTGTAATCCCAGCATGTTAAGAGGCTGAGGCAGGCGGATTGCCTGAGCTCGGGAGTTCGAAACCATCCTGGGCAACATGGTGAAACCCCGTCTCTAGTAAAAATACAAAAATTAGCCGGGCTTGTTGGCACACGCCTGTAATCCCAGCTACTCGGGAGGCTGAGGCAGGAGAATCACTTGAACCCGGGAGGCCGAGATTTCAGTGAGCAGAGATCGCGCCACTGCACCCCAGCCTGGGTGACAGAGTGAGACTCCGTCTCAATAAATAAATAAATAAATAAAATAAAAATAGTTTGAGTTGCATTTTGTCATAATTGGGATAAAAAGTTGAGGAGACCAAATGTGCTTTCTTCCTTCAGTGTGATATACATTTGACACATAGCACTGATGCTTTCATAACTGTTCCACATCTAATTGGCTTTTCATTATTAATGATAAACCGGCAGATGCCACTGATAAATTATTATCGTAGCCAACTATAACTTCCATGTCATTCCATTTAATTTTTTTCTAATTTTGTCACATTCCTATTGCTTAAATTTTGAACTTCTTGTATTCGTAAAAATACTTGATTTTTATACCCTTTTTAATTCACATTAAGAAATGCCAAAAATCAGAGGAAAGATGAAAGGCAAATGTGAACACACCATTTAGTAATATAAATGGCATAAATTTGCTGTTTTCCTCACAGTTTAGTTTTTAAAACTTTTATTTTGATTTCTGCATTTTGATTTTGTTCTGAGAGTGAAAGATGGATAACAAGTTATATGCACCCACACAGATGACAGCTATGTAGGCTCTTATTTATGAAAGCTTTCTTCCTACTCTTCTCTGCCCTCTCCCTGCTGAGGAAATCCTATTCTCTGAAATGACACCTGGGAGGACCTGGTAGAGAGCATTGCCCAGCAAAGTGGTCTCCCTACCCGCGAGAATGATGGTTGCAGAACTCCACGCCAGACTTTACTGTCAACATGATGAGAAATGAATGGCCAATATCTGACTGAAATAAATGGCCCGCTCCCAGCTCTGTGAAAGCTGATCCTTCTAGTGTACTGTCATTGCTTATCACATTTAGTCCAACCCTGGGTGACGATCAGGAACCCCCTGTACCTGTGGAAACGTCCACCCATCTCAGAAGCATGGAGGTGGCCTCTTAGGCCTCTTATTTCTGTAATTCCAGCAGGCTTAAAAAGATAAAGCGCATGGAGTGTGGAAAGCATATGGATGGTGTCTTTTGGAAAGCAGTGATTATTAAGAATTACAGTGAGCCAATCAGTGTTATGAGAATGAAACGACATGATGGATCGGCAAGGGCTGGAAGAGAGAAGCAGCCTTTTCTCGCGAGCAGGCAGGGCTGTGTTCAACCAGCCATGCAGACAGTGCGCTGCCTCAGGACTTCCTAGGCGAGGCACATCCAGACACCTAATAAACACTTGTTTGCGTGATTTGATTTTTCCCAGAACTTAATCCTGATTTACCAGAGACTTGGAGCACCGCTGTGTGTGAGGTCTCAGGAGATAATTACACACTTGATGTGGTTTAATAAACACCACCATCTGGGCAATATTGGATTCTAATTTTAAAAGCTGTGGTCAACAGGTTTTAAAATATTGTCCCTTCATGATTATGTGGCAGTAACTCATAAAAGGCTAACCTTTATTAGGGAAGACCCAGAGGCAAAAGGGCAAAGGCAGGAAGAGAGACTTTCCTGGAAGAGAAAGATGGTGAACCAAAGAGAAGGGGGCAGCAGGTGGAAGAGGTTAGCGAGGAACCAGCGAGCAGACAGGAACTGGATGCAGAGCCCAGTTGAGTGACAGGGCACAGAGCTTGCTAAGGACTCAGTTGTTCTTGCAGAGGTTCCCTCTCCAAGCAACAGAACCCCAATCTTCATACGACACAGTGGCTGCCCCTCACATCTCCCCAGATTCACATTCGGGACAGAGATGGCCCAAGTCCCAGCCTTTGTCCTCTCCCCTGGAACCTCTCTTCCCTCACAGCAGAGCCTGGGCATTCTCTCCACCTACACAGGGTCACTGTGGATCAGGGAGGTTCAGTCCTTGATCAAGTCATTGCAGCTCCAGGCTTGTCCTACAAGTGATGAAGGTGCTGCAGCTGTCTGAGCTGCATGGTTTTCTTCCCTGTCTGCCATTGCATTTGTACCCAGGACTTCTGGCCAGCTGGCATTGGGTGGGGTTCAAGCCTCAGTATTTTTTTTAAAGGATTCCAGGTAATGAATTCTAATAGGCATCCAGGATCCAAAACCCGTGATGGCTTCAAGAGCTGAGCATTGAGGCGTGATTTTATTTTGATAGGTTTGAGAGGGTGGCAACAACCCATGTTTATCTTCCCAGCACTTGGCTGTAACGTCTGTTGGGCACTTCTGCCTCTCATTCTACTTTATTTGGACATCCATTTCCTTACTCGATTGAGAGCTGCACAAGTTCAGGAAGAGCCACGTGATCTGCATGTCTGCCTTGCACAGTGGCTAGCACAGGAATTTGTACATAGAAGATATAAGGGTGACAAACTGAATCACATGACTCAGTGACATGAGAGGTGCCTTGGGGGACCACAGACCCAAGGAGCAAAGAGACCCTACAGAGGGTGTGAATGATAAGCTCGAAGGTAAACTGAAGTTTGGCTGGGGAGGAGCTTTGACACTAGCAAAGGAAAGAGAGATTTATCCTAAAAATCAGAGTGCTCTAGGGATTCCTAGCCTTAATAGTCACCAAGTATGCTCAGTAAATATGGATTCTGAAGCCCGTCACTGAAAATTCAGACTCAAAAGGTCCAGGATGGGCTCTGGGCATCCATAAATTCTCAAGTGAGTGTTGAGGGTAAACAAGGCTCTGAAGCACTGCCCTGGGCTATGGGAGCTGGGGAGAGCTTCCTGACAGAAGGACACGGCACCTGAGCTCCTGCGGAGCTGGACACAGCTGCAGGTGCCCACAGGGTGGGGTGCGCGACCAGCTGCCCCCTCACCCAGACGCATGGCTCCTGCCAACCTCTCCCAGTGCCCCTCTGCACTGGCAGGAAGGTTGAGTTGCTGCCAATCCATTCAGTCACTCATGAAAATTCAACCTCCTTTTACTGACTTCCTTGCCTCTGAGTTCAGCTTTTCCTCTCTTCTAGTACCAGTTTTTTAAGGACTCCTGGAATTTCCCAGGAGGATCCTCCAATTACAACCCAGCACTTTAGAAATGGGTGTAAGAGGAACGGCAGGGCTCAGCCTCCCAGCCAGACAGGCAGTGAGTGGCTGAGGTGTAAGGAGGGCCTCAGAGATTATTGGGGTGTTTATGCAAAAAGCTGGAGCAAGAATGCCCTAGCAGGAACTAGAGCTGCCTCCATGCCCCTCCCCAGCCCACCCCAGCCACAGACAAAGAAGGTCTTTGTGGGCTTGGTTATTTTTGCCCCACAAATCATCCTGTGTAGAGAGCTGTTTCCTCTGACTTTTTTAAAGGCAGTTTCTAGGTGACTCAGTGTTTAAGTAAAACTGCATTTATTTTAATCAAGGATTAGTCAATATCAGTAATAGATCTTCTGAAACACATCTAATTAAGGAAGGGAGCACGGGAAGGAAAGGGAAGGAAAAGAGAAGAGAAAGGAAGAAACCAAAAGCAGTCTCATTCCTAAACTGCCCCACACACCTTGGGCAGGTCACGTCCCCTCCATGATCTCTCTCTGAGGAAGATGGCCCCAGGATGTGGTCCCCAGTTGCCAGCCTCCAAATCACATGCCCTCTAACTATAAAGCATCAGTTGTCACAGGTGAGGGAATGGGGCAGGGACAAGAGCCAAAACTGCCAAAAAATAAAAATTAAAAAGAAAACCCATCAGGTCCTCACGTAGGCATTGAGATGCGGGACCATGCATAGTGAGGACCCTGACTGTGTGGAAGGCACACACGCTGTGGGATGAGATGCAGAAAATCCCCCTTTTGATTTCTTTATGTAGCAAGTGCCCCAGCTTCACCTCGGGAAATGATCAGCCTCAAAGAAAGGAAAACAGACTACGAGTGCACCGGCAGCAACGCCACCTACCACGGAGCTAAAGGCGAACACACTTCCAGGAAAGATGCCATGACAGGTGAGCGCCCCTCGCGCGCCCCCTCCTGGAACTTGGTGGCTTGACCCGCGACAAGGCAGAGATATGGGACATCAGGCTTCACGGGGCTGGCTGCGCTTGGCTGCTGAGCAGGACTTAGCAGCTGTCCAGTCACTTGAGAGCTTGATAATGATGATTTCCAAGAATTGGGACTAAGAATAGAGGCATAACTAAGATAAAATGTTTTCTACCCATGTTTTATCGGTCCTTTCCTCTTGTTTGCCCAGCTCATAATATTCTTTCAAATTAGAGAGAATATTCCCACATATTTCTTCCTCATTGACATCACCCACTGGGGAGGGGACTCGATGGAGGCAGTGTAGTTAGGCCCTGTGCATTAGGAATGGAGGGAACTGAAAAGAAGGTGGAAGGGGAGGGGAGGGGAGGGGAGGTGGGGAGGGGAATAGAGTGGGGAGGGGAGGAGAGGGGAGTGGGGAGGGGAGGGACGGGGAATGGAAAGAGGAGGGCAGGAGGAGGATTTAAGGGGAACTGCATGAAACTGCTGTTGAGATATTTTCCCCTCTTGCCATGATACAACCTCTTACGTGACATATCCCAAAGAAGCTTCCTTAGAGCTGATGACTGCAGATTCCCTGGGGAGGCATTCATCTTTCACGCTCGTCATCCCTCACGATCTCAGTCACAGCCATTGCCTTCCTTTCTCATCAGCCAAGACTCTATGGAGGCCAGAATTGGTACAGTGGGTATCTGTCTCTGCCCCCTCCACTGTGCCATGCCCAGCCCATCTGATAACAGGGCTTACCCTTAAGTCACTGTATAGTCTGTACGTCTTGTACACTCTGTATATGCTTCTGTTGAGGCACTCACAGCCCCCTCCAAGCTCTCCATACCTCACCCTCTCCCTGGATGGCCCTCCTCCAAGAAGCAGGATGTGGGCTCTGGCTGTAGAGGGAGTTATACCTTAAAAGCAAAGCTGCCGGAGCCCTGAGGACCTTTCAACGGGGACCCCACATCCTCTTTACCACATGGGCATGGAGATGGGTCCCTGCTGAAAATAGGCTATGAGGAAGAGCCTTTAATAGAACAAGGCCATGTTAGAGCATTCATAAAGCTGGGGCGCAAAGGGCGCCGTGCAGACACTGAGACCCTCTTAGGAGAGGAATCTGAAGAGCAGGAGGCAGTTCTCCAGTAGTATTTAGGTGTAGACTGGCAGGGAAGCAGAGCAGACAAATTGGATGATTTATTAAAATGCCTTCCAAACCAGGACAGCGAAGATAAATTTTTCTAATAGCAAATGCATTTACCCCAGCGGCAGTGTTTTCCGTGTTAACTCTGCTCAGCTGCGTAAAGAAAACTATAATAAACGGATGTTTCTTATCCCTGCCCCCAGGAGCACATTCTGCCTCCATGTGCAGACCCTACAAGGGAACACCTCAGCGCTGCTCCTGAGACGTTTCCTGAACGGGAGAACCTAACTCATTACATGGACTCTAGGTTACTATTCACATTCACTGTTTCCCCTTACATGTTGCCGCGTAGATGAACAGGAACAAAGAAAGCTGTGAATCTGAATTCTGAGTCCCTGGAGTCTAGACATTCGGCAGAGGATCCCATTTGTACTGATTATGCTGAGCTAGTCATGACACCAAATTCAACTGACCCTTTCAATGTGCAGTTATCATTGCCCTGGGTAGCCACATCACCAGCTGTCTGGGATGATACACTGAGATTAAGGAACAGTTGTGAGATCGACTGCATTATTATTCAGTTTCATGTTTCTCTTTAACTCTCTTGCCCAAGAGAATCATTCAAAAGGCCTTCAGGTGTGGGTGTGCGTGTTTATGTCAAAACAGTTCCAATGGCACATAATTGTGCCCTGGACTCAAAATAAAATAAAACATAAAATTTACTATGTTTCTGATATTTAATCTTCTTAGAAAATGGCAGGGATCTTGACAATTTCAGTGTATGTAATTCTTCAAACTTATTTAGAGGCTTAAACAGCTTTGCTCTAACTTACTTAAAAATGCAATTCAGGAGTACACTCTCAATCATGTAGCAAGCCAGAAAGAACATTGAGATCTTTATTGAATATTATGTGTATATAGGGAAGTTCCTCTAAAGCCAATGGGTGCTATGTAAACGCCGATTGTTATTATCACAACAATGATGGTGGTGGTGGTGGTAGTGAGGGTGATGGAGGTGATGGTGGGATAGCAGAAGTGAGGATAGTGGTGGTTTGCCACTTTCAGTAGTGGTATGAATAAGTCCCCAGCCAAGCCAGGTGGAAGCCAGTCTTTCACATATTGATGGGGATATTGAGTTTACAACCCCCACCTTGCAGGATGTTAGCAAATGCCCATCATTCCAGGGTTTACTTGCAAAATCAGATTTCTTGTGGCCCCAACATCAAAAGCAATGCTTTTTCTTGTTCAAGAACAAATCTACGGAACATTTAAAGTTCAGTGCATTGAAAGATAACCTGAAAAACTGCCATCTTCCTTGTTTCATTCCCTGCCAAGAAAACATTCCCTCTGATATGAAAACCACAAGGGAAGCTTCATCCCCAAAATGCAGCCTATGAGGGCTGGAAGTGCAAACATCTCTTTGATGGAGCTGTCATCTCTTCTGCTGAGCTCTTAGAAGTTCAGATCCATCTAGGTGTTTATTCCAGGCTTCCCCCACCCTCCTTTTCTGGATTCATTTTCTAGCTTGGATGAAGCCTCATAAAATTCTTCTCTCCTAAGTGTTTCTCTGCCACTGGAGAGCCCTGAGAAATCCAGTTGGCTATTCATTCAGGCATGCCGGCTTCCATAGCGAGTTCTTGCAGCCCTGCATGCCTGGGAACCTCACGTGTTCAGTTCACCTCAAGAAAGGGCTGCAGCATCCCAGCAGCTCCACTGCCTGAGTTTTAAATTCACCTGGAGGTTTTCCCTTCCCATCTGAACTTCCCACATACCCTTTCATCCAATGGTCTGTTTGTTTTTTGTCAGTGTCTTTCTTATGCCATTTATTTATGTATTTATTTATTTATTTATTTATTTATTTATTTATTTTTGAGACGGAGTTTCACTGTGTCGCCCAGGCTGGAGTGCAGTGGCGCAATCTCAGCTCACTGTAACCTCCACCTCCCGGGTTCAAGCAATTCTCCTGCCTCAGCGTTTCGAGTAGCTGGGATTACAGGCACCTGCCACCATGCCCGGCTAATTTTTATATTTTTAGTAGAGACAGGGTTTAACCATGTTGGCCAGGCTGGTCTTGAACTCCTGACATCAAGTGATCTTCCCGCCTCATCCTCTCAAACTGCTGGGATTACAGGCATGAGCCACCACACCCGGCCTCTTATGCCTTTGAAAGTCGTTCTAGTCTTCAATGTGTTGATTCAGTTGGGAATTGGGTATTTGGGGGCTGTTAGAAAAATAGAAAGGCATTCTTCTGTGAGTCCACTATTAGCTCGGTCATATGAGGGCAGAGCCTCTGTGAATTCCTCTGCCTCACGTGTCTGTAAAGGTAATTCAGTCTCAGCTATGGTCTCGTTTAAACGAGTGAGGGGAAAGAACTTCCAGTATTAACATCCTAGGCTCAGAAGCCACAAACTGTGCCTCGTGCTTTTAAGATTCCTCTGGTGAGAGCGTCTCAGTGTCTGTTTATGATTTCACAACAGGGAGGGAGGCCAAGACTGCAATAGTGCAAACGTTCTAAAAAATATATGCATTTAATTCTGAGCAACAGAAAAAACAAAATTTCACCTTATTCCTCAAGTGACATTTTCTATCAGCAAATTATAGCTCTGAAGGCAGATCTATCTAAGGTTTACCCATTTATTCATTCAGCAAATGGGGCACTTACTCTATGGGTGTCCACTGAGGCCAGGTGCTGTGCCAGGTTCTGAGGATACATACGGAGGTAGCAGCAGGACAGACTGTTTCTCTCTCAAGGGCCTTCTGCTCTGGAAGAGGAAGGCAGACAGTACATAAGGTAAACAGTATAACAAGTTCCCAGCAAGATGATACTGCACTGTGTTTAGTAGGAAGAAGAAACTGATCAGGGTAATGAGATGGGGGTGCAGGCGGAAGGGGTTACTTCACTTGACGTGGGAGGAGGAGACATTTGAAGTCTGAGGGAAGCGAGTTCCAGGGAGAAAGATCAGCAAAGACAACCTCACCGAAGCTAAACAAGTTTGGCCCGCTCTGAGGAAGGAGGGTCGGCAAAGCTGGGACTCCTTTAACAGGAGGAGAGGAGGGAGAAATGTGTTAGGATTTTAGGCAGGAAACAAACCTTGCAGGGCCTCATGGCCATAGTGGAGAGCCGTCTCAGGGTGAAGGGCATTGGAGCATTACAAGCAGAGAAAGAGACAGAACCCAACTTGTGTTACAAAGACAGCATTCTAACTGTTGGTAACAGGGTGGATGGAGGAATCAGGCTGGGCAGAGTGGAAGTTGGGCCTTCGAGGAGGATTTGGTAGCAATGGTCCAGAGAGAGATGGTGGTTTGCACCATAATACAGAGACAGGAGTGACATGCATTCAACCAGAGAGGATAACAGAATGGTCTTTAAAATGGAAAAATGGACTTTCGGCTCTCACTTTCTAAGCTGAATTCTCCAGGAGGAATTTTATTGCACAGCTGTAGTGAACTCTTAGGTAAAAAATCATGGGTGGAGTGAACTTAGACCTTGAGAGGTTATACTGACCTTTCTCTTGTGGCCTATAGGTAGAGTGATCCTACTTCATTATCCCCTAAATACTGGAAGCAAACAATGAGCCCTTCCTAGTTTTAGAGTGTTTTATACCCCACTGACACAAGACAGCATTTTCCAAAGCTTTTTTAAAAAAAAATTTATGAATACATAATAGTTGTACTTACTTATGGGGTCCATGTGATTTTTTGATACAAGTATACAGTGTATAACAATCAAATAAGGGTAATGAGATACCATCACCTTAAACATTTATTATTTATGTTAGGAACATCCCAATTCCATTATTCTAGTTGTTCTGAAATATACAATAAATTACTGTGAATTATGGTTGCCCTATGGTGCTATGAAACACTAGATCTTTTCTCTTCTAACTGTATTTTTCTACCCATTAACCATCCCCTCTTATTCCTCTCTCCCAACTCCACTTCTCAGTCTCTGATAACCATCATTCTACTGTCCATCTTCATAGATCAATTTTTTTTAGCTTCCGCATATTCCACATGTGCGTGAGAACATACCATATTTGTCTTTCTGTGCCTGGCTTGTTTCACTTAACATAAATCACCTCCAGTTCCACCACGTTGCTGCAAGTGACAGGATTTCATTCTTTTTATGGCCAAACAGTACTCTATTGTGTACATATACCACATTTTCTTTAACCATTCATCTGTTGGTGGACACTTGGGTTGATTCCACATCTAGGCTATTGTCAACAGCACTGCAATAAACATGGGAATGCAGATATCTTTTGATACACTGATTTCCTTTCTTTCTAATATACACCCAGCAGTGGGATTGCTAGGTGATATGGTCATTCTACCAAAGATTTCTTGAACCATGACCCTTCAGCAGCTGTGAAGGGAGTGGTGGCCTGTGCCCTTCCTCTGAGTGGGTGGCTTGAGCTTCAAGGGTTTCCCATAAGGAAGTGGGCTAATAGGCCCCCTCTCTGGGCCTTCAGAAGCTGCTGGCAACTAGAGGAGACCTTCATCTCTTTCGTCTAGACGACAGGCAAGCCAGACAACAGAGTGGGATCCTCCCTCTGCATCTAGTTTGATTCCAAAGCCGCAGGCTTCCAGATACATGGGGGACATGCAGGCGATGCCCCCTGCCCGTCCTTTGGGTCTGTAAGAAATGAACTGTCTGAAAGATGATCAAGCACTTCTGTGAGCTCAAATTAGAAATTTTATTCTTGTCACTCTCCGGCTAAAAGCTAAGCTGCTGATACAGACTCCTGCATGCTTCAGTGCAGGTGACAAGCCTTTATTACCTGCCAGTTTTCACCAGAAAAGAAGGCCATAAAACTTACAAAATGACCATCTGTTTGCAGCATCTGCCCTGACCCTGTCTGTGATGTGAACATTATTGCAAGCGGCTGACATGCTGTGGGGATTTTCTAGAATAACTGTTCTCCTTTTTTAATATCTGTATGTAAAATGAAGTGTTCAGGGCCAAAGAATGTCTTCTACTTGGAATGGTCCCCAAGAAAACAAGCTTTGTTAGGGCAAGAACTTGCTTCAATAACAACTATTCCTTATTTGTAATGTTGTTTTCTTTGCTAAACTTTTGTTTTCCTTTTGCTTTTAGCTCAAAACACTGGAATTTCAACTTTGTATAGGAATTCTTATGGTGCGCCCGCTGAAGACATCAAACACAACCAGGTAAAGTAAATGCAACACGTTTGTATTTCCTTTTCAGTGTGACTCATGTGAAATAACCTGGAATTTTAAACATAAACTTTCATCCAACATACATAAAGAACTGAAAAAGAAGGCAACGTCCCCTGAGGCCCTCTCCTCACGCCTGTTGCAGCGTGTGTGTGTCTCTGTGTGTGTGTGTGTGTGTGTTGGACTCGGCAGAACAGCCTCAAATGTGCAAACGGCCTTTGAACCTCATGCTTGATCTGGTGCAGAAAGCAAGTATTCTGCTATGGTGCAAAACTAAAAGAAACCCCCAAATAGACAACTGTAAGATGTCACTAAACAGGAATTGTCTAATTACTGGACAGAGATGGAGTAGCTCCTGTAACCCTGCAAATGCATTAGGAAGGAAGCATTCATTATACATGATCACTACCAATAAAGGAGACACAGCAAGTTCAATAGAGAACTTGTAAAAGAACACATAAATAAGTTCTATTATTCTGCAATACATGAAATGCATTGTAGTGTCTTGCTACTCAAAGTCTAGTTGGGGAACCAGCAGCATCAATGTTACCCAGAATCTTGTTAGAAACACAGGAGAGATTCTTCTCTGGCTCCTAACCCTAACCCGTCCAAGATTTTCTGCAGCACAGTTGCATTCTAATTAGATGCGCTTGTGTGCACATTCAGGTTTGAGGAGAACTGAACAGTAGATTCTTTTTATTATTATTATTATTTTATTTTTATTATTATACTTTAAGTTCTGGGGTACATGTGCAGAATGTGCAGTTTTGGTACATAGGTATACACGTGCCACGGTGGTTTTCTGCACCCATCAACCCGACATCCAAATTAGGTATTTCTCCTAATGTTATCCCTCCCCTAGCCCCTGACCCCCAGCAGGCCCCAGTGTGTGATGTTCCCCTATGTCCATGTGTTCTCATTGTTCAACTCCCACTTATGAGTGAGAACATGCAGTGTTTGGTTTTCTGTTCTTGTGATAGTTTCCTGAGAATGATGTTTCCAGCTTCATCCATGTCCCTGCAAAGGACATGAACTCATCCTTTTTTTATGGCTGCATAGTATTCCATGGTATATATGTGCCACATTTTCTTTATCCAGTCTATCATTGATGGACATTTGGGTTGGTTCCAAGTGCTTGCTATTGTGAATAGAGTGCCACAATAAATGTACGTGTACATGTGTCTTTATAGTAGAATGATTTATAACCCTTTGGGTATATACCCAGTAATGGGATCACTGGGTCAAATGGTATTTCTGGTTCTAAATCCTTGAGGAATCGCCACACTGTCTTCCACAATGGTTGAACTAATTTACACTCCCACCAACAGTGTAAAAGCGTTCCTATTTCTCCACATCCTCTCCAGCATCTCGTTTCCTGACTTTTTAATGATCGCCATTCTGACTGGTGTGAGATGGTATCTCATTGTGGTTTTGATTTGCATTTCTCTGATGGCCAGTGATGAAGAGCATTTTTTCATATGTCTGTTGGCTGCATAAAAGTCTTCTTTTGAGAAGTGTCTGTTCATATCCTTTGCTCACTTTTTGATGGGTTTTTTTTTTCTTGTAAATTTGTTTAAGTTCTTTATAGATTCTGGATATTAGCCCTTCGTCAGATGGATAGATTGCAAAAAATTTCTCCCATTCTATAGTTGCCTGTTCACTCTGATGATAGTTTCTTTTGCCGTGCAGGAGCTCTTAATTTAATTAGATCCCATTTGTCGATTTTGACTTTTGTTGCCATTGCTTTTGGAGTTTTGGACATGAAGTCTTTGCCCATGCCTACATCCTGAATGGTATTGCCCAGGTTTTCTTCTATGATTCCTATGGTCCTGGGTCGTATGTTTAAGTCTTTGATACATCTTGAGTTGATTTTTGTATAAGGTGTAAGGAAGGGGTCCAGTTTCAGTTTTCTGCATATGGCTAGCTAGTTTTCCCAACAACATTTATTAAATAGGGAATCTTTTCCCCATTGCTTGTTTGTGTCAGGTTTGTCAAAGATCAGATGGTTGTAGATGTGTGGTGTTATTTCTAAGGCCTCTGTTCTATTCCTTTAGTCTATATATCTGAACAGTAGATTCTTAAGGAACCAATCTGAGAGAGAGAGAGAGAGTATATGTGTGTGTTACTCTGCAAACATTTATTGAAGGCTCATTTTCTCTGGCTCTGCAGGAACTATAAAAGCCAAAAGACACAGTTGTTCCCCCTCGTTGATCAGAAACTTCATACATCTCTCCTTCCCATGGTGGGCATCAGCCCACTCCATGTGCAGCACTCTGGAAAACATATGGTGTTGTCTGTGACCCCCTGGTGAATGGCTTGGCCCCCATGGCCTATTTGATGTGTTGCTAACATCTAATCAGCCTCCCCTCAGTTCTAGTATTTGCTAAAAGCAAAGAAGCCAATGACTAAATAAATAGGGTCATGAGCTGTAGACACCAGGTCACCAGGGAGGCCCCAACTATTCACTTGCCAACCTGCCTCCATAAAGGCAAACAGAAACAAAATGTATTAGAAATGCCAACTTCATTTATGGAAATCAATCATGCTTCTTGCAGCAAATATTATGAAATTCTGGATGTACAGTAAGCAGATTATTGCCAATTATTACAGATTCTTGTCAGGTTGTAATAGGACCATGATTTTGCCGCCAAGAGTGTGAGATTCATCTTGAGTCCCCTCAGGTAGAGAGAAGCTCCTCATTGGAACCAGCTCCCTCTGCACCAGCCTTCCTTCCCCGGGAGTTGGCATTGAAGAAACGCCCTGACATGGCCAGGGGTCTCTGGCATCTCACAGAGTGGCTGCAGTAGGTTCCAAAAGACTGCTTGCCATCTAGATTTAGAGGACAGTCTATAATGGCTCTAAGGGGCACCTTCTTTTTACGTAAGCAGATCCCGAGCATTTAAGCAAATGAGAATTAATGTGCTAAGATGGCATCCTTGCCATGAGTGTGAACACCACCTAGCCATAGCCTTTCTCCCAGAGGTCTCCAGAATGTGCTTGACTCAGTCTCAGAGTGAAACACCAAGGCCACTGGGCCTCAGGCAAATGTTGCTAAAATCCACCCTGGATGGAGAGCAAGCTCCGCATCTCTCGTCAGGACCGAGGCATTGCAGGCAAGCCCCCGGCAGAGCTGAGTCCTATCTTCATAGCTCAGGACCACCATCATTCCCTGTAAGGGACCAGCCAAGGGAAGTGGATAATTGGATCATTCTATCTTAGCCTAACATCCATTTTTAAACGTCCACCAAAGAGAGGGTTCCCCCCCCTCCCCAAAAAGTATTTCCAAGGAGATCATAATGACACTCCATTGAACTTGGAGAGGAAGGAAAGAAAGCATTTTACTTCTTTTAGACTATGTTATAGGAATAAACCTTGTCTTCACTTGCAGTTTTCTCTTTGGGGACTCAATAAAGTGCAACCATCCTAACCCTTCAAAAGACATGTTTTCACTCTCTTCCGGTTGGGAGTCCTAGAGAGGACTCATAAACAGTATCCCTGACTTGGATTCTCTGGCCATAGAGGTGTAACCAACCATTCTAGGTGGAATGCTTTCATGTTGGGAGCTTCCCTGGGCCAAAAGTTACCCCAGAACTTTGCGCCTGGAACAGTTTCACCAGGAGGGATCCTCCAGGGTTTGGTCAGTTTCAGCATCGAAGCTTGTCCTCTGCTGAGCGCTCCTGTCTCCCGGGTGGCTCAGTCACCAGCCAGGTCTCACAGGCTTCACACTGGGTAGTGACTGAGCTTATGGGGAAGCAATTCATGGAGGGAAATCAGTTTCAAGTGGATCTCCAAGATAAGGCAAAAGACAGTGAGAGCTGAGAAAGAGACGCCTGCACCAGACACATGGCCACACGTGGGTGCTGCTCCTGTGACCTGGGACTCAGGCACATTTTCAGTGAACTCTGAGCTTAAAGCCTCCTAGAAGAAACAATCAGTAGTATAAAACACAGTTCGTGATCTTTGGTTTGAATGTCTGAGGTCAACGGGTTACAGACATCACTTTAAGACTTAACTGACTAGGTGCAGTGGCTAATGCCTGTAATCCTAGCATTTTGGGAGGCCGAGGCAGGCAGATCGCTTGAGCTCAGGAGTTCAAGACCAGCTTGGGCAACATAGCAAAACTGTGTGTCTACAAAAAATACAAAAATTAGCTGGGCATGGTGGTGTGTGCCTGTAGTCCCAGCTAGCTGGGATGCTGAGGCAGGAGGAAGGCTTGAACCTGGAAGGTGGAGGCTACAGTGAGCCATAATTGCACTACTGCACTCCAGCCTGAGTGACAAAGCGAGACCCTGTCTCAAAAAAAAAAAAAGACTTAACTATGCATACTTTCCAAACATCCTTTTGAGCTTCTACCAGTCCACCCCATAATTACAAAGAGAAATATCATGTTGAACGGTATCTATCTAGCTGACAACAGGATTTTTGTTCAGGAACTAGAAACAAAGAGCTTTGCTGTTTTGATGACCAATATTTAAATGATAACAAAACCGGAATCTTGAGTTCCTTCCTGGTGTCCTTAGTTCCACTGTCACGTGAGCAGGCCAGTTGTAATTGTCTGCAGAAATGAGGAAGATGAGATCCCAGGAGGATACGTGTTTCCTTCAGTCCCCCAGCCAGGAAGAGGCAAATACTCATCTTGGTTCTTCTGTCTTCCTGTCCCATTTTTTTTACCTCTGTGCCAATGGTTCTCAAATTGGAGCATGAGCCAGAATTCCCCAAAGGGCTGTTAAAGCACAGATTGCTGGGGCCCATCGCCAGAGGCCCTGATTCAGTAGGTCTGGAGTGGGACCCAGTAATCTGCATTTCTAACAAGTTCCCAGGTGATGCTGATGCTGCTGGTCTTGGGATTATGCTTTGAAGACCACTGATACTTCATATCTGGCCTCCTTCATTTTCTGTGAACACTCTGAGTCTTTCTATGAACACTCTGAGACATGGAAAAGTTGGAAGAGCTATACTGGGCTACTATTTCCCTTGTGTTCAAAATAAATCCAGTTTCCTGGCAAATTCATTAAGGAATAAACCCAAAGAAGTCTTTTGTCATTATGCTAACAGAGTTGGAAGGTGTCATGACACTATCCTTCATAATTTAGAGTGAATATTCTACTGTTGAGGAAAAAGTTCAGCAAAGATGACTTGGTAGAAACAGAAGCCATGGAACAGAGCGCAGAGAGCGTGAGCATATTGACCCTGGAGTGAGCTGCTGGTCACCACCCCTTTCCAAAACAAGATGCAGCGTTAAGGCAAAGAAGGCAAAAGCTTCGGGCTTGCGTATTCCTGGGCTTCTCTAGACCGTAACAGACACCCAGATTCAGAAATCCCCTCTGCTCTATTGGGGCATCATTCTACATCCCTCATCCAAATCTGGCTGATGCAAACTGTGCAATTTTTAATGCATTTATTTTTAGCTCTTATGTGAGGAGGGCTTTGGGAGGGGTCATTTCATCAGCCAGATTTTCAACTGTCAGATATTCCCTTAAAGTTTAAAATGCAGCCAATATTCCTCCACTGTGGATGTGTTTCACCAGCAAACGTCCATACCACAAGAGCAAATACCACAAGACGTCCATACCACAAGAGCAAATACCACAAGATACCACAAGAGCAAATACCACAGAAATGTCCATACCACAAGAGCAAATACCACAGTGAGCAAATTCTGTCTCTCCGGGTGCAGCAGTGACACGTGTCACCTGTGACAGTTCATTTGTACACACTTTTGGGACTGGGGCACCAAACCTCAGAAGTGATTGGTGTGGGATTTTATGAACAGTACAGATGAATGAAGAAGTTAATTCTCTGGGGTAAGAGGCTGAAAAAGCTGATACCCAGCTCCCAAATGTTCACCAACCAGAGAGAACATGACAACAGTCAAAGCAATTTGAACGAGGTTGTGCAAAAGAACCAAAAAAATGAAAGCAGAAGCCACTTTGGAGGAGAGCTATAACCCTTGTGAGTGACTCCTCCTGAAGATGTCCCTGTCCCCTGCACTGCCTTCCCTGGCCCCCAAAAATCCATAAGAAAACACACCGCTTCTTGGTCTCTTTTGTCCACCGACTTTCTTATCTTAGAGCCTAGAGTCAGCTCCTTGAGGCCTGTCCTCCAAGGTTTGGCCACCTTGGCTCTGATGGGACTGGACTACGTTGGTAGAACACCTGGGTTTTAGAGTCAGCCAGCCGTATGTTCCAGTTCCAGTTCACAACACCACTAGCTATGACGTTTTGGAGAAGTTTCTTAACTTCTCTGTGCTTCAGTTTTCTCATCTATAAGGTGGGAGTTTGCTTGAGGGATGGATGGATGGATGGATTGGTGGGTGGATAGGAAGACAGACAGATGATAGATTATAGATATTGATGTAGACAGACACAAACACACATAAATATTTATGACTACTGGAGTATTAAAGAATTTGCTAAATGTTGAATAGGGTGCCCTGCTGAACAAGAAACACAGCAAATCTAGTTCCCTCCCTGTATAATTTTTCCAAACTTCTAGATTCTGAGCCTTTGCATGTCTTGCACTTGGAAAACAGCCCTGTGTTGGAGTGGAGTTCAGCAGCACACAAGCAGAGCTCTTCAAAGAATAGCAAAGGGCACCCCAACCTAGCAACGCAGTCCAGTAGACCTGGACTTAGCAGTATTTAATTGCAGATGTTGCACATTCATTCCAAATGTTCCTCTCATCCTTTGTTAGCTCTCAGGCTAACAAAGGTTTATCCTCTATGGACTTTTGGACTTCTGTAGGTAGACAGAAACCTCATTCATTCAGCTACCACTAACTAGACACGTGGGACATCCTAGACAGCTGCTGTGATGAAGTTCACCACTTCTTTGAAGATCAGGTTGATTACTAGTATAAATCAATGACATATATAAGAGGGAGTTTCACTTACTTGAGAGAAGAATTATGTGTAAGCCTTTAAAAGCATTCATTTACACACAACGTGCTAATTACAAATCATTATCTATTAACTAAGACCAATTTCTAGAGAACGTTTCCGTGCTGAACTTTAGTTAAATTAATAGGGAGTCACTGAGTCCACCCAAAAGTGATCAAACAGTATTTCTTTAAGAGTGTTTAATAATTCACACCAGATCTCCTCCCCAATTACTGCACATTAGCAGAGCTTTGTGCATCCCGGTATGCACTTGCTGTAGGGTTAACCTCACCCTATACCTTGGGAGGTTCTGCTCATTTCAGGGGCAGGTGCTTGAAAAGGGACCCCAGGGACTAGAACAGATACAAATGCACCAATGTTTATTGCAACATTATTTACAGCAGCTAAAAGGTAAAAATAACCCAAGCGTCCATCAATGGATGAATGGATAAATAAAATGTGGTCTATGCATACCATGGACTATTTTATTCTTATATATATACAATCATGGGGGTGCAAGTGCAGTTTTGCTACATTGAGGTAAAGTCATGGCCTTCAGTGCATTCATCAGTGGAGCAATGCACATCATACAGTGGAATATTATTCAGCCACAAAAACGGATCAAGGTCTGCCATGTGCAACACCATGGATGGACCATGCAAACTTTATGCTAAGTGAAAGAAGCCAGTCACACAAGGACAAACACTCTCTGCAGTGCCTATATTAGGCAGATTTCTAGAGACAGAAAGTAGAATGGTGCTTGCCATGGGCTGAGAGAGAGGGGATGAGGAATTACATTTAATGGGCACAGAGTTTCTGTTTGGGATGATTTAAAAAGTGGTGGAAACGGATGGTGGTGATGGTTGCACAACACTGTGAATGTTCTTAATGCCACCTAATTAATCTTACACTTCAACATTTCTTAAAGCAAGCTGTTTTATGTTATGTATATTTTGCCATGATAAAGATTATGTAGAATGATAGCACGTGGACCTAGGATCCAATTTTCAAAAGGAAAGCCAATGACAGTTGGCAGTTTTGGAGAAGCAGGGCCACAGTGGTGAATGCCTGGATATACACAGCCTATTCTTTGAAGGAGAGTTGGGTGCCGGGGCAAGAGGCAGGCTGAGTCAAGGGAAACCAAGTAACCCAGTGTGGCTCTTCTTTCCCGTTTAGGTTTCAGCACAGCCAGTCCCACAGGAGCCCAGCAGAAAAGATTACGAGACCTACCAGCCATTTCAGAATTCCACAAGAAATTACGATGAGTCCTTCTTCGAGGACCAGGTCCACCATCGCCCTCCCGCCAGCGAGTACACCATGCACCTGGGTCTCAAGTCCACCGGCAACTACGTTGACTTCTACTCAGCTGCCCGTCCCTACAGTGAACTGAACTATGAAACGAGCCACTACCCGGCCTCCCCCGACTCCTGGGTGTGAGGAGCAGGGCACAGGCGCTCCGGGAACAGTGCATGTGCATGCATACCACAAGACATTTCTTTCTGTTTTGTTTTTTTCTCCTGCAAATTTAGTTTGTTAAAGCCTGTTCCATAGGAAGGCTGTGATAACCAGTAAGGAAATATTAAGAGCTATTTTAGAAAGCTAAATGAATCGCAAGTTAACTTGGAAATCAGTAGAAAGCTAAAGTGATCCTAAATATGACAGTGGGCAGCACCTTTCTAGCGTGAGCTGTAGAGTAACGAGAAGTGCTTTATACTGAACGTGGTTGATGGGAGGAGAGACGAGGCATTCGGGCCGGTGGGGCGTAAGGGTTATCGTTAAGCACAAGACACAGAATAGTTTACACACTGTGTGGGGGACGGCTTCTCACGCTTTGTTTACTCTCTTCATCCGTTGTGACTCTAGGCTTCAGGTTGCATTGGGGTTCCTCTGTACAGCAAGATGTTTCTTGCCTTTTGTTAATGCATTGTTGTAAAGTATTTGATGTACATTACAGATTAAAGAAGAAAAGCGCGTTGTGTATATTACACCAATGCCGCCGTGTTTCCTCATCTATGGTTCTAAATATTGCTTCAATTTCAAACTTTTGAAAGATGTATGGATTTCCAGTTTTTCTTTACTTTCTCCCAGTATGTTTTAACAAAAAAAAAAAAAAGCAGGAAAAAAGGAATATTTAGCAGTATTGTTCGTTCTGATATGTGAATTTGTTTGTGACAACTAAACAAGGCATTCAGCAGTTTCTGACAATTAACATACATCATTCCACACTCCTTGTCAACAAAGTGCTTTTTCACTGCCTAAAATTTTAGATGTAGATATTTGAAATAGATTTTTTCATTTATACCAGTTTTCTTTATGATGATACAGTGTTAAAAGAAAATAAATTACAATTGATCTGTCATCCATATTTGCTAAGAATGTCTATTTCCAAGAACCTATATCTTACAAAATACACATTCTTGCTTGTGTGTCTGTGTGTGTGGGTGTATGTATGTCCACGTACTAGAAAAATTACCTGTGTGAGATTTTATTTTGACAGAAGCTATTTCATTTGCTGTTCATCTTGTACAAACTTTGTTTTTGGTTTTTTAGTATAAATGTACATCAGTTTGTTCCTTTTGTACTGTATCTATTCTTCTGACCATCTAGTGACTCAGGATATTAGGCCAGTTGAAGTGGAGTTATAGGATTTTCACACATTCACGCATACTTGGATATCAACCCTCTCTACAGGTCCGTTTCCTTACACATTTTATCCCCTCAGAACACGATAAACCATGGCCAATTCAGTTTCACTTTGGGGCCAATTACTTGAAGTATCCACAGAAAATGTAAACTGCTCGCCTTATTCCCCCAAACTTTTTGTTCATGTGGCAGGGAGCAGTACACAACTATGGAATAGATTATTAAAACTGAACTTGAAGCTAACGTTAGAATAGTGGTTAACAGAGCTAAGAAATAAGGCTAACCATCGAAAAGAACATGGGCCGCGGGTAAACTAGCTTTGCTCTTTAGATGCAAGTGGCTGAGGCCAATAGGTGCCTAGTAAATGTTAACTGTTCTTGGAAAAAATAAAAACATCAGTAACAAAAGAAATTGGCTGCCATCGTCCTTTAAAACTGGCTTCCCTTCACGCTACATAGTTTAATTCAGCTCCAAGTCTCAAGTAAATGGTTCTTTCTCCAAATTTAACAACAATCAAATGATGATAGTCAATTCACGCATAGTTTTGGAAATGAAAAGTTAACTTTCAGAATAGAGCAGTAGACAGAAATGTATGTGTGAATTATGTACTAGTTGGACATACAGGACTCCACATTTCTGGATTCCCTCACAGGAATGCTTCAGACCCTCTAGAGAGAGAGAAACATGGCACATTGAAGACAGGGTTTCCACTTCATCTGTATCATACAATGCAACAGTAAAGAGAATGTGATATGGACATGACTTCCCTATAACATAAGGGCTGGCTTAACCTTTCCAGAAGAAAGCAATAGGACTCATTCTCTGGTTGGAGTTGTGCCACAGAATTAATGTGCTATGGAATTCCTCCTCCTAGTAGAAACCGTATATTTTCTTTATGATTTTTGAGTCTTAATGCATGCCCTACATTTGCGACTCATGAAGACCAAGGATGTCTTTGCATCCCATAATTCTTTGAGAGCACATTGTGCCAGGCTGTGATTAGCTGACTCAGCTAGGAGCCTCCAGCATCAGAAGGAGAGATAGTGGGAAAAATTTAAAAGTGTTTGTAATTATTCAAGCCAATCCATTTTTCCTTTTTAGGCACATATACAAATAGATTGAGGATAGATATAGACAGAGAGAGAGAGAGAGAGATGACAGATAATACATAGCTATAGATAGATGATAGATGGTGGATGGATAGGTAGATGGAGGTAGGTAAGTCAATAGATGGGGTCTTACTTGAACTATGAAATAGCCTAAAGCCCCCACAGGTTCCCTTGGCAAAGAAGGTTGGTCAGCCAGTGATTTATTGTTTGTAACATGGGATGTATTGGATAAAAGCCCCAAGTGACAAGAAACCTTTGTTTTGGCTTTGATTGTCCTGAAAGTAAGTAAGGCCCCCTCCCACAAGTGGCTGTGTCTTGCATCTACAAGAGCCTCCAGACCCTGAATTTTCCTACAGAAATGGGAATGGTGTTTTTCAGAGGAAAGAGGGGAAGCGAGGAAATTTCTTTTTCTGTTCAGTCCCTATGGTAGACCATAAAAACCCAATGCACTTAATAAGATGTACAACACAGACCCCCTTTTTTTTTTGTTCTTGAGGGTATTGGTCACCAGGGACTGATTAAGAAACAGTCCCTATACCATTATACCATTATGGATAATAGTAGCATTTAACAATAAGATCTTTTTATTATCACACATTAATGTTATGATCCTCATTAAGAGTTGTGCATTAGACAATAAAATATCAGGTTTAGAAGAATCAGGGTGACATAAGATGTCACATTGTATTTGGAGCTAACCTAAGTGAAGGTTAACCAATGATGACCCATTTCATATTAATGAGACTCGTGCATTATGGAAAGCTGCTGTTTAAAAAAGCAGTGTTTAAACTCAGTAGGAAAAACAAACAAAAAACCTCAGTGTATTTGGTATGTCTTGTTTCTCTTCAGCTCCTTTTTAATGTCTGATACTGTCCCCTTCGTCTCTGAGAACCGTGCCCCCGAGAAGTGAGGTCTGACTGTCTGAAGATACAGTATTCTCACTCACACGGCAACAGGGAAATGAACATGGCTCTTGTCTGACAAAATGCTGTTTACAAAAGTATTCATCCAGGCTGTTGGGGTCTCTTACCTACCAAATAGAACACTCCAGGCGCCTCAGCTCACCTCCACCTCAGACGGCAGGAGAAGAAAGGCTGCGGCCAGTCGGTTCACAGAAACCTGACCTTTATCTCAAGACCAAAGGAACCTCTGTGTGACAAAGAGAAAAAAATAAGCCAGCAATCAGGGGAGCCCATGGAGTGCTTTAGAGATCTGCACATCACAGGCTGGAGGCTGCTGACATGCCGGAGACTGCTGACATGTTGCAGGATTTTCCATGGCAACGTTTCCTGTAAGGCCCCATGGCTCCACTCCCCATCTGACATTTCATTTCTACACTGTGGTCGAAATGAGATTATAATAGAAACTCATGCCGGGTAACCATCTCATCAAGACCAAACTGACCTTCCTATCAGCAGCCTTGTATCCCTGGGTCTCTCTAAAATCCCCAAATCTCCAAAACCAAAAAAACACTCTGTAATGCACTTGGTAGCAAAAGCTCACCTGAACAAACTCCAAGCTATGAATGGTCTTTGTTTCTCCGACCTCATGAGACTCCTCCGATGTTTCTCACACATGGTGCATTTGACTACCAGGTCCTGCCCAGACTCTGCTGAGCTTGTTATGGACTTTGTGGTGCACACCCAAATTACCTTCTAAAATCAGAAAATTTCTTAGTTCAGTTTGCCCCAAGGGATTCACACAGATGAGCTTGTACCCAAGTGCTTAATAAGAGAACTGGACTTATGAGTTACCAAAGCCTGGTTCGGCTCTCAGAACCAGTTCCCTTCCTGTGGTGCATTTCAGATCAGAATCTACATTAAAGTGTGCTGGTCTCCATCCTGCGGAGAGGTCCCTGTGGGCAAGAGAGCCTCGTGCACACCACCTCATCGCAAGGCAACATACCGCTTTGTAACCTGTAGGTACATAGGAATGAGACTTCTGGGTGTCCTCGACAATGCTTGGCTGTACAAAGCAAAGAGACCAAGATCTCCAGTTGCTTGCAAACAACAACTAGAATACACCCAAGCAGGGGACCCATTAATGTTTTTTCCAGACAGAAGGTTTCTAATACAGCCCCTGTCGCAATACCCAGTTCCAAACTAGCAAATCAGGCACTTGACCCTCCGTCTCTTCATCAGTTCCATCATAAGTAACTTGTCTGCCCCTAAAGCTCATCAGCCACGAAGGATAGAGAAGAAATAAGACCCACCCCCAACTCCCTAAGCACACTAGGTAATTAATAACGAAAGTGGAGTTTTAACTCAAGTTTGGGCCTGTAAGACAATGGAATTCTCCACATAAACTTCAACAATAACCACATAAAAATCACACATTTTTAAACTTTACAATATTTGATTGCTCAGTTTCTCAATAAAATGAAGACATTATGAAGCACCTGGTTCTCTGTACTGGAACTTGCATGCATGACAAAGACATAACCCCAGGGTGGTGAGGACAACAATCTCAGAGAAAATACAAGATAAACATACTGCTCTACTGCAGGGCTTCTCGGCCAGTGCATTACTGATTTTTGGGCTGAATAATTGTCTGGGGGTGGTGTGAAATGCTTTCCTATGCATTCTAGGATATTTATCAACATCCTTGGCCTCTACCCACTTGATGCTTACAGCACCACCATCTGCAGCTGTGACAATCAAAACCATCTCCAGGTATAAGCAAATGTCCCCAGGGGGCAAAATCGGCCCCAGTTGAGAACCACTACTCTAGTGTGATGCACGATACGCTAACCACTACTGAGTTAAAGGAAGGGAAAAGATGCACTCCTAGCTGAGTGATCTGAGGAATACGAGACAGCAGAGATGGTGTTTGGCAAGAACGTAAGGAGTGGAGAGGCTTCCAATGAGCAATGATGAGGGTGCTTCAGGAAAAAGAAACAAGTGAAGGAGAAGATGGAGGAAGGATAGGGAATGAACAGAGAACAATTTGCAATACATTTCACTCCAAAATTAGGAGTAGGAGGAGGATGGAGCGAGAGAGAAACCCACTAGGGACAAAGTTTGAGGCCCTTGAAAGCTCTATTGTGACAGGTGTGGTAGCGTGTGCCTGTAGTCCCAGCTACTGGGGAGGCTGAGGTGAGAGAATCACTTGAGTCCTGGAGGTGGAGATTAGCCTAAGCAACATAGTGAGATCCTGTCTCTAAATAAATAAATAAATAAATAAACAAACAGACAAAAAGAAGAAAGCCATATTGCAGAAACACTACAAAAAAATTTTACAACATTGTTGCAAAGATTCTGGGGTGTGGGTGTGTGTGATGGTTGTAAAGGTAAGATCTAGATAAGTGAGTCTCAGACTTCAGCATCCATTAGAATCACCTGGAGTACATCACCTGGATGGCTTATTCAGAGAGTTTCTGATTGGGTAGGACTGGAACTGGCTAAGAATTTGCATTTCCAAGATGTTTCCAAGCGATGTTAATGTTGCTTGTCTGGGGGCCATATGTTGAGAACCACTGGTTTAGGGAGAATCACTTCTGAGGCTGTTGTAATAATTAACCTAGAACCTCGTTACTCAAAGTGTAGTCCGGGGATTAGCAGCATCAGCATCGGCTGGTAGCTCACTAGAAATGCAGACTATTGGGTCCCACACCAGAATCTGCATTATCAAAAGGTGATTTTTTGGAACATTAAAGTTTGACAGCCATGATCCAAAAAACACATAAGCGTCTGAGCTAAAAGAATGACAGTCAAGAGAAATAAAACTAATGTGAAATACTGTAGAAATAAAATTAGTAGACCTTGGCTACTGCTCAGTGAAGGATGGAGGTACCCAAAGATCCCTCTGAGGTGTGAGCCTAGGTAACCAGAAGTCCAGCACATATTATAACCACATAAAAATGTGTGATTTTTATGTAGTTATTGTTGAAGTTTATGTCAAGAATTCCATTGTCTTACTAAGGCCCAAACTTGACTTAAAACTCCACTTTCTTTATTACCTAGTGTGCTTAGGGAGTTGGGGGTGGGTCTTATTTCTTCCTTATCCTTCGTGGCTGATGAGGCTTTAGGTGTAGACAAGTTACTTATGATGGAACTGATGAAGAGACGGAAGGTCAAGTGCCTGCTTTGCTAGTTGAGTTTCTACTCATCCATGACAAGGAGGAAAAACTTTTCCAGCGAGGAAAATCCACTTGGTTTTGGACATGTGAAGTTGCCCATGCTGATGGCAATTACAGAGGGCGGTGGGATGTGCAAATGGTACTTTGAACTAGAGATGTGGAATTGGGTGTCTCTTTGAGGTTAAAAGCTGGAAAGTGGGTGTGGACAGAGCATCCATGAAAAAGAAGATTTGGAGAAAAGAGAGTCCCAGCATGATGAGAACCCCTGGGGAAGCAGCGTGAGGCAGAAGAAGACTGAGGAGAAAGCCAGGTGGGGTGGAGGCGGGAAGAATGAGACCAGTGTACTTTATCCAAACCAGGGAAGGACAGCATTTCACGTGCAGAGAGCAGCAAATGCCACTGGTGGGCACAGAGGATGACAAGAAGAAAAATGGCCGAAAACAAACCTTTGCACATTGCAATGTGCAGACTGCGCAGGACTTTCGGGAGTAGCTCCGGAAGCAGGTGAGGGTGAGTGAACGGGAGGTAGGAGGCTGAGGCAGTGAAAAGTTTGGGAATGGGCTAGCAATTGAGCTGAGACCCTGGGCTGGGACAATCACATAAGGAATGAAGAACTATTTTAGGACAGCAAAATAAACTTTTAAACCAAGGCAAAGGTAATTCATGCTTGTGCAAATGGTTTAGAAACAACCCCTTCTATTTGTATGGTATTGTATTGCCTTCATTGTATTTTAACATTTGTTCTCCTTGTCCTGCTCACTACTAGTATCCTCAGCCTTGCTTTCTTTTAGCAAAGGGGAATAAGGGCCAGGCACGGTGGCTCACACCTGTAACCCCAGCACTTTGGGAGGCCGAGGCAGGCAGATCACCTGAGGTCGGGAGTTTGAGACCAGCCTGACCAACATGGAGAAACCCCATCTCTACTAAAAATACAAAATTAGTGGGGCGTGGTGGCGCATGCCTGTAATCCCAGCTACTCGGGAGGCTGAGGCAGGAGAATCACTTGAACCCAGGAGGCGGAGTTTGCGGTGAGCCAAGATTGTGCCATTGCACTCCAGCCTGGCAACAAGAGCAAAATTTTGTCTCAAAAAAAAATGGGGGGAAGGGGAAGATGCTGTGATATCATGCAGCTGAATATAAAATTTTGCAGCTGGATATTCAACTGGGGCTTTTCTGCTCAAGAGATGATTACGAGTGTGCCAAGCAAAGGGGACATAAAGAGGAAAAAGTCTAATTCAGTCTAATTTTTCAGGGTCCACCCTTTACTCAGCACCATGACATCCACACAGGGCAACATGGAATAAGTCTGATCCTTAGCTCTGTGAGTTTGGGTGTCTATTGCTGTTCACCATGCAGCCGACACCACCAGTACCTGCCACATCAATTACTGATCTCTCTTCTAGACTTTCATCCTTACTACCCCATTACAACCCCATCTGCTCCAGGCTACTTATCCTCACTTCTCATATGATCAGTCTACCAGAAGCCTGGCCCTTGATGGAACCGACACTATGTTTTTGTTCAGAGTTCTCATCACAGCTTCCATTACTCGCTCGCTCAGCAGAGAAGCCAGGTGCCTATTTCCTAATGGCTGCAAGGATTCTTCATGCCTCATAATTGCAAGCAGACATCTGTGAGATAACCACACAGTTAAGTCATGGAGCAGGGGAAAGTAAACTGGCCTTTGTGGGAATTACACCCAAACCATCGGCCACATTAAGACTGCATGTGCACACCTGAGCTAACCTGTCATCAATGGAAACACTATCCCATTTCTACTACCTGAATATACAGCCAACTCTTAATTATCAAAGACAGAGTTGAAAATCACACACGTACAGAATTTAAACTAGACTAATTCTGATTTTCTATTGCTCTGTAACAAACTGCTTCAAAAGTTGTGCTTTAAAGAAAGAAAAAGAGAGAGAGAAACACTTACTTTGTTCAAGACTTTGTAACCTGGATTGTACTCCACTGGGACAACTCAGCTGTGCTGCACTCAGAGTCAGCTGCGGAGGCACGGGGCTGAAAGCTGGACTCACTTAAAGGCTCAATCACTTAGCTGTCTGGCACTTGGGCTGGGAAGACTCAAGTAGCTGGTACAGGGACAGCTGTGGCTCCTCAGGCGTCCTCTGAGCTCGCTCCACCAGGTCTCTCCAGCAGGGATGCTTCAGGGCAGCCAAACTTCTTACATATTATCTCAAAGCTCCCAAAACCCATATCCCAAGGCAAAAAGCCAGGCGCAAAAGTCGGGATGCATTCCATCAGTCAATGCAGCGGCAAAATAATGCTCAGTTTCAGGGGATGGGGTGGGAAACAGACTGTGTTTCTTGATGGAAGAGTGGCAAGATTCTGGAAGAGCCTGTGGGATAGAAATACTACAGTGGCCTTTTTGGTACAATCTACCACAAAGCTTGTAACATTTTGCAGCAATGGGTTCAGCTTCCTCTTTCAAACATTTAGCCAATATTTCTTAATAATGGCAAAAATGATGAGTTTTGCTAGAAGAAGTGAAAAACAAATAATGTAACTAACGTAAATGTGAGCGGAGAAAAGGTTTTGGATCCTGAGTTTTTATTTTCCTCCAGCTGAATGAGAAGGAAGCATTCAGCCACTGTTGTTCCTGGCAGCCATCTTATGACCATGAGGAGCCCAATTAGGCTAAAGCCAAAGTGGAGGAGAGCAGAACAGGAGATAGAAATAACCTGGCTCTCTTCTAAGAGCACTAAAAAGCACCAATCACAAGAATATTCCACAACAGGCAATGGTCAAGTACTCACGATCACATTATAGAGACCCTTCCTGCCCACTCCTAGGAAGTAACAGAAGCCTGGACCGATGGAAGCAATCTCAACACAAAACCCAGTTAAGTACTCATATTGTCATTTTATTATAAAAAGAACATACTTTTCTGAAAAGTTAGGAAAATATAATTACTTTTTTAAAACTCAATGCCAATTTTGGTAAGCAGAAAAGTGTTCCATAGACACTTTCTGTAGTTACCATCCTGATATATCTTATTCATTCAACCACCAGTAAAATATGCTGCAGATTTACAACTGAAAGCATTTGAAATTGTATTATTGCCTCAATACACTATTAAGAGCAATTTCAGGTTCTTAAGTAATTATGTTCTTCATGTGTTCACAATGTATAACCAATGAGAACAATCATTGAAAGATGATCAAATTGTTGAAACAACTAAGGAATAACACACAGGCTAGGAAACTGAGCAATGATACGTCTTTCTTCTGAGTCGGGCTTTGAGAATACTGTTTCCAAATGGGAATGCCTCCAAAATGCAAGGCCCTTTATCGCTTCCTTTTCTGCTAACACACGCCACCTAAATTACCAATGCAATGTAACTGCCTGCTCTGTTTCCACAACTCCCAGTCCCATACCTTCTAAGGGGAGCTCTTTGCCACTAATCCTTGGGCCCTGTTAAAAATAAAGAGCATTCGCAGCAAATGAAACATGGCCCAGATGAATGCCGCCAGCTTTCAATAGCCAGACACTCGGCATTACAGGTGCAATAATCAACCTGCCAACAACTGCTTCACTGGTCCAGGCACACTCCTGAGCTCCATTAGAGAGGTATCCCAACCAGATTTTCTGTTCACTCAAGACCCAAGATTCTGAAGGGCAGCTTTACTTACTTTCCTAAGAATTTCTAATCCGTAAAAAACTAAAGCCACTGGCCAAGATACACCTGACCCCAGAGTGTGCTAATGACAAGGAGACTGTTCTATCCCCCCCAGGAGGAGATGACTGTGCAAACTGTGTGATGAAACGGCCATGAATGGAAAAGGAAATGGTGTTTTTAAATGCTTCTATTTTGTTTTAGACTGTTCCAGAGATGTCTAAAAAGTCAGAAAGGAGATTGGCAGTCCCTTTTAGGTAGAAATTCAAAGTCGCTAGGTTATCGTACCTGCACTAGGTAATCGTAAGCAATTTATTTATGCAATTAACTTTGACCCTAGCAAAGGTTTAAAGGTAGAACTGACCAGAGGACGTGGTAAAGAAAGTCATTTTGTCAGGTCCACTCTTACAGCAAATGTCAGGCCCAGGGTCAGGTTCTAGCCCATGCTGAGGTCTGAGAGGAGTGGGTAGGTGGCAGATAGCTGAAAGAACACTTGGAGGGCCGTAGGTGGGTGAAATGTAGTTTTATTCAGTAGCTCTTTCATCAGCAGCTTACTCACTCTAGCTCTCTCTTGCACTGTCCACCCTTATCTTGGCCGTCTGCTCCAGCTCTGTGGCTCCTCTCAGCAGCTGGCTCCACAGCCCCTGCCGCCCCCACACCTACAGCTGCACTCCTTTACCTACAAGGCCAGCTCTCCCTTACAGGTGTCAGTAGCATTACTCTCTCTCTCTCTGGGTATGAGAGCCAAGCAGCATGTATCAGCATCAGCAGGGCAGTTATACCCTTTACAGATAATAGTGGCATACGGCCGGGCACGGTGGCTCACGCCTGTAATCCCAGCACTTTGGGAGGCTGAGGCAGGTGGATCACCTGAGGTCAGGAGTTTGAGACCAGCCTGACCAACATGGTGAAACCCCATCTCTACTAAAAATACAAAAAATTAGATGGGCGTGGTGGCACACACCTGTAGTTCCAGCTAGTCAGGAGGCTGAGGCAGGAGAATCGCTTGAACCTGGGAGGCAGAGGTTATAGTGAGCTGAAATTGCACCATTGCACTCCAGCCCGGGCAATGAGAAAGTGAAACTCCATCTCAAAAAAAAAGACAATAGTGGCATAGAGCCAAGTATGAGCTTACACAAACAGGTTATGTAACAAGTGGAGGTGTGCACCTGCGTACCAGTCCCGCTGAGTCATGCAGGCCTGGATGTCTGCCTCGGCCTAATTCTTGACCAAAGTACGTCCATGTACCTTACAGATTAAAAAAATAATTTAATAGAAATAGAGTAAGAAAACTTCCTGTCTTGTTAATATGAAAGCATAGCTAGTGTTTCACTGAATTTGAGTGAAATAACCTCAATTTTTTTTTTTTTTTTTTTGAGATGGAGTTTTGCTCTTGTTGCCCAGGCTGGAGTGCAATGGCACGATCTTGGCTTACCACAACCTCTACCTCCCGGGTTCAAGCAATTCTCCTGCCTCAGCCTCCCAAGTAGCTGGGATTACAGGCATGCATCACCATGCCCAGCTAATTTGTATTTTTAGTAGAGATGGGGTTTCGCCATGTTGGCCAGGCTGGTCTCGAACTCCTGATCTTGTGATCTACCCACCTTGGCCTCCCAGAGTGCTGGGATTACAGGTGTAAGCCACCACACCCGACCTCCAACTTTCTTTTGTTATAAATGTGTCCCGTGCAATATTTGTAACATACTAAATAATGTTTTCATAATTTATCTGAAGTTAAAATTTATCTAGATGTCCTGTGTTTTACCTGGCAACCCTAGTTTAATCTATATTTCTACCATGATTTTTATAATGTATTATGCTTTATAGGAAAAAGTAAAAATAAATGTAAGAATTTAATAATTAATTTCAATTATCATAGATGATCATAGATAATTGAGACTCTTTCAATTATTAATAAATGATTTTAAAATTATATAATGGTAAAAATATGGAGTATAGTAGGACTCCGAATGCTTCTTTGGACAAGCTAATTAATGTCTGGGTCTCTCTTTCTGTATTAGTAAATTGGTGGTAATATCAGTTCTGCTTCCATTTTGGAGTCTTTGTGAAGTCTTTTGTGAAGAACTGGCTTAGGAACAGTGGTGTCTGGTGAACATTTAACAACTGACTCAAAAAAAAAAATATGTGATTTATGGCATTTGCCAGTTTCTGTGGTGTAACTTCACACACCATAACCAATTTCAACCTGCCAATATGATGTCTCTGAATGCAGAGTTGAAAGTGGTGGTTGGTTGTAAACCTGTATGTACTTTCCAGGATGCAGATAAAATAGATAATAACTTAGGTAACCTCTAGAACATAGATAGTAGTAGAATGTAGTGAAATAATTACGTTTGTGATGTATTCTGAATATTTATTACCTTTACTTTCAATTTAATTTGTTTAATTGTAAATTTATACCATTTAACACTTAATAATGGCTATATTTAACGAGGATCTTCCTGAAAATTTAACAATCAGCTCTTGTGAGCCATTACAGGCCAGCTCTAGCATACCATTGCCCATAACATTTTTAACTACTGTACGAGTGTGCAACCTTTTTTGGTTTTGGTTGTGTTTTGTTGTGGTGGTGGTGATGGTAAGAACACTTAACATGAGATCCACCCTCTAACAAATTTTTAAGTGTACAATACAGTATTGTTAACTATAGGGACAACATTGCACAGCGGATCTCTAGAACTTGTTCATCTTGCTTAACTGAAACTTTACGCCCTTTGACTGGCAACTCCCCATTTCCCCTTCCCCCAGCCCCTGACAACAACTATTCTACTCCCTGATTTTTTGAATTTGACTATTTTAGATACTTCATTTAAGTGGAATCATGCAGTATACATCCTTCTGTGACTGCTTATTTATCTTAGCATAATGTCCTCAAGTTTCATTCAAGTTATCTGATACTGCAGGATTTCCTTTTTAAAAAATATATGTATATTATTTTTAGAGAGAGGGTCTTGCTATGTTGCCCAGGCTGGAGTGTAGCAGCTATTCACAGTCACAATCAGAGAACACTGCAGCCTCAAACTCCCGGACTCAAGCAATCTCCTGCCTCAGCTGGGATTACAGGTGTGTACCACCGCACCTGGTTAGGACTGAATAATATTTTTGTATGTACATACCATATTTTCTTTATCCATTCATCTGTCACTGAACACAAGTTGCTTCCACATTTTGACTATTGTCAGTAGTGTCACAAACTATGTTAGAATGCTAATATCTCTTCAAGATCCTGTTTCAATACTTTTAGATAAGTACCTAGAAGTAGGATTGCTAGATGATATGTGTATTAGTCAGTTTTCATGCTGCTGATGAAGACATACCTGAAACTGGGCAATTTACAAAAGAAAGAGGTTTAACTGGATTCACAGTTCTATGTGGCTGGGGAGGCCTCACAGTCATGGCAGAAGGCAAGGAAGAGCAAGTCACATCTTACATGGATGGCAGCAGGCATAAAAAGAGAGATTGGGCAGGGAAACTCCCCATTATAAACCCATCATATCTCGTTAGACTTACTCACTGTCACAAGAATAGCATGGGAAAGACCTGCCCCCATGATTCAATTACCTCCCACAGGGTCTCTCTCACTACACGTGGGAATTCAAGATGAGATTTGGATGGGGACACAGCCAAACCATATTGATATGGTATTTTTATTTTTTTTATTTTTTGAGGAACCTCCATACTGTTTTCCATAGCAGCTGTACCATTTTGCTGTACCAACAGTGTACAAGGGCTCCCTTTTCTTCACATCCTGGCCAACCCTTGTTATTGTTCATCTTTTTGAACAGGTGTGAGTGATATTTCATTGTGACATTGATTTGCATTTCCCTGATGACTAGTAATGTCAGGCATGTTTTCATGTACCTGTTGGCCATTTGCATGGCTTCTTGGGATAAATGTCTATTTAAGTATTTACACTGTCTTAAATCAGGTTATTAGTTTTGTTGCTACTGAGTTGTAGGAGTTCTTTTTATATTGTAGAAATTAACCCCTTATCTGATGGTTTGCCAACATTTTCTTCTATTCTGTAAATTGCCTTTTCACTCTGTTGATTGTTTCCTTTGCTGTGCAGAAGCTTGTCAGTTTCATGCAGCTCCATTTGTCTAATTTTGTCAGTGTTGAACTTTGCTTCTACTGTCAGACCCATTAAATCATTGCCAGGATCAATGTCATGATGCTATTCCCCTGTTTTCTTCTAGGAATCTTATAGTTGCAGGACTTATGTTTAAGTCTATGAGTCATTTTCAGTTTACTTTGCGTATGGAGTAAAATAAGGGTCCAATTTTATCCTTTTGCATGTGAACATCCACTTTTCCCAACACCATTTTTTGAAGAGATGATTCTTTTCCCATTGTCTGTTCTTGGCACCCTTATCACCTTTTGAAGGAAAAATTGATTGTATATGTGTGGGTTGATTTCTCAGCTTTCTATTCTGTTCCATTGGTACCATAAGCTTGTCTTTATGCCAGTACCATACTGTTTTAATTACTGTAGCTTTGTAATATATTCTGAAATCAGGAAGTTTGATGCCTCCAGTTTTGCTACTTTTCAAGAAAACAACCTACAGTTTCAATAAAATTCCTATCAAAATCTCAATGACATTTTTCACAGAAATAGAAAAAATAATTCTAAAATTCATATGGAACCATGAAATACCTCAAACAGCCACATCTAATGTATATTATTAACATTCATTCAGTTAGCCCACAATCACTGAAGTTACCACGTAAGAGGCATTATATAAAAGTTTTTGGAAACAAATATAATGAGAAAACCAGTGTTGTTAATAACCACCCAAAGCTCTCCAAGGTGGATACATTCTAGTACCTGAAGGAGACTGTTTTCTGGATGGAGGGATGTGATGGCTGTCATCCATGCAAGAGTAGACATGAGATGGAGCCAGATGGCCATACCTAGAGGGAGAGGTGGGCTTTAGAGGGATGCCAGTAGTAGGTTCTTGGAGTAGGGAAAAGAGCATCAGTGTGTTGCAGGGGATGTGGAGGAAGGAGGGAGGTCTCCAAGGTGAAGCATATTAGGAGGAATTGAGGAAAGGTGATGTGTAGAAGAGGGATTGGTAAAGGGGTGGGCAGTGTAACACCCTGCCCAGCTCAGCCCAGGGACAGCAGCATTTAGAACAAGTGTAGATTATGAACCTGGGACCCCGTTTCTGCTGGACTCTGTAAGCCTCAGATGCTGGATCAACTCAGATGAGGGAAAGGTAGCCATTAAATTGACAGATGGTGCATTTCTTGTTTTAGAAAAATAAAAAAATAGGCCACTGTTTGCACCTTGAAGATGCTGAGGCAATTGTTCAGTGATAATGTTACCAAGTTACTTCTGGCTGCTCAAGATACAGTAACTTAATTACCCTGAGGTTTTAGTGTCCTATTGCTGCTGTAAAAAATTACTACAGATTTCATGGCTTAAAACAGAAATGTGTTATTTTCCAGTTCTGGAGGTCCAAGATGGGATGGCAGGGCTATGTGGCTGTGCCCCTATGGGGGCTTTAAGGAAGGATCTGTTTCCTTGTCTTTTCCAAGCTGCCTGTTTTCCTTGGCTCCATCTTCAAATCCAGCCATGTAGCATGGCTAAAACTCCTTCTCTCTTCTACTCCCCCACCCCTGTCTCCTTTTTCCCTCTCTCCTTTATAAGGACCCTTCTGATTACACTGGGTCCACCCAGATAATCCAGGATAATTTCCCCACCTTATGTTCTTTAACCCCATCTGCAAAGTCCCTCTTGCCATGTAAGATAACATACAGGTTCTGGAGATTGGAATGTGGACATCTTTGAAGGACTATTATTCTGTCTTCCACACCTGGCTTTTGCAATAGCATCATCATCAGAGTCTATAGAAAAAACAACAACAACAAAACACTCTCCTTTTTTTTTTTTTTTTTTTTTTGAGACGGAGTTTCACTGCTGTCGCCCAGGCTGGAGAGCAGTGGCGATCTCGGCTCACAGCAACCCCTGCCTCCCAGGTTCAAGTGATTCTCCTGCCTCAGCCTTCTGAGTAGCTGGGACTACAGGCACCCACCACCACACCCAGCTAATTTTTATACTTTTAGTAGAAACAGGGTTTCACCATGTTGGCCAGGTTTGTCTTGAACTCCTGACCGCAGGTGATCCACCCACCTCGGCCTCCCAAAGAGCTGGGATTAAAATAGCTTCTTGCTGTATATACATTCCTAGAACAAGGCCCTCAAATAATCTATCTTATATTAAGTTCTTCTCTGTAACTGGAATTACAGTTATAACAGAGTCCCTCGTATTTTTGAGTCTCATGCTTAGAAGTAGGTTTATTTGCAACCTGGCCTGCCAATTGCAAAGGTGGGTAAACGTTTCCAGCACGGATGGAAGTCAAGGTATAAATGTCTTGAAAAGACCCCCTGAAGACTGGGATTCTCTAAGGGAAAAGTCAAGAAACTGTCAGTGCTGCACCTCAGCTCCCACCCCTCAGCATTCGTGCACCCCACACGCTGAACTGAGTCACGATTTTGAGCTCTCAGCCTGGCTGTGCCTCATGGCCCTGCCATCTAAAGTCTAGACCCTTCCTTGACAGACAGTCATAACTTTCAGAGACAGAAATGTGTAACAAAGGAAGGCATGCACTTTGCTCACTCAACACAAATGTGTGGAAGGGATTGATATGGGCTTAACTGTGTCTCCTGCAAATTCATGTGTTGAAGTCCCGGGCCACAGTAGTTCAGAATGTGACCCTATTAAATTACCTCTAAGGAGGTAATTAAGTTAAAACAAAGTAATTAGAGGGAGCCCTAATCCCACAGGACTGGTGTTTTTATAAGAAAAAAAAAAACACTTGAACATATATAGGGACATAGGAAAGCCCATGTGAGGACACAGTGAGAAGACAGCTATCTGCAAGCCAGAAAGAGAGGCCTCAGAGTGAAATCAACATTGACAGCGCCTTGATCTTGGACTTCCAGCCTCCAGAACTGTGAGAAAATACATATCTGTTGTTTAAGCACCCAGCCTGTGGTACTTTGTTATGGCAGCCCCACAGGAATCAAAGGGGGATGCCACTGAATCCAGCCTAACTGTGGGAAATTTTCAAATTGAATGTGTCACCAAGCATCAAATCTGTCTTAATGGGGCACCAGCCATGAGAACTATATTTAACAGCACTGGTGACCACACTCATCCTGAGGCCATGATGCTTCCAAATGTCACACTCACTGTTGCTGACTCAGCTGTGTCTCTGCTGGGAAAACAGGCCAGTATGGGACACTAAGGTTCTCCACCCCCAGCCAGTGTTGCCCTCAGGTGAGGGCTGAAGAGGTGGCATCCCTGTTCCACCGCTTCCCCGTCTCAGCTCTGCTTTGAGCAAATCCATTCTTTAGGTCTCAATCCTCTTCCAGGGTCAAACTTTCCTGGGAATCCCATGAGCCTGTGAAGGTTCTTTCCAGTCCCATTTGGGGAAGCAGAAATTCAGCAATATGGTAAGTGTGATAAAGGTGATTTTTCAGAAGTGATAATGAAGTGCTTTCACTTTGTGGACTGGGTTGAACTGTTTCTTCCAAGTATTCATGTCCACCCAGAAGCTCAGAATGTGCCCTCATTTGGGAATAGATCTCTGCAGATGTAATCAAGGTGAGAGATTAAGTCAAACTGGATTTCACTGGGCCCTAAATCCAGTGAGCATGTGCTGGGCTCTTAGCCACTTATTTGAAGGCCCAAGCCCATTCTTCCACTCTGCCTGAGCCAACCCCGGGCCTGCTGGCACCTGCTCAGTTCTACCAGAGAGTCCCTTGTGTGAGCAATAAACCTTCTCTCAAACACTTTTGTGCATGGAGAGTCATCAACCTCCATACCTGAACTAAATTTGGGGTAAGGGTCCTTGCTGCTTTTGCAAGGGGACTATACAACACTAACAGAAGAAAGAGGCACCTCTGGGAAGAACATCAGCATTGAATGACTCGTATCTATGGAAACCACTAGGCCCTTAAAACTCTTCCTCCAGCAGCTTGGCCACTAAAATTCAGATTCGTGTCCATCAATAGACCCATGGCCTCCTTGGAGGTTGTCAGAAGAATCTCCAGGGGTCATTCAGACAAGCTGACATCAGAAAGTGTCAGAGCTGTGGCTTCAACAACCTTGTTCAGTGATGGTCATGGAGCTTCCATGTTAGTTCACTTCAGCCTTGCCACAATTTGTCGCAGGTTTTGACGGTTAATTTAACTAGCAAGCAGGTGATGGCAGAAATGTAACATTCAAAGAAGAGAACCTCTGGTGAATCTACATTGTGATTGAGCTTGCCTCAGCATTTCTATTTTCGTTCCAACTTTTGCTTGCCATGAGACCCAGACTTGGTGTGCCCCTCCTCAGGCCAGATGCTAAAGTCAGTTTGAAGACATCATGGCTATTCATTATTGATTAGGCTTTTGGCACCTCGAGGGTGAACTAAAGAAGACACAGCTGTGGTTTTAAAGGTATGATCTGTAAGCTGAGAGCTGCCAAAAACAACAATAGACTTTTCAGGTCAATGTGTCCTCGATGTGTCAAGTTGTCTGCCCCGGGCTGTAAGAAGAGGTAGATAATTAAGAAAAGTAGTGCCCATGGTGGCTTCATAGCTCCATGCATGGAAGAAAGGAAAAGTTGTTGCCAAGTTGGGGCTTTGCATGGGAGCAACAATAATAAAACTGTAAGGATACGAGAATGTCTTTCTCCAGGACTGCATCTGTCACAATTCTTTAGTTAAGTTTTTCTGAAACCCTGCAGGAAGCAAAATGGAATTAATTGACACATGTAAATGAGAAGCCTAGAAGTCATCAAGCTTTAGGCATGGTGGACCAAAGTCCTCACAGGCTTGTTTCTCTCTGGCTCTTGCCTTTGTCTGCAGCTGTCCTGGTCCTAATCTCAGAGTTCAGATGTAATAGGATCTCTAGGAAGTGCCGTCTCAGCCTTAAATCCATTAAGCAAGAAGAACTCCACGAAGCCTTGGTGGAAATCACAGTCTATCTCATTAATTGTTATGGGATTCACACGCTCATCCCTGAATGAGTTGTTATAAATGGAAGAATGGACAGTTCTGACAACACAAATATTTTTAAAAATTATTATGTACCAGGCACTATACCAGGGGCTTTGCTTTACATATCTTAAACTGATTTTTTAAAATAATTTCTGAGAGATATATTTAATCTTCCTGATCTTAAAGCCAAGGAAAAGAGACTCAGAGAGGTTTCATAACTTGTCTAAGGTCACACAGTATGTGGTGGGACTTGGAGAGTAAAGCTAGACTTTAGACTTACACCCTAGAGTTAGAGTGGAGCTGGGGGTCACCTTGTCAAAAGCAGAATCAAGTTTGCAGCCTCTTTGACAGATGTTCACCCAGCTGTTCACAACCTTCCAGAAATGCACACCAAATTATCAGCCCAATCTAATAACACAATAAATAGCAAGAAAGTTCCCTGTTATATTGAACTTGAATCTATACCCCCTATTTGTTACTTCCTCTAGGGCTTTTGGACACTGAGTCCGATTAATTCAGCCTAAGTTTTCTTTCAGTTTATAGGACAATCACATCACACCCTTGGTGCACCGTAAGCTTGAATCAACTAAAACTCTAGGTCTTTTTTTTGTTTGGGGAGGGTTTTGTTTGTTTTTGATTTTGCAAATAAAAATTATTTTTATCAGGCACTCTCTTCTTGCATCTATGCCTTTGATCTTTTTAATTGCATTTGGATGTCATCTCATTTCAGCCATGCCTTTTTGCATCTTGATCCAGCATTGAGGGGGCTGTTAGTGCAAAAGCCTATCATTATAGGGTTTTATTCAGGTCCTGTGTTCAATAGGAGAGTGCCCATTCAGGTCTATGGAAACCCAGGCAACTTTTCCTATTAAAACAATTATCCCTGGAGAATATTGCTCACCTTGCTGCCTACAGCATGGAGGAGCTGGGAGCTCCTTACTTTGCAAATATTCCCTAGATTTTTACTCATCACGATGGGCACATTATGTAGGTATTAGCATCTTTTTTTCATGTAACTAACTCTTATTTATTTATTTAAAAAAGTTTATTTCCATAGGTTATTGGGGAAGAGGTAGTGTTGGTTACATGAGTAAGTTCTTTAGTGGTGACTTGTGAGATTTTGGTGCACCCATTACCCAAGCAGTATGCATTGCACACAATTTGTAGTCTTTTATCTCTGACACCCTTCCGACCCTTACCCACCGAGTCCCCAGAGTTCATTGTGTCATTCTTATGCCTTTGCATCCTCATAGTTTAGCTTCCACTTATGAGTGAGAACATAGGATGCTTGGTTTTTCATTCCTGAGTTACTTCACTTAGAATAATAGTCTCCAATCATCCAGGTTGCTGCGAATGCCATTAATTCATTCCTTTTTATGGCCGAGTAGTATTCCATCATATATACCACAGTTTCTTTATCCACTAGTTGATTGATGGACATTTCGGTTGGTTCCACGTTTTTGCAATTGTGAATTGTGCTGCTATAAACATGCATGTGCAAGTATCTTTTTTGAATAATGGCTTCTTTTCCTCTGGGTAGATACCCAGTAGTGGGATTGCTGGATCAAATGGTAAAGTTTTCACAGTGCTCCATCCTTTGACACAGTCTTCTAAACTTACATGCTCTGTCTTAGCCTGTTTGGGTTGCTATAACAAAAATGACATAGACTGGGTGGCTTAAACAACATTTATTTCTCACAGTTCTAGAGGCTGGGAAGTCCAAGATCAAGGCCATGGCAGTTTTGGAGTCTGACGACAACCTGCTTCCTGGTTCATAGATGGCCGTCTTCTCACTCTACCTTCACATGGCAGAAAGGGAGGAGAGAGCTCTCTGTGGTCTCTTTTATGAGGGCTCTACTCTCATGCAAGAGACCTCCACCTTCATGACTTAGTCATCCCCCAGTGGTCCCACCTTCTAATACCATCACCTCAGGAGTTAGAATTTCAACATATGAATTTCAGAGGGACACAAACATTAAGTCTATAGCACTTTCCCACTAACTAATAAGCGACCTTGGGTAGATCACTTTCTTGGCTGGGCCTCAGTTTCCCCCATTGACAGAATGAGAGCATTGAACTAAATGCACTTCCAAGGTTTCTTCTAGTGAATTTATTCTCTATATCTACAGTTTTGCTTCACACACCACAAAAAGCCCAATGAGGCTTTTCTTTCTTGTTACAATGGCTTGGTTTTGGATTTAGATACTATTTTAAAAACACTCTCAACTTCTTGCCAGGATAAACAACAGCTAGTTCAATGTCTCACCTATTATGTTCATAGCCCATTCATTTATTTGGTTGTTGATTTTTTTATTCTCTCTCATCCCCTTTCAAAGGTTTGCATAACAAAGTAGCTTCTTGCCTGTCCATACAAATGTCACCAAGTAATATTGGTGAGGAGCGAAGTATACCATTCAAAATTTGAATATATGCTTCCACTCTAAAGCAACTCCTACCAGAAACTCCAAGTGATATGCTTTCTATCACCGACTGGGAATAAGTTATTTTATGTTTAAAAGACAAGGACTTGATGGTGCTTTATTAAGATAGAATTTCATATCTTCCATGACCACATCTTATCTAGTTGACTCCTGGGGCATGCATCATCCTGGTGGCTCAGTTGACATCATTATTTCCACTCTAAGCCACAACTACCCATGCTGTTTTTAAAAGGTGCACATTTATCCATAACAATGACCCTGGTCTGTGCATTTCTTTCAAAAGAATGAATTGAAGCATAGCGGGTACATGTTCAACTTACAAATGTAAATGAATGAGAAGTTATAAAATTAATGAAATCAGATGCTATTTCCAAGCCTTCTATTAGAGAAAACCATTTGTCAGCTTAGTACATCCTATACCTTGATTACTAATGTCCATCTCCGGAAATGCTTGTGAAGCCTAGAAACTTGTTCAGAAAATATATGGTTTGTATAGTGCTGACACAGGTCATTAAAATATTCAGAAACAATTACTAGACTAATAGAAGATTTTATTTCCAGTGGAAAAATGTTACAGTTGACAATAGAAAGAGATAAGTCTTGGAATAATTAATGCCTTTGCTCTCCTCTGGTCTTCAGCATTGGTCTATGATGTACATAGATGGCTTATAAATGAGGACCTACATCTACTTGGAAGCAGCTATTTAAATGTAGACTTTCTTTATTTGATAAAATTACATCCTATTTTTCAGTTATCTCTTTGCCAGTCATTTGCTACTTAGTCAAATAATAATACAACCAAGACAATAAGTCTTCCAAATAAGAGTGGAATTCAGCCAACTCCGGTTGATGAAGAAGAACAAGGAGGTACTTTTACAGAATTGTTGGGATGGCTGGTGAAACAGACCAAAAGCTAAGGTTCTGGGCACAGTGGCTAAAATCCAGCCGTGAGCTGCCTGGCCAGGGAGCCAAGCCTCTGCTGTTGTCTTCTGGGTGCCAGAGGAAACAGCATGGTAGCCTCAGTCCACATCAACCCACTTTTGCCCAGGGAGGGTACTATAATTTGATTTGCTTGACCCTTTCAAATCTCATGTTGAACTCTGATCTCTAATGTTGAAGGCATCACCTAATAAGGACTGTGGGTAGTAGGGCAGATTCCTCAGGAATACATTAATGTCCTCCTTGGGGTGAGGAGAGTGAGTGAGTTCTTGGTCTATTAGTTCCCTCGCCTGCCTCTCTCGCTTCCTATCTCGCCATATGATCTCTGCACACACTGGCTCCCCTTCGCCTTCCACCATGAGTGGAAGCAACCTAAAACTTCACCAGAAGCAGATGCTGGCACTATGCTTCTTGTACAGCCTGAAGAACTGTGAGCCAAATGAACCTCTTCTTTATGAATTACTCAGCCTCAGGTATTTCTTTATAGCAATACAAATGGATTAAGACAGAGGGTCTTGCGAGACAGCTGTGCCACCACCTGTCCTGAGAGAATGGATTCTGCCCAGAGCCACATTCCTCAAGTCACTCAACTGAAAGGCCTCAGGGCAGAAGCTGATGGTTGGAGCCCAGGTCACATGCCTGCATCGCTGACTTAGTGACCACTCAGGATCCAAATGTTCTGGTCTCTGCCTTGGGAAGACTGGACTTAGACTAAAGCAAATATGTCCTAACAATGCCCCACCTCCAGAAAATGTGATAAATGTCCACTAGGACATCTTGGGGATTCAAATTACATTTAGCCATTGTCATTCATCAGAGAACCAGGAGAAGCTGTGAGGATGGTGTCCAGCAGTCAGAACTCTGGAGCCAGTTGTATCTTCCCTCCTTCCTCTGTCCATTCCACGTGTCCTCCTTAGGCCTGCACTCGCAGCCAGGCACAATGTATTCACTGCACGTGTCAAAGGCCAAGATGGAGTAACAGGAGCCAGATTTCCCCTCTCACCTTGAACATGCAGAGAACTGGAGAAAATGGATGCAGTAAAAGGGTTTGCACAAAGGGCTGCACAGGACTATGGTCCCTGAGTGGAAGGAAACAAGATGAGCCAAGCCTTGTGGTCTCAACAGCACACTACATGGGGGACAGGGAGGGAACCTCAAGCAGTACCTTGCTGAGTTGAAGAGAGAGAGAACCCAAAGTTTGGGGAGACCAGGGAGGCTTGAATTTGTGGGTCAGATACAGGAGAGAAGAAAGCTACACAGAATTAAGCTAGTTTGAGTTTGTGTCCCCCCAAAATCTATATATTGAAATCCCAAGGTGATGGTGTTAGGAGGTAGAGCCTTTGGGGGGTGATTAGGTCACAGAAGCAGAGCCCTTGCGAGTGGCATCAGTGCCTATATATGTATACCAATGGAAGCCCCTCACTCCCACTGTCCTGTGAGGTTATAGTGAGAAGTCAGCCGTCTGTAACCCAGAAGGGCACCCTCACCAGAACTCAACCATGCTGCCATCCTGGCCTTGGACTTCCAGCCTCCAGAGCTGTGAGAAGTAATTTCTATTGTTTATAAGCCTGCCAGTCTATAGCAGGCTGACCAGACTTAGACAGCTGCACAGGGCCCCTCTCCCATTGATTTTGTAAAGCCCCAGCTCTTTGTTCTCCCTTCCTAGACTTCTCCTAGACCAAGATTTTGCTTTCCCATAGCCTTCAGACACGTTCAGAACAACTTATTAGGTTACCGATTTTCCCTGTTAGCACAGTATGGTCCAAAAAACATTCCCTTTTTACTGGACAGGGGTGTTTTCCAAGCACCCCAGGACATATATTTTAAAAATATCATCTTAAATTATATCTGCAAATTTATTCATTAATTCAGTGAAGAATGGTCTTCTAACAAGTTCTTCAGCACAAAGTATTATGCTGAGTAACAGGGAGGTGGAGATAAAGTCCTTACCCTTAAGGAAACCAACTTACTAAGGAACAGAGCACTGATGAATACTCTATGAGGTGAATTTTGGATAGTCACATTTTCAGAGGCTAAACTTTGCTTCATATTCTGGGGACATCTTCTTTATCTAGCATTTTCTATAATAACTGCAGGCATCTTGATTATCTGCACCACTAACCTGCTAATTCTTTAATCCTGTAAAACTGAATTGCTTTAAATACATAAAGACAAAACCACATGCTGGCTAATGGTTTCCTCTCAGCTGCAGTTGTATTCCAGCCACCAAAAACCCATTCACTCTACTTCTGGTAATAATGCCACAATTTTTCTCTTGCAGACCACTATCTTGCCTATCTTCTGACCATGTGCATTGGGTGGAGTTGGCCCTTGCCCTGGTCCCAGGACTCAGACTTGACCAATCAGAGTATGGTATCTCCCTGGCCACCATGATGGGTTCAGAGAGGATTATGTCATCCAATCAGCAGAATCAGTGAAATGCAAGAAGACTTTTCTGACTTTTCCTTTGCAGTGAGGAAGATGTGAGTTCAGAGCTGGCAAAGACACCACCTGGGGTCCTGAGAATGAAATCAAAGAGGCAGAAGTCAGAGCCAGGAGATAGAAAAACACCAGTCCCCAATGACTATGTTAGAATGCCTCGGCCTATCCTCATTTTGGGATTTTTAGTAAACAACCCAAGAATTTTCCTTCTTCTGCTAAAGTTTGAGTTGACTTTCCTAACATTTGTTAGTGGAGGCCAAGCCCCAGCTGAAACAAATCTACTCTTACATTTTATAATAAGTGAACCAACGGTCTCCCTTCTTCCACCTGCATTTGAGTTGAGTGTTCTTGCCCTTGCTGTTAAAGGCTTTCAATCCCAAACACCAGCTGAGCAACTTCTCTGCTTTGCTTTGTGCTGATGCTTTCCAAAATGGTTTCCTGTCCATTACTGAGGATGATGGTTCATCTTTAAAGACCCTTTATTCTTGACGAGGTCTCAGGTCCCCTGGTCCTGTAGATGGTATGATGGGAAATATTGTGTTAAGTGACCTTAAATAAGTTATTTGGAGTATTTTATTCTCACATGTGCCAATGCACACTACAAATTTCCAAGATTTATTTGGTAACTGAACCTATTTTTTTATGTGGCAACTATTCACCTGCTAGGAAACTTGTGTTCTAAAGAATTCACACTGGGAATTCTAGTTAAAGTCCTGTATTTCCAGCCATTCCAGAGAGGATGACAGAAGCATACCAGTGCCTTCACAAAAATCAGGTTGTCTGACGTGGGATAACTGGTAGGGACCTGATGACAGTCCTCTGAAGAAAAGATCTTTGAAGTTTCATGGAAGATTCTGGAAGGAAGCAGGGGGTAAGGAGGGCTAGCCCAGCTGAGGCTCTGCACCAGGAGTCTCTGGAGAGGCTGGGAAGTGCACAATAGCACTAGGTACCAGCAAAGCGTGAATTAGGGGTAAACAAGGAGGCCAGAAGAACAGGAAAGGGAGGTGGGAAAATGCTTTTTTTCTTTGAGACAGAGTAGCACTCTGTCACCCAGGCTGGAGTGCAGTGGCACAATCTTGGCTCGCTACAACCTCTGCTTTCCAGGCTCAAGCAATTCTCATGCCTCAGTTTCCCAAGTAGCTGGGATTACAGGCTTGCACCACCACACCCAGCTAATTTTTTTGTATTTTTAGTAGAGATGGTGTTCCACCATGTTAGCCAGGCTGGTCTTGAACTCTTGCCCTCAAGTTGATCTGCCTGCCTCCACCTTCCAAAGTGCTAGGATTACAGGCGTAAGCCACTGTGCCCATCCAGGAAATGCTTTACAATTGTGCTTAGAATAAACTTTGGGGATGATAGATAAATGAAGATTTACTTGCTCTATAAAAATTATTGCTAATGGGACAAGCATCTCTCAATTTAAATTTAAATGTAAATGATTTTTTTAAACTTTTATCAACAGTGGTCTTTCACCTTCCAATAGAAACTCACATCTTCAAGTAATCGCTGTGGGAAGAAATTCTCCCAGCACCAAACCTTTGTATGGTTTTCAAAGTGATCATCCTTAAATTGGACAAGAGCACTTATATTGTTTACTAAAAGCTAGGAGAAACCAAAAGGATAACTGAAAAGTCAACTACTGTATAAATAAACTTGCAAATAGTTAAACAAATTGCTGCAGCTTTTTCAATATATTGTAAGACTTGTTTTGCCTGTTAGAGTTTTAACTTATTTTTGTTGTACTTGTAGCATTAAACACACTACTTGAGTAGATGAGACTTTTAAACATAAAAATCAATAAAACACATTTACTCTGGGACTGTGATGAAGACGTGGCATTGAGCTGCTTATCATGCCTGTTGCTGAGTGCACAATGGGGCATATTTCAGGCTGCCACAATCCCTTGTGTCTTCCCCTATCTCATTTCATAACTCATCCAGAATTGAGAGCTCATGTTATCATGTACAGGCTGTATATCCCCTTGATGTATTAAAGGTATATATTCATTACTCCTGCCTTGGTCCTTTTGCAATGACTAAGAACAGGGCACATGCAAAATAAAAGGTAGGAGAGGAGAGAAATGAAGAAATGTGGCACATTGGAAAGAAAAGTGGGGAAACGGAGAATAGAGTCAGCCAGACCCTCTGGGCTGCAGAGGACCTTCTACCAGCCAGACACCCTTTGTGCTAAAGGCTGAATAACAGCTCCTCAAAGATGCTACACCCTAGTCCCCACAACCTTTGACTACCTGACCTTATATGGCAAAGGGGCTTTGCAGATGTCGTTAAATTAGAGATCTTGAGATGGGGGTGTAATCCTGGATTAGCCAATGGGCCAAATGTGACCACAAGTGTCCTTCTGAGAGGGAGTGGAGAGGGCCAGAGTCAGACAGAGATGCGGTGATGTCTGCAGAGCTGGGCGTGCTGGGATTGTTCACTGAATGGTGTTATGAACAAAGGAATGGAGCCGGCCTCTAGGACTGGAAAAGGAAAGGAAATGAATTCTCCCCAGGGCCTGCAGGAGGAGTGCAGTCCTGCCAACACATTTCTTCCCCCTTATGACTTAATTGCGGCTTCTGATGTCCAGAATTGTAGGATAATCAATGTGTGTTGTCTGCAGACTCAATGCGTTTGGTAGTTTGTGACAGCAGCAATAGGAAACACACACAGACATCACCCCCTCTGGGCCCCCTGGACTCCAGTTCCCATGCATGCCTAGGTTAATGAAGAATTTACTTAGAGGATATTCACACACACTAGTTAATAGTGGGAAATATGTTTATATCTCTATTTCAAATTTTATTTAACCCACTCTGTTTAAGTTAACCAAGTTTAAAGGGTAAGTTTTCTGAAAAGGATGGACTGTCTTTAAAATGAGACAGGCTTTTGACTCAGTTAGTTCTCTTCATACCCAAAAATAGTGAATTTCAATGATGAAGGCCAACATTGTGCAGTTTTTTTTTTAACACATCCAACGGGGGGAAAATCCTTATAGCGATTGGTAAAATTTGTATGAGGTTCTTTTCTTATTGGAAAAAGACCCTTTTGGGATGTTCACACTAATCAGCATATCTTAGGATATGATTTTGTTTTTCCATTTCTATTGGGTCTAAAAACGGAGCAGCAGGCTGAGAAAAAATTGGGATCTTGGGAATGCTAACTGTTCATTTCACTGACAAGTTGTAACCAATTGTTTTATCAATATATATTTATGGATCATTTTCCATAGAGAGGATTAAGTAAGTACAAAGAAGTAAAAGAAGGGTACCAATTCTCAAAGAGTTTACAATATGATGTAGTCAGACCTTCCCTGATACCGTGATAATTGGGGCAAATGAAAGCAAAAGAAAAGTTACAAGGTCATTAACACCTAGAAAAATTGGTTTAGGATTATTTGATAACAAAAAATACTGAGGAGTAACACCATATCAGAATGAATTAATTCTTCATAAACTTGTGTGAAAATGAGTATCACATTGAGCAGTGACTGAGAAAGTTGTGAGTTAAATAGGAAAGATATCTAACTGTTCACAGGTATGTTTACTTGTTCAAATTTTCTCCAAACTGTGCACCATTCTTTAAAGATATTTATTGCTAATCAGAAATGAGCAGCCCTAGTTTCTGTAGAAGGTAATTGTAATGATATCCCACATCTAAGAAAAAATAGCCTTTCTTAAGGGCATGGACCCAAAAGACACAATGACATACAGTGCTTCATATTCATGAGGCCACTCAAGACAGAATCCTTCATTACAGAGAATGTTAACCAATCTGGGGACTTGCACAGTGGAAGCAAACATTTCCGTTCTTCTTGAAGAATTCACAAGAGGAAAGGAGGTGGAACTAGCAGCAGTAAGGAGAGGCATATCAGCTCCATGTGGATGGATCTGGGATGGGAAGTGAAGATTCTGGAACAACACTGGTCCTTCCTCCATCTCCCTGACAACTTCTTTCCTGGAGCTTCCCGATATTCTTCTTCCTTCATTCACTCAGTAAATGTTGAGCTTCCCCAAACCTCTCTTCCTCCTGCTCTATCCCCTACTCTTAGGTAAATCGGTGATCTCAACCTTCAGCTGTGGACTGATACCCGCAGTCGTATTTCCAGTTGATATGGTTTGGCTGCGTCCTCACCCAACTCTCACCTTAAATTATAATAATCCCCACATGTCAAGGGCAGGATCAGGTGGAGATAATTGAATCATGGGTGCAGTTTTCCCTATACTGTTCTCGTGGTAGTGAATAAGCCTCACGAGATCTGATGGTTTTATAAATAGGAGTTCCCCTGCCCAAACTCTCTCGCCTGCTGCCGTATAAGATGTGACTCTGCTCCTTATTCGCCTTCCGCTATGATTGTGAGGCCTCCCCAGCCATGTGGAACAGTGAGTCAATTAAGCCTCTTTCCTTTATAAATTACCCAGTCTTGGGTAGGTCTTTATTAGCAGCATGAGAACAGACTAATACACCACTCAAGACCTGCATTTTAAGGTCCCAACTCAACTGTGAGTCTGCCCTTGTAGCTTCCCCAGGAATCTGTTACATCGCTATCACACCATTGTATTGAAATCACTTATTGATTCATTTTGCAGACTTTCCAAAAGAGAACAGCAACTCAAGGACTGTCCTGGGTATCTTGAAGTCCTACAGTCCTGGCATAATGCTTTGCACACAATGAGTGCTCCATGAATGCAGTGACATAAACAGGTGCTGTGTAATTATCAGGAGGGAAATATTACTGAGCTAATGGACTGGTTCTACAAGAATAACAAAGTGGGTCTCTGCTTAGAAATTATCTCGCACTTAGAAAAGAATTGGATGGGTCAAAGGAAACAACCAGCAAAGAATTTTATTATTGAATTGAAAGTGAAGTTTGTAGGATTTGGGGAATAGGATATATCCTCCAGCGATAGTCCAGGTGACAGTTCTTGGACCCCTAAAACTGGAGAAAATTTAAGTGAGGTAACAGCCTGAGACAATAATGATTTCATGCTTTGGTTAATCTGTTTTAGCTTTTTCTTCATTTGATCATCTATCATAAATCACATGGAGGTAATACCAATAAAATTGGCATCTGTGAACTGGGTGTTTTTATAAGGCTTTATAAAGTAATCTCATGCAAAGTCTTCTCAAACCCCAAATACCACCTTGTCTTTAATTTGCAAAATACATACCTTTCCTTTGAAGATACAAAATCTCTCCTATTACAAACCATTGAACACTTTTTTTTTTTTTTACTGTTTCCTGATTTACAAGGTATTGTCATTCATAAAATCAAGGTGCTGTCATTCATAAAATCCTCTTACATAAGTATTTACCCAAGAATATCTCAAAGTATCTGAAGTATAAAGAGACCAAAAACGCAAAATACATTGTGAGTACTGATACAGGTTTGCTGGTTTCACTGTTTCTCATTTAGTAAAGAAAAACTCACAAACCTTTCACCCTTAAAGGGCATTTTCTAAACTCTAATAAGCACCAGGATGTCAAAGCCACTTCTTTTATCTGCTTGGTAACCTCGCACATAAGAACAGAAGAGTTCAAACATTAAAATGCCATTAAGATCACTTTGGTTGTAGGATTCCCACAGGCTCAGCAAATCTGGGTCTAATTACTGCAGCCTTAAATGTGAAAAGAGGATATTCTGAAGTTGCTTACAGGAAGATCTTACATGATTTAAAAAAAAAAAATGAAAATCAACAGTGAGACAGTAGACAACGTTAACTTAATTAAAAAACAGCTTCTGGTGAAAAAAGCAAAATGTCCTTAGGACTGTTGATACTAAAAACATTGACATATCTGAACTAGCCCAGAAATTAAACCATCGAAACTCCTAAGTGATCCTCTTTTTCTCTACCATTACAGGAGAGTTTGGCGCTTCTCAAAAAAGAAAGAAAAAAGGAAAAAAAGGAAGGAATGAGGAAGTGAGGGAGGGAAAAAGAAAAAGAGGAGAGGGAAGTAAAGGAAGGAAAGAAGGAAATGTTAACAACAATTTAAAAACTCAGGGCCGGGCGCGGTGCTCACGCCTGTAATGCCAGCACTTTGGGAGGCCGAGGCGGGTGGATCACGAGGTCAGGAGATCGAGACCATCCTGGCTAACACAGTGAAACCCCGTCTCCACTAAAAGTACAAAAAAAATCAGCTGGGTGTGGTGGCGGGCGCCTGTAGTCCCAGCTACGGGGGAGGCTGAGGCAGGAGAATGGCGTGAACCCGGGAGGCGGAGCTTGCAGTGAGCGGAGATCGCGCCACTGCACTCCAGCCTGGGCGACAGAGTGAGACTCTGTCTCAAAAAAAAAAAACAACACTCATAAAGTTTGGAAAAGGAGAGGAGACTATTTCTTGTAAAGAGCTGCCACCTGTAAGGTGGCCACCCCGAGGGCTGGGCAACACAGGCCTTGGTTGAAGCCCAGAGACGGACACTTTGAAGGAGAAAGGGTTGGGGTGGGAGCTTTATGCTGAACAGGCTGGCTAAACATACATATTCAACAGGTTACAGGAAGAACTACAAATATTCATGAGGGTGGTCCTGACACATGTATATTGAATAAACATGCGTGTAACATATGACCCATGTTCAGTTTGGGGTGGAGACTTAACATTTAAATGTATTACAATTAGGCCCTATACGTCAAAAGGTCTTTTCAGGACAGTAAGGCAGGCAAGTGTGCACCCACTGTAAACTGCCCAGATCCAGTCCACAGTTGGTGGTCGTCTTACCGGAGAAAGTTACTGAAATCAGTGTTTTGTCCAATTAAAGCTATAGTTATGGCTGGTGGAGCAGCAGGGCTTAGTCAGTGTTTGGAGGTGGCTGAGCTGCAATTGCTTCCATATTGCTTATTTCAGGGCCAGTGCTTGTTTAGCTGCTAGAGAAAAAGAGTAACCTCCTGGCAGTTAAAATGTAGTTGATTCTTTAAGTTTACGGATGTGTGACTTAACCCTTGCCTGGAATGGCCTTGGGCCCTGTTTATAATTTGGCACCCTGTTGCCACAAAGCGTCTGTTCTGCCTGTCTTACGATCTCTATTTTAACAGTAATGCCGGCCAATTGTTGTGTCTGAACCACCAAAGGGAAGGGATGTAACAAGGCCTCTGATCTCCCATCCCATCATGGCCAGGAACTCAGTTTTTTTGTTTTGTGTGATTTTTTTTAATTTTACTTTAAATTCTGGGATACATATGCAGAACGTGCAGGTTTGTTACATAGGTATACATGTGCCATTGTGGTTTGCTGTACCCATCAACCCATCATCTAGGTTTTAAGCCCGCATGCATTGGGTATATGTCCTAATGCTCTACGTTGCCTTGCCCCCTACCCCCCTGACAGGCCCCGATGTGTGAAGTTCCCTCCCTGTGTCCATATGTTCTCATTGTTCAACTCCCACTTATGAGTGAGAACATGCAGTGTTTGGTTTTCTATTCCTGTGTTAGTCTGCTGAGAATGATGGTTTCCAGCTTCATCCATGCCCTGCAAAGGACATGAATTCATTCTTTTTTATTGCTGCATAGTATTCCACGGTGTATATGTGCCACATTTTCTTTATCCAGTCTATCATTGATGGGCATTTGGGTTGGTTCCAAGTCTTTGCTATTGTAAATAGTGCTGTGATAAACATACATGTGCACGTGTCTTTATAGTAGAACGATTTGTAATCCTTTGGGTATATACCCAGTAATGGGATGGCTGGGTCAAATAGTATTTCTGGTCCTAGATCCTTGAGGAATCACCACACTGTGTTCCACAATGGTTGAACTAATTTACACTCCCACCAACAGTGTAAAAGCAAGGAACTCACTTTTAAGGATTTTCTGGGGTCCTCTTGGCCATAAGTGGGCCCAGTCAGTGGGTGGGGTGGGGGGTGGAGCATTGTTGCTTGGGTCTTTATTTTTAGTTTATAGAAGGAAGGACAAAAGGATAACACGAAAATGAGTTTCAGACAGAAGGGGTGGCAGGAAGGGACCCATAAAGGAAATATGGGACCCATAAAGGAAATAAGTGACCCTTTTTGAGATGAGGTGACCACAATTTTGTTCTTCTGAAACCAGCAGCTCTTCTTCTTCGGGGTCCCTCTATCCCCAGAAAGACCTCTCTGTTCTTTACTTCATCTTTCTAATCTTCACTTTTACATTCATCTATCCCCTTAATTTATTCTTTATTCTCTTTCTTCTTCCATCACTGTTTGTGATACAAATTGTAAGGTTGGGAGACAGGGTGTGGAGGTCAGTACTGTGGGTTTTCCTATGTTAATGTTGCCTTGAGAGACAGTAACAGTTTGAGTGAGGTGACATCCTGAGAGAAGCAGTTCTATCTCACCATGCATGAAGCAGTGTGTGTTTTGAATTGAAATTAGTTTGGACGCAGAAAGACCATTGAAAAGACATTTGAATATTATCTGAAATCCTCCTAGATCCCCATTCATGGGGTATGTCTATGTGTCTCCATTTGGTTAGGTGCTAGGAAAGCTGATGGGTTCAGGAGAATATCCTTGTACAACCTGGAGGTCACTGGGCCCCTCCTTTTCCCTCTCTCAAGAAGTAAATTTGCTAAAGAAGTTTTTATCTTCTCTCAGAGCCACCTCTAGATATCCCCTCTCTGCCCTGAGTGGGGCTCAGAGCTATTGCAAATAGCCATGTAAGAGTCTATGGTGTGACCTGCCCATGGGGCCAACACCCTCCTCTCCCACTTTCTCTCCCAGAACGTAGAAGGACAATGCCCTGTAGAAGGCCTGGCCCTCCATGGTCCACCCAAATCCCCAAAACTCACACTCCAGACTACTATGTACATAGAGATGGATGACCTCAGTCCATTAGCTCAGGTGTTCAATAACTGGAACTAGTTTCAATTCAGTTTCTCTTCAGAGTGACCCTTGATTCCTCATGGGGCGTGGGGCAAGGGAGAGGCTTCAGTCTTTAGGCTGCGGGACATCACTGTTCTCCTCTAGTCCATCCTGGGGACAGATGGACTCAGAGACAGGAGTTGGGGCAGGGGAGGTGTGGATTTCCCCAAGGGTCTAGTTCCGTCCTCAGGGGTGAGAATGGCCCACTGGCTTATGCCCTCCCTGGGTGATCTATAAAGTGAACAAAACCTACAAAGACTAACCTGAGGCTTCTCTAAACACAGCAGTCCAACCCTGGCTTCACCTTGAGTGATGGTCTAGGATAGCATTGGCCACAGATGAAGAATGATGCCGCTAAATGGAAAGAGAAGGGCCGGGCGCGGTGGATCAGGCCTGTAATCCCAGCACTTTGGGAGGCCGAGGCGGGCGGATCACGAGGTCAGGAGATAGAGACCATCCTGGCTAACACGGTGAAACCCTGTCTCTACTAAAAATACAAAAGCTTAGTCAGGCGTGGTGGCGGGTGTCTGTAGTCCCAGCTACTCAGGAGGCCGAGGCAGGAGAATGGCATGAACCCGGGAGGTGGAGGTTGCAGTGAGCCGAGATTGCGCCACTGCACTCCAGCCTGGGTGACAGAAAGAGACTCCATCTAAAAAAAAAAAAAAAAAAGAGGTAGGTGGAGAAGGTTACCTGAGCTCCATGCCTGAGAGATCTCTCGGGCTGTGTGAGCCAGGCTTCTCCAGCTGGCTCAGGGAGCAACAGGACTGAATCATTAAGTGCTGTGTTCACAGCCTCCTGCCTGCTGACTCCAGCATTGTTACTTGAGAGGAAGGGCTGGCAATCGAGAAACAGGACTGGAGATGTGCTGGCCACTCCCGTGGCACCCTGCGTAAAGCTCTGAGCCCCCACACCAGCACCCCAAAGCTCAGATGCTAAACAGGTGACTTCTTTTTTATTTTACTGAGGAAGTAAAATTATAACCTTTGTGACAAAAGAGGCTGCTTCACAGAATGGATAAGGGCAAGGACTTGGATTGAGAAAGGCTGTGCTCCAATCCTGTCTCCAACCCTTACTGCAGGGATACCAGTTTAGCTCCTTCATTACTTTGCCTCTGGGAGCCTCAGTTTCCCCAGCCACAAATTGGGTATGATAGTAGTATTTTCATCCTAGGTATATGGAATAATTAATGTAAAACACATAGCATTCAATACATAGTAAACAATAAATAAATTATAGATCTCCTTAATAAGTAAAAAGATTTGAGGTTACTAAAAAGATGGACATCACAATTTTTATTTTCTTTTAAAATTAACTTTATTGTGATATAAAATAATTTATAAAATGTTCCCATTTTAAGGATACAATATAGTACCTTCCAACAAAAGTATTCACTCATGTAATCACTACTCCAATTAGGACGTAAAATCTCCTCACTTACTCAAGGATCTCTCCTGTTCCTATGAGGTGGTGCCCGTGTGATAAGGTTTTTCTCGGGACTTGAAACCTGGGCCATACCGCGGGAAGCTGGGAGCCTCAGCCAGGGCAGGAAAGGAAAGACAGGGTGAAGACTGCAAGAGGACTGTTGTTGAAAACCTGTGCGATGCACGAGAGGCACGTCAAGGGACTTGCTCCCAGAAATAACTGGGTATATTTGGAGGGGTGGCTGAGGTCCTCCTACCACAAAATCTGGAGCCATAGAGCCACTTAGCAAAGGGGCTGCCTTGAGACCAGAGAGCAGAGCCTGAGTTCCTTGACCCAGCATCGCATGGTCTTTCACCACTGGACACTGGACACTGTGACACCTGCTCCCTGTCCGACGCCAACTTTACCATGCTGCTTACAATCCTTGGAGCACTGTCAATTGACTAGGACCTCCAGGAAAGTAGAAACATGCCCATTTAATTTTCTGCTGTGCCCAGGGCTTAGAATGTATGTGGCATATAGCAGACAGCAATAAATATTTGTTGACTGAATAAATGCTCGACAGCCTCACATCCATGTCCTTTTCCCTCTGGTTCTCTTTGTCATATATTCTCTCTCCCACACCCCATCCTTACCCGATTCTGACTTCTTCAAAGCCCATGTGAAATTGCTTGCTATGAACCCCTTCTCCCCAGGCAGGGCAGAACTAACCACCTCCCTTCCCCAGAGCCTGCAGCATTTTCATTCCTGTATTTAGTACTGACCTCTCGATCCAGAGATCTCATGAGCCTTGCTTTAAAATGGCACATATCAATCCTGAGGCAAAGAAGCTAAATCTTTATTTAATCCACCTCCAAGATGTGCCCTCCTCCCCTTTTTTAAGCCATAACTGAAGTGCCCTATATCACTATGCCAAAAGCCAGAAAATTATTAACAATGTGTGCCATGAGAATAATGAAAATGACAAGCCTCTGTTTCCACCCTAATTAGTTAATAATTAAAACTGCCTTCGAGTTATCGAAAGAGTAACAACTGTCTTGCAGTTGCAGCTTCATCTAGAAGGAACATGTTGGTGAGTGTTTCACTGCTGGTTTTCAAAATTAAAATCTCATCACTCAAAGAGCATCTAGCAACATCCCAACATTATAATTTCAAAAGCTCACTCTCAAAAATCTTATTCTATTAGATGCAGTGTTAGGCTGAATAAAAGGCTCGTTTTTGAAATGGATAATGGGACTGCAAAATACTCAAGATGTCATGAGATCCACTTCTGTTTTCTTCAGGTAGGAACTGTTTTAGCCACTGTGAGCAAAGGAATTGACTCTGTTATTCTTTTTTTGGTTTGTTGTGTTTTTGAGACGGAGTCTCACTCTCTCGCCCAGGCTGCCAGGCTGGAGCACAGCGGTGCGATCTCGGCTCACTGCAACCTCTGCCTCCTGGGTTCAAGCGATTCTCCTGCCTCAGCCCCCCGGTTAGCTGGGATTACAGGTGCCCAACACCACACCTGGATAATGTTTGTATTTTTAGTAGAGATGGGGTTTCACCATGTTGGCCAGGCTAGTCTCAAACTCCTGACCTCATGTGATCCACCCGCCTCGGCCTCCCAGAGTGCTGGGATTACTGACGTGAGCTGCCGCGCCCAGGCGGAATCCATGCTATTCTTAAAGACCTTCAGAGGAGAACACGCCGTCATGCCCTGCAGGTACTTTTGCAGTTAGGCAGTGTTTCTACTAACAAAGTCAAGCCCAAACATCCCCTTTTGTTTAGGCAACATAACTGGTTACACTTCAGGAAACTCCAAATGCTAACAAACTAGAGATTCACTCTCATATATTTAAGACACCCATCGCAGCTCAGCAAATTCCACGACAGCATGGCTCAGAATAGGATAAACTATTCTGAATCCATGCCCCAACATCCAAAACATAAAAGTACTAGAACAGTCCTAATGTAACACCATTACACACATCCACACACCAGGGTCTCAGTGAGAATGCGAAAATGTCAGTCGGTCATAGTAGAATCATTGGTTACCAGAGACTGAAGGGGAAATAACACGGCGCCTGGTGGCTGATGCACAAATCCCCAGTTGTAAGATTAACATCACACTCTAAGAATAAAATCCCCTAAGACTAGAAGTACCCAGGAGGGCACCTCCTTTTTTCTCTGACCTTCTTGTTTGACTGTCCCAGCCACCATGATAGTACCTGTATAAGACATTTCTAAGTGGCTCTGGAGAAGCAATCTCCCTAGGCAAGCAAAATGTACTCTGCTAAAAATATTTAATTTTTTTTAATTTAACCTAAACTCTCATAACTCCATGTAATGATTTCTTTGTGGCCTGAAATTAAAGAATCAATAATCTATTCAGCTGCCCTAACTGGTAGTTACAGAACTTGTCTTCAATTCATACAGGCAGTCTGCTCAGGCCTATTTTAAAATCCACATTTGTGATTCACTGCACAGTTTGCAAAAGATTGCTTTAACAATTGTTATGGCCTTGGTTGAGCCCTTGATCAGGTTTCCCTGCAAAAAATCCCAAGCTGCTCACTCAGTTTGCATGCTGCCAGGTTCCAATGCTCCAGCCTCCTCTAACCAGAACAGATGGAATGATCAGCCCACTTATAGTCCTTCAATGGCTCTGCTCAGATTTAGGGGGAGGTTAAAGGGCCTTATAAGGCCCTCCATTCCTGGCCCTTTGCCTCTCCCTTCTGCCTTCTCTCCAGCTGAATCAAACACTGTCACCCTGACTGTCATGGTACTGGTTATCTCTGATCTTTTTCATATGCTTAGTTTCTGCCTAGGATTCTCTTTCTTGAACTGGAAGCCTTGCATTAGCCATCTTCTCTAAGGACCTATCTTCCAGCATGGTGCTTCCCAATATTGTTCATGTAGTGACATCCAGAGAAATGATCATATTTGAATGGCACCAAGTAATTAATAGATTGAGGGGAACCGAGAGGCCAGCTGAGATTTCTCTGGCCAGAGGATCAGACCCCACCCCACCAGCCACTCCATACCCCACCTGGTGGCTTCAGAGGTAGAGATCAATGTCTAGGGCACCCTCCAACCTGGTGCTGGCACGCTCACAGAGCAACCTCGTTCCTCTGACTCCTAGGAGGAGCAGGTGTTCCTCACATGTGCTTCTTCCCCTCCCCTATCATTGAATTTATCACACAGAATGAAACCGTGTAATTAACCAATTTAGGTGAGATAAACAGTATTGTTCCATAGATTCTGTGCAGGCAGGGGCTGCAGCCTTCATGGGCACCACGGTGAGGCCGGCTCATGCACAGCTGGCTCTTTGTAAGTGGTCAGCTTCTTCCCCAGCATAAACAAACACAGTGGCTAATGAGGAACCTGGCACTGTCCCTTTCCTGGTGTGTAACTGCACATATATGTGACAGGAGGGACAACTTAGCAAAGCAAACCTTATGGCTGATTGCCTTTATTACTGGCTACAAACCAATTATTTCTTTTGCCTCGTATAGTGGAGCTGGAAGAATTCTAAAGTTCAACCTAAAATGCACAAATGGCATTTCCTTTTCATCGTAAATATGACATGTAGCCCCTCCACGAAGGGATTGATTTTGTTCCTTCTTTTTTATATTCAACAGACTAAAGTTCTCAGAATTTGAAGTCTTCTATAAATTGCCAGAGCTGATTGTAATGAAGATTTCTTGGGGAATACAAGGCCCCCAAGCCATTCCAAAGCTCTCCTTGGAATGTGGGATCAGAATCTCATGCAGATTTCTAAATCAAAATCACCACCATCATCATTCCAGGAAAGTATCATTATAATGTAGTGCCATGGTATATTCTATCTCATTTATATTACCAAAATTATCTTTTTTGTGCCCTAAGTAGCACAGAATGGACATTCTTTTTTTTTCTGAGAGGTTCAATGGAAGAATGAACGCCAAGGATCTTTATGTAGTTCCAGGCAACCTAAGGCCCATCTCAACTAGAAAGTCAAGAATGATTTGTCTAAGACAACATGTCTTCAGAAGAGACAGGTGCTTATTTTTTTTTTAACTTACCTTAAGCTGAATACTATTTCCAGAGCTAAAATTGCAGGCTTCCTTTGCTGCAGGCCATGGCAGCAAATCCAAACAGAAGCTTTCCTGGCAACCCCAAAGCAAACCCATTTGACCCCAAGCACTCGTCACTTCTGTGGGCTGTCATCACGACTCTTCTCTCCATAAGGAGTACATTTAGAAAAGGACAAAAATAGGCAAGGAAAGCTGTCGACCATTTTAATTCTTCAGTTTTCTACATAGAATTTTTTTTGTGGTCTATTAAAAAATACACAGCCACTCACTTGAAATCCCTTCATTGATGTGAGGCATTAAGTCTAATCCATCTTGCCATTTTTAAGAATTGTCTTCTCTTCCTTTAAAATCCTGCTCTTATTGTAAGGTTAACACCTGTACCTCTCAATACTGTTTCATTTTTCTCAAACACCTGACTTCAGTTAAACAAGGCATATTTATGATATCATCATAATTTGAGAGCAGAGGCAGTATTGGATCCAAGAGATTGATAAGTGCAACAGCATTTTTAAGCTCTAAAGAAAAATATAAACATTAGCTACCTTTATCTTTCTTGTTCCTTCAGCATGTAATGCACAGCAAGGATTCAATAAATGTCTGCTGCATGAATTTAAATATGGACAAATAGAAAAGACACAAGGGAAATATTTCACAAGAATGATAAAACCTAAATACTGAGTCCCCATAATGTCAGCATTGCCAACCTAGAGCATTGGTCTGTGCCCAGGAGAACTCCTACAGCTGAATGTGGACCTTGTGGGTGAGATGTGGCTGTCATCCCATGGGGTCATCTGATGCCAACTTAAGAGTTCTTAGTGCTCATACCCCCAACCCCCATAAAAGGATTGCACAAGGCATTAGTGAACGAGGAAGTTTTACTGAAGGTTCTATCGGAGCATGAGTATAATCATATCGTACACCATTAGTGAGAGCCCTGTCCCTCAATCCCTGCTCTCATCAGAAGGCAGCCCCCTACCCTGCCATCTGGCATCCTCACACTCGCTCAATTCAATTCTGTCCCCAGGGAGGTGAAAGGCAATCAGACTCAAGATGTCTATCAAACTGAGGGCTTCCCAAATTTGGAACAGAGAAAGAGGTGTGGAGATAAAAGAGGAATAGAAAGGACTCATCTGTTCACAAAGATATCTAACAATAAGTTAGATCTTAATTATTTTTTGTGTTCCCTGAAAGAGAAAGGGGTTATTGTAAGTTATGATTCCCTACACAAGTGGCAGGCACAGCAGGAAGTAAGGATGGGCTACGCAGGAGATCAGCGGGAAACAATCAGTGGGTCACATGTTAGTTCTCTCAGCCACTTTTACAACATCTCATTAACTGGTCTGAAGTGAGAAGACAGTAATGTTGAGATGCCTTACTCCACAATTTTATTCTCGTACCTTGTTTTCTTTGAATTAGATTTGGGCAAAATGTTAGTAAACCTGGCCATCAAACCAAAAAGCCAGTCCCAAACCTACATCATACATTACACAGAAGGGACCCCACTCAGTGCAGGCTGAATGAAGTTTTTCCCATCTGCACCAGGTAAACATTCCCATTGACAAAGCTCTGGGCTAAGAGAACAGTCCCCAGTTGGCAGCCCAAAAGGAATGGGAAAAGCTGCTTCCAGCAAGCCCAGGCACCTCTTAGAATTGACCACAAAACTACCCCTCAGCCTTTCAGAACAAATAACAAATATTTCTGCTCCCACGCTTCCCAGCCTGACCACACTGCCCCAGCTGTGTTAGTAGGAAGAGAATGTGGGTCTCTAAATGATAATACATCCATGAAAATGGAAATAGTCTGCCTCCCAAATGCAGGTTTAACTGTTTTTCAAAATGTATTGAGCAGGTCAACAGAATTAAAATCACCTGAAAACCCGTTTAAAAAATAAATTCTCCAGCCCCACCCCAAACCTACTGAACCAGAATTATGCGCTTTCATAAGCCCTTTGGAGGATGCTGACGTACACTCCCGTGTGAGAACCATCGGTTTAAGTGAACAGTTCTGAAAAGGGGATGCCACTTGATGGAACTCGTTGAATGTGGTGATCAGTGCAGCCTTAATTGACCCCTCCACCTACACCCCCTAGAGTGGAGACTGCTTTTGTGAACGGGAAGCGATAATGGCATCAAGCAAAGATTAGGAAACAGAGATGAAGGAATGGAAGACAAGGGGGAAAAGGAGGAGAGAAAAGAAGAAAAAGTAGCTTAGCCTGTTGGGGAAAATACGAAACTGGGATGAAGTTAGATCAAGATGAAATGTGAATGGGGACCTGGGGCAGAGAACCTGTGGCTCATTGGATATTCATGTGTTCTCTCACATTTCCCAGACCCCAGGAGTCTGGATGTTGACAGGCTGTGATCTGAAATTTCCCTTTTGGGTAGACATGTGCTGCCATCTCCAGACTCTACCAATGGAGACACCTCTGAATGGTATAAAGCTGTCCCTGTGTCCTCCATTCTAATTCCGTCTAGATAATCATTCATTCTAAGCATTTTATTAATAACACAGCTTCAATCATTACATGTGTAACTGCACCAGACCAATCTGGTTCTCCTTTTATGTAACAAGGTTGTGGGTTGTTTTTCAGTTACCATGGGCCCCTAGTTTAAAGGTCATATAACCTGAGCATGCCCACACGAACCAAGCTTGCAGCCACAAGTGGAACCTACGTGCTTAGATGGAGGAGCAGGGAACCTTTTTCAGATGATAGGGAACATGGTAAGACCAGTTAATTCCATGAGCATATGTCCCCTGTCACACTTCTTTAGCTGTAAAGTGAATGCCTTGGTCAGAACCAATACTGTGTGGAATACCATGACAGTGGATAAGGCATTCCATGAGTCCACGGATGGTAGCCTTGGCAGAAGCATTGCATGCAGGATAAGCAAACCCATATCCAGAGTAAGTGTCTATTCCATTGAGGACAAACCTCTGCCCTTTCCATGGTGGAAGAGGTCCGATATCATCAACCTGCCACCAGGTAGCTGGCTGATCACCCCAAGAAATGGTGCCAAATCAAGGGCTCAGTGTTGGTCTCTGCTGCTGGCAAATTGGGCTCCCAGCAGTGGCTGTAGCCAGGTCAGCCTTGGTGAGTAGAAGTCCATGTTGCTGAGCCCATGCGTAACCTCCATCCCTGCCACCATGGCCATTTTGTTCATGGGCCCATGGGCAATGACAGGTGGCTGGGGAAAGAGGCTGAGTGCTGTCCACAGAACCAGTCATCCTATCCAATTGATTATTCAAATCCTTCTAGCCATGGCCTGGGGCTTGCCAGTGCATTTCCTTTGTGGAGGAAATAACTGCTCTGTGCAGCAGGCAGTGAAGCCATATCCCTGTGAGCATTGACCTCTGCCTGCTGTAGATGAGGCTGAAGAAACCCTTCCTGCTAACATGAGTCCAACCTCTTAGTTAAGCTAAGCTTGGTAAGAAATAAAATACTGCCCAGTGCATTTCCTATCAAAACATTCAAGTTTCTGTGGACAACTCAGGGAGGATGTTATTCCTAGACATTTACCCTGTTTCTCCAATTTAGCTCAGGATGGCAACATTTGTTGACATAGCTCTTCTATATTTTCTAAGCTTTTGTGTGTGTTTACAGTTTGAATACTGTCCCCCAAAGACATACTTAAGTTCCAAACCCCAGTACTTGTCAATGTGACTTTACTGGGAAATAGAGTCCTTGCAGATGTAATTAAGTTAAAGATCTCAGAATGAGATTATCCTGTATTTAAGGTGGGCCCTAAGCCCAGCAATTGATATGCAGATACAAGAGAAGAGAGAAAGATTAGACATACAGGCCTGCCAAAGTAGTCAGGACTTGAGATACCAAGATCCTCAAGTGAAGAAAAGTGAAGACAACAAAATTCGATAGTTTAAGTCACTTCCTCAAAGCATTCTCTTAAGATATGCAGTCCAAAAACTGTGTGGAAATTGAGACCAAAAAAAAGCGCGCAGAAGGCTAAGAAACTAAGCAGAGCTACAGTCATCTTTACACTGTTGGGGAAACAAAAATTGGGATTGGATGCCAACCAAAGTGGAGAGCTCCTGGAAAATATTCCAGTTTGCAGTTGGGACCCCTGAAGGACTACACTCTAGGAATAAAGGTAAACTGGAAACAGACTAGACCTTTGATAGACTGAAAATTAGACTGTAATCAGTGTCATCTTCAGTTGGATAAAGGTTATCTGCTCCTAACTCCATATCAAGAGTTAAAGAAAATCCTTGTTGGAAGGTAAAATCATCCAGAGCCTCTACAATTTCTTAGAATATGAGTGAATGTGTGTCAATTTACAGCATTCAATGAAAAGTTAGCAGGTATATCAAGAGACAGGACATATAAGAGACAGGAAAAAGAAGAAAAGACAATAAAAACACACCCCAGGTGATCTAAGTTAAAAAGAGTTTAGAGACTGGACTCTCGCTGTTATTGACAGACTTTAAGACAAAATAGAGAATTTTACTAGAGAACTGAAATCTATTAAAATACCATCAAATGGAAATTCTAAAACTGAAAAGTACAATAACTAAAAGAGATGTGTTTCAAAGGATATTAGACACCACTAAAAAGAGGATTAATGATTTGGAAGGTATGTCATTAAAGAATATCCATACCGAAGCACAGAAAGAAAAGGAAACAAGTAAACAAGAGCATGAGACATGAGAACTGTAGGGCATGGTAAAAATGTCTAACATATGTGTAATTGAATTGTGTGTGTATTGTATGAGTCTCAGAAATGGTGCAGACGGAGTAGAACAGAAGTAATTGAAGAAATAATGGCTGAGATTTTTTTAATTGATTAAAAAATCAGACTACAGGTTTTAAAAGTGTTACAAACTCAAGTAATATAAATACAAAGAAAATTACACGTAAGCACATTTCAGCTGAAAATCAAAGACTGAGAAAATCTTAAAAGCATCCAGAGTGTGGAAAAGGCCTATTATCTTCTGGAAAGCAACAAGAAGATGGACAGTTGACTTTTTAATAGACTCGACTGAAGCCAAGCAACCATGTAGTGACATATTTAAACATAATGAAGGAAAATAACTGCCAACATAGAACTCAACACTCAGGGAAAGTATCTTTGAAAAGTTAGGCTAAGATAAAGATTTTTCACCAACAAACCTGTATTAACCTAACAGGAGTTTTTCAGGCAGAAGAAATATGATCTTAGCCAAAAGCATGGATATGTGGGAGAAATAAAAATATATATATTTTTTAAAATGTGAATAAATCCCAATGAATAATAATTGTAGAAAACAATAATCACATCTTAAAAACATTTAAGATGTGTGAAATTAAAATTTATCAGAATAATACACAAGACATTATGTGGTAAATGTTAAAAGTTAATGTTTTCTAATGTGTTTGCATTGTCCAAGAAGTAGACTGATGTAATAACTTAGTACTAGTAAGTTATTTTAGACCTTAAACTAAGGATGCACCTTGTAATCTCTAAGTATTTTTAAAAAGTAGGAAGTAGAAAATAAAAAGAAAATTAATAGAGGAGATCATGGAATAGTTAGAAAAAAACTTGAAAATTCTAAAATAAAGAACAAAAAAAAACCAGCTAATGCAAATATAAGATGGTAACTATAAGCCCAAATGTATCAGTAATTATATTAAATGTGAAAAAACAAATGCTTTAATGAAAAAAACATTCTAAGACTTAGAAGAAAACAAAGCCTAATTATTTAGAAACTCCCAACAGTTGGCAGAAAAGAATGGGAAAAACATACCATATTATAAATGCTGACTGAAAGAAAGCTGGTGTAGCTTTATTAATATCAAAGCAGTCTTTAAGACGAGAAGCATTACTAGAGAGAAAGAGAAATATTTTATAAAGAAAAATTAAAAGGTCAATCCACCAGGAAGATATAACAAGTGGTATATGCACCTGATAACACAGCTTCAAAATATATAAATCAAAAATTGACAGAACTAAAGGGAAAAATAGACAAATGTGCAATTATAGTGAGAGATTTTAACATTTCTCAGTGACTGGTAGCACACACAGAGGAAAAAAAGAATAAAAAAGATTGGGACAACATAATTAACATGAAGCAATTGCCATGTAAAGAATTGTACACTTGGCAACTGCAGAGCCCGCAATGTTTTATATGCATGAGAAACATTTAACAAAAATGTCCATATGCTATTTCACAAAGAGCATCTCAACACAATTCAAAACATCAGACTTATACAACATATTGTCTCTGGCTCCAGTGAAATTTAGCTAGAAATAAATAACAAAAAATAATTACAAAATTCTGTAATTTAAGAAATTAAGCAGCAAATGTATAAATAATCCATGCCATCACTCTATATTGTGTATTTACCTGATTGATGGAGTTACATGCTTTTTTGAAGGTAAGAAAAATCAAAATCTTTTACTTACAAATTACAAGTACTTAAAAATAATATGAAATCCTACAATAACTTTTACTAAGCTATACTTCAGGTATCACTTTTTTCCTTTGTCAGCATTTAAGGATAAAAGGGTGGTACCTACTATGGACAACACAAATTTATTCTTCCATTTCCTCAAATTAAGGTTAAAGGACCAACACTGTAAAATTGCCATTTTGATCATTTATATCAGTAAATGAACTTCAGCATCTTTTCAAATGACACTGTGTTTTTAAACATTTGACCTCCATTTACTTGAGATATCTGCCACTGCATTACAGATTACAATGGAATTATTCTGAAAATATATCTTTAAATTTTTTTAACAAAACATCCTATTTTCAAGGACACTGTGAAAGAAATATCAATAAACTGGAGGCTAGAATGGATGACCCCAACTTGAAGGCTCTGATTATCCTCAAATCCTAATTTGGCCTACTTCAGTTTTCTTTTCCTTTTTTTTTATACTTTACGTTCTAGGGTACATGTGCACAATGTGCAGGCTCGTTACATAGGTATACGTGTGCCATGTTGGCCTGCTGCACCCATCAACCCATCATTTACATTAGGTATTTTTCCCAGTGCTATCCCTCCGCCTGCCCCCAACCCACAACAGGCCCCAGTGTGTGATGTTCCCCACCCTGTGTCCAAGTGTTCTCATTGTTCAATTCCTACCTATGAGTGAGAACATGCAGTGTTTGGTGTTCTGTCCTTGTGGTAGTTTGCTGAGAATGATGGTTTCCAGCTTCATTCATGGCCCTGCAAAGGACATGAACTGATTCTTTTTTATAGCTGCATAGTATTCCGTGGTGTATATGTGCCACATTTTCTTAATCCAGTCTATCATTGATGGACATTTGGGTTGGTTCCAAGTCTTTGCTATTGTGAATAGTGCCACAATAAACATACGTGTGCATGTGTCTTTATAGTGGCATGATTTATAATCCTTTGGGTATATACCCAGTAATGGGATCGCTGGGTCAAATGGTATTTCTAAGTCTAGATCCTTAAGGAATCACCACACTGTCTTCCACAATGGTTGAACTAGTTTACACTCCCACCAACAGTGTAAAACATTCCTATTTCTCCACATCCTCTCCAGCATCTGTTGTTTCCTGACTTTTTATTGATTGCCATTCTAACTGGTGTGAGATGGTATCTCATTGTGGTTTTGATTTGCATTTCTCTGATGATCAGTGATGATGAGCATTTTTTCATGTGTCTGTTGGGTGCATAAATGTCATCTTTTGAGAAATGTCCATATCCTTTGCCCACTTTTTGATGGGGTTGTTTGATTTTTTCTTGTAAATTTGTTTAAGTTCTTTGTAAATTCTGGATATTAGCCCTTTGTCAGATGAGTAGATTGCAAAAATTTTCTCCCATTCTGTAGGTTGCCTGTTCACTCTGATGATAGTTTCTTTGGCTGTGCAGAAGCTCTTTAGTTTAATTAGACCCCATTTGTCAATTTTGGCTTTTGTTTCCATTGCTTTTGGTGTTTTAGTCATGAAGTACTTGCCCATGCCTATGTCCTGAATGGTATTGCCTAGGTGTTCTTCTAGGGTTTTTATGTTTTAGGTCTAACATTTAAGTCTTTAATCCATCTTGAATTAATTTTTGTGTAAGGTGTAAGGAAGGGATCCAGTTTCAGCTTTCTACATATGGCTAGCCAGTTTTCCCAGCACCATTTATTAAATAGGGAATCCTTTCCCCATTTCTTGTTTTTGTCAGGTTTGTCAAAGATCAGATGGTTGTAGATGTGTGGTGTTATTTCTGAGGCCTCTATTCTGTTCCATTGGTCTATATCTCTGTTTTGGTACAAGTACCATGCTGTTTTGATTACTGTAGCCTTGTAGTATAGTTTGAAGTCAGGTAGTGTGATGCCTCCAGCTTTGTTCTTTTTTGCTTAGGATTGACTTGGCAATGTGGGCTCTTTTCTGATTCCATATGAACTTTAAAGTAGTTTTTTCCAATTCTGTGAAAAAAGTCATTGGTAGCTTGATGGGGATGGCATTGAATCTATAAATTACTTTGGGCAGTATGGCCATTTTCATGGTATTGATTCTTCCTATCCATGAGCATGGAATGTTCTTCCAAAGCATGTAGTTCTCATGCCATGGTTTTCAGCCCCATCAGGTCATTTAAGGTCTTCTCTACACTGTTTATTCTAGTTAGCCATTTGTCTAATCTTTTTTCAAGGTTTTTAGCAGCCTTGCAATGGGTTTGAATATCCTCCTTTAGCTCGGAGAAGTTTGTTATTACCGACCTTCTGAAGCCTACTTCTGTCAGCTCATCAAAGTCATTCTCTGTCCAGCTTTGTTCTATTGCTGGCGAGGAGCTACAATCCTTTGGAGGAGAAGAGGCACTCTGGTTTTTAGAATTTTCAGCTTTTTTGCTCTGGTTTCTGGTTCCATTTTCTTAATTAATGATCAAGATATTAAATACTACATCTCATGCTAAACCTACATGACAGCATAAGGTTAAATTTCTTTTTAAAAATTTTGGGAAGACTTGATGAGACAAGAGTGCATTCTTCATATTTGAATGATGTTGAAGAGATTAGATTTGTTCTAATCCTAATTTCATAGGAAAAAACTAGAATCAGAGGAAGCAAATATTGGGAAGATTTCAGGTTAAAATGAGTTTCCTTTCATTTTAATGTAATATTTAATTTTTAGATATTGTAAAAGGAAATGTTAGACAGTATGCACTCCAAATTTCGCCGCAATGGCATTACACTTGTTTTATGTCTTCATTTGCCTGTGCAACCTGTATGTTCACACACCTGTAGTTGGTATGCATTTGTAAACTTCATAGTAGCAGGCTCTGTGACTGAACCACAGTGTTTCCAAACTTTTGACAGTCTGAATTGGGAACAAACTGCTATTTGTTAGAATGCCAGAAATATATGCCCTATGCCTCTAAAGGTAAAGGGTGAGTTTGCCCTTGGGAAAGACTCTATTTCACTTTTGTGAGTAATTACATTCTGAAAGTTTTAAAACAAGAAGCTTTTTGTTGTCCTTGAACTTTGGGAAGTATTCCCAATGTAAATGCTTAAAACTGAGATGTTAAATTTTCATCACATTAATAGAAAAGGCTATTTTCATCATGGGCATCTTTGAGAGATTTTTTTATAATGGAGATGGGTGGAACGGCAGAGAGGGGTAACTGGAGCCCCTGGGACTTGCTGGAGAAGAGGAAATGACAAAGTGGATGCTAAATAGGAAAGATGGGCCCAGCAAAATGTTCGCACACACAGCCTAAGGAGGGAGACAGCCACATGGGCCTGATGGGGTGTCATGAGCCACTGCCTTCAAATTAAAGTTGTCCTTTCCTGAATGCTAATTCCCTTACATTACTGTCAGATCTTCATTAAGGTATTTTAAACACCACTGTGTCGATGGTGCTATGCCTTGGGGATTAAGAGAGGAGTCAAGTGTGAGTTCAGACATGAGGAGTTATGAGACCATGAGAGCTCCACCAGCACGGAGAAGTGCACCAAGATGGTGCATGGACTATGGCAAATATATCTGAAAGTAGGCATGTGGAGCAGGAGTGAGGAGGGAAGGCAACAGGTGAGCACTCCCGGGATTCCTCGGGAAGGGACTAGACTCTTGCAGTCATGCGAGATGGAGCCTTGGATTCTGGGCATTCGCTTACTGCAAGCAGGAATGGCCCCTGGGAGCCTGAAGAACTCGGGATCAGTTGGGGTCCTCTTGGACTGAATATTGTGGGAATTTTCTTAGGCAGAACTTTCTATCAAATAGTGGACAGACTGTCTCAGCAAGCATCAGGTTCCCATCATGAGGACCAAGCAGAAGCTGGTGATGACAGATGCTGGGGAAGGATTTCTGCTTCGGGGGGAGTTTTCCCAAGTAAGCCTGTTAGAGCTGTTAGAGCTACAAGCTGAGCATTAACAGAATTCTAAGCTTTTGAACTGAAGCATAGAAAAGTGTTTCTGGAATACAAAAATAGGTCAACCACATGCTTTGAGGAGAATTTCCATGACAAAGCCATTCAGTTCTCTCCCTGATGTTACCTGGGAACATCCAGGGAGTCTCCTCAGTGGCACTTGGTTTAAAGACTGAGTGATAGGGAGTATATCTAGACAAAGCCCAGGACCCCAGGCAGCTGCTATTCTCTGAGGAGTAGAGTCAAGCATTCATGCATCTGAGAAACGCTGCCATGAGGGATAAGCCAATATACAGGAAATGTCACAGCTTTTGGAAATAATGGGTCGTGAACATGGAGGAAAGAGGAGATTGGTAAAGCCTGGGAGAGCAACCTTATTTCTCCTAATATAAAACCCTACCTATTTTAAGACATTCAGATTTCAGAGATGGTAATTTCTTTTACATGCATCATCTTTTTGTTTTTGAGACAGGGTCTCACTCTGTCACCCATGCTGGAGTGCAGTGTCACTCGACAACTCACTGCAGCCTCAACTTCTTGGGCTCAGGTGATGAAAAATACATCTTTAAATCACTGTTTTCCATGGCCTAACCTATATTTTGATAAAAATAAATAAAAGCAAATTAAAACCAAGGACTAATTGAGTTTATATTAACTAAAGAAAATTTTTCTACCAACAACCATACTATTGACATGCACAGCCCTGACTTCCAAAAATTTCTCATCAGGAGAGACACTTTTGGTTTTTGCTTTTTGCCTCATGCTGCTTACGATGGCTGTTTGTGATTTTTCAACTATTAGCAGGATCCACAGAGACCCTCACTTCAACCGGGCATGACAATGGGGCACTGTTATATTTTAGGAAATAAATTGTCAACCTGCATTGAATTACTCATGGAAAGGTTGAGTTAGCTACACAAAAGTGTAAAATTGAGAGCCACGTTCCAAAAGGGAATTCTTGGTCCTGGACTACAGCAGACTAATAATGACTGCTCATTCCCTTGAACATAAAGATCCTGGGGGGTTTCCCCGGGCGGTGTGCCTGCAGCCAAAAATATTTTGAGGGTAAAAATTTGCCCATGTCCTTTTCAGCTTCCATAATGAATTACACCATCTGACCTCCAAACTGGAAAGTTCTAAGTTAATTCCCTTCTCTGCATCCCTCACCCACCACCTGCTGTTCCAGTAATTGATTGGCCCTGGCAAAATTGGAAACTAAATTAATTTTGTCTTCCTGTGCCTTCTCATTCTCTTTTTTCAAACCTCCTTTGGCATGATTTTCACCTTAGTTTTCTAGGCCCTCTGACATCCCAGAGTCATTGGCATTTTCCTCCTCACTTCTCATCAGTGTCAACCCACCTATTCCAACACTAGACTCATCTCCTGCCAGATGCTTCCAGCAAAGGTGTAAATTTGTGTGTGTGTGTCAGAGTTTCATTCTTGTTGCCCAGACTGGAGTGCAATGGCACAACCTCGGCTCACTGCAACCTCTGCCTCCTGGGTCAAGCAATTCTCCTGCCTCAGCCTCCCAAGCAGCTGGGATTACAGGCATGCACCACTGCGTGGCTAATTTTTGTATTTTTAGTAGAGATGGGGGTTTCACCATGTTGGCCAGGCTGGTCTCGAACTCCTGACCTCAGGTGATCTGACTGCCTTGGCCTCCCAAAGTGCTGGGATTACAGGCATGAGCCACTGTGCCCGGCCGGTGTAAATGGTCTTGATGACTTATGGTGATGTCATGTGTTCCCTCTGCCAGAAAACCTCTCTGTTTAACAGAAGAGATGGAGTCACTGAATAGTCCTCGCCCTCTAGTTCTCTGGTACCTGAACACTAGAATCACCTGGAGCACTTTAAAAAATACCAAATGCCCAGGCCCCACCCATAAATATTCTGATTTTGTAGGTCTGGAGTGGAACCCAGATATCAGTATTTTTTTTAAATCCCCTCCAGATGACTCTAAGTATAGCCAGGGTTTGGAAATCACTACTTATCCCAAGGGAGTGAGAACGAGGGTAATTGCAGAGCTGTTCTGGGCCAGACAGGAGGCTTGGGATCAGGAGGATGCCTCACGCCTCACCATGTTGGCCACTGGCCACTTCAGCTGAACAACGAGCTACTATATGCTCCTTGTATATTGATAAAAGTAATTTTTTGCAGGTCTTGTCAAATGATGAAAAATCAAACAGCTGTGCAGAAAGTATCTTTTCCTCATCAGCTAACCTAATTGAGATCTTTGAGTTGATAAAAATGTGGCTGATCCCACACCATGATAAATCCTAAGAGTTCTGTCTCTTCAGAGACTGTGCTCATTCCTTCTCTTGTCCTCAGAGAAGCACACACCTCTCTCTCTTCTAGGGTCCCCAGAAAAGCAGATTACACATGTTTTTGTTTATCAGCCCTTATTCCAGACAAGGATGTAAAGCTAGACTCCAGTTCAGAGTAAGACTAGTAGGTCTCATTTGGTCCCCTTGGAAGACAATGTATTAATAACACGACATGAAATAGAGTACAGGCAAAGGAAGCTTAACTCTGCCGTCATCTCTTTCCAGTGAGCATCTGCAAGCATTTGAAAGAAGGCTCGCTCTCCTCTCAGCAACCTGTCATGTTTGCCAATGATCAGATTACTTCTTGTATAGGAGATGTCTATGACATTTTCTTTCCACTCTCTATGTCAGCCCTACTAGCACATGAAAGTGGTAAGGCTGAATTGTTTTTCACATCATCTAAAGAAATGTCATCCTCCAAATTTACCTCCTAATATTATTTTGATCCCACATAAAAAAAAAAACAGAGCCTTTCAAAAACAAAGGGAAGTAAAACCAGCCAACGATGGACAATTGCCTCTTCTAGAATTCTTCCCAAGCAAGGAAACAACTAAGTACTGAATTGAAACTAAACTAAAATACAGAAACTATACATTGCTTAGGCCAAATCAGATGGCTGGGATATTTTGGCAGGGGCATTTCCAAATATTTCAATGATGTCTTTGGGAACTCAAGTAGCTGCCCAGAAAGCCAGGCACCTCCCTGGTCAAGAAGAGCTCCTTTAAATGTCTCTACGATTTCTGTAGGTTCTGAGTTACCACCAGAGGCACCTTCAAATCTAAGATTTGGAGTTGTGGGTAAAGAGAAAGGGTTGGAAGACTGAGATGGCCTTTCCCACATTTAACCACTGCACCTTTTATACATGGGCCTTTACTTTAAAAATACCGTCATCTGCACACAGATTGGGGAGGAAACCAGAAATCCAAGCAAATACAAAGGATATTCATTAAAATAACTAGCAGACAAATTATAGCCCCTTTGCAAATAGGACAAATGACTAAGATTTTGTGGTCCACTCATTTACGTCCACCAATTTATGCTGAAATGCATTTTTTGAGCAATCTCTCACTTTCTCCATAGTGTAAAAACTTTTGGCTCATTTTCAACTGTTTTATGAACTTCTGAAAGCTCCATTTATAAAGAACCTTTTTATATGTTATTGCTCTACTATATCTTATTATGGCCACACTGTGGACTTGGTACTAGAAACTGTCAAAAAATATATATGCTTGTATCTTAAAATTTGTGAAGTTGAGCTGGGTGAGTTTGGGCAAACTTAACTGTTAAGACTATTGGCTTTAAAAAATAATACTGATTACAGCAGTAAATTGTCAAACTTGTGAGCCAATTAAAGTCAATAAAATGAAAAACACAATGAGATCCTTATGCTGTCATTTAGCTTGGGGCCAACAAAACTTGTCCAAATATGATATGTGTCCTGAGAAAGTCATTTACTTTGTGAGTATATTTATCATTCAATCTGTCCCACTTTTCTTCCATTCTCCCTGAAGTTAAAGAGGGGAGAAACACGCCTAAATGACACCTTTCACTGTTTGGATTGGATATGTGCTTTTCCTGTGCCTTCCTCATGGACTCAGGGTCTAGAGAATCAAAGAGAATAGGTACAGGAACAGACAATCACTGCATGCCATCTGAGCAAACACTGAAAGAAAACTGGTGCCAGTGGCCTGCCGGTGACCACTCCTGTGGCTCTGATCAGTTTTTAGGTGGTGGCTTCGGCTCTCTGCCCTTGTTTACATTGACCCTCTGCTTATCCCCTTTCATCCGACTCCTTTGCTGTGCAAGCGCTTTGGTTGTTGAAGGTCTGTGTAGATGTTTCAGGGACACATAGTGAAAGAGTGAACTAAATTAGTGAGCTTTGGGGACGATACACCAACAAGTACAAAGCAAAGAGAAAACAGTAGAGTCTATTTCAGCATCAGGAAGGAAACTATCAAGCCTAGCTATGTCCTGACTAACAATGCTCTTCCTCTTTGTCTCAATGAAATATCATTGAAAACACCTTCCAGCAGTCAATTTCCTGACACCATAAACTTACTAATCCAAGGGCTTCTTATGGCTGGCTCATCTCTACGTTCAAACACTGTAATTTTGTTTTTTTCAATGACCAATTTCTTTTTGTTCTCTATTTGAATTTTTCTTCTTCTGTATTACCTGACCTGAACCTATCAACCATTTAAAGTGCTCTTGTGTGAACCAAGGTGTTAATCATGTGAGGGGTGATGTCTCAGTGTAAATTTGGGTAATCCTGGAGTTACTAAATGATAACGCTTGACATTTGAACAGCAGGTTCCAGTTTGTAAAGTACTTTCACACTGAATGTGTTATTTGCTTCTCACTACAACATTATGACATAGACAAGGAGGCCACTGGGGAAACTGAGTCTCGGGTATGTTTGTCCAGGATCCACCAGCTTCCTGACGGTCCCTTTACCTGCTGCCATTCCTGCTATGCCAGTCTCCCAGCATTGGAAGGCAGGATTGTCTGGCAATTCATTGGCTGCCATTTACTGACACCCTCCTGAAGGCCAGGAGCAAAGACAGAGAGGAACTATAAATTAACATATCAAGGAACTTTATTTTGCTCTCCCTGAACCTAAAAAACTCCTCTTTTGGGTAATGAACAAAAATTTGCTCAGATAAAAAATCAAATTTTATTTATTTACACACACACACACACACGTTAGAGTCAGTCATTTGTGAAATAACACATTTCACCAGTGTTGTATCTACAGCCTTAACAGAAAGTCATTGTCTCTTAAAAAAGGCAAACCCATAGAAACAGGAAAATGGGGGTTGCAGAGGTTGGGGAGCAGGGGGAGTAGGGAGAAAGACACAAAACTTTAGTTAGAGGAGGAATCCATTCAAGACGTCTATTGTACAACACGGGGACTATAGTTACTAGCAATATATACTTGAAAATTGCTAAGAGAGTCAATTTTAAGTGTTCTCTCCACAGAAAAATGTGAGGTAATCCATATATGTTAACTAACTTGAGTTAGCCAGTCCACAATGTATGCAGATATCAAAACATTATATTGTATACCATCAATTTATATAATGTTTTATTGTCAATTAAAAATTAGTTGGTTTTTAAAAAGAAGTCACTGTCCCCATAAAAATTCACAGTGAGCTCACTGCATACTTTTTGCTAGCAGCACTTTTAACCATTCCCATTGTTACTAGTAGAATACACAGAATCTGTTTGTAATAGTTGTGTTCTAAGTTCACTGAAAAGCAAAGTTTCCTATAGAGAGTTAAAGTTTAGGAGAAAGAAGATAAATCTGACTATGCTCCCTGTTCATCTTACCCACTGTCTTTCACCAAGCCTGTCCAGGGATGTGGAGGTGCAAGGCCAGCTCAGCAGCCCGTGGTGTGAACAAATACATCTCATATCCCCGTCAGGATCCAAGGGATCACATCAGGAAGAAACCGCAATCTTAACCACAGCCTGGACTAGCGGGATGAACCTCTATGTGGGTAAATCAGAGCTCCAACTCTCCAAAAGAGTAGGTATGGATAGGAAGATATGAGTCTGCAGGAGTAGCAGGAAAATAATCTGGGATTTCAAATCTACAGTAAGTACATAGTGAGAGGGGGTTCCCTGCAGGCCAATACAGCCTTAGCCTTCCCGGATGAAGTCCTACATCCTGAACAAGGAAAGGGAGAGTTCATTTCTAATGTGACGTGACCAAACTACAGCTGATGACTCAGTGCCCTTTGAGGTCCTCGCTTTATTTTATTTTATTGTTATTTTTATTTTATTATTTTTATTTTTATTTTATTTTATTTTATTTTTATTTTATTTTTTATTTTTTGAGACGGAGTCTTGCTCTGTCGCCCCGGCTGAAGTGCAGTGGCGCAATCTCGGCTCACTGCAAGCTCCGCCTCCCAGGTTCACGCCATTCTCCTGTCTCAGTCTCCCGAGTAGCTGGGACTACAGGCGCCCGCCACAACGCCCGGCTAATTTTTTGTATTTTTAGTAGAGATGGGGTTTCACCCTGTTAGCCAGAATGGTCTCGATCTCCTGACCGCGTGATCCGCCCGCCTCGGCCTCCCAAAGTGTTAGGATTACAGGCGTGAGCCACCGCACCTGGTCGAGGTCCTCGTTTTATGAGCAATATAGAGATGATAAGAGACTTTCAGAAGAAAGTAAGCAAGTTAAAGACGCCATTCAGACCATGCCAGACGCATCAGGAATTAAATAAATATCTGTTGAATGACTGAATGCATTAGGAATAAACGTGACGAATTGTAGAAGGAATTAGACCTCCTTTCCTAGCAAGATGAGACTTGGGGAAACTCAAAAAAAAAAAAAAAATGGTGTGCTCAAGTTCTCCGAGATACTGATGTCTAGACAGGCACAGCATGTGGGGATTTTATTTGGGGAAGTCTCTTCTGCCCCCCGCCTTGGGAAAGGGGCTTGTACAGGCGGCCTCTTGCTACCTCCCATATTTCCCTGACTCTGGACATGTTCACCTGACCTCTCAGCAGCATCTTGACCTCAGCATAGCGTTTCTCAAACACTGCCCCCACTAGGTCCTTACAGCAGATACAGTGAGTTTATAGCCTGGGTAGTCTGAGTTTGGAACACAGAAAAACCCAACTCTAAAATGAAATTGTTGGTAGTTTACTTTTTTATATTAACATTTCCTGCTTCTAATATATGTGTGATTTTAACATAATAATAATGTATTTTTCACAAACTTTGTCCAAAAGGAACTTTCCAGAGATGTGTAACTTTATACGTCTTTGCACAATGCCAAGTGGGGGGCAGCCAGAGCTTTAAAAGCACAAAAATTAGGAAATTCAGTTGTTAATCTTCCTCCTTTCTCTAAACCCAACATCTCTAGTCTGAGATCCTTCAAGCTGCCTTTGCCTCCATCCTCCCTTTTCTTTCCAGCCCACTTCTGAATCCAGCCTTTGATTCTGCTGCACCTCCTGCCTTGAGGCCATCTCTCTGCCCAACTTTCCTCATTAACCATATATTCTGTCTCCAAACCATATATCCTCTAAATACTTCCCAGCAGTATATAACATTCTTCTCCATCCCATTACTCCACTTTAGTGAAGCAATAGAATTCTGTCTTTGAATTCGCCCTGTGCCTCACTCAATCTCACCAAAGCATGCACCTATCAAACTTGTGTCAAGATAAACAATGATTTCCAATAATTATCATATGGGTAATAAGATTTTGGGCCTCAATCCTTCATTTGATGCCCAAGATTTCCTTTGAAAACCTTTTTCTTGACTCTAAAATATTCAGACTGTTTGTTATTGTGCGTGTGCAGTGCGTGCTAGGTGCTACCTACTATGAGTGTTCCTAGAATAGTGACAGAGCCTACAGTAGAGTAAGTGCCAAAAACCATGCCCATGAATAGCTCTAAGATTTAAAATAATTGCGCTTTAGGAGAGGTGCAAACATCAGACCAAGAGAGCTCCGCGAGGGACCACCTTTCTGGCCTTGAAGGATGAAGGTGATTCTGTGAGGGGTATGATGGATTGAATATGCTTAGAAGGGTGACCAACGTGGGCAGACACAGATTAGGAAAGAGAGCCAGGGTGACTTATAACAAGTGTCAAAGCCTGTTTGTAGAGTAGTGAGTTCTACAGTCCAACTGGGCTGAACACAGAACGCCAAGAACAATGGGGAGTGACAAGACTGGGGAGGAAGGTTTGGGCAAAATCCCCAAGAGCCCACAGTTGTCTTCAGACAGAAGGAAATCAGTGGCCAGCACTCTCTCATTCCCAGCTCAGGGGCTTTGCCCAGACCATGCCTAGGATGCTCTCCTCTCCTCCTGGTGTCCTATTAGATTGTCAATACTTTCTCTAAGTCACCTTGCACTGTGGAGTCTTTTCTGCCTACACCAACACAGATGCCACTGCAGCAAGCAATAGCATATGGCCAGCCAGCCCAGGCTCAAATCCCAGCCCCATTACCTCCTAGCTGCTTGCTTTGAGCACATTGATCTCTGAGCCTCGGTTTCCTTGAGGTGATGGAGGTGATAACCATAGCTTCCATCTAGAATTGTGAGTCTTAAAAGAGATCATTGTGCTCAGTTAAAATAAATGGAAGGTATTATTTTCAGCGGTGATATTAAACATATTTTACAACCAGATTAGCATAGGCACTGACTGGTCAGAATGAACACCAGCCATAAGCAGCCAAGCGCATCTTGGATGAAGGTCAGCCGAGGCTGTTACTGTTACCATCGTCTTCATCATTATTATCAGCACCTACCCACGCAGTGCTTGTCTTTCTTTACCTCTCTAAACTCTCAGTAAAGAGTTCTTGCAGTTTAGCAGTTACATCATACAGTGAATCAGGAAACTTAGAGGTACGTGCAGATTAATCATGTCTTAAATAGCTTGCATTTTCTTAAACCTTAGCATCGTGTTTGGGAACATATATCAATTAGTTTGGGTCGAAAGAGATTCTACTCCCACAAATGCCCTCAATTTTCCTATATTTGCCCATATCAAGATCACTACATTTGCCAAAAAGGAAAAAAGTTCAAAAAGAACATGAAAGTGTCATCTGTAAAGGTAAAAAAAAAAATGCATATATTATTGGGACTAGCATTACCACTTCTGGACATCATCTGTTAGAAATAAAAGAATCAATGCTCAGGAATGTAGGCAAATAAGTGATTGTCACAGCTTGGTCTGAAATGGCAAACTGCCTGCATATCCTGGATGACTGAGTGCCATGTGCTATTCGGCAATTTGTAAGAATGAGGTTGACAAAATATATTTGAAAGATGCCTATAAAATGGCTGAGTGAAAAACATCAAATTAATGAATACAGTGTTTAGTATGATACGGTTGACCTAAAAAGAATAGATATGCATACACATGCATGCATACATTCACATGCATACACACATGCACACGTGCATACACACACATGCATGCATACATTCCCATGCATACGTGCATACACACATTCATGCATGCATACGCACATGCATACATGCTTATACACAGTCATGCATGATACATTCACATGCATACACACATTCATGCATGCATACATTCCTAAGAAAAGAAAAGAGTATGGAAGAAAATATACCAAAATGCCTCATTAGGGGTAGACTTAGAAGGAGGGAAGGGAGCATTTTAAATTTGACTTTAGATTCTCCGGCAGTGTTTGGATTTTTACCAGCAGCACGTATTACTTCTGAAGTTCCAGTGACTGAATTTTTTTAAAAGCCACGAACCTATAATGCACAAGAGGAGTGACTAGTACGTAATTCAGATATATACCACACTGAAGATGTGGCCTCTTGAGATCAAAAAGCAGTGGCTGAATAATGTCTATACTTCAAGTATCATGATGGGGTGTGAGGGGGATGGAGCAGTTGGAGTCTCATCCTCATGCCTAGATGAAGAGACCCCCAGGATTCCAGTCCTCAGGTGACCCCCCTGTCCTTGCCGGAGTTATCAAGCTGACTGGGGAGCCTGGAGGTACAGCTGCACATCTCAAAGAGAAGTCTCCTGTAAAAGTTGACAGAAAGCCAGCAATGAGGACTGTCAACCTGCCTGATAAGGGGAACTTACGTAATTGCAGTGGGTGAGCCATTCTATTTAGATTCACGACCGGCTGAGTCATGATTGGAAATGGTTGGCCACATAATTACAAAGTTTGGGTTCCTGAATGATGAATTAGAAGCAGCGGCTTCATTTTATGCAAGTCCTGCTTAAAGCCCCATTGCCTTAAATAGATCCCTTTTGAAATGAATCACACTGTAAACTAGAGACTGGAAAAATAGATTGTATTGAAAGTGAATCCAAAAAATTCATTTTTTTCCTCAGACTCAACTAGCCAAAATGTTAAAACTTGTATTTATATGAGGCTTTCATAGTACTCTTGGTCTAAACCCAAAACAGAGGCTACAAATCATGTTATAAAACCCTTTTTCAATAATTAAATTTTTTGCAAGTGTGAGGAAGGAATCCTAACGTTTTACAGATCCAGAGAGCTAAACATGACTTTCAGAGGACATGGTATTCCCTCATTCCAATGTCCACGCAATCTTCAAGCTCTTACAGCCCTGAAACAAAGCCTGGTAACAGTCTCCTTCCTTCCTTCCTTCCTTCCTTCCTTCCTCCCTCCCTCCCTCTTTTCCTTCCCTCCCTCCCTCCCTTCTTTCCTTCCCTCCCTCCCTTCCTTCCTTCTTTCCCTCACTTCCTTCCTTCCTTCTTTCCTTCCTTCCTTCCTTTTCTTTCCTGCTCTCCCTCCCTTCCTTTCTCTCTTTCTTTCTTTTTTTCTCTCTCTCTTTTTTCTTTCTTTCTCTTTCTTCTCTCTTTATCTCATATTTTCCTTCTTTCTTTTTAAAATTTTTTATAGTGATAAAATACACATAAAATTTATCCTAACCCATTTTAAGTGTTAAGTAGTATTGAGTGTATTCACATTGCTGGGCAACCAATCTCCAGCACTTTCTCGCCTTAAATCTGAAACTCTGCACCCATTAAACACAATCCCCATTTCTCTCTCCCCCTAGTCTCTGGCAACCACAATTTTCCTTTCTGTTTCTATGAGTTTGACCACTCTGGATACTTCACATAGATGGAATCATCTGGTATTTTTCTTTTTGTGACTGGCTCATTTCATCTAATATAATATCCTCAAAGTTTATCCACATTGTAGCATATATCAGAAATTCCTTTCTTTTTAAGGCTAAATAAAAAAGTTAATGTAGTATATTGCCTTCTAGACTTCCTATATATTTTTTGCTAGTTTATTATCTGAGTGCTTATAATCAACATTTTAAAAGAAAGCAAATATTATAACTAGCAAGAACAACAAAATCAGCAAAGGAAATGCCCACTATCACTGTTTTCTACCATGTGAAAAATATCTGGGCATTAAGTATGCAAATGATCACTGCTTTCTACCATGTGAAAATATCTGGGCATTAAGTATGCAAATGATCACTGCTTTCCGCCACATGAGGACACATAGAAGCCATTGTCTATGAGGAATGGGCCCGCCCCAGACACTGAATCTATTGGTGCCTTGACCTTGGACTCCAGAACTAAAAACTGATGCCAAAGTCTGGGTTTTGTTATCTTCCCTGGAATCATCAGGAATATCCCAAGTTTGAAATCTGGTTTATTTCCATCACTTTGGTTTGGGACACATCCATGGATGCCTGGAAGGGGAGAGAAGTGTCCTTTTAAGTTTAGCTGTTTCCAACCATTTTTTTATTTGTTTTATTTTGATTTAGTAAATGTATTAAATGTCTGCCACGTGTTAGAAACTTTTATGTTAGTAAATCATAGTTATAAGAAAGAAGGGGAGAGAGAGACGGATGCTCACTGAGCCTCCCTCCCCAGTGAACGCTATCCATAAATTGAGAATCGTAGCTAGGTAGTCTCTCACTGATGGTGACAGAGTCAAATAAAATATAAATTGACACTAAAGGAAAACTGGAAATTTGTCAAAAGATGACCTTCATTAAGGCAATGCACTTATTTGAATGATCCGTGGTGTGGCCTGGGCAATGAAAGTTTTTTGGGTGCCCCAGGGGGGCCTTTTGGGGGCCTATTTTATCACCTGTTGTAAAGCCAGGGTGGGGAGGAATGTGGTAGGTAGGTGAACTGTTGATGCCAAGGCCAGCTGACATCGGGCCCTGGATCTGATCCCTCTCACTGCTCCTGGGCCTGACTCCAGCCCTGTTCTCTTCTGACTTCGTCCATTTCCTTCTCTACCAGATCATTCCCTTCACTGTCACTCAAACAGGCTGCCATTTCTCCAATAGCCAAATAAGAACCCTTTTCTTAACCCACTCTGATCCCTAACTTCTTTCTCATCTTTCTGCTCCTCTTGATGGGAAAACTCATTAAATGAATTATCTGCTCTTGTCGCCAAGTCCTCTCTCACTGCAAGAATGCTTTCTTTGCCACCTCTCCAGGGAAGCTGCCCTTGTCCAGTGACCTCCAGGTTGCCAATGCAATGGTTTTTCTCAGTTCTTGAGGATTTGACCTCTCAGCACTAAGTTATCTCTCTGCTTCCTGAAACGCTTCTTTCACTTGGTGTCCAGGTGACCAATCCTCTTGACTTTCCTTTCCTTGCAGGCTCCTCCTCAGTTTGCTGCACGTGTTCCTGTCTGTCTCCGCAGATCTGGTCCAGCCTTATGGGCCCTACTGCTGTTCCTGAAGCACGTCAGGCATGACCCTAGCTCATGGTCTTTGCACCACTTGTTCCCTTGCCTAGAGCTCTCTTCCCCTAGGGATCCATACCCACTTCCCAAAGGTCCTCCCTCTGCTTCCCCTTCAGAGAGCGTGTCCCTTCCCACCAGCTCTCAATATTCTTCACCTACATCTACAGTGCCTCAAGCACTTACGTCTGCTGATTTGCTTCATCTGTCTTCCCCTCTAGAAACTGAGCTCCACATGGGTAAGCATTTATTTTGTTCATTCTTTGCTGTCCTCAGTATCTGCAAAGTGCCTGCACACCGTAGGTGCTTAATAGTTGTTCATACACATTTTAGAAGAAAAAATATATCAAAAATTGATCAACAGAGTTTATTATGCATTTATTTTAATAATTAGTACTTAGTCATAATCTTAAAGTTTGCTAAGGATAAAATATAAAATTTCTCAAAAGATTTTATTTAAATCTTCAAGATAAACATTTCTTTCTTCTTTACTTTCTTTTTTTAACTACAGAACTTATGTGACCACTTACACAGATTTACATTAAGTAGCTACTGGCCAGCACTCTTGATCCTGAGGTAGCAAGAGTATACATACATATATATATATAGAGAGAGAGAGCTCAGAAATATAATTATATTAAAATGCTGTATATCAATTGCATTTTCATTTAATACTATATCTTAGGCATCTTGCTGTGTCAGTAGACTTGATTTTGCATCATCATTTCAATGACTAAAGGGCTGTATTACTTAATAGTAATGACAATTTCACTACTGTCATTGTCATTACTATTAATGCAATGTGCCTATCTATAGATAGACCTTAATAGTAATGACAATGATAGTAGTGAAAATTTAGAGTACTTATAATATGTCAGGTGTTTTGTTAAGCACTCAAAGCACATTGCTTCATTTAATTCCCACAACAACTCTAAGAGGCGTGATTAATTATTTTGTTATACTTATGAGAAGGCCAAGGCTTAGAAAGTCACTGGGCTGAGATTCAGACCCAGGCTTATCTGGTTTCCTGTGCGGACTCTTATACCACCCGCTGCTGCCCACACATTTTTCCCTGTCTCTATTTCCCTGGTGATGAATTTCTAGAAATAGAGTTTCTGGGTCAAAAGTTATGTACAATTTGACTTTTGAAATATATACAAATTTCCCTCCAAAAATGTGTCATGATTTGTTATTGCTTATTTACCACAATCCAGCCATCCTGGGTATCTTATTATTGCTTTAATATGCATTTTAATTACTGATGGTGTTATATTTCTTCTTTTACAAATTGCTTGTTTGTGTACTTGTTTTTCTATTGAGATATGTCTTTTTCTTATATTGATAGAAACTCTTATGTCTAGACTATCCTTATAATATTTTTTCTAGTTTATTTTTCTTTATATGTATAGATTTTGTCATTGAACCAAAGATTTGCATTTTGGTGTAGTCAAATCTCTCCGTGGTGGTTTCTGGTTTTGTGCCCAATATCATAGACAAAATCACTGAGAAGTTTATTCAATCATTTTAATTTTATTTTTTAAATTAAAGTATTTAATTACCCTGAATTTTGTGTGTATACATCGTAAGGTAAGAATTCAGATTTGTTTTTTTCTAAGTTATTAGCCAAAAACCCAATACATTTATAAAATATATCTTTTTCCCAATGATTTGAGACGCCACTTTTTAAATTTATTTTATACTTGAGGTTTTTTCTAGAGTGACCACTTCAGTAATCAATCTTTTTTTTTTGTTTGTTTTTAGAGATGGGGCATCTCACTATGTTGCCCAGGCTTGCCTCAAACACCTGGGTGCAAGAAATCCTCCCTCCTCAGCCTCCCCAGTAGCTGTGACTACAGGTGAGAGCCACCACACTTGGTTTCAGTGGCCAGTCTCATTTTCTTGCATGAGCACTGTACTGTTTTGAGTGTGTAATAAAATAACTTAGTATCTGGTTGTACTTGTTTCACCCTCTTTCCCATTTCTTTAACAGTCATGGCTACTTTCCCATATATATTTTTTCTCTGTTATACTTATGAAAAGTGCAACAGAAAAAAATATGTATATGGGAAAGTAGCCATGATTGTTTAAGATAAGATTTAAAATTTTATATTTTCAATTTAGAGTCTTTGTACCTAAGGAAAATGTATCACTTTTTATTTCCTCAAGTCTTTGTTTATAGTCTTTAAAGAAAAGTTTTTGTTTTCTTCACATAAATTCTATACCACATTTGCTAATTTTATTTCTAAAACTTTTATCACTGCATTTGCAAATGGAATCTTCTATTTTCATTATACTTTCTGCATATTTATTGTTGGTATCGTAAAATGTTGATTGTCAAGAGCAAGTGTTTGGGGGCGGGTGTGAGGCTGTGAGAGCTTGTGTGCACTGCTGGTTGGAACATGAATTCAGAGCTGTGGGTTCTGTCTGGAAAAGAGAAGATATGGGATTCTCTTCAGTCCCTGGTACGTACTCTAGATCCCTGGGATCTGGAGAAACACTTGAGACAAAGAGATATATATATGAATGCTCATGACAGCAAACAATGGGATAAATAGAGCTCTATTCATGCACTATAATAATTCATAGTAAGGCAATGATGGCTAGAGCCCCACGCACCCACTCAGGTGAATCCCACAAATTCAGTGCTGATTGAAACAGGTGGGCCAACAAAGAACCCTTCCAGTAGAATGCCATTTCCTTGAGACAGCAGCCAAACAGCCAATGAAATTTAAGAAGACATACATTTTTGAAAATTTTATTTATTGTTTTTCTGAGATAGGGACTCACTCTGTCACCCAGGCTGGAATGCAGTGGCATGATCATAGCTCACTGCAACTCGGAACTTCTGGGCTCAAGTGATCCTCTGGCCTCAGCCTCCCAGTTGTGCTCCATCACTTCTGGATAATTTTGTTTTTTGTATCTTTTTTATTTTTGTAGAGACAGGGCCTTGCTATGTTGCCGGGTGTATTAGTCTGTTTTCATGCTACTGATAAAGACATACCTGAGAATGGGTAATTTATAAAGAAAAAGAGGTTTAATGGACTCACAGTTCCGTGTGGCTGGGGAGGCCTCACAATCATGGAAGAAAGCAAAAGACACTTCTTACATGGGGGCAGGCAAGAGGGAATGAGAGCTAAGCAAGAGGGGTTTCCCCTTATAAAACCATCACATCTTATGAGACTTATTCACTACCATGAGAACAGTATGGGGGAAACTGCCTCCATGATTCAGTTATCTCCCACCAGGTCCCTCCCACAAGGTGTGGGAATTATGGGAGCTACAATTCAAGATGTGATTTGGGTGGAGACGCAGCCAAACCATATCACCAGGAATGGTCTCAAACTCCTGGCCTCAAGTGATCCTACCACCTCAGCCCCCCAAAATGCTGGGATTACAGGTGTAAGCCACCATGCCTAGCTCATATTTTAAAATGTATTAAAAAGTGCATGAAAATGATCAACACCAAATTCACAATAAGGATTTACCTCTAAGGGAAGAATGTGATCAGGAGAAGAACATGCAGGGCTTCAACTGCAGTGGCAATGTTTAATTTCTTAAACTGGATAGTGGGTCCACAAGTGTTTCTATGGTTTTCTTATTTTGTTCTATATGTCTGAAATATACTAATTTATAAGTAAAAACATTATTGCTTTTTGTATGCTCATATTGTAACCAGATGGCTTACTTAGTTTTTCTGTTGGTTCTAAGAGTTTTTCCACTGGATTTTGTTGGGTTTTCCTGGTAGTAAACATATTATCTGAAAATATAAACTGTCTTTGTCTTACCACAGTATAACACTCTGATTCTGATTTTTTCCTAATTTTATTATAGCATTTCCAGAACAATGTTAGATGCTGTTGAGAAAAGTCCTCTATTCACATATTGCACCATCGAACATGACATTGGCTATTGTTTCAATGCAGTGATAAGACATATGTGACTTAGAGATGTGGAGTATGATGTATGCACACATGTGACAGACATATATATATAACATGAATGTATTGTGGTTTTTATCTCATATCTTACTACAAGGCATCTTTCCATCTATTTTAATAAGACTTGTTAGCCTTGCATATGTGTTAAATATTATCTTTTGATGTATAAAGACAATCATATGATTTTTCATCATTTGATCTATTAAAAGAGCATACTATATTAATAGATTTTTTCATGTTAAACCATCCTTACATTCCTGGAACCTGACCTTTGAATATTACTTTTAAAAATACACACCTATTTATCTGCTGACACTGTATTAAAGACGTTTGCTTTTATGGTTCAAGCTGGATTGGATTGGGTAGTTTTCCCATTTGTGGTTGCCCTGTTGGCAAGAGGGTTAAGCTGACATCAGGTTAGAAGAGGAAAGCTTATTTCTTTCTGCCCTGGAACAGTTTATAGGCCCTAGGATTTATCAGTTCCTTGAAGAAATGAAAGAACTTTCTAAGGAGATCATGGATTTTAAGATGAGAGGTGTGGGGTGCTTTTTGACAGTTTTCTCAATTTTTACACCTCTATGATTTTATTTTCATCTTTAGTAATGAAATCCAAAGACAGCCTTGTTTTACAACCACTGCAGTTATGATGTCTCCCAGCCTTACTTGTTTCTCCTGCTGCAGGTAAAATGATTCTTGTGTAGACTGAAGACATATTTTACTACCATCTGTACAATCTGTGTTTTATTTGTGAGAACTGTGTTTTTCCCTTTTTCAGACTTCCCTTAGCAAATAAAACAAGGCACTTCCTTCAAGAGCTGAATAGGGGATATTGCCAATGTTTTATCCAAGTTATGATAACCTCAGTATGGCTCACAGTACATTTTCAGGCAGCCACAAAACATTAGAGTGACTAGCTGCCCTTCTTACTAAGAAAGGAAAACAAAGAAATTCGGACGAAAAACAATAAAGTAAAAATAGTGTCCTTTGCAGCAGGATTTTAAGAGGGCAATCATAATAAACCTTGTATTTCTTTCTTAATGTTGACAGGTTCCTGCCATGAGGTAGACAGTAGAGGTCAATTAAGATTATTGGTCGGAAAAGTTTTAGGCAGAAGGGTAAAAAATCCATTATCTGTCTTAGTGTCAAAGTCAACCTGTAGAAAATTCTGAACAATGACATTCTGTGCAATAGCAGAAAAATATTGTTGTAAATAACTTATAACTTTTTAAAGTAGCCTCATGTTGTTTTTCAATGGATTCAAGACAGCCTTCACTCACAATGATTACAATGGTTGTTATTATTTTGTAAACGTTCCCAGTCAATATTCACTAAAAATCCTCATCTGATCATTTTCGTTATTCCAAGAAATAAGACCCAAGCCTTATGTAATTAGAGGTTCATTATTCTTTTTCAATATGTATTTCTGCAATATTAACTGCAAACCTCTTTAAGCCCACATTAATATTGGATGTGTTCATGATTGCATTAAGCTAATCAGCTTCCCCTCCCCCCTTTGCTGTAACACAGATTTGGGAGTTTAGCTTTTATCTCACTAGTTCTGTGGACTAGCCCCATGACTTACCTGCTAGTAGGCACATGCCAAGGATGGCAGGAGGCAACAGATTTGCCACACTCCTTAATACTAGGATTATTCTCCTATTCTACTTTAGGAGTTGCTTCTTTTACTAGTCCTTGCCTTGATGAGCAAGAACAGGACTTTGCAGGCCAATAACCTGAAGAATTTTAGTTCTTCCATTTACTTCAACAACACTTGGCAAATTGATGTCTAAACTTCATTCTTAAGTCTATTATTAGCAATTTAGGTTCAGAAAAACACCCATCAAATCAAATTAAATTAAATTAAACATGAATGTTCTTAGTTTCATGGTTTAGTATATATATAATTTATAAATATGCTATACCATAATCCTAAGAAATTTATCCTCAGTTTTGTCTGTATTTAAATAGCTTTATGATTAAAAAAAAGTTTATGTCAACTTTAGATGGTCAAAATATTTTTATAGGGTCCATATGTCTCCAATTTGAGAACACATTTCATGTCTAGCTCACTCTGGTACCTACAATGTCCTTCCTGCTCCAAAGCCCAGTAGAATTCCTTTTCCTCTCATAAACCTTGACTCCAGAATAATGGGGAAGCACACAGCACTCACACTCCAGGGTAAAAGCTCAAGGTTTTGAGCTCCAGGTGTCCTCACTCACATTCTCTGTACTTTTCTTTGACTTGATTCACTCTTTCACACCATGTGTGTTTATCTCCTCATCAAAATGTTTGCCTCTGTAAGGACAGAGACTCCACCCCTCTCACCTATTCATGCCCTCTGGGCAGAGCGCAGAGTTTTTGTGCAAAGTAGATGCCCAATGAATGTCTTTTAAATAAAAAGAAACTCAACCAAAGACCAAGACCACCCTGCATTGTTACATCCGTTCACGTGTTTCACAGCATCTTGGGGGATGAAGTTAAGTTTCTAACACAACTGCAGCATCTCTAGCAAGCACCCACCTCATCTGCATGTGAATGCCTGCAAGCACAGAGAGCTCACTGTAGGGCAGGCAGCACACTTATGGTGGTTACTTTGGATGGTTAGTTAATCCCTTCTGAGATTATATTGGAGAACCTGCCATTTTGTGCCATTTGCTCCAATTCTGCTTTCTGGTATTAGACAATCTGAACCTGTTCTGCACAAGAGTTCAAAGAGACATGCATGACAGGTGTTTTTAATTCCATTTTTCCTATGAGGAAACTGAGACCCAGAGGACTTAAAAGATTTGCCTAAGGTCACTCTAGTGAGGATAGAAGCAGAAACAGTTTCAGATGTTTCACAGGTGAACTTGGCCATCTGGATTGAAAGCTACTGGAAGATATGACCCATGTCTCAAATCCATTTGCACCTCCCTTACCACGTGGCCTAGTCCATAGTAGAGTTCACAATAAGTGCTTCTTCAATGGATGCATAAATGCATAAATTAATGTCTCTGGGATGAATAAATATAGGCTAAAGACCCAGACACTGTACCCTACACTTATCAGAGACTGTAGCAATTAGCATATGCTGCTTTGTGGATTAAAGCCACAGGTGATTCATGAGACTGTTTGGAAATGACACAGGACTCTGGAGAGAATCTTGCCAAAAATGGAATACTACAATATGCTTTGAAAGAGGCAGAAATTGGTATCTTGGCTCATGAGGCATACAACATGGGAACAGCCTGAACCACCACTTGGCTCTGTGCTGGCATTTTCCTAATTCTCTAAATATATGTAGTAAGAGGCCCCAAAGGAGAGGGGTGAGATCTACCTGCTTAGACTCAGAGCACAGACTCCCCCACACCTCAGTTCCTGGGAGGTCAGATGGGCAATCACTAAAATGGAGGAAGACAACCTTTGTAACTTACTCTGGTGGAAAGAAGGGGGAGCCCAGAAGAGCAGGTGCATCTTGAACTGGGCAAGAGGCAGCCCTGCCTGGTCCTGTGCAGGTGGCTACAATGGCACAGCAACAAGGTCAAAAGAGGGGCTGGTGCCAGTAGCAGCAGAGGCCAAGTGCCCAGACACTGTTTGCACTTGGTCAAGATGATGATAATTGGTAGGCAAGGTGCCTGCAAGAGCACCCATGTCACCCATAGTCAAAGCCAAGACTTGTCTATGACCACGGGGCTTTTAGTGTGATGATTCCCCAAAGCCGAACAGAAAGAGGCTCAAGGAGAGAGACTTGGCAACATTTGCTGGAGGAGTAGTGGCTGATGCTCAACCTATGGAAGACTGAGAAAAAGGAGAATTCTACAACAAGCACAGAAATGCTTTCTCTGCAGAAGGCAACTTGCGGAAGAGCTGGTGTGAACCACAGGCAGAGCAGATTGAGCAGTGGTCCTGAGCTAGGTGGCAGCTGGCCTGGCAACCAAGAGAGACTGGGGAACATCTAAGAAATCCCTGAGGCTTCCCAGATATCCTTGGAGAGCAGAATTTGCTGTCCTGCAACTGAGCAGGATAAGGGTTCAAGTGATTGTAATTTGGAAAATTTATGTGGCCTTGTGAGACTTTACATGGGGGAAAATTTGTAGCACCCCATAGACTGTTTGCCAGATGGAAACATCCAGTGTCTGCAGCACTGAGTGGACCTGCACTTCGCCAGGCTGCTAAGACCTCGGCAGTAAGACCTGGACCTTGAAATTCCTGCACCAACTATGTGCCAGAGTTTAACTATGTGGATTCAGAATCATTGAATTTGACAGAAATTCAGGGTCATCAGAAAGAGAGAATTAGTGGTTTACGACCTTATTCAGCACAACCTGCCTGTGTCTCAGGAGTGAGACTTTGACTCCTACATGCAATGGTAAAATAAACAGCGTCCAAGCTTCTCCTTTTCTAATCTTCCAAATTGATCTGCTTCAATTCCTAAGCAGCCCACTTCATTTGAAATAGTTCTAGAAATGTCTAAAAGTCATTTTGAGTGAATTTGTCTCTCTAGTAGATGAAGAAGTAGATCATTCTTTGATTTATTTTTTCTCCTCTGCCTTGGTTTTCCAGAGCGGTGTCACACAGATGATATTGCTGACTGATTAATGTACATTTAAGGTATGTTGAATTAAGTGTCTGATGCACACATGCCCAAATAATCAGTTAACCAATTGCCTGGCTTTTCTTTTGCTTCGTTTAGCTCATCAACTGCTCTTCCCACTACTGACCTACATGCCTCATAGTGTGGCCCTGTACAGCAAGATGACACCAAACAAGCAGATGTCTCAAGCAGAACAGTCGGCTTTCATTAGAACGAATACCTTTTTCTTAGCCTCATCTTCTTTTAAAGAGGTTTCTTTCATTTATCTTCGTTTAAAATGTGCTATTGAACTAAAACAGGGCACTGTTAACAGTCACATCTGAGATTCCTGGACTCACAGTGAATCCAGAGCTGATCACCCCCTGCTTCTCCTATATCTTTTATACAACTAAATCTAACTCTTAGCTTCCTCTCTGCAAAAACTCCTTTTATCTTGCTTATTTGAAAAATCTCATTAGCACATTTTGGTCTTTTCCTAAGAATGTGACTGAGTCTTAGCCATAGCAAAAGGAACTCTGTAATCAGCCATGATCTTTCAATAGCCCCCCTGAGTTTGTAGAAGGAGTGAGATCATCAAAGCAATCCTTGACCCCAGGAAGAAGACAACAACCAACATGAGCAGAGTCAGGGAACTGAGTCCAGTGGGTAAGTTTTCCTGAGTCATAAACAAATCAATGAGTCACCGTTAAAGAAGAAAAAGTCTGAATGTTCTCCAGATTTCATTAGAAAAGAAATTATTACATGCACTTTCACGAGCCTTTGTCTTGTTTTTCAATGTGCCACTTAAACACACAGAGACAGCCGAGAAGTGTTATTTGCAAAGTCACCGTCAATGTGTAGCAGACACGAGTGGGTTTGAGAAAAGGTGGAATCTCTGCAATGCTCACCATTTTCAGGATCTCCTATACGCCTCTACTTCCAGTCAATCACCTGTCACCCAAGGACTTCTACAACCTATGGCTTCAGAGAAAACCCTCCGTGTTTCAGTCTGTTTTTGAAGAAAAGGATGGCCCTGAGCAGGTCTTAGCTGTGAGCAGGACCCTGATATGCTTGCAGCCCAGTGTTTGAGCATCTTCAGTCCTTGCTTCCCTAGCCACCTCCACTTCTCCAGAACTCATTTATAGTGGCCAAGTCATGGGTGGAACTTTTGATGGGGTGAGGAGGAGTAAATTTTTTTTTCTTTTTGAAAAATAAAAAAAAAGTGTATGAAAAGTCTTTAACAGTATACACTTTTGTAAACCAAAAGTGACAGAGGCAGATCTCAATCCATTTAGAGGTTTATTTTGCCTGTGTTGAGGATGCACCTGGGAAAAAGAAACAGAAGTCACGGTAGGGCCTGTGTCCTTTGCTTTTTCCAAAAAGGGTCTTGAGAACTTTAATATTTAAAGGGGAAAGTGCAAGAAGGAGGGGAAGAAAAAAGAAAAAAATAAGAAGAAGTCAGAATAGGTAATGAGGCAAGCGGTTCCATTCTTGTGAGGCTCTGATTAGCACTCCGTGAATCTACATTTTGTATTTGAAAAGAAAGGGAGTAGAACAATAAGTCAATTATGCATTCCTCTCATGCTCAATAAATCTATATTTTACATAAGAGAAAGTAAACATGTGAAATTACAGCTATCTGTCTGGGGACAGAAGGAAGGCAGTTTTTACATGACTCAGTTCCCAAGCTTAACTTTTCCTTTGGCATAGTGAGTTTGGGGTCCCAAGATTCTATTTTCCTTTCACACTTTTCTGGCACATAAGTTGTATTTAACATATGAAAGGAAGCCCAATTTTATTGTAAACAAATATTTTAAAGTACTCTGTTTATCTATTGCTTATATAAGGAATATTTGGTTGCTGCAAAATAAAACCAAAAGTTTCATAACATAAGTGAAATGTTCCCCTCAACCACCTCTTCCCAATCTCAAGCCCCAGAGAGAACCATTGCTAATTGGATAATGGACTTTAAATGAACAGAATGAAATTGCATTAAATTGAGACTTCGAGTAATTTTAGGAATTAAAAAAGGCATTGAGATGCAATTATCAATTTGCCACCATTCTTGTCTGTCTCTTGCTTTCATGTCTGATGTAAGAGTGTCAGTAACATAGGATCAGTTCACATTTCAGGTGCATGGCTCAGCAATGGTTTTGCTGGATCCTACACACATTCTGGACTCATCCACCTTTGTACTTTGATTGGTTCCTACATGCTACCCAGCCCAGGCCACACCTGTATACTGTGTAGACATATCTCCCTGGATGTGCCACAGGAATCTCAGACACATCTCAAAACTGAAACAATCATCAGCTCCTACTGCCACCTATGGTTCCTTGTGCCTCTGTCTGTCCAAGTTACAGAGCCAGAAAACCAGCAATCATCCTAGGCTTCACCATCCCTGACACAGACTCCACACTATTCTTCATGCAGTCCTATGGATTTTCCTCTCCAAACCTCTTTCAAATCCATGCTATCTTAATCTGAATTGATTCATAGCCTCATCTCTTCTCAACACATTGCAGCAGGCTTGCCAACTCTGCATCTCCAAAAAGACCTCTCCAATCAGGTGTCTTCCCCACATTTCCAATGGCATTCCCTCTTCTTTGCAAGGGATAACTGAACTAGCTTCCTAATTGGCTTCTCTGCTTCCAGTCTTTCTTTGAAAGACGGCAGGTTAAATTCTACTTATTCTTTTGGTCTCAGATAAATGCCATTTCCTTGAAAAGGCCTTGCCCTGATCACCCATTGAAATGAAACACCCTGCCATACTTGTTTATAGCATCGTGGAATTCCATTCATTCCACAGATTATAAATATGTATTGACTTTGGTGTCTATTTATTTAAACCCAACTTTCCTACTAACTTGTAAACTGTTTTGGTCACAACTATATTCCCAGCACCTAGCCTGTCTCCCGGCACAGAGTAGGCCTTCAAAAAATATTTGTTGAATGAATGTGTGAACAAATGGTGTTTTTGAATGGTTCTCTCTCTCTCTTGCCTCTTGTTACTGTTATTTCATTCTCAGGCTAGAGAGATCTCTCAAAGTTGCACATATGATCTTGTCAGTCTGCTGCTTAAAGATTTTAACAAGGGAATTGCAAGAATCCATTCAAACTCTCATGCTTTCTGCTGCTTCCCAACTCTAGTACCCCCTACATTAATCCCCAGGGTGCTGTGAACAAAACCCAACATAAAAGGGAAAACTGGTGGGACCCAGCATAGGCAGGAGAGGAAGTCATTTAATGACAAAGTGACTACAACAATGGTAAAACCACATACAGAAGGGAATACAATTTAAAAATAAAACCATGCCACTGGTACTCTATCCATTTATCCTCTAAACAACTACTGTTTCCCCAGTGGACCATGCTGTTTGTGGTGCTGTGCCTCCTGCCTTCCCTCAAAGTCCCATTCACTATGTTCTGCTCTAGGAAGCCTCCCTGGATTCTTCAAACATTGGACCTTGGTGCAGCTTCTACCTAGATCAAATGAGAGTCTTTTTAAAAATTTGTTTATATAAGCAGCTATCTCCCCCAATAGTTTGTATATTCCTTGAGGACAAGCACCGGGACAGTCATTTTCATATTCCAGCCCTTTCTCTGCACCTATAGAATAGTAGGTGCTCAATAAAATTTGATTGAAAGGGTGATATTTGCAAGAATTAGCATCCTGAATAACAAAGGAAACAGTGGTCAGGATGGACCCATCATGGAGACGACGGCTGGGAACACAGGTCACCCGCAAGGGCTTGCGACAACTGGGTGCCATCCTGGACCTGAGGAATGAATGGATAAACAAGTGGGTGAAAACTGAGCACCCTCCCTTCCTGTGCTCGTCTTCTCCACTTCTCCCAAGGACAAAGCATGGCAGATTGAGGAGCAAGGCTCCCTCTCTCCAGCATTCCTACTGTGGCTGTTTCTGAAAGTTCCTGCTAGCCTGGCAGTCAGCACAGGGCCTGAAGCAGCCCTGTCTGCATGTCTGTTGAAGCTGTAATCACAGCACTTGGTGCCATTTGTCTTGAGAGGGTTTCCCTTGAAACGCATTCATGTCCCATGTAGAGTTAACACACTTCACCAGCATAGTGATTTATTGTTTAGGGAGTAATTATCAGAACTTCTTGTCAACTCTGCTCTATTTTGCTGAGGGGGGAAAAAGATGTATTTTGAACGAAACAAGTCCAGGGCACAGTACCTGTAAGGAATTAGCTGATGAATGAGAGAATGAAGGCACAATGCCGGCCCTAGTAGGGGATGTAATCCTCACCAGATGAAGTCAAACCAGCCTGCCTCTAAATAAATACGACTCTCCACTGTGGGCACAGCATGCTTTGGGCTGGATCAGCAGTTTTAGATGCTTTCCTTCCCTGCACAGGCTTAGTGTAAACTGCGGCCTGAATAGCATTTTACCTTTTTCATTCTTCATTTTTCTCAGCTTGGCTGCCAGTTTTGCTGCAAATATTCAGTTGACCGTTGAACAACATGGGTTGAAACGGCATACTTATATGTGAATTTTTTTCAATAAAAGTTCTACCCAGTGCGCCTGCCTGTCTTGCCTCCCCTTCCACCTCCTCCACCTCTGCCCCCACTGAGACTCTATGTAAAGATGATGATCCACTTCCACCTAATACATAGTAAATATCTTTTCTACATAACATTTTCTCTCTCTAGCTTATTCGATTGTAAAGAATGCAGTATATAATACATATAACATAGAAAAGATGTAATAAGTGACGGTTTATGTTATCCATAAAGCTTCCAGTCAACAGGAGGCCATTAGTAGTTAAGTTTTGGGGTAGTCAAAAGCTATATGTGGATTTTAAACTGCAGGGATCAGTGCCCCAAATCCCAGCATTGTTTACAAGTAAATTGTACTATCCTACAAAAAAGGGTCATTTCTAATCTCCAGGCCTGCCTCTCTCCAACACCCCAGTCCCACAAGTTCAATTTCTTAGTCTTCCAAAGGAACACCCATTATTATAAGATCCACAAATTCTCTGAGACCAAGGCCATCACCTTGCTGTATAGTTAGTGCCCTGCCTGAAATTTATTCTTTCTATGTATGCTTTCACCCTTCCTGTAGCCTCCCAGTCATTAAATGACTTCCTCTCTCTCCTCTGTTGCGTCCCACCAGTTGTCCCTTCCATACTGGGTCTAACTCATGGCATCCCGTTGACTTTAGACCCACGGCAGCTTCCGTGGCTTCAGCCCTTACTTCTACCCACTCAGATTTTCTCAGTAGCCTTGTAACTGATTTCCAATCTCCATTCTCCTCCACCAATCCCCACCTCCAAATCGCCTCCCAATTATTCTTCCTAAGACACAGCTCTTGTCAAATCATATCTCCACTCCCAGCTGTCCATGTCTGTTCATCACCTATACCGTGTACTTCCCAAACTTGCCTGGGCTATTTGTCTTGATTGACTGACTGGTTGAATTTTTCAAAGGAGAATCCTGGAGATTCTGGTTCAATAAGCCTAGAAGAGTGCCTGTGATTGTTAATATCGAGTGTCAACTTGATTGGATTGAAGGATGCAAAGCATTGTTTCTGGGTGTGTCTGTGAGGGTGTTGCCAAAGGAGATTAACATTTGAGTCAGTGGGCTGAGGAAGGGAGATCCACCCTCAATCTGGGTGGGCACCATCTTTTTTTCTTTTTTTTTGAGACAGAGTCTTGCTCTGTCACCCAGGCTGTAGCGCAATGGCCCAGTCTCAGCTCACTGCAACCTCCGCCTCCCAGGTTCAAGCCATTCTTCTGCCTCAGCCTCCAGAGTAGCTGGGATTACAGGTGCCTGCCACCACACCCAGCTAATTTTTGGTAGAGACAGCATTTCACTGCATTGGCCAGGCTGGACTCAAACTCCTGACCTCAAGTGATCCAACCACTTTGGCCTCCCAAAGTGCTGGGATTACAGGCATGAGCCACTGCATCCGGCCTGGGTGGGCACCATCTAATCAGCTGCCAGTGTGGGTAGAACAAAGCAGGCAGAAGAAAGTGGAATGAGCAGACTGGCTGAGTCTTCCTGTCTTCATCTTTCTCCCATGCTGAATGCTTCCTGCCCTTGAACATCAGACTTCATGAGTGCCCAAGAAGTCTTTAAAAATGTCTTGTTTTTTGTATTTTTTGGACAAGTGATTCTTACCATCAGCAAGTCTGGGCAACATCAATCAAACACCTTGGCCAGCCCCATAGAGACGTTCCCTGGCCTGGCTGCAACTCCTCTGCCTTCTTCCTCTTCCCTCACGTGCAGTGAGGTTTGATGTCGTCAGGCCACGTGCCCTGCTCAGGTGGGGCTGAACACACATCTTTCCATGTTCCCCCTTCTGGGCTGCTTGTCCCTTTTTCCCTATTGAAATCACACTCATCCTTTATGGAGAGGAGCCCACCCCACTGCTATACAAAGCCTTCCCCTGTCTGCCTGTGTCCTTTCTCTCCTTTCCTCTTCCATCTGCTTTTCCTCTTTGACCTCACTCCACTCAGAAAGCTCTGATCTGGCATTTACTGTTTCCCCATCTTGTCCTGGTTTTCCTTTCACTCATCATCTCCCCAACTAGATTTTCAACTCTCTGCAAAGGACCCAGGTCCCAGGCCTCCTTGTGCCCCCACAGGATGTAGCTCTTACACTATGATAATTATTCTAAGTATCTAACTGTTTAAACTCTCAACTAAAGCAACACTGTTTCTTCTCCCTGAAACTTTGAACCTGTTGATGAAAAGGTGCTTGTGCTTCAGTTGAGCTGTGAGTCATCTGTTCATTCAACAGCTATTTGAGAGAGGATTATGTGTCAGGCCACTTCCTAGGTGCTGTAGATACAGGAGTGAATTAAACCAGCCCCTGGAATAAACGAAGTGTTCATTCATTCCAGAGCAAGGAAGTGCATAATATACCAACCACTAGCAAGTAACTCTGCACCATGTCAGATGGTGACAGGTGATATATTTTTCATTTGTTATACGCCACAGCAGAGACACCAAGTCTAAAAACATGTATTTAAAATGAGGTTCCATAATAAACTCAAGAGATTTCTAATTGCCCAAATAATACAGTGCCTGGTGAGCTGGATGATGGTGCAGTCCAAAGAGTTAACATCTTGGTATCTGAGCTTCTGCAATCCAATCTGATGGCTGAGTAACAAAATGGGATTTGATCCACTTGGCAAGAGGAAAAAAAGATGTATCAGAGACCCAGAGCAGAAAAATTATAACTTGTGAGATCTGCTTAAAACTACGGGCATTTTGCATCTAATGTTATCTTCACGGCAATCCAAGGAAACCCACACGTAAGCCAGGCATTATTGCTCCTAGATTACAGATCAACAGTGTGGGATCCAGAATGAGGTGCACACCTGTGCTCACATAGAACATGGGAGCAGAGTGGACTCTGGGCTGCCAACCCCTGGTATCCTGTCCCAAAGGCTTTTCCCATAAGGTTATAGAAAGTTGCTCTTTAATAAAATGGGGTACAGGGTCTCCAAAATGCTAAACATACTAATAGCAACTAACAGTGTTACGTATCTGTGCTCAGCACTGTTATAAGAATTTACGCGCATTAGGCCGGACACAGTGGCTCAAGCCTGTAATCCCAGCACTTTGAGAGGCCGAGGTGGGCAGATTACTAGGTCAGGAGTTCGAGACCAGCCTGGCCGACATAGTGAAACTCTATCTCTACTAAAAATACAAAAAGAAAAAAAAAATTAGCTGGGCATGTTGGCATGCGCCTGTAATCCCAGCTACTTAGGAGGCTGAGGCAGGAGAATCGCTTGAATCCAGTATGTGGAGGTTGCAGTGAGCCAAGATCACTCCACTGCACTCCAGAGCTTGGGCGACAGAGTGACACTCCGCCTAAAAAAAAAAAGAAAAAAAAGAAAACTGGGGCCAGGCGCAGTGGCTCATGCCTATAATCCCAGCACTTTGGGAGCCCGAGTGGGTGGATCACCTGAGGTCAGGCGTTCGAGACCAGCCTGGCCAACATGGCAAAACCCGATCTCCATTAAAAACAAAAAGGGAGTTTACATGCATTAAGTTTGTTATGCTTCCCAATGTATCTATCCGGTGGAGTTTACCTCACTCCCATTCCACAGATAAGCAAATTGAAGCACCTAGAGGTTATGTAACTCAGAGTCCTAGTAAGTTGTAGGGCTGGACTTTGAAACTAGGTCATTTGGCTCCTGGTGCCAACATCCAAATCGGTGCTAGACATCCCAACTGGATGTTCTATCCATCCTACTTATTCCCAGCACCAATTCTCAGGAAGGGCCCTGGGAACTGAGTGACCTGCATCACTGACCCCTGACAACTTGAAACCAAACCCCTGGGCTGATGTAATTGCCTGCCTTGGCCTGAGGGAGAGATCCTGAGGGCCTCCAGGTCACAGTTCCTGGACACTTACGAGGGCAATGTTTGGGAAGGATGCTGCAACCCGGTGAGAGGAAAGAAGCCATTCTTTGGAGCCAAGCTATTACGGCTTGGGGATAATTTTTTCCATTTATTTTGCTTCTCCAGCTGAGGAATCATAAGGCATGTATTCTAATTTTATTTTTAATGTTTATGTGATGGGCTAGCTGAGACGTTCCTCCCTGAACCCTGACATTATTTTCTTCCATCATCCAATTCTGTTTCCCGAGGGAGCCCCAGGCTGAGCTGGGTGCTTGTTATCCAGAGTCTATTACCAGCCACCCCTGACAGCGTGCTGCTGTTCCTCTAATGCGAACATGAAAACAGCAAGAAACACAGCATTCTTTCTGGCTAAAAATAAAAATAAAAATAAAAAGCTAGTGTGTGGGAAGTGTGGAGAATCGAGTTAAGGAAGGGAGAGTGCCATATATGTTATATAGAATACAAACAGGCTGGCCTCCTGGAAACACAAATAAGACAGCCACAGAGCACGCATTCCGACTCTACCCTTTCAGAGAGACACAGCTTCAGAGACTTGTTTCACTACTCGTTTTGTGCAAGGAAGTGAAGTCTAGAAAAATATATTCTGTTCTGTATCATTTTGTGATCATCACTTCTGGCCAGGTGGAAACAGAGAGAGAGAGTTGGAATTCTCACACACTGGGATTCCCTAGGCATTTATATCGTTTATGGAGATGAAGAAATTGAACCGCAGAGATCAGTAATCTAGGGGGTGTCACCAGGTTAGGAGTGAATGAATAGAAGGTGCAAATTAAAGTATTGAGTGCATAGAATGGCTAGTTAGGCTAGTCAGGAGATGTTTTGGGGTGGGGTGGGGGCTTCCAGCATCGGCCAGCCATGCACGGCTGCATCATTGTTGCATTAAATCATCCGGTACATAAAGCCAAGTGGAAAGCACTAAGTTGTTTTATTATCATCATCATTATTTTTAATGAGAATTTTCCAAGTTATTCCTAAAGGAGTGTCTCTCAACTCCCATTTCTGTCCAAAATGAATCAGTACCTAAAATATGACCAATCCCTCGTCCTATCCCACACCCAGCAGATACCAAAATTCTTTGAGTTTCCACTTCATGGTACTCTAGGTCACTGAGGGGAGGGAGATGGATACACACACACAGAAATGATATCACAATGTCCCCACTCTTTTGCCATTTATACCCCACAGATGAATCCCCTAATCAGCATTGGCTTGAGAAAGAGCCAAGCTTTTCCAGCCTGTCCGTGTCGCCCTCCTACACTGCCCAGACCACCATGCTGAGATCTCCAATGACCCCACTCTGGAAGATCCTCTGAGATTTTTAACTGGCACAAGGACTTCTGTTTTCTAGGAAGAGTGCTGCTGTGTCAGCTACTGCAGTCTCTAGGATTGGCTGACTTAACTGGAGCTCATTATCTCCCTGGTCTGCTAGAGCTGAGTCCCCAGACCCAACTACAAACCAGAACCAGCCAAGCACTGGATGACATATGGGCTTCCAAGCTCTGCCTCCCAGAACTAGATCAACAGGTCCTCCGGGTGGGGCTCAGGTGTTGAGATTTTAAATGAGATCTCTGGGTGATTCCTCGTGCAGTCAGGACTGGCAGGCATTGGCAAGAAGGGGAGCATTATGCTAAGCGAATGCTCTACGGGAAGGTTTTAATGACAGAAAGGAGACAAGACAGGACTGCAGGCAGGAGTTGGTGGAAGGACCCAATGGGGCTCCAATTAGTGACAGGACAATCACGGAAGGGGTCTAGGGACACCAATGGGGGCAGCTGGGCTTTTAGGCCCCAACATTATGAATAAAGGGCTCAAAAACAGGCAACACCTACTTTGCACTCCTAGATTTTGCCTAGGAACAGTCTGACACATAGACAGCCTTGCTGTGTTGGCCAACATGTGGAGACGAACATTTTTCTCCCAGCAACCCCGCCCTGATGGAGGGCAGATATAAAACCATGCTCATCTGCAAGCAAGGCAGGCTGACTCACCCTTTCCTGAACCCATCTCTAAAGCACCCTATCCCAACCATTCTGCCTTCATTTCTTGGGCAGATAAAGTTGGAGCAGAACCAAACTCATGCACAATGACAGAACTTCTTAGTGAAAACATTAGCTTGGTGCACAATTGTTAGAGTGTCCTCCTCTGTGTCAACCTTGCTTTTCACATTTAGTTGTATGAACAGCTGGGTTCTTGGCCCCTGGGTCCCTGACAAACCAAATAATAGCCTACGTAACAGCCTGGTTACAGTGGTTATGGCCATTTCCCAGAGTTGCCAGAGGTGGCTCCAGCCAACCTGAATTCTGCTTTTCTGGCTCCATGACAAAGCTGTGGATAGATCCCATGTACCCAGGGTCCCAGAACACCTGCACCTTGTGCTGTCTTGAGACAGCAACAGTAGCCAGTTACCCAATGTCTTCTACCAACGGGCTCTTTGTCCAACATTTTACATGCATGATTCTCATCTTGACCACAGCCCTATTCCATATATATGTATATGTGTGTATGTATATATATATGTATATGTATATTATGTATATACACACATATATGTATATATGTGTGTATATTTTATATATATATATATAAAAATATAATTTCATAGCTAAGAAAAGTGAATTTCAGAGAAATTTAGAGAGGCTGCTCCCACATATACAGCCAGTAAGTGGGTTTTAGGTGTTTTAGTATTTTAATAACTAGGCTATTTTCAAGTACTAAGAAGTGAATGCATTTGTTGTAAAATGATTATTTTTATATTTTTAAATCATAAATGAACGCTGAATCATTTGGTTTTTGCTCAACATCAATGACTCAATTATTCAATTAAGATAAACAACAATAACAACAACAACAAAACTATAACCAAACTGCAAGTCTAAACAAGTCTCTGCCAGAGTAAGCCAGGGTAAGCAATCATGTTGTGGTATTGGCAAAGTTTCCATTCCAAGAACAAATCTTCCTCTGGTTTTTATAATTTCCAAACAAATTGGATAAAAAAATGATAGTATGAAAATTGGTATAGTCACCCTGCACTGGATTCACCATCTATGCCTGATGAAAGCAAAGCCAACAAAGATCAAATAACATACTCTCTTAGAAATGACAACCAAATATATAACTCATGGATTAGTCAGCTGGAGCTGCCATAACAAAATAACCAAAGACTGGATGACTTAAACAACAGAAATTTATCTTTACACAGGTCTAGAGGCTGGAAGTCCAAGATCAAGGTGGCAGCAGGGCTGGTTTCCCCTGAGGCCTCTCTCCTTGGCTTGCAGATGGCTGCCTTCTCTCTGTGTCCACCTGTGGCATGACCTTTTTTCTGTGTGTGCATATCCCTGGTGTCTCTTCATCTTCTTATGATACGTGAGTCATATTGGACTGATATCCCATCCTTATGACCCCATTTAACCTTAATCACCCTCTTAGAGGACCTGTCCCCAAATGCAGTGACATTGGAAGTTAGGGCTTCAACATATGAATTTTGGAGGAGGCAGAATTCAACCCATAGCAGCTCTTCAGCAATGAGAGTGCAGTTCCTGAAAAAAAGAGTGTTCAATCATATATCTTTAAAATTATCAAATAAGAAATAGAATTATTTGAATTTTTCTGGAGTCAGAAAGAACTTTTTTTATTAACTTAGAATTAGTCCACCACTGTTTCTTCAACTCATTGCATATAGATTAAGAAAGATATTTTTCAGTAGCTGGAAGAATTTGCCCTCAAAAAAGCTCATAAATGAACTGTTGAGACAATTTTATATTTTTATACAGCATTTTAAAAGAAAGATTACATCGTATTTTATAATCGTGAATCAAAATTCACGGTTACTTAAATTAGTTTCACTTTGGGTCAATAGTTATTTTTTGACTAATGTTTTATTTGTATTCATTTAATCTGCTGAGAATTTATGTGGCTATGATCACATATTTTTAACATTTATAGTTTTATAAATTTACATTTTACTTGGCATTTCTGAATATGTTTGCAAATTGTTATATTTGCATATTTGCAGTGTTACTGAGTGTGCAACGTCACTGGCTTTTTTTTTTTTTTAGACGGAGTCTCTCTGTTGCCAGGCTGGAGTGCAGTGGTGTGATCTCAGCTCACTGCAACCTCTGCCTCCCAGGTTCAAGTGATTCTCCTGTCTCAGCCTCCCAAGTAGCTGGGACTACAGGTGCCCGCCACCATGCTCAGCTGATTTTTGTATTTTTAGTAGAGATGGGGTTTCACCATGTTGGCCAGGATGGCTTCAATCTCTTGACCTCATGATCTGCCCACCTCGGCCTCCCAAAGTGCTGGGATTACAGGCGTGAGTCACCGTGCCCGGCCTGGTTTTCTAACCAATTGGAGACATGTTGGGATGTTGTGCTTCTGCTCCCTGCAATGGTCCCTGGGAGCTGGCTGTGACTCCAGTCCAATCCGTCTCTCCCAGTTTGCTCTGTTTCTGCCATGAGATGGGCTTTCTGTTCCCCAAACTCAACATGCGCACTTTACCTGGCCTTCAGGTGGGGTTTCACCTGTGCATTCCTACAGCCTTGAACACACAGCCCCTCCCCTGCCTGGCTCCCCCATCATAGCTGTCATCCCTCTGTGGATATCAGGCCCATGAGGGCAGCCACAGCATCTGTCTCATTCTATCTCATTCACCACTGCATCCAGGCAACAGGGGCTCCATGAGCACTGAAGGAATGCTGGAAGCACTTTTCTGTGTAACTCCAGGGCCCAACTTCTGGGTGTCAACCCCTTCTTCCCTGGCTCCAGGCCCTTGGCTGCTGTTCCCTTGTTTTTGAACTATGTCTATTTGGTCTGTTCACTTCTCTGAATTATGCTCTTGAGCCTTGTCTCTCTTTCTGGAAGGCCCATCAGTGTTTGTTCTCTGCAGGCTCTGGGGTTCCAGCTCCACTGGGCCTGTAACTTCAGTGGGGGATAGTGTTTCTGGGCTAGTCCTCAGCACCACTTCTCATCTCCTGGACAGACACCAGCCCCTTTCTCTTCTTGTTTCCGGTTAGGTGCATAACCAAGTTACCAGCTCCTGTTCTGAAAACGGCCCACCCGACCTCTGCTATTTCCAGAGTAAGAATGAATGATGAGTAGGAAGCCCCAGGAAGGCTCAGTCCTTACTGACTCAAGTGATCAGCCTCCTCTTCCTTGGCTTTCTGGCCAAGATCTTCTTATTGCATACTTAAGAGCAATCCATTCCATGCTCAGAGAATGGGTTTTTCTAATTTACTTTAAGAATAATAGGAGTGGAGGATGCGAGGTTTCTGGATCCTGACAATGCTCTGTTTCTTGATCTGAGTGCTTGGTACACAGGGTGTTCAGTCTGGGAAAATTCAGAGAGCTATGAATATTTGTGATATGGTTTGGTTGTGACTCCACCCAAATCTTATCTTGAATTGTAACTCCCACAATCCCCATGTGTCATGGGAAGAAGCTGGTGGGAGGTAATTGAATCATGGGGGAGGTCTTTCCTGTGCTGTTCTCATGATAGTGAATAGTCTCATGAGATCTGATGGTTTTAAAAATGGGAGTTTCCCTGCACAAGCTCTCTCTCTCTTTTTGCCTGCTGCTATCCACATAAGGTGTGACTTGCTCCTCCTTGCCTTCCACAATGATTGTGAGGCCTCCCCAGTCATGTAGAACTGTAAGACCAATAAACTTCTTTCTTTTGTAAATTGCCCAGTCTCAGGTATGTCTTTATCAGAAGCATGAAAATGGACTAATACAACTTGTGATTTATATGTTTTTAATATGTGACTCTCCAATACAAATCCCCTTCCCTACATGAAAACCCATACTGAGAAGGAACACTAAAGACAATTTCAAAAATGGCACCCCCCCCAACCAAAAAATCACCCATAATATGACCTTTCTCACTCTCCACTTTTGTGTACTTCATTCCAGATTCTGTAGATATGCATTTCTATTTTATGCAGATCTTTATTGCATCCTGCCTTTCCCCACTTAACAGTACGTAATAAACATTTTCTCATAAGTCAGTTGCTATAATTTTAATTTTAATGGTTTCCCATTTTAATCACTGTTAAATAAAATTTACGAGAGCCTATTGATATGGACTGAGCTTCTGCACTAGGCCCCAGCAGATCAAACCAAAATGGACTCACTTATGCTAAAGTTCCACATCACCAAACCAAAACTTAGTTGTTTATCTGACCTTCTGAGAAATCAGGAGAGAGATGGTGGCCAAATCCACAAACGGTCGAGTGTTAGGCAGCATGATAAGGAAGCCTCCTCTACGTTACCCCTTACAAGTAAAGTAACCTGGTGTTTCCCAATCCCCTTTTTAGATTATGCCATTTCCTTGTTCCTACTCAAGCTACTTTATAAAAATCCACTTTGGCCATGCCTAATGGAGTGTCTCTCCATTTTTAGATGAGAGGCTGCCCAATTCATGAGTTGCTAACAAAAGCCAATTAAATTTTTAAACTAAATACATTGAAATTGTGTTTTTTAACATCATTGTATGGTATATGAAACATGGAAACTCTATAGCAGTTCTCAGCCAGAGAGAAATGCTATCCCCTGAACCTGACCTGAGAGGGTCTAAGAAGAAACCCAGGCCTTCGGGGCAGCTCCTCCCTCCTAGTCTAGCCTGTGGGAACAAAATGGAGAACTATGTAACTCTGTTGAAGCATGGGTTTTCTTGGTGAAAGACAGATTTTTGTATGAAGCAGTATCTAACGTCTGACGCACTTGGATTTTAATCTCTCATCAGCCACTTGCTGGCAAATGATCCTGGTGAATAATTTTGCTGCTTGGAGACTTGGATCCCCATTCTTTGAAAGGAGAAGAATGCCCACCTCACAGAGTTCAGGACTAAATGTGATCACATGTAAAGTGTCTAGAACATTGTAGGTGCTCAGAAAACCTTAGGTAAATGGTGGAAGAGGTAGATGATCATTAGACTCTTCTTCAAACAAATTTAACCACAGGTTTTGGGTCAGATAAACCCAAATTCCAGTGTCTACACCCCATACCACTTACTAAGAGTTCAATCCAGCTCACTTAATTACTAGCTAAGAGAACTTAGGCAGTAATCTTAGCTCTCTCTGCCACATTTTGGGATAATAATACCTTATAATGGGGTTGTGAGAATTAATGTATGTGTCTAAAGTGCTGGGACATAGTAACCACTTGATAATCAAAAGATATTAAATAGTATAGTAATTGTATGTAAAGGTATTACAGACATTACTATTGTACATGTTACTTTTTATAATGTTTGTATTTATATACATTATAAATCTCACATGTCATGGTATAATGTTCACTTTAAATTAGTCACATGTATTTTTATTTGAAGATCTGTAATTTGGGAGATATACACTTATGATTGTCTTAACTTCCTGATTAATTGACCCTTTATCATTATAAAATGTCTGATATGGTTTAGCTGTGTCCCCACCCAAATCTCACTTTTAATTGCAATAATCCCCATGTGTCAAGGGCAGGGCCAGGTGGAGATAATTGAATCATGGGGGTGGTTTCCTCCATGCTGTTCTTGTGCTAGTGCATGAGTCTCATGAGATAGGATGGTTTCATAAATGGGAGTCCCCCTGCACAAGCTCTCCTGCCTGCAGCCACGTAAGATGTGACTTTGCTCCTCATTCACTTTCCGCCATGATTGTGAGGCCTCCCCAGCCATGTGGAACTGTGAGTCAATTAAACCTCTTTCCTTTATAAATTACCCAGTCTTGGGTATATCTTTATTAACAGCATAAGAACAGACTAATACAGTGTCCCTCTTTGTCTCTGGTAATATTTTTTGTTATGATGTTCTTCATGTAATATTTAATTTGTCCAGACAAGACATTGGAAACCACATCTCGGTTTCCTTCTGGCTGTGTGACATTGAGAAAGTTACTTAACCTCTCTGAGTCTCTGTTTCCTCATAAGTAAACTGAAGCAAGGATAATAATAAGATATATATCACATATGTAATAATCATCATCACAGCAATGGATGTTTTTAGAAAAAGAACTAAATAGAATATTCCAAGTCCTAACAGTGCCTGACACACGGTAAGCTCTCAGAAAATCTTTTGTGAATTAAAGAGGGAAGAGAGAAGACTTGAGGAATAATGGGAAGTCCCATTTCAATGCTGAGAGGGCATGGAAGCAACTGTTACACGGACGATGGTTTTTTTAGGAATTAACAACTCAAGCATCCCTTTACTGAAGCAGGCCATATGGGCTCTCTTTTCTGAGTGCCTGTCACTAGCTCTCTAAAGCTCTCAATGTGGGAGAGGACTCTTTGAGTCTGACATTTTGAGTTTTCAAGGTGTTTCATTTGAGGCAGCCATCCACTTGTCAAAAAAAAAAAAAGAAAGAAAAAGAAAAAGGCCGGAGAGGAAGGAAAGTGATTGCCCTACTCCATCCAGAAATCCTTTCATGTAGACAAAAGAGGAGCCAGGTCACATGTCAACCCCTCCCCTCTCTCTAATTCCTCCAACACAGACTGGTGCTAGGTGCATCTTCCTAAAGCCTAGCCCCAAACAAGACACCTTCTAGCTTAAAAAAAAGTGCTTTTCAAAATTTTGTGTCAAGTTATGTAACAAAAGTTTGGACTTCGTGTTCAAAGCCCTCCAGAATCTGCCTCCTGTCCATCTCTCTGGCCTTACCACAAACCTCCAATGCCACCTCCACATGCTGGCCAGCTCCCTTGCTTCCTGAGCCTGGATCACTTTCCAGTGAGTTCTCACCTCTATGTCTTTAATTACACTGTTTTCTCCACTTCATTCACCTACCTCTGTTAACAGTTTACCCATTCTTCAATTACTATCTATCCTGTAGAGCTCTCACCTACCCTCCCTATGTACTGTTTCTCATTCATTTTAATCCAATTAACTCCTTTGTGGGGAAGGGGGATGGAGTTTTGCTCTTGTTGCCCAGGCTGGAGTGCAATGGCACGATATCGGCTCACTGCAACATCTGCCTCCTGGGTTCAAGCGATTCCCCTGTCTCAGCCTCCCAAGTAGCTGGGATTACAGGCTCCCACAACCACACCCGGCTAATTTTTGTATTTTTAGTAGAGACGGGGTTTCACCACATTGGTCAGCCTGGTTTCGAACTCTTGACCTCAGTTGATCCACCTGCCTTAGCCTCCCAAGTGCTGGGATTACAGGCATGAGCCACCATGCCTGCCTCTTGACAAGATTTCAAAGTGACATTAATAAAACAAATGTAGAGACTTGACTGAGAAGTCAATCAAACGAATACAGGATGTGGGGGGCCCACAGGGAACCACAATCCATGCGAGAAGGTCTAAGGGAGCTAGTGGAATGCACTTTCCATCTTGCTGCAAGGACAGCTCATACCATCTTGGTACATGCTCACGGAAACAGTGACCAGACCCAAAGCCACGATCATCACATTGTTATGCGTTAAATCATTGTCTATTCCTGTGTGAGTTCCCCAATGGGCCTGCCTCATTTTTCTCTACTAACATCAGGAATGTAAACGGTGATTACACCTGTCACTGGCAGAACTCAGCATTCAGGAAATCTCAAGAGTTACATCTTCTAGGAAGTTTATTGAGGATCCTCAGGAAAGTGAGACTACGTGGGTTACTTTCTACTGAGGCCTGGAACTGATAGTTGGACCATTCTACTTGACAAAACCAGACGCACAAAATCCACAAACCAGAATCAACCCCACTGTGAAGACTTTCTAAATTAGCTACGGAAAGGAATGAACATGTATCGAATTAGCAGTTTATAATGGGCAATAATTTACCGAAATTACAACTAATTATGGAGCTACTTTATATTAGAAAAGCTAAGGAAGTACTTGCCTTCATGAAAGATCCACTATGTTATTATTCGTTTGGTAGATTCCATCATCCAAAAGAAAGAGGTATGTGAGGAGTGGGAGTATGTGTGCATTGGTGTGTTGAATGAATATTTGTTAGAATGCCACTGTAATACAGCTATTGATTTTTTAACTATTTATCTTTGCACTTTAAGTGGTCATTCTAGGGATTAGACTATACATCTTTATCTTTTCACAGCCTACTTCTTTTTTTTGTTAATTAAACTTTAAGTGCTGTGATACATGTGCAGAACGTGCAGATTTGTTACATAGGTATACACGTGCCATGGTGGTTTGCTGCACCCATCAACCCATCATCTACATTAGGTATTTCTCCTAATGCTATCCCTCCCCCAGCCCGCCACCCCCCGACAGGCCCCAGTGTGTGATGTTCCCCTCCCTGTGTCCATGTGTTCTCATTGTTCAACTCCCACTTATGAGTGGGAACATGTGGTGTTTGGTTTTCTGTTCCTGTGTTAGTTTGCTGAGAATGATGGTTTCCAGCTTCATCCCGTGTTAGTTTGCTGAGAATGATGGTTTCCAGCTTCATCCATGTACCTGCAAAGGACATGAACTCATCCTTTTTTATGGCTGCATAGTATTCCATGGTGAATACGTGCCACATTTTCTTTATTCAGTCTATCATTGCTGGGCATTTGGGTTGGTTCCAAGTCTTTGCTATGGTACATAGTGCACAGCCTACTTACTTCTAAGGTACTACTTCATATAACATAATGAAACTTGCAGCCTTACTGGTCACTTGATCTGTCTTCCATCCTAGATGCTGTAGCTATCATATCTATTATAAATTCCACATGGCATGGTATAACGTTTGCTTTAAATTAGTCATGTGTATTTTTATTTGAAGATCTGTGATTTGGGACATATACATCTATGATTGTTTTAACTTCCTGATTAATTGACCCTTTGTCATTATAAAGTGTCCCTCTTTATCTCTGGTAATATTTTTTGTTGTGATGTGTATTATCTGATATTAATATATAGCTACCCCAGTATTTTTACGCTATACGCATGGTACATCTTTTAACACCTACTTACTTGCATGTCTTTCAACCTATCTATATCTGTGTATTTAAAGCACATCTTGCTTTCTTGAGTTGGGCCTTGCTTTTATATCCATCCAGACTACCTCTGCCTCTTAGAGTGTTTAGTCCATTTACACATGATGGGCTCTTACATTTACATTTGAAAGATAAAGTGGGATTCGGATCTACTATTTTACTATTTGTTTCTTGTTCATCCCATCTATTTTTGGTTTCTCTGCTCCTCCTTTTCTATTTCCATTGGGGTTAATTGAATACTTGGTAGAATTTGCTGTTTATAACTGTTATGCTGTTATTTGAGGTTAGATGACTACCTGGTTGTTCATCTCTCCCTCCCTGTCTCTGGTGTTCTGGTTCTCACCATTCTTTAGCTACTGCCATCCCTACAGGGAGATACAGAGCATCGCAGGTGGCTCCCATTTCCACATCCCTCTCCACCCGCTCGGCCCTCCTTCCTTGCACGGGCAGTTCCCTGTCGCTTAGACAAATGCGTGCACTCACCTGCTGGCAAAAGAAGGCAAAGGAGCATTTTCTAAGAAATGCAGCAGAAGTCTATGTATGACTGAGGTGGGGCCTGCTTTTTTCACTGGTTGAGTTCTTTTTTTTTTTTTTTTCCCTGAGACGGAGTTTCCCTCTTGTTGCCCAGGCTGGAGTACAGTGGCGCGATCCCGGCTCACTGCAACCTCCGCCTCCTGGGTTCAAGCGATTCTCCTACCTCAGCCTCCCGAGTAGCTGGGATTACTGGCATGCGCCACCGCACCCGGCTAATTTTCTGTATTTTTAGTAGAGACGGGGTTTCTCCATGTTGGTCAAGCTGGGGTTGAGTTCTTTTGGTGGTTATTCGAAGGAGCTACTTGAGCAGCCCAGGTGACATTAGTAATGCCCAGGGTCTCAGCTTCGAGAACTCGAAGACACTTGTTGAGAAAAATTCAGGAAGGTAAAGTGAATGCCTCGACAGCACAGCTCCCGGCCTCATGCAGCCGCCGGCAGGACGAGCACGGCCTCACAGTGAGCGACTCTGCTCCTGACCTTGGTCTTCAACCCTGGCCGCACATTACAGCCACCAAGGGGACTTGAGAAGAAAATGCTGATAGCAGGGTACGTCCTCAAACCAATTAATTCAGGATCCTTGGGCCAGGCTCGGACAGTGGATTTTTTTAAAGCTCCCCAGGTAATTCTAACACTTAGCCAGAGTAGGTAACCAGCGAATTTTTTCATCTGGATCTCAGCAAAGGCCGACGCGCCCCAGAGTCCATCTTTTTCCTGATTTCCTGCCCTCTTTTCCTCCTCTTTCTGCATTCATCCCAACTCTCACCTGGGACTCTCACTCAAGGAGCCCAGAGGGAGAACATCTTCATGTGGGGACCATTCCCCATCACCACCCCAGAGGCATTTGGCAATGTCTGAAAGCAGTTTTGGTTGTCACCGCCTGGGGAAACAGTGCTACTGGTATCTAATGTGTAGAAGCCAGGGTACCACTAAACATCCAATAATGCACAGGGCAGCCCCCCAAACCAAATGTGAATAGTGCCAAGAGGGAGAAACCTTGGTCTATAGGGAGGAAAGGTGTGCTACAGTGACCTCAGGCCAGTGGCTTCTCACCCCGGACACAGCTGGGGCACAAGGGGGCTGTGCACAAATTGGAGCCCCAGTCAAATGCACCTATGACCACTGGACCCCCTCTACAAAGAATTTTCTCATATTCCACGTTGGGTAATTCATCTGCTCTTATCAAAATCAGCCAGATATGAGGAAGGGCTAAAACCGTCGAAAAGTAAAATTCTCCAGAGACCAGGGATGACAAAAAGAAAAAAAAAAAAAGGAGACTAAATGTTATTTGCAAAGTCCGTAAACTCAGCAGGTACACTGTAGCTATGCACAACTATTAGCCCATGAAAAATTAATTCTAGTTTTCATTCAGTAGACACTGACATTAAGAAAAAAATACTCAATTTGGAGCAGCACCGTCGTGGCCAATGCCACTGGCTGACTATCTGGGGGAAGGCACTGTCAGTCACCGAGTCTGTGAAGCAGAAAAACAGTAATTTCAGAGCGCTTGCAAATCACCCAAACAGCAACCTGTTTTCTGTTCTTTTTTCCATTTTAAAGCATTCAAGAACCAGCTAGATGGAAAGTACTCCTCTGAAAATTTGAAGATAGAAGGTTTATTGGTTCTTTTCAGACCAAAATAGGGAAAATAAGGCAGTGGCCACAAAGCAAATGAAGTGTGCGTTTCCCTCACTCCATGCCTGATGAATGGAATAGTCACACAAGCCAATCTCAGTGGAGAAGGAAAAGAAAAATGAGCCGTGCACACTGGATTTGCAGGCTGTAAGTCAGAATCAGAGAAGAGAGTCCTGATTCCTCGACAAATAAAAATACCTGCCTTTAGAGAAAATGTTGAGATCTGTTAATACAGGCTGACACTGATGTAATGAAGACTGAGCCTTTAATTCATAACGATCACAGACATCCAGTTCCCTTGGGAAGTGTGGCTATGACTGGGGAAGAAACTCCAGTTCTATTTCATGGCAGGACCCTCCTGGTTACGCAACAGCCACAAGGAGCTGGGGAATGTTTTATGAGGAGAAAGGTTGTTAAGGTGTCATCTCTTGAATTAGAATGGGAGCCTTTTCCTATTATGAAAATTTTAAAGCAAAGTCAAAAATTATCCCCCACTCTTTTCTATTCCCACGACAGGAGGCATCTAAGAAAGAATGATCAGTTAGAAATCTCCAAACATTGGGGTCATTTTTTCTGTGTCTGATTGCTTGGTGTCACTTTCCAAAGTTTCTCTTCTCAGTCCATTTACCAGAGTTCATTTGCTCTTGAGATGACAAAAAAAAGAGTAATTGAGTATCAGTTTGATGGTGAAATATGCATGATTCTCTATATTTATAACCCTCCTAAAGCTAAAATTAACGGATATAGCTGCACTGACTTTAACTGTTCGGTCCTTGGCACCACTGCACTTATTCTGGGTGTTCTCTAGGTCAGAAGAAGCAGGACCCAGCACACCTGGATTCTTTTTTTTCTTGTTTTTGTTTATTTTTTTAATCAACAGATAAAAATTGCATCTATTTATGGTGTCTTTTGATATATGCACACATTGCAGCATGGCTAAATCAAGCTAATTGGCATATACATTGCCTCATATACTTACTTCTTTGCAGCAAAAACACTTAAAACCTACTCTGTTAGAAATTTTCAAGTATGCAACACATTGTTTTTTAAACTGTAGTCACCATGATGTACATCAGATCTCTTCAATTTATTCCTCCTGTCTACCAGAAGTTTTGTATTCTTTGACCAACATCTTGCCCCTTCTTCCCCACCCTGCCACAACCTCTGGAACCACCATTCTACTCCCTGTTTCTGAGTTCACCTTCTAGATTCCACATATAAGTAAGATCATGTAGTAGTTGTCTTTCTGTGTCTGGCTTATTTCACTTAACATAATGTCCTCCAGGCTCATCCACATTGTAAACCACAGAATTCCTTCCTTTTATGGCTAAATAGTATTCCATTGTGTATGTACATATTTCTTTATCCATTCATCCACTGAGGAACATATCAAGATATAATTGATTCCATATCTTGGCAATTTGGAGTAATGCTTCAATGACCATGGCAGAAGTCTTGGATTCTTCATCTAAAATCAGACTGAACATTACTGTCTTGGATCTCCCTTGGTTGAGAAAACAATTAACAGTGCTGTACCGAGGAGAGGCTGGACCGATCCAACATAAAATGCAACATGAGATTGAGAGCCACACTCCTGAGATGGTTTTCTGGAATTGTCCCTTGACTCTGTGGCCTTGGAACAGAATGAGGCCAATCTGATCCAAAAGAAGATGAAATCCAGGATCAGGTTTCATATAGGGTTTTAAACAAACATTTCCTCCATGGATAAATGGAAGGAGTAGGGGATGCAAGGATGAATGAATGAAAAAATAAATAAATGAATTGACAAATGGATGCATTAAAGAATGGTGAGATGGCTAAATGGATGGATGGAGATGGGTAGGACACAGGGCTGGGGAAATCACGTGGTTACATTCTGAAGGGCACACAGACAGGAGAGCTTAATTCTCTCTAGTAGAAGGCTATCCAGATGTGGGAGACTTCAGGATAAAGCCTTTAAATGTTATCAGAAGGAGATAACTTAGCAGAAAGGTTTGGAGATTTTAGAGGTGAGGGACCTGTGAGAAAAAAAAAAATAGTCCAAGGTATATTAAAGGTGGTGGCAAAGAAGGTGGGGGAACAGAGGAGATGAGCATTTGTGCAGGAAAAGATTATTTACAAGCTGTTTTTATCGCTACATCAATGAATTCCATGTTTCTTTACCCTTGAACACAGCTGTATCATAATTGTAATAATATGCCACTGGATTTTGCATTTTCTCCCATATCCTTTCTGTGGCTCCTCTACCATTCCAAAATTGAGCTAGTGATGATTCTTGTCACAGAGGAATTTAGATTTTGCCCTACTGGTGAGGGGAGGTCCTTCAGGACTTTAAAGCAGGGGTGACATTGAGAACTCTAGCAGCAGCCACTATGGGAAGACCAGCACATGCAACAGCAGGATGCAGTGACCCTGGAGAGCAAGGCATTTATCCAGGCCCGACACTCGGTTTCTCCCAAGAGTAGCCAAGGGAAGGCCCACACAGCAGATGGTGTGAGGACGCAGGATGGGAGTGTAGCCCACAAGGGTGGCCTCCATTGCACCAGCATAGTGACAGCACAGTGCGTAGCTCAAGATTGGACACCTACAGACAGGTTCCCATCCCAGCTTCTCCACTTCCTGACTGTGTAACTATTTAAGAAAAATTGATATGACACATGTTAATAATGGGAAGGCAGGCTTTATTCAAGGGGACCCTATCGTGGGGCTTTGCAGTAGGAGAGAGAGATGGCGTCAACTCTACAGTCAACAAGGGCAAGTGCGAATTGGTAGCCAAGGAGCAAAGTGAGGGTCAGTGGGTAAAAAATTATTAAGAGGAAACATGAAAGCTAAAGGATTCTTGTTAGATTGACGTGACAGGATTATTGCTAAAGGGAGGCCAGGATGGGGGATGAGGAAATGGATCAAGTATCAAGGGTGGGAGATTTTCACTAAACTGACCCAGCAGAATTCTTGCTAAAACTGGAATAAAAAGGCCAAGGATAGAACCCAAGGTTGGGGATTTGAGGGCTTAGAGGAGCCTGACCGGAGTTAGGTTAAGGGGAGTCTTTAACATAAGGTACATATCTTCTTCAAGCCTCAGTCTTCCTAACCAATTAACGGGAATAATATCAACTTTGTAAGATCAGCGTAACAGTTAAAATGAGAAAATGCTTGTGAACATAGTGCCCATCACATGAGAAGTATTGAAGAGATTCTTTTCTTGCCTCTCCTTCCTATATCTCTCTTAGAAAGAAACACGATTTCATCAGGATTGGTCTACTCTTGCCTTCAGCTTATCCCATTTGAGAAATATCCTCCACATTTATTAGGTAGCTGAGAACCACATAGACATTCCCTCCCTCCACGCAGATGCTAAAATTATAAGCAAAGGGTAGAATGGTAAAACTGTCTTTAGCCACACAGCTTCTTGCTTACATTGACACCACTTTACTCCAACAGGCTATGTTAACATTACTTTTCCAGGGAATTCTTACTGAGGAAGACTTACTTTATTATTTTGTTTTAAGAACTTCTTGAAAATCTATCTAAACAGTAGACTACTCAGCTTGCCCTCATCGGGGTAGTAACCCACTTCTTGGAAAAATAGATCTCTCTGCTGGGTTTATGACACATCTATTTACTCCTCAAGTCTGCCTTGAAACTTTTGTCTAGCTGTGCCCACCATGCCTGAACTATTCCATCACAAATTTTGCCTGATCCCAATCAGCATCTCCTTTCCCCTGCATTCAACGAACTACCTTAAACTAACCCTAAAAACTTTACAAATCATCCGCCCTTGCCCCTCAGCCCCTGCCCCACCTTTTTGAGATAGCACTAAAACCGTCAATATAGTGATCTTGCTACTGAGGTAAGCAACAGTGATGGTTAACATTAGGTGTCAATTTTATTGGATTGAATGCTGCCTAGATGGCTGGCAAAGTATTGTTTCTGGGTGTGTCTGTGACAGTGCTGCCAGAGAAGATTAACCTTTGAGTCGGTGGACTGGGAGAGGAAGACCCTCCCTCAATGTGGGTAGGCACCATCCAATCAGCTGCCAGCCTGGCTAGAACACAGCAGGTGGAAGAAGGTGGGATAAGCTGGCTTGCTGAGGTTCCTGGTTTTCTTCCTTCTCCTGTGCTAGATACTTCCTGCCCTTGGACATCAGACTCCAGGTTCTTTGGTCTTTGGACTCTGGGACTTACACCAGTGGTTTGCTGGGGGCTCTCAGGCCTTTGGCCACAGACTGAAGGCTGCCCTGTCAGCTTCCCTACTTTTGAGGTTTTGGGACTCGGATTGAGTCACTACTGGCTTCCTTGCTCCTCAGCTTGCAGACGGCCTACCGTGGGACTTCACCTTGTGATCGTGTGAGTCAATTCTCCTTAATAAACTCCCTTTCATATATACATCTATCCTATTAGTTCTGTCCCTCTGGAGAACCCTGACTTGTACAGCAACATACAGTGTTTTGCTTGATCACCAGGTTAATACAATGGCCCTTTCCAGCAGCTGACATCCCCTATCCATATAGGAATGGTTGCTATGAGTAATCCAGGCTTCTCTGGTCTCTAACCTAGGAGAAGTGAATGAAGGACTCCATACCATAATCCTGCCTTTCCTTCTTCAATGAAGGATTGTTATCAGATACCTCCTTTGCTTGATTTATAACTAAAGGCCATAAATAACCAGAGCTTCTCAAAATCATCTGAGACAAATACATTCCCATTGTGCATATTTGGCACCATTTGGGGGAGTTCATGTTGTGGGGAGGGGTATGTGGCATTCTTTTCCTTAGTCCAGGGTAAGACTTGGGCTCTGAGCCAGGACCAGGGAGGAGGTCTCAAGCCTGGGACTGCATGAAAAACCAGGAGCTGGGAGCCCAGTGGTCCTAAACCCAAGACATAATACTTCCTCTTTTTCAGCTTTTAGGGGCAGGCAGCACGCGGCGAGGGCTCACTTTCCCATTAACATACTCATACTTCCTCTTGGCTGAGCTTCCCTCTGCAGTCCCTGATGAGCTAAGCACCCTCTCTGGGCAGATGGAGAAGCTCTGCACAGTCTAGGACCCCTGTGGGGTGAAACATCTCTCCACTCAGGGAACACTAGGGGGAATTTAAGGTTCAGGCTCTTAAGCCGTGAGTCTTGAGCTGTTGTTATCAGAAATGCATTATGCCATCTAATTCTATTTCCATTCACCTCTGCTTGGGACCTAAGGGATATTCAGGAGGAAATGATTAATGAGTTCCTTGGGATGTTCCCATAGCAAACAGCAAACCCATCATCGGGTGACTACAAATGATGCAAGTCGCCCCAAAAACCGACCAGGGGCTTTATTTTTACACTGCACACTTGTTAGAAATCAGTAAATCAGAGACGACTGAGTTGGCAACTTTTCAAGTCCGGGGAAATGGTTTTTAATAGGGAAACAGACTGCAGATCACCTCCCTCCATCCTGCCAGAAACCTCAGGGAAGTTAAGTGGAGAACATCTATCAAGACCCAGGGACAAAAACCCAAAATCATCCATCTGGAGGAAGTGACAAAAATCCCCCAAACAACTGGAATGTCTTTCCATATTTGTCTCACTTTACCTCCAACTCATCAGCTTTCTCTGGTGTGCCAGCCAGCATGCGCAGTTAATCATGACAGTCCACTGAAGGCTCATTACGCCAATCTTGGATCTTGTTTAACATCTACTTAAAGGATGTCCCATCCACAGGTGTGCCAGTTTATCTATGCAGATGACACATCTTGAGCAGTTTGGAGATGGCGGTGTCCGGGCCCATCCCTCCTATTCCCACAGCTTTCTTGGTGTCAGGCTTGCTCTCAGGTGGAAGGAGAATGTCAGCGTTGCTTCCATTTTCCACTGAAATGAAAGTTCTGACTCAGAACTGAGTTGTCTTATCATCCCAAGTTATGCCACCCTCTGCCCCATGTAAGAGCTGGTGTCTTTTCTGAGTCACACTTTGAAACATGAACCGAGGGTTTTAGGGCAGTTCTCAATAAGCCGACACCATATGAACGCCAGGCATTTGGGGCGTGTGGGGCACTGTCTGAATTCCCCACTGGGAGCAGGCCCTTCCTCTGCACCTCAGCACCCTAAAGCACATCACTCCCCGCTGCCCCCACTCCCTGACCATGCTTTCCTTCATCCTGGGTGAAATATTTATTGAGCAACTGCTTTAAGAGAGGGGCTTTGACCTCCTGCAGAGCTGGGCTTCCACCTCCTGCAGAGCTGGGCTTCCAGCCTGAGAGACAAGACAAGCACTTGTGAAATATTTAATAATGATACAAAGGCCGGAACAAGCGATTCAGAAATAACAGCAGCTGTAGGGTTCTGAGGAGAGAAAGATTGATAAGGGCTGACGTGACTAGGAGAGGCTTTATAGAAGACATCAGACTGGGGGATAAACTTTGTGTAGACCCAAAACAGGGGAGAGGCCTTGCTGGGAGAGGCACCCAGGATGAGCAAAGGTGAGAATGAACAGACAGGGTTTTGACCACTTGGAAAAAAACATCAAGGTTATGTTGAGCCAGGAAGAAATAAGCTGGTGCATGATAAGAAGAGGAACGCTGGAGAAACAGGCCAATGCCCGGGCAGAGCCCCTGACTTCAGCAGGCCCGGCCCAGAGTACTCTCCAGTGGAAGCTTTCCCGAGAGACCCTCCCCCAAAGCTGTCACTGGCTTATTTCCTCCTAAAACATGGAAAAAGGATAGAGAAGCTAATTAGGATGAACTGAAGCACTTTATCTTACTGAAGGGAACAAGTTAAAGCACTCAAAACACTCCTTGGGCATATTCTGATCAAAACGATGTTATCCAGATGGTACAAATATGCTTCAAGGCACGCAGATGCAAGAAAGGTCAGAATTCTTTATTTTTCCTTTATCAAATTACATCTAGTGAAACAGAATAGAGAGTCTAGAAAAAGACCCACAGGTATACATTCACTTGATTTATGACGAAGGCGGCATTACAGAGTGATGTGGAAAAGAAGGTCCCTCGAATAAATGGTGCTGAGTCAATTAAATAGTCATATTTTAAAAAATGAGTCTTAGTCCCTCACAACAAGCACAGTAATAAATTCCAGGTGGTTTATATTCCTAGATCACATAGGAGAGCATTGGTATGACCTTGGAATAGCCAAAGATTTCTAAAAATGATCCAGAAGGACCTAAAAGGGCATTGACCACGAAAAAAGTTTGATAAACCGGAAGAGGTTATCATGAAGAACCTCTGTTCAATAAAAGACACTAGTAAGAGAGTGAATGGGAACCCAGGGAGAAATAATCTTTTCAGTCCATACATCTATGTCCTAGGCAGTTCAGGCGGTTATAACACAATACCATAGACTGGGTGGTTAATAAACAACAGAAATTTATTTCTCACACTTCTTCTGGAGGCTAAGAAGTTTAAGATCAAGGAACTGGAAGATTCATGTCTGCTGAAGGCCTGCTTCCTGGAACAGATGGCCACCTTCTCATTGTATCCTCACATGGCGACAACAGGCAGAACTCTCAGGGGTGCCTATCATGAGGGCACTGACCCCATTTATGAGGGTACCACCCTCATGATCTAATTTCCTCCCAAAGTCCTCTCCTACTAATTCTATCACATTAGGGATTAGGACTTCAATGTATGAATTTGGGGGCGACACAAACATTTGTCCATTGCAATCTGATAAAAGATTTATATCCAGAATATGAAAAGAACTCCTTCAAGTCACTAAGAACATGGCAGGCAACCCGACAGAACAATAGGAAGAAGACGTGAACAGGCAACTCCTTAAGAAGACAACCAGATGGCCGATAAACCAATGAAGAATCATTTAAACTCATTCGTGATCAAAAAATGCAAATTAAAACCACAATGAAATACCATTACACATCCATCTGAATGGCTAATGTGGAAAAGACTGACAATACCATGTGTTGGCAAGAATGTAGGGCAACTGGACTCTCATACAGTGCTGGCAGGTGAGAAAATGTATACAAATACCTTTGAAAAGTATTTGGCAGGGTCTTGTAAAGCTGACCGTGCAAAAGCTCCACGACCCAGCCACTCTACTCTTGGTATTTATTCAAGAGAAATGAAAACGTATGTTCATACAAAAATTTATAATAAATGCAGCAGCTTTATTCATAGCCAAAAACTGGAAACAATAAAATGTCTATTTACCAAGGGAAAAGGAAGCAAATTGTAGTATATTTATACAATGGAATGATGTTCAGCAATAAACTAACAATATATAGGGAAAGAAATATGCATACAATGATGTAAATTACACTGTAGTGGCAAAGAAAGTCCTGAAAATAATTCACATGTTTACTGTTAAAAAGGAATGTTTTAATGAATCATGGTACATTCATTCAATGAAATACCACATAATGGATTAAAAAAAAAAGAGGGAGAGAGATAAAACTAGATGCGCCGATAAGGAAAAAAATGCCAAGATAATTAAAAAGGTATTTTCCAATTGAGTTAAAAATTTGTGTTATATATGTGGAAACTTTCAGAAGGATACACAAAAAACAAGTAACTATGGCAAGCTCTGGGGTAGGGTATGGAACTGGAACAGGGTAAGCTGCTGTCTGGTTTGTCTGGGACTGAGGGACCTCCTGCGATGTGGGGCCTTCAGTTGTAAAGCCAGGGCAGTTCCTATCCACAGAACACCGTCAGGAGTGAAAGGCCCGCTCACTTTTCATTGTCCATCATTTGTACTGCTTGGTTTTTTTGTTTTGTTTTACCATGTGCATATTATTTTCTTAGTTTAAGAAATTTAAATAAAATGTAAACTGCCCTAGAATTACTTGTTTGTTTTTTTTTTTAGACACAGTCTCGCTCTGTTGCCCAGGCTGGAGTGCAGTGGCATGATCTTGGCTCACTGCAACCTCCACCTCCTGGGTTCAAGCAATTCTTGTGCCTCCACCTCCTGACTAGCTGGGATTACAGGTGCCCACCACCACGCCCAGCTAATTTTTGTGTTTTCAGTAGCAATGGTGTTTCATCATGTTGGCCAGGCTGGTCTCGAACTCCTGACCTCAGGTGATCTGCCTGCCTCGGCCTCCCAAAGTGTTGGGATTAGAGGCATAAGACGCCACACCCGACTGGTTTTTAATAAGGACGTGGTCACATTTCATAGTTTGTATTCTACGATGGGGTCGGCTGAATAAAGGCCCCCAAAGATAGCCAAGTTGCTATCCCTGGAACTGTGAGTGTGACCTTCTAAGGAAAAGTGACTGCAGAGACAGAGGCAGAGGTTGAGGTGATGCACTTTGTGGATGGAGGAAGGAGCTACAAACCAAGGAACAAAGGCGGCCACGACAAGCTGGAAAAAGCAAAGAAATGAATCTTCCCTGGAGCTTCCAGCGGGGTGTGTGGCTCCACCAACGCCTTGATTTCAGCCCAGTGATTTCAGACTTCTGGCCTCCAGAGCTGTGAGAGAATACCTTTGTGTTATTTTAAGCCACCAGCTTTGTGGCAATTTGTTACGGCATTCATAGGAAACTCACACACAAGATTTTCAAACACTGGAGAGGAAACGTCCACGCTTCCTACACATGAATATGTTGGCAAAGCCTGGCCACATAGCGAATTCAGGCAGCAGCTTCATGTAAACTAACTCACCCAAGTCAGGCTACAGCGAGATCATCCCACCCGCATGATCATGACGGGGGTTTATTTGCCTGGCCCATTACCTTCCACGCTGACATTTACTGGACCCTGGATAGAAAGTTCCAAAATTCAAAGCCTGAATTCTGTGGCTGAATACAATTTCTCTGCTCAGGTAATAATCCAAAGCAGGTTCATAAATCAATACATACATGCTAGGACTCCAGATCAAACTTTGGCCAGTGTGTGTGACAGGGTAGATCATTAATAAACGTGAGTCTTAATGAGGCTATTTTTTAAGTATCAACTACAATCACCTCTGTTCAAACTGAGATCTGCTTGATTTATTATCATTTTTACTGTACATTAATGAAAAATAAGTGGTAAAATTTTTTAATGTGTGAATTAAGGAGTTTCATATCCCTGAAATCACTCTTAATTCGATAGAATCAATCATTTTGAATACTTATAATTGTCTGATTGATGATATTTACCTTAATGGATCTTTTGCCCTAACAAAAAATTATTCAGAGATGCAGTACCTACATATATTTATTCAAAAGATTTTTCTCAGGTGCAATGAGGGTAATACATAAACACTCCAGGATTTTCCAATGTAATTTGTAAGGTCTTCCTTCCAAAGTATCAGGTTTTGACCTGGTTCTTAAAAAACTGAATCTAGAAAAGGATACTTAAAAAGCCAGACTTTCTAGTGATGAATTTTTATCATTTTCTTGGTGATTAGTTTATGCATCATCTCTCCCTTTCCTGGATATTTTAGCTTTTGGCGATGTCTCCCTGTAGAACGAGAATGTGTGAATTTTTAGGGCATTTGCTTTCAAAAACGCTCTGGCTTTTATAACAGGGAAGCCAAGAAGTATGTGTAAAATGGGATTAAAGCGGGAGAAATTGGGCAAGAATTCACTACACCAATAATTCTCTTATGACATCTGCCATGAGGATGGGAAAGTGCATGTGTCGACGACGTTTGTGCAAGAAATTCAATTTCAACGCAGCTTCCAAAACCGTCAGCACGTCGCCCATCTAACAAAGCTCCTCTTCCCCTATCCTGTCATCTTCCTAGGTCTTTATTGTTCTTGCCAGCTCAAAAAAGCAAGCCTCACCCTAACTTTCTAAACAGGACCATATAAACTGCATTTTCAAATGCCAATTTCTGACTGCAGACAAGGTGGAATATAAAATCATGGAAAAAAGAAAAAATGACAAAACTCTATCCTGGCCCTGTGATGACTGTGAAGATTGTTTGCTTATCATGCTCCAATGACCCCTTCTTGACTGTATTTCTGATGAAATATAGAGGGTTATACAAAAGAGAGAGGAGGAGGAGAAGGAGGAGGTGGGAGAAGAGAAGAAGGAACTGGATGGCGAAGGAAGCTGTGTTTGGGATTAAAATAGTTGCTGCTTGCCAGGCACAGTGGCTCACACCTATAATCCCAGCACTTTGGGAGGCCAAAGCATGCAGATAACAGGGTCAGGAGTTTGAGTCCAGGCTGGCCAATACAGTGTAACTCCGTCTCTACTAAAAAAAAAAAAAAAATACAAGAATTAGCTGGGCTTGGTGGCGGGTGCCTGTAATCCCAGCTACTTGGGAGGCTGAGGCAGGAGAATTGCTTGAACCTGGGAGGCCGAGGTTGCAGTGAGCCAAGATGACGCCACTGTACTCCAGCCTGGGTGACAGAGTGAGATGCTGTCTCCCAAAAAAAAAAAAAAAAAAATGCTGCTAGTGTTGACTCCCACCTTCCGGTCCACTTTGGACATTGCCAAGGGGAATTCTCATGTATCTGAAGGGGTCCCCAACACCCTGATGCTCTTGTCAGTCAACCCCCACCCTCTGCACCCACCCACACCCATATATGCAGTTTTCTCTCCACAACAGACTTAAAGAAACCATTTAAATAGCTCTTCCAATGCTGCATTTTTAAAAAAAAAATCTAATTTTTCCTTAAGCTTTCTCTTTCCTTTCCTGTTCCCAGCCCTTGCTTTGTTTATCCAAGTTTGTGTAGCAAGAATGATAATAATGCCTATCTTTGATTAACTCTTAGTATGTGCTAGTTTCCATGAAAGGGCATTATCTGTTTGCTTTCTATTACCCAGCACAGGAGGCATAATTATCACCTTTTTGCACCTCAGCAAACTGAGATTCATAGGATTATAGTCGCCCAAAGTCAGATAGCTTGCCATTGAACTTGCCCTCCCCTGGAAGTGTGAGCCTTTACCACTCTTGCCTCCCAGGAGATGAGAAGTGGCACAGAATGGCTTTTATGGAAGAAGAGTTTATAGGGCTGCAGTGCCAATTGATTTCTTTTAATTTTATAGATGTTTTATAAGTTCTCTTCTGAATTCACACTGAACCTCACACAAAGTATAAGGCTGTAGTCAAGTTCAAGGTAGAGAGGAAGGAAGGAGGGGAGGGAGGAAGGAAGGAAAGGAAGAGTTTAGGATAATGTTATTTTAAACCTAGGAGAAAATTCTACAAATAGCCTAAGTTTCCATCCACCTTTCCCTAAAATAGATCATTATTCTGATGATTATTTCTCCAAATGAATTGAATAAAAAGAGAATTGCCCTGTTGTAGGTTTTCCCATTGGCTTTACATCTCTGAAGCAAAAGCTGTCAATTTGTCAGAGGATCTATTCTTTACAGCTTATTGAGCCTGGGGCAAAGAAACTCAGCTACGGAGAGCATTAAATCAAGCTGGGGCTGGCCTCGGCCACGTTCCACAGCGGCTGGGATGTTATGCACGTTGTGGAAGACTCCACAGAGAGACGAGGGGCTCGGGTGGATTCTACCTCCTGTTCTCTAAGGGCCAGTGCCAAAAAGATAAAATAACTGTCTCAGATGAGAAGTTTCTGATTTACTGCTATTTTTTTTCCTGTGTTCACAGAATGGAAAAAGCTGCTTTGAAGCCATTGTTTTTCATTGGGTTTAAGGAGTTGAGTTTATAAAACAAATAGCTCTGCGATAGTAAGCAATGTGCTAAGAGATGAAGCCCCAGGAAAGCTCCATTGGGCCAAATAAAAGCTTTGAATCCAGGGGAGTAAAGGCAGGGCATTTGTCATCCAGATTTAAGTAATCGACTTTCATTCGCCCCACCCACCTCCCCAGGTAGCAGGTGCACTCATCACACAGAATGTTATAAAGGGCGCTGGCAACAGCGGTAGGAGGAGGATGAACTGACCCAATAAAGTATTCCCAAGGCCTGTTGGGAAAGACAGTTGTAAATGGAAAACAATTACTGCTAATAGGGTAAAGCACTTGTAGTTTACAAAGTATTTTCACCGGCCGTATCCATTCGTTTGATCTTATATTTACAATTTCCAAACACACAACTCCCATGGTCCTTCTGGGAGTTCCTGTCCTGAAACGCATCCTCTGAGGCTGGGTTCTCCCAGGAGGCCCTGAGCAAGGACCCAGGCCCCGGGGATTTCCTGAGGATGTTCTCCCGCAGGGACAGAAAGAGGTGGGCAAAGCCAAGTAGGGAGGAGGAGAAGCCAGCAACAGTGCATTTTCAGGGGTGGTCACGGACTCAGCTTCAACCCAAGGGGCCCCTAGAGTATAGGTTGTGCCTTGGATTCTGTCCCACCCTTAGCGACGGAGACAATTGGCTTTTGAACCATGGGCAACTCTTGTGGGAGGCGAGGGTAACCTAAACATCCAGGCCCTTCCATCTCCTGCAAGAGAGTTAAGGTTGGTTCACAGATCCGGAAAAGGGCCCTGGAGAGGCACCAAGGCCCTCTGCTCCATGTGCCCCCCCCTCTCCGCACCTGCTCCACATACCTTGGCTGTCCTCCCTCATAGCACTCCTCTGTGAACCTGAGGAACTCCTGCTAGTACTTCAAAACCCCGTCCAGGTGTTAGTGACACATTCTTTGATTGCCAGTAACCCAAGCAAAAAACCTCTTCTTTGATGCTCTTCCTTTGACTGGAATATCCTTCGAAGAGCTGCACTTGTCGTTAAAATTTTAATGACTCGTTCCCCAAGGGCCACAGTGTTACTGGTGGAGGGTGTCCAGGTTCCCAAGAATTGGACAAAACACACAAAGCAAGGAAAGAATGAAGCAACAAACAGAGAGATGTGTTGAAAGTACACTCCACGGTGTGGGAGCGGGCCTGAGTATAGGGGCTCAAGAGCCCAGTTACAGAATTTTCTGGGGTTTAAATACTCTCTAGAGGTTTCCATTGGTTACTTGGTGTACGCCCTATGTAAATGAAGAGGATGAAGTAAAGTTACAAAGTCATTTACTTGGTGCACGCCCTATGTAAATGAAGAGGATATTTCCTGTCATAGCTGAAGCATTTCCACTTGATTTAGTTCTGGGAAGTCCTTAGGTTCCCTGCCTCCAGGCCCTCTTCTCCTAGTAAGCTTGATCCCAGGGAACAGACATTATTGTATTATCTTTATTGTAGTTGTATTATATAACTACTTTATGATAGTTGTACCTATTTGGGGAGTACATGTGATATATTGATACCTGTACACAGTGTGTAATGATCAAGTCAGGGTAATTGAGATATTCATCACTTCAAACATTTATCTTTTCTTTGTGTTGGGGACATTACAATTCTCTTCTAGCTCTTTTGAAATATACAATAGATTATTTCAACTACAATTTCTCTACGATTAAATACTACAACTTACTCTTTCTAATTGTATTTTTGTACCCATTAACCAACCTCTCCCAGATATTAATGCTTCTCTCTAAGACCTTAATTTTCCCCAGTGAGGCAATGGGGAAAGCGAGCCCCCTGGCTGCGGTTTACTGAGGTGGTGTTAAAAGACTCCCAGTGACAGCAAAGTTTGTTTGCCAAGTCATTCTTCTGAAGGGGACCATGTGAACAAATCCCTAAGAAAAGCTAATGCCAAGTACTCAGCATCACCCTTCAGAGCACAATACACGGTACTTCAAGAGTTTTAAAAAGAGAGTTCCTCAAAAACTCAAGCTGTTTTTATTTTCCTGGATACTTATGTAGTGATCATATCCATTGTGAGGTTGCCCTCGGGATGTTGGGATTTTCTAAGGAACGTAAAGTCCCCAAGATTAAAGCAATGTTGTAGTCAAGAAGTTTCTCTTACTTTCACCCCATATTTAGGTGTATATTTCACTGATGTTCCAAGTATAGAAACACATTTAGCAAATAATTTTGATCTTTGAAGAAGTTCTCTTTTCAACTTTATCAGGCAAGTTCACAGATGCATTTTACAAGGCAAATCGGGAAAAAAAAGGAGATCAATTCTACTGCCGAGAAGGAATCTAGGTCAATTTTATAGATTCACACTCAAATGAAATCCACACAAGAACAAAATTCAAGACATTGGTTAAAAGAAAAATCATACCAAGTACCAAGATAAGTTAAATTGCTATATATGTACAGTTCGATAAATTGAAAACATCCTAGATCTTTACCAAAATTAATTTCTCTGGCATCTTACAGAAGCATCTGTGGGCTTCCAGTAATTTGTACTTTTAAAAATCTTATACAACAGTGTTCCTACAAAAAGAAAGTAAACACTTGCAACCAAAATTTCCATTTTTGCTCGTCAAGATTTCAATCGATTTTACTTGAACAAGCTGTTTTCGTTCAATTCACACTGATTAACATTAGCCCAATCGCTGAAAACTTTGTGGTTCTGGGATACGGGTTTTAATTGTCTTCATAATGTACTTGGAAGGTCACTGGGGAAATTGAACACAAAAGTTTTCCTATACCATGTGCTGACTAAATAAAGAGCCCGAGCAGCATGTACCTCAGCAATCTCAATCTCAAATTGACCTCCTTTTTGTTTTCTCTTTTCTGTTACAGTGTGTTTCTCATCCTTTTCTTTTTCTGTCAATATTTATGTAGATGTCAACTATATTCTTGCCTCTCTGTAAGTACTGCTTTTCTCTAGGGCTCTCTCATGAAAACAAAATTTCAGTCAAAATTGTTATTTTTTATCCTCCCTCTGTTCGCAGCAAGCACGGGTCTTAGATGCAAAATGTACGGGAGAGCCAGAAACTCAGAAATCAAAATAAAGAATGTCTTAATGCAATGTTTTTAAAAATAAAAATGAATGTTAAAAAAAGAACTCATGATTAATAAAATATCCAAATTGTGGCTGGGCACGGTGGCTCGTGCCTGTAATCAGGCCTCCCACTTTGGGAGGCTGAGGCAGGTGGATCACCTGAGGTCAGGAGTTGGAGACCAGCCTGGCTACATGGTGAAACCCCGTCTCTACTAAAAACACAAAAAATTAGCTGGGTATGATGGTGGGTGCCTGTAATCCCAGCTACTCAGGAGGCCAAGGCAGGAGAATCGCTTGAACCCGGGCGTTGGAGGTTGCAGTGAGCCGAGATGGCACCATTGCACTCCAGCCTGGGCAACAAGAGTGAAACTCCATCTAAAAAAAAAAAAAATCCAAATTGTAATTATTCAGCCCTGATAGAGGCTCTGTGGTGGTCATCAGTAGTCCTTAGTGCTCCTGGGAATGTGATAGAATTCCTGGCTCCCTCGAGGACATAAGTGGGGCCATGTGACTAGTTCTGATCAACACATTGCAAACAGAAGTGATGAGCGTCACCTCTGGACAGGAGCATGTGGCTGCCAGTTCAAGACCCTCCTAAATTTTTCTCTTTTTCTCTCATGCACAGCAACTGGCAAATTCCCAGACCAGCATCATTGTATTGGCCAGGAACCTGCACACCTAGGGTGAGCAGAAACTCCCTAGAAAGCCACTGTGGTCAAGAAGTCTGAGTGAGGAATGAGCCTTTGTTACTTCAAGCCACCTAGTTTCTGGGGAGTATCTGTTACAGCAGCTGAGCCTCTCCTGACTGACTGATATACACATTAAGCAAGGTTTGCACTGTGGAAATCCTCAGTTTCTCAAGTGAAAGAAATGAAGCCGTCCCCAGCATCCAGTCTTACAGCTGGAACTTCTTGCCTAGAAAGAGCAAGATGCTGCTTCTCTCCTTCCCTAATTTCCTGTAGATTTTGTTCTTAAGACTGAGAGCTTTGTAGATGGACAATTAGAGACTTTAAAAACTTGTTTCAGTTGGGCACAGTGGCTCATGCCTGTAATCCTAACAGTTTGAGAGGTCAAGGCTGGTGGATCACTTGAGGTCAGGAGTTCAAGACCAGCCTGGCCAACATGGCGAAATCCTGTCTCTACTAAAAATACAAAAATTAGGCCAGGCACGGTGGCTCACGCCTGTAATCCCAGCACTTTGGGAGGCCGAGGCGGGTGGATCACGAGGTCAGGAGATCGAGACCATCCTGGTTAACACGGTGAAACCCTGTTTCTACTAAAAATACAAAAAAAACTAGCATGGTGGCGGGCGCCTGTAATCCCAGCTGCTCGGGAGGCTTAGGCAGAGTAGTGTGAACCCAGGAGGCGGAGCTTGCAGTGAGCCAAGATTGCGCCACTGCACTCCAGCCTGGGTGACAGAGCAAGAGTCCGTCTCAAAAAAAAAAAAAAAAAAAAAATAGCTGGGCGTGGTAGCAGGCACCTGTAATCCCAGCTACTTGGGAGGCCGAGGCAGGAGAATCACTTGACCCCGAGGGGTGGAGATCGCAGTGAGCCGAGATCACGCCACTTCACTCCAACCTGGGTAAAAGAGCGAAACTCCGTCTCAAAAACAAAAACAAAAACAAAAAACTGGTTTCACCTCTTACAAGCACCTAGGATGTGAGATAGCTCATGAGCAAAAACTTTAGTTGCCAACCTGTAAAGTGAAATTCGAAATACCTCCCACACAGGCAAATAATGGAATTAAATGAGATAACACAGAAAAACACCTGGAACACAGCCAATAATTGACACATTTTAATCTAATTGCACTCAAGGTGTGACCGAGATGCTCATTGCACAGCAGACCACATCATCCCCAACTTAGGAGGCCCAGGACCAGGAGACAGCACTTTAGCAGTGCCCCCTGGTGGTTATGCCGAGAACTACCTTAGGAAGCCCTGGGTTCTTCCTTTCCCCCGTGGTGGTTGCTACGAGGCCGACCCAGTGGCCTGGGTTGTTGTTTTATGGATAAATTTATTTTCTTTGCTGAGATGGGCTCGGGAGAAGAATCACTAGCAATTCAGTTTGCAACAACCTCGAAAAGTGGAAGAAAACAACAACATGGCTTTGGAAAGAAAGAGTCCTGACATGCTAATATCCCTTACCAGTTTTAATGCATTTAGAAAAGGTGGATGTAATGCTATGGTCCAAATGTTTGTGTCCCCCAAAATTAATATGCTGAAATCTTCACCCCCAAGGTAATGGTATTAAAAGGTGGGGACTTTGGGAGGTGATTGGGAGCCCTCATGAATGGGATTAATGCCCTTATGAAAGAGGATTGATAGCGATCCCTCAGTCCTTCCGCCATGTGGAACACGTGGGAGGCAGAAAGAAGGTACCGTCTACAAACCAGGAAACAGGCCCTAGCCAGACATTGAACCTGCCAGTGCTTTGATCTTGGACTTTCTCAGCCTCTAAAACTGTAAGAAGTAAAGTTCTGTTGCTTAAAAGCAACCCCATCTATGATATTTTGTTATAGCATCCTGAACAGACTAAGACATATAAGTATGCCTGAGACCAGCAAAACCTATGGGTTAAAAAAAAAAAAAAAAAAAAAAGTTATGGCTGGGCGTAGTGGCTCAGGCCTGTATTCCAGGCACTTTGGGAGGCCAACGTAGGGGATCCCTTGAGGCCAGGAGTTCAAGACCAGCCTGGCCAACAGGGTGAAACCCAATCTCTACTAAGAATGCAAAAATCAGCCAGGCATGGTGATGCACGCCTGTAATCCCAGCTACTCAGGAGGCTGCGGCACAAGAATCACTTGAACCTGGGTGGTGGAGGTTGCAGTGAGCCGAGATCGTGCCACTGCACTCCGCCTGGGCAACAGAGCGAGACTGTCTCAAAAAAAAACAAAAACAAACAACCGTTACTCTCATGAAGAATTCCATAAAACTAACAGGTTGGTACCCAGTTATTTGGAGTATCATGTTAGCACTAAATTATCATTTTTTCATATTGAATCAAAGAGAATAAATGTTCCAATGAATCTGAGCAATGAAGGGACAGCTTAGGAGCTGCAGACTTTCCTTTGCAGGTATCACTCAGATCTCATTCTAATGTGGGTAATCCAACTCCTGCCTTCATTCAAACAACCACACTTTGAATTTCTACATCTCCTTGGACTTGCCATAATAATCAGAAACCAAGAGGGTCCTAGGGCAGCAAACTGGAACGAGAAGGTGGTGGGACAGGAATTAGCGGGAGATCAGACATGCAGGACCAGAGACAGCCACCTAAAAGAGAAAATGGGACTGAAGAACAGAAGAAAGCCTTAATTTCATGTCAACAGGTTGATGACATCACATTCTATTTGCCATTTTAGTCAAGATTAACTGCAAAAAGGTCCTCTCCATGACCTTAGATGCCCTACTTACAGAGGCTGTCCTCACAACTTAGGAGTGCAGAGCTTAGCGACATTTTGGAAATCTCCTAAGGTTTAATCCTTAAAGGAATTACATGCTCAAAGAGAAAAAGAGGTATAGCAGGAAGGTCAATGGCCTCAGGTAGTCTGGACTTGTCCACAGGGAGCTAAGACAGTGGCCAAGGCTGGCTGCCAGAGTCAGGGACAGAAGCTGTCTCCCACCCACACCATCAAGAGTCATCTGAGGGCCATGAACTTAAGCCATAAGAATTATGAGGTCAGCAATGTTTCTTTTATGGAACAGGGTGGATATCAGGAAGGTCTGGAAATGAAGCTAGAGATCACAAATTAGTAGAAGAAAAAACTAAACTCTTTTCCAAATGGAAGAGCACCACAGTAAAATCTACCATCCCCACCTGTTTTTCAGGGGAAAGGTGCTTTGGAGAAGCGCTCAAGAGATGAGAAGTTTCCACTGAAGCCTCATTCCAGAGCATCTGTAGCAGAGGCTGCACTGCCATCCCCAGGACTGTCCTCTAATTCCTCCCTACAGTGAAAATGGGCCAGAAAAATGACATTTCTCAGTCTCCCTTTCAGGTACCTCCAGCCATTGAGTTATGTATATATTCCTGGGGCTGCCATAACAATGCAGTGACTTAAAACAACCGAACTGTATTGTCTCACAGTTCTGGAGCCTAGAAGTCCAAGATCAAGGTGATGGCAGGGCTGTGCTGCCTGTGAAACCCATGAGGAAATCCTTCCTTGACACTTGCTAGCCTTCTGCAGTTTGCAGACAGTCGTTGAGTCCCTTGGCTTGTAGCTGCATCATTCCAATCTCAGCCTCCCTTGTCATGTGGTGTTCTTCCTCTGTGTCTCTGTCCTCACATGCCATCTTCTTACGAGGACACCAGTCATATTGCACCAGGAGCCCACTTGACACCAGGATGACCTCGTCTTAACTAATTACATCTACAATGACCCTATTTCCAAATAAGGTCACATTCTGAGATACTGGGGATTTAGGACTCAACATATCTTTTTTAGGTCAGGTGGGGCAGACACAATTTAATCTATAACAAGATATAAGCAGAAGTTGTTGATGGAGCTTCCAGAAAAGTTATTTAAATGGAACTGCCTCTGTTTATAGATGTGCCCTACTTCCCTTATGTACCCTCCTCCTTTCTGTGGCCCTGAAAATAAATACCACCTGGGATAGAAGTGTGACTACTGATCTTCAGCAACCATCTTGCTACCATGAGGCAAACTTGGGAAGAGAAAACATATGCTAAGGATACAAAAAGAGAGAGAGAGAGAAGTAGAAACAGTCGAATCTCTGATAATTGTGGAGTTTCCAGACCACTATGAGTTGTTTTTTTAAATTCCATCTTGCTTACATCATTGTTATTTGGGTTTTCCATTATTCACAGCTGAGTTGAATCCTAACTGATTCATGCATGCTGAGGAAAACATCTCCCTCCACAAGTCAGCACCCACAGGAAGAAAAGATGGGAGCCGTGGATGTGAGCGATGGGCAGGATAGCTGCCTGGCTCTCTACCTAGTGCATTGGTAAGCCGCCACCCCACAGTTGCAGGCAACCAGAGCACCAGAGCCTGTGGCAGCCCCACAGTGGTGGCAGCAAAATGAGAGGCACAGAGGGTGTTCACCACAGACAGTGCTGAGTGCAGCAGGGGCAGTACCAGTCACTGTTATTTCAGATTCTCAGTCACAGCTAAATCTACACCACACTATCAGAAAGGAGAGACAGCAGATCTTAATAATTCTTTTCCCCTTTGGGGCTCTAGTGCAGGGATCATCCAATGTTTCTGTAGAGGGCCAGGCAGCAAACATTTTAGGTTTCAAGGGCCTTACAGTCTCTGCTGCAATTGCTCAGCTCTGAGATTCTCCTGCAAGGGCAGTCATAGGCAACGTGCAAATGACTGGCCACAGTGGTTGCTACGATTCAAACGTGTCTCCTCCAAAATTCAGGTGTTGCCAATGTGAAGGAATTCAGAGGTGAGGCCTTTAAGAGATGATTAGGCTATGGGGGCTCCTCCCCCTTAGGTGGGATTAAGACCCTCATAAAAGAAGCTTCCGGCAGCATTTGGCCAGCTTACACTTCTGCAAGGGGAGCCGGGTGAGGACACGGCCTTTGTTCCTCTTGCCCTTCCACCTTGCAACACGGGACACTCAACGAGAAGTCCATCACCAGACACCAGATGCAGGCACGTTCATCTTGGACTCCCCAGCCTCCAGAACGGTGAGAAATACATTTCTATTCTTTATACATTACCTAGTCCCCGTTATTTTGTTCTTGCAGCACACACGAGTGGACTAAAATAGCTGTGTTCCAACACAACTTTACTCACAAAAACAGGCAGTGTTCTGCATTCGACCTATGGGCCAAAAGTCGCTGACCTCGGCTCCAGGACATTCCTCTAACTCATTTACACTGGTGTTGATTCAGGGCACTGAAGATAATGCGGATTTGTTCTACGTGCTCTGACTAACCCGTAATAAAAGTCTTATTTGAGTTGGTGGCGGTAGAGCCGGCCCTGGGGCCGTGGGTCAGAGCAAGCTTAAACACAAACTGCTTTCATCCTGGTGAGCTGCCCATACAACTCCCCATTTTAAATCTTGCCCTGGGCACTCCATTATATATCAGATATAATTAGTATAGTGAAAACATTATCAGAAATCCGCTACATCTTAGTTTTGGTGATTTTAGCCTTATTCAAGCCAATCCAAAGCAACCGTGAAACTTTGGAACCTTGTGAAAATATCAGCTCACGGCTCCACTAAAGGCACATGCAACAGCATAGGCTGGCAGTTAGCCAACAGTGACCCACAGATCAAATCTGGCCTGTTTTTGTAAATAAAGCTTTATTGAAACCCAGCACGTTCATTCATTCACACAGTGCCCATTCCTGCTTGTATACTACATTGGCAGAGTTGGATAGCTGCAGCAGAGACCATATGGCCAGCAAAACCCAAAATATTTACTCTCTGGCCCTTTGCAGAAGCAGCTTGCTGAAGCCAGGCCTAGGCAATTGTCAGGCTGGGAGCCAGTCTTGCCAGCAATGCCAGCCCCGCTGTCCGTGCCCACCACCCTGGGATCCCAGTCTGCAGACCCCTCATAGTCATTCATGTGGGAAACCACGGCCAGCCCCTCAATTCTCTTCCTCAAAGAGTCAACTACCCATGCATCCAACCCTCAGAGAGAGCCCACCAGGTGTCCCCAGAGGACCCCACTAAATAAAACTTTCCTTCTTGTGCTACTCGGCACTGTGTATGCATCTGGGCATTTTCTGGAATATTGTTTGCTCGCTATAAGAGCAGCAATGCATGACTGGGGACCTATTGAGACGCACAAAGATGAAAAGTTCCTCTCCAGAGAGGCTATGGAGGAATTAGACTCCTGTTGCTTACACTACGGCAGGGGATGCGCGTGGCATGCTGACATGTGTTTTCTGTGCGGCTCAAGTGAGTCTCGGCACCTCCAGGGTTTAGTGAGATGGCCCATCTGGGGTCTCTCTGCCTGAAAAATGGAAAAGCTCTAGAAAAAGCACTCCCACTCACAGAAGAGAGGCCAGGGAGCAAAAGTAGGGTTTATGGGTCAGGACGAAAGGGAAGCATGATTTTGTGTGAAGATGGTCTCTGTAATTCGGTGTCCTTTAACACAGCCCCCTGTGGACTCATACCTGAGTCCTGGCTGGAGGACTGCAGCAAAAGACAGGTGAAATAGAAATGAGCTGTCTTATCAGAACCTCCATACAACGATGAGAGCATAAGGCAGCAACTCTGAAGGATTTCTGCTGAAAGAGGATGCCAACAACAAGGAAAGAGACAGCCTGCTTAGAGAAGATATTTCCATTGTATAAAACGAGGGATTCACGTCTAGAATAAACAGAGCATCTAAAATTAATAAATCTTTTACAAAAAGTTAGTAGATGGTTTGCAAAAGGGGAAGTGCCAACACCCAACATGCAGAGATGCTAAAAGTCACTAGCAATGAACAGAAAAATATCAGAACGAAAAATTAACATCAGAACAGCACACAGGGGAAGGCAGGCCCCTCCCTGCCGCAGGAGAGGATGTGGGGGAACTGGACACTTGTGTGCTGTTGTTGGGCTATGAGTGCACCCTGGGAAGCAATCTGCAGGACTCTGGGAAGCTAAGTTTGCACACACCCATCACTCAGACCCACTCCCAGGGGCCATGTGGAGATTCTGAGACATGAGTCCAAGGGTCCATGCACAAGGATGCCCATTGAGGATGTAGAGGAAGAGGCCACCTAAGTGGTCGTCACTAGAGAAGTGGCTGCATAGGATGTGGTAGCACCCTCTGGAATACATATGGGTAGGAAGAGGCAGCGGGCTGGATGAATGGATCGTGCCAGGGATAGAGCCCAGACAGACGGTGCTTAAGGGAAGAGTGTGGGTGCCCAGGATATCATTCCAGTAGGCATCCACAGTCCATGGGGGGCTGTGTTAAGCACACACGGGCACAAGTGCACACACACAAGTCTACACATTCTACACAGATCCCATCTTCATGCAAGTCCCCAGAGACACAGTCTGAGATGGGATTTGGGTGTGTGTGATGCGCTAAGGGAAGCTTCCAGGAGAACGGAGGTAAGGGAGGGACCCAGAATAGTGCGAGGCTGCAGCTCAGCGAGAACAAGGGTTTGGAGAAAGTCTAGAAAGATCCCCTGGAGCTCTGACGCATCCCAGCTTGGACTTCGCCTTGAGGTAAGGGGACTGGCCTTTTGTCCCCTCTATCAGACAAGCACTGGCTTGGGGACTCCCCCGCACCCAGCGGTGTGCAAAGTCTCAGCCTGGCAGCTCCCTTCAGCAAGAGCGGCCGTCACCATCCCCAGCCCCCGCAGCTGTGAGCTGTCTGCAGCCAACGCTCAGGGCTGCAGAGTGTCAGGTTCACCACCTGGCAAGGGGGTCCAGGTGGGGCTCCATTCCCATCTCCCGCAGGTACAAACACTTGTTGAATATGTTCGAGTAGGTACCAATGGAGGATGGGGACATGGAGAGGGGGCTGCAAGGAAGGACAAAACTACAGAAAAGGTAGCGGTAGCAGCATCTCAGAGGGCTAATGGGGATGTGCCAGGGACAGGAATGCGATTAAGTCGACCCTGAACCTAAGCCCCTCCTTTGTAACTTGTACAAAAGAGGAAGGCACACACAGGGACGGACCCCGGAGCTTGCAGCGTGTCCGGGAATCTGATAGAAACGAGGATGGACCCCCGCCCCCTGCTGGCAGGCAGCGCAGCGCACTTTGCAGGCGGCGAAGAGGCAGTGGCTCTGGCACTGGTTTGTTTGTGAACAAAGAATCCAAAGAATTCAAATCCCCTTTCTGCAAAGTAGAGTAACTATAGCCACAAAACAACTGATCACAGAGGTGAATAGAACCACAAAGCAGGGAGAATTCTAAGCTTCCCTCTGTGTCATCGGCAGGGCAAAGGCAGAGGGAGATGAAACACAGGCACAGCGGCTGCGCTGCAGGAGAGGAAGGCTGGAAACAGCAAACCCCAAATTTTCGGGAACCACAAATGAGTCTAGGGCTCTCATACAAAAATAGATTGCTGCACAACAGAGGGAAGAATTCAAATAGAGACGACTCACATGTGTGTGTCAGGGTGGGGCTATCTCAGCTTTTGTGTGGGAAGCCACTGCAGCTGGTGGTGGCTCTGCCTTGCCCAAGTAAAGCAGAAAGCACTCAGCAAGCCTGGGGCCACACATGCACGTGCTCTGGTGCATGTATGCAGGCACACATATGTACATGACTGCATATGCACACATACATGCAGTGACAGGTGCAGGCGCACACATACATGCAGTGACAGGTGCAGGCACACACATGTGAGAATTTTCTTCTCTTAGTCAAGCTTTGCCTCTTCTGCCTAATGGAATGGCTTTTGGGACCCCTCCATCTCAAAAAGATCTCGAGATAAACAATTCCTTAGGCTTCTACCCACAACTGTTCACTCCTAAGAGCTTAGACACAGGCCAGGGGACTGGGCCCAGGAATCCACCTTTGAAAACACCACAACAGATTCTTCATCTCCTACCAACTCCCAACCCTGCACACACACTCCTTACATTCTCTGCCCAGCCTCAAAAATCCCACATGCAAACAAATGTCTGTGGACCTCTGGTGTGCTTGTCCTCTCGGTCACCAGGCCTGCCCCGACCCGACAAGATCCCATTAATCCACAGAGCTTAGGCCAGTAAGTCTCAAAATGCAGCAGCAGCACCTGGGAGCTGATTAGAAATGCCAGTTCTCGGGACCAGACTCTTCTGGAGTTAGGCCCAGGAAGAGGCGTTTAAATAAGCTCTCCACATGCACATTAAAGATTAAGAATCCCTGCCTTAGGCCACACCTTACCCAGCAAAGGAGAGGGCCACTAAGCACATAGGCCCTACCCTCAGGGAGTTCCAATCTGATGGTGATAGGTCAGCTTCGCTAGAGGCCAAACCTGAGCCAGGCCTCGGAGGCACAGAGAGGATGGAGCACTGTACCCACTGGAAGGGAGGGGGTAGCCAGGACCCTCAGCCTGACCCCACAGAGAGCTCAGGAACAAGGAACTGCACCCCATTTGCACAAGGAGAGCAGCCTTTGTCCCATGCCAACCAGTCATTGACTGTGGGCTGCCCACCCCACTAGGGGTGCTGTGAAGCCTCCTGGGTGAGGCAGCTCTTGTTCCACAGGGGAAACTTCTTAAAGAGGACAGCCGTCTGAGCTGTCAGCAGCCCAGACTCACAACAGCTGGGGACACCAGCCCAGGAAAGGGGACCTAGGAGGGGTCCACTCTCTATTTAGCAGCCTCTGGATCCCTGCAATGTCTCAAGCCTTTAGAGTGTCTGAACCTAGGACTGAGTGCAGAGAAATGGGTCATGATTGAGGTTCCTGAGTGTTTCCTAGGGCTGCTGGAACAAAGTCGCACTAAAGAAGCAAACATTTCTGTTTAAAACAAGAGAAACCTATTCTCTGTTAGTTCTGGAGGTCAGAAGTCCAAAGTCAAAGTGTCAGCAGAGCCACACTCCTCCAAAGTCCCCAGGGAAGGATCCTCCCTGCTTCTTCCAGCTCCTGGCAGCTCCCAGCAGTCCCTGGTGTCCCTTGGCCGGTAGATGCCTCACTGCCAGCTCTGCCTCCATCATTGTGTGGCTTTCTCCCTGTGAGTCTGGGTCTCTGTGTGTCCTCTCCTTTTTTTATAAGGACACCAGTCATTAAGTTCAGGCAACACCCTAATCCAGCAAGATCTCATCTTGATCCTTAACTAATCACATCTGCAAAGACCGTTTCCAAACAAGGTCACATTCACTGCCACCAGGGGCTAGAATTTCAACACATCTTTATGGCAGACCATTCAACTCACAGCACTGAGGATGAGTTAGGAGTCCCACAGGGGCCACCACAGCCTAGGCCAACACTGCAGGGAACTCAGTGTTGGTTTATTGACAAGAAGCTACTGAAATAAAACACTGAGGCCAACTTTCAGAGGCTAAAAGAACAATGACCACCTGGGGCCAACTGGCCTTAAAAAAAGGATAGTTAAGCTGGAAGGGACAGTTCCTTCTACTAGCTGCACTTCTCAGTAGCGCTGGTGGAGTTTGGCTCCACAAAGGTGTCAAGCAACCTGCAAACCCCACAGCAATGGCCATCCCACATGGGGAGCAAGACTGGAGGCGCTTCTGTGGTTGGAGGAGTAGCTGTGGCTCACTGAGCCAGATCCTGTTGTGAAATAGTACCAAGTGGCTTTCCTTCTCTGGAACTCTTTTCCTTGTCTCTGCCCTGCAGTGCTTCCTCCACTAAAGCAAAACCGCAAGTCTGAGGCCTGTGGCAGCAGGGAAGAGCTGACCCAATGAGGAAGCCAGTACATGTATTTAAACTCTGGAACTTGGACCTTTGGAGTGAATTTCTGGCAATTGAGACATGGTCTTAATTGGTCTTGGAGGCATGGTCTTAAAGACCATGATTTTCATTTATAAAATCCAGACAGGTGAGAGGAAAAAGATCTTTTGTTGTATTTCAAGAAACATCAAGAGCCAGCCAGGAGGGTCCCAGAGCAAAGAGCTCAACAAACCACGGCACATGGTGAGGACAATAGCCCTCCTGGGTGGGAGCTGCAGATCTCACAGGAGGGAAGCAAGCAAGGTGAGAGGAGGGGGAGGCCTGCACCCTCCCTTGAGATCACACCCAGCAGGTTTGAGGGCTTGAGGGTCCAAGAGCAGAACTGATTTTCCTGAATATCCAGGAGGAAGCTGCCTCCTGAGCCACATATGGTGGTGTATTATATTAGGCAGGCCCTCCAGAGAAACAGATAGGGGATATACACACACAGAGATGACTGACAGATAGATAGATAGATAGATAGATAGATAGATAGATAGATAGATAGATAGATAGATAGATAGATAATACAGTATTGACTCATTCAATCGTGGAGACTGAGAAGTCCCATTATATGCCACCTACAGCTAGAGACCCAGGAGTCAATGGTATAGGTCAAGGCCTGAGAAGCGCAGAGCTGGTGCTGTGATTTCCATTTCAAGTCTGAAGGCTGAGAACCACGAGTGCTGAGGATGGAAGATCAAAGTCCCAGTTCAAGCAGTCAGAAGAAGACACAGAGAAAGAACCCTCCCTTCCTCTACCTTTTTATTCTACTCAGGCCTGCAACAGATTGGGTGGCCTGCACCCACATTGGAGAGGGCCATCTGCTTGACTCAGTCCACCAATTCAGATGCTAATCTCTTCCGGAAACACCCTCACAGACTGTGGAGAAAGAATGTTTGGTGAGATATCTGGACGTCCCTTGGCCCAATCAAGTTGCCACATAAAATTAACCATCACAGTTGGTTCCTATAATGCAGAAATGGGAGCAGAGATGATTCAGGCAGACAGGATGCCGAGAGGACCCATCCTCCCAACACCCTCACTCCTGCAGGATGTGGAAACCCAGAAGTCCCCAAACGTTGGATTCGAATGCCAAAGGGAGCTGAGAATTGAGGGCTGGTGTGCCTGGTAGGGAGGTGACCATGATGTAAGGCCAGGGACTATGTGGGCAGCCCAAACTAGGAACTAGACAAAGTCATGGCTGAATCTGCAGAAGCTGAGCTAAGAACTGGGTGGGGACAGAGCCAACAAGGATGAGTGCCCAGCTCTCCTGGACCAATTACAGCCTGTTGCCCACTGGCCCGAGGTCAACTCCCAGACCAGACATTTGCCTCCTTGCCATGTTTGCTAGAACACAGATCACCTTAGGGAAAAAGAAAGGAGTAGAGGAACTTGGAATCCTAAAGTAATTGAAAGATACAGAGCTTTAAACCAGGACTGACAGAATTGCCTGGAATTGGCAAGATTAAGTTCCCTACCATTAGCAGAAATGAGGGTTTGTGAGCTAAATTAAGCTCAATTATAAAACAATAAAGAAAGTTACATTTCTGCACACCGGAGTTTTATGGTTGTGAAATTTGTACCTACCATACAAGAACTGTAATTGCAGTTCAAGGCAATGTGTGATATATGCCATGTCAATTGTAGTGTTTTATGATTTCAAGAAAAGGAGAAAGCGTGCCTACTGGAGTTTTAGGACCTGCTCTGTTTATAGTTCAGCCTCTCCATCTTATAGATTACCTGACACCTTTCCTCAAACATAACTTCCCATAACTGTATTAGTTATGATTCCTTCTGCTGCAAGTGACAAAACTCTAACTCAAATCAGATTAAGAAAAGAAAAAAGAATTTATTAACTCACAAAACTAAAGAATCCAGAGGGAGCTCCAGTTTCAGGTACAGCTTGATCCAGGGCTCAAATGACTTCCCTGGGCTGGAGCTCCTGTCTAAATTTCTCAACTATGCTTTCCTGGTGTTCAGTTCATGCACAGGACTCATGTGTTGACAAACTATCTTCCATAATTCCAGTCCCGTGATCCTTTCACATTCATACCAACAGGAAAGGAGAATATGTTTCACTGACAGTTCCAACAAAAGCATGAGAACTGAAACTTCTTAGCTGTCATGGGCAGGATTCATATCATCTGACCATTAGGAAGTCAGTCACTCTGGCAGATGTATGGAACGTGCTGATTGGCTTAAACATGGAGTCAGTTTTACCCACAATGCATCCCTGGAGAATTGTGGAGCAATGATACCCCATGGGGCAAGGAGAAGATGTTGATGGGAAAAACAACAAATGTCCAGCATTCTCTCTCACATTCTGGCACACAGTTTTGTTACTTTTCCTTCCAAGACAGACAATTCCTAGGCCTGGGATATGCTCCATTTGTTTTCCCGTCACAGAGCTATGTAAAGACTCTGATGGGCTCCTAGGATTAATGTCACTGCCTGTGAGTAATAGAAACCAATGCAAGTTACCTTCAGAGGAACAAAAGAAAAAGAGAGGAAAAGAGGACATACTATCAAGCCACAGAGGAGTCTCACAGATCCTAAGAACAGGTTTGCATCAAGCCTCAGGAAGAGATGGAAACATGCCCTGTAAAACCACAGGGACCTGGGAAGTGCCCTTTCTGTTTTCTGTCTCTTGTTCCTTCTGCATGGCTTTGGGGCTCAGAAAACAATACCCCAACATGAAGGCCTTAGAAGCAAAGTTTTTCTCTGACCTCCTACCACCCTGTCTCTCAGACTCAATTTCCCCTGAGGCTAGCCATGGAAACTAGAATCCCTCTTCCCCAAGGCAAACCGTAGAAACCACAGCCTCCTTTCCTGAAAGCTATCCATAAAACCTAAAATTATTACGCTAGCTTTCCCTTTCCCGTTCTGAATAAAAACTGGCCATAAAGAAAATTATCGGACCTACCTTGTCTGACTGTAGATCATAAGATGCCTATTGCAGAGAAGGTCCTGCCCCATCCCCAGAAGGAAGGAACAGTGCTCAGAGAGGCCAAGAAGAATCTAGTCAGATAGGCTTTGTTGGGTTTTCCCACTCAGTCTATTAGCATTAGGTCACACCCTTTTTCTCCAATCGTATTTCTACATGGCTGTCCATACTTTGTTGTACCTAAACATAAAAATGGACAGCTTCTCCTAAAGGGGGCCTCATTCTCAAGGCTCCCGTGTACACACATTAAGTCAATATATATGCCTTTTCTCCTATTCATCTTTCTTTTGTGAATTAATTTTTCAGTGAACCTTCAAGGGGCTGAGGGAAACCTACCCCTTGGACCCTATAATGTCTATGCCAGTCTTTTCTCTCGTTTTAGCCAGTGCTTCCTCTGCTTCTCTGTCTGCATGGTGGAACATGGCTGCCTCATAGCTCCAGACATTGAGGTAATGAACATTTGGTAGCTTGAGATTGTCTCTTACTTTTGCTTTCCCTATTTTTCTAAATGCTTGACTTTTACCTCTAGCTCTGGGTGAGCGACCGTCAGAGCATCACATTTTCCCACCTATGGGGAGTGGTTCGGCTATAGACATGTGATTCAATCAGAGTCAGTGAGATGCAAAGAGACTCTTGCTAGGACTTTGGGTAATGAAGGATGCGCTCTTCCCCTTGGACTCAAACTTGGGAGTTGTAAACTGGAGCTTCTGTAGCCTTCTTGACACCACAATCTGAGATTGCACCAACCCAGAAGAAACAGTCGGGAAATGGAAAAAGAACCTTAGTCCTGTTGCAATTTTTAGATCTTTGGATCAATCTAAACCTCCACTGAGTTTTACCTTTAGACTTTTCAGTCATGGAGTCAATAAATCCTCTTCTGTTTAAGCCACTTAGACTGGATGTCAGCCACTTGCACCTGAAATAATTCTGATATGCCATGTTGATATGTTGCCATTTAAGTAACACATAGTATTTCTTGATGAAAATCCAAGTTCGCAGGAAAAAGAATCTACCTGGCCCAACATGGGTCACGTGTCAATACTCAGTCCAACCAACTGTGGCCAAGGAGGTTTGTGTGAGCAGGAGGAAGGGGCATCGCTCAGAGCCAGGAGACATACTGCCATATGCAATTTATCCCAGTGTGTTTGATGCTTAGATGCCTTTCCTGATCCTGGAGTGAAAACAGTAATTCTACCTACTTGCTTTATATTCCTAGTATGTTGATGCATCTCACTACATCTAAGACTAACAATGTAATATATTGGGCTGTACAGGACATTTCTCTTTGAGGGTACCTCCACTAGCAGAGAATACAGTTGTCATTTTTCTAAGAGTTGCCATGCTTCACTCTGAGTCATCAGCATATTCTCCACCAGTGTCCCTGGCTGCAGTGGTTTTCTCTTTGCTGAGGAAGCTTCACAATTAGCATATGATGGGGACAATGTACAATTAAATACTGGTGTAGGAGTGACATACATCAGCCTTAACACTGTAGAGGAACTGGAGACCATCTTCCTCAAGTATACCCTCCCAATATATGTCTCGTGTGCAGAGTATACCTTTCAGCAGCCAACTTCCAAACACAGCCAACAATGAGCAAATACTTAAATCCTTCAGAAGTCTTTATAGGTTAATTGGATTTATTTCTTACCTTGTGTTATAAACTGAATGTTTGTGCCCCCCTTAAACTCATATAATGAAGCCTTAAACCCTATTGTGATGACATTTGGAGGGGGATCTTTGGGAGGTAATTAGGTTTAGATGAGGTCATGAGGGTAGGGCTCCCATGATGGGCTTAGTGTCCTAATAATAGGAGACCAGAACGCTGTCTCCATCATGCGAGGACGCAGTAAGAAGGCAGCTCTCTGAAAGCCAGGAAGAGGGCCCTCAACAGACACTGACCATGCTGGCACCCTGGTGCTAGACTTCTGGCTTCCAAAAGGTAAGAAATAAACATCTGTTGATTAAGTCACGAGTTTATAGTATTTTGTAATAGCAGCCTGAGCAGACTAAGACGCCTTGACCTAAAAAGTTGGATGAAGAGTCATCCAGGAAATGAGGAAGAAGGAAGCCTTTATCTTCATGTGGATATTTGAGTCCAATGTGGATATAAATCTATTCTTATATACGTGGGAAAGTTTTTCTCAGACACAGCTTGCATTCAAAGGTTATTTACGTCATCAAAATGCTTTCAGACTTGCAAATTAGTGAGGATTGCGGCAGTACTCATGTAAACAGGGAACAAGTGCAGGATGCTGTGAGCAATAACCAGAAGCAAGTGGCTGTGCAATATTGAGTGACAAGAGGGGAATAAAATGAAACAGAAGAAAGCCATTTATTGAATACTATGTGTATCCAATTACTATGTGTATCAATCAGGGTTCAATCAAAGAAGCAGAATCCAGGAGATATATAGGCATACATACATGTATATAATATGTATGTGAGGACATCTATTATATGTTACATATTATATATAGTATCTTGTCATATATATTTTAAATTATATATTGCAGTATAGTTTATAATTGAATATTATATATTAGGCATTATATATAATATAAAGAGGGTTTTTAAAATTTTTCATTTTCTTGGGTACCATAGCAGGTGTATGTAGTTATGGGGTCATGAGATATTTTGATACAGGCATACAATGCATAATAATCACATTAGGGTAAGTGGAGTATCCATCACCTCAAACATTTATCCTTTCTTTGTGTTATAAAAATCCAGTTATACTTTTTTAGTTATTTTTAAATGTACAATAAATTATTGCTGACTGTAGTCACCCTGCTGTGTTATCAAATACTAGGTCTTATTCATTCTATCTAACTATATCTCTGTACACATTAATCGTCCCCCTTTTCGTGCTCCACTTCTGGTAGCCATTGTTCTACTCTACCTCCATGAGTCAACTGCTTTAATTTTTAGCTCCCACAAAGAAGTGAAAACATGCAAAGTTCTGTGCCTGGCATATTTCACAACATAACAATCCCCAGTTCCATCCATGTTGTTGCAAATAACAGGATCTCATTCTTTTTTATGACTGAATAGTACTCCCATTGTGTATATGTACCACATTTTTTTTTATCCATTTGTCTGCTGATGGACATTTAGATTGCTTCCAAATCTTGGCTATTTTGAGCAGTGCTGCTTAACAGAGGAGTGCAGAAATCTCTTTAATATACTGATTTTCTTACCTTTGGGTATATACCCAGCAGTGGGATTGCTGGATCATATAGTACTCAATTTTTAGTTTTTTCAGGAACCTTCAAACTGTTCTCCATAGTTGTTGTACCCACAAAAGTAACTAATTGGTAGTAAGTAGTCTTAATAGTAATTAACAGTCCCACCAACACTGCACAAGGGTTCACTTGTCTCCACATTCTTGCCAGCATTTGTTATTGCCTATCTTTTAGATAAAAAGCCATTTTAACCGAGGTGAGATGATATTTCATTGTAGTTTGATTTGCATTTCTTAATGATCAGTGATGTTTAGTACCTTTTCATATATCTGTTTGCCATTTATATGTCTTCTTTTGAGAAATGCCTATTTAGATCCTTTGACTATTTTTAAATTAGATTATTAGCTTTTTTCCTATAGCGTTATTTGAACTTCTTATGTATTCTGGTTATTAATTCCTTGTCGGGTGGATAGTTTGCAAACATTTTCCCCTATTCTGTGGGTTGTCTCTTCACTTTGCTGTTTGCTGTGCAGAAGCCTTTTAACTTGATATGATCCTCATTTGTCCATTTTTTCCTTTGATTGCCTGGGCTTATGGGATATTACTCAAGAAATGTTTGCCTTGTTCAATGTCTGGGAGAGTTTTCTTTTTTTTTTTGTTTTTGAGACGGAGTCTCGCTCTGTCGCCCAGGCTGGAGTTCAGTGGCACAATCTCGGCTCACTGCAAGCTCTGCCTCCTGGGTTCACTCCATTCTCCTGCCTCAGCCTCCTGAGTGGCTAGGACTACAGGCGTCTGCCACCACGCCAGGCTAATTTTTTTGTATTTTTAGTAGAGACGGGGTTTCACCATGTTAGCCAGGATGGTCTCGATCTCCTGACCTCATGATCCGCCCACCTCGGCCTCCCAAAGTGCTGGGATTACAGGCGTGAGCCACCGCGCCTGGCCGAGAGTTTTCTTTCAATAGTTTCATGGTGTGAGGTCTTAGATTTAAGTCTTTAATCCATTTTGATTTGATTTTTATATATGGTGAGAGACAGGGGTCTAGTTTCATTCTTCTGCATATGGATATACAGTTTTCCCAGCACCATTTATTGAAAAGATTGTCTTTTCCCCAAGGTATGTTCTTGGCACCTTTGTCAAAAATGAGTTCATTGTAGATTTATGCATTTATTTCTGGGTGCTCTATTCTGTTTCATTGGTATATGTGTTTGTTTTTATGCTAGGACCATGCTGTTTTGGTTACTACAGATTTTGTAGTATAATTTGGAGTCAGGTAATGTGATTCCTCCAGTTTTGTTCTTTTTTTCTCAGGATAGCTTTGATTATTCTGGGTCTTTTGTGTTCAATATAAATTTTAGGAATTTTAGAATTGTTTTTTCTATTTCTGTGAAGAATGGGGTATTTTTAAAGGGATTACATTGAATCTGTAGATTGCTTCAGGCAGTATGGACATTTTAACAATATTGATTCTTCCAATTCATGAATGTAGAATATCTTTCTTTTTTTGTGTCCTCTTCAATTCCTTTCATCAATGTTTTATACTTTTTATTGTAGAGATCTTTCACATCTTTCTTTAAGGTAATTTTCAAGTGTTTTATTTGTAGCTATTATAAATGGTATAAATGAGATTACTTTCTTGATTTCTTTCTCAGACCGTTTGCTGTTGGCATATAAAAATACTACTGATTTTTGTATGTTGATTTTGTATCCTGAAATTTTACCAAATTTGTTTTATCAGTTCTAACAGTTTTTGGTGGAGTCTTTAAGTTTTTCCAAGTGTCATATCATCTGCAAACAAGGATAATTTCACTCCTTCCTTTCCAATTTGGATGCCCTTTATTTCTTTCTCTTATCTAATCACTCTAGTTTGGATTTCCAGTACTATGTCAAATAACAGTGGTGAAAGTGGTCATCCTTGTCATGCTCCAGATCTTAGGGAAAAGGCTTTCAGTTCTTCCCCATTTAATATGATACTAGCTGTGGGTCTGTCATATGTGGTCATATATGGCCTTTACTGTGTTGACACATGTTCCCTCACAGGGTTTTTTATTGCAAAGGGGTGTTAAATTTTATGAAATGTTTTTTCAGGATCAATTGAAATAATTATATGGTTTTTGTCCTTCATTCTGTTGATATGATGTATCACATTGATTTGCATATGTTGAACCATCCTTGCTTCCTTGGAATAAACCCCACTTGGTCATGATGAATGATCTTTTAAATGTGTTGTTGAACTCAGTTTGCTAGTATTTTGTAGAGGATTTTTGCATCAATGTTCATTGGGGATATTGGTCTGTAGTTTTCTTTTTTTATGTGTCTTTTTCTGGTTTTGGTATCAGGGTAATACTGGCCTCATAGAATGAGTTGGAAAGTGTTCCCTCTATTTTGTGAAATAGTTTGAGTAGGATTCTTATTAGTTCTTTTTTAAATGTTGATAAAATTCAGCAGTGAAGCCATCACATCCCAGGCTTTTCTTTGCTGGTAGAATTTGTATTACAGCTTAAATCTTGTTATTTGTTATTGGTCTGTTCACGTTTTGGATTTCTTCATAGTTTAATCTTGGGAGATTTTATGTGTCTAGGAATTTATCTACTTCTTGTAGGTTTTCCAATTTATTGCCATATAGTTGCTCATACTAGCTTCTAATAATCCTGGAGTTTCTGCAGTATCAGTTGAAGTGTCTCCCTTTTCTTCTCTGATTTTATTTATTGGGTCTTCTCTCCATTTTTCTTAGTCTGGCTAAAGTTTTGTCCATTTTGTTTATGTTTTCACAACCAACTTTTTATTTAATTGATCTTTTGTATTTTCTTCATTTCATTTATTCCTGCTTTAATCTTTATTATTTCTTCTACTAATTTTGGGTTTGGTTTGCTCTTGCTTTTCTAGTTCTTAAAGATGCATTATTAGGTTGATTATTTAAAGTATTTCTACTTTTTGATGTAAGTGCTTATACCTATAAACTTTCCTCTTACTACTGCTTTTGCCTTATCCCATAGGTTTTGGTATATTGTGTTCCCATTAACATTTGTTTCAAGAAAATTTTTTCGATTTCCTTCTAGTTTATTCATTGACATACTGGTCATTCAGCAGTACAGTGTTTAATTTCCATGTGTTTGTATAGTTTCCAAAATTTCTTTTCTTAGTAATTTCTAGTTTTATTCCATTGTCTGAGAATTGTCAGACAATTTTATTCCATTGTCTGAGAAGATGTCTGATGTAACTTTGATTTGTTTGAATGTTTTAAGACCTGTTTTGTGGCTGATATGGTTTGGCTCTGTGTCCCCACCAAAATCTCATCTTGTAGCTCCCATAATTCCCATGTATTGTGGGAGGGACCCGGGGGAGATGATTGAATTATGGAGGTGGACCTTTCCAGTTCTGTTCTCATGATAGTGAATGGGTCTCATGAGATCTGATGGTTTTAAAGCCAGGAGTTTTTCTGTACATGCTCTCTCTTTGCCTGCTGCCATCCACATAAGATGTGACTTGCTCCTCCTTGCCTTCTGCCATGATTGTGAGGCATGCCCAGCCATGTGGAACTGTAAGTCCAATAAACCTCTTTCTTTTGCAAATTGCCCAGTATCAGGTATGTCTTTATCAGCAGTGTGAAAATGGGCTAATACACTAAATTGGTACCAGTAGAGTAGGACATTGCTGAAAAGGTAACTGAAAATATGGAAGCAACTTTGGAACTTGGTAACAGGCAGAGGTTGGAAGAGTTTGGAGGTCTCAGAAGAAGAGAGGAAAATATGGGAGAGTTTGGAACTTCCTAGAGACTTGTTGAATGGCTCTGACCAAAAACCTGATAGTAATGTGGACAATAAGGTCCAGGCTGAGGTGGTCTCAGATGAGATGAGGAACTTGTTGGGAAATGGAGCAAAGGTGATTCTTATTATGTTTTAGCAAAGAGACTGGCAGCATTTTGCTCCTGCCCTAGAAATCTGTGGAACTTTGAACTTGAGAGAGATGATTTAGGGTATCTTGCAGAAGAAATTTCTAAGCAGCAAAGCGTTCAAGAGGTGACTTGGGTGCTGTTAACAGCATTCAGTTTTATAAGGGAAGCAGAGCATAAAAGTTCAGAAGATTTGCAGCTTGACAATGTGATAGAAATGAAAAACCCATTTTCTGAGAAATTCAAGCAGGCTGCAGAAATTTGCATAAGTAACAGGAGCCACGTGTTAATCCCTAAGACAATGGGGAAAATGTCTCCAGGGCATGTCAGAGGTCTTTACATCAGCCCCTCCCATCACAGGCTCAGAGGCCTAGAAGAAAATGGTTTCGTGGGCTGGGCCCAGGGTCCCCGAGCTTTGTGCAGCCTAGGGACTTGCTGCCCTGTGTCCTAGTTGCTCCAGCCATGGCTGAAAGGGGCCAACGTACAGCTTGGGCCATGGCTTCAGAGAGTGCAAGCCCCAAGCCTTGGCAGCTTCCATGTGGTGTTGAGCCTGCAAGTGCACAGAAGCCAAAACTTGGGGTTTGGGAACCTCTGCCTAAATTTCAGAAGATGTATGGAAATGCCTGGATGCCCAGGGAGAAGTTTGCTGCAGGGGTGAGGCCCTCATGGATAAACTCTGCTAGGGCAATGTGGAAGGGAAATGTGGGGTCAGAGTCCCCACGCAGAGTCTCTACTGGGGCACTGCTTAGTGGAGCTGTGAGAAGAGGACCACCATCCTCCAGACCCCAGAATGGTAGATCCACTAACAGCTTGCACTGTTTGCCTGGAAAAGCCACAGACACTCAACACCAGCCCATGAAAGCAGCTGGGAGGGAGGTGTATCCTGCAGAGCCACAGGGGCGGAGCTGCCCAAGACCATGGGAACCTACCTCTTGCATCAGTGTGAACTAGATATGAGACATGGAGTCAAAGGAGATCATTTTGAAGCTTTAAGATTTGACTGCCTCACTGGATTTTGGACTTGAATAGGGCCTGTAATCCCTTTGTTTTGGCTGATTTCTCTCATTTGGAATGGCAGTATTTACCCAATGCCTATACCCACATTGTGTCTAGGAAGTAACTAATTTGCTTTTGATTTTACAGGCTCACATGCAGAAAGAACATGCCTTGTCTTGGATGAGACTTTGTACTGTGGACTTTTGAGTTAATGCTGAAATGAGTTAAGACTTTGAGGGACTGTTGGAAGGGCATGATTCGTTTTGAAATGTGAAGATATGAGATTTGGGAGGGTCCAAGAGTGGAATGATATGATTTTGCTCTGTGTCCCCACCCAAATCTCATCTTGTAGCTCCCATAATTCCCACGTGTTGTGGGAAGGACCCAGTGGGAGATCATTGAATTATGGAGGTAGGTCTTTCCAGTGCTGTTCTCATGATAGTGAATAGGTCTCATGAGATCTGACGGTTTTAAAAGCAGGAGTTTTTCTGCACAAGCTCTCTCTTTGCTTGCTTCCATCCATGTAAGATGTGACTTGCTCCTCCTTGCCTTCCACCATGATTGACAGGCCTCCCTAGCCATGTGGAAATGTAAGTCCAATAAACTCTTTTGTAAATTGCCTAGTCTCAGTTATGCCTTTATCAGCAGTGTGAAAATGGACTAATACAGTGGCCTAACCTTGTGAATGATCCAAGTGGTGAGGAGAAGAAAGTGTATACTGCAACCGTTGGATGAAATGTTCTGTAAATACCTATTAGGTTCATTTGGTCTATAGTGCAGATTAAGTCTAATGTTTCTTTGTTGATTTTCTGTCTGGAGGATCAATCCAATGCTGAAAGGGTGTTGAAGTCTCCAGTTATTATTTTATTGGGGTTTATCTCCTTAGTTCTAATAATATTTGCTTTATATATCTGAGTGCTTCAGTGCTGAGTACATATATATATTTATAGTTGTTACATCCACTAGCTGAATTGACTCCTTTATTACTGTATAATGACCTTCTTTGTCTTTTTTTCCCTTGAAATCTATTTCATCTGTTATAAATATAGCTACTCCTCTTTAACTATTTTCTTGGTTTCCATTAGCATGGAATATCTTTTTCATCCCTTTATTTTCAGTCTATTTGTGTCTTTATAGGTGAAGTGTGCTTCTTGTAGGCAATAGATCATTGGGTCTTTTTTTTTTAATCCATTCAGCTACCTTGTATTTTGATTGGAGAGTTTAGTCCTTTCACATTTAGTGTTATTATTGATAAGTAAGGACTTATTCCTGCCATTTTGTTGTTTTCTGGTTGTTTTGTGGTCTTCTCTTCCTTCTATCCTTCCTTTTAGTGAAGGTGATTTTTCCTGGTGGTATGTTTTAATTCCTTGCTTTTATTTTTGGTATATCTGTTGTCTATTTTTTATTTGAAGTTACCATAATGCTTACAAATAATATCTTATAACTCATTATTTTAAGCTGAGGACAATTTAACACTGACCTCATAAGCAAAGAAACTAACAAACAAGCAAGGAGAAAACTAATAAAAACTCTACACTTTAACTTTGTCCCTCCACTTTTTAACTTTTTGTTGTTTCTATTTATATCTTATTGTACTATGTCTTGAAAAGTTGTGGTAGTTATTATTTTTTATCAGTTCTTTGAGTCTTTCTACTCAAGATATAAGTGGTTTACACACCCCAATTACAATGTTAGAATATTCTGTGTTTTTCTGTGTACTTACTATTACCAGTGAGTTTTACACCTTCAGATGATTTCATGTTGCTCATTAATGTTCTTTTCTTTCTAATTGAAGAACTCTCCATAGCATTTTTTGTAGGACAGGTCTGGTGTTGATGAAATACCTCAGCTTTTGTTTGTCTGGGAAAGTCTTTATTTCTCCTTCACGTTTGAGGGATTTTTTTTTTTTTTTTTTTTTGCCAGATATGCTATTCTAAGGTTAAAGGTTTTTTCCTTCAGCACTTTAAATGTGTTGTGTCACTCTCTCCTGGCCTGTCAGGTTTCCACTGAAAAGTCTGCTACCAGACATATTAGAGCTAAATTATATGTTATTTATTTCTTTTCCCTTGATGCTTTTAGGATCCTTTATCCTTGACCTCCGGGAGTTTGATTATTAAGTGTCTTGAGTGAGTCTTCTTTGGGTTAAACCTGCTTGGTGTTCTATAACCGCCTTGCACTTGAATATTGATATCTTTCTCTAAGTTTGGGGAGTTCTCCGTTATTATCCCTTTGAATAAAGTTTCTACCCCTATCTCTCTCTGTACCTCCTCTTTCAGGCCAAAACTCAGATTTGCCCCTTTGAGCCTATTTTCTAAATCTTGTTGGCATGCTTTATTTTTTAAATTCTCTTTTCTTTTGTCTTCTCTGACTGTGTATTTTCAAGTAGCCTGCCTTCAAGCTTACTCAGTTTTTCTTCTACTTGATCAATTCCACTTCTGAAAGCCTGTGATGCAGTCTTCAGTGTTGCAATTGCACTTCTCAACTCCAGAATTTCTCCTTGATTCTTCTTAATTATTTCCATCTCTTTATTAAATTTAATGTAATAGAATTCCGAATTCCTTCCCTGTGCTGTCTTGAATTTCTTTGCGTTTCCTCAAAACAACTATTTTAAATTCTCTGTTTGAAAGGTCAGATATCTGTCTCTCTGAGATTGGTTCCTGGCAAGTATTTAGTTCATTTGGTGAGGTCATGTTTTCCTGGATAGTCTTGATACTTGTGGGTGTTCACTGGTGTCTGGACATTGAAGAGTTAAGTATTTATTGTAGTCTTTGCAGTCTGGGCTTATTCGTACCTGTCCTTCTTGGGAAGGCATTCCAGATATTTGAAGTGACTTGGGTGTTTAAATCTATTTTTTGGTCATTGCAGCCCTATTTGCATTAGGAGGCATCCCACACCCAGTAATGCTGTGGCTCTTGCAGACTCATAGAGGTGCTGTCTTGGTGACTTGGATAAGATCTGGAAGAATTCTCTGGATTACCAGGCAGAGACTCTTGTTCTCTCCCCTTACTTTCTCCCAAACAAACAGAGTCTCTCTCTTTCTGTGCTGAACTGCCTGGGGCTGGGGGAGGGATGACACAAGCACCCCCATGGCCACCACCACTGAGACTGCACTGGTTCACATCTGAAGACAGCATGGTACTGGGTCTCACCCAAGGCCTGTGGTATCCATTGCCTGGCTACCTCCTATGTTCACTCAAGGCCCTAGGTCTCTACAATCAGCAGGTGGCAAAGCCAGCTAGGCTTGTGTCGTTCTTTTCAGGGCAGCTAGATCCCCCAGGGCTGGGTAGATCCAGAGATGCCATCCAGGAGCCAGTGTCTTGAGTCAGAATCTTTAGAAGTCTACGTGGCATTCTATCGTACTGCAGCTGAGCTGGCACCCAAAACACAAGATGCAGTCCTTCTTCCCTCCACTTTCCAAAGGCAGAGGAGCCTCACCCTGTAGCCACCACCACCACAAGCCACAGGGAGTATTGCCAGATTATCACTGATGTTCCTGTAAGGCCCAAGGGCTCTTAAATCAACTTGTGGTGAATGCTGCCTGGCTTGGGGCTCACCCTTCAGGGCAGTGGCCTCCCCATTGGCCCCAGGCATGTCCAGAAATGTTATCCAAAAGTCAAGTCCTGGAATCAGGGACCCCAAGAACCCACTTGGTGATCTAAACCACTGTAGCCGAGCTGGTACCTAAGGTGCAAGACAGAGCCCCCTGTATTTTTCCCTCTCCTTTTCTCAGTCAAGCAAGAGTTTCACCCCATAGCCACCCCAACTGGGAATATGCTGAGTCTCACCTGAAGTGAGCAAGTCTCAGCAACTCAACCAAGGTCCTCGACATAGTACCTGAGTATTGCCACTGGTTATTCAGGGCGCAAGGGCTCTTCAGTTAGCAGGTGATAAATCCTGCCAAGACTGGGTCCTGTCCTTCAAGGCAGTGGATTCTCTTCTGGCCCAGAGTGTGTCCAGAGATGTCACCCAGGAGCCAGGTCCTGGAATAGGGACCTCAGGACTCTATCCTACTGTACCTTGTACCCTATCCTACTGTGGATGAGCTGGTATCCAAGTTTCAAGACAAAATCCTCTTTTCTCTTTTCTCTCCTCAAGTGGAGGGAAGGAATCTCTTCTGGAGTTTTGAGCTGTGATGGCTGGAATTGGATTAAAGGTGATGTAAGCACTCCATTCACTATCTCACTGGCTCACGTGTCCCCCAGGTCCACTGGCTTTGAGCCCAGCACAGCAGCAGGACTTGCCCAGCAATTGCAGTCCTTGTGGCCTAGACTGTGTTTCAAGTTTATTTACGACCCGAGAGCACTTTAGCCCACAGTGATGAGTCTTCCCTGAATTCAGATTGGGCTATTACCCTCTGGTTTGAGCTGGTCTAAATGTTTCTTTCATGGGCACCAGTTGAATTCTTCCAGATGTTGCTCTCTGACAGGGAAGCACTGAGTATTCCAACACAGTCTCATGATCACTACACTCTTCTTACCCTAAATGCACAGATTCTCCATGCCACAAGGTCACTGCTGGAGGATGGGGAAGGGGTGGAATCAGCAATTTAAGACTGCCTTTCCTACCCTCTTTAGTGCCTTTTACAGTAATCACCTGATTTTTTGGTTCTTATAAAGGTGCTTTCTGTGTGGATAGTTGTTCAATTTGGTGTTCCTACAGGGAGGACAATCAGTGAGCTTCTGTTTGGCCATGTTCCTCTGCCTCTCTCTCCTATAAACAGGGATTTGACCTTACATAGTTGCAGGAGCTGGTTAAGTGGCATCTGCAAAGCTGTTGTCCTGGAGTCTGATGACGATGCTTGAGGTCTACAAGGCAGGCAAGCAGGAAGAGAAGATGGTTATAAACTAGAAGAGGGGCATGGGCAAGGTGGTACCCAGAGGACAAACTGGATCTCATAACATATCAGTTTTTATTGCTTCTAAGGTTTATGATGCAGGAGTCCTGAAGAAGTTTAGGCCTTTGTCAGGGAGCTAAGCACACACTAGTGCAGGAGAGCTACAGGCTGCCGGTCAGGTTGCTGCCTAATGCCAGCCAGCCAATGGGCCAGCAACCATGCATGTGAGCTTAAAAAATACAAAAAAGCTGCCACTTTACTTCCACCTTCCAAATCTCCCATAAGACTCTCTCCTGAGGCCTGCCCTGACCAAAACATAAGGGAATTCTGAGAAACGTAGTTCAGTCTAGCCAGCACAACACATTACAAATGAATGATCTCAGGATGGCTGCATAAAAATTACCCTAACAGTGATGTAAAGCTATTTGTTATGCTCATATATTCAGGGGTTTAGAAACTGAAATAACGCGGTGTGACCATGACTCATCTCTGCTCCGCGATATCTAGGACCTTGAACACTGGGGGCAGAAGTGATCTGAAGGCTTGTTCACTCACTTGTCTGGTAGGTGATGCTAGTGGAGTCTAGGAGCCCAGCTCCTCTTCATGTGGACTTCTCCTTGTTTGTCCTCACAGAGCTGCAAGTGGTTCCAAGGGTAAACATCTGAGAGAGGGCCAGGTCCATATAAAGGGAGGTTGTACCCTTTAAGCTTTGGTCACGTACTGTCACTTCCACCATTTTCTCATGATTGGAGCAGTCACAAGTCTCACATTCATAGGGAAGAAACACAGACATGACTTCTCTGTGGGAAGATAGACAATTGCATTGAAATAAGAGCATATGAGGGGATATATGTACATACTACACATGTGGCCATCACTGGAAAACTCACCTGCCACAGTGACAATAGTGAATAGTGCTTGACATCATTGCATATTACAGGGAAAATCATCACAGTGTCATTTTGTTTAATTTGGAAATTAATTTTATTCTGACAATGTAGGATAAAAAATTCAACCAACTCTTAATGTACTGTGCTCCAAACACTGGAATAATCCAAGGCTTTCAGAGGATGTAAAGGGGCAAAAAATAAGTAAAGATTACACATCACAGATGCATTAAAACACTTTTCCTTGTAAGTGCCCAACTCAAAGTGGCTTAAAGCACAAGAGAAAAGTTATTGGTTTGTATAAGTGGAAAGTCCAAGGAATGTTTCTGATTTCAGGAAGGGTTTGATTCATGGATTAAGAATTCTGACTGACCCTATTCCTCCTGACCCAGCTTGGCTCCATCATTTTCAGTGAGGATCCCATCCTAAAAGAGAAGTCTACACTGACCTTAGGACTTTTAATTATTGATAAAAATAACATTTTTCCTGATCATGCCAGCAAAATGCCTGGGAAACCCTCTGATTGGTCTACCTTGGGTCATATTCTCATTGCTGAACCAATTACAGTGACCAGAGACATGGATAAGTTTTATTGGCTATCCCTGGGACCAGCTAGAATACATAGTTTTAACCATACCACAAGGACAGAGTAGGGACTAGACAGTAGCTCAGGAATGTTTCCCAGATAAGGAGATGTGGAGCAGACTAAAACATTCAGCTTCCCTACCCCAAGGAGAATGATATCATCATTACTAATATTTCAATGGTCAATGAATAGCTAATTAGTTACGTATGTGGATATCCACATGATTCGCTTTAAAATAAAATAATTTTACTTTGTAGGAATATAAGAAAAAGAGCATCTTAAGTAAATATAAAGAACACTACTTAATTCCCCAGAGGAAATTGTATACTAATATTAGTTGCAACCCAGCCACTGAGAAACTATTACACCTCACATCCGCATACATGAGCTCAAGTAGTTGACCTAGGTGTTCATTTGCTAGGGCTGCCATAACAAAGCACCACAACTGCGAGGCTTAAACAATGGAAATTGGCTCACAGTTCTGGAAGCTAGAAGTCCGAGATCAAAGCGTTGGCAGGGTTGGTCCCTTCCGAGGCTGTGAGGAAGAATCTGTTCTAGGCCTCTCCCTTAGTCTTGGGTGGTTTGCTGGAACTCTTTGTGTTCCTTAGCCTAGAGAAACACCATCCTGATTTCTGTGTCTAAATTTCCCCTTTTTATAAAGAAACCAGTCATACTGGATTAAGGCCCTCCCTAACGACTTATTTTAACTTGATCTGAAAAGACACTATCTCCAAATAAGGTCACATTCTAAGGTTCTGGGGGTTAGGACTTTAACATACTTTTGGCAGGGACACAATTCAACTCATAAAAGCTTGATTTCATTTTAGAAAGGTGTCATATCAGATATTTTAAGTACACTTGACACACAGTTGGTATTCCCTAAAATTCAGAAGTTTCAGAAGCTTCTTAGCAAGGACCATTATGTCTTTCTGGAACAATTCATGCCACCATGAAAAGTACAGGCTCTTATCAAAAGCAAAAACTAGGATTTCCTCCCAGGTCAGCACAATATGATCATTGAATATTTCTTGGTTACTTGGATATTCACTTCTAAGGTATCATATAACACTTACCTCTTTCCACAAGTACTAGGAACGACCAAGCATAGTTCCAAACCTGGAAAGGAAGAAGCAAACATTGTCTCTGTCAGAGACAAGCTAATATCAATCATTATTGTCAGATTAATCACAAATGCCATTCACAGTAAAAACTTTTCAGGCAAATTAATCAAGTATAATTGAATACTTGGAAGATAATATACTGTGTTTAGACAACTATATCCAGTATGAAAAGTCTTGAGATACTAGTTGGCTTGGAGGAAATAAATATGAAGCAAAGTTTACACATTATTTCTTCAATTTTTTTTTTTTTTTTTTTTTGAGATGGTGTTTCGCCCTTGTTGCCCAGGCTGGAGTGCAATGGAGTGATCTCGGCTCACTGCAACCTTCACCTCCCAGGTTCAAGCGATTCTCCTGCCTCAGCCTCCCAAGTAACTGGCATTACAGGCATGTGCCACCATGCCCGGCTAATTTTGTATTTTTAGTAGAGATGAGGTTTCTCCATGTTGGTCAGGCTAGTCTCGAACTCCCAACCTCAGGTGATCCGCCTGCCTTGGCCTCCCGAAGTGCTGGGATCACAGGCATGAGCCACTGCACCTGGCCTATTTCTTCAATATTTTAAAAGTTATATTTTTTCTAGAGTCAGCAAAAACAGTGATTTCTTTCGTAAATGGAAAAAGCCATAATCTGTCACCAGCTCACAAATGTAACTGAATCCCCAGCTGGTGCACACTCTTAGAAATGGAGGTTGAAGTCTTATCTATTAACTGTTAAATTTTGGACTAATGTATGGTTTCTTGTTCATTAAACTGTTAAATCCTTGGTTAGAGGTTGTATCTATGAATTATTGATTATCCCTAAATTTAACTGGATTTTTGGGGGGAAAAAATCTAGAGTTCCAATCTATAGGGGCTGAAATTTTTAATCTATAATGTTCATTCTTAATTTTCCCAATCATGCCATGGGCATGTCCATATTTACCATATTAAGAAGGTGAAATCAAATTTTCAAAGTAGTAAAAGATAGTATCTCTCCCACATCAAAGTAGCAAGTGCTTTCCAAGCAAATAGAAAGATTGACTATACCATGTACAGGTAACCAAAGAATGTGGAATGCTAGATTGTTAGAAATCCAAATTTTAATTGTTTTGTTCTATTGCCTTTTTACTGATCAAATAGGGATGAAGAGACAAAGACAATCCACATCCAATTTTATTGTTAACCTTCCTAGGTGTGATAACAGTATCATGGCCACGTAAGAGGCTGATGCATGCTGTACTTTCTAGGGATGAATGTGATGATATCAGCAATTCATTTTTGAATGATTCCACAAAAAACACATTTATAACATACATATATGTATAAATTCCACATGTGTAATACTAAAAATTGTTAGGCTTAAAATTTAGTTATTTATCATACTATTATCCCATATTTGTGTACATTTGAACAAAGTTATAATAAAAAATTGGGGAGGAAAAGGGATGGCAAAGATGTGGAAGGTTTTCTCCTGGTAAATTATTCTGTTCCTATCACATCCAAGGTTCACCTCATCACTCCCCATCCACCACCCCAAAAAACATACTAAGTCTCAGTATCCTTCAAAATATTGCTAGGGAGCAAAAAATAGTCCCTTTGCCGTCTACAAATTGTTGTCTACTTATTTTCAGAGTTAAATGAGCTATTTTGAGTAAGGCACGTAGGACGGAGCTTGGCACAGTGCAAGTCCTCAATACAAGCTGGCTGATGTGACTATTATTATCTAAAACACAATGCAGATCAGCTGTCATGGCTCACACCTATAATCCAAGTTCTTTGGGAGGCCAAGGTGGGAGGATCACTTGAAGCCAGGAGTTCCAGACCAGCCTGGGTGACTTAGTGAGACCCTGACTCTATAAAATATATATATTTGTAATTAGCTGGGCATGATGGTGCATGACTGTAGTCCTAGCTACTCAGGAGGCTAAGGCAGGAGGATCACTTGAGCCCAGGAGTTCTGATTGCACTGTTGCACTGCAGCCTGGATGACAGAACAAGACTCTGTCTCTAAAATAACAAATAAACAAAAATACAATGCAGACTGCCTATGCTGGCAGCTAAGGGCCACTAGGAAATCACAGGCTTCATTAGGGAGAAAAAATCCTTTCTAGCTCTGGTGGATAGAGGGGGTGAGACAGAGCAGGCAGGATTGGAGCTTCCATTGGCAGGAAGGTTAGAATTCAGTGACGTGGAAAGGAGGGCTCAGCTATTTTACCCCTTTGAGAAGAACAGGTAAAGCCACAGAAAAGTGTGTCCTTCAGACATATCAGGGCACAGGGAGGGAACAGCCGGTATTCTGAATCCAGAAGATTCCGCTTCCCGTCAAGCATTTGATGGAAAGAGGAAGCTTGTATCAGAAAGACCAGAGAGCTGAAAAGATCGAGCACAGAATATCTGAAAAGGTGAAACACCTCTCTTCTTCTATAATCTCTTTATTCCCATGCTCCACCACACGTTTGCACACATATGTGCATATCCTTGCATGCATGCACACACAAAAACTTTCTTCATCAGTAATTCGGGAAAGAAAGGAAACCTTCCTTTAAGATGTGAAGTTTTAATTGGACCAATCCTGATCCCAACCTAAAATGACATGACGTGAAATCACTATGGTAAACACTTGTTACGGTGAAATCAAGCAAGTGGTTTTTCTGGCACGGGAAGCCAGAAAAACCACTCATTCCAAATATTTGTTGACATGCTATTAATAATGTCTGCCTTTTCATATGAAACTTCAAATTTTCTTGGCAAAACTTTAAGGAGTTAAAAATTGCTGCCTGAGCTATATCACATTGGTAGGCTAAGCTGCTACTAAACAAAAGAGGACTACAACTAAAAACAGCTAAAAACATGGCATACTACACTACAGAAAGAGATTCTCCACACGCTATCTCCTTTGATCTTCTGACACGCTCAGGAGGCAGTCGGGTATGAGCCCAGTTTGCCTCATGCTCTTCTGTGGGGAATTTGAAAGGTAAAGTTCGAAAGGGCATCTCTGGGGCCTGACTGTAAACTTCCAGTCTGAGCATCTGCAGCATGGTTCTATTCCAGCCGGAGATGGATTCCATCTGTGAGCTTTGTTGGCTGAAACATTTAACATTTCTGAACCTCAATTTCCTCATCCCTATTTTCTGCCTAGATTATTATGTGGCTCAAAGAAGGTATATGAAAGCATTTTATGAATTTTAATGTACTTTATAAATGTTGTTGTTTGCTACAGACAGAATATTTGTGTCCGCCCCGTACCCCCCACCCCTGCCCTTCCCCCGCCGCTAAATTTCTATGTTGAAACCAGAGTCTCCAATGGGATAATATTTGGAGGTGGGCCCTTTGGGAGGCAATTAGGGTTAGATTAAGTCATGAAGGTGAGATGACATAACCTTACAAAAAGACACAGGATCTCTCTCTCTCTCTCTCTCTCTCTCTCTTTCTCTCTCTCCATCTGTCTCTCTCTCTCTCCACCCACACCAAAGAAGGCCAGAGGAGGACATAACCAGGAAGAAGGTTCTCACCAGAACCTAACCATGCTGGCACCCTGATCTTAGATTTCCAGCCCCCAGAACTATGAGAAAGAAATGTTTGTTATTGAAGTCATCCAGTCTGGTATTCTGTGATAGCCTGAACTGACTGAGGGACATCAGTGTTGTTCTCAATAATCAATTCTCTGAAGAACTTCCAGAGAAAAACTTAATAAAGTGCAATTAAGAGTTTTACCGTTAATTGATTAATTACTTAATTACCAATTTGCTGGGTGCTAACTGTGGACCAGGCACTGTGCACAGCTTTTTGCATGTGTAATTTCAGTATCACCTTCAGGATGATTCTCTGAGATGTGTGTTATTTTTATTCCCATTTTACAGGTGAAGAAGAATATACCTACCCTTCCCAGGACCACACATCTAGGATGTGACAACCCAGGTTTCATACTTAAGAGTGTGGACTCACAGCTGGCCTTCTCCCCACTGCTGTGCCACCTCTAAGATTTGCATTCCTGGATTATACACAAGAGTTTATCAGAATATGATTAATTTTACTAAATATATATCTCACAGAGCCACCTCTCCAACAATGTCAGCTACGTGGGCAACCAACGCTCATGTACACTGCTGTGAGGAGAGGGCCACTGGCTCGTGGAAAGGACCCTGCTCTTTCCCACACACAGCTCATTCTGACCCAAACACACAGGCTAACCCAAACCCCACCCCCACGGCACCAGTACTCATGCTCAGGTTCTCCATCTAAAGCTCACCTCCCCTGGAAGCATCTTGAGGCCCTCTCTCCTCTATCCCCCCACCTCCCAGAGCTGTGCTAATGCTCTTCTCCTGGGCTTCCAGGGCACCCGACTCTTCCAATTCATTGTGTAGCAGAGGGAAAAACTTTATTTTTAGGAGGCGGTGAGAGAATTATTTTGAAAAGAGACGCTGGCTTAGTCAAAACAGAACTCTCCTAAGCCACAGGGCTAGATAATAAACAAAGGGGGAGGGGATGCTTAGTGAGAAAAGGGTTTGGAATGACATATTTATAAATCCATGTTTATAAGTCTGCAGAAGCACTGGGTGGAGGGAGGAGAGAGGACGTGCATGCCCTGGTCACACATACTTTCCCCGACCACAGTCCTTTCCAGCCAACGCCATGCTTCCTGTACAAACTGCTCCATGAATGTTTAAATATGATGAGGATTATTTTACTACTGTGTTCTTCCTGATTAATTGGGGGGAAAGTTCTACGTTCAGATCAGTGTTCTGTGCAAGCTAGATTAATACCAGGGCCACATCTAAATCCAGATGATTTGAAATGAACAGAATATAGCATAACTTGTAAAAGAAATTGTCCATGTTTTTGGCCAGGCACGGTGGCTCACGCCTGTGATCCCAGCACTTTGGGAGGCCGAGGCAGGCAGATCACCTGAGGTCAGGAGTTCGAGAGCAGCCTGGCCAACATGGCGAAACCCTGTCTCTACTAAAAATACAAAAACTAGCCAGGCATGGTGGTGCATGCCTGTAATCCCAGCTACTTGGGAGGCTGAGGCAGAATCACTTGAACCTGGGAGATGGAGGTTGTCATGAGCCGAGATTGTGCCACTGCACTCCAGCCTGGGCGACAGAGTGAGACTGCATCTCAAAAACAAAAAAAAAAAAAAAAGAAATTTTCCATTTTTAAGTATGGCCAATTCAGGTCTGCTAACAAGTTTATTATAAAGGATGCTTCCTTGGATACCTAGTTTTCATATTTAAAGAAGATCCATTTGTAATTATCTTGCGAGCTATATATGTAAATGTAGTTTCTAAAGCATTTCATGACCAGATCTTGTATTTGAAATATATCCCATATATATTATACATATATATATAGATATATATATATATTTTTTTTTTTTTTGAGATGGAGTCTCGCTGTGTCACCCAGGCTGGAGTGCAGTGGCACAATCTGGGCTCACTGCAACCTCCATCTCCCAGGTTCAAGCGATTCTCTTGCCTCAGCCTCCTGAGTAGCTAGGATTACAGGTGTGCACCACCACACCTGGTTAACTTTTGTATTTTTAGTAGAGACGGGTTTCACCATATTGACCAGGTTGGCCTCCAACTCCTGACCTCAGGTGATCCACCTACCTCTGCCTCCCAAAGTGCTGGGATTACAGGCGTGAGCTACCTTGCCCGGTCAATATGCTTTATATTAAAATATTAATTGATGTTATTTTTAAAGAAAATGTTTGCTAAATAAGAGACATCTGTTGAGTTTCAGTCTGAATTGTTACAAATTTTAAACAAATGAGGCATGTTTGTTACTAGCAATCTTAACTTTACAGAAAATGTGATTTAGGTTATTAACATTAACATAAAATATATCAAGGAAAAATTATGCTCTTTATATATTTTTGTTTCTGCCAGTGGAAGAATGTCAGGATACAAAAATTGAGACATTCTTACCACAAAAAACTACATATTTAAGTTCATAAAAAAAACCTATACTAAAATGTTCAGATCAGGACTACTAATAATAGCCAAATTTAAGAGACCACCCAAATGTCCATCAACTATAAAATGGATAAATATGATTATTCTAGAATATATGTCTACTGTCTTGTATATTATATTTTATATGTAATAATATTTTAATAAAATAACAGAGTCCACACAATGGAATATTATGCAGCATTGAGAACAAACATTGTACAACTACATTCTATGACATGGATGAGTCTCTCAAACATATTGTTGAACAAGAAAAGCCAGACAGGAAAGATTTCATTTATATAAACTATGTAAATAGGCCAAACTAATGTAGGCCATTAGAAATTAGACCAACCATTACCTTTACAGTGGGTGGTAACAGAGGGGATAGAGGGATACAGGGGTGTTTCTGGAGGGCTAGTAACTTTTTTCTTGCTTTGGGCCCTGAATATATGGGCATTGCTGAAAATTTATTTATTGCATAGAGTTTTTCTGTATGCATGGTGTACTTCAATACAAAGTTTTTCTTTTTTTAACTAGAGTAAGAAAATAATACCAGGGTGGGAGGAGGGTAGAGAATGTGCCACAAAAGAAGGTATTTGTAGTTCACCATGATTGAAGTTGCATTTGAATTCTGTCTGATAAATAGCACATTCAAAACAAAAGACTATAAACAAGTGCTAGGGCAGCTGCATGACCAAACACACTTGACAGCAGTGAAGGTGATAAAGGGGGCCACTCATCTGTCTTTGCCAGCCATTATGGAAAGCAAATGCACAGACACAGCAGGAGGAAGAGAGTGTCTATGGCAGTAGAAGTCACTCATATACACTGCTGGTGGGAATGTAAGTTAGTACACCTCTATGGAAAACAGTGCGGAGGTTTCTCAAAGAACTAAAAGTTGGACTACCATTCGACCCAGCAATCTCACTACTGGGTATCTACCCAAAAGAAAAGAAATCATTATATTTAAAAAGATACCTGCACTCGTGTGTTTATTGCAATGCTAGTCACAAGAGCAAAGACATGGAATCAATCTAAGGCCATCAACAGATGAATGATTAAAGAAAATATGGTAAATACACATCATGGAGTGAAAAGCCATAAAAAAGAATGGAATCATGTCTTCTGCAGCAACATGGTTGGAACTGGAGGTCATTATTTGGCACCAAGCACAAAAAGACAAATATCCCATGTTCTTACTCCTAAATAGGTGCTAAAAAATGTGTTCACGTGGACATACGGAGTGGAATAATAGATCCTGGAAACTTGGAAGGGTGAGAAGGTGGGAGGGGAGAGGATGATAAATTAGTGAACGGGTACAATGTATGTTATTCGGGTAATTGGTACCATAAAAGCCCTGGCTTCACCACTACACAATCTATGCATGTGGGAAAATTGCACATGTACCCCATAAATTTGTACAAATAATTTTTTAAAACTCACTCCACATACAGCAACACACTGCAAAGGTCCAGGGAGGAATCCTTCATTTGCAAATTTTATGACTCGGGTAAATAATAATTTCTCAATTCCCTCACCTATCAAATGAGGCTAAGAGCATCTACCATGCAGGCTTGTTTTAAGGATCAAAGGAGAGAAAGTATGAGAATGTGTTTGTCCACTGCAAGGTCCTACACAAATGGAAGTTATCAACTTCATGTGGTCTTATTTAGCACCTTGTATAAACTAGATGCTAAAATCATGTCATTCCCGGCCACGGCAATTTTACAGTCTGAATATAGGGGTGTGTTTTTATACTTCAAGTCAAAATTATTCATCCAGAGCAACCCAAGGTCAGAAGTTGGAATGCTGTTTCATGATTCATTGACTAAACTTTTATTTAAAACACAAGATCCAAGAATTCAAAACAACACCACTTTAATTCAGAATTATCCTTCATAATCTGTCAAAGAAATAAGAGCATCTCATTATCTAGTATTATATCACAAAATTTTATCACTCTGTGTTCAACTAATGCTCACACTTTTCATTTTTATGAGGCCTTCTTTCCAATGCATGTGGCACCTAACTCTAATTTAGTCTAATTTTGGATCCACAAATATAAACTTCACTTAGCATTTCACTTATCTCTGAAATAAAGTTATTCCTTCCTCGAACACATTATTGGTTGTTGAATTATTGATCTTACTTGGAAAATTAGAATATTAGCTTTCAAGTCCTTTACATTAAAATGCCATTTGTTAATTTGCATTAAATAACTGGCATTATGGGCCCACTGAGAATTAACTTTGCTTCTAGCTGTTACTAATTATTAACATTTTTTATCTTTGGCCTTCAAGTATTTGTTTTGATACCCTACTTTCCTGTCTGTTCCAAGTTGTAAGTCATCAGGGAGGAAGAAATTAAGCTACCCGATTGCCCTAGTGGCATTCACCCAGGGAGATCATTTATATTATGAACTAGAGTCTGTGTTTTAACAACTGGTAAAAATCAATCCATTTCAATACTGAGAATTAAAATACAGAGACTCCCTGGGTTTAATTATCCTGTGTATGACTGTCCAGAGACTTCTGCTTGCCTTTGGATTTCTGGCAATGGGGAGAACTGAGCTGATGGGGACATCCACTTCTTCCTAAAGCACAGATAAATTCTGGATAAATATTACAAAATGTTTAAAAGTACACAATTAAGTTCAAAAGTAAGGGAAATTTTCAGGTACTGCCAGAAACTAGGAGGGAGCTTGCAGGGAGATGATGCCCTGGAGATACAGATGTTAGACAAAAGCCCCAACAGCTCAGGGCCAGGGTTTTATTGCCTGTGCTGGGAGAGGTGACGAGGTCTTAGACTGGTGGGAGCTAGAGAGAGCTGGAACTGCCAGCCTTACATAAAGTCAGCACCTTTGAAGATCTTCTGCCTCCATTCAAAAGTTATTCTGTTATCAGAAATGAGGTTGTATTGTTATCTAGGGCTGTGTAAAAATTATTCCAAAACTTCACAGTTTTAAACCACAAACATTAATTATCTCACAGTTTCTGTGGGTGAAGCATCCTCGTGTGGCTTAGCTGGGCCATCAGACTCAGAGTCTCTCACAAGGCTGCACTCAGGTGTCCAATGGGAGTGAATCTACTTCCAAGCCTACTCATGGGGCTGTTGGCAGGATTCAGTTCCTCACAAGCTGTTGGCCTGAGGGCCTCAATTCATTTCTAGGTATTGGCCAGGACCTTCCCTCGGCTTCTCACCACTGGGCCTCTCCATAAGGCATCTTGCAACATGGCAGCCGGTTTCCCTCAGAGCAAGCAAGAGCCAAGAGAGGGCAAGATGGAAGCCAGAGTCTTTCTGTAACGTAATCTCAGAAGTGGCATCCCATCAGTTGTGCCATATTTTATTTTTTTGTTAGGTCTAGCCACACTCAAGGGGTAGGAATTATACAAGAGCATAAATACCCAGAGACAGAGATGATTTGGGGCCATTTTAGAAGCTGTCTACCACAGAATTATTGGTCTGGACCTATGTGTTCTTGCCCAGGTGTGTAGTCATGAGAACCTTGCAGGAGGGTCCCCACAGAACTAAGACCCAGACCTCTAAGGAGGGAGTGCTGCTCAGCTGGTACTGCTGTCTCTGGAGATGGGATGAAATGAGGCTGGCACTGATGGTGTAAAGAAGCCAAGAACTGGAACCATTGCCATTGTTGGACCGGTGGACCATCACCAGGGTGATGCTTCAGGAATAGCAAACAAACAGGAAGTGGCAAGTCCTTTCTCTCTCCTGTCTTCCACCCTCATGTGGAGCCCCCTATTGGCAAAAGCTAAAAAACAGCCACATGGCAAAGGGGAAATGTGTTTTGTAGAATCACAGTCCTGGCATTATAAGACAGAGTATGGAAGGAGGGGTTAAAGTTGAGGGCCCGTAGCTTAATAATCAGCACAAAAAGTAAGGAGAAATATCGTCCTAACCACCCAAGAAAGTGTAAAGGAGGCTTATCTCTGCCTGTGGATCTGGGTGAAAAATAATTTTAAGGTCTCAAGTTTGAGAAATCAAAACAGTAATTTTGTACATAGTATAGGTGTGCCGTCTAAATGTACACTATTCAAATAGTGCAGGAATCTCAAAAAATAACAACAATCTCAGAGAAGTGAAACTCTGTGGTTACTAGCAAAGGCAAATGCAAAAACACTCTGTAAGGAGTAATGTTGAGCACCTTTTCATATACTTGTTTGCCATTTGCTTGCCTTCTTTTGAGAAATATCTATTCAAATCTTTTGCCCATTTTTGAATTGTTAAAATTTTTCTGTAGAGTTATTTGAGCTCCTTATGTCATCTGATTATTAATCCCTTGTCAGATAGGTAGTTTTAAAATATTTTGTTCCACTCTTTGGGTCGTCTCTTCACTTTGTTGATTGTTTCCTTTGCTGTGCAGAAGCTTTTTAACTTGATGTGATCTCATTTGTCCATTTTTACTTTGGTTGCCTGTGCTTTCCGGGGTAGTATTCAAGAACTTTTTGCCCAGACCAATTCCTGGAGAGTTTTCCCAGTATTTTCTTTTAGTAATTTCATAGTTTGAGGTCCTCAATTTAAATCTTTAATCCATTTTTATTTGATTTTTATATATGGCAAGAGATATGGGTCTAGTTTCATTTTTCTTCATATGGATATCTAGTTTGCCTAGCACCATTTATCAGAGACTGTCTTTTTCCTAATGTATGTTCTTGGCACCTTTGTCGAAAATGAGTTCATTGTAGGTGTGTGGATTTGTTTCTGGGTTTTCTATTCTATTCCATTGGTCTGTATGTCTGTTTTTATGCCAGTACCATGCTGTTTTGGTTACTATAGATCTGTAGTATAATTTTAAGTCAGGTAATGTGATTCCTCCAGTTTTGTTCTTTTTTCTCAGGATAGCTTTGGTTATTCTAGGTATTTTGTGGTTCTGTACAAATTTTGGGATTTTTTTTCCTATTTCTGTGAAGAATTTATTTGGTATTTTAATAGGGATTTCATTGACTCTGTAGATCATTTTAGGTGATATAGACATTTTAACAATATTGATTCTTCCAATCCATGAACATGGAATATCTTTCCATTTTTTGGTGTCCTCTTCAATTTATTTCCTTAGTGTTCTGTAGTTTCATCTACTCTTTTTTTTTTTAATATAAAAACACTTTCCTCAAATGTCTGTTAATTTTGGGTGCATATTTAAAAGTGAGAATTTAAAAGCCAATTAGAGGCTCTGTGTGTCAAAAGAAAGTAAAACAATTCTGAGGAAACAAGCGATGCACAGAAGCAGAAGAAACAGAAAAAGAAGCAAAAAACAACTATAATATCTTCAGAATTATGAGAAAGGACAGCACATGCATGAAACAAAAACAGGAGATAATTTTAAAAGAAACAATGTGAGAACAAAAATAATCTCCTAGAAAATAAGAATATGACAATAGAAAGACAAGCTGAAAAAGTTCAAAAGATAACAGAGGGAAGAGGAGAGCTGTCAAACAAGTGTAAAAAAGAGCTAAGGTTTCTATAGTAAGAAATCAGGGAGAGGACAAGATGGCCAAGTAGATGGAGCCAGGCAGAACAGCCATGACAAGGGACCAAGACGATTGGCACACTCCTAACAGATCTTCAGAGAGAAGGCACTGAGAGTGGATGGAGGGAAGACCACAGAAGCTGGGCTGAAGAGAGAGGAAGCTGAGAACTCTGCACAGGGCTACGTTGCCCTGGGACTCTTTCCTGGCCCCCAATGACTCCAGGGAAGCAAGTGAGCTGAACTGGTAAGGAGCAACCCCTCTCTCCATGGGCCCATAGAACCCTAGCAGGAGGAAACCCCTCGACCACCATGGACACTGGAGTTGGCAGCAAGAGCTGATTAGAGAAGTGGTAGGAACAGCAAGCCAGATGATGTGGGGCCCAGAGGGTTTGGTGTGGGAGCAGCTAGTGCAGAGCATAGCCAGGGATGGCCCTCCCCCTAGGTTCAGCTTGCTCCCATAGGAGGCTTTAGCCCTAGGGTAACTCTCAGACCTGAACTCTGCCTGGCGGTCTTTCCCATCAGATGGGCCTGGTCCAACCTGAGCACCCCTGGGTCTGCTGGCCTCTCTCAGGACCCCAGCCTCATTGTACCTGCTTGCAGGGCAACCTAGGGTGCCCTGGGGGCCACATAATAGCTCCTGCACTGGTGGGCCATGCCTGACCCATGGAGAGCTCCAGTAGGGCAGCCCCCATGGCCACACACCAGCCCACTCCCTCCCTCCCCACCCTGCAGCCTCCTCCCAGGCCCACACTAGCCTTCCATATCACTTTGCTGGTGCATGCGTGGGTAGGTGGGTTTTACCTTCCTTGCCCCTCCAGCATGCATGTGTACATGCACCCTGCTCTGCCATTGCTGCAGTGGGAGTGCGGCCTGCTACCACTCCCAATGCCGGATGGCCATTGTAGTCAGAGCCTTGGCAGGCACAGTGTTCTGCCCCTGCCAGTGTTCTGCCCTTGCACCAACACTGCTGCAGAAGTTAAACTAGGCACAGAGAATAGCAGACCCTCCCCCACCCTGAGCTACCACCCCTGCCTCTGGCTCACAGAGAGCACACACAGACCTGTTCCTTTCACCCCTGTGTCACCACCACCACCAGCGTGAATATATACAGAGTCACTAGCGGGGGCCCCTCTGCCTTGCTCAGCCATGATGCCTCCACCACTGTGGTAAATGCCCACACAGAGGCAGGTACCCAGGCACCCACTAGCACCCTGCCACCACTGACAAGAGTACACCTCTCTGCAATCCTGCTGCTTCTGCTGCTGGCATATGAGAACACAAATGGATCCTATTCCTGCAACACTATGAAATGCTTTGGCAGACACCACTCATCAGAGTGTAGTGACCAGTGGTCAGACAGCACTTTCTCCCTACCCGTCCTGCCCCACCCCAGTGCAGTGAATTTCAAACCTCGAGAAGCCAGAGAACAAAGTCAGGCCTGATACAAATTCCTCAGAGTTAGAGCACACAGTCCAGGAGTTAGGAGCTGAGCACTGGATCCTAAAACTTTTCCAGAAATGAAACCAGTGGCTGAATTCACCTTAAACCATAATCAAACCCTCAAGGTCATCAAATAGGATAAAAGAAAAGAAAAGCCATCCAGAGGTTAGCAACTTTAAAGATTGAAGAAACATCAGCCCACAGAGATGAAAAAGAACCAATGCAAGAACTCTGAAACCTTAAAAAACCAGAATGCCTTCTTTCTTCCAAGCAACTGCACCACCTCTCCAGCAAGGGTTCTGAACTGGGCTGAGATGGCTTAAATAACAGAAGTAGAATTCTGAATATGGACAGGAAAAAAATTATTAAGATACAAGAGTACTTTGAAACCCAATCCAAGGAAGCTAGGAATCACAATAAAACAATACAGGAGCTAACAGACAAAACAGCCAGTATGGAAAAGAATGGAACCAACCTGATAGAGCTGAAAAACCAAATACAACAATTGCATAATGCAATCACAAGTGTTAGTAGCAGAATAGACAAAACAGAGGAAAGAATCTCAGGGATTGAAGGCTGGTTTTCTGAAAAAAAGACAGTAGGACAAGAATAGAGAAAAAAGAATGAAAAGGAACAAACAAAACATCTGAGAAATATAGGATTACGTAAAGAGACCAAATCTATGACTCATTGGTGTCCCTGAAAAGGATGGGGAGAGTGTAAGCAACTTGGAAAACATATTTTAGGATATCATCCGGGAGAACTTCCCCAATTTAGCCAGAGAGGCCAACATTCAAATTTATGAAATGTAGAGAACCCCAGTAAGTTACCTCAGGAGATCATCCCCAAGACACATAATCATCAGATTCTCCCAGGTCAAAATGAAAGGAAAAGTGTTAAAGGCAGCTAGAGAGAAAGGTCAGGTCACCTACAAAGGGAAGCCCATCAGCCTAACAACAGACATCTCAGCAGAAACGCTACAAGCCAGAAGAAATTGGAGGCCAATATTCAACATTCTTAAAGAAAAGAATTTCCAACTCAGAATTTCATATCTGACCAAATTAAGTTTCATAAGCAAAGAAGAAATAAAATATTTTTCAGACAAGCAAATGCTGAGGGAATTCATTACCATCAGACCTGTCTTACAAGAGCTCCTGAAGGAGGCACTGACTCTGGAAAGGAAAGACTATTGCTAGTCACTACTAAAACACACCGAAGTACACAGACCAGTGACTATAAAGCAACCACACAAATAAAGTCTGCATAATAACCAGTTAACATCATGATGACAGGATCAAATCCACACATAGCAATACTAACCTTGAATGTAAACAGGTTAAATGCCCCCAGTTAAAAGGCACAGAATGACAAGCTGAATAAAGAACCAATACTCATTGGTATGCTATCTTCAAGAGACCCATGTTACATGCAATGACTCACATAGGCTCAAAATAAAGGGATAGAGAAATATCTACCAAGTAGATGGAAAACAGAAAAATGCAGTGGTTGCAATCCTAATTTTAGACAAAACAGAATTTAAACCAACAAAGATCAAAAAAAACAAAGAAGGGCATTACATAATGGTAAAGGATTCAATTCAACAAGAAGACCTAACTGTCTTAAAGATATATGCACCTAACACAGGAACACTCAAAGCAAGCTCTTAGAGATGTTCAAAGAGACTTAGACTCCCACACAATAATAGTGAGAGACTTCAACACCCCACTGACAGTTTAGACAGGTCATTGAGACAGAAAATTAACAAAGATATTCAGGACCTGAACTCAGGACTGGATCAAATGGACCTGATAGACATCTACAGAACTCTCCACCCAAAAATAACAGACTATACATTCTTCTCATTGCCACATGGCACATACTCTAAAATCAACCACATAATCAAACACACAACACTCCTTGGCAAATGCAAAAGAACTGAAATAATAACAACCACTCTCTCAGAACATTACTCAATCAAATTAGAAATCAAGACTAAGAATTTCACTGAAACCATACAATTACATGGAAACTGAACAACTAGCTCCTAAATGACTTTTGGGTAAATAATGAAATTAAGGCAAAAATCAGGAAGTATTTGAAACTAATGAGAACAAAGATATAACATACCAGAATCTCTGGGACACAGCTAAGGCAGGATTATGAAGGAAATTTATAGCACTAAATTTCCAAATCTGAAAGTTAGAAAGATCTCGATTTAACAGCCTAACATCACAACTAAAAGAACTAGAGAACCAAGAGCAAATAAACCCCAAAGCTAGCAGAAGATAAGAAATAACCAAAATCAGAGCTGAATTGAAGGAGATTGAGATATGGAAAAACCATTCAAAAGATCAACAAATCCAGAAGTTGGTTTTTTGAGAAAAATTAACAAAAATAGACAGACTGCTAGCTAGACTAATAAGAGAGAGAATCCAAATACACACAATTAGAAATGACAAAGGGGATACTACCAATGATCCCACAGAAATACAATCATCAGAGAATATTATGAACATCTCTATGACACAAACTAAAAAATCTAGACAAAATGGATCAATTCCTGGAAACATACACCCTCCCAAGACTGAGTCAGGAAGAAAATGAATCCCTGAAAAGACCAATAACAAACTCTGAAATTGAATCAGTAATAAATAGCCTACCAACCAAAAAAAAAAAAAAAAAAGAAAGCCCAGGACTGGACGGATTCACAGCTTAATTGTACCAGATGTACAATGAAGAGCTGGTACCATTCCTGCTAAAACTATTCTGAAAAATTGAAGAGGAAGGATTCCTCCCTAACTCATTTTGTGAATTCAGCATCATCCTAATACCAAAACCTGGCAGAGACACACACAAAAAAAGAAAACTTCAGGCCAGTATCTTTGATGAACACTGATGCAGAAATCCTCAACAAAATACTGGCAAACCGAATCCAGTAGCACATCAAAAGCTTACTCACCGTGCTCAAGTAGGCTTTATCACTGGGATGCAAGGTTGGCTCAACATGTGCAAATCAATAAATGTTATCACATAAACAGAACTAAAGACAAAAGCCACATGATTATCTCACTAGATGCAGAAAAGGCTTTCAATAAAACTCAACACCCCTTCATGTTAAAAACTCTTAATAAACTAGGTATTGAATGAACATACCTCAAAATAATAGCCATTTATGACAAACCCATGGCCAACATCATACTGAATGGGCAAAAGCTGGAAGCATTCCCCTTGAAAACTGGCACAAGACAAGGATGCCCTCTCTCACCACTCCTATTCAACATAGTATTGTAAGTCATGGCCAGAGCAATCAGATAAGAGAAAGAAATAAAGGCCATCCGAATAAAAAGAGGGAGACTCAAACTATCCCTGTCTGCAGACAACCTAAGCCTATTTCTAGAAAATCCCATCACCTCAGCTCACAAGCTCCTTAAGCTGATAAATAACTTCAGCAAACTCTCAGGATACAAAATCAATGTACAAAGACCACTAACATTTTTATACAACAACAACAGTCAAGCCAAGAGCTAAATCAGGAACTCAGTCCCATTCACAATTGCCACAAAAAGAATAAAATACCTAGGAATACAGCTAACCAATGAGGTGAAAGATCTTGACAAGGAGAACTACAAAACACTGCTCAAAGAAATCAGAGATGACACAAACAAATGGAAAAATATTCTGTGTTCATAGATAGGAAAATTCAAAATCATTAAAATGGTTGCACTGCCTAAAGTGATTTATAGATTCAATGCTATTACTATTAAACTACCAATGACATTCTTTACAGAGCTAGAAAAAAACTATTTTAAAATTCATATGGAATAAAAAAAAAAAGAGCCTGAATAGGCAAGGCAATCTTAAGCAAAAACAACAAAGCTGAAGGCATTATGCTACTTGACTTCAAACTATACTACAGGGCTACAGTAACCAAAATAGCATGAAAATTCATTTCTGCAGGTTTTAATAACATCAGTAAGTAACACTGATTTAGCACCAGCTGTGTGCAAATCCCCGTGTCTTATGTGCAGCATCTTATTTAACCCTCGTGACAATCCTATGCAATTGGTGCTATGGTGAAGCCCATTTTATAGAGGAGGAACTGAAATATAAAGAGATCGATTAGCCTACCCAGAAAGCCAGCAACCAGCAGATCAGGGTTTGAATCCAAGTCTTGTCAACTCCAAAGTTCAACAACTCCCCTGGAGCAGGGTTTCTCAACTTGGGCACTACTGGCCTTCTGGCTGGATAATTCGAGGCTTTCCTGCGCTGGTTAGGATGTTTATTGGCATCCTTGTCCTCTACCTACTAGATGCCAGTAGCATCTTGCCCAGATGTAACAAATAAAAACTGTCTCCAGACATCTCAAAAGCCCACTGGCATTTTGTTAGCTCACTAGCACTTCCATTTAGTCTGGAGATAGGAAAACACTGATCTGGGTGTCTTCATGTCCCCAGACTAAAGGCAACAGCCCTCTCTTCAATAAGCAGAACAGAAGTCAGGAAATGGGCTCTGGATTCATGGTCTATGTAGGACTTGCAGTCACTCTACACCTTCATCATCTTGGCTTTAAAATGAGAGAGGATCAGATATAATCTGAGGATTTGGTCAGTTCAGAAATCCCATGATTCCCATATAACATGGAAGTATTTTTGAGTGTGGAGATCCATGTTCCAAAAGTGCTATGTTTCCCAGGCACAAGGTGCAGCTGCCTATTCCATCCACCATACCCCCTGGTTTGACGGACTCATTAAAATAACCTGAAAATGGGAGCTCCTAGAACAAATGGTTAGTTAGTAAAGACAAAAAGCAGCTTGTTCATCTTCTCATTTGTAGTCAAGTAAACTGGTCATCTACTCCATAACATTCTAACATTTTACTCAATATACTGCAGCACCCAGAAGAACACAGAGCAATTAACAATATTATGACACTTGATTGTACTCCAAGAGGGAGAGAACTACTAGAAAATTCTGAAACAGAAAACCATTCCCCTTTGCTTGAAATGATAGCTTTTTTTCTTTAACATCATTAGTTCTGACAAAAATTAACTCGTTTTCCCAAATAAAACCTTTGTTAATTTTAGGTTTTTTCAACAGACCTTTGAGACTCTCAATGAATGAAAATGTAGGGCCCAGTTCTGCAGAATCTAATACGTTTACAGCTCTTTTTCTATTTTTCCTTCAACTTTTAAGTTCAGGGGTACATGTTCAGGATGTGTGGGTTTCTTACATAGGTATACGTGTGCCATGATGGTTTGTTTCACCTATCAACCCATCACCTAGGTATTAAGCCCAGCATCCCTTAGCTATTCTTCCTGATGATCTCCTTCCCACTACCCCCATCTCTGACAGGCCCCAGCATGTGTTGTTCCCCACATGTGCCCATGTGTTCTCTTCATTCCATTCCCACTTATAAGTGAGAGCATGCAGTGTTTGGTTTTCTGTTCCTGTGTTAGTTTGCTGAGGATAAAAGCTTCCAGCTGCATCCATGTGCTTGCAAAGGACATGATCTTGTCCTTTTTTTGACTTTTTATGGCTGCATAATATTCCATGGTGTATATGTACCAGTCTATCATTGATGGCCATTTGGGGTGATTCCTTGTCTTTGCTATTGTGAATAGTGCTGCAATAAACATACACATGCATGTATCTTTATAATAGAATGATTTATATTCGTTTGGGTATATAACTAGTAATGGGATTGCTGGGTCAAATGGTATTTCTGCCTTTAGATCTTTGAGAAATCATCACACTGTCTTCCACAATGGTTGAACTAATTTACACTTCCACCAACAGTGTAAAAGTGTTCCTTTTTCCCTGCAAACTTGCCAGCATCTGTTGTTTCTGGACTTTTAATAATTGCCCTTCTGAGTGGCATAAGATGGTATCTCATTATGATTTTTGCATTTCTCTATTGATCAGTTATGTTGACTTTTTTTTATGTTTGCTAGCCACATGAATATCTTCTTTTGAGAAATGTTTGTTCATGTCCTTTGCCCAGTTTTAATAGGGTTTTTTTTTTCTTGTACATTTGTTTAAGTTCTTTGTAGACTCTGGATATTAGACCTTTGTCAGATGTATAGATTGCAAAAAAAAATTCTCCCGTTCTGTAAGTTGTCTGTTCACTCTGATGATAGTTTTGTTTTGTTTTTGCTGTGCAGAAACTCTTTAGTTTAATTAGATCTCGTTTGAAATGATAAAATGCCAAAAGCAATTGCAACAAAAGCAACATTTTAGTCAAGAAATCTTTGCCTGTGCCTATGTCCTTAATGGCATGTAGCCTAGGTTGTCTTCCAGACTTTTTATAGTTTTGGGTTTTACATTTAAGTCTCTAATCCATCTTAAGTTTTGTATGTGTGAGGAAGGGGTCCAATTTCAATTTTCTGCATATGGCTAGCCAGTTCTCCCAGCACCATTTGTTAAATAGAGAATCCTTTCCCCATTGCTTGTTTTTGTCAGGTTTGTCAAAGATCAGATGGTTGTAGGTGTGTGGTCTTATTTCTGAGTTCTCTATTCTGTTCCTTTGGTCTATGTGTCTGTTTTTGTACAAGTACCATGCTATTTTGGTTATTGTAGCCTTGTAGTATAGTTTAAAGTTGGGTAGTATGATGCCTCCAGCTTTGTTCTTTTTGCTTAGGATTGTCTTGGCTATATGAATTTTTTGTTGTTGCTGTTCCACATGAATTTTAAAATAGTTTCTTCTAATTCTATGAAGAATATCAAGTTTAATAAGAATAGCATTGAATCTATAAATTACTTTGAGCAGTATGGGCATTTTCACAATATTGATTCTTCCCATCTATGTGCATGAAATGGTTTTCCATTGTTTGTGTCCTCTCTAATTTCCTTGAGCAGTGGTTTATATTTCTCCTAGAAGAGGTTATTTGTTTCCCTTGTTAGCTGTATTCCTAGTTATTTTATTGTTTTTGTAGCTATGGTGAATGGGAATTTATTCATGATTTGGCTCTCTGCTTGTCTGTTGTTGGTGTATAGGAATGCTAGCAATTTTTGAGCATTGATTTTGTATCTTGAAGGCTTGCTTATCAGCTTAAGAAGCTTTGGAGCTGAGACAATGGGATTTTCTAAAAATAGGATTATGTCATCTACAAACAAAGACAATTTGACTTCCTCTCTTCCTATTTGAATATGCTTTATTTCTTTCTCTTGCCTGATTGCCCTGGCCATGACTTCCAGTACTATGTTGAATAGGAGAAGTGAGAGAGGGCATCCTTGTCTTGTGCCAGTTTTCAAGGGGAATGCTTCCAGCTTTTGTCCATTCAGTATGATATTGGCTGTGGGCTTGTCATATATGGCCTTTATTATTTTGAGGTATGTTCCTTCAATACCTAATTTATTGAGAGCTTTTATCATGAAAGGATGTTGAATTTTATTGAAGGCCTTTTCTGCTTCTATTAAGATAATCGTGGTTTTGTCTTTAGTTCTGTTCATGTGATGAATCACATTTATTGATTTGCATATGTTGAAGCAACCTTGCATCCAGGGATGAAGCCAACCTGATCGTGGTAGATAAGCTTTTTTATGTGCTGCTGGATTTGGCTTGCCAGTATTTTATTGAAGATTTTTGCATCAGTGTTTATCAGGGATATTGGCCTGACTTTTTCTTTCTTTGTTGTATCTCTGCCAGGTTTTGGTGTCAGGATGAGGCTGCCCTCATAGAATGAGTTAGGAATGAGTCCCTCCTTTTCCAATTTTTGGAATAGTTTCAGTAGAAATGGTACCAGTTCTTCTTTTTTCCTCTGATATAATTCAGCTGTGAATCTGTCTGGTTCTGGGCTTTTTTTGGTTGGTAAGCTATTTATTACTACCTTAATTTCAGAACTTGTTATTGGTCTATTCAGGGGTCCATTTTCTTCATGGTTCAGTGTTGGGAGGGTGTATGTGTTCAGGAATTTACCAGTTTCTTCTTGGTTTTCTAGTTTATACGCACAGAGGTATTTACAGTATTCTCTGATGGTTGTCTGTATTTCTGTGGCATTAGTAGTGATATTGCCTTTATCATTTCTGACTGTGTCTGTTTGATTCTTCTCTCTTTTCTTCTTTATTAGTCTAGCTAGTGGTCTATTTTTTTTTTTTTCCAAAAAAAGCAGCTCCCAGATTCATTGATTTTTTAAGGGGTTTTCATGTCTATCTCCTTCAGTTCTGCTCTGATCTTGGTTATTTCTTGTCTTCTGCTAGCTTTGAGGTTTGTTTGCTCTTGGTTCTCTAGTTCTTTTAGTTGTGTTGTTAGGTTAATTTGAGATCTTCCTAGCCTTTTGATGTGGGCATTTAGTGCCATAAATTTGCCTCTTAACACTGATTTACCTGCATCCCAGATATTACGGAGCATTGTCTCTGTTCTCATTGGTTTCAAATAATTTCTTGATTTCTGCCTTAATTTCATTATTTACCCAAGAGTCATGCAGGAGCAAGTTGTTCAATTTCCATGTAGTTGTGAGGCTTTGAGTGAATTTCTTAGTCTTGAGTTCTAATTTGATTGCACTGTGGTCTGTGAAACTGTTTGTTATGATTTCAGTTCTTTTGCATTTGCTGAGGATTGTTTTATTTCTAATTATGTGATCAGTTTTACAGTAAGTGCCATGTGGTGATGAGAAGAATGTATACTCTGTTGTTTTGGGGTGGAGAGTTCTGTAGATATCTATCAGGTCTGCTTGATCCAGAGCTGAGTTCAGGTCCTGAATATCTTTGTTAATTTTCTGTCTCAATAATCTGTCTAATATTGTCAGTGGGGTGTTAAAGTCTCCCACTATTATTGTGTGGGAGTCTAAGTCTCTTTGTAGGTCTCTAAGATATTGCTTTATGAATCTGGTGCTCCTGTGTTGGGTGCATATATATTTAGGATAGTTAGCTCTTCTTGTTGAATTGAACCTTTTGCCATTATGTAATGCCCTTCTTTGTATTTTTTTTAATTTTTGTTGGTTTAAAGTCTGTTTTTTCAGAAACTAGGATTGTAATCCCTGCTTTTTTCTGTTTTTCATTTGCTTGGTAAGTTTTCCTTTATCTCTTTATTTTGAGCCTCTGTGTGTCTTTGCACGTGAGATGGGTCTCCTAAAGACAGCGTACCTATAGGTCTTGACTCTTTATGCAGCTTTCCATTCTGTGTCTTTTAATTGGGGCATTTAGCCCATTTACATTTAAGGTTTGTAGTGTTATGTGTGAATTTGATCCTGTCATCATGATGCTAGCTTGTTGTTTTGCAGACTTGTTTATTTGGTTGCTTCATAGTGTCCCTTGTCTGTGTACTTCAGTGTGTTTTTGTAGTGGCTGGTAACAGTTTTTTCTTTCCATTATTTAGTGCTTCCTTCAGGAGCTCTTGCAAGGCCGGCCTGGTGGTGATGAATTCTCTCAACATTTGCTTGTCTGAAAAGAATCTTATTTCTCCTTCCCTTAAGAAGCTTAGTTTGGCCAGATATGAAATTTAGCCCCCAATCTTTTCTGGTTTGTAGGGTTTCCACTGAGAGGTCCACTGTTAGTCTGATGGGTTTCCCTTTGTAAGTGACCTGGTCTTTCTCTCTAGCTTCCCTTAACATTTTTCTTTCATTTTGACCTTGGAGTATCTGATGATTATGTGTCTTGGGGTTCATCTTCTTGTGGAGTATCTTACGGGGGTTGTCTGCATTTCCTGAATTTGAGTGTTGGCCTGTCTTGCTAGATTGGAGAAGTTCTCCTGGATGATATCCTGAAGTATGTTTTCCAACTTGGCCCATTCTCCCATCTCTTTCAGGTACCCCAATCGATCATAGGTTCAGTCTTTTTACATAGTCCCATATTTCTCGGAGGTGTTGTTCATTTCTTTTCATTCTTTGTTCTCTATTCTTGTCTGTGTATCTTATTTCAGAAAGATAGTCTTCAAGCTCTGAGATCTTTTCCCCACTTGGTCTGTTTTGCTATTGGTACTTGTAATTGCATTGTGAATTTCTTGTGTTTTTCAGCTCCATCAGGTCAGTTATGTTCTCTCTAAACTGGCTATTCTGATTATCAGCTCCTGTCATGATTCTTAACTTCTTTGCATTAGGTTACAACATGATCCTTTAGCTCAGTGAATTACACAATTACCCACCTTCTGAATCCTAATCCTATCAATTCAGCCATCTCAGCCTCAGCCCAGTTCTGTGCCCTTGCTGGAGAGGTGTTGCAGTCATTTGGAGAAGAGCCATTCTGGCTTTTGAGTTTTCAGCATTTTTGTGTTGATTCTTTCTTATCTTTGTGGGCTTATCTGCCTTAGATTTTTAAAGATGCTGACCTTTGAATGGGGTTTTTGTGGGGTCTTTTTTGATGTTGTTGTTGTTTTCTGTTTGTTTTTCTTTTAATAGTCAAGCCACTCTTCTGTAGGGCTGCTGTGGTTTGCTGGGGAATCACTCCAGACCCTAGTTGCCTCAGTTTTCCTTTACCTGGAGGTATCACCAGTGAAGACTGTGAAACAGTAAAGACAGCAGCCTGCTCCTTTCTCTTGGAGCTCCATCCCAGGGTGGGACTGACCTGTTGCGGGCTTAGACACTTCTGTAGGAGGTATCTGGAGACTCTTACTTGGAGGTCACACTCAGTCAGGAGGGACGGGATCGGGAACCCACTTAAAGAAGCAGTCTGGCTGATTATTGGTAGAGCAAGTGTGCTGCATTGTGGAGAACTCTTTCATGTTTAGACCACCTGGACTCTCAACAGCCAGCAGGCTGGAAAGGCTGAGTCAACTGAACTGCACAGACCTCAACCACCCCTCCTCCCAGGAACTCCATCCCAAGGAGATATCAGAGTTCTGTCCATATAACCCTGGCTGGACTTGCTGAAATTCCCACAGGGAGGCCCCACCCAGTGAGGAGGGATGGATTGGTGTCCCACTTAAAGAAGCAGTCTGGCCACAATCTGGCACAGCAGCTGTGCTGCATTGTGGGGGATTCCTCCACATCAGGACCACCTAGGCTCCCCAGAGCCAGCAGGCTAGAATGGCTGAGCTGACCTAACCACAAAAATGGTGGCCACCCCTTCCCCCTGGAACTCATTCATCTCAGGCAGTCTCCAGCCTGAGGCACTGGCGGGCAGGAATTTCAAGCCAGTGAATCTTAACTTGTGAGGTGCCATAGAAGTAGGGCCTGTGGAACAAGGTTGCTTGGCTCCCTGGATTCAGCCCTCTTCTTAGGGGAATGTACAGGTCGAACTCCCACCATGCCAGGATCCCTGGGGCCAGAGTCTGTAAAACTGTTAGGTCTCTGTGTAAGCCCAAGTGACTGTTCCGCTAAGACTCTACACAGCTGTGTGTATCAGACCCAGGGCCCTGGTGGTGAGGGTTCACAAGAGATTTTCTAACCTGTGGGGTTGCAAAGATCTGTGGGTTTCTGCGTGGTTTCTGAGTTTGAAAACATAGAACCTAAGAGGAAAAAAAGAAGGATGGGGAAGACAAGGCATAACACAATGGTTCAGACAATATCTGAATTTTTTAAAAAATCCAACTAGAACAGATAGCCCCAAATTAATCAAATTTAGACAGATATTAAAGTATTGAGAACTTTAAAGTCATCAAATTTAGACAGGTATTAAAGCATTGAGAACTTTAAAGTTATCAAATATAGTCACATTAAGCCCCAGCTGAGTTGTAGATGTAGGCTCCTGGAGAGGATTTACAGAAAGAGGTAATTAGGGAGTGGCTGATGGGTTTGCTCTGCAATTCTTTCTTAGGTTTCCCAATTCATTACCCTCCCCACTCTGATCCCCATTTAGGTAACCTCTGTGAAGAGCCTGGGCAGGTAAGATAACCCATGGTTTTCATTTCACTTCTGGGGACATTGGAAATATGTTGCAATGAAAAAAAAAAAACCACAGGGCTGCTAATCAGGGGACCTGGTCCTAGACCCACCTCTGCAATTGGCCAGCTCGATGATCCTTAGCAAGGTACTAACCTCACTGTCCTAATGTTCTATAAAAGTACTAACCTGAGACAGGGGCACACTGTCCCCACTTGCGAAATGATGGGATAGAACTAGCTGACCTTTAAGGTCAGTTTTTGCCCTGACCTTCAATAAATCAAACCTGATGAAAAAAAAATAGTTAAGTCCCTAGGTTTAACCAAGATCTCTAGAATCTAGCTTTTCTTTTCCCCTCTTTTTGTCTAGACAGTTTATTTTTATAAAACAGGATAGAATCTGATTCCATAATGTGTACTTTGGTGGAAAGCCTTTTATACCAACCTGCTGTCTCCCATTATATTTATATAGCAAGCCTTGAAGTCTACATTTATCCTGATGAATGGAGTTTCAGCCAAAGCTAAGAGTAGCAACTTGATGTTCAACAGGGGAGGCACAAGAACTACCTTTTAGCTCTTACTAAGACTTGTCCTGTGGGTAACCTGGTTGGGATCATTTCAGAAAGTCTGTGGGGCTAGGTCAAAAGAGGAAATGTGGAGGGCAAGATTGCCTCCTCTCTAATTCCCTGCCCTCTCTCTTGTCTATTAACCCCACACCTTCTGAAAGAGAGGCCTGGGAGGATAGGAAGTGTGGGAAGAGTTCCTAGAAACAGGATGTAAGAAGAATCTTCTTGCCATTGGAGCCTGAGCATGCAAAGTATATCATCCTTGATGTCCACACATCTAGGGGACTGTGCCTTTCTAAAATGCAGGAGCTAGGCTAGTGTAGAATGCATTATTACAGGCAAAAATAAATTTTTGCAATGTAATTCTGAAGTACAATACCTAAGGATTATTTTGGCTTCACAATAACTAGGAATAAGGGTGTGCTCATTTTTTGGCTTCCCACTTTGCTGGTGCCCTGGTTTCTTCCGTGGACAATTTGCCTGCTCTTTTGCATGATTTAATTCTAGTATCTCACTCACACGTACTTCTACATCTGCAAACACACTTGGAGGATTTAACACCATGCTGCAGGAGTTTCCTTCTCTTGAAAGTCTGCTTCTCAGGCTCCATGAGATTTTCCAGGTTCTTCCCTGGACTGCCAAGTCCTACCTCTCACACACCCAAGTCCCCAGAACTCTGTCCACACATCTTTCCTGTTAATCCTCTTACCTGAAGATGGAAAACCATCTAAGTCAGGTTCTCTGCCACCAGCACAGTGACTGTGGGCTTTGACCAGTAAGTAAATGAAAAGGAAATAACGAAACTCGAGGGAGTGAGAGAAGGGAAGATTCCAAACATTTGGAATGCAAAGTGTTTATCTTCTCTGATTCTTCTAAGACCATTGTACTTATCCTCATTTTATTTTATGTCTTTCATTTTTCTTCGGCAAACAATGGCTGAAAGTTAACTGAAGAAATCTTGTAATCCCAACATTTTGGGAGGCTGAGGCAGGTGGATCAACTGAGGTCAGGAGTTCGAGACCAGCCTGACCAACATGGTGAAACCTTGTCTCTACTACAAATACAAAAATCAGCCGGGTGTGGTCATATGCCCCTGTAATCCCAGCTACTCAGGAGGCTGAGACAGGAGAATCGCCTGAACCCGGGAGGTGGAGGTTGCAATGAGCCAAGATCACGCCACTGAACTCCAGCCTGGGTGACACAGTGAGATTCCATCTCAAAAAAAAAAAAAGAAAAAAAAAAGAAATCTGTAAATAAAAAACATGCACATAAGTATCAAGAGCATGCAACTGAGGCTCCATCTCTAGAATCTGATGATTCCTTTGAAAACTATTCCTAGCAGATGCTGTTTAGATGCGGTGGCTCAGCCAGACCACGGCACTTAAAGCACCTCTGTTTGCGCATGAAATGTCCATCCACATGGATCAGCAAGGCATCTCTGCAGAAGAGAGGTGCAGGTTCACAGACCAGATCAACGTAAACTGACATGCAGGAAAACCGCAGTCAGAAGAAAAATAATGAAGCTGAAATTTCAGGAAAAGATTTCTTCACTAAGGAGGTAAGTCACTGAGTCTAGAAGTCCATTGTTCTGTATCATTTTGAGACCTGCAACGATGAATATGTCTAAGGATTCTGGAGGTTGTAATCAGCATAAGTGTTTACACAAACAGCAAACAGGACTTCCTCTTGCTAGAAGTAGAATATTCAGTGTATCCACTCTTATGTCAGGAGTGAAAGGAAAAAAAGAGAAAAGAGAGGTAGAAAAAGTAAATATCCAAGAAACACAGCCACATGCTGTGATGCTTTAAAATAAAGCAAAAATATTGACTCTGTATATTAATCAACTGGAGGGGCAGCCACGTATGTTTGTGTATGTTACGGTTGCTACACTTTGGAAAGCAGGACTGGAGGGGAAGTGTCACTTTAGATAACTGCAATTTAAGCAAAACAACAGCTTAATAAAGTGTCAGCAGCTCCCTCCCAGTTTAAAAACAGATGGACTTGGCTACCCAGGAAGGAGAATTGTTAGGCCTGCTGTGATTTGGAGAGACTGTCCTCACCCTTTACTGAATCATTAAAACTCTGAAAAGCATAAATAATTATAAAGTCCATAAACTTCAGTGCTGTGTGTCTCATTTGGTCAATAGTACAAAACTATCATCAGTTTTAAATTATAATATCTATTTTTATATATGGGCAAACTTTGAACAAGGTTTTAGCCGAAGGACTTTTGCAATCTTTTCACAATAGAGTATCCATGAGGCTAACAAGGTGGCTAACTTTTCAAGGTCAGACTATGAATCATAGATACATGTTTTAACCCCTCTCCTTTAAATAGAGATATCTCAAGTATTTTTATCTTAATGTTGTGTACTTCTTTCCATTAAAATGTGATTGTTATTGCATCATAACATTTTATTTCAAAAGTAAGCTCTTATCAGATGATTGCAGAAATAAGAAAATAAAATAACATTGTGTCCATTGTGGCTAATTAACAAAGGTGCAGATCCTAACACACCAAAGCTCTGTTTCAAATTGAAAGAACAAATCCATCTCCCTTATCTTCACTTTTTGACTCTGGAAGGTACTGCCAGCAAAGCCCAATTCTTTATATGCCCACTCCCTTTATGTCAAAGGAGGAGTAGGTCAGTAAAAATTAATTAAAAGAGTTACTTAAGCAGAAAAGAGAAATTTACCAAGCAATTTCCCACTTCTTGGAGAAAGCCTCATCTCAGGCCATGGTGTCTCCTGAAGAAGTGGCTCTATTTTGTGATTTAATAGTAGGGTATTTCTTAGCTTATCCCAATCTGCATCCATTTTCACAATGACTGAACAAATGCAATTAGCTTGCAGTGAGCCAAGTAATGGTTTTCTTAAAGGATTGGGAGCATTTTCTTAGATTTTAATGTGTACAGATGTCTGCAGCAGCTTCTTCCCGCCAGGCTCTCATAAGTAGCAGGCACATGTCTTTTTCTAGAGTACCAAAGCAAAAGTCTTGCCACAAGAAAACAGTACCATGGGATTGAAGTCCAGTTGAGAATGCAGATGGGGAGAAGCTGGTTTCCCTGCTATTTTCAGCTTAGAAACTCTATCTGGAACAAAGAAACTAACACCTATGGCACACCTACTGAATGGTGAGCATCGCACTGGTGTGTTTGCATACATCATGCCAACATTCACCAGAACGCAGACCTCACCTGTCTTGCTCACCACTGTATCCCAGTGCACATGAGAGGCACTCAAAAGGTGTTTTGTTTTTGTTTGTTTGTTTTTGTTTTTTTTTTGAAGGCTAACTAAACAACCCTAGGAGTCATCTCCATCCTAAGTAGACCCCCAGGTATCTTCTCACTGTCAGGTGATCCTAGAAATCAGCTGACTTCTCAGGAATCATCATACCTGGGAATGCTCTGAAGGCCCAAAAGTAATATCTCTAAGACTTTCAAATTAAAGGGAACTGGGAAACATTTTAATGGGTTTATTTAATTCACTGATCAAAGCAGAGGCCATAAGTTGATACCACATAAATGTATTCAAAAGTATTCAAATGAGACTATTAACCTAACCTAGACAAACAGTCCTCCATTCTAACTAATTAAATTAGCTAACACTATTCTCTAAAGTTATTAATAATTCAGTATTATTCATGTATATTTTATCAATAATTGCCTTCGGTGACAAATATTTGAGAATCTACTGTGTGTGTGTAAGGCAATATACTAGAGATGGTGGAGATTCCAAGCTGAAACAGGCATCATCACAGTTACTCAATCAACAAGCAGTAAGATTCCTGCTGTCCAGCCCACTAATAACTATATTTCATCAGATCTAAGACACGTCCTGTCAACTGTAAGACACGTTCTGATTTCAGATATGGTAGAATGTGAATTATGCTGCAGACATCCCTCCAAGATATTGTGGGTTCAATTCCAGACCACTACAATAAAGTGAATATTGCAATAAATCAGGTTACACAAAAGATTTCATTTCCCAGTGAATATAAAAGTTATAATTATACTGTACTATAGTCTATTAAGTGTATAATAGCATTATGTCTTTTAAAAAATGTACATACCTTTTTTTTTTTTTTTTTGAGATGGAGTCTCGCTCTGTCACCCAGGCTGGAGTACAGTGGCACAATCTCTGCTCACTGCAACCTCCGCCTCCCAGGTTCACGCCATTCTCTTGCCTCAGCCTTCTGAGTAGCTGGGACTACAGGCGCCTGCCACCAGGCCTGGCTAATTTTTTGTATTTTTAGTAGAGACAGGGTTTCAGCGTGTTAGCCAGGATGGTCTCGATCTCCTGACCTTGTGATCCGCCCACCTCGGCCTCCCAAAGTGCTGGGATTACAGGCATGAGCCACTGCACCCAGCCACATGTACCTTAATTTAAAAATACTTTATTGCTAAAAATGCTAATGATCATTTGAGCCTTCAGCAAGTCAAAATCATTTTGCTGGTGGAGGGCTTTGCCTCAATGTTGATGGCTGCTGACTGATCAGGATGGTGGTTTCTGAAGGTTCGGGTGGTTGTGGCAATTTCTGAAAATAAGACAACAATGAAGTTTTCTGCATTGATTGACTCTTCCTTTCATGGAAGACTTCTCTGTAGCATGCAATTTACCCACAGTAGAACTTTCAAAATTGGAGTCAATTGTCTCAAGCTCCTGCTTTATCAACTAAGTTTGTTTAATATTCTAAATACTCTGTTGTCATTTCAACAGCACCTAAGGCATCTTCACCAGGAGTAGATTCCATCTCAAGTGAACACTTTCTTTGCTAATCCATATGAAGCAACTCCACATCCATTCAAGTTTTATCAGGAGATTGCAGCAATTCAATCCCATCTTCAGGCTCCACTTCTAATTCAAGTTCTCTTGCTATTTCCACCATATCTGCAGTTTCTTCCTCCACTGCAGTCTTGAACTCCTCCAAGTCATCCATAAGGGTTGGAATCAACTTCTTCCAAACTCCTAATAATATCGATATTTGGACCACCTCCCATAAATCTCAAATGTCCTTAATGGCATCTGGAAGGTGACTCCTTTCCAGAAACGTTTTCAATTTACTTTGCCCAGATCCAGTAGAATCACTATCCATAGCCAAATAATTTTATGAAATGTATTTCTTAAATAATAATGCTCAAAAGGCAAAGTTACTCCTTGATCCATGGGCTGCAGAATGAATATTGTCTTCACAGGCATGAAAATAACATTAATCTTCTTCTATATCACCATCAGAGCTCTTGGGTGACCAGGTGCATTGTAAATCTGCAGTAATATTTTGAAAGAAATCTTTGTTTCTGAGAAGTAGGTCTCAACAGTGGGCTTAAAATATTCAGTAAATCATTCTGTAAACAGATGTGCTGTCATCCAGGCTTTCTTGTTCCATTTATGAAGCACAGGCAGAATAGGTTTAGCATAACTCTTAAGGGCTCTACAATGTTCCAAATGGTAAATAAACAGTGGCTTCAACCTAGTCACCAGCTGCATTGGCCCCTAACAAAAAAGTCAGCATGTCCTTTGAAGCTTTGAAACCAAGCACTGACTTCTCTCTAGCTGTGAAAGTCCAAGATGGCATCTTCCTCCGATAGAAGGCTATTTCATCTACATTGAAAATCTGTTGTTTAGTGTAACCACCTTCACCAATTGTCTTAGCTAGATCTTCTAGATAGCTTGCTGCAGCTTTTCCATCAGCACGTCCTGCTTCACCTTGCATGTTTATGTTCTGGAGATGGTTTCTTTCCTTAAACCTCATAAGCCAATCTCTGCCACCTTTCAACTTTTGTTCTGCAGCTTCCTCATCTGTCTCAGCCTTCATAGAATTGAGTTAGGGCCTTGCTCTGGATTAGACTTTGGCTTAAGGGAACATTATGGCTGCTTGGATCTTCTATCCATCGTCTATCCAGACCACTCAAACTTTCTCCATATCAGCAATAAGGCTGTTTCATTTTCTTGTCATTCATGTGTTCACTGGAGTAGCACTTTTAATATCCTCCAAGAACTCTTCCTTAGCATTCACAACTTGGCTATTTGGTGCAAGAGGCCCAGTTTTCGGCCTGTCTGAGTTTCTGACATGCCTTCCTCACTAAGCGTAATCATTTCTGGCTTTTGATTGAAAGTGACAGACATGCAACTCTTCCTTTCATTTGAACACTTATAGGCCGGTGTAGAGTTATTAATTGACCTGATTTCAATATTTTTATGTCTTAGGGAATAGGGAGGCTCAAGGAGAGGGAGAGAGATAGGGGAACAGCCAGTCAGTGCAGCAGTCAGAAAACACAAGAGTTATTGATTAAGTTCACTGTCATATGGGTACGGTTTATGGTAACCCAACACAATTACAATAGTAACATCAAAACTCAAGGATGACAGATCGCCATAACAGGTATAATAATAATGAAAAAGCTTGAAATATTGGAAGAATTACCAAAATGTGATACAGAGACACAAGGTGAGCACATGTTGTTGGAAAAAAATGTTACCAAGAGACTTGCTTCATGCCTGGTTACCACCAACCTTCAGTTTGTAAAAAACGCACTATCTGCAAAGCACGGTGAGGTGTAAGACAATAAGTATGCCTGTATTGTTAACACTCCCTGCATTTAGTTCTGCCCGTTCTTACTTCTATCATCACTACACTTCTGCTGAGCCTCACATAGGAAAGAAAGAAGAAATCTGAAAGTGCCTGATGGTTTAGGATAGATGTGGGACTGTTTTCATCAGAAGAAATGTGGTAGTCTAGATTACACATTAAACTCTTCATCCCAAGCCTCAGTATCCTTCTACTACCACAATATACTATATCACCTTCATTTGAATACACACTTCACACACATGCACAATTTAATTTAAATGGGAATTGACAATAAAAATACATTTTTAATGACAAATAAATTGAAAGGATATGAGAATTGAAAACTAAATGTTTATGCTTATATGCGATTTGGCAGATACATAAGTAAATTCAATTGCTACACATGAAAAAGAATGATGCTTTTTTCATAATCAGTGCAAAACTATTTGGTTGGCAGGCTAAGTTCTGCAGCTTCAAGTGTATTTTATTCTAGGTAGAAATCCTCAGTTTTATTTCAAAACTGATATCACTATTGTTTACGATTTTGTAGCTCAGAGGAACTTGTCCAAACAACTTATTTAAAAAAAAAAAAGGGCGGGTGGTGGATTAAGGCCGGGCGCAATGGCTCATGCCTGTAATCCCAGCACTTTGGGAGGCCAAGGTGGGCAGATCACCTGAAGTAGGGAGTTCCAGACCAGCCTGACCAACATGGAGAAACCCCGTCTCTACTAAAAATACAAAAATAGCCAGGCACGGTGGCACGCACCTGTAATCCCAGCTACTCAGGAGGCTGAGGCAGGAGAATCGCTGGAACCTGGGAAGCAGAGGTTGCAGTGAGCCAAGATCATGCCATTGCACTCCAGCCTGGGCAACAAGAGCGAAACTCCATCTCAACAACAACAAAAAATCGAAATTAAAAGTAATCTTTCTTTAAATCATTTCTATCTTTTTTGGTACTTTGGGGATAAAAAAAAGTTCACCATTGCTAAGTAGATTTTTCCATACAAATAAATGAAGAATTTGTAATAACTTCTAAATACTGAATCTTGGAGAAGTTTTAAGGTATAGAAACATGATCAGTAAAAACGAAGAAAAAGTTATAGCTCTCTGAAAGTCATCTTTTTTTGTAAAGTTGTCACAGGAAAGACACTCAAATAGGAATAGATACTCAAATAGGCATTATAGGTCTATATATATATGCCTATTCCTGTGACACTTAAATAGTATCTATTCCTATTTGAGTATCACAGCAAAGATATTCAAATAGGAAAGATACTCGAATAGGCATATATATAAACCCCAGAACCATCAGCCTCCCAAGAGAGGCAGGGTGGATGCTGGGTTTCATAGCACCTGGCATGTAATAAACTCTTAATAAACATATATTAATTGAACGAATGAATGAATAAGTGACTTGCACAGCCATGTAAGAAGAACCTGTGGATAACAGTCATAAGCAAAGGATAACAAGTCCAGGATATAGAATGTTAAGGGTAGCTATACAAAACCACAGCTTAGTCCTAATTATACTCCAATGTTTCTACCAAAGGAAAATAAACAAATGCATATGAAGACAAAAAAACAAAGAGGCTCAAAAGGATGTATTAGCTGAGAACAAACTGGCTAAGATGAAAATCGTTGTGTATTTCTGGTAAGGGTCATGAGAGGGTTTATTCTAATCTGTAGAGCCAGAGAGAGTTTGCATGTTCACACAGAAAAAGGAGGCAAACTCAAGCGGAATATGGATGCGCTTTCTCATGTGGGAATTTTCAGAGCTGCAAAGGCCAGGTATGACTCTGTTGGCCTCCCGTTGGGGATTCTGCAAGACCCAAACAAAGCTCATGTAGGGTACAGGAACTTAGAGGCCTTCATGGCGTACTCCTTGGAGAGTGGGCAGTCCACAGGCAGATGGTGCTAGAGGCAGATCTGAAGCCCATGTGTCCTGAATCCTTATCCAGGGCTGTTGTCCTAAAATGTGTTGCTTGCCTGAGTCTTCTGCAGGAAAACAAAGGGCATGACTGTACGACTCAAGTCCTGAAAATACTTGAAATACTGGCTGAAGGCAAACAGAACAGTCTTTGGATCAAGATTTGACATTTAGCCCTGTCACAGTTCCTCATCAAAATGAGAGGAGCAGATTCTGATACTGAATATTCTTGCCCACTGCAGCAGAAGCTGCCCCCCAGTGAGAGATGGGAGGGAGGAGGGGGGCTGCCTAGGAATCCTTGCTTTGACTAATGCAATGCCACAGCAGCTCAGCGGCTCAGCGGCTGCAGAACTGCTGAGCTGTTTTTACTTTGCCTCAGGTGTCACTGACAACATTGTCGGTTAGGCAGAGATTGCTGAATCTTTATTCCTGGCAATGAGGCAAGAAATAGAAAGTGCACAGCTGGATTTTCTGATCACAGGTTGGGTTTGCGAGGCTTAGGGTTGGGGAGGGAGGGAGTCATCTTTTAATGTGCTAACTGAACAGTCAAGCTGGAAGTCAAAATCTATAAAATCGAAGAGGGAATCCCATATTTTGTCTGCTGCCAGCTCTCAGATGGGGCTGTTCTTTAAAAGAAATAGCAATTTTCTTTTAGGGAATTCTATGAAATAAGCAAGAACCCCCCCAAAAGTGAAAATCATTGGACTTAAATAATTTAAATACAAATCCTGTCTTCTCTTTATAGCTAGTCTATACGTTTCTTGAGAGAAAGGACCTTGTCCACCTTTTTATTCTTTGTAGCACAATTTATGATGCCATGCACACAGCAGGGAATGAATGCATATTTTTGGAATGAATGAAGAAACACAGACCTAACACCATTCTACTCTCCATCAAGCAGAAATGTACAGGCTCAAAAAGGAGGCATAAAATCAATATATAAATTTATAAATGAATAAAAAGTTTGCAACTAATATATTAGAAAGGAAATGCCCCTACTAGATAGCACAAGGACTTTAGAGTAAGAGGACCTGGGTTCAAATCCTGACTCTACTACCTCTCTCTGTGACCTTCGGGAAATTATTTCAATTCTAAAGCCTGAATTACTAACTTTGCAGGGTTGTCATGGTCCTTTAAAAGCATGAGTCCCATCATGTCACTCCTCTGCTCCAACACCTCCCTTCAATGGCTTCCCAGCTCATGCAAAGTAAAAAGCAATGTCCTTGCAAGAACTTAGAAGTTTCCACAGGATCTGTCCACTCCCCACCCTCCTTACCTCTCTGATTTCATCTGTTGTGTCTCTCCCTCCTGAGGACTGTGTCAGCCACAATGGGCACAAGCCAGCACATTTTGTTCACCTCGACTTCACCCTTCTTCCTTTCTCTTGGTCAGCACCCTACTTCTGCTGGGTCACCCATCTGCCACTAGACTTGGGTTGGGTGTGGTTTTCCGGTAGACGACCAGAGGTCCAGAAGGTACAATCTGGCAATGTGAGGAAGTTAATTCCACATAGGGTGGCCTTTCACCAATGCAAAAGAGAAGATGGGAGGGAGCCAGGCTAATAAACCCCTGCCTTTTGTGAATATACCAAGATGCAGTTCCTCCTTGCCATCCTTCCCTAGAACTCTGACAAGCCAAAGAAGATGCAACCTGCTGTGCCTATTGGCAGCTCATGATGCTGCAGCCAACTCAATATACATCACATTGCTTCACATCTCTCTTTTCTTTTTTTTTTTTTTTTTAATGGCGTCTTGCTCTGTCACCCAGGCTGGAGTGCAGTGGCGCGATCTCAGCTCACTGCAACTTCCACCTCCCGGGTTCAAGCGATTCTCCTGCCTGAGTCTCCCAGCCTCACATCTCTTATCTCTCTCCTCTCCTTTCTATATTCTCCAAGTCCAGCCTTGCACCTCCCAAATCCTTGCTTCAACCTCTGCCTCCTAGAAGAGTAGAGCTAGCATTGATCGTATCTTATTGATTTATAATATTTCATCATTTTATGTCTTCTTCCTAGAATGTAAGTTCAATGAGGGCAGAGATTTCATCTATTTTATCCACAGCAGAATGAATACTGCCTGGAACTCAATCAATATTTATAGAATGAATAGATGAGTTTTTAGTACAGTACACAGCATTGTATCTGGCACTTAGGAATTGCCCACTAAATGGAGATTTTCACCATTATTCTTATTATCTACAATCTTTAGGATAAGCTGTACTATGTACTATGTGTTTTACACAAAAATAAGTTTTTCTAGGAACATTATTAAAGACATGTATAGTGTAATGTTTTATAATAGTATTTCAAGACATTTTCTGGATTTGACTTTTTTTTTTTTTTGCTTAATACTAGTTATACTCCAATGTCCTTACCAATGGGAAATAAACACATATGACAAAAAAAATAGAGGAATAAAAGGAATAGAAGATGCAGGCAAAAGAGCAAGGAGGAGCTAAAAGAAGAAGCTAAGAAGGTAGAAAGATGTAGGATCTGTGAGGGAAGAACATTTCTGTATGCTGTGGCAATATATAAAACAAAGGAGTAAAGGACATGGAGAAGGAAGGGCTGTCAGAAAAAGAGTAGAGAGACAAAGACAATTAATAATTCTATATTTTTGCAATGTTGTCTCCAACCTTAAAGCTTTGAGATTGTCATTAGAGTCCTTAAAAAGCTATATTTCCTTTCCTTGAATATATATTTTTCTAGCATGTTGCCAACAAGTTGTGGCAACTGCCTTGACTTCATTCCCATGGTTCACAAGGGACACACTTTCTCAGAGATCCGTGTTTCAAACATTCCCTTGGAGTTTCTAATATAAAAAATTTTTCACTTTATGATTATGTATCTGGAAAATTCAAAAGAATCAAAGGAAAAGATACTATAACACTGAGAGCAGTGTTAGGAAGGGAGCAATTTTTAGAATTAACAAAGAAAAATAAATACTCATCATATATTGTAAACAAAAACCAGTAAGAAGATAGAAGAGACCACCACATTTGTGGTAGCAAAGAAGTGCCCAAAACCTGCATGAAGAAAACCATAAAACACTCACGAGAGAGGCACAAAAGTAGACTTGAACAAATGGAAAGACACTCCATGTCCTTGTATAGGAAGACTCAGCATAAAAAAAAAAAAAAATCAGAACTCACTAAGCTAACATATAAATGAAATGTAATGTAATACAAAGTTGAAAAATTCCCAAGTTTTTTACCTAGGCCAGACAGGCTGATTATATAGAATGTATTTGTATTAACATACGAGTAAGCATAGCAGCTTAAGAAAGGAGAGGAATGGCAGGGAGGGTGGTGGAAAGACCTCTCAGATATTAAAACTTCCTACAAAGCTGCCATCATTTCAAAAGCTTTATATTAATGCTTAAATAGGTACACATGATTCAGAATATAAACTCTAGAAACAGACTTATGTGATTATTAAAATGTAGTATACAATAAAGTCAAAATCTGAAGTCAGTAGGGAAAAGATAGACTCTTTCACAGGTGGTGTTAGGATAACTGGATAGCCATATGGAAGAAAATAAAATGGAATCTTTACTCATGCTATATGATAGGATAAATTTCAAATGGTATGTATTTAAATGTAAAAACGAAACCAAACCATAAGGTACTAGAAGGAAATGTGGCTGAATTCCTCTTTATCCTGCGAATGAAGAAAACTTTCCTAATTATGACTTGAAATCTGAAGCATTAAATATAACATTTGATTAATTTGATCACCAAAAAACCTTTTTTATGAAAAATTAACAGCATAAGCAAAGTAGAAAAGGGAAATGATAAACTAAGAAAAAACACATGTATCAAAAGTCAATAACAATATATAAAAGAGATTCTAAAAAGAGAAAAAAAGGCTCACAACTTGACCAACAGTAGTCTAGAAATATGAGCAGATAGTTTATGAAAGAATTAATGTGACTGACTCTTAGGCACATGAAATGGTGCCCAACCTCACTTATAATAAAGGAAATTAATATTATACTAAGATGACATTGGATTTAAACACATCAAATATGATTGAATTTATATGTTCATAATGATACATGTGGGCAAACAAATCTTCATTGATTACCTCTGGAAGTTGCCTGAGAACCAATTCATTTTTGTGAAAATCAGTAAGTAAAAAGAATCAAGCATTTGTCCTGCCTTTCCTAAATGGACTGTCCCTCAGTGTAGTCAAAGAGGTGGTAAGGGGAGCTTTCTTTTTATAGAGCTGTTCTAGCTAATAAATAAAGAATGATAAAATTTAAATACCTATCACCGTTTTGCAACCCCTAACGGAAATCATGCCTTAGAAAAACCCAAGTTACACAAAGTATGCTCCTTTAGCTTGGCTATCCCACTTCTATGCTCTTAGCCAATGATATTCTGGCAAAAATCTGAAAATGTATAGGCGATTCATTGCAGCACTATTTGTGAGACTGCATAAAACTTGGAACAATCCAAATGTCTGTCAATCAGGTACAAGGTGAATTAACTGGGGTGCATATAGAAAGTATTAGGGTACTATGCAGCTGTTAAAAAAGACTAAGAAAGATTTCCATTATGAAGTGATCTCCAAGATTTATGGTCCAATGAGAAAAGCAAGATGGAGAATAGTAAATACAGTAGTCTAAGAAGGGGGATTGAACATATATATAGAATTTGCTTAAAATTTAAAGTAAAAGAAGATAATTGTCTTTAGTGGTTGCCTTATCGAAACAAAAGGGAGTAAAATAGAAGGGACAGGAATAGAAGCCGGACTTCTTTGAATAAATCTTACCTTGTAGTTTTAACTTTAGAACATAATTAGAAAACAAAATTAATTTCTATAAAATCAATCTCTAAAAATCAAAAATAAAGTGAACTAAATGAACTTAAGTGGCAACCAGTTGATAGCATAACCACAAAGAGGAACTATTCCAAATGCCGTTAAAATACATTTCCAACTGTACATCTCCAGTGACAAATCTGTAAGGCAAAAATAACTTTGAACAAATTTTAAACTGTTTTCAGTAAATACATTGCTCCCACAAGTTTTGATATTGCGACATGAAACTTGTGTCTGCGTGTCTTATGGGATAATGCAAATGAGTCATTACTTTGGTGTCACTGAGAATCTGACATTTTAGCATAGAAAAAAATACAATTGTAATATTGATGAAGCTAAGTAAAAACTCTGTGGTCCTAACTTTGAACTGGAAGCTTCAGGACATTCACCAGGTAAAGTTTATCTTAAACAGCAAATAAACAAACAAGTAAACAACCAAAAAAATGTTTTGTCTCTGTCTGTTGCAAGTCCTAGAATCAATGACCAGCCCAGTAACAATAAACATCCCTAGCACCCAGGTTTTATCTTGACATTGCATTTCCCATTAAAACGAATATGTGCTCCTTGGAGAGTGAGTTTTCCCAAGCCTGCGGTAGACATATATAAGAAGAGTCTGGAACTTCGTATTATGCTAGAAAGGAAGGAAGCTGCCAAAGACTGCTAGGGAGCTATCAAAAAGACTCAGAAGCCAAGAGGAAACAACCAAATGTCCATCAACCAATGGATGGATAAATACAAAGTGGTACATCCACAGAATGGAATATTAATTGGCAATTAGAAGAAATGAAATATTGATACATGCTACAATGTAGAGGACCCTTGAAAACATTTTACTAAATGAAAGCAGCCAGTCACAAAAGACCGCCTATTATATCATTCAGTGTATATGAATTGTCCAGAACAGTCTCGTCTAGAAAGTGGATTAGTGGTTGCCTAGGTCTGGGGGTGGGGTACAGGGATGGAAGAGGTAGGTGGAGGGAAATGGAGAATGACTGCTGGTGGGTACAGGGTTTCTTTCGGGGATGACAAAAATGTTCTAAAATTAATTGTGGTGATGGTTGTGCAACTCTGTGAATATACTAAAAACCATTGAATTGTGCCCTTTAAATGGGTGTTTGTACTGTATGTGAATTATATATCTCAATAAAACTGTTGAAAAATATTCAGAGGCCAAACTGCCCAAAGATGGCAAATTTGATCCTGAACCTGTCAATATGCTTACATCCCTAAGTTCACAATTATACTAAGAGGAAAAAAAAAAAATCTTGATTATCTCTGGAGAATGTCTAGAAACAAACTCATTATTATTAAAATCAGTACATGCTATGATCTGAATGTATGTATCCCCAAAAATGCATACATGGGAACCTAAGACCCAGTGTGATAACAGTATTAAGAGGTTGGCCTTTGGGAGGTGGTTAGATTGTGAGGGCTCTGCCTTCATGAATGGGATTAGAACCCTTATGAAAGGGCTCTGGGGAACTAGCCAGGCCTTTGGCCCCTCCATCTCTCCTGCCACATGAGAATACAGTATTGATCACCTCTGGCAACAAGGCTCTATCTTGGAAGCAGAGAACAGGCCCTCATCAAACAACAAAACTCTAGGTGCCTTGATCCTGGACTTCCAGCCTCCAAAATGGTGAGAAATGAGTGTGTGTTCTTTATCAATCACCCAGTCTCATGTGTATTGTTATAGCAGCCTGGAATGGGCTAAGATAGTAAGTAAACAGAAAAATCCAAGCATTTATCGTGTCTTTCCTAAATGAACTGTCCCTCAGGGTATTAAATAGGTGACTGGCAGAATCTTTTTCTTTATAGAAATAATTCAGCTAGTGAATGAAGCGTGAAGAGTTAGGCCATCACCATTTTGCAATCCCTTATGAATTAATGGATTTAGTCAATCAGGGATTGTTTCTGTGTGGCTCTCAGGCCAATGATGGAGTTTCTATAAAGAGTGGTGAAATAAAACAAAAAAGAATATACAACAGAGACCACAGGTGGTGTATTGGTCCATTCTCACACTGCTATAAGAACTGCCCGAGACTAGGTAATTAATAAAGAGAAGAGGTTTAATTGACTCACAGTTCTGCATGGCTAGGGAGGCCTCAGGAAACTTACAATCATGGTGGAAGGCAACAGGGATGCAAGGCACCTTCTTCACGAGGTGGCAGGAAGGAGAATGCCTAGTTAAGCAGGGAAGAGCCCCTTATAAAACCATCAACTCTCGTGAGAACTCACCATCATGAGAACAGCATGGGGGAACCACTCTCATGATTCAATTACCTCCACCTGGTCTCTCTCTGAACACATGGGCATTATGGGGATTACAATTCCAGATGAGATTTGAGTGGGGGCACAAAGCCTAACCATATCAGGTGGCCTGAAAAGCCAGAACATCTACCATCTGTCTCTGTACTGAAGCATCCTGCCACCTTCAGTGCTCATCCGCCATGTCCAACCTCACAAGGAGCCGCGAGGCATCCTAATGACTTTCAGCGGAAGGAAGTGCAGCCCAGCACAGAGCTACCTTGTCAGTCACCCAACACCATCACCATGGCCAGTGGTCAAAGACAAAACATAGAGATACAAAAGGCCAATGTCCTCACCTCAAAAGGGACCCGATGGAGCTGCCATGGGATCCGGCAGAAGTTGGTCTCCAGCAGAGGCCACATCCCCACCTAGCCCCGTGCCTTCCACCGTGTGTCTTCCTGATCCCTCCTCCTCCTAAGAATTCTGGCTTCATGAATCCCTCATGTAGTCTTCCCCAGCTCCAGTTCTGCTTCTGGGGAACTAAAGGCCCTTGGCATCAGAGTGAGAGGGTGCAGGGGTGGGGAGACCTTTCGGTGCCCATGGCCCCTTCACAGCATGGAGGCATCTGCCAAATTCCACCAGCGCAGCAGGTTCTGATTTCACCCCTGTCTCAGGGTCTCCAGCTTGATTTCTCCCCTCCCAGAAGTAACTTCATGGCTTTGACATCAGGGACACGGGGGCAGCCCCAGAAGTGAAGCAGGAGAACTGGCAACACTGTCAGGCAGGTTCCAGGGACATGACTCCACCCACCCTTCTCTACCGAGCAGTGGCAGCAACACGGATTCCAGAGGGACACCAACCCGTCTTACTCCCAGTGGATTTCTATCCTGCGGCACTCCTAGTTTCCTCCGCCATACACAACTTCTCCATCCATCTCAATGTGCACCACATCTGGGGATGCCTGGGGCTCCTTATAGAACCTACTCAAGTCTTTGTCAGCAAGCCTCTCTAATGTGGCAGAGGGGAGAAAAAAGAAAGGAAAAGAAAGGAAAACAAATTATTGCTGCTTTAAGACTCATAGGAAAAAAAAAACAGGTTTCCCCACTAGATTTCACATGGCTAACAGTTTTAGCTCTCATTTCTTTCTTGCAGAAATGGAAAGAAAGGTTTTTTTTGTTTTTCCTGATTTTGTGAGAGTCTGGAGAGAGAGGCAACATTTTATTTGTCGTTTGTACATTTTAGCTCCGTGTGGGTTCCTTGTTCAACTGACGGCCCAAAGAGCCATCAGTGAGGGGGAGAGTACGCAAACCACTTTGCCTGTGATCATTTTGCAGCAGGTCTGGGCAAAACCACGCTTGCAATGTATTAATGATTTCTGCATGTTTGCAGAGCAGATGGTTTTTAAGGGTATATGTGTGCTCTTGGTGGCCTGCCCCCTGCTGAACAGTGCTGCTCAAGTTCCACCAGGCATCTCAGATTCCAGAGTAAAAAGACCTCACAAAACCTCTCCATCCAACCAGCTTTCCAAGGCAAAGCTTCTGTTGAGTTGTCTCCAGGGGTCAAATGTCTTCCATGTAAGAACACATTTCAGAATATTCAACCGGAATTCTATCTTAAGTAGACTTAGAATGTATTTTCCGATATAGCTGCAGTGTCAGGGGAGCAGCATTCTCTCTTCTATTCAGTACTTCTCCCACCCAGGGTTTCAACTTCCTGCAGGTCATCCTAGGGTTGACACAATTTGAGTCGTGTTTCCTATTTCTTTTTTTCCATAGACATAATTTTCATTTTTTGACTTATTTTTGATCCTATTTTCCAATCTGGCCTGTCATGTTCATTCCATTCGTGTTTGTGAAAATGTGCTACTTGTCTAGTCCTCCTAGATGACACGCTGAAAGGTGAGCAAGTCAAATAGGAAGGCAACTGAGTGCACACCTGAATAGAATACGGGGCAGGTCTGATCCCGGCATGAGACTTTTACAAATGATGATGGTGTTACCCTGGTGGAAGATGTCTGAGTTACTGGCGAATCCATATGGGCCTGCAGCAACCTCAATTCTTGCCTCCACAGAAGAAAGAATTTAGCCGGGCACGGTCGCTCACACCTGTAATCCCAGCACTTTGGGAGGCCCAAGCAGGTGGATCATGAGGTCAGGAGACCAAGACCATTCTCACCAACGTGGTGAAACCCCATCTCTACTAAAAATACAAAAATTAGCTGGACGTGGTGGCACATGCCTATAGTCCCAGGTACTCAGGAGGCTGAGGCAGGAGAATTGCTTGAACCCGGGAGGCAGAGGTTGCAGTGAGCCGAGATCACGTCACTGCACCCCAGCCTGAAGACAGAGCAAGACTCCATCTAAAAAAAAAAAAAAAAAGAAGAAAGAATTTGACTGAGAGGCATAAGGTAGAAAAAGAGACCAAGGAAGTTTTGGAGCAGGAGTGTAAGTTTATTTTAAAAGACTTTAGAACAGGAAAGAAAGGAAAGTAGGCTTGGAAGAAACCCAAGCGGGTGACTTGAAGAACAAGTGCGGTGTTTAACCTTGATGCTAGGGCCTTATAGGCTGCCCCTTTTCCACGATTCTTCCGTTAGGCTGGGCTGCCCACATACACAGTGCTCCCCTTACCCTTGGGAAGTGAGCACCCACAGTGTGTTTAGGAAGCTGTGCACATGCCCATCTGAGGCTTTCTTCCCTTTCCTGTGGGGTGCCCTTGGAAGGTCATACTCTGCCATTTTGTCTCTTTATGTATATGCTCAGGAAGTTGCTTCTCCCTGGTGTCTGCATTCAGTGAACACTTTAGTGCAACAGGTGTGGGCCAGCAGGAAATGGCCTCTCCCTGGCACTGGCTGCCAATTTACCATTTTTAGAGAGGCATTGTGATCGTTGCTGAACCATTACCCAACCTTCCTAGTGGATGGGAGAGCCCTCTTCTGCCCTGCTCATGCTGTCTGACTACCTGTAACAATGAGGGAGGTGAAAAGGAGGGACCCAACTAGATTGTGGCTTTAGGAAAGCATATGCCTTTCTAAAGGAGATGGCACTGTGGCTGGGTTTGAGTGATGGACGTGATTTCAACAGGTAGAAATGGGAGGGGCGTGATGGGAAATGCAAATATGTTTTTTGCAGAGGGAACAGCCTGTGCAAAGGCGAAAGGCAAGGAAGCACAGCCGTGTTCCCTGGATGGGAATCAGCCCAGTGTGAGCTGAAGCCCAGAGCATGGATGGTAAGCAAGCGGGACAGTAGAGGCAGGTCCACGCCAGATCAGAAGGGCCCTGAGAGGTGGGCCAGTGCTGCCTCACTGTTAAACAGCCAGAAGCCACTACAGAGCTTTCAGCAAGTGAGTGGCTGGATTGTACGTAGTCTGTGTTTGCCCGCGAGGCCTTCCATAACAAAGTGCCACACACCGTGTGGCTCAAACACAAATTTATGTTCTCACAGTTCTGGAGGCTGGAAGTCTAATATCAAAGCGTCACTAGGTCTTGTTTCTTCTGAGGCCTCAGTCCTCAGCTTGTAGATAGCCGTCTTCTCCCTGTGTCTTCACATGGTCTATCCCTGTGTGTGTCTGTGTCCTAATCACCTCTTACTATTAAGGACACCGGTCAGATTGGATTAGGGCTCACCTCAAAGACCTCACTTAAATTTAATTGCCTCTTTAAAGACCCTACCTGCAACTACAGTGACATTCTGAGTTACTGGGTTAGAACATCAACGTGTGCATTTGGAGCGACACAGTATTCCACCTATAACGTAGTGTATCTTTATAAAAAATGCACTTAAAGAAGACGGAGACAACAGAGAAGGAGGCAATGTTGTCATGGAGGCCACTGGAGGCTGGCAGAATGAGTCCAAGGAGAAACAATAAACAAACAGGGAATGAGGACTTCAGAGATTTTGTCAAGATGGATGTTTAGGACTTGGCACCTGATGGGTGCTTCCTGTGTGGGAGGGAAGAACTAAAGATAACTCCATTGGAACTCCACGAGTCAGCTTGAACCTGGCACAGACCTTTGCGTAACAATAGTTTATCAATAACTAGGAAGGGAAGGATGAATGGATCCATGGGAGAGCTGATTTGGGCAGGGACTAAGGTGGGAGGCACACTTGCTCTCAACAGTACTTTTGTATTGCTTGAATTAATTTATTCAACAAATCAAATTCAATTCAAAAAATCAAAAACAAAATAAAAAATAATATATAATTGCAGAACTTCAAGGAGTTTTCCATTCTGGGCTAGTTTTTCATATCACTGGACTCTCTCCCTGACCCCAGGCATGTTTGTTGAGGACCGCCTCTGAGAAATCATGCCAGAGTAGAAATTGCAGTTGTCTAAAGTGAAGTCAACTACTAGAAAGAAAAGAAGAAGGAATTCACAAGAACCACAGCAAAGCAGTTATTTATGGAGAGCAATTTGATATTAAGAGGATTAACCCTGGGCTCTTCCAGGAAGATTCAGTTATTAAGGTCCATCTCACCTCCCAACAAAGCCCAACACAAGGAGCTTCAGGTTGTTAAACTGATTGAATGAGATGACACCTACCAAGTGCTTAGTACCACACCTAGTGCAGAGTACGTGCCCAGCAAGTGTTAGCTAACATCCTGTCATGCATTACATTTTGGGGACCTCCTCGGTGAGTTACATGGAGCAGAGGGTGCAGCCATTCTTGGTCACTGCCCCACAGCTCTTCCCCCTATTACTTGCCAACAGAACCCCAGCTGTGTCCAGGGACTGGAAGGCCTTGAGCTTCTGGGGGCTGAGCTCCCCCTCTAGCCCTAGAGTGAATTGGGATTGGTCTCGGCCATTCATAGTCATTTTACTCCCCTTGTTGGTGGCTAGTTTAAGATTGTGTGATGGTTACTGTTGTGTCAACTTGACTGTGCCATGAGGCATCTGGATATTTGGGTAAACTTTATTTCTGGGTGAGTCTGTGATGGTGTTTCCAGGTGAGATTAGCATGGGAATTGGTAGACTGAGTGAAGCAGATTGCCCTCCCCAATGTGGATGGGCCTCATCCAATCTGTTGAAGGCCTGATTAGAACAAAAGGCTGAGCAAGAGAGAATTTGCTCTCTCTGCCTGCCTGACTTTGGGCTGGGACGTCTCTCTTCTGCTTTGGACTCATGCTAGAACTTAACATCATTAGCTCTCCTGAATCTCAGGCCTTTGCACTGCAGATCTGGGGACATTTCAGCCTCCATAATCATGTAAGCCAATTCTTTATTTTATATATATACACACACACACAAACACATACACACTTGAGTGTATGTACATAAATATATCTATCTCCTATTAGTTCTGTTTCTCAGGAGAACCCGGACTAATACAGCTTGGAAAGAGATCACAGTCATGGTCAAGGGCAGTGGAAGTAAGAATCTGCTGGGGAACCTCTGGGAAATTATCCCTTACTCTTAAAAAGGGACAGAGATGTTGTCATCTACATGGCATGCCTGGAATTGTCATAGCCATCTCTGCATCATGAGGGAAGCCAACCCTAAAAGGATAAATCAAGCCCACGAGGATCGCAGAGAGAGAAGGGGGGAGGAATTGAGTTTTAGAGGATTTTGTTGCACTGCTGAGTTAACCAAGCCTGGTACTGGCCTATCTCTGAACTTCTTGTGAAGGAAATAATAAATGACCTTAGCTTCTTTGTTATCTGGTCTATTACTTACAGCCAAAAGCACCCTAACTGGTAAAACATTATTTGGTTCTTGTGAAAAGCTTTGGCTCCTCATCTGGTGCACCTCTCACTGTTTTCTTCATCCAGACTTGGGGTAGAGGTTTAGGGGAGTCCCTGTGCAGAGGCCTATAAACCAGCATTCTTTCCACAAGAGCGTGTTACATATCCCTGAAGCATCTTCCTCTTGGAAAAAACTTGGGCAAACAAGTATAATTTCCTGGTGGCCAAAGCGCATGTGTTTCACACTGAATTCTTCACAAGTTGAGACTTCTGTTCTCTAGTAACTGCCCTGCTTTTGCCTGGACTCTTTTCAATGTTTTCAGCATCCTGGTGCTCATGTTTTCAGCATCCTGGTGCTCACATTTCTAAACCCCAATACAGAATTCCAACTGTGGGCTCATCAGCTTTCTCCAGACTATTTTCTTTGTGTTTGCCAAGATTCTTTTCTGAGATGAGTCAGAATGCTTTTTCTACTGATAAACAAGTCAGCCTCACTGCCCCCACAACCCTGGGCTGTCTGCCATTCTTCTTCGATCCAATCTCCCCCATTGGACTTGAAATAGTAGCAATCATGACAATGCCTTACAATGCATTACACAGTTCTCAGTAGTTTACAAAGCATTTTCACACGTGCCATCTAATTTACTCCTTGCAACAATGGATGAGATGAGTTGAGCTGACGTAATTATTCCTATTTTACAGAAGAAGCAGCACAGATAGAGAGGAGGGCTGTTTGGGCCAAGGTCAAACGGCACATAGCTGGCCCAAGTAGAAATCAAGTTCAGAGGTAACCAGAGTTTCTCCCCATCTAATCCAATTCCACTCCACACATACTTAGCCAGCCTTCCCCTTGTGCTCAGCACTTTGTGGCTTGCCTGGGACAATTGTGAGGGTGAAGATTAATGTTCATTTCCCTGCTTAAAAGAAATAAAAGGAAGTCAAACTGACATCAGACAGCAGTGGCTGGAATCAAGGAGTTCTCACCTTGCCTTCATTGTGTGAAAATCTGGTTCTGGGAATTTATATATTCTACGCTTTCTTCTATTAGGAAAAGCCACTTTGGGTTTGTTTTTCCTTGAACTGTGTGTCAGGAATGAAAAGCATGACGCAGAGGATGTTCAGTGCCTATGAAGCTGGTTGAACCTGTGCTTAGCATGGACAGCAGAGGCCAGCAGGGACTAGCGAGGACAGTCACGCAGGAAGGGGCGGAGGCTCACCATGGAGAAACCAGTACTTACATGGGGAGCTGAATAAAAAGCTAAAGATGCTAGCTACATTTACTCAATGTTTATTGTGCTCCAGGTGTTTCAATTAGTTATCAATGAGCAACACAATACCCCCAAATACACTGCCTGAAAACCACAACCGGCCGGGTGTGGTGGCTCATGCCTGTAATCCCAGCACTTTGGGATGCCAAGGCAGGTGGATCACCTGAGGTCAGGAGTTCAAGACCAGCCTGGCCAACATGGCGAAACCCTGTCTCTACTAAAAATACAAAAATTAGACGGGCGTGGTGGCACGTACCTGTAATCCCGGCTACTCGGGAGGCTGAGGCAGGAGAATTGCTTGAACCTGGGAGATGGGGGTTGCAGAGAGCTGAGATCACGCCACTGCACTCCAGCCTGGGCAACAGAGTGAGACTCTGAAACACACACACACACACAACCATGTGTCAGTGTGTCATTTCTGAGTTGGGTGGGGAGGTTCTGCTGACCTAGGCCAGGCTCAGCGTTCTCAGCTTGGCTGGCTCATATGTCTGCAGTCTGCTGGCAGAATGGCTGGGTACAGGCATCCTTGTGAACCTTGAACTTGGCCAACCTCCTTCCAAGTCAGAGACCCCAACACAGCATTGCACAAGGAAAAAGGAGTGTCAAGGACAGCACTGGCCCTGCCTGCTTCAGTGAGGCATGGAGGTAGCCAGGTTTGGGGTACATAACAGAGTAAATACTGTCACAGTGGAATAGTCCTTCCACTGCATGGAAGGGTGACACAAGGTCATCAAGCCCCAGAAAGGAGAAAAGCCTCTAAGCAGGTACCTTGCTTTTCCCAAGGCTCAGAAAGACACAGATGATAGCCACGGTGAATGCTCCAGAGTCTTCCAGAGTCCTTGTACTAAGCTAAAACTCAGATGAAAATTCTCACAGCCTGTGTTTTTTGTTTTATTATTTTATTTTTATTTTATTTTTTATTTATTTATTTTTTTGAGACAGAGTCTCACTCTTTTGCCCAGGCTGGAGTGCAATGGTGCAATCTCTGCTCACTGCAACCTCCACCTCCCAGGTTCAAGTAATTCTCCTGCCTCAGCCTCCTGAGTAGCTGGGATTACAGGTGCGTGCCACGACATCTGCCTAATTTTTGTATTTTTAGTGGAGATGTTTGTTTTATTTTTAACATTTTAGGCTATTTACCTCATAGTGGAGTGGCGGGCCTCTTGAAATGGTATTTCAAACATCAAACTAAACTGCCTATCTCCTGAGCAGTGGGGTGGGGTGGCCTGAGCCTGGCCCCCTGAGTACCTCTGCCCATCTTCTGGACCAAGCCTCTGCCACGGTTTCCCCCATCCACTCTGAGGCAAAAGCACCATAGCCCAGGAACCCAGCATTGTTCCTCCTTCGGATGCTCAGCCAAAGCCAGAAGCAGGAAGCAGGAAGTGGGAAGCCAGAAGCAGGAAGTGGGAAGTGGGAAACAGGAAGCAGCTTTTTGTGCTGCTTCAAGAGTCCTTCCTCTAAGGCCCGGGGCCTGAAGGCAGGTGAGGGCCCAGGGAACTTTCGTCTGACCATGGCCCTTAAGATGATGGATATAAAGAATCCTTCCCTTGGGGTTCAACTATAGGGAATATTTCTGGAAACTTTTGATCAGGGTGTTGATTTCTGGTATTAAAGAAATAATAATGTGAGAAAAGAAAAAATATTTGGGAGCCATTGTAGAAATAACGTTAACAAATGAAATGCTGTGATTGAATAACACCTAGGCACATTTTTAAAAGTCAACTTAACTTTGAGACAAGTTTTCTTCCATTATAGGAATTACAAATGGCTCACAGGTGTCCCTTCCTCCTGGTGTTTTGGTTGGGTAGCATGGTCTAAAAAACAACTAGGCAGACATTAGCCTGTAATCAACATGGAGTGGACACCCCACGGTGACATTTTATCTAATATACTTGTATGCCTTCCTATCTGTAGTTGATGTGTCCTAGGAAAATTGAGTGCAAATTAAAATTTCCAAAGCCATACGATATTTTAAATGTCCTTTAAGGTCTGTCTCTAATGTATGCATTCTCAAAGAGGAGATATTGTACTCAAGGGGGTGAAAATTTGAATGAGAGGGTGTGTGCAACAAATGGTACTCTTTTATACATCTTTTATATATCATTTCATGTGTTAAGAAAAAATATACAAACAATACATAAATAGGTATACAGTATGTCTTCAATATTAAAATTTCATTGGGGGAGTGATTAGGACAAAAATGTCTAAAAAGCCTTGTTATTGGGGAGGGAGGTAATGAGGAAAGAAATATTGAGAAATACTGCTCCAAATGGATACTTTTGTGAAGCTCTTCTATTTTGAAGTGTCACCTTCTAATTAATTTTTAAAACAGAAATCTGGATTTTCACATCTTGAGATTGCTTAACATAAGACAGACCTACAGAAAGTCCATTACTGCCAGAAGGCAATATTCATCCATCTTAGCCATTACATGGAAGCCCCCAGGAGAGTCTTCCAGCAGGAAATTTGTGCCATGCTATTATAAAATAATAAGGTGCTTATTGTCTACAGCTTGTGGAAACAGTCTCATTATTATTTTATGGCCAGATCTCTTTGGTAATAATAGTACTGATAATTACAAGACCACAATTCATCAAATCAAGACTCCACTGATTGTAAGATGCATCATTAAAATTTGACACAGTGACACATTAAAATTTGACACAGATGCCATAGGCAGTCAGATGCACTGAAAAAATGTTAAATTGTGAAAAAAAATGCATCTTAGGATTGATGAATACAGAAATAATAGCTGAAAATCACAGCCTTCTGTATGTGCCAAGCAAGACCTAGTTTATCTAATCAAACACTTTGAACAGTGATGCCTATTACATGCAGTGATATCTATTATTCACTCCAGTTTACAAAGGAGGACAGCTGAGATTCAGAGAGGTTTACTAACTTGCTGAAGATTACACAGCTCCAAAATGGTAGAGGAAGGACTCAACTTGAAGGCCTCAGGATCCTAATGTCTCAGCCTTCTGGTGAACACAAGGTTGTATCTTTCTCTACCCCTGTTCTATCTGTTTCCCCTGCAACTCAGAAAATAAATTCACCTCAGTGCTTTTAAGGTACAAGTTTCTAGAAAGTGCACAAAATGAAATGCTTATAGCTTTTAAATTGATGAAGGGGAAGTTATTTTTTTAAAAGGTTGTTATGTAAATAATACTTTTGATAATGGGGCACCCTCCTGACATGGTGAAAAGATAAGTAATCTTGAGCCAGGAAAACTTGGGTTTGATTCTTTTTTTATTCTATATGTTGTGCATCTTTATGGGATACAGAGAAATATTTCAATACATGTATACAGTGTGTAATGATCAAATCAGGGTAATTAGCATACCCATTATCTCGAACATTTATTTCTTCATATCATGAACATTCAAAATCCTTTCTTCTACTAATTTGAAAATATATAATAAATTTTTGTTAACTGTAGTCACCCTACAGCAATATAGAACACTTGAACTTATTCTGTCTAGCTGTAATTTTGTATCCATTAACCAGATCCTCCCTATCTCCCTCTCCCCTTTACTCTCCCCAACCTCTGATACTCACGATTCTACTCTCTACTTCCATGAACTCAAATTTTTTATTAACTCCCACATATAAGAGAGAACATGTAGTACATATCTTCCTGTGCCTGACATTTCACTTAACATTGTGGTCTCTAAGCTCATCCATTTACCATGAATTACAAGATTTTATTCTTTTTAAATGGCTCAATAATATTCAATTGTGTATATATACAGATTTTCTTTATCCATTTGCCTGTTGATGGACACTTACATTGATTCTATATCTTTGCTATTGCAAATAGTGCTGCAGTAAACATGGGAATGCAGTTATCCCTTGGATATGCTAATTTCCTTTCATGTATGTGTGTGTGTGTGTGTGTGTGTGTGTGTGTGTGTGTGTGTGTGTGTGTGTTTTTAAAGACCTGATCTCACTGTCACCCAGGCTGCAGTGCAGTGGCATAATATGCCTCTACCTCCTAGGCTAAAGAAATCCTACCACCTCAGCCCTCTAAGTATCTGGGACTACAGGCGCATGTTACCACACCTGGTTAATTTTTGTATTCTTTGTAGAGACGGGGTTTTGCCATGTTGCCCAGGCTGATCTTGAACTCCTGAACTCAAGCAATCTGTGACTTTTTTTCTTTTGGATAAACACCCAGTAGTAGGATTGCTAGATTGTATGGTAGTTCTATTCTTGTTTTTTTGATATCTCTACACTGTTTTCTACAATGGCTGCACTAATTTACATTCCCACCAACAGTGTATAAGAATTCCCTTTCCTGATCGAGACCATCCTGGCTAACATGGTGAAACCCCGTATCTACTAAAAATACAAAAAATTAGCCAGGTGTGGTGGCTAAAACTGGAAGCATTCCCTTTGAAAACTGGCACAAGACAGGGATGCCCTCTCTCACCACTCCTATTCAACATAGTGTTGGAAGTTCTGGCCAGGGCAATCAGGCAGGAGAAAGAAATAAAGGGTATTCAATTAGGAAAAGATGAAGTCAAATTGTCCCTGTTTGCAGATGACATGATTGTATATTTAGAAAACCCCATCACCTCAGCCCTCTTTTTCTATTGATTGGAATAGTTTCAGAAGGAATGGTACCAGCTCCTCTTTGTATCTCTGGTAGAATTCAGCTGTGAATCCATCTGGTCCTGGACTTTTTTTGGTTGGTAGGCTATTAATTATTGCCTGAATTTCAGAGCCTGTTATTGGTCTATTCAGGGATTCAACATCTTCCTGGTTTAGTCTTGGGAGGGTGTATGTATCCAGGAATTCATCCATTTCTTCTAGATTTTCTAGTTTATTTGCGTAGAGGTGTTTATAGTATTCTCTGATGGTAGTCTGTATTTCTGTATGATTGATGGTGATATCCCCTTTATCATTTTTTATTGCATCTATTTGATTCTTCTCTCTTTTCTTCTTTATTAGTCTTGCTAGTGGTCTATCAATTTTGCTGATCTTTTCAAAAAGCCAGCTCCTGGATTCATTGATTTTTTTGAAAGGTTTTTTGTGTCTCTATTTCCTTCAGTTCTGCTCTGATCTTAGTTATTTCTTGCCTTCCACTAGTTTTGAATGTGTTTGCTCTTGCTTCTCTAGTTCTTTTAATTGTGATGTTAGGGTGTCAATTTTAGATCTTTCCTGCTTTCTCTTGTGGGCATTTAGTGCTATAAATTTCCCTCTACACACTGCTTTAAATGTGTCCCAGAGATTCTGGTATGTTGTGTCTTTGTTCCTATTGGTTTCAAAGAACATCTTTATTTCTGCCTTCATTTCATTATGTACCCAGTAGTCATTCAGGAGCAGGTTGTTCAGTTTCCATGTAGTCGAGCAGTTTTGAGTGAGTTTCTTAATCCTGAGTTGTAGTTTGATTGCACTGTGGTCTGAGAGACAGTTTGTTATAATTTCTGTTCTTTTACATTTGCTGAGGAGTGCTTTACTTCCAACTATGTGGTCAATTTTAGAATAAGTGTGATGTGGTGCTGAGAAGAATGTATATTCCGTTGATTTGGGGTGGAGAGTTCTGTAGATGTCTATTAGGTCTGCTTGGTGCAGAGCTGAGTTCAATTCCTGGATATCCTTGTTAACTTTCTGTCTCATTGATCTGTCTAATGTTGACAGTGGGGTGTTAAAGTCTCCCATTATTATTGTGTGGGAGTCTAAGTCTCTTCGTAGGTCTCTAAGGACTTGCTTTATGAATCTGGGTCTTCCTTTATTGGGTGCATATATATTTAGGAAAGTTAATTCTTCTTGTTGAATTGATCCCTTTACCATTATGTAATGGCCTTCTTTGAGTCTTTTGATCTTTGTTGGTTTAAAGTCTGTTTTATCAGAGACTAGGATTGCAACCCTGCTTTTTTTTTTTGTTTTCCATTTGCTTGGTAGATCTTCCTTCATCCCTTTATTTTGAGCCTATGTGTGTCTCTGCACGTGAGATGGGTCTCCTGAACACAGCACACTGATGGGTCTTGACTCTTTATCCAATTTGCCAGTCTGTGTCTTTTAACTGGAGCATTTAGTCCATTTACATTTAAGGTTAATATTGTTATGTGTGAATTTGATCCTGTCATTATGATGTTAGCTGGTTATTTTGCTCATTAGTTGATGTAGTTTCTTCCTAGCATTGATGGTCTTTACAATTTGGCGTGTTTTTGCAGCGGCTGGTACCAGTTTTTCCTTTCCATGTTTAGTGCTTCCTTCAGGAGCTCTTTTAGGGCAGGCCTGGTGGTGACAAAATCTCCTAGCATTTGTTTGTCTGTAAAGTATTTTATTTCTCCTTCACTTATGAAGTTTAGTTTGGCTGGATATGAAATTCTGGGTTGAAAATTCTTTCCTTTAAGAATATTGAATATTGGCCCCCACTCTCTTCTGGCTTGTAGAGCTTCTGCCGAGAGATCCACTGTTAGTCTGATGGGCTTCCCTTTGTGGGTAACCCGACCTTTCTCTATGGCTGCCCTTAACATTTTTTCCTTCATTTCAACTTTGGTGAATCTGACAATTATGTGTCTTGGAGTTGCTCTTCTCAAAGAGTATCTTTGTGGTGTTCTCTGTACTTCCTGAATTTGAATGTTGGCCTGCCTTGCTAGATTGGGGAAGTTCTCCTAGATAATATCCTGCAGAGTGTTTTCCAGCTTGGTTCCATTCTCCTCGTCACTTTCAGGTACACCAATCAGACGTAGATTTGGTCTTTTCACATAGTCCCATATTTCTTGGAGGCTTTGTTCATTTATTTTTACTCTTTTTTCTCCAAACTTCTCTTCTCACTTCATTTCTTTCATCTGATCTTCAATCACTGATACCCTTTCTTCCACTTGATTGAATCAGCAACTGAAGCTTGTGCATGCATCATGTAGTTCTTGTGCCATGGTTTTCTGCTCCATCAGGTCATTTAAGGTCTTCTTGGGCCAGGCGCAGTGGCTCACACCTGTAATCCCCGCACTTTGGGAGGCCGAGGTGGGCGGATCACGAGGTCAGGAGATTGAGACCATCCTGGCTAACACGGTGAAACCCCATCTCTACTAAAAATACAAAAAATTAGCCAGGTGTGGTGGTGGGTGCCTGTAGTCCTAGCTACTCAGGAGGCTGAGGCAGGAGAATGGCATAAACCCGGGCGGCAGAGCTTGCAGTGAGCCGAGATTCTGCCACTGCACTCCAGCCTGGGCGACAGAGCGAGACTCCATCTCAAAAAAAAAAAAGGTACTCTCTATGCTTATTTATTCTAGTTAGCCATTTGTCTAATCTTTTTTCAAGGTTTTCAGCTTCTTTCCGATGGGTTCAAACAACCTCCTTTAGCTCAGAGTAGTTTATTATTACCAATCATCTGAAGCCTTCTCCTCTCATCTCATCAAAGTCATTCTCTGTCCAGCTTTGTTCTGTTGCTGGTGAGGAGCTGTGTTCCTTTGGAGGAGAAGAGGTGCTCTGATTTTTAGAATTTTCACCTTTTCTGCTCTGGTTTCTCCCCATCTTTGTGGTTTTATCTACCTTTGATCTTTGATGATGGTGACGTACAGATGGGGTTTTGGTGTGGATGTCCTTTCTGTTTGTTAGTTTTCCTTCTAACAGTCATGACCCTCAGCTGCAGGTCTGTTGGAGTTTGCTGGAGGTCCACTCCAGACCCTGTTTGCCTGGGTATCACCAGCAGAGGCTGCAGAACAGCAAATATTGCAGAACGGCAAATGTTGCTGCCTGATCCTTCCTCTGGAAGCTTCATCTTAGAGAGGCACCCAGATGTATGAGGTGTCAGTCAGCCCCTACTGGGACATGTCTCCCAGTTAGGCTACTTGGGGGTCAGGGACCATCTTGAGGAGGCACTCTGTCCATTCTCAGATCTCAAACTCTATGCTGGGAGAACCACTACTCTCTTCAAAGCTGTCAGACAGGAATGTTTAAGTCTGCAAAAATTTCTGCTTCCTTTTGTTCAGCTATGCCCTGCCCCCAGAGGTGGAGTCTACAGAGGCAGGCAGGCCTTCTTGAGCTGCGGCGGGCTCCACCCAGTTCGAGCTTCCCAGATGCTTTGTTTACTTACTCAAGCCTCAGCAATGGCGGACGCCCCTCCCCCAGCCTCACTGCCTCCTTGCAGTTCTATCTCAGACTGCTGTGCTAGCAGTGAGCAAGGCTCCTTGGGCATGGGACCCTCTGAGCCAGGCACGGAATATAATCTCCTGGTGTGCTGTTTGCTAAGACCATTGGAAGAGCGTAGTATTAGGGTGGGAGTGTTCTGATTTTCCAAATACTGTCTGTCACAGCTTCCCTTGCCTAGGAAAGGGAATTCCCTGACCCCTTGCACTTCCCAGGTGAGGCGATGCCCCGCCCTGCTTTGGCTCACACTCCATGGGCTGCACCCACTGTCCAACAAGCCCCAGTGAGATGAACCCAGTACCTCAGTTGGAAATGCAGAAATCACCCGTCTTCTGTGTTGCTCACGCTGGGAGCTGTAGACTGGAGCTGGACAGCATGCAGGTGTGCAGTGGCCCCACTACTGGAGGGGTGGGGTGCTTCTGGTGGCAGCAGCCCTGGGCAGGTGGCTCCCAGGCTCTGGAGAGCATGCACTTGGGCTCCCTCTGTTCTGAGGGTAGCCTTCCTGTGTGGTGCACTGCCTGCTCTCTGTGTGGCCATAGGACACTGCATGGGCTAGAGTGCTGAGGATCCAGCCAAACCACTGGGTCCAGATGGTGTTGTGATGCTAAAGACCTCTGGGTGGACATGGGGGCAGCTCAGGGGGTACTCCATGGATGTGGAGATGCAGGGGATATTGGGCTCCAGGGCAGAATGTAGTCTGGTGGAGGCTGGACTCTCAAAATGGTGCCATGCCATAGCAGCTTGGGTCTTAAGGAATGAGAAGGATCCAGCATTTCCTCTCTAGGACAATGCAGTCATGTATACTCCAGGCAGCTCCCTGTACTAGTCTCAGGGCCTGTGAAGGCCAAGGGGTTCTCTCATGACCAGTATTGCAGGAGTCTGTGGTGGGAATGTGGACTGTTGGGAATCTCTTGCCTATCTTTTCCCCACAATGGGGAGTTCCTTCTGGCTTTATACCAATCTTAGGTGGACCAGCTGCTTTGCTTTCCCCACCTCCATGCTTCAAAGTGTCCCTACCACTTCCCTGCTGAATTCCAGTGTATTATCCTAGATGCACTATTCGACGTGTGGTTATCTGTTTGCTGTTTTGGTCCTTCTTTGTGGAGGAGGCAAGTGCTGGGTGCCTCTATTCCTGCTCCAACAATTTATTATCTTCTTCAGACCTATATGCTATTTTCATGGCAAAAGGCAGAAGAGCCTTAGGTTTGATTCTGTCTCTTCCACTGACCAGCTGTGAGAATGTGGGTGGAAGTTTGCCTTTGTGAATCCTGGTTTCCTCCTCAGGAGCCTCTTGCAGATGGAGGTGTGTGAAGCTTGACCAGATTACATGTAAAGTAGGCAGCTGTTTGCTGCCCCTTTCCTATGTATTTATTTGTTTTTTGAGTTGTTTGTTTTTGAGACTTTGGATACTACATTTACTTAAAGTGATTATACCCAGACTCATCAACTCCTTTCCTCTTATAAGCTGGAGCTTAATGTTTATCTGGAGTTGGAAAGAAGCTGATGCCTCATAAATCCAAGCTCTGATCGTCTTATAGCTTCATTAATATTTTCCTGAAGGATGAGATGTTAAACCTACGCTTCTGATAGGTTTATAGCTTTGTGCTTGGGGGCTAGTGTCAGGGAGAGATGTTCTATTTTTATCTCTTTTTTTTCCTTTGTTTTGATTGCTGTTCTGTAAAGGATCTTGGCTGTCCAGAGCATATTTCACTCATTTGGCTGGGATACTTTCTGAGTGGTACAGAGATAACCAATTGTGTAGTTTATATTGAAACTGAAAATTTTGCCTCCCTCAAGAATATTATAATCTTCACTTATTGTTTGAGGCTCCATTGCTTTTGAATAAATACAGAATGTGTTTCCTCTTCCCCTATTCAAGTGGGCAGTTATTTAAATGGACTGTAACAGGAGTTTTCTCTGTTTGCATTGGGAGCCATCTCAAGTTTACATCCAGAAAACCTAATAAAAATTTGAGCTGCAACAACTGGGTGGAAGCAGAGGAATGAAAGAAGTTGTTTGATGAGGATTTTGCCAAATGATGGCACAAGGCTGTTGCTTGCAGAAGGACTTAGCAATTTCTCAGGAAGGGGGAGTTTGCTGCTGCCCACTCCAGTCTTTCTGAAGGTTCAGATGACCATTAATCCCTCTTGCAAAACTATCCCACACATGTGAGGTGGTACATCCTTATACACTGGCCTCACTTAGGGTGCATTTCTCGTAAATTCTCCTTTCCCCTAACTCAGTGTGATACAAAGCTGTTCAAAATTATTATAAACAAAACCAAAACAAAACAACTGAAAATCTCATCAGAGTAGATGTCTCCCAGAGCTTATACAGTAATATTTATCATTTTGCCAATTTCCAGACAGGAAAAAATTCTACATTTGTTAACTATACATTGTGTCATAAATCAAAAGGGAATGTTTTCTTTCTAAGATTTCTCCACTGTTTTAGTTGACTGGAGCACATGTTATCAATTGAACAAGTAGATTTTGTCCAGTAGATGAGATGGTGTGTCAGTTCTGTTTCTTGTTGGTGTTTGGTATCATGGTGGTCTTTTGATTTGGAAAACCATTCCTTCACTTTACCCAACTTGTGATTCCTTAGTACCTAAGCCAGCTGTATTGTTTACAAGAGCAGACTACTAGTGCCTCCTACCAACAGTGTTTTCAGTGACATTATTTTGGTAGCCTGAAATCATTTATGAGTGGAGTGTTTACACCACAGAAATGGGCAAACTCTACAAATCAGGGCTCTCCCCCATATCCCTGACCCCCAGAGAGCTGATTGCTAAACAATTACAGACCTCCAGGGCCCATGGCTGTCAATTTCTCAATGCCTAAAACCCTAGAAGACAGGGGACTAATGTTGGACAGAAAGTCACCACCTGGGAAATTGATCTGGGTCTTCACCAGCAGATAAGTAAGCTGGACATTCCTACTGTCACTGCCTCTGCCTACCATCATGCAGCTGAAAGTAGCTCTGCCTGAGTGTGTGTATACCTGTGTGTGTATTTATGTATGCGGAAGGCCTGTGTGTGTGTGCCTGTGTTTATGTGTGCATTCATGCATGTGACTGTGTGCATGCATGTGTGCAGGTGTACACCTATGTGTGCCCATGTGTGTGCATGTGTGTACCTATATATGTGCATGTACACCTACATGTGTGCATGTGTGTGCGTACATGCCCTGTAGCTCCTGCAAGCAGTTGTCTGAAGCAGCCTCTGTCCTCTGCCACACACATATTTTCTCTTTCTGCCTAACACATCTTTCTCTTCCATCTCAGCCCATCAGAACAGAGCTGGGCCTTCACTAGTCTGGACGATCAGCTGCTCAGAGCCTTGCATACAGTGGGAGGCTGAGGAATGTTCTTTCTAGAAGAATGTGAGTATCAGGGGCAACTCCAACCACATCTTTTCCCTTCTCTTGTCTGCCTCTCCTTCCTTACCTTTCAAATTCACATCTGGGAACCTTTAAAGAGAAAAAGACGCCTGGACTGGGAGGCTGGTGGGAATGAGGAAGGAGGGAGAGCCGTTGCTGCCTGTTTGCCTAGCAGTGGTAGAGAGTTTGTGGACTGGCCGTGGATGTCAGAGCCTGGGGGCTTCTCTAGGATCTTCTGAAGGGCCTCTTCCTTCTCACCAGTGAAAACCTAGACTGATCTCCAAGACCTGAGCCTTTGTATAGCTTTTGGGTTTTGTCAGGCCTCTGCAGCTACTGTTTAGGCCATTGGGGCAGCAGCCTGAGTCACCACTCAGGGTTAGAGATGAGGGCCAGAGCCCTGGCCTTCTCTCTGTTCCCTGAGGCTGTGCTGCACCAGCCTAACATGTGCTCACAGTTTGCCTGTGTTGTTCTATAGTCTTTAAACATAATAGCTTCTTTAAACAAGGGCCCACTGAGGCAGGCCCCTCATATTCCCATTTCACTCTTGAAGAAACTGAGGTATGAATAGGTGAAGTAACTTGCCCCAAATCTTACAGCCAGCAAGTGGCAGAAGCAGAATTGGAAGACAAAGTTCCAGGTTCCCAGCTAAATCTCTAACCTGCCACTCACGGGCCGGAAGCAATGTTTCCGTTTATTTGCTAGTTTCCATAATCTCTATTGTGAATCTCTCTTCAATCAGTTTTGTGTCTTAAACGTAACCAAAGAAATCCAAACTTCCCAGGCTAAGCTGAGGATCTTGGTGTGGAGTCCACTCCTGCTGTGGGGCCTCTAACTCTTGCTCCACTCCATGCCCTGACTTGGTTGCAACCAGGAGATGGCTCCCTGTGCAGACTCAACAGGTTAAAGCTGGAGGAGCCATCCATCTCTGAACACAGCCCCTTGCTCTACCCTGGGGGAATCGAAAGCCAAGAGAGTAGGAGATTCATCAAGGTAGAATGCTGGATTCAGGCTCAGCCAGCCCGTCTCAGGCCCATCTTGTGTTTGTCCCTCCACCTGAGGGTGCAGACTGGGCTCTGCTGGCAGGTGGAGAGTGGGTATATGGGAGCCCCTAGACAGGGGACAGATCATTGCTGTTGGCCACTGGGAGGAGCTGCAGCAAGAAGCACAGAAGCATGTCTTAGAGCCATTCCAGGGCATGATGGAGCTGCAGATAGATACCCACATAAGTGTGGGCATTGGCAAAGCGATGTGAACACTGGGGCTGGGGTCTCTCTGTTCTCCCCAAAGACCCAAGACCTCGCAGAACTATGATAAGGCTAGAGGAAGACTTATTTTTATTTCATTTTTTTCTTTTTTACCTCTAAGGTGATGCCTCGTGCAAAGCTGGTGCTCAAAATATATGATTATGGATGGATAGGTCAACAAAGACATAAACAGCAACAACCCTGGCTGCTCGGCCCTTTTGCTCTCGTCATTGGCTTCTTTTTCCAGAGCATGCATCTTCTAATAGGTCTAACCCCAACAGTGATCAAATGGGACCTCTGTTCTATTCCTTTCTTAACTGTAATCATGAGTTTCACACGGCTGTCATTTTACTGCCTGCTAGGAAAAGGGAATATGTTTGAATTTTATAAGTTTCTGAATTTCATAATTTTTTTATTTTTAGAGGTGCTCCAGGCTGACTCCATACCTCCCACTGAATGACAATTGTTCTAAAGGTAGACATTCTTATTTCATCATCAAGAAAAGCACTCTGTAGTGAACAAGGGCACTCACGCAATTGGATTCATGGAGAGATGTTTGTTTTTCTCCCACTTGTTTACTGTTGCTGGTGTTAGATCAAGTCTGGCCTTTACTATTCCATTAAAAAATGACCATTTGTGATTAGATATTTACAAAAATATATTCAGAATGATATATTTCAGATATTACATTTTTTCTAACAGTTCGTTTTAGTTTTGAATAGAAGCCTTAAAATACTTGGCCAGGTGCGGTGGCTCACGCCTGTAATCCCAGCACTTTGGGAGGCCGAGGCAGGCGGATCATGAGGTCAGGAGATCAAGACCATCCTGGCTAACACGGTGAAACCCTGTCTCTACTAAAAATACAAAAAATTAGTCGAGCGTGATGGCGAGTGCCTGCAGTCCCAGCTACTCGGGAGGCTGAGGCAGGAGAATGGCATGAACCCGGGAGGAGGAGGCTGCAGTGAGGCGAGATCGCACCACAGCACTCCAGCCTGGGTGACACAGTGAGACTCCATTTCATAAATAAATAAATAAATAAATAATTGGAAAAGTAAGAGTTAAAAATAAATCATGGAAAATCATAAAGTGATTCATTATCTGAAATACTTTCTGAGTACAAAGCACTTTGTTTCCTCTTCTTTGCTGATACCTGCATGTGAGCTAAAATGTGAAGGAAGGCATTTGTGATCTGATTTTGTGTCTACAAATGTCTATGCCTAACCTTGAGCTGCTGCCTTTGTTGGTGTGTGAAGTGATGCAGCAGAGCAGGGGATGGCAAACCTTCTGCAAAGGGCTAGAGTCAATTTATTGTACTTTGGGGGCCAAATGTGTCTGCCACGACTCCTCAACCCCGCCATTGTAGCCAAAAAGCAGCAATGAACAATATGTAAAGAAATGGGCATGACTGTGTTCCAATAAAACTTTACACAAACAGGCACCAGGTCAGACCTGCCTTGCAGACTACTGTTTACCAACCCTGTAGTAAACAATACTCAAAGGTACTCTAGTTGAGAATAAAATTACAATTAGCGATAATGGTACAGTACAGCTAGAACATTATTATTTCTGACACAGCGTTAAAGTACCACGTGTATAAAACGCTTCAACATAAATATGGGCAGATTATATTAAAAGGTTGTATTGGCAATCACCATCCAAGTAGTGACCCCTGACCTGTGACTTCTCCTGTCATCTACAATCATTTAAAAAGTTGTTGAACCACTGGGGTGAGAGTGGTAAGATGTGAAATCTTCTCTTTGTCACCCTAATGATGAATGTCTACCTAATCAGTTGGAACAGTGATATCATACATTTCTTTGAGTTGATAATATGGCAAAAAAAAAAATCATGAGGCTGTCCATGAAAATCCCATCTATTTAGGAGATACAGGCAATATAAATGAGAAAAAAAAAGCTCATAATAATAATTACTAAACCTGAAATTAAGGTAGAGGAAGGCACTTGCCCATGAAGATGTTTTAAGTCTGAATGTCCAGAAACAAGAGTCAGCCAAGTCGAAAATTTGAAGAAGTCTGACTGAGTCTTCTCTTTCCTAATCCACTCACAGAAGTAGAGAAGTCTGTTATTTCAGGCCTCAAGCTGACAGCTCCCGGGGCTTGCCCTTCCATTCTGTCCTTTACACCACATCTCAGATATCCCAAAACTGAAACTCGACTTGGTGTGTGCCCTGCCTGCCAGCCTTTTCTTCCTTAAAGGAGGGTAACAGTGGGCAAGAGGCAGCAGCCTCCAGTGGCAGCATCACAACTGACCCCAGCCAAGAAGGACACCATGACATTCATGCTTTTCTTGTGCCTTTCAGGGGAATCCATAAATCAGACCCATTCATGGCCACCTGGGAAAACACCAGGAGCTGTTCACAATCACAGCACATGAACACAATGCCATCAGTCAACGTCTTCTCCTCAACTGTGATCGAAATTAATTTAAAGAGATTTAACTTTAAAAAGGAACATTGATGCGATGTTCACAAATCAATGAGCTAAATATTAGTCCTCATAAGTGTTATAAAATCAGTTAATGATCCTTTCTGCTGTAAGCACAATTCTTAATCATTAGCGCCATTACACATAGCTTCTCTTGAAATGCATCACCCAATACATCATGACACACAGCACTCAGTTTATAAGCAATCATGTAAAAGAATAAGGAGATATCAGTATTTCAAAACTGCTGCAGGCTTCTGACTTCCTAGCAGGCAATAGTCCCCTAGAAACTATAGATTAGTGATGTTCAGCGGTTCTCAAACTTTAGCATGCGTTAGAACCACCAGGAGGGCTTATGAAAACATGGATTGCTGGGGCCCAGCCCAGGGTTTCAGATTTAGCAGATCTATGGTAGGATAAGAACTTGGATTTCTTTATAACCTCTCAGTGGTGCAGATGCTACTGCTCCAGGGACCACACTAAAACCACTGTTGTAGAGAAGGGGCCTACACACTTTCTCTAGAGGGTCAAATTAATACTTCTGCTTTACAGCCCATGCCACCTCTGTTGCAACTACTCAATTCTGCTCTTGTAGCACAAAAGCGGCCACAGACAATACTTAAGTGAGTGATGTGGCTGTGTTCCATTAGAACATTATTTACAAAAATAGGCAGTGGACTGGACTTGTCCTTTAGCCACAGTTTACTGACACCTGCTAGAGAGAATGAAGGACTGTCTTCAAAAGACTTGCCCCATCTCTCTGGCATGAATAACCGAAAGGGATAAAGTGTACGCAAGCCAGCCTCTCCCTACCCAAAATTGCTTCCTGAAAGATCTTGCCTGCACATAACATAAAGCATGAATGCCTTGGCACCTGACTTTCATCTTTTAAAATGTGTTCCAAGGAACTGTCCAGAAACAACACATTATATTAATATCGGAAAGCTTTAGAAACTGGATCATCATTCAGCATTTCAGTCTGTTTTAGAGGAGAATACCAGAAGCCTACCTCTGTTACTCGTCACCATGTACTGTGTCGGCCTCCATTGGACTAGAGTATAAGCTCTGAGAGAGCTGAAACTTTATCTTCACTTTCTAGAAAGGTGCCTGGCAAAAGGAAGGTGCTCAAAAATATTTTCTTGAATAAAAGAAAGTCTATGAAATCAACAACTCCCTTCCCGGCCTTGAGATTTCTAGATTTACCTTCAGAGCCTAGTAGCCAACCATGCCTCCCTCCTCTCCGTTACTACAGCGTTGGGACTGTAGGAACAGAAAAGAGACTCCAGGAGGGAGGCTCAGGGTCAGCAGATGTCTACCATGACCACCACACTTGGGCTGATGATAAGGACAGACTTCCTTTCAGTCTCTCAGCTCCTGTACTTTGCTGTTTGGACCCTCAAGGACCACTCAGCTCTCCAGACACCTAAGTGAAAGTTGGAAGTGGAAACAAACACCAGGGAACTGAGATCAAACAAAGCAGAGAGCGTAGGGCTGTTGATGGAAAGAGCTGGCTCCATGGGACAGGCAGACTTTAGTATCAGAAAGGCCAGCAAGGTAGGTGGGAGTTGGGGGGAAAGGAGGTGGAAAGCAAGACTTCCCGTTGTGTAATGAATTCATTAGAACAGAAGCAATGTAAGTGTCCATCGACAGATGAATACAGAAAATGTGACATCTGTGCACAGTGGGAAACTACTCGGCCAAATACTGCAAGACCCCACTTACATGAGCAAGCCACAACAGTCAAACTCATAGAAACAGAGTAAAATGGTAGTGCCAAAGGCTGGGAGAGGGGAAGACATATCTCTTGGTGTATCTTACAGTTTGCAAGATGAATACATTCTAGAGATCTGCTACACAGCGTCATGCCTGTAGTTAGCAATACAGTATTACTCAAAGGTTTGTTAAGAGGGTAGATGTCTCATTAAGTGTTCTTACCAACAATAATAAACAAAAAGCCATTATTGCTTTTTGTTTATGTGCAGTTTGCAAGTTAGAAAGGAGAAAAACTAGAACTGAGTTCTGAAAATCTGATTAGCAAGAGAATTTATGTAAGATATAATCTGCGATGATGAACTAAATTAGTACGAGGTCATTTTGCAGCTTAAGTCTTTAACAATAGGCACAATTTATGAACACTATTCCCTACAAGGGAGAGGTTTAGGAGCAGATGCAATTATGTTAAATGTGTTTTACAACTTGGAGTTACACAAGGTATGAGGTTAAGGGGTTACATTCCTAATGGGTAAAGATAGGCTCTGGGGTAAAACACTGGATAATAGGAGTGCCCTCATCTCTTGAAATCAAATTTCAGAAAAACGTGGCAGGAGGATCAGTAACTTATGATAGATAACAGAATATAGCCAAATGTGATATGGTATGAGGACATCCATCCTGGTTGTCAGTTGACAGGGCTGCTTGATTAGCTCACTAAGTTGTAAATGTTCTCTCCACTTCAGCTTACACCCAGGAAGGTCATGTACAGCATAGCACCTGAATCAAAGTAGGTTCAGGTCCAAGAATGTTGCATGCTCACTGCATCAGGTCTGGAATGGAGATCCAGGAGAGAGGAAAGTCATAACTGAGCATGTCAGTCAGGGTGCTCCAGAGAAACAGAACCAACAGGGTGTGTGTGTGTGTGTGTGTGTGTGTGTGTGTGTGTGTGAGAGAGAGAGAGAGAGACAGAGAGAGAGAGACAGAGAGACACACACAGAGAGAGATTTATTTTAAGGAGTTGGCTCATGAGATTGGGACGCCTACAGTCAGTTTTTTTTCTGCTAAGGTCTTCACCTGATTGGAAGAGGCTCACCCACATTATAGCGAGTGCTCTTCTTTACTCAAAGTTCACCCATTTCAGTGTCTATCTCATCTAAAATAGAGCTTCACAGATACATCTAGAATAATGTTTGACCCAATACCTGCACCCTATAGCCCATCCAAGCTGACACATGAAATGAACCATCACATTGAGTCATCCACCAGCAGCGTCCTAGACAGAGGTCGTTTATTGGTGTTTCCAGAGCTTCCCTAGTTTTCTTTCTTTCAGAGGCTGCCGGAGTCTTCTCCTTAATACTGTGAGCCCCTCCAGTACCCTGTAAATATTCCAATAAGAACTTGGAGTTGGTTTCTCCTTCTGAAATGAAAAGAGAAGGGAAAAGAAAAGGAGAATAACAACATTCTTAAGGGACAGAGGAACAGTAAATAAGCCAAACCCAAACTAAGCCAGACCCAGCATGTTATTCCCCAATATTTGTGCTAAGTGATGTCATGTCAAGTTATACCTTTGCCACAACCTTGCCTGGAATGCTAAGTGTAGCTTTTCTTTACCCAAATGCCCTGTGGTTCTTTGTTAAGGCCGTGAATAGTCATGTTGTAAGTCTCCAGTGAGCTACTGAAATTGTATATTTTCTTTTATTTTTTCCATGGCCAAAAGCATTTTATTAACTTGTGTCAGTGAAAAGCTTGTGAATGGTGCCCCAGAGGGTCCCTCCAAACCTGAAGGATGGCTTTGGGATTTGTTCTTATCTGGATTAACAGCAATTGTACTTCCCAAGCTCGGACCTTTTCTAAAATTGAGCAAGAACAGAGCTGGCTTTTCTGCAAACACACTGAGGACTAGGATCCGACAGAAGTCATTATTTACAACCCTCTCTAGCCTGCAAAGTCACACACAGATACTTCACCCTGAATGGAATAATTAATCAATTATAGGAAATCATTTGTTGAGAAGAAAGATGGTCTAAAAAAAAAACCAAGTAATTTCAGCAGGAAAAAAAAAGCTCTAAATTTTTTTAAGGAAATTACTTGCCATCTCTAACCCTAGAATAGTGAGAGCAAATAAAGCTGAGATGGCAAGAGCCCAGAGGTATCTTCCAGACTCATGACCAGGCATAGGCTTGTTAATATAGACTCTTAGCAATTCTTGGGGAACTTCAAGGTTGTGATACAAAGAATTTAGCCCATGTTCATATTGAGTCCTATTATAGAGCTGAACTCACCAATAAATTAACTTAAATCTAATAAAATGGCCATACTTAAAAACGCTTTCTATCATGAGGTGATCAGGTTGACATCTTCAGTGATTAGTCATATTAATAACATTATGTTAATAATCACATTAACATAATGTGATAAAAAAAGGTCACTATGATCTTCCTTCCAAAAACCTGTAACTCCTGTTTTTAACTATGAGAAAAACATCAAACACAAATTAAGGGACAATTTACAAAATAAGATAGCTAAAAAGAATCCTTGTCTATTTTTGTCTGGAAGCCTGGAGGGACGTACAACAGAATGTTACAAGTGGTCAACTTTACCTGCTGGTAGGATTGTTGAGAAGTGGTGACTTGCTTTTTCCTTTGGACATTAATCTGTTATTTAGGTTTTCCAAAGTGTATTTTTTTGTATTTTTTAAAAAACTTATTCATAAAAATTAATTCTTTCTTGAATGTAGTCAAAACGTCCATATGGCCAGTAAGAGAAGATACAACATGCTCCTTTGGAGGAAAAAATAACCCAGGCCAACAGCCTCTTCTTTGAGACCTTCTTCACTTCAAAGCCTGTGAAAACAGCCCTTCTGAAAAATGGTGTCACTAATGCTATCAAAACTCTGAGATTGCCAAAACTACCTCTAGGAGGCACATAGTACAGCACGAGGGCTGTAAATGCTAAGACATAATATTGAATAACTATTTGAATCTTCAAGTAAGATAGGTATTATGGCCTCCAATATGGAAATGTAATTACAGAATGCATAAGTAGCTTGCACAAGGTCAAATAATGACTCAATGCAAGAGCTAGACATAAAATTTTCCTTACCACTTCCCATTTCTCTGCTAAAACACATTTTTTATAAATAACTTACAAAGCATTCGAAATTCCCTAGAAAATCAATATTCATGGTTGTGTTACTCTCAACTTTTTTGCAGTTTCTATTTTCTAACTTTTAAATAAAGATAAGAGGAATATTTTGCCAAGGTTCAGCCTGGTTATTTTTTTCTTCAAATACTGTTAACTAAAGTATAACCTCATATGTGACTAAAATGGACCTCCATGCTCTTTATTAGCTGTTGAATTACTTTTGAAAAATGCCTGAAACTGTCACTGAGTGATAAGTTGAGGCCCAGTGAAATCCCAAAGATCCCTCACTTGTGTGTGTGTGTGTGTGTGCACACGCACATGTGTGTATATGTGTGTGTAAAATATATTCTATCATTTTTATTTGATTTTGAGATATGTATATCCTCTTCAAGTGTTTTATGTGTATGTGTGTATGTCAAAAATTACATTAAAATTAATTTAAAGCCTACACTACATAGTATAATAAGAAATATCCTAGATGTTACAAAGCAAAGTCAAGAATGACTGACGCTCTCCCCTTATGAGCAAAATTAACAATGGAGGAGAAATCAGAGAAATCCTGGGTCATTGTCTTGGTCCATTTTATGCTACTATAACAGAATACCTGAGACTGTGTAATTTATAAAAAACAAATATTTATTTCTCACAGTTCTGGAGGCTGGGAAGTCCAAGGTCAAGGGCCCACATCTGGTGAAGGCCTTCTTGGTGTGTCATCCCATGGTGGAGGGTGGAAGGGCAAGAGAACACGTGAAAGAAGAGGAAGGAGGGCTGAATTCATCCTCTTATCGGGAGCCCACTCCTGTGATAACAGCATAAATCCATTCATGAGAACAGAGCCCTCATGAGCCAGTCACTTATTAAAGATCCCACTTCTCAACACCATTGCATTGGGGATTAAGTTTCCAACACATGAATTTTGGGAGACACATTCAAGCCATAGAAGTAGTAAATAAGAATACAAAATTCTCATCTATCAGACAACAGCACAAGAAGACAGGAAACAGAAACCAGCCTGGAATAAAGAAAGCAATATTCATCGAAGTGATTGTTATGTGGGATTATTTTAATACACACTGGGACTATTCGTATATTTCATGAATGCTGATAAAAAGAAACTCCCTTTGCAGTAATAACAGTACATTCTCTAGTATATTATGGCTTACAAAACACTTTTAAATTTACAATGGATAAGATAGCAAGAGCTGGGTTCTCTTGGGTCTCCCCACACTAGCTACCAATCCTTGCACCAAGCTTAGAAAATCCAGCTACAGATCCAATTTCTCCATCAAAAAAGGGCAGAGAACCCCCTGTGTCTCAGGATCCTGTAGGGGGTAAGTGGGGTGACACGGAGCTGTACGGGCATAATCATGTTTAGTCAAAGCCCTTAATTCTCACAACCTTCCTGGGAGAGGCATTAGTGTTCACATCTCTGACTTGCAGATGAGGACACTGAGACTCAGAAAGGTTTAGTGATGTAGCCACGGACACAAAATACACATCTGGAGAAGAGAATCTGCATTTTCCGTTTCTTCTTCAAATACTTTTTCCAGGGCTTACAGCATTCACACTAAGTGAATTTACCACCATTTGGGATTAGAAAACAGCCTATTTATGGGTGGATCATCTGAGCTCAAGAATTCAAGACCAGCCTGGGTAACATGGCAAATCCCCGCCGCTACCAGAAATACGAAGAATTAGCTGGGCGTGGTGGCATGGGCCTGTAGTCCCAGCTACTTGGGAGGCTGCGGTGGGACAAACACCTGAGCCTGGGAGGCAGAGGTTGCAGTGAACTGAGATCGTGCCACTGCACTCCAGCAGGGGTGACAGAGTGAGACCCCATCTAAAGAGACCCCATCTTAAAAAAAAAAAAAAAAAAGAGAGAAAACAGCCTATTTAGAGAAGAAAAGAAAATGGTTCCCAAAACTCTGTTTAGAAGTCAGCCCTCACTTGGGGGAATGGAACTGGGGCTTAGAAAATCCAGCCTGGGTCCCAGGTCACACTCACCAGAGTTGCATCCCACATAAGTCCAACAATCCTTCTCTTCTCCATTTTGTTTGTTTGTTTTTGTTTTCCTTGGTACATCTTACTCCTACTGTTATTGTGAGATGCAAATAAGATTATTCATTCAACAATTCTCATCCTATCTACTGAGTATGTACATCTACATAGAACATCTACATAGTACATCTATATCACCAGTGGGTGATGCCTGACATTTATCCTCAGCATCTAGGGCTGGAGGGGCTGGACACTCCCATGCATGCATGCACACACGTGTGCACACACATATGCACACACAAAGTATTTACAAGATAAAGCAAATGTCAGAAAAGATCACTGGCCATGTGCCATCTATATGCTATATACATTTTTCATTCTCTGTTTAGTCATCATTGGCTACTCTTCATTTAGGTAGCAGTTGTGAGAAATTAAATGTATCTATGTTCTAGAATTATGGGGAGAAAATAACTGTTGAATGCTTCTTCTGTGCCCACCATGGTTTTAGGTGCTGGGAATACCTAGTGGGCAAGATGGATTAGGTTTCTCCCCTCATGGAGCTGACATTCTAGTCAGTGGAGAAAAACAATAAGCCAGCAGACAGATAAATGAGGAATTTCAGATGAGGATAGAGTGCTATAAAGACAGTAAGACAGAGCAGGCCCCTTGAAAAGCTGATTCCAGAATAAGAAGAAGTTAACTACGCGAGGATCTGGAAGAGACAGTTCTCGGCAGTGGTGTTGTAGGACTTTCTTGTTAGCCTAGCTAAAAAGAGCGTCCTTGTCACATAACCACGAAAGATTAGGCTCACAGACACTTTGAAGGGTGGGGAAAATGGAATTTATTAGGCAAAAAGGAAAAAAAGGAAACAGGGACTTTCAGCAAAGCAAGAGTCCTGCTAGCCGGTTTCCCGCGTCACAGATTGAATCCCAGATTCCACCCGGGAAGAGGTCAGGCTCCTCTCCCCTGTAAAGGGCGTGAACTTCTGTGGCTCCACCCCATCTTCCGGTGTGCAGGTAGTCAGAGTTTCTCTGCGGACCCCTTTATGCTTGGCTGTCTCAGTGGGAGTGGCTAACACAAAGTCCCAAGGGGAAGAATTGGCTTGTCCTGCTAGAGGAACCTCAGAAAGGCCAGTGTGGCCAGAGGAGCCAAGAGGGAGGAGCTCACAACTGGGCAGGACCCCCATCATGCAGGGTCTGGTAGGCCATGTGTGCTAGGGGTTGCATTTGGCTGCCCATGAAGACACCAACCACAAGGACTTTATTTAATAGAAATTTGTTTCCCACACAACAAAAAAGTCTGGACGAGGAGTCCACAGCTCTGAAGCGCCTCCATGGACCCTCAGATTCCCACATGCCTTTGACCTTCCTGCTCTGTCACCTTTAGCTTGTGATTTTCATGCCTTTGATTGCCTCACAGTTGCGATATGATTGTTCTACCTTTGGCCTTCTGTCTGAATTCAAGGTGGTACAAATGATGTCACCAGGAGGAAGGGGTGTCCCCATATTAAGAATGTAAATTTTCCCCAAAACACCCCAGCAGATTTCCATGGTCAAAACTGTGTCACTTGGCTACCCCTAGCTACAAGGGAAGCTGAAAAATAAATGTCTTTTTTTTGCGAAGTTCACTACCTTCTTAACAGTATTTCCTTCATTAGAAATGCTATTGAGTAGACAGATTATTCCACACTGTAATGAGTAGCTTGGATTGTATTCTAGAGGAGAAGCTATTTGCCGATAGGTGGGAAATCAAGAGTTCTTTGAAGATGTAAAATTAACTTGGCTGTCACACTGTCAGGAGCAGAATGTACCTGAATCACGTAGCACCCAAATATAATACGTTAGTGGCAGTGAATCTGTACAGGTCTGCAGCAACCTCAATTCTTGCCTCTTCAGAAGGAAGAATTCAACTGAGGGGTATAAAGCAGAAAGAGAGACTGAGGCAACTTTAAAGGAGGAGTGAAAGTTTATTAAAAAGCTTTAGATCTGGAACAAAAGGAAAGTACACTTGGAAGATGGCCAAGCAGGTAACTTTAGAGATCAAGTGCACGGTTTGACCTTTGACTTAGGGTTTTATACATTGGCATACTTCTGGAGTCTTGCATCCCTTGATTCTTCAGGGATCAGTCTTATCCCCTGATTCTTCCCTTGGGGTAGGCTGTCCACATGCACAGTGACTTGCCAGCGCTTGGAAAGTGAGCAGGGGCAGTGTGTTTATTGGAAGTGTACACATGCTCACTTGAGGCAATCTTCCCTTACCAGCCTCATGTTCCTAGAAGGTCATATACCAGTCAAACGTTGCCATTTTGCCTCTCGATGTGTGGCAAAGAGATCTTACCAGGAAGCTGCTGACCACCACTTTCAGGTTTTTTCTATCTACTGGGAGACTGCCTTTCCCTGGCACTGACTGCAACCAATTATTATTTTAGAGAAACAGTGTAACAACTTCCTGACCATCACCTGATGGTCACACAACATTTCTGGTGGTGTGGGTTGTGGGGGAAGAGTCCTCTCCTGCCCTGCTCAGGCCGACTAGCTACCTACTGTAAGACAACCAGAGTTTCCCAATCAGTACAAACCTGGAGAACAGGTCACAGGCAAAGAGACACAACCTGTCAGACCTCAGGGCAGTCCAGGGGCCACCAGGGCCCCTCTGGAGCTCTGCTCCTTCCTGTGAAGGCTTTCTCCCCCACCCCCCAGGGTTCCTTACCAATAGCATTTGTTATTGAGTCTAAGATGCTGTGGCTCGTAACATGCAACTTTGTTTTAGGTACCACTAAGGGTAAAAACACTACCAATTAAATGATACCACAATGTGCTCTTTCAACTTAAAATTTTCATTTTATACTTCCAAGAAATAATTCTTTAGGCTTAAGACATACGACATAAGTTTTTAACTATATAGCACTTTTGCACATACATAAAAAGGAAGTTACTCATGAAATTAATCAGTTAGGTATCCTTAAACCTTTAAGAACGTGAGTGATGTGCTATCTCTTTAAAGAGTAACCCAGTATTAATTTCAGGATTCTCTTCTAAACTGCTGGCACCCACTTGGAAGTTTGGATGTGAATGCAAGACAATGGCAAGCATATCATGACTGCAGCCTGGCCAACAATTATCCTATTACCGGTGTTGAAATGTGTGTATGGAGTGGGGAATGCAAGACCAATGTATGCTATGTGCATCTCCATGTGTGCCCTGATGCACAGAGTTGCGCAGCACTGAGTTAGACAACAAATAGAGAAGCCAAGGTGGCGGTGGTGAGTTTGGAGTTCAGTGGAGGGGCAGAAAGAGAGAAATTAAGTTGCAGATGTGGCACCCATAAGCGTCTGCAGGTGGTGGTGGTGGTGAGTCTGGAGTTCAGGGGAGGAGCAGAAATAGAGAAATGAGGTTGCAGATTTGGCACCTGTAAGCATCTGCATGATAGTCGTCCACAGGCTGCATGTGACTATCTATGGGAAGTCTAGATAGAGAAGAAGGCCAATGCTGAGCCTTGCGATACTCAAATGTTTATAAATCTAGAAGAGGGCGAACTGCCAAGCTGACAGAGTGAGCAGCCAGGGTGGCCAGAGAACTGGAGGGTAAGGCAGTGATGTGGCACCTCCGGAGCAAAGGAGGAGGGGGACGGCCAGCTGCATCAAGTGCTGCTAAGAGCTCAAATAGAATGAAAGTAGAAAATGACCATTGGATCTGGCAGCACATAGGTTATAAGTGACTTCCACAAAAGGACCTCCCATGGTTGAGGGCAGTGCAGCAGAACTTGATGAAAACCAGACAAACTGGACTGGAGGGAGTGACAAGAGATGAGGAGCTCAGCCTCCCTGAACAGTTTTGTTGTCAAAGGGAAAAGTACAGCCAAGCGAGGGGTGGTGTTTCCTTCGCTAAAGAGATTAGGCCTGTCTGAATGCGAATCCAGCAAGGCATTGCGGAAGTTAACAGCAGTTGCAAAACACTGGGGCAGGCGGGAAGAACACGATCCAAGGCACGAGAGCCAGGGGTCAGCCACGGCAACAGGAAGATGATGGTGAAAACCAAAAGTTTCTGAGAGTGGTCTCAATTTAGGAAGTTTATTTTGCCAAGGTTAAGGACGTGCATTGACACAACCTCAGGAGGTTCTGATGACATGTGCCCAGGGTGGCCAGGAAACATCTTGGTTTTATACATTTGAGGGAGACATGAGACATCAATCAATACGTAAGATGTAGGTTGGCTCTTTAGGAGGTAAAATGTGAAGTGGAGGCGTCCGGGTCATAGGTACATTTAAAGGTTTTCTGATTGGCAACTGGTTGAGAGTTATCATCTAAAGACCTGGACTCAGTAGAAGGGAATGTCCGGGTTGCATGAAGGAGTTGTGGAGACCAAGGTGTTATCATGCAGATGAAGCCGGGAATACACTGCAAATGTTTCTTATCAGAGTCCTCTATTAGTCTTAGGGTCTCCGTGCGGATGTTTGTGAGGCCATGTTTGACTTCCGCTTCCCATCAAGGCCTGAACTAGTTTTTCAAGATAACTTAGAAGGCCACAGGCGGAGGGGAGGGTCCATCCGTTGGCTGCAGGGCTTAGAATTTTATTTTTGGTTCATAACGAGGAGGGCAGGGACAGAAGCCACCGTCTCTGCTCCCCAGCGCTGGCCCTCACTCGGAAAGCAGGCTCTCCCCTCGCATCGTCTTTTAACAAATTCCTGCTCTCTCGGCCCCCGTCGCTGCCATCTGGGCTCTCCTTTCCGCGCTTCATTAGGCGCTGCCGCGGCAGGGGCTGAGGGCCTCAGGGGACGGTCGCCTCCCTGCCGGGACGCCCCGGCCCTGGCCCGCACTGTGGGGCGCAGTCACCCAGCCGTCGCCGCGTAGCCAGGAGCCCGGCTGAGCGCGTTCGCTGCAGGAGCCATCCTCAGCTGGGCCCTACTTAACTTTCCGCAACTCCAGTCCCCGCAGCCAGTCGGGGACCCCGCCTCCCTCTCCTTCCTTCTCCCTCTCACTTCTTCACCCCTTCTCTCCCCTCCCTCCTCCGCCCCCGCCCCCGCCCCCGCCCCCGCCCCCGGCCACAGCATCCGACGTGGCGCGGCCGGCTGCGCACGCACCGTATGCTTGGCTCGCGGCCCAGCAGGGCGGGCGGGCCGCGGTGACGTCAGTGCGCATGCCGTCGGTGGGCTCGGCTGCGCCACGTCGGCGCGCGGCGGCCGCGCCCCCTTAACGGCAGTGGCACTCACCCGGCTCGCGCGGCCCCGGCGCCCCACGCGCGCGCGTCGTTCTCCCGCCCGCTCGCTCCCCGGCGCTCACACCTGAGCTCACTCGCGCACGCCCGCCCGGCCCGAGAACCGCGCCGCCGCCTCGGCCCCGCGGAAGCCCCGCCGCGTCATGTCTTCGCCTCCCGAAGGGAAACTAGAGACTAAAGCTGGACACCCGCCCGCCGGTACTGACTCTTTTCCTCTCTCTCCACGCGCGGGTGCCGGGGGCGGGCTCGAACCCGGGGGCGCCGGGCGGGGGCTCCGCGGGGAGGGCCCCGGCGAGCGCTGAGACGGGTTCCGGGCCTTGATGCCCGCCCGAGGGGCGCGGGCCGCGGAGAGGTCGGGCGCCCAGGCCCGGGAGGAGCCCGCCGGAGCTTCGGCCCCGCTTGCCGGCGGCGGCGAAGCGTTTCTTCCTGAGGACCGCGGGCGGCCGCGTACCTGTGCGATTGCGCGCAGGCTCCGGTGCCTTGGGCGAACCCAGTTGCACAACTTATAACAAAGTTTTGGCGGATAATATTTACTTAGAGGATACAGATGTCTAGAAAGAAAGTAGCAGAAGCAATGAAAAGTCAGTGGTGTTAATATCATGGTGATGATTAATTAGAGGCTGCCAGCGTTTCATACCGACTCAAGAACCAAGGAGCGGAAATAATTTTTATCATTAATCACTCAATATGACTTTCACCGCCAGTTTCTTCCACATCCAGATTTTTTTTTTCCCCCAAAGTTGCTTTTTCTGATTTTGAGCAAATCCTAAACTTCTGAGCCAAGGAAGTTAAAGCCAGGAAAGAGCGGTCTTTCTTAGAACATAGGGATCTAAGCAGCCTTCATGCTTCTGCCACCTCCTCCTCTCTCTGGGCACAGTTCCTGTTTGCACTTTGGATTCTGTCCAGACGGGTCTGTTTCCGTTTCTACTCTCCTTTCCAGTGGCAGTCGGCCCATATGGAGGGACACTGGTGAGAAGATCAAAGGCCTTGGGTCTCAGAAGCCAAGTCACTTCAATGTATGGATGCGTGAGGTTCTTTTAGGTCTTAATAGCACGCCTTAGTGTCATAAACTCAGTCTTGTAGGAACAGAAGTCTTTGAGAAACATGGCTTCTTTTGGTGGCACATTTGCGCCATTTTCTTGACAATAAAGATTCCTGGCCAGGCGCGGTGGCTCATGCCTGTAACCCCAGCAGTTTGGGAGGCCAAGGAGGGTGGATCACTTGAGGTCAGGAGTTCAAGACTAGCCTGGATAACATGGTGAAACCCCATCTCTACTAAAAGTAGAAAAATTAGCTGGGCATGGTGGCGGGCGCCTGTAATCCCAGCTATTCAGGAGGCCGAGGCAGGAGAATGGCTTGAACCCGGGAGGCAGAAGTTGTAGTGAGCCAAGATTGAGCCAAAGCACTCCAGCCTTGGCGACAAAGCGAGCGAGACTCCATCTCAAAAAAAAAAAAAAAAAAAAAAAAGATTCCCATTATCCTTCTCTGCTGTCCTCCGCTATAGGGCGGGAATTCTCTGCACCAGCACAATGAATAGGAGCCGTTCTTTAAATATGTTGCAGTCCAGAGTAGGCAATATTTTTCAGTGGTGACGGAGGCTCTCTACAACAAAACTAACTGGCACTGGGAAAGAAAAATGTCTAACTGATGCCAGAGAACTTAAGAGGCATGGGGTTTTAGAAAATCATTCCACTGTGATGGAAAATGGTTTTGGGGGAATTTGTGTTGCATTGGTTTTAAGAAAAAAAGTACTTCAAAGGGAGTTTTTTTTTTGATGGGATTTCTTTTAAGGATAACTGACTTCCATTCCACCACAGCGGGTCCCTGTCCACTGTGGGGAGGAGCGCCTTGATTTCCACCCCGGGCAGGGCTGCCTCCAGGAACTGCAGCAGCCACCTGCTCTGGCCCTCCACTCCCCAGGACATGGGTTACATTAAAGCGTATCTGTTGGAATGATACAGAACCAAAGTACAGTAATTAAATTGCATACAGAGACACACCCATAAAGAAGTTTTTTGTTTTGTTTTTTGAAACAGAGTCTCACTCTGTCACCTGGGAGTGCAGTGGCACGATCTTGGCTCACTGCAACCTCCGCCTTCTAGGTTCAAGAGATTCTCCTGCCTCAGCCTCCCGAGTAGCTGGGTTTACAGGTGCCTGCCACCACACCTGGCTGATTTTTGTATTTTTAGTAGAGACCGGATTTTGCCATGTTGGCCAGGCTGGTCTTGAACTCCTGACTTCAGGTGATCCACCCACCTCAGCCTTCCAAAGTGCCCATATGGAGATTTTTAAGGTCAGAGGTATAAACTGTACATACTCACTCCCTGGGAGAAATTCCTTGCTGGACTCTGGTTTTCTTTGAATTGCAGAGTAAACAGCTAGGCTTTGTGAATTACAGAGTAAGTAGTTTATTTACCCCTGAGGAGGGAAGAGGCAGCTTATTTGTGCTAGTGTAGCAGTGAGCTTGGGTTCTAAGTTTGAAGACATCACTTCACGCTTCACTGGGGCTCAGTTTTTCTCCTTTATGAAATTCGAGGTTTGGGCCTCGGGGCAAGTCACAGGGTGGGGCTGTGTTTGCTGCAGTGAGTCTCACGTCCCGCTTCAGCATCAGGGTACCAGCACTGTTCATCCCCCAGGTAAACTCCTCTAGTAACTTCAGGGCAACCCCTTTAGACTTACGGGGTGAGCTCTTGCGGGTGGCTGTCACCATCTGTCATCTGTCTCCAAGACCATAGTTAGAGGAGGGGCCCAATAGCAGCACCCCTCAAATGCCAGCAGCATCCCTCAAATGCCAACAGCACCCCTCAAATGCCAACAGCACCCCTCAAATGCCAACAGCACCCCTCAGATGCCAACAGCACCCCTCAAATGCGCTTTCCTAGATGTTACAGAGGACCATGTGTGAACCTTTTCTGGCAGGAAGCTCTGGTGTTCTTGTTTAGTCTGGCATTGCCAGAGAGTAGGCAGCTCTGAAGGGTAGATAGTTTTTAAAAAAAAAAAAAAAAGGCGGCCCACTACACTAAAGGATAATCATCAAGGATAGCCAAGAGCACAGTTCATAAATCAAAATCACTGCCTTAAAAATGTTGAGAATGCTTTCATTAAGTGCTTAAATTGGATAACAGACTTGTGCCTCAATGCTCAATCAGAAATAATAAAATTCTCTTACAGTGACTATCTTAATGTTCTTTTGTGTCTTCTCTTTGTTGCTGTCTGGCCCATATCTCCTGTACATTCCCCGCAATCCCCTTGTTTTCCTTCGTGCACTAACCTTCGCCTCTCTGCCTGTCTTCTTGCTTCCAGGGCTGGGTCTTCTTGATCTCTTTATTCCCGGGGTGGCACAAAATACTCAATAAGCACTCCAGAGTTTCCCCAGGGCCTCTTCTCACCCCTCACTGCCCCCATAGCAAACCGGGCCCACACCTTCCTCAACTCTGAGCTCTCTGTACTGTGCGCAGGGATGCAGGTGGTCCTCTTGGCCGGTTCAGGCAGCAGACTGGTGGAAACACTAATGAAGTTTGTTGAGTGTCACAATGTGCTGACACACTTCTAAGCGCTTGGCACGTTTAACTCATGAAATCACCAGTCATCTTAACATTGAGATACCGAGGACAGTGCCGTTTAAAAACCTGACCCAGAGCCGGGTGTCGTGGCTCACGCCTATAATCCCAGCACTTTGGGAGACCCAGGTGGGGAGAGCACCTGAGCTCAGGAGTTCAAGACTAGCCTGGCCAACATGGTGAAACCCCGTCTCTACCAAAAATACAAAATTAGTCGGGTGTGCTGGTGGGTGCCTGTAATCTCAGCTACTCTGTAGGCTGAGGCAGGAAAATCGCTTGAACCTGGGAGGCAGAGGTTGTGGTGAGCCAGGATCACACCACTGGACTCCAGCCTGGGCAAGAAGAGCGAATATTTCGTCTAAAAAAAAAAAACCTGACCCAATTGTTTGGAGTGTCTGTTGCCAACTCCCCTGAGCTAGTGACCTAGTGGGAGCGGCCGGAAAGGCTGTTGCCTTTTGGAACTTCAGCAGCCCGACAGACGACTCCATCACTGGCCAGGTGCCTCCTCCCAAGGTGGGAGACGAATGAGGCAGTTTGTAAAGGCTTCTGAAGAGTGTTAGAGAAAGGTGCTGTGCAAATACAGGTATTGTTATTTACAAGTGATGGATGGCACTGCATCATGTCCTGGCAAATGTGCTGTCGTCTGCAGTCCTCTGTAGAAGTAATCCAGCCTTAATGATTTGAGACCTTACCACTGCTCTTGACTACAAAATATTTGCAGAGAAATGGGGTGAGTGCTTGTTTGATGAGTTATTGCAAATGCAGATTAGCAGAGTTAGAATTAGCGAGATTCTTTCTGTTTCATCTAACAGCAGTCATAGCATTCCACAGCAGAAAAGAGGACCTAATTATAAGCCTCGCTATTACTCATTTCTGCCAGTCTTTGTGAGTCTGTGGCAGTGAGATGTGTAAAATCTCTTTGTTAAATACATTTTGCTGGCCCTGTTCCCCTCCATTTCCCAGTGGAGCCAAAACCATGTGTCAGTAGAGTTCTCATAAATCTGCTACATGATAGCTTTGAATGTTACTAATCTTACATGTGGTTTTCTTTGAAAAGCAGACTCTACATCCCCTCTCAAAGTGAATTAAATGGAAATATAAGCACGATTATATTTATTTCAAGCCATGTTACTTTTTTTAGTAACTTCAGAGTAACTTAGTTCTCTCTTACACTAATTGATACGTCAGACATGAGTTAAGGATGCCTTTCAAAAGTCTAGTGTAATTCTCCCTGAATTATCTCCCTGCAGAAAGACTTTCAGATTATCCATTGCTAGAAACAGAAGACTAATTTGTCTTCTATTAACCCTGTGGTCACAGATTTGCTAAGCATAGTCCCAGTGTCAACCAGTCAGGACCAGAAATTGAATGGTCCAGGTAAGAGGTCTGCCCTTGTTCCCAACATGCCAAGGAAAACAAGACCCTTTAGTTACTATCTTTTTTCAGAAGCCTTCTGTCAAGGTGGCCCATGGCATTTCACCTCTTCCCTAGCCTTTTTTTGTTGTTCTTGTCTAGACAGGGTCTCTCTCAGGCTTGAGTGCAGTGGCGTGATCTTGGCTCACTGCAACCTTGGCCTCCTGGGCTCAAGAGATCTTCTCGCCTCAGTGTGCTGAGTAGCTGGGACTACAGGTGTGCACCACCACAACCAGCTAATTTGTGTATTTTGTGTAGACACAAGGTTTTACTATGTTGTCCAGTCAGGTCTCAAACTCCTGGGCTCAAGCGACCTGCCCACCTTGGCCTCCCAAAGTGTTGGGACTCCAGGCATGAGCCACCGCACCCAGCCTTCCCTAGCCATTTTTGGTTATCTGTGACTTCTAACGTCTTTGTGAGTGTCCTTTTCATTTCGGCCAGTGCCCTGTGCATTCTTACTTGGTTTTGTGACTGCTTTTCCCTTCCCAGCTTCAGAAGTTTTTTTTGTTTCTATAGAGAATGTTCACTTTTGTATAAAGTACTATATTAGGTATAGAGAATGGTACTTCCTGTTGTAACAAACAACCTAAATTCTCAGTGGCCAAACTAATCCAGGTTTATTTCTCTCCTGGGTGGGGTCTTCTTAACAAAGAGCAATTCAGAGGCCCAGACACCCCTTGCTGTATAACACTAGCTTTTCATTGTGTGGCTGCTGCTGAGGGGACAAGTGTAGGTCGCCGTGCTGGGGTCCGTATGGTGTGGCCCACAAGTGGTATGCATCATCACATCAGTTTCCTATGGCTGCTGTACCAAATCACAATAAACTTAGTGGTTCTAAACAACACAGTTTTATTATGTTACAGTTCTAGAGGTGAGAAGTCCAAGATGGGTCTCACTGGGCTAAAATCAAAGTATCCACAGGGCAACTGGTTCCTTCTGGAGGATCGGGGAGAATCCCATTTTCTTGCCTTTTCCAGCTTCTAGAGGCTGCCCACTTTCCTTGGCTCGTGGCGCCTTCCTCCACAAGCCAAGGAAAGCTTCTTCAAAGGCAGCAATGACCAGTCACATCCTCACATCACACACTCAGAGCCCTGACTCTTCCGCCTCCCTCTTTCACATTCAGAGACCCTTGAGATTACATGGGCCCACCTGGGTAATCCAGAATAATCTCCTCACCTTCAGTCTATGATTCTAAGCACAGAATAGCAGTTTCCCTTCTTCTTCCTCAGCTTACAGTCAGCTGATGAGCAACCTTAATTCCATCTACAACCCTCATTTCCCCTGGCCGTGTAGCCCAGCACACTCACAGGTTCCAGAGTGGGGGGACGTGATGACATGATGCTGCCCACCAAAGTCACTTTTCCCCATACTATTGGGCAGGACCCAGTTTGATGCCCCCAATCCAACTACGGGGAAGCTGGGAGTGAGACTGGCAAACACCTGACTAGTCCTAGCCTCAACCAATTCCCAATGACAGCTTTTCCAAAGCACTTCCAGGCAGCCGATCCTACTTTCCCCTAAACTTTTTGAATCAGCCTCCCTGCACTCAAGGATATACATGTAGCTGCTCCATGTACCTCCCAGCTTGAAAGGGGCCCAGTCAGATGTCCGGCAAGGTGCCCATCCTGGCCCAGTCAGTACTCATTTTGTCCTTTGGGTCAGAAACTATGTCAAGGATGGAACACACACTGCTGTGGAAGATGGAGTGTTTGGCCCAGGGGGGTCCCACTATGTCTCTGAACTTCATTCTTTAACAGGGTTGCTCCGTGTAATTTAAGAGCCTTCTCACCTTCACAGTCTATGATTCTGAGCACAGAATAGCAGTATGAAGCCAACGAGAGTGCAAATTCAGGAAAGTATCTGGGGCTCCAGCTCATTTTTTAGCACAAACCATTACTTCTACCTTATCTATGCACACCTGAAAGCTCCTGTAAGGGCTCCACTTGGTCTGGGGGCAAGGTTCTCATTGGGGTCTTCTATAACTTATGTCTGTTATTGGGCCAGACTGTCAGTACCCACTCTCTGCATACGTTCTTACCGCCTCTCACCCCTTTATCCTCTCCACTTTTTAGGGTTCCCACCTTCAGGTGCATGGGCTTCCATAGATGTGAGTCTCCACTTGCCAGTGATTCTCCTCTCTCCTGGTGGAGTCATTTTTCTTAACTAAGATAGGCCATAGTCCCTTGCCCTGTTCGCATTGGGAAGTTCTACCCACCTAATCTCACCAGCCCCTTTGCTTACCTGCCACTACATTGCTCTACCTGAGATCCTTTGGTTTAATCATAACCTGCAGCACTGGTTGTTTTCTGTTTTGTTTTGTTCCTTCCACTGGAACAGTCCTCAGAACCTTTCGTCACTTCTTTTAGGTAGAAGAGCTTCCCTTTGAATAACATTTCCATAGCTCTTCTCAGGCAAGAACAAAGGTAGCATATACTTGTGAGTCATACTCCAGTACCTGCAGTGGATGCTTTTGGGACATTTGTGTGAGTTAACAGCCCTTCCTAGCTCCCTGCTGGAAATTGCTCCCTGGTTCATGGAACTCTTCCAGTATTTCCCCTTTCTTCTTCCCGCAGTAGCATTTTCTAGTTTGCTATTTGGCACTAGCAGATAGCAAGCCACCAGTGACTGCATCTTACAGCCAGGCATCCTGACACCTGAGGACGGATGCTTGGCCCAGGGTCCCACATAGTCATTTGCCTCCTTGGTGTTTGCTTACCTCCCAGATGTGACCGTAGGTAAAGCTTCCTCCACTCCCCTTCCCACTTGGGCAGGCAGCTGCTCTGTGGAGAGCTTTTCATTTCAAACTCACCTTCCCTTATCTAGGTAGTGTAATAACCTGGCCCTGTCTGTAGGCCGTTCCTTTGAGTTACTCTCAGAAGCCATGGTGCTCTGCTTCCTGGAAGGAATCTGATCAAGGAAAGGCTTACCTACGATTAAGGGTGGAACCCAGTTTGCCGCTTGCCAGCTGTGCGATTTGGGGCCGCTGGCTTCCCCTTCTCCCTGCCTCAGGATCTACTCCGTGGGGCTGCTGTGCAGTGAAAGATGCGTGGACTCCAAGTGGTTAGAGCGGTGCCTGCCACAGAGTGGTGATGAGGAGCAGAAGTTGGATCTGTGATTCTCCCAAAGCTTCCTCAGGTGGTGATGTAATGACGGAGGTCCTGGTGGTGGTCAGCACCACGATGGGCAGGTGCTTTACAGGGCATGGCCTTCATTCCCCAGCAACCCGTAGGGCAGCGCTCTTTAAGGAACTGCTGTGAAGAGAGGGTGAAGAGCTGGAAAAGCACCAACGATTTGAGGACTCCAGAGGCCTCTCTTGAGTACTAAATGCTAACTTAAAAACCCATTTAATAAGACTAGCTAACAGTTGAGCACATCCTGTGTGCCAGGTCCTGTTGGAGGCATTTCATGTGTCCTAACTCATGTAATCCTCAGCTGGCCCTGGGAGAGGGGAACATTTTCACTCTTTCTTCATAGGTGGCAGACCCTGAGGCACAGAGAGCTTCAGCAACTTGCCCACACACAGCCACACACACAAGCACATACGTATGCACACATGTGCACACACTTATGCACAGGCACATGCACACACACACACACACAGGCAGAACTGGGATTTGATCCCAAGGTTCTGGCTCCAGCATCTGTGTTCTTATCCTCTGCACAGCACTTCTGCTAAGAGGAAGCTTATTTTTTACATTTGAAGCTCTCATTTGAATAACAACCACCACGACAAAAATCTAAGGTTTTTCTGTTTCTCCTAAAAATACTGATTTGCAAATAATTCTGCAAAGATTTCTGCAAAAGTAATTCTTCTTTTGTAGTTTTACAAATGAAGAGTTCTAGAGACAGTGATACAACAATCACAATAAATATGTGCTGTCATATTTTTTGGCAGTATTGTAAGTTAAAATGAATCTGTCTCAGCTTTGAGTTATTATTGTTATTATTGCCACTTTTTATTGCTACATTAATCACCAAACATAACTGAGAGGGATTAATGAAGTTAATTGTTTTTAGAAACTAAATTAAATGCAAGTGCTAATGCTGGGTGACTGAGCCTTGACACTGTGTGCTTATTTCAGCAGAGGAGCGGACAGGCTGCCCTGCAGGAGCTTCAGAAGACTTGATCATTTCAAATGTCACCTTAACATTCATCATTAGTTTTCTTTATAGTTAGTTGCACAGCTCTTTTTATTTTTACTTTATGAACACATCTGTGAGTTACAGTTTAAAAGTTTTATGTGTGCCAAGTTGGAAAGATTCAGAGATCATTTTTAAATGGGCATCTGTATTGTTGGTTTGGCCTGCCTTAACAAAATACCACAGACTGGGTGGCTTAAACCATAGACATTTATTTCTCCCAGCTTGGGAGGCTGAAGTCCAAGATCAAGGTGTTGGCAGCTCTGCTTTCTCCTGAGACCTCTCTCCTGGGCTTGCAGATGGCACTTTCTTGCTGTTTCCTTGCAGGCCATTTCTTTGTGTGTGCACGACCCGGTGTCTCTTTCTCTTATAGAGACACCATTTCTATTATATTAGAGCCCTACCTCAATTCCTCATTTTAACTTAATTGTCTTTTAAGACCCTCTCTCCAAATACAATTACAATTTAAGGGTATGTCAGTTAGGACTTCAACCTATGAATTTTGGGGGGACACTATTCAGCCCGTAATAGCATCTTTCATCAATTTCTGATGAGCATGGGAAAGAGGTGGGATAGAGCAGGGAGGGAAATGAATTTTTAAAAAATATTTAGTGGGACAGTTCTTCTAAGCTCTTCCTTGAGCCCGAAACATTCATAACTCTGAGATCCTGTGTTTCAAGAGAGTGGAAAATGACCCTAAGGTGTAGGTAGATAATTGTATTTTCAGTCTCCATTTCTGATTGGGAGGCCAACTACGTAGGCTGGGAAATCTTTTTAATCTTAGATTAAAAAGCTGCCTGCAAATGGTAGGTCTTTTCTGTTTTGTCTTTGGCTTTTTGCTTTTTTAAAAGAATTTGACCTTGAAGTGAAAGGAATTCCTGGAAACCCAAAACGAAGAAGGAACTGAAATTCAGACCTTTAGCATGAGAGGTGGGCCCACAGGAGGCAGGGAGTAGCCAAGGTTGGATGCTCAGAGGCCACACCCCTGGGGAAAGGTGGAAGAGGGAAACCTGCCCAGTGGCCCTAGGAGGGCCAGGAAGCCGGACTGTGTCAGGCTGGGCTCCACATGGGGACAGAGGTCTCCTTGAGAATTTGTAAACAAAGGCTTGCTTTTACATGAGTTCAGTTCGTATTTGTACTGTTTGGCAATTTGTCTTCTGAGAAATCTGCCTTGAAAAGGATTTTCAGACACCTATACTCCTGGCCTGACAAAAACACGTGTAGCATCTCCCCAGAGGGTTGCTGTCTGCATCACAGGCCCCATGAGATCCTTACTGGTAAAGCCCAGTGAAGACAGATTCCTCCTCCAAGTCTCCCAGGACAAGAGCAAGAATCCACAGGCAAAAACAGACAGCAGGATTAGACTCCAGAGGACTTCAGAAAATCAAATAATTGGATATACAACTAAAATGATTAAATATATAAAGGAATTGAACGCACAAGAAAAGAATAAGACCCCATCAAATACCTGGTGAATTTGAGACAAAAGCTGTAGGAATGAAAAATAGAGTGATTAAAAATCAATTGATGGGATATAGAGCAGATTTTTGAGAGGATTACTGAACAGGATTCTGTTTCCTTCTGCCCCAAGTAGAATGTCCTCTCCGTTGAGAAGAGGTGCGGGCAGCAGGGAGATTTTAGTTCTAAACCCAAGCCAGAGGAAATAGTCGTCATTTTCCTTGCTCTCTTTTGCCCTTTTCTAACAGCCAGCTGCTGGGGCAGTGCTGGTCCTGGGAGCAAACGTCACCATCTCCCTCCAGTCGGGCTGGCCAAGTCTCCCAGGGAAATTGAAGACCAGTACACCTGAAGCATGTAAGCCCCAGGCTGCCTCTCCCATTCTCCTTCCCGTTCATCAGCAGCATAAAGAAAGTTGGCCTGGGTTTTCGTGACTCGGCAGGGTCCACTCAGTTTAAAATGCCAGAGGACATGGTGTGGCAAGTTGACTGTATCGTGATGTTAGCCGTCTTGTGGCAGAGACTCAGAGACTTGAAGGGTAAAGCTCAGTAAGGCCCACATCCAGAGCCTGGGGGGCCAATGACTACAAGGAAAATGACCCTGCTTTCTAGCCAGCACCCCACTCTCCCGAACGCCTCTCTCTTCTTAATAGTCTGAGGAGGTTTATCTCCTTTCTGCAGATGAAGCAGGGAATCTTTGAGAATCTGAGACACTAGTCTGAGACCACATAGCTGAGGGCGTGGAGGAACGTGCCGACCCCAAACACATGCTGGTGGCTACCATGCGAGGCTGGCTTTTTGGATTTAGGGCCAGCCAGCATTTCCAAATTCTGTTCATGGAACACTGTAGCCCTGATGGAGGATAACTGGTATTATAGCCAAAAAAAAAAAAAAAAAAAAAGTTGTGTGGTCAGATAGGCTGGGGAGAGCTGGCAAGCTGTATGCCTCCTGTAAGTCTTCCTCATGCAGGTAGCACACTAAGGGCCAAGAAGGTCTCTCTTGGGGAAACCTATTTAATTTTGTTCAACCTGGCATTTCCCACTCTTAATAGATGCTAGATTACCCGACCCCTTACAACACAGTATTAACATATTAGCCATAAAGGAATTGCACATCAAACCACAATAAGAGACCACTTCACACCCACTAGGATGGCTATAATTAAAAAGACACACAATAGTAAGTGTCGGGAACATGTGGAGAATTGGAACCCACACACTGGTGGGAATGTGAAATAGTGTGGAGGCTTTGGAAGACAGCTTGGTGGTTTTCAGAAGGATAAATTCAGAGGCACCATGTGGCCTGGCAGTTCCATTTCTCGGTATATACTCAAGGAAATGAAAACATATGTCCATACAAAAACTTACGTGTAAGTTCTTCACAGCTGCATTGTTCATAATAGCCAAAAAAGTAGAAACAACGCAAATGTCTAATTGATGAGTGGAGAGATACAATGTGATACATCCATGCAATAGAATATTTGACAAGAAGAGGAATGAGATACTTACACGTGCTGTAACATGGATGAACCTTGAAAACACGCTAAGTGCAAGGAGCCAGTCACCAAAGGCCACATAGTTTATAATTCCACTTATATCACATGTCCGAAATAAGCAAGTCCAGGTGACTGGCTTCCAGGAGCTGGGAGGGGTGGAATGGAGGGTAACTGTTCATGGCTGTGGGGTTTCTGTTTGGGGTGATGAAAATCTCCTAAAATTGATTATGGCAATGGTTGTACAATTCTGAATGCACTCAAAACCATCGAATTATACAGTTTAAATGAATGAATTGTATTCTACATGAATTACATATCTATAAAGCTGTTTTTTAAAACTAAGTTAACATCTGCCAGCGGTAGGGTTTCACAGCACAGTTTGGGCAAAGCTGCAGTAGAAGTTTTGTTGCCACTTGCCTGGGCTCTGTGAAGGCACAGTAGCTGTCCCATGTCACCCATCACCATATCACCCCATCAAAAACATCTTCGATATTTGAGAAAGTAAATTTCACAGGGGAGGGTTGAGGTGAGCTCTTGTGTTGAGACTGTGGAGAACTGAAAGCAGCAGCCACTCTCTTTGTGTAGTTTGTGCCCTCGTTACACTGCTGCTCTGACAAAATACTTGAAAGGTGACCAGATAGAAAAACAAGAGCCTTGGAAAGTTTCTGAGTGGATCTGTAGTAAGAGATTATGTTGAGTGCTGTATCATTTTGAATTTACCCCGACAACCCTGACCTTCCCTAGTTAATCATTTTCATTGCCAGATTCTCCAGACTGACTTGTGGCCACTGAGCAACCAGAACCTTTCCAGCTGGTCCCCCTGATCCACAGGCAGCCCCATTTCCACATTAATCCCACACTCTCTGTTTTCATTTCAGTGAAAGCTGGTGGAATGCGAATTGTGCAGAAACACCCACATACAGGAGACACCAAAGAAGAGAAAGACAAGGATGACCAGGAATGGGAAAGCCCCAGGTGGGATGATGCTAGCGACTCTTGAGCATGTTTTCCAAAAACCCTATTCGGTTAAGCATTAACATTTGTTCTCTGTTCTATGATTCTGATAACTCCTGGGCTATGTGGGGCCCTGTTCTGTGTATTTTTCCCTTCCTAATCAGGGAGGAGGGGGCTTTGTTTTCAGTCAGGGGAGAAAATAGAGCCCCTAGAGGTCCTCTTTCCTGAGCAGTTGCCACGCGCCCACCCTGTTCCCCACCCCACACCCAGGGGCTGGTGCCCCGTCTGTCTGCACAGTTAGAGACCTACCTCCACCTGCCCAGGTGCCTGGGTTTAGCCAGTGTGCCTCCCTTCCTGGAAGCCAGGGCAAGCCAAGCCAAGCAGGAGCAGCTTCCTGTGGCTCATTGGTTTTCTGATGGTGGACACAGCTGCCAGCCACCCTCTTCCCAAGGCTGGACCACCAGAGTGGACGAAGTAGGCAAATTCTTGCACCTGTGAGTCTTTTGTACTCCAGGTTTCTGTTGTCATTCCAGAGAAACAAATACTAACAATTTCTGGGCAGTAGTTTGCAACTTAGGCTTCCATACTGAAATCACATGGAGACCCTTGAGAATTGCCGCACTAGTTGAACCTCAGGGGTGGACCTGGCTGTCTGTGTAGCTGGGGCAAGAACTTCTGATTTCAGAATGGTTGAAGCATTTCCTCCCTCGGATCATCAGCCAGATCTAGAATTACAAGGCCATGCCCTTATGAGTGACTGGGTGTCCTTATATGATACCTCTGCTGCCAACCCTCCTGGGGCCTGCACAGGGGTCTCCTTGCAGACCCCTCCTCCCCTGCTCAACACCTATTTTCCTTAAAGGTTCAGATTTCCAGTTGGGTTCAGGGACCTTGAAAGGAATCCATTTCTCTCGACTTTGCAATACGCAAACAGGCACCACTAACACACCTCTGCGGGAGCTCGTCCACGTAGAAGAAAGCACTAAGCTCTCTACTTATACAGCCTGTCTCCAGATGATGTCTCAGTCAGAAGAGGAGAGGGTGTGGAAGGGGAAAGAGGCTGTGGAAAGAAGCTAACCTTGATTCCTGTGGATTAGGCCCATGCTTTTATTTCATTTCATTCCAGCAGTCCTGAATAGTAGGTGGTATTCTCCCCAGTTTATGTACAAGGAAACAGAACCCCAAAGAGGATATCAGCTTGCCCATATCATGCACCGTGCTAGGTAACGTAGCAGGAAGTTCAACCCAGTTCTCATGGAGTGCTCAGCGGGCTAGGCTTCCAAATGGATAGTTGCCAAGAGTAGGCACCCACATGAGGAAGTGGTGCATGTTCTTGGTAACCCTGCCTGTCTGCTTCTAAGTGGCCTTCCCCATTGAGTATTGTCTATAAAACCTGATACAGTATGAGTTACGGAGCGGCCACGTGAGGGAAGAACAGCATTTTGGGTGACATTTCTGAGTGATTATTAGTGATTATTGTCCATTTTAAATCATGAGATTAGCAGTGTAAAGATTCAGTCCCAGTTCTGGTTTAAAAGAAGGCAGTTTAAAGAAAATGCTAGAATTGTCCGGGCACGGTGTCTCACGCCAGTAATCCCAGCACTTTGGGAGGCCGAGGTGGGTGGATCACTTGAGGTCAGGGGTGCGAGACCAGCCTGGCCAACATGGGGAAACCCCGTCTCTACTAAAAACACAAAAATCAGTCAGGTGTGGTGGCATGTGCCTGTAATCCCAGCTACTCAGGAGGCTGAGGCAGGAGAACCCCCTGAACTCAGGAGGCGGAGGTTGCATTGAGCCAAGATCATGCCACTGCACTCCAGCCTGGGCAACAGAACAAAACTCTTGTCTCAAAAAAAAAAAAACAAAAAAAAAACGCTAGAATTATTTTTCTCACTTACTGTATTCACAAAGCTATGTTTGGAACGTAACAGCATCAGCAACTCTCCTGTAAGTTCACAATTGTATATCTGTAGGACTTGCGGCCCGACGTATTTTAGAATGGAGAAATTTGGGAGTCTAGGAGGATATTACTGCTTTTAGGAGAATAAAACCTTGCATATACCACATAGTACCCCCTAGGAGAATAAAACCTTGCATATACCACATAGTACCCCCAGTGGGGTCTCAGGCAGTATATTGTAATCTATATGTGATGTTCAAACCGAATTAGATAATTTTTTTAAATTTAGGGACTAGTGTCACTTCAGGTTAAGTTTTGCCTCCGTACAAGTTATGAGGAAGCCTTCCATTTTCTGAGCATTCTTGAGTTGGGAATCGAGGCTAAGAGTGTGTAAGCCTGTAGTAATTTCCCTCTAGGAAACCTGGGGTGTCATTGCCCTTCTTCATAACCATCTGTTTCCCCAAGGAAGAAAGAGGGCAAGAGATATCGCCTTGCCTGGAAAAAAAGTTCCTGGAAAGTTAATGAAACACTGCTTTTCTTGGTGAGTTTAAGTGGAATAAGGTACAGATAGCTAGTTCCCTACCTAACACAGTGTCAATACAATGAGAGATAGTAATTTATTAGCAAGTTTAGAAATAAGGACAGAACAGCCCACTAGTTTTCTTTCTGTTGATTTTTTTCATGAGTTGACATGCAGCTTTTCTAGAAGATGATCAATTTAAATAAATATGCCAGAGGATGAACAGTTGAAGAGGAAAGATCGAGCACCCCAGCGCTGTAGATTGTAGCATCTTATTTACCTTAAAGATTTGTTCTCTATCTCTAGAGAACCAGATATTTTGAAGCAGGCCGACTGCAGGGTATGGTTTGCAAAGCACATGAGCAAGGCTTTTGTTGTTGTTGTTCCCTGCAGCCAAATTGCTAGGATACATTCCTGATGAGTGTGTTAGCACTTGTCCTCTTGACTTTGGCTTGGCTGTTTACTGCTGTGGGTTAAACAACTCGACACAGCATTTACAGAACGGGGTAAGCCTGTGTACACTCTTTAGCTATTGATGTAAGTTGCCAAAACAGCTTTTTCTAACACACTCCACGAGGCCTGGTACTCTGTGTAATAGTTTACTTTTACCACCATGCACTCCCACTCCCCATTTCTCTGGTGGACTGATTGAATAATCATAATCAATCATCATCATCACTCATTCTTACAGAGTGCAATGAGCTCGGCTCTGTTCTAACTGCTCTGTTCATATTAATTCATTTGATCTGTGCTACTGCTCAGTTTGTTATCATCCCTATCTCAGAGCTGTTTATTATTGGCTATTACTCCCATTCTGAATTACTACTCCCTCTTCAAGAGCTCTGAGAGTGAAGTGACTTTTCCGAGGGCACACGGTGGGTAAGTGGCAGTGCCAGCATTCCAGTGCTGGTGGCAGCTTCTGGATTCCTTACGCTGCTCCACGAGGCTTTGCTTAGCCATTGGGCTCTTGTTTTGTGCTGGGCACCTGCTAAGTGCTTCACGTTGAATTTAGTGCTCACCGCACCTATAAGTTGGTATTACTGTGTCCATTATAGAGACGAAGAAAGCAAAGCTTAGGGAGGTTTCCAACCCAATGATATGTAGTCGGTCATTGGCCTGGCCAGGATTCAGCCTTGAGTCTGTCTTGGTTTGGAAGCCCTTGCCCCTGATATGTCACGTAAGTCCCTGGATCCACATAGATTGCAATCCTGATCTCTCTGTAAATGAAACTTACTGATTCTGGGGTTGCCCATAACCTTGTCTGCGCTCCTCAAACCCATAATCCTACCCTTTTGCAGCCTCACCGTCAGTAGGTGGTCTAATTATCACTTTACAATAAGGTTTCAGGGGACTAGGCTGGTTTTACTTCAGGTATGGAAAAGCCTACTTACTTGCAGAATGTATAAAACACTTAATTATCCTCTTGGAAATGTCTTATAGCATGTGACTTTCCTATCCACATTACCCTGATCCTAAAGTTTTATATTCTTTAATTTTGATCCCAGTGTTGTTCAGATATGAAAATGAGTACCTAACACCAAATGCCAGTTTCCTTCTTAGCTATAGATGTACATTTGCAAAACTTTCTTTTCCTTGCCAGACATTCAAGACTAGTTTTAAATTTACTGACTCATCTCTGGTGGCTTCCTTCCCCATTAATTGGAAAATCAAGTACTGATTACAGAGAAAAGGGACAAGTGGAAGATTAAAGATGTTACTGTGTTGACAGGAAAAAAAAAGCCCTGCAACTTTTACTAGTTATTTTTCTTGCAATTGTTTATGCAACTCTTATTCCCTTTAATCTTGTAGCTTTCCACAGACTTAAACGTAATTTCTTATGCTACCAAGTTGTTTTGAGATGCTGTGTTAAAAAAAATATAGCCAAAATGTGAAAATGCTGCCAAAGAATTTCCGTCAACCTGAGTTCTAGTTACTGGTGGTTCTTCATGTCCAGGAAGAGTAATAGTCTTCATTATTATTAGCTAATACTTTCCTGCGTGGCTGCTTGATTCCATCTCGAGCCGACCCAATTAAGGAAACTGGTGGTTTCCAAGCCTTTTGTCGAGTGTCATAAGATAAAGTAGCCAGTTTCATTATGTAAAGGAGAGACTGCAGACATAGAATGGACTTTAGGAGTCAGGGTTCACTAGAGAAAACAGTTTAATGTCAAACATTTGCTGACATTCTGCCATGATCTGGGCTTGGTACAAGATATTAAAAAGGAATGGATAACAGGAGGGGTAAACCAGAAAAGAACGGGTTTGGTCACTGACAAGTGGTGGATGGAAAAGGGGTGGAAAGAAGGAAGAAACAGAAATGGGGAATAAGGAACAATTCTTCCCTGAGCTTGACTTTTTGCATGGTTCTGACCTAGAACCATGGCACTGTTTCACACACCTGACAAGTAAGCCAACAATTCACATCAACCAAGAGGTGGGAGGGACCCAGAATGGCGTACAAGCACTGACGGATTGAAGGGAGTGGGAAATGCAATTGCTTGATATAACCATATTTAAGGGAGTAGGGAGTTACCTAATTAACTTTGGAAAACAACATTTTTAAGTGGATACTATAAGGCTAAAGACAATAAAAAACTATGCATAAATGGTGTACTTCAGTTAGTAAACAGGCTTCTTAAGGGGCATGGTTTAGCAATTCTGAAATTGCCTTATGTGAATACTAGGATTCAACAAACAAAGAGCCGAGTTCCTCACTGTCAGAGAAAGAGGTTACAAATAGGAAAGGGAGAAGACTGAAATGAACTTGGTGCTGTTGGATGGGAACTAGAAGTATCTGTATGAACATATGGTTCTGAATGGATAGATGGATGGATGGATGGATGGATGGATGGTAGATACAAACATACCTATACAGATATACAGAAATGAATATGGATGAGAGGGTTAGTGTCATACCTGTATTTCCTAGCTTTGTTCACTGAGAGGGCCTAAAGAACTGACGCCCATGCAGCCATAAGCATCCCTAGGGCCCAGACTGTGGTGTCTAAACACCATTCCCCAGTCAGAGGAACCACGGTTCCTTGGAGAAGTAGTTGATTCCAGGCCAGGACAGGAAAAATACTAGATGAGCCTGGAATATACTGTAGTGCCAGAACATAAGGAAGTTCTCCAGAAAGGTTTGGGGCAGGGCAGAATGTTATAGAAGCCCACCTGAAGAATCTCCTTATGGCCTTAGCTGGAATAATTTGCAACAAAGTGATAGTATTAGATTTTTTTGTTTTTGTTTTTGAGATGGAGTTTCACTCTTGTTGCCCATGCTGGAGTGCAGTGGTATGATCTCAGCTCACTGCAACCTCTGTCTTCCGGTTTCAAGTGATTCTCCTGCCTCAGCCTCCCGAGTAGCTGGGATTACAGGCACCTGCCACCACGTCTGGCTAATTTTTTTAGTAGAGACGGGGTTTCACCATGTTGGCTAGGCTGGTCTTGAACTCCTGACCTTGTGATTGGCCCGTCTTAGCCTGCCAAAGTGCTGGGATTACAGGCATGAGCCACCGCACCCGGCCGATAGTGTTAGATTTTAACCCATACGGTAAAATAAATATCCATGAGTCCATACTGACATAAATAATTGAATTAACAAGCCAGGAGAACGGATAGCTCTTTTTTGTAGAAGAACTCCAGTTACTTAATGTATAAGAAAGGAGGTAACTAGAATATCACCAGGAGGCAAACAGCACAGTAATTGTTATAGACAAGATCCACTGATGGATGTCAGAATTAATGGGTAAAAGTTTGAGGAAAAACACGATATTTACGTAGTCAACAGGATATTTGCGTAGTCTCAAAGTATCTTCCCCAATATATCTATTAATTACAAAACAAAATGAAAAGAGTGTCTTTACCGTGGAAGCCATGAGAAGCACATTGTGTACAGTATGAAAACGGGAAGAAGGCAGAGCACCACCTTCAGCCTCAGCTGGGAAAATGCAGGTTGATTGTCACAAAAAATACTACAAAAAGCCTTCGCTGCTCTGCCTGTGTCTGTGAATGACCACGAAGGTGCTACGTGTGTTTGATTTTGGGGTTACAAATAAATTTTAGCAAGTAGGCACGTTTACAAAAATGGAATAAATAAATAGTAATGATGGACTGAACTTATTATCTCGCCCTTTATAGAAAAGCTTTGCCAACCCTCATTTTAACTTAGTCTGCCTTCAGAAACTAGTCTACTACTTCATAAACAACTTAAGAAACTTACAACAGTATACTTCTAATTACCACTCTACCCACTTTGTGTTTTGTCATATACTTTACTTCTACCAATACTATAAAAAATAATGTGCTGGTGATTACTTATCTCCTGGCCCTCCAAGAAAAAATTTTAAAAGCCCGATTTGTAGCATTTGCTAATTTTATGGTGTGAATACTCCTACCACAGCCCCCCACCGCACCTGCTTTTTTTTGAGACAGGGTCTCACTCTGCCACCCAGGCTGGATTGCAGTAGCATAATCCTGGCTTACTGCAGCCTCAGCCTCCTGGGCTCAAGCAGTCCTCCCACCTCTGCCTCGCAAGTAGCTAGGACTAGAGGTGTACACCACCACGCTCAGCAAATTTTTAAATTTTTTTTGTAGAGACCAGGTCTCACCACATTGCCCAGGCTGGTCTCAAACTCTTGAGCTCAAGCAATCCTCCTACCTCAGCCTCCCATAGTGCTGGGATTACAGGCGTGAACCACCACACCCAGCTACAGCCAATTTTAAACTAACAACATGACATCACTAAACATAGACTTGTGAAGACATGTGAACAGTCAGCTCTACATGCCAGTGTAAGTCAGCTCCAACACACCACTGGCTACAACTTCCACTTACATTGTTATTGTTTTTAATAGTAGCCTTTTAAAGATGTTTAAAGAAAGATAGATATGAAATATCTTTTAAAGATTCATTATGCACATCTAATGTTCATTCTGTCTGGTGTCCTTTATTTCTTCCCACTGGGTTTCTGTCTGTTTTATTCTCTTTCTGAAAATATTTGTGATAGTAAATGTCTGCTGGAGATGAATTCTTCCAGGTTTTGTCTTTCTGAAAATGTCTTTGTTTTGCTTTTACTTTTGAAAGATGTTTTCACTATATATTGAATTCCTAGTTAAAAATTTTTTCTTTCAATGTGTTAAACACGGCATTCCATTTTTTTCTGGCTTCCATTGTGTACAGCGAGAAGTCAGCCATAATTCTTGTCATTTTTCTCTGTATGTAATGTTTCTGTTTACCTATGGTTACTTTCAAGATTTTCTCTTTATTTCTGTTTTTCAACAGTGTGTTTGTGATGCACCAAGTTTGGTTGTCTTTGTATGTATCTTACTTGGGATTCACTGAGCATTTTTTATCTATGGTTTGGTGTCATCAGCTTGGAAAAATTGTTGGCCATTGTCTTTTCAAAAATATCCTTGCTTCATTTTTCTCTTCTTTTTTTGAGACTCTAGTTGTACCCATAGTGAACATTTGATATGTTCACAGGCCTCGGATGCTCTGTTTTTCTCCTCTCTGCCGCCGACTCTTTTTTCCTCTCCTATTTCAGTGTAGATGGTTTCTTTTGAACCTGACTCCTTTCTCTTGTGCCCAGTGTGGCAATAAGTCCAGTGAAAGAATTCATCTTTGATATCCTGTTTTTCATTTCCACTTCCATTTGGCTTTTAAAAATGTATAGCTTCCATTTCTCTGCTGAAATTTCCTGTCTTTTCACAGATATTTATCACAGTTATTTTAAATCTTCATCTGATGAGTCCAACATCCAGGCTTGGTCCCTCATTCTGTTAACTGTTTGTTTCTTTACAGTGGGTCACATCACTTCTTCGAGGGTCTTTTAATTTTTAAGTAAAGTAAAACCTGGTGTGTAAAAGAATGACAGAGACAGAAATAACACTAGAAGCTGAAGTAAATAATATTTACATCAGTCCAGAAAACAGCATGCCTTTTCTGTTCAAACCCATTCGTGTGTGTGTGTGTGTGTGTGTGTGTGTGTGTGAGTTAATTTAGTATTTATAGTTGAACCGGGCCTGGGCTGTATTGCTGCTTAAGTTAGATTCAAGACCTCACAAATATCAAATTAATTGAAGGTAGGATTATAACCTTCCCACTTGTAGTGGCTTAGGATATGAATGCCTGGAAGGTGTGTCTATTTTCCTGCCCTGCCATTGGACTTCAGCAGGCTCTGTGTGTGTGCTGAGCCTTGTGGGCGAGAGCCTTTCAGTTCCCTCATCCCTTTCCAACCAAGATGGACCTCTTCTTGGTCCTGGGTGAGGCCTAGAGTGCCAGTGGGAATCATAATATTTGCCTCATGTGATTATAATTCACTGGTCAATTAGACAACATATAAAAACACCTCAACCATCTCAGTCACGTATTAAGTGATAGCTGTTATTACATCTGTGGTGATTTTTTAAAACTTTTTGTTTTGAAATAATTTCAGACATACAGAAAAATTGCCAAAAAAAAAAAGTACTAAAAAAATCCCATCTACCCCTCACCATATTCCTCATATGGTAAAATTTCACCACACTTGCTGCTCCTCCCATTTCTTTCTTTCTTTTTTTTTTTTTTTTTTTTTTTTTGATTCAGAGTCTTGCTCTGTCACCCAGGCTGGAATGCAGTAGTGCGATCTCGGCTCTCTGCAAGCTCCACCTCCCAGGTTCACGCCATTCTCCTGCCTCAGCCTCCCCAGCAGCTGGGACTACAGGCACATGCCACCACGTTCGGCTAATTTTTTGTATTTTTAGTAGTGACAGAGTTTCAGCGTGTTAGCCAGGATGGTCTCGATCTCCTGACCTTGTGATCCACCCTCCTCAGCCTCCCAAAGTGCTGGGATTACAGGCATGAGCCACTGCACCCAGCCCTGCTCCTCCCATTTCTTAACGCTCACATATATCTAAATCTACATCTGTCTGTTTATACGAACTTTCTTCTGAAGAGCTCTTTTACTCTGGAATGCTTTAGTGTGTGTTTACTAAAAGCAAGTACTGTATAATTATCAAAATCAGGAAACTAACATTGAAACAGTAGTGTTATCTAATCTACAGACTCTTCAGACTTGGCCCATTTTCCCACTACTGCCACAAATTTCAGTCCAGGATTATACCTTCATTTAGTGATATATCTTTAGTCGCCTTTAATCTAGAACAGTTATCCAGCTTTTTAAAATCTTTCATGACCTTGACATGTTTGAAGAGTATAGGTCATTTATTTTGTAGGATTTTCCTCAGTTCAATTTTTCTGATGTGCCTTCATGATTGGATTCAGGTCCTGCTTTCAGGGCAGGGGCTGCACAGAAGCGAGGTCTTGTCCTTCTTGATGCATTGGATCAGGAGGTACACGACACTCCCCATCTCATGGCCGGTGATGCCAGCTTTGATTGTTCAGTTAAGATGGCATCTGCCAAGTTTCTCCACTATCAATTTACTATTTTACCCTTTGTAATTCATACATATCTCATGGGGGAATACTTTGCAACTCTATGAGTATTGTGTTTCTCATCAAACTTTTGCCTGCTACTTTCAGCATTCACTGATGATGCTTGCCTGAAACAGTAACTACTGCAGATATACTGTATTTGTTTCCCAGGGCTGCCTTAACAAAATGCCACAACCTGGGTGGCTTTAAATAACACATTTGTCATCTCAGTTCTGGAGGCCAGAATGCTGAAAGCAAGGTGTTGGCAGGTTGGTTGCTTCTGAGAGCTGTGGGAAGCATGTGTTCCATGCTGCTCCCCTAGCTTCTGGTGGTTTCTGCAATCTCTGGCATCCCCTGGCTTGTAGATGCATCACTCCAGTCCTGTGCCTTTACATGGTTTCTCCCTGTGTCTCTACATCATCTTTCCTCTTTGTGTGTCTTTGTGTCCAAATTTCCCCTTTTCATAAGGACACTGGTCATATTGGATTAGGACCCATCCTGATGACTTCATTTTAACTGGATTAATAAAGATCCCACTTCCAAATAAGCTCACATTCTGAAGTACTGGGAGTTAGGATTTCAGCATGCCTTTTTTGGAGGACACAAGTCAACCCGTAGCAGATGCCAAATGGTGATCTATAGCAATTTTTAATGGTTCTCTCAGTCAAGTTCATTGTTAAGATAATAAATAGAAAATTTAAAACTTCAGTTAAAAGATGGCCCAGCAATGTGCCAGCTTAAATCTCAGGCATGTATGCCTGGGAATTTTTATCTTTAGCCATGATCTGCATGTTTGAACTTTAAGCCGTTTGGTGAACCAATTTCAACATTACCCTTAAGTTCTAATGTCACCTTTTATATCCAGGCTAGTTGCCAGCTGCCTTTTAAGAGGGGCGTGTCCCTGTTCTCTACCATGTGTGTGGAGATTTCAGTAGACCAGGGATGCTGAGCACCGGCCAGCTCTCAGCTCCAGTTTTTTTTGTTGTTGTTGTTGTTTTGTTTTTGTTTTTGTTTTTTTTTTGAGACAGAGTCTTGCTCTGTCGCCCAGGCTGGAGTGCAGTGGCGTGATCTCAGCTCACTGCAAGCTCTACCTCCCAGGTTCAAGTGATTCTCCTGCCTCAGCCTCCCGAGTAGCTGGGATTACAGGCTACATGCCACCATGCCCAGCTAATTATTGTATTTTTAGTAGAGACAGGATATCACTATGTTGGCCAGGCTGCTCTCAAACTCCTGACCTCAGGTGATCGCCTGCCTCAGCCTCCCAAAGTGTTGGGATTACAGGCGTGAGCCACCGTACCTGGCTCAGCTCCAATATTGTGAGTGCCCTGTGCTGGCAGACAGGGCCCACCACTTGCCAGCAGCAGCTGACCCAGGTGCTGGAGTGCCACGGGCCACAGAGCCCTGCACTGGCCAAAGGCAGAGCCGCAACATGGCCCAGGCACTGAGTGACATGTAGTGTCTGTTTGAGGGGGTAACTGGTTGTCACTGCTTATGGACTGAGAGGCCTCTTCCAGGGAGAAGCTGTAAGGAAGGTACAGCAAGACCCTCAGAATAAAAAGCAGGCCTGATTTCATGGCAGCATAAAATAGTAACAAATAGCCCATCTGCCCTGGGAAGGAGAATCAGGAAGATTCCCGTTGCTGTTGGGCAGTTCTTCCTGTCAGGTTTGTCAGACTGAGACTCAGAGACCAAGTTTGTAGGCAAAATGGGGCATTGCTGAAGTGTCACCGTTTATGTGCCAGCAAGGGAGTGGTAAAAGGAAGCGTTTTGCCTGTGGCAACTTGGGCGGCAGAAAGTTGACAGAACAAGCACAAGCCCTCAAACCCCCTGACGGCAGCCGAGTCTGCTGGCAGCATCCGCTGCGTGTGAAGCCCCATGCAGGATGACATCTGTGCAAGCGAGGCTGCCCAGGGAGGGTTGGCGTCTGGCAGCCTCTCCAGAGGCTGCAGGCTGTCCTAATGGCAGCTTCGAGATCTGCCATTAGGACAAAGCCATTCTCATCTCCACCCAGGTTAGAGTGGGCAGAACTTCCAGGCAGGCTGGCTGCCTCTCCACCAAGAAGCAGCACATTAGTTTTCCTAGTGCTCCCATAACACAGTTGCACAAACTGGGTGGTTTAAAAACAGAAATGTTTCGTCTCACAGTTGTGGAGGCCAGAAGCTTGAGATCAAGGTGTTGGCAGGACCACACTCCCTCTGCAGGCGCTGGGGAAGGTCTGTCGCAGGCCTGTCTCGCAGCTTCTGATAGTGCTTGGCTGGTGGCAGCCTCACTCTGCTGCCTTTGCCTGACGTTCTCCCTGTGTGCCTGTCTGTGACCAAACTTCCCCTTTTTATAAAGACACCTGTCCTATTGCATTAGGGGCCTACCCTTCTCCAGTATGACCTCTTCTTAACTAATTACATCTGCAACAACCCTGTTTGTAGATAAGGTCATGCCCTTAAGTACTGGAGCCTAGGATCTCAACCTCTGTTTCTGGGGGAAACGTAAATTCAACCCACAACAAGCAAGCAGCACCTTGTGCTACTAGGCGTCAGCTGGCAGTACCTGGCTCTGTTGGCATTCCAACAGCAATGACAGCACGATAATTTATTAACTATGATGCTTACATGGCAAATGATTCTCTCTTCCCCTATGCCAGTGTTTACTGTTGCTCAGGCTGAGCACTGCAGCAGCCCATTTTCCTGACCAAGGGCATGCTGTGTACAGTGGTGTGGCCCCAAATTTGATCACACACTCCATCAATTAAGAAAAATGTTTTCTGCATGCATCCCCAGCATATGAGTATTCATTTTAAAAGTATACATGTGCACTGCATTACCACTATATAAGTTATGAAACATATACAAAATGAATGGTAAGATATTTGATAAAGATGAAATCAGCAGTATTTTAAATGTCTTGCTATTTCTAGTGACTTGGTACTATCATTAGCTCATCTCAAGGTCCAGATACCCTTGAGATGGGATTTCTCGTTAATGATTCAGGATGTAAATCTAAATTTCTAATGGGCTTCCAGGCAATTTCAGGTTTTGTTGGGGAGAGCTGCTTCTTGTCACATGTGACTAGGTTGTTGGTATTTGTAACATGGAGACCAATGACGACAGGCAGGAGCGCTTCCCTTTGCTTATGTTCACTTGTGCTTGTATTGAGATTAACTTCGGCCTCCAGAGGTTATTTTTTCAGGAATTTTTTTTAAGCTACTTGTCCATTTTGTAAAAGTTAGCTTAAATTCACTCTAAATTCATCATCTGAGCACAGTTTGAGGCACTTGGGATATATTGAGGATGATACTAGAGAATTGAACTCATTACCCCGTTAACCAGATGGAGTCATGGGTATGTTGCAAGACACTGAAAGCAGATGAAGGGCATGGAGGCCTTTGGGTGGCGGCCCCACGGCTTCCCTGGGAGCTCTCAGGACCAGGAGGCCGGTGAGGGACAGTCTGCCTGGGGGCCACATAGTAAATAGTGGCAAAGCTTAATTCATTTTGTTTCTTTAGATAAAAAATAAATGTAAATAGAATATATCTTCATGTTTAGCTCATTTTCCCAGCTAAATAATTGCCTTCTTAAGCACATGGGACTGCCTTAATCATGGATTAATTCATCATGGCCCAATACCACTTTTGTTGTTGTATATAATAGAAATTAAACATTTCTCCCAACACCTGTGGATATGTGTATTTTAGCATGATCAGTAGAAATGACGCTGTGAGTATTTTAAGGAGTTTTGCTCAGAGTCGCCCTAGGAACACAGGGTAATAGCACTGTCAGGATTCCCAGTGAATCTAGCCTGATTCCTCCTGTCCTGGAGGTGGATGCCAGAGAAAGGCTTGAGGCTGGCAGGCAGTGAATCAAAGCCTCGCCACAGAGCGGCACAGCATATGGGTACCCATATGTCCGAGATCCTGGCTGAACTCCTTAGATTTGGGGATAAGAAAGAAAGTGCGGGCGGCCAGGCTTTCCTCTAGGGCCAGTGGCTTCTGGTAATAGGCTTTGAGACAGTATTTGTACAACTCTGGCTACATAACGGATGTGGAAACCAGGTGTGATTTATGAGCTTCCGAATGGCCCCTTCCTGCTCTCTCTCCCTCCACAGGTCCCAGCCTCCTTCTAAGATTGCCACACTCCTATCTACACCGGCAGGACTGTTTTGATCTGATGGAAGGAGGGAAGAAAGGAAATGGGGCTATCAGTTCTCCCTTCCAGGCTCTGCTCTGTGTGTCTGCACTGCAGTCATCCTCTTGGAACGGAGGCTCCTTTGTTTTTATGGTGTGACTTGAAAGGTTGCACTATTTATCAGGAGTGTTTTCTTACTACATAAACATATGAACTGAATTTAAATCAACTCTCCAGTGCTTGGATTTTATAGAATGAAATATGTAATAATAACCACATGAAAGTAAGAGCCCTTATTGAGTTTATTACATTAAAATGACTAGGCCTGAAGTTTTTAAGTACTTTTTATCTAGATAAGCCCTGTTGACTTCAATTGTCTCAGAAGGCATAGCACTCAGAAAACACTTGCTGAATCAGTAATAATTATCTTGGACTTTGATTCTCTAAAGATAAAATAGTCAATTAACTTGATTACTTCTTATTTTCCAGTTGGTGAAAAAAGGTGAATGCAGTAGTAGCCATGTTGGGGAAGAAAATTCTTTATCCTCACATGTTCTGTTGGGCCTTCCCTTCTCTCTCGGCAGGTGTTTACTTTGATTTTTTATAGTGCATATCCCCTAAGGCAGGACTGTAGTCATTACTGTGGAATTAATACGGGCTGGAGTATCAAGGGTGGTGTTCTACCCAAGGGATTCTCATAGAATCAGCAGATTTAGAGTTGGACACAACCTGAGGATCACTTAATCCAGGTGCTCCTAAATGGAGGCCTTGAGAGGTGAGATGTCAGATTTTGCTAAAGATCCAGAAGGATCTAGATACCAAAAGTGAAACATATATTGGGTAGCAATCCACAAAGTTTTTTGTGTTAAAAATTAGCCCTCGTCCTCTTCTGGGCATATACCCAAAAGAATTGAAAGCAGCAGGGTCACCAAGAGATATCTGTACTCCTGTGTTCATAGCAGCACTGTTCACAGTAGCCAGGAGGTGGAAGCAACTCACGTGCCCATCAACAGATGAATGGAGAAACAAAATGTAGGGTATACACACACACACACACACACACACACACACACACACACACACACACACACACGCAGGAATATTATTCAACCTTAAAAAGGGGAAATCCTGTCATATGCCACGTCATGGGGGAACCTGGAGGTCATTATGCCTAGTGAAAGAAACCAGCTACCAAAGGAAAAGTACTGCATGATTCTATGTATATGCAGTATCTAAAGTAGTCAGACTCATAGAAAGTTAGAATGGTGCTTACCAGGGACTGGGGGAAAGGGAAATGTGGATTAGTGTTTAATGTGTACAGAGTATCAGATTTGCAAGATGACAAAGATCTGGAGATCTGTTTCTCAACAATGTAAATATACTTAACACTACTAAGCTGTACACTTAAAATGGTTAAGATGGTAAGTTTTGTGATAAGTGTTTTAACCATAATAAAAATATTTTTAAAACAAAAAACAAGGCCCTTGCTGCTGTGGTAAGCAGTTTGATGGACCCTCAAAAAGCTAAACAGCATTTCCATGTGACCTGGCAATTCCCTTCCTAGGTATACACTCAAGAGAACTGAAAACAAGTGCTCAAGCAGAAACTTGTACATGAATGTTCATCCCATCATTATTCACAATAGCCAAAAAATTGAAACAGCCCAAATGCTCATCAGCCAATGAGTGGAGAAACAAAACATGGTAAGTCATACAAAGAATGAAGTGCTGATTAATGATACAGTCATGGAGGAACTTTAAAAACATTGTGCTACATAAAAGAAACCAGACACCAGGCCACATATTCAACAAGGCCATTTATATGAAATATCCAGAATAAGCAAATGCATAGACACAGGCAGCAGATGACTGATTGCCAGGGGCTGAGGAGAAAAAGGGGAATGGTGAGTGACAGCTTAATGGGTATCGATTGCTTTTGAGGATGATGAAAGTTCTGGAATTAGATGGTGGTGGTGGGTTGCATAACATAGTGAATGTATTAAAAGCCACTAAATTGTATAATTTAAGGTGGTTAAAATGGATTTTATGTTCTATGAATGTTACCTCAATAAAAAGGAAGTCCTTAGGCATGAAAATTGGGAACCATGGCTAGGTTCAGCCTGCACATTGTCATCACTGAGAAAGCGGAAGCTCACTGTGGTGACAGGACTTTCTGGAGGTCCATGGCTGAACTCCTCAGGGACATCAGGACTCTTCAGGGTTGGGGAGAGAGGCATCTCATGCAGCCAGGCTGCAGGCCCAGGCAGCAAGGACACATTGACTCCTTGAAGAAGTCTCAGGATGGGGTTGACCACAGGAGAGGTGGGTGCCTGGGGCTTTTCCAGGGCCACCTCTCTGCCCTCCTCCTAGAGCAGCTGCCTCCACAGGCTGGCAGAGGGTTGGCCATAGTAGATCCATGCTTCACACCCAGACAAGTGGCATTGAGAGGAAGAAACAGGCATCTTCTCTTTCATCTCTTTTTAGGAGCAAGTAAAGCTTCGCCAGAAGCCCCCTAGCAAACTCATTGGCCAGAATCAGGTGACCTGCCTATCCCTAAGTCAGACATTGCTAAGATTGCCTTAGATATGTGGTTTACAGTGGCATGGAGGTTGGGAAGTCAGGCACAAAGACCAGCACCACAGGCAGTGTGGCCGGGCAGAAGCCAGGCTAGGGAGGTCTCCTGGAGTAGTGGGGATGAGCAGGTGGCCCAGGTCTTTACAGAAAAGGAATGAAGTGCAGGGAGCACTGCTGAGCCAGATGTTAGGACCTGGAGCCTGGGCAGTGAGGTTCAGGAACCCTCACACAGGGCTCGGGATCCAAAGCCAATGCAGCTGGTAGCAAGAGATCAGAATCCAGGTCCAGGGTCTGAGGTAAAACTGGCACCAGCCAAAGCCATGGAGAGATTCCTCCCTTTCCTCCACCCGCAGGGCTCTCAGTAGAGAAAGATTCTCCCCACCAGGGCTCTCAATAGAGAAAGATTCCCCCCACCAGGGCTCTCAGTACAGAAAGATTCCCCCCCACTAGGGCTCTCAATAGAGAAAGATTCCCCCCACCAGGGCTCTCAGTACAGAAAGATTCCCCCTCACTAGGGCTCTCAGTAGAGAAAGATTCCCCCTCACTAGGGCTCTCAGTAGAGAAAGATTCCCCCCACCAGGGCTCTCAGTCCAGAAAGATTCCCCCCCACTAGGGCTCTCAATAGAGAAAGATTCCCTCCACCAGGGCTCTCAGTACAGAAAGATTCCCCCCCACCAGGGCTCTCAATAGAGAAAGATTCCCCCCACCATGGCTCTCAGTACAGAAAGATTCCCCCTCACTAGGGCTCTCAGTAGAGAAAGATTCCCCCTCACTAGGGCTCTCAGTAGAGAAAGATTCCCCCCACCAGGGCTCTCAGTAGAGAAAGATTTCCCCCCCACCAGGGCTCTCAATAGAGAAGGATTCCCCCCACCAGGGCTCTCAATAGAGAAGGATTCCCCCTACCAGGGCTCTCAGTAGAGAAAGATTCCCCCCACCAGGGCTCTCAGTACAGAAAGATTCCCCCTCACTAGGGCTCTCAATAGAGAAAGATTCCCCCCCACCAGGGCTCTCAGTAGAGAAAGATTCCCCCCTACCAGGGCTCTCAATAGAGAAAGATTCCCCCCGACCCGGGCTCTCAGTACAGAAAGATTCCCCCTGACCCGGGCTCTCAGTACAGAAAGATTCCCCCTACCAGGGCTCTCAATAGAGAAAGATTCCCCCCGACCCGGTCTCTCAGTACAGAAAGATTGCCCCAACCAGGGTTCTCAGTAGAGAAAAATTCTTCTCGACCAGGGCTCTCAGTAGAGAAAGATTCCCCCCCACCGGGGCTCTCAGTCCCCCACTCTTGTAGTAGATTTGTATAGGACAGGGTTTCGTGTCCTCATAATTTTTTCAGCAGCAGCCCTTAGCTGTTTTCCCTGGCACGCACATCTGAGCATCCACTCGCTGCACGTGGGCATTTGCTTATTCCCCTGATGTCTGTAAGTGCCTCGTCTGTGCCAGGTACTCTACACAGTGGGGACACATTAGTGAGCAAAACAAAATCCCTCTTCTCACAGGGCAGCCATGCCACTGGGAACAACAGATGATAAGCACATGGACAGCTGAAGATGAGCTGTGGCAAGTAGACTTAGCAATGCTGCAAAGAAAGCACAGAAGGCAAGGGGCAGTGAAGGGTCTTTATCTCCTGAGAAAACCGCCTGTGAGGACAGCCTGATTGAATTTTCGTAACCACCATTAATGGTAGCCAAGGCCTTCTGCAGAATGCATGTGGAAAGAGGAAATGAAGACAGATGCTAGGGTAGCTGTCCCAGGACACAGCTGTGCAGGCAGGGTCCTCGTGGGCCCACAAGTGCATGCTGGAGCTCGCCAGGCAGGCTCTGGCAGTTCCTGGATGTCTGAGCACTTCTGCTTCACTGTTAACTTGGGGTCGCCGTAAGGATGAATTTTCTGTTAAGGGGAACTGGAGTAGCATCTCTGTGGACATGGCTTCAGGATGTATGGGCAAGCCTGAGGCTAAGGATCCTGCAAACTAGGCACGATCAAGAGTGTTTGGTGTGCTAGTCAGAATGTGGTTGGCTGTAGTTGCTCTGGCATTCTAGGTAGGGACAACCGAAGAAAGAACACTGGAAAATAGGGGACATCTTTGGTATTCCAAGAATTTGACAAAACCTCTAACTAGATCACTTTGAATTTATCTAAGTCAGGAATAAAGAAGATTATAAATGACATCTGTTGAGCATTCCTTTGTAGCAGTTTCAGAGTGATAATGAAATTTAGGGCAATCTTGGCCAATCTAAATTAAGAGAAGTAATTGCTGTTTACTTTTTGGGGGAGCATCGTGGGAGGTAGGAAATGAAGGGGAGGGAAGCTAAGATGATGGAGTAGAAATACACATGTTCTGATATGGGTGCCTATTTTCAAAGATGGTGGTGGGGTATAAAGTTTGTTTGATTATAAGAGCATGAATTCATTGCATTTATCTAACATTCCTACCTACAGAACAGCAGAGCATGACCTCTGTAGCTAAGGTTAACTTTCAGCTATACCTGGCTTCAGTGGAAAGTGGGCATGAGGGAATTGTTTTGACATTTTTGAAACCTACACTCTTTGTGGGAAAAGGGTTGTTGATACCCTGCAATATTAAATAAGTTCCGTGGGTTGAGAAAAAAACTAGGACAATTAACAACATGGATGTTGTCAATTAACATGCTGTTTAATTAACATGAGAAAGTTGATACTCTTTGAACCTAAAAGAGCACATAGAATTTCGATAGGTGGAAATATGGTGAATCTGTACTGGTTGGGGGAACAGCATCAATGTTCATTTTGAAAAAAGCAGAATAAATGATGTCATTGATTCTGGGGATGGGGCTGACTGGCCCTCTCCCCCTGCCTCTTCCTCTCCGCATCTCTCCCCCCAATTCATTCACACTTTGACACAAGGGTGCCACGTAGGGGTATCTCTCCAGACCTTCTTCGTGGGTTAGCCCCTCAGCCCCCTGTCCAGTGCTGTGGTCGTGATCGAAAGTTGTATCTAAGGCAAGACATGTTTTTCCTAGTGTGTGATTAATTTGAACCCAGGAGTTTGGTGATTGTATCTGTTTACTTGGACTTACTGGAAGGTCAAGTTTTCTCAAGAACATTAACAAATCAGTAAAATTATCAATTAGTAGCACTGCTTTAATTTCTTAAACTCAGAATTGACTTGTCCATACATCCGTTTATATTTAATTTCCCTGAAGCTCTGAAAATAGGGCAAAAGAACATAGTCTTGGTCCATCAGAGGTCTTCTTTTTTGTCTTTTTGGCCTATCCTTTGGGCTCAGTCTAAATCTTTCCCCCAGGATTTTAAGTAACTCCACACTTAAGGTTTCTAAAAAGTAGCAGTGATAGCTGAAAACCTAATACAGACTGAAAATGAATGGGAAGTTCATATAAATCAGTCATAAACACATCAAATTCCCAGTGAATTCAAAAGAAGATGAACAAATAATTCTCAAAAGAATAAATATTTGTAAACAAATATTAGTAAATAAATACAAAAAAATAGCATTTCACTTTCTGATATCCAGGAAAAAAAAGTAAGTTACAACCGCCTTCATGTTCTTTTCTTTGCCTGTTAATCATAGACAGTCAGCCTTCTGTATCTGTGGGTTCTGCATCCAAGGGTTCAACCCACGGCAGAGTCACCCAACTGTGAACTGAAAATATTCAGGAAAAAAATGGATGATTGCATCTGTACTGAACAGGTACAGACTTTTTTTTCTTGTCACTGTTCCCCAAACAATACAGGATAACAGCTATTTACATAGCATTTACATCGTATCAGGAATTGTAAGTAACTGGAGATGATTTAAAGTATATGGGAGGATGTGTGAAGGTTATATGCACATACTACACTATTTTATATCAGGGATGTGAGCATCTGTGGGATTGTGGTATCCACAGGGGTGCTGGAACCACTCTCCCATGGATGCCAAGGGATGACTGCATAGATTGGATATCTCAATTTATACTCCCAGAAACATAGCAGATTGCCTACATACAGCACACCATTTTCGTCCCTCAAACTCTGCTCCCCTTTCCATCTTGTTACTAGGCTCTCATAACTTGGATATTGAGTTGTCCAAGCCAGAACCAGGGAATCAACATGTATTTCTCCCTCTCCCCAGTCCCCCCCATCTAAACCCTCAGAATGAAGTCGGGCCCTTGAGCATCAGGAGCAAGGCAGCAGGCCCCATCCCCACCACCCTCTCACGGCCGACTGTCAGGGCTTCCTGCCTGGCACTCAGAACCAGCCAATCCAAACGTCAAGTCTCAGCTTGGAAGCCAGCCCCAGGAACCCTTTCCTGACAGCCCTGCCTTCATCAGGGTGTGCTGACCCCTGTGCGTTCCCACAGGCACCTGGGACTTCCCCTCTCATGACACTGTGGTTCCATTGTGGGTGGTTCTCAGACTACAAGCTCCCCCGGGGCAGTGGCCAGGTACTGTTGCCTGCTGTGTGCCAGCCACCCATTCTCCTGACACATGGGCACATTGAGAGACAGTTCCTATGGACATGTCATGTTTCTGCACAGTCCAGGTCCTCTGAGCAAAGACATTTACAGCCAAGTTAATAATGTTCGTATAAGGAGACATTTTAGGACAATACAGCTTACAGAAGTTTCCCTTCCACTTCCCTAAAACAGTTGCTTACATTCCAGGATCAAGCTAAGTCTCTGTCTCTCCCTCTCGACAGTGGAGAGGGAAGGTCACCAGCAGCCCTGTACAAGGTCAGCGTTCCCTAATTCTGGGGCTTCTCTTCTGTGATGATTCCACTACATGCATAAGTGACACTTGGCCCTCACCATGTCACATCACTGTGGGGACTGGCACTTAGCAAACTAGTGCTAAGATGTCGTTCTTTCTGCTCTCTCTGACTCAGAGGTCTTGCACCTTCTGTTGTGAACACTCATACTCACACACACACACACTTTTCCACACACATGCACACACAGTGGCAGGCTGACGTATTAGCTGACAAGTGACATAAAACCTCAGGCCCTTCACAATTTTGGATGTAACGAGGGTAAGCTTGGAGGGTGATATGACTCGCCTGTTGTCCCTCAGCTAAGCTGAAGTGGCAGGGGCTGAAGAGCAGTCAGAACCCCGCCTCCTGGGCCGGGGCCGGCACCTTCACCGTCACACCTCTGCCTCCTCTGTGTGACCAAGGAGCCTCCCAAACTTGAATGCACTTGCAGATCACCTGAGAATCTGGTCAGAATGCAGATTCTGCCTCAGCAGGGCTGGGGTGGGCCTGAGACTATTTCTCATGAGCTCCCAGAGTTAGTGGTGCTGCTTGTTCCCCACCACGCTGTGAGCAGCACTTATCTGAGACACACACACCATCCCAGTCTCTGCAATGCAAGTGAAGCCTACACATTTCAGAAATGTATGAACACTGTGTTAAAGGGAGAAAATGGTTCATGAACAGTTTATTCTTTCACTGTGGGTGAGTAATGATAACTTCCTAATTGGCCACCATATTTATAAGGACTCCAGAGGGGAGGCGGAAGAGAGTATAAATGACAACTGTCCAACAGGCAGAATTGAACATTTTTTTCCATGGGACTTGAATCTATTTTGAAAGCATCTGTCATGTGTCCTGTTGACTTTATGATTATGTCTCAACTTAATCGGTCCTTGGGGAATGAGAAGTTTAGAAGATTGTCCCCAGTATGACTTAAGCAATTCAGCAGTATTCAGGAAGTCTAATAGCCAAATAACAGCAAATACAGCTACCTTTAGACCAGGTGCTTTACATACTTAGTCTTATTAGTCTTCACATCCTACAAGGTAAGTGGTGGGACTCTCTTTTGTGGTCAGGTATATCTACTGAGAAAGACTAATGGCATGCCTAAGGTCATTACCAAAGTAACTGACAAATAAGATGTGAATCCAAATGTGTGACTCCAAAGACTTCCAGTCTCCTGCCCACCGTTTCTGCTCTGTTAACTAGTCACCTTTTCCCAAAGAGTTGTGGGGAAATTATTGAGAAGAAAGCCTAAAATCCTACTTCAAATGTTTAAGTTGAGAGACATCTTTTCAGCACTAGGATTGTATTATTAGGGACTGCTTTCCATCAAGCTCATTTAAGACAGAGGAGTTTCAGTGATTTTCCTTCTACCCCAATTGTCAACTCAAGCTTTGTGGCTTTATAAGACACCACGGCAGTGTTGGAGCAGCTCTGCAGCGGCACCGGCTTCTGCAGAGGCTCCCTGCCTCCACCTGAAGGTCAGCAGCTGCCCTGGTGAGTCTTCGGATCTTGTGGGCAGGAGCCTCAGAACCAGGAACACAACAACCACTCAGAAACCCCTGGCCCAGCGTGCAGGAGCCCACACGCCTCAGGACTGGAGACAGCCCGAGCTCAGGACCCGGCATAACCATGTCAGAGGCTAGCGATTGGAGACTTTCAAGGCGCTGCAAATAAAGGAAATTAGACTGGAAAAGTACAAACGAGAGGAAGCTGGAGCCAGGGTTAAAACCAATGACTCACCTCTACCAAATTCATGATGACGATAAGTGGAAAAAAAATAAGCCTGAAATGGGAAGGGTGGTGCCAAATGGGCCCAAAACAAACACGGCTGAAGAATGGAAGGTTTGTTTTCACTTTGCCAGGGATTCCAAATGTGATCAGAGATAGAAACAAATGCAGCCCTTTCCCAGCCTTAGCGAGGCCAAGCCCATGGGGTGTTGGGTCAGAGGGGAGCCTGAAGGGGAGAGGGGGGAGGAAGAAGCTCAAGTCAGCACACAGCTGCAGAACCCCCACCTTCTCCTCCTGGGGGGAGTAGAGAGCTACACCCCCTGGCGGCTGTTGGGTTTGTCAGAGCTTGACTCTGTCCAGATGGCTGCGCACCCGGGTTGAGAGGCCCTGGGGAGCACCAGCACTCTTCCCTCCAAGTCACTGGAGCCCTCATCCATTAGGGACACAGAACCAGAAAGGAGGAATGTTTCCTCTGCAGCTTTAGTTTGACCCCACCTAGGCTGAGTCTTTGGTCTGTTAGTTCATGTGCTGGTTATGACTTTTTGAAAATCTTGGACCACATTTATGACTCTTAAGCAATTTAGGTACACATAGTCCACAAGAGCCAGCCTCCCCTGGTCTACCTGAAATGTGTGTAAAGCATTTAATCTAGGAAAGCCCTAAGCTGATGGGCCCTGGGGTGCTGGCCTATTGCTCCTGGGTGGCCCCTGGTAAATCATGAACCTTTGGTGCCTGTTTCCTCATCTGTAGTGCAAGATTTGTGCATGTGTCTCTTTCTCTTATGGGACTTTTATAGAGAAAAGAAAATGAGGGAAAAATATGAATATCTGTAAGCTTTGAAAAGAACTAAAAGCACAGCGTGAATTAACAGCAGTCCCATATTCATGGGGTTTCTGTTATAGAGGTGGAACCTTGCTAGACTCTGGAGAAAATAAGAAAGGATAAGTTAGTCCTCAAGAACCTTCCAGAGATGGATTAATCCTCACTGAGGCCATCTGCATTCCTTTGGTGGCAGAGTAGTTCCTGGGTAGGTATTTATAAATCATTTCAGGCTTAAACAGGATTAGAGGTGCTGTGCTTTTAAATTGTTTTAATTTAGAGTTTTTACCAGAAATTATTGTATAACATTTTGAGGGTAGCACAAGGAAATGGATTGCCTTTGCTGTATGGTGCCTTGAACACATCCCACAGGTTTACTTTTTTGCTATATGTTTTTTTCTGCACCCAAACAATGCACCGTTTGTATTTTGGCATTTACTTCAATAATCTTCCAAATAGACACCCGCAAGTACACTTGGATAGCAGACAGTCCCCTAAGATACAGAGCAAGATGTGCGACTCTCCTTCTGTATCCTTAGGAGCTCTGTCAACATAGAAGGTGTCACAACTCAGCATTGTAATGAAGATGAAGATAATGGCATATAATAACATGTAGGGCCAACTCAGACCAGAGATCTTTAATGAGGTAGGAGTTTGGTTTCACACATTCTTTTGCTTTAGTATCTGGCCTGGAGCCTGTGATAGAATCTCTCCTCAGAAAGGGCTATGTGTTAATTAGTGACTGTAACATGCTGCCTTTTTCTTTACTTAAAATGCTCAAGAATTGTTTTGTTTCTTGCCTGGGTCTTCTTAATGATTGTTTCTTATGTGCCTCCATCCCTTCTCTGCTATTTCTTTCCCCAATATCCCAATGAAATGAGCTTCACGAGAGTAGTTTTGCTTGGATGACCCAAAGGAGTTAAGTACTATTTCCAAGGTTTTGTAGCCACTGAATTGTTCTTACAAGGCATCGTGCTGCAAAGCAAGGACTGGCCTAGAAGACCTGAGCTGATCGCTGTACTAATAGCCAGCTGAGGAGCTCTGTGCAAATCAAATTATATTTACAGGATAGACTATATATAGGGCGTTGAATTAATTGCCATGGTTTTTATCATTCTTATGTTCTAATTTTTTGACCTGATGTGCTATTAATACAGTATCTTCCCTTTTCTATCAGTGTGAGTTTGTTATTGTAAATGGTGTTTTACAGGGACTGAACATTTAGCTTTTCTTTTTTAGTTGCTTACTCTTTTAGAGGAGACTGTGATGGCAAGAGGGAGGAGACATGGCAAAATACATAAGGCATATCTGTCTATATTTCTTTGGCATTGACATTTCATCAAGGGACATGACTCTGAAAGATGGCTGTCCCTTCTAATGGCTGGACTTTGCGGCTGTAGTGGCCAGAAGCATAAAGACGTGTAAAGAGGATTTTTCGGTACATCGAACACTGAATGTCTGGCTATGCAGCTTCTGTGATTGATATTCGGTTCTGTGGGCTCCTTCCTTCTTAAGTGCAGTCTGTAAAGGATGGTGGGGAATAGTAATTTCAAGAAAGATTTGGCATGAGTATCAGTCGTTGGGTGGTGGGTGTGAGAAGGGCGTTGCTATTGGTGGGTGAAGTGTTGTCACTTAGATGTTGTCATTTTCCCCCATATAGTTTTCATTAAGGTGACATTGCTGTGGCATCTGGGTCCAGGCAGGGTATAGCAGCCAGCATCTGACCACTTGCAGTCGTGAACATATATATATATGTATATATATGTGTGTATATATGTGTATATATGTATATATATGTATATATGTATATATATGTATGTATGTATATATATGCATGTATATGTATATATGTATATATATGCATGTATATGTATATGTATGCATATGTATGTGTATATATATAGAGAGAGAGTTTATTAAGTATTAACTTACACAATTACAAGGTCCCACAGTAGGCTGTCTGCAAGCTTGAGGAGCAAGAAGAGCTAGGTCCGAGCCTCAAAACTGAAGAACTTGGAGTCCGATGTTCGAGGGCAGGAAGCGTCCAGCATGGGAGAAAGATGTAGGCTGGGAGGTGAGGCCAGTCTCTCGCTTCATGTTTTTCTGCCTGCTTTATATTTGTTGATGGCTGATTAGATGGTGCCCACCAGATTAAGGGTGGATCTGCCTTCTCCAGCCCACTGACTCAAATGTTAATCTCCTTTGACAACACCCTCACAGATGCACCCAGGATCAATATTGCATCCTTCAATCCAATCAAGTCGACACTCATTATTAACCACCACAAGTCCATCCCTTGTCAACTTGAACCCATACACATTTCCTGAGATCATACATAATCTTCAAATACAATAAGATCATAATTACACCTAACATAATACAACTATCCTTTGTACTACCAGAAACGCACTGATCCCCAACCCAAATACTATTACATAAGATTAGCAATACTTAAATGCTGATATGAAGTCAGTAAATCTTATGTCACACAATAAAGGAAAAGGAAATACAATAAAGATATTTTCTTAGTACAAGTGTATACATGCACAAACATGTTTTTAGCAAAAGAAAGAGGAAATACTCATGACAATTACAGTCCCCATTTCTGGAGCCGGAACTGGTCACATGGTCGTAGCTGGTATTGATGACTACCTTCTTCTACCCAATCTGTATTCCCTTTGCCTTCAGCAAGCACCTCAGCAGGTTGTGGTTTTTTCCCTGCTTCATTCTTGAGGGGTCTGAGCCATTTGTAGTCCTGCCTGGGTTGGGCTGTTGTAGTTTCCCGTCGACCTTAATCACAGGCAATGGTAAGACTAAGAGACACCCTAATGGATCTCCTGTATTCCATGCATACTCTTCCTTATCTCTGTTGTGGAGTTGTAGACTGATTTCATCTAGAGAGTCTGGGTCAATCACCCCAGCCAACACTGTAACTCCCTTCTTACCCTGTTGACTTAAGGTAATAAGAGCCCAAAGTGTCCAGGCAATCTTAACTTCAAGTTTAATGGAATCATTGTTGTGTCTCCTGGTAGCCGCGTTCCTCCCTTTGGAACTAAGACCTCTAGGCCAGCAGAACATAATGTTGTGGGAACAGGAAGCAAAAATTTTGCCAGTGGATCATTAGGGGTGATGGTGAGTAGTGCCACTTCCACTTCCACCTCTTAGTTCCTGGACCCGTGAATCCTGGCTGTGGGAGAAACAGTAACATATATTGGAGGCTGACTGAGAGCATACACAGCCTTTTGGAGAACTTTGCCCCAGCCCTACAAAGTATTGTCACCTAGTTAGTGTTGTAATTGTGACTTCAAAAGGCCACTCCACTGTTCTATCAATCCAGCTGCTTCAGGATGATGGAGAACATGGTAAGACCAGTGAATTCCATGAGCATGAGCCCAGTGTCAGACTTCTTTAGTCATAAAGTGCGTGCCTTGGTCAGAGGCAATACTGTTTGGAATACCATGACAGTGGATAAGGCATTCCGCGAGTCCACGGCTGGTAGTCTTGGCAGAAGCATTGCATGCAGGATAGGCAAACCTATATCCAGAGTAAGTGTCTATTCCAGTGAGGATAAATTTCTGCCATGATGCCATCTTCCATGATGGAAAAGGTCCATTATAATCAACTAGTCACTAGGTAGCTGGCTGATCACCCCGAGGAATGGTGCCGTATTGAGGGCTCAGTGTTGGTCTCTGCTGCTGGCAAATTGGGCACTCAGCAGTGGCTGTAGCCAAGTCAGCCTTGGTGAATGGAAGTCCATGTTGCTGAGCCCATGCGTAACCTCCATCCCTGCCACCATGGCCACTTTGTTCATGGGCCCATTGGGCGATGACATGTGGCTGGGGAAAGAGGCTGAGTGGTGTCCACAGAACGGGTCATCGCATCCACTTGATTATTAAAATCCTCCTCTGCTGAGGTCACCCATTGGTGAGCACTCACAGGGGATACAAATATCTTCACAGTTTTTGACCACTGAGAGAAGTCCATCCACATACCTCTTCCCCAAATTTCTTTGTCACCAATTTTCCAATCATGCTTCTTTGAAGTCCCTAGCCATCCAGGGTGCTTTCTGACCCATCAAGCCATAAAGTGGGTCATGCACAGCAGCATTCCATCATCAAATGGAAGTGATGTAAGTATGACTGGGCTTGAGGAAGTCCTGAAGGCACAAGTAAGTTACATGAGGAAGTGGCTCAAATGCCCATGGTCTCCTTGGTCAGACCATATGGTCAAAGGTATTATGTATAAAGTCAATAAACTTGCTTCTCACAAACGGTGAATCAGACCGCTTGGAATGACCTCCCTGACCATCCAGCCAAACCATTGGCTGCAGCCCATGAATCAGTATGTAATCACACATTTGATTATTTCTCCTTCCATGCAAAGTACACAACCAGGTGCACTGCTGGAAGTTCTGCCCACTGGGAAGATTTCCCTTCACTGCATCCTTCAGGGATGTCCTAGAAAGGGGCTGTAGTGCTGCAGCTGTCTACTTTTGGGTGGTGCCTGCATATTGTGCAGAACCATCTGTGAACCAGGCTCTAGTCTTCTCTTCCTCTGCCAACTGATCATAGGGAACTCCTCATGAGGCCATCAGTGCAGGCTGTGGGAGAGAAGGCAGGGTGGCAGGAGTGGAGACCATGGGCATTTGAGCCACTTCCTCATGTAACTTACTTATGCCTTCAGGACGTGCTCAAGCCCAATCACATTTATATCACTTCCATTCGATGATGGAATGCTGCTGTGCATGACCCACTTTATGGATAGATGGGTCAGAAAGCACCCAGTTCATGGTAGGCAGTTCAGGTCACATGGTGACTTCATGACCCATAGTCAAATGTTCAGTTTCCACCAAAGCCCAGTAACAGGCCAAGAGCTGTCTCTCAAAAGGAGAGTAGTTATCTGCAGAAGATGGCAGGGCCTTGCTCCAAAATCCTAGTGGCCTCTGCTGTGATTAGCCTATGGGGCCCTGCTGTAGGCTCCAAACAGCACCCCTATCTGCCACTGACAACTCCAGCACCGTTGGATCTGCTGGGTCATATGGCCCAAGTGACAGAGCAGCTTGCATAGCAGCCTGGACCTGTTGCAGAGCCCTCTCCTGTTCTGGACCCCACTCAAAGCTGACAGCCTTTCGGGTCACTTGATAAATGGACCAGAGTAACACATCAAAATGAGGAATGTGTTGCCTCCAAAATCCAAATAGGCCCCCTAGGCATTGTGCCTCTTTCTTGGTTGCAGGAGGGGCCAAATGCAGCAACTTGTCCTTTACCTTAGAAGGAATATCTTGACAGGCTGTACACCACTGGACCCTTAGAAATTTTACTGAGGTAGAAGGTATCTGAATTTTAGTCGGATTGATTTTTCATTCTCTGGCGTGCAAATGTTTTCACCAGTAAGTCCAATATGTTTGCTACTTCCTGCTCACTGGATCCAATCAGCATAAGGTCATCAATGTAATGGACCAGTGTGATATCTTGCAGAAGCAAAAAGCAATCAAGGTCTCTCCGAATAAGATTATGACACAAAGCCAGAGAGTTGATATACCCCTGAGGTAGGACAGTAAATGTGTATTGCTGGTCTTGCCAGATGAAGGCAAATTGCTTCTGGTGGGCCTTATGGACAGAAATGGAGAAAAAGGCATTTGCCAAGTCAATGGCTGCATACCAGGTACCAGGAGATGTGTTAATTTGCTCAAGCAATGAAACTACATCTGGCACAGCAGCTGCACTTAGAGTCACCACTAGGTTAAGCTTATGATAATCCACTGTTATTCCCCAAGATCCACCTGTCTTCTGCACAGGCCAAATGGGAGAGTTGAACAGGGATGTCATGGGAGTCACCACCCCTGCGTCTTTCAAGTCCTTGATGGTGGCACTGACTCCGCAGTCCCTCCAGGAATGCAATATTGTTTTTGATTTACTATTTTCCTAGATAGAGACAACTCTAATGGCTTCCATTTGGCCTTTCCCACCATAATAGCCCTCACCTCATTAGTCAGGGAGTCAATGTTGGGGTTCTGCCACCTGCTAAGTATGTTTATGCCAATTATGCAGCCTGGCACTGGGGGATTGACCACAGGATGAGTCCAGGGACCCGCTGGACCCACTGTAAGTCAGATCTGAGCTAAAGCTCCGTTAATGACATGACCTTCATAAGCCCCTACTTTAACTGAGGACCACAATGATGTTTTGAGTCCCCTGGAATCAACGTCAGCTCAGAGCCAGTGTCCAGTAGTCCCTGAAATGTCTGATCATTTCCCTTTCCCCAATCCACAGTTACTCTGGTAAAAAGCCAGAGGTCACCTTGGGGAAAGATGGGAGAAAGATTTGTTGCATAAATTGTTGGTAATGTAGTAGGGTCCTTCCTCAAGGGGACCCAGCCTCCCCTTCATTCAAGGGGTTCTGGGTGTGTAAACTGACTCAAGTCTGGAAATTGATTGAGGAGCCGTGATTCTGTTTTTCTAATTCAAATTAGTCTTTTATCCATTTCACCTAGAAGCTTTCCGCTTGTATAAATTAAGTAGGAATGCAGTAAGCTTCCTATCAATTTCACTTCTAGGAACACTGTGATTAATTAGCCAATGCCATAGCTCTACACTAGTCAGACTATTCTGATTGCCTCATTGCCTCTGCCGTTCATTGTCGTAGCTGCACCCACCTTGCCTTTGATGGTCGAGTGCTGCCACTTGGCCCCTGCCACCTTGGTATCTAATTAGCAAACAGAGGTATTGGGGTGGATTCTGAGGAGAATCAACATTATCTTGCCTGGCAACTGCCTCAGAAGAGGTCATCACTGTTCCCTCAGGCAGCGCAGGGTTTATCTCCTCAGACAGAGGTGCAAAGGCTGGTGGCAGCATGGGTCGGGAAGGGGATGTTGCCACTACTGGGAATAGGGAAATTCCTTCTGGCAAAAATGGTTCATCAGAGTTTACAAACTCAGTGTGCCCAGCTTCATCAGGGTCCTCCCAAATGTCCCCATTCCAAGTTGCAGGGTCCCATTCTTTTCCAATCAATGCCCTCACTTTAACAGTAGACACCTGGCGAGGCTGTGCACGAACCTTTTGTTTCAGGTCAGCCACTCACATCATAAGGGCTTGTGTCTGTTTTTCCACAATTTCAGCTCTTTCTCTACAGGAGGTAAGACTCTCACTCAGGGCAATCTTAGCAGATTTGAGGTTCAGTATCTGCTTCTGAAGCCCGGAGACAGAATCCCTGAGTTCATCATTTTCTTTCATCAGTTTGTCCACTGAACTTGGGAGCAACCAACAAGCTGCATTATGTTCCTTGGTTCTCCACATATGGTCAAAGGTATTATGTATAGAGTGAGTGAACTCCTTGCTTCTCACAAGCGGTGAATCAGGAGTGCCAAATGCATTTATTTTGCATAAGTCTAAACAGTTTCCGCCTAGGACTTATCAGTATTCTCCATACTATTAGAAGCAGAGTCCTTAGCATTTTGGGGTCTAATCATATTAAGCAACCAACTCCAGAAACCCCAAAACCAATGAAAGAACTCCATCCTTAATATTCTGTTCCTCTACAACCACTCCTGGTACCAAAATCTGTATTCCTCAGAGTTCCCTAGAGGGACAGAACTAATAGGTAGATACATACATATAAAGGGGAGTTTATTAAGTATTAACTTACACGATCACAAGTTCCCAGAATAGGCTGTCTGCAAGCTTGAGGAGCCAGGAGAGCCAGGTCCGAGTCTCAAAACTGAAGAACTTGGAGTCCTGGAGTCCAATGTTTGAGGGCAGGAAGCGTCCAGCATGGGAGAAAGATGTAGGCTGGGAGGCTAGGCTAGTCTCTTGCTTCATGTTTTTCTGCCTGCTTTATATTTGCTGATGGCTGATTAGATGGTGCCCACCCAATTAAGGGTGAGTCTGCCTTCTCCAGCCCACTGACTCAAATGTTAATCTCCTTTGGCAACACCCTCACAGACAGACACACCAGGATCAATATTGCATCCTTCAATCCAATCAAGTTGACACTCAGTACTAACCATCACAGTTAGTATAGGGGTGGAGGGAGAGAAAAAATATTATTTTTTCTTACTACCCACAGATATCTAGACTTCGAAGGAGTTTACTCTGCACGATAGATGTGTTCCTGAAAAGTTCATTGAAAGCACAATTTCTCTTAGTCGCATTTTATCTTCTTACCAGCAGTTTCAGGGCTTATCCAGCTTCATTCTGCCCGCTGTTTCTTCACCGATGGAGCTCAATGTCTGTGTCCCCTGTCACGTTCTCATCACTTTGAAAATGGGAAATGATTGGCAGGCAACCCTAGGACACCACACTTCTAAAACTGGCCACAGCTATCAGCTAAAGGGAGCAATGCCAATATGAGGTGGGCCCACATTGTGTGAGATGGAAATTAATGAAAGCAGCCCTGGGTTGATACTCACATCCTCTGCTGGAGAAATTAACAGCAGTGTTTATCTCTGCTAAATCTAGGCATGGTGTATTATCGAGAGGTTTCCTGTCAGGTCCAATTTGGGATCATCAAATTAATTGTTACGTGTGACAAGCTGACATGCAAAGAAAGCAATAAATACCTCAGTGCCAGCTCCTTGTTGGAATTCCATGGTGAGTTCCCAGGGCCAGGGGGCATGAATGATAAATGAGGCTAACAGCCTCCCTGCCTACAGCAGCCTGCCCTTTCTCTCCGTGGCATCGGAAGACTCACCCCTGTTTTCCTTGAGACCTTAGTTAACTCACTCACTTCCTAACAACTGCGTTAATTCTTCTTAGCATTTTTCTTTTGCTTCTGAGAGGTGCTATGTACCTAGAAATGACCCAGCAGCTTCTTCAAAAGTACCTTTGCTGGGTCTTCAGGAACTGCCTGGTAATTGACCCACAAGACATTGCCAGTTTGCCTGCGTTTCTCAAGCTCAGAAGATTTTGCTGTAGGAAGCCCCCGGCAGCTCAGGCTTCTACTCCATGTCCCCAAGGGTGGAGTGGTGCAAGGTGTGGCCAGGCACTGTTTAGAACTGGAGTGAGTGGCACCTGGAGGTGGGTGGGGCATCAGCCTGATGGGTTGGAAGTTGCTCCTGTTGCTGTCCTGGGCCCTGTAATCTGGCTGCCATTCCTATTACTTCACAAATACTCCCTAGTGCAAGTACAGCAGCATCCTTCCAAGGACCAAACCCAAGGGACATCAGGCTACTGTGTCTTTAACCTCTCCAACATTTTACATTTGGGGCCTCCTCCTCTCCTCCAAAAACAGGAACTCAGCAACTGTCCATATAACTCCCTGCACTTTGGACACAAGCAAATTTAAGTCACATTTGTGGCACAACTCTGGAAGACACAGAGACCCTTATGGCGTGCATATCTGTATATTCGTATGTGTTAGTCCATTTTTGCCCTATAGCAGTGCAAATACCTGGGAATACCTGAGACTGGGTAATTTATAAGAAAAGAGGTTGAACTGGCTCATGGTTCTGCAGGCCGAACAGGAAACATGGCAACTTGTGCTTCTGGGGAGGCCTCAGGGAGCTTCCAATCAGGCAGAAGGCAAAGGGGGAGCAGGCGTCTCACATGGTGGGAGCAGGAGCAAGAGAGCAAGAGGGGAAGTATTACACACTTTTAAACAACCAGGTCTCACGAGAGCTCACTCACAACTGTGAGGACAGTACCAGGGGGGTGGTACTAAACCGTTCATGAGAAATCCACCCCCATGATGCAGTCGCCTCCCACCAGGCCCAGCCTCCAACATTAGGGATTATGATTCCACCATGAGAATTGGTGGGACACAGATCCCCATATCACCATGTATCTGCATATCTATGCTTCCTCACTTTTCAAATCCTTTTGAATTTTTTTCTGTATATTTTTCCTGACTTTGTTTTTATTTGTATTACCTGTTTTCTTGCCGTAAGAAGTATGAGGTACAGTTATCAAAATATTACTTTAAATTGTAATTTTTTTTAAGATTTAATAACAAGGTCTCCTGATAGGTCTGATCACTGCCATCACTTTAGAGTAGTGATGAATGTCAACGGTAATTCTAGGTATGTGCAACAACAGGAATGTGATATAAAACTATTAATATCTGTGATTTCTATTGATGAAAAAATTACAGGCACTGCTGATGCTGCTGAGTTCACCCTGAGAAGGCCGGCTAAATATCAGTCAGATGTCAGTGGAGATAAAGATGTGGGGTTGGCTGGTTTGTTGGTTGGTTTTCCCCCAGCCTAGTTCATGGGTGTCCTGAATTTTATTTCTGGGCCCATTAGATTAAGAATCTTTACCTTATACCTCCTAGATCTGTGTTACGTCAAAACATATATGTCTACTCTCATTTTTTATTACATCAGACAACTTTCCAAAGGTGTGGATCTCAGCGTGACTCTCACGGTTCTACACCCCATATGCCCTTTCCATGTGGAAAGAACCCACGGCCTAGTTTAAGTGATTCCATTGCAAGGCTGCTTTGCTGCGAGTCCTAATTACCCTTTTCATTGTCAAATATTAAGAGGAAATACATGGGCAGCCTGATGGGATCTTGACTGCTCCCTGACGTTCAGTTCTCAGACCTCTGCTTTCTTCTGTTTACCGTCCATTAGAGAACTTGCATGTTCCCGCCTTTGTCATCACCCGAATGAGGAATAAACACAGCAGCACTTGCCCAGCCCCGCTTCCCCGCCAGAGCACACCAGGCGTGCCTGCTGGCTGGAGGGACGGCTCCTTGCTGGTCCAGCTTTACCTCAGCCTCTAGTGGACGGAGTGCACAGGGCTTGGGGCAGGAGACTTGGGTTTGAGTACCAGCTTTGGGACCTGTTGCCTGTGTGATTGTGGAAAACACTTCAGCTCTCAGGGGGGCTTCTTAGCTGGAAAGTGGGGGTAAAACAGTAACCCCTGTCAGATGAGAAGATGCCAGCCTTGAGCAAGATAAAGCACGTTATGAATGGCTGTTGGTGGTGGTTCTCTGTTTCACTCTTCTGCCTCCCTCATTCCCTGCTCCTCCTGGGCTTGAAAATCAGTCATTGTGATCTCCTCCTCTGCTGCCCAGCCCAGTCCTGCTGTCGTGCCTGGAACGTAACTCCCACAAGGAACTGCTCTGACTGCCACAGATCCTAGACTTGGTTAGCCACAGAACCTCTTACTGGTCACCTTGTCTCAGTCTTGCCCTAGTCAGTTGACCTTCGATTCCAATGTTAGGTTGTCTTGCTGAGATTCCAGTTTCCCCACCCTGTAACCTTTGCTTCCTAGGAATCGATTATGGAGCCTTTGGCTTGGGAAGGTTGCCTGTGGAGTTCATCCTGAGAGGGCATGTTAAATATCAGTCAGATGTCAACAGAGATAAAGATGTAAGGCAGATTGGTTGGCTGGTTGGTTGGCTGGTTGGTCGGCTGGTTGGTTGGTTTTCCCTCAGCCTAGTTCATGGGTACATGTGTCGTATGGAGGCCTGCACTAATGAGTAGATGCCTTGGGGTCCACCTCAGGCTTCTCCCTCCCCCACTTCAATAGGAGCCCCACCTAGATCCATTTGATATCTTGAGGTTCCATTCAGATTTGATGTTTTAAAACAGGATCTACTGCTACAGACAGAGAAGTTGATAACCACTGAAAGAGTTCAATGTAGTCATTCTGCAACTGAATAACAGAAGCCCTGAGAAGCTAAGGGCATTCCCGCCAGCTTCAAGGCTAATGTGTAGACCCACAGGGCTTCCCTTGCCCTAGTCTAGAACTCTCTCCCCTGTGCCATGTTGGTCCTGTGGGTTCCTGCCCTTTGTAACCGGTCATTTAAGGCCCTGCCCAGTCTCCCCCACCCCATCCAGCCCTCCTCACAGACATCAATGTCTACCTTTTCCATGAATCAGGACCTGAGAGGCCAGAATCTACTCGGCAGAATACACCGTGCTCAGTCCTCCTCTGCACCTCTCCTGCCCTTCCTATGTGGAGGGGTCTCCCAGTCCCTCCATACCCTGAATTGTGCCGGTCCTTCCAGGCCCCACTGAAGCGGCTTTTTCAAAGCCTTACCTTATGACCCCAGCCCACAGGAGCTTCCCCCATCCGAATTCTTTCTGCACATGCTGTGTGTGTTGCTGTGTTAGTTTGCTAGGGTTGCCTTAACAAAGTGCCACAGACTGGGTGGATGAAACAGCATAAGTTTGCTGTCTCACAGTTCTGGAGGTTGAAAGACCAAGGTGTCAGCAGGGTTGGTTCCTTCTGAGGCCTTTCTCATTGGCTTGTAGATGGCCGTCTTCTCCCTGTGTCCTCAAACAGTCTTCTCTCTCTGCCTGTCTGTGTCCTGCTCTCCCCTTATAGGGACACCAATCATATTGGGTGAGGGTCCACCCTAATGATGTTGTTTTAACTTAATCACCTCTTTAAAGGCCCTGTCCCCAAGTAGAGTCACACTCAGAGATTCTGGGAGTTAGGACTTCAACATAGGAATGTGTTGCTGGGAAGGACGGGGGTGAAATTCAGCCAGAACAGCCTCTCACTTGGCACACAGTGGTTGCCTGCCTCAAGTCCTTCCTGCCCTGCCTGGTCCTGCGTTTGAGGAAGGATTATGTAGTATATTACTTTGTACCCACGCAGTGCTTGCAAATGCTAGACACATGTCATTTTTCAATGAAAAACTAACTTGCTCTTGAGTCCCAAACTTGGGTTTAATGAAGCCAGTGAATCAGCAGTTCTTGAGGCTCTATTCAGAGCACTGTGTGAGAAAGAGTAAACAGACGTCCCACCCAGAGTAAGGTGGCTGAGGTCTCATCAGGAAGATGGGGATAGACAGTTGGAGGGCAGGGTGGTGAGAAGCACCGACTCCAGGAAACACAGGAAGCGCTGTCAGAGTTCAGAGGATTTTTAATGCCGATAGAGTAAGAGAGCGTAGAAGTTATGGCTCTCACAGAGCATAAACGCTGGAGGTAGGTGCACGTGTGTCCTCAGAGGACCAGTGTGGGGGCAGTCATTAGGAGAATCCTGTAAACACTGCTCCTTCCTCAAACCAGGGCAGTTACGCCCCGGTGAGACCACCTTTGTCTCCAGTCCCACCCTGTCTGAGGCTGGCCTTCATAGAGGGTGGATGCAGACATGGATCGCCTGGCATCAGGGCAAAGTTCAAATGAAATTCTGATGAAGGTAAAAGCCCCAGGCCACCCCGGGTGAGCGGACTTCAGCCACCAACTGGGAGCCATGCGCTGCTCTTGGCCCTGCTGATCCCGAGGTCTGCTCACACCTACCTTCCCCTTGCTGTGTACAGCAGAGCAAAACCCTTTTCTCTCCCCTCATTTCAAAACATGGGAGTGTGGACCCCATGGCCATATTTATTTCACGTTGACAACTTCAGATGTTTCAAGAGTTCAAGTCTTAGATTCACTGATGTTTAATTAAAGACCTCAGTTGTTATTTATTAGCTGCACTGCCTTTTCTCTTTGTCTCTTCTGTCCTCACACAACACACTCCAGGGTAAATTCATTTCAGCCACAGTTTCTCACACCGTGCCTCTGCGGACAACCCCTCAGCCCTCACCACTTCCCCTGGCTCAGCTTGGTATTGCTAACTGGGCAGCTTGATGCAGATGCCTGAGATACCTTCAGTTGTCCCAGACAATTCCATTTGCCCCTCCCTTTCATACCTGCTTCTCACTGACTCCACAGTGTCCCTTAACACCCGGTGATTGGGACTCAGGCACAGGTGCAGGGCTGAAGGACACTCCCAGCCTGCTTGCCCTGTCACCCGCAGAAGTCAAGGCACGTCCTGCCTTCAGGGCACCTTCTCCAGCCACCCTCCCAGGCTCTGTGCTTCCCACCAGCCCGTCCATTGGTGTGGACCCTCGTGCCTTCCTCTGCACCCTCCAGAGCACACCCATCATCCCACCACACTTCCAGGCCCGATGCCAGAGGCCTCCTGACCTCACTCAGAGCGCTCTGTGGCCTCTAAGCCCCATGAAAGGCTTCTGTGGCCCCCTCATGGTTCTGTCCGTATTGGGGCTGTGGACACGTTTCCCAGGAGGCCTCTCAGTGCAGTGGGGTGAACACAGAGAACAGGAGCTAAACCTGCCTCTGCCAGGGCCATTCTGTGGCTTGGGTCAGATAACTGCAACTCCCTGAGCCTCAGCTTCTCATCTTGGAGATGGGCCTGTGATATCCGTTTACAGGACTTTTCAGGGGATTTGGTGTGATTGAGGCTGTGAAGGCTTCCTTATGGCCCCTGGCCAAAAGCAGGCCCTCAGAAGGGCCCTAGCCACCTCTCCCTGAGGCTTCGGGGCTGGATTGTTTTGTAGCCGAGGGAAGGGGAGGGGTCGTTTGCTGAGGAAGTGATTTTTCCCTGTTTTGTTTCTGAAGGTGGAGGTGACGGAAACTCCCAGGCAGCCCCTTTATGTGGGCACTTCTCCCTCATCACAGAGCCTGGCAATCAGCCTCGAGCAGCGCCAGCATCACCTGGGGCTGGTTACACACAGATCGCTGGGCCTCTGTGTTTGAGGAAGGCTTATGTAGTATATAGAAATGTGCATTCTGACCAGTCCCAGGTGAATCCATACCGATGCCCTGGGTCCCAGGACATCATTGCCCTAAAGAATACAAGAAGGGCTGCAGTGCCCAGCACTCTTCCCTTTGGGGGTATTCCCTGGGACATGTTCCAGGTGGGTAACTGTCAGCCTCTGGTCCATTGCCCGCATTTTCAATGCCCTTGTGGAGGGTGGGAGCCCTGCTGTGCAGCAGAGTTCCAAGCCTGCTCCTTGGCTTCCTGTCATGTGGTCAGAGGCAAGCAGCCTCTAGGATTCTCTCCTGGAAATTCATTATGCACCTTAGCTTGTGACCTGGCCTGGAGACCATGCCTCGGAGAAAGCCACACAGCCCTGTTTAACCATTTGCCAAACCCATCTGACCACGAGGCAACCCTCTGGGCAGTGCAGTGGGATGTTTTGAACACACCCAAGCAATGAGGTTGGAATTGAAAATCCTTTCCAAGCTCTCCCCAGTGGTGGGATTGATGTACTGGGCTCCCTTACCTACCTCGTTACTCTGGGAGTGTCCTGCGTTTGGGTCTGGCACACCACACCATGCAGTAGTCACACTGTGTGAGCTCCACGGCTGCAGCATCGCATAGTCGGACTTTTATTCATCTTCTTTCCCCAGTAACTCACCTGGGTTTTTATAGGAATGCATGTACACGTCCTGAATAGCAAACCTAAAAACATTTATAATGCATACCTCATACAGTAGAACTTCAGCTATTTGTGTTAATTATAGTGAATGGTAGTCAGATGTGCTTTTTAAAAATCCAGATTATTAAATACAAAGAAATATGGTGGTACTTTCATGATCAAGCCATGGCACATGCTTGTCTATTCCAGAGGTGCCAGGTGAATTCCTCGTAGAGGAGATGTGACTGAAAGCACAAAGGAGGATTACTTGTAATGAACGTATCAATTATTTGTAGATTGAGGGTCTTTTGATTTTAATATTCTTTCTACTATCTTGTTTATGTTGCCTATAACCTTTGACCCAATGAACATGAACTTCAAATTAGTGAAATCCAACGAAATAAGGTTTTACTCTGTCAGAAAAATCACTCACCCAACAACAGGCACAGCTGTGCTCCTGTGCTCCTGCACCCTAGTTAGAGGTGCTGAGAACATTTCACAGCATCCAGAGCCTTATCTGTTGACCCCAAACGCATTCCTATATGGGCCTGCAGTGTAGGAGTCCACCTGCACAACCGCACAAGGACTTTCCCCCATTGCTTACGATGACAAAGAAAAGTGGAAGTGTGGAAACTGTTATCATTAATAACATGGTTTCAGAGTCGCTGTGCTTTTCACACTGTACGCTATAGCCCGTTGGTGGGTCATGAAGTCAGTTGAGTGGATGGAGATCAGCAGGGATGGGACCATACAGATCCCATATTACATGGGATTAGTGCATCCCAGGATACAAGGGGCAGAATTGTTTGTTTAGGGAGATATGTGCGTGTGTGTGTGTGTGTGTGTGTCTGATATGTGTATATGTGTATGCCTGTGTGCGTGTATGTGTCTGCATGTGTGTGTGTATGTATGTCTGTGCATGTGTGTATGTGCGTCTGTGTGTATCTGTGTGTGTATATGTGTGTGTCTGTGTCTGTGTGTCTCTATGTGTGTGTGTGCACTTGTGCCCACTGCATCACAATGTAAAATGATCCAGGTTTTTATTGTGGGTCATACTGAAAATGTAGGAAAGCCATTTGATAGAAAATCTTTTAAGCAATTCCAGAGTAGAGAAGAATTAATAATTTGGTTTAAAAATTTTCCTCCTCAAAGTGGTCATTTCAGTTTATATTCTCCCAAGTTATTTCTCTGCTCTGACAGCATATGCCCTTTATAATCTGCCTGTTGGTATATCTGCCTGGAGTTGTAACAATGCTCAAGTTTGTATTGCCCGTGAAATTCCTTTGTACTTAATATTAAAGGATGATTCAGCTCTTCAGTGTAGCATCCAACTCTTAAGAATTTCAAGCCTAAATAAGAATTAGAGCCACTTGGAGGTAGCGACAGCATGGGGTGAGGCACCAAATTAATGTGATTCATGGAGAATTTAATCTAAAAGAGAACTGGATGATGAGCAGAGCCAGTACTCATCCAGTGCCACCCATCCATCACACCATCTTTGCACCATAGCACCTGTGCATCACATGATTCCTATGCCACGCCACCTGTGTGCCATACCACCCACACACCACACCACCCATGCATCACACCACCTGTACATCACGCCGCCTGTGCACCACACTGATCGCAAATCACACCACCCGTGCATCACACCACCTGTACATCACGCCGCCTGTGCACCACACTGCTCACAAATCACATCACACTGCCTGTGCACCACACTGATCGCAAATCACACCACCCCTGCATCACAGCACCCATGCATCACACCACCTATGCATCACACTGCCTGTGCACCACATAGTTTATGCACCACATCACCCGTGCATCACACCACCAGCTCTCCTGCCCTCAGCTCAGTGCTGGGGCCACATTGTTACGGGGTTTTGAATATGAATCTTTAAATTACTCAAGTTTGTGCTGCTGTTGAGAAAAGGCAGAATGCACCCTTGGGCAGTTCTCCCATTCCCGAACCCACCCACATGTCTGCCTCTCAACACTTGCTCAGCTGACTAAGCTACACCTTTCAGATATCAGCTGAAATCTCACTGGCCCTCCAAACCAGTTTAAACCCCTGCTGTGTGCTCCTTTAGCACCTTGGCCTTCCCCTTCATAGCACTTGGCTTAAATGTAAATGCCCAGTTGAGTTTTCATTATTCATTTGACATTGAGCCCCAGCCACCTCAGACGTTGCAAACTGGCCGACTGACTTGGGGACAGACCCATGGCTTTTTTTAAGGCCAGTCCCCTCTGACTTCTCCATGTGGGTTTTGAACTTAGCCTGCCATCCTTCCCTCTTATAGTTGTGGGAATTCAGATCAAGAAAGGAGGAAGCGCGTGACCAGGTTACCTAATTAGGGGAGGACACAGGATGTTCGTGTTGTTCATGAAGATGGACCTGAAGCATGCCGTGTGCATCGGGTTTTTCTGGGCTTTTCTGGAATGCTGAGCCCTTTTCTCGAGGGCAGTGCTCCCACCTACAGCATAGGATCAGGTGCACACATCTGTTGGCCTCTTCATTAGGTACAATTTAATGTATTAAATTTGGATACTGTTTCTAGGTTAGTAAAAGTGTGTCTTTATCAAATCCGATCATCATTTTTGTCTCATAAACAAGAGACAAGAAATTCTTCCAGGTAAAATGTTTCTCAACTGCCTCGTCACTGATTAGTAAAGTGAGTTTGTCTTAACAAGTCCATCTCTGTCCGATTTTCTGACAAACCAGGTAACATTTGAATAAATTCTCAAGATTGTGCCCAAGCCATATAAGGCATTAATGCATTTGAGGTTTGGATTTGAAAGCATCAGCTGCAGTTAGGAGCCCAGGCTTCGGTGTCACACTTGTGAGTTTGGTTCCTAGCTTCTCCTCTTACTCACTGTGTAGCCTTAGGCAGGTTATTCAACCTCTCTGTGCATGTGTCCTTATCTGTAAACTGTGATTATTAATAATATTACCTAAGCTGACTGTTGTGAAGATTACATGAGTTAATGTGTCTCCAGTACATAGAATAGTTCTGGGCCCAGAGTCAGAAAGAAATACTAGCTATTATTAGTAGTATGTTCATTAGTAGTTGATGTATCGCCATCATTTTATAGTCAAGCACCTAGAACTAAAAGTTATCCTAACACCCTGTAAGTGGATGGCTGTGGTTAATACAGAATATTTAGGCAAAATGTGTTTATGAAGACACTTCTGCCTGTTCTTGTTGTGTACTGCTTTCCATGTTGTGCTGTTGGATGCAAATGCCGATGTGAGCTAAGCTCTCTGCAGTCCAGAGGGCGGAGGTGACTGTGGCTTCTTTCTCATCTACCTAAAATGATGCATATTTGAGAAATGCTTTGTTTCTGGGGCTCTCACATGATTCAGGGGCAGTAAATCCCCAAAGGAATGTCACTTTTTTTATGGCTCATGGAACTAATGTCTCACCAAGCACACCTGGTCCAGCATACCCACCTAACCAAGGATTTCATAATTTGTGGAATTTTTCAACACATAGGTATATCAAATCATAACAAAAGAAAATCAGCACTCAAAGGTATGACTGCACCTTACATTTAAATCTGCTTCTCTCCCCATGAAAGATGATACTGAGTAGGAAAGGAAAACTGCAGGAGGGCAGAGAGCATCTTAGACCAAAGTTGAGTTCTCCTTTCTCTATGAAAAATGCCCGTTGTCTGACAGGTTTCGCCCAGATAGTACACACCATGAGGGCATGTGGCCCTGCATGGAACTGCTTCTGTTTCATCACAAATGACAAGGCAGCTGAAAGGCTGGGGCCAAATGCACAGCCTTGTTCTCACACAGCAGTGGAGAGAGCCCAGGCTTCTGCCACACAGACTTGTCCTTCCAGTGACCAAACAGCACGTGACCCAGTGGTGGAGAAAAGGAGGATGGAGAAATGGATTCCCTAGCCTGGGCCTCCCACTAGATCACTGTGACCCCTATTTAGCCTCCGAGGTAAAACTCTTTCCAAAATGTGTAAACCACCTTCACCTCTACATAAAATATGGAACACAATTGCAACTCAGCCTTTAATACATGTGTCACGACCGTGTGTAGTGTGGGCCGCGGTGGGCTGATGCTAATGGAAGTTCTGCCCAAAAGGCTTCCTGATTCAAACGCATCAGGAAATGGGTGAAAGGAAGTTAATCTGGTTTCCTTAAGATGACTCAGAGCCCCATTACACTAAGGGGCATTTCAGTCTCTCAGAGGAGGATACAGGAAGTAGTGTTTCCAGAATTTAGTTGACCACAGGCTACTCAAATTGCATTGCAGGATGAGAGCCAGGCAGAATGTATTTTGGGCCACAATTCTGAGGTTGTGCATCCGACAGGTGTAGGAAGACCAGAGCTAGCCAGAAAGTTTGAGGACCCACGTGCTTGTCCTGGCTCCACTTCCTCCCATTCCCTCGACCACAGGGACTGTCTACCTCTAAGCTGCTTTCTCACCTGTATGAAAAGGAGGTCAGTGATGCTTGTGGGCTCCTGGCCCTGTACACTGCGCAGGAAAGACTGAGGGATCACAGGCAACGGGCTCTAGAATCAGTGAAAGGCCACACAAACAGAAGACAGGTGTTGGTGCTCAGTTCTATTAACCCAGAAAAGACCAAGATACAATTTGGGGAAAATTCCCTGATTACATTTGTTCTATTCTGCTTTGCCAAGGGTTTCACTTAATTGAATGAATCCAATTTTACTCTATACAGATAAGTGTATAGAGCTGACCATGGCATCTCCATGTAATCCAGGAGTAATCTTTTTACCTCCTGACAGTTTTACCGTCTTACCTGTTTCTAATCCATTTCCCTTTCTTGGCAGCAGACTGGGCGACAGCACAGAGACACATAGGAAGTGGTGAGCGGAAAGTGCCCATGTCTCCAAGGCAAATACACATTCCAGAGCACTCAGAAAACTGCAGAGGGCTTTATGTTTTCACACTGAAACTCATGGTGGCAAAAATTGAGCTGATGTGAGGATATTTATGGTCCCTAAATCCTACTTAGTGTAATATCCATACATTTTGCTGTAGAAAAATTAATGGGTTTGAATATGGGGTGCTGCCCAAGCCCCTCCAGAACTGTTCACTATATATGATTTTTATAACATATTGCCTTTATAAAACTTGAAAAATCCTGAATTCTGAAACCTATGTAGCCCCAAGGGCTCCAGGTAAAAGAGATCAGGGACTATAAAGGAAACTCTGGGGTACAAAGGCACCTGTGGAGATGAAGGTCACCAGGCTGGCTGGTATTTGACAGGCAGGACGCCCTGTTCCCAGGTTCAGGCAAGAGGTTGCCCAGCCCTCGGGATGCTGCTTTCTGCCACAGCATGGTGCTGTGAATTCTCCCCCTCTTCACCGCTGCTGTATTTTTTGTGAAGCCATAGAGACAAGCCAGTGCCTGGCCCCCAGCAAGGCTGGAGAGGCAGTGAAGGCACATCCCCACAGCCACGCCCTGCGCTGTCCTCTACCTGGAGTCCTTGGGCAGCCAGCCAGGGGAAGGCTCCCTGTGCCCCCCACACCCAGGCTGCTGTGTAAAGAAGCAATTGGCATGAGCCCCAGGACACTAGCTACTGCCAAAGCCAGCAGTATTTTATGAGCCTTAAAAAATCTTGTTGTACCAGTCCGTTATGAATTATTGAATTAACACTGCATATTTATAGCAACTTCTTAATAGTTTAATAATTTATTCATCCCTTATGGATCCTTTGGCATATTTCTTTTAATTGTTAGAGTAAAGAGTTTTTTTAGAGCTAACTTCACTGGACTACTTCCTCAATGATGCTTCCAGAATACTAAAATAGAATCCTGCACAGTTGTTCCGAAGCTTAAAGCACCTGATGCGCAGCAAAGACCTGCCCACATGCGAGTCGGTGACACCCCCCCTGCCTGTGCACAGGGCTGCAACTACTCTGTAGAAGCCCACAGCCAGCCAGGCCCAGCTCTCAGCCCCAACTCAGCACACTAGCATTTCACAGCCTACACTTGGATTACGTGTCTTCTGAGACAGTTTAGGAACCTAAGCATCATTCATATTGTTTCTAAAGGGAAAAACATCTTACTGTGTCCCAACAAGTAAGCTCCCTATTTTGGGAGCACCCCTGCTTTGTAAGATGTGTCCTACTGCCCAGAGTGAGTCATTCCTCACAGAGCCCTGCTCCTAGGTGCTTGGTGATAAGGGGAATCAACAGAAACAGGCTGTTTCCCAGCATTCACTTGCAGATGACTAAACCCAGAAATTGTGGAGTAGCCTTAGGTAAGGAGACGAAAGTTGAAAACTTAAGACCCAGATTCTTCAGGCATTTGAGACTCTGGCTGAGGAGGCAAGGCATGCCAGATCGTTTATGCTCAGGGTAAGGGTGCACATCTGTCTGCATGTTACTGTCCCTTTTGCAAGGGTTTTTTTGGTCATGAGTGACATCGCACTTTATTAAAAAGACATGCTTTCTTAACAAGATGAGCTACCTTTGATGCTTAGTCTTTCTCTGGTTTAGGCAAGAGTCCTGCAAAGCCATCCAGCTGTTGTTGGCAGCTGCCAGGAGTTGCCATAAAGAAGGTAGATGGAGTTTTTCCTGTTGAATTCGTTAATTCAGGCTCGTGAATGTGGTCATTGATAACACCCCATCCCTCTTTTCCTTACCGCCTCTAGCTAATTGTGCTTATCATTTAAGCTTCAGCTCATGGCTCTATCACCATTCTCAAGTTTGCCTTGAAAAGATCTGAAGAAGTACCTGTTAGCCTGAGCTCCCTCTAAAGAGGGAGAAAAGCCAATCTTCCAGGTCAGTCTGGCAAAAGCTGGAGGAAGGGCCCATTTGCTTGGGGACTCCAGATATCAACCCATGGCCAGCAGATCCAGCTCAGCCAGATTGTCGGGTCACAAAAATAAATCCACTATCTCTAATCGCTCTTTTGCCTCTTTTGCAAGCCTTTGAGGCGGGCAGGGCATGAGAGTTACTCATTCCTAAGAAATGAGCAACAAACAGTTCCAGCTAAGCACCCTGGTTCATTCACTGCCTGGCCACGACCACAAACTTGTGCTAAGCTGAGGGTCGCTGACCGGTGATGTCATTTGGTGCTCAAAGCATTTGTTGAGTATGTGTGCGCACCAGACCATGTGCCAGGCGCTGGGCACACAACAAATTCCACCATGGTCCTTGACCTTGAAGGGGAGCCATGCGTGCAGAAGCCTAAAGCTGTGTTGTGATAAGCCTAAAGCCATGTTGGGAAGTTCTTATGGCAACACAGCTGGGAAAGTATAAGTCCTGCCCTTGGAGGGGAAGGAAAGTGATGGAAAGAGAACATGAGCCAGCCTTGAAGTTGCTGTTTATCAGCTGGCTCAAGTATCAAGGTGGAACCAAGCACAGGCAATCCGAGCATTTCTTCCATGAAAAATGAAACTTAAGTGTCCCGGAAAAGTTGAGGATCATACCAGAATTCTGTGTCTCAGCTTGGAGTGACCATGCAGCATATTTAGTCTGACATGCTTTGAGAGTGAAAGAAAGCACTGCTAGTAATAACACCAGGACCAATGCCTGAACCCAGACCGTCCCAGGGAATCAGGGACATAACCATCATCCTAGGGATAACTTGAGGCCTAATTTGCTGCCCTGAATGAAGTTCATTCTCCCTCTACTGGTCAGAGACGAGATGGCAGGGGATTGGTTGCACCACCCACTGCCCCCCCGCCCCCCGTCCCCCTCAACCTTTTTATTTATTTATTTATTTTAAGAAACTGATAGAAGACAAATACAATGTCATCTGACATTGCAATCATTATTGGAAACTACAATGCACAGTATGTTTGTACTTACATCCTTGAAAACCATTTTAGGGCTCTCAGCCCCGTTACTGAACCATAAAGATGCTGGGTTTAAAAATATTCAAATTGGTTCCTTATTGAGGCAAATGCTGAGGAAAAGCAGCAGATTGCATCTTGAGCTTGAAAAGAACTCCTCTTTGACTTGCGTTCTCCATGATACAGCTGACTTCTTTTAAATCGGTGTTGTGAGTTAGTGCTCCTGTTCCATCTTCACCTGCCTTTATTAAACAAGCAACACAGAGGCAGATGACTTCTCTGGGTGCTTTATGCATGTATCTCACTTTAAACACTGCGTTTTTTGTTTCCTTGGGAAATAAGCCCTCATAGCCAATGGTTGCTTCAGGTCTTGACCAAGTACCCGGATGCCCCAGCCAGATGCCATGGTTTGCCTCCTGGGTGTTCACCTCTCTGTGGGCTTCTTCCCTCTGGTTTCTAAGGTGACAGCTTGTTCATCAGATGCATGGAACAGCACAGACACAGGCATTTCACACCCGTCTATTCAGAGCAGGGGCCCCATGGCCCAGATTTTCTGGGAAAGTTCTGTTTTCACACATTCTGCCTTGTGCTGGTCAGCCAATGTATTCTGGTTTGAGATAACAGAATGTAAAACAGTAGGGCCATCTTACCTATAGCACGTGACCCAGAGAAACAAGGGCCCTGGGTTAGTTTGCAAAGCAGGTCAAGTCAGCCTTGAGTCCTATAATGCTGCAGAGAGCCCAGCACCCTCTTGCCGCAGCAAGGCCGGCCCCATCTGGGTGGTGGCTCCTGGGTCTCCAGCACCCAGCACTGGGCAGGCACTGGGTGGTTGCTCAGTGAATATTTACCTGATGGAAGCGCCCAGGCACAGTGGTGGTGAGCACAGATCCATGCACGCTGACTACCATGCCCCACACATCCACGCTGCCCCTGGGGCGCAACAGTGCCAGTGAGAACTCCCCACCAGAACCTGTGCCTCAGCTGAAAATTTCCTTCCCTTCTCCCATCCCTAACGACTCCCCTTCCTACAGGTCCCAGCAGATGTGAAAAGGAGAATAAAGAGCCTCCAGTTCCTCCTTTGGCCCCAACCTTAGTTTGCATTCTAATTCATTAACATTTGCAGGGTGGCTTGCAGCTGTCCTTAGAGATGGTGGTGGCAGTTCTCCTGAAATGCACCTGTGTTGTTCTTGCACTTTCTGTCACTTCTCAGTGGGCCTCAGAAGTCAGGTGGGTGGACTTATCTGCCCAGCCATGTGGAAGAAGGAAGGCTCTCATGTAGATGTCTACGTGTACATAGCGCCTCAAAGTGAGGATTATACACTACACATCAATTCCCCTCTGACGTCTTAGTGGAAAGTTTCCATTGAGCCCTAATGCTCCCTAGAAGTATGTCACATCCTGCCCGCGGAGGGGCCCACCCAGGGCCCCATTCTGGTTACCCTCTTCATGCTCGAGGTTGTGCCCTCCAGGTGCATCTCAGCTCGGAGAGGGGCCCTCAGGGTCGCAGCTTGCTCTGTCCATCATCCAGCATCTGCCTCCTCACTTTGTGAATAACAGGGCACATAGATATCTTCACTGGTGAGATTTGCTGGTGGTAAAGCATATTATCTGGCTGTCCTCATGGAAAGCAAAGGAAGCTCCCTCAAGGCAGGGGACACCCCAGGGAACCTTTGGGAGAAGCAGGAAGGAGTGAGAGCCGTGGGCCTGGGGCCTAGTGCAGCACACTCTGGAATTCCCCTTGCTTCCTGCCCCTGCCCTTTCATTCCTCTCTGGAAAGGCTCATTCACCAAGTTCACAGAGATTCTGTGGTTCCCTGCATGTCCTCAGGAATAGCTCTGGGGGAATTCTCATCCCTGATGGAGGATCAGTCTTGTGGAAGTCCTTCCTGTCAATAAGGACATTCTTAGTTTTCATGGGGTTGCCACAGAGACCGGCCACATCAAAATAGAGACAGCCCACTTTTCCAGAAACCCATGGTGACCTGCTTTCGCATTAGCTTCTGGTAAACCTCACAGGTGTGGCCTGTTGGCCTCTTGCTATTTAGGGAGCCCTCTGGGACCAGTCTTCACCTCAGTCCCTAACCCAGCGTCCTATACAGTGTGTGAACACCAAATGCCTGTTAGTGGAGAGGAGGAAGAAGATGACAGTGATAAGAAGCGGAGACAAGCTCCTATGTCCCTCCAGCAACTGGACAGGCAGGAAAAAGTAGGAGATGCTCCAGAGATTGTGCAAATGCTTCCTTATTTTCAGGCATGCTTGATACTTATAAACACCGTAGACAGACAGACAGATAGGTAAGTAGGTAGGTAGGTAGGTAGGTAGATGTGAACAAATGTGAACCTGGAAGGGCCAGTCTTCCAATATAGATCCTTAGTGGCTCACTGGGTCCAGATTTGAAATAGAGCCAAGTGGCCATTTGCCGACTAGGGGTCATACAGGTATGCTGAGATCCCCCCCAAACCTGCACCTTTTTATCTTTGGGACTTTTAGAGCTCACCTGAACCAACCAACCAGTACTCAGCCGTATCAGCCAATCAGAACTAAGCAAATTTCATTTTTTTTAATTTGAATAAACAGACCTGATTGGGAACCTGGGTGGGAACTTTTGCTCTAAAACCCAAGTCTTCCTTTGTTCTTTGGAACATACCTTCATTTTATATTGGAGGCTGTGTCTCCCTGGTTTGCAAACTGTTCACTGGAATAAAGTCTCTTTCCTCCAAATTCCTTTTTCAGAGAACTTTTGTTGACAGATAGATGGATGATTGATAGATAGAATGACACTCTACATATATATGTATAGTATGTGTGTGAATAAATGAATGAAACCAACTAATAAATAAACCACAATAAACCTTAGGGCCCTGAATATTAATTTACCCAGGAGAGACCCAGTCACTAGAGATCAGGGCATCATGAATAGTCAATATCAGGGAGTGAGTGAAGACTTTAATTAGTGGCTCACAGTGCATTTCTCGAAACCCAAACTTTAGGGGCCTTTGATGCTGGTCTATACCACAGCCTGCCCTGCTGCGCTCCCATTGTATTCTAATACTCGGCGGTGTTTGCTATAAACGTGGGTGAAGGTAGGGTTGTTGGGTTGAACGTAAGTTATCCCAACTCACTAGCTGGTTTTGGAAAGTAAGCAGAATTGGTTGTGAGTTTAGTTTTCTGTCTACTTGACCTTGCTCTCTTTTTTTTTTTTTTTTTTTTTTTTTGCTAAGTCTGGAAAAGGCCCAAGTGCTTGGTATGATCTGAGGAAGGGCCTTAGGAGGGTCCCCAGAGCTAGCATTTCCAGTCAGGTAGCAGTTGAATTTGCAGATCCAGAGACCACTGAGGACACTTACTGCATCAGCCTGGCTGGCTGGTGAGTAGCTGTGCTCTCAGCTCACCAACTCCCTCCCTTGCTGTGTGTGGGAAAGGTGGACTAAGGACATAATTCCTGGTGAATTCAGGAATTCAGAAAGCCCTTGTCCATCATGCAGTGTCCCTGACCTGAGTCCACACTGTGCGTGGTTCTCACAGGCCAGGCTTTGATTCTTGCTAGATGCGTAGCTCTGTGACTTTCCAGCCAGACACCTGGCTGGAAAGTATCCTCAGTGCAAGTTAACTCTGGCATCTCTCTAATTCTGTTGCTGGGTTCGACACAAAAACATCCTAGTGACAGCTGGTCCCATTTAAGGTCAGCCACCTGTGCTTCCGGAGATGGAAGTAGACTCAGACCAGATGAGTTTTTTGGTGTCTGTATTGGATTAATGTGTACTTCTTTCTAATAGGAATTCCAATGACAGTTGTCTTGTTGGATTTTTTTCTACCTACATGATCATTTTCCTTTTTAGAGCCACCATAGTTTTATCCTATTTAAAATACTTTGTACTTTGAACCATGGACACCCACCTCCCAAAAATTAAACCATTTATAACATGACCCTTGAGCCTGAAGATTGCATTTCAAAATATAGACAATAAATAGAGTGATTTTTAAAGCACCTGTCTAATCAGCATTAAGCAGTCACCAGCACCTCCCCATAATTGAAATTCCAAAGAGTGACTCTAAAGCGTGGACGTGTTCAGAATCAAAGATGGAACGGTTTTTAGGGTAAATGTTACATACTGAAATCAAGCAACATGTAAAGTTTTTAATACATAGATGATCGTTATACAGACTAATAATCATACCAATTGTCCTCAGGCCCTGCTGGACAGCCGCGCATCTGTCTTGTAACGAGCTAACCATGTAATAAAGCACGGTGAGCAGGCACTTCCTAGGGCAGTGCCAGGAGCCTTTCTGAATACTGCAAAGGACTATGTCCAATGCCTGATCTAGCGTCTTTAGAGATGGCCCACCTACAGCCAAGGTCTCCCAACAATGTAGCTTTAGAGCTAAGCCTAGGCGGGCTTCCCCCCAGTATGTTCCACATTGCCATGTAGTTAAACATGCACCCTTTTTTTTAAGTTTGCCCCTTGCCCTTAATGATAACCTACATTCTTCCTAAAAGTTACCTTCTCTGGAACATTTCATTAAGGAAAGGAAGCAGTCATTTTTGCTGCTTTATACTGTTTGAATTGTTCAGGCTGCTGGCAGTGGAGGTGGACAGGGATTCCCACTCTTTGGTGCTGGGGGAACCTTTTCTCATAGTAATGCCCTGAAACCCTGCGCCATGGCACAGCGCAATGCTTAGAACAAAGGAGTGAGGAAACTCAAGGTGGGCCCGCTGGCATTCTTCAAAGAAGCCCTGAGAAACTCTGAAATTCCCCAGTCTTGAAAGAAATGAGAGAGAGAGAAAGGAAGTGTTATGCTTTAGAAGACAAAAAGCAATTTCTAGACTGTCTTTACATAGGAAACTAATTCATTACTTATTGCCACTAAACATGAGCTTGTCAGTGGAGGCCTATTCCAAGCACAGTGAATACATTATTTTCTTTAAACTCCCTATTCTACAAAGTAGGAATCATTCCCATCTTACAGATGGACACTGAGGCTTTGAGAGGCTGCTCATCTGAACTGAGATTCAACCCCAGAACCATCTATTTCCTAAGCCCAAGCCCTCAAACGTGCCATGACACTGCTTTTGTCTGTGGTTCTGAATCGCCTATGACTCCTGTGGAGATGGCAGCAGAATGTCTGGGATTTCTACACCAGGCTGAAGCCTCCCCCCCGCCACACCCCCTATTCCCTGGCTCACTTTCAGGAAGTGGTGCCTGGGCTGTGCCCCTCAGATGTGGTCGCTTCTGTATATGTGATGAATTTTGAGACTCTCAGTGGCCCAGGACCATCACTACGTATTAAATCCATAAGATGTGAGAAGGGTAATTAACACTTCCTGTTGTTATTTCCCCTTCTTTGCATCCAGGGAAAGGGGTACAATAGGGAAGAGCAGGAGGAGGGGGAGGGAAGATCCACACGCCAGAAACTGAAGTGGTCTGGAATGGGAAGAGTGCTGGGCACACAGGAGCTTTCTGGAGCTGTGTCTAGAGGGAAAATGAAGGTTCCCTCCTGTTTAAACCAGACTCCCAGTCTGTGGCTTTCACACTACATGCAGAGTGTGGAACACGTCATCTACTGATGAGCCCTATTCACCCAACACACTCAGAACTTGGGGGTTTAGCCTTTCCTAACTAAAAAAAAAAAAAAATCTCTGTGAAGTTTTGACATCTGGATCAACAATTAGCCAAATATCTGTGGGTGGAATGCTACCTGGAGAGAAATATTTCAGAACCCCCAAATGAGAGCATCCTTCCCACACAGACCCAGACCTGGCCCAGACCCAGAAGAACAGGTTGAGATGAAGTTTTGTCCTGAAATCACAGTGTCCTGGAAGCAGTAGTTCTGAGGAAGGGGCAGATTGCCGTCCCAGCCTCTTCACTGAAGGATTTGAAGGCTGATTCCAGTTGTATGAAAACAGCATCTCACTGCAAAGAAGGTGCTGTTAGACCAATGTGAACATGAGCTCAAGCATTCTCACCTAGAAAAGCACCTCTGGTTGTGCCCTTTTGAAAAATGTTATAAATTTCTTATGCCAAATTTAGAAGGAATTAGGTTCCAGATTATTTTCTCTCGGGTTTAGAATTGTGTTTACGACACTGAAGTTGAGTTTTATATGCCTTTGGTCAGACTCGTGACAATTAGCCACTCCTGGGGAGAAGGGGCACCCTCGTGCCCAGGTGCCAGCAGCCCTCGCCCGCAGTGCCTGGCCGGCTTCCATTTCTCCTTGAGGTGGCTGAGCTGGCCGGAGCGTTCGCGGGCTGAGAGGACCAGCAGTGCCATCTTGTGGAAATGTTGTCAGTGCTGAAGCCAGGCTGAAGGAGGGAGACAGCCTCGACTGTCACACTCTGAAGAATGATGTTATCCAGAAATGTCTGGGTGCAATCGAGTGAGACGTTTCCCTCTGCTCACCAGCCATGCTAATTATTATTTTGCTGTCCAGAAAATTAATAGCCCAAATAAATTAAGACCAAGCCAAGAAGGTATTTCAAGAACTAAAAATGGCAGGAACGGATTTGTTTTCCATCGACTTACTGGGAAATGTTTAAAAAGTCACCCCAGCTGGGAATATATTTTCTGTAAACTCTGGAAGCACAAAGCTATGGATTCTGAGCAGAGTCAAAACAAGAGTTTTGGAATTTGCTTCTAGGCTGCCCTGCAGGCTCTGTGCTTTCCTGAGGAGACTGCTTTTCCCGGTCAATGAGCGCATGTGCTGGGCCACAACCTATGTCACCCCCTTCATCAGTGCATGAGAAGAGCCCCCAGCCCCATTCACTTTGTATGGGCAGAAGCTGATCGAGGGTACCCTGTCCTCCCACTGCAGTGCTCTAGTGTCGTGTCCTCTCTGTTACACAAGTGCTAAGCACACACTGTGACTACCTTTCATCAGCACACAGTGGGTGAGGCCCAAGGGCCTCTTCTTCTGCACTGACAGAGGGTTTGATTTGAGGTGCGGCCCAGTTCTCAAGGTCATTACCCTGGAAAAGCAGTCTCTTTGCCCACCCTCCTCAGGAAAGCACAGAGCCCGCCAGGCAGCCTAGAAGCAAATTTGGAAACTGTGTTTCGACCCTGTTTAGAATCTGTTGCTTTCTGCTGTGTGTATGTGCGTGTGTGTGTGTGTGTGTGTGTATGCACATATATAGAGTCACCTAAGAAGGTAGGGTCTGTTGCTGTCCAGTTTTATAGACAAGGAAACTAAGCCTCAGAAAAGTCAACCACCAGCTCACCAGCTTGTCCCTGGCAGAGTCAGGATTTGAACCCGGATCATCCAACACTCTAGCCCACACTCATGGTGTCCATTTGCCACGGTCCCTCCTTTGCGTGGTTCTGAATCGTCTCTGGCCCTGTCGGCTGCCTCGAATCTGTTAAATGGTTTGAAGCCTCCCCTGCATTTTGTTCCCGAGACTGAGGAACAGAGTCGTCTGAGATGGTGGAGATCTCAGACGACCCGACTGAAGAGCACAGCCCTTGCGCTTCCTCCCGGGCTCCACCCCCAGGACCCCAAGCAAGGTTCCAGCCTCTCTGAGGCACCATTTCTTCCTCCGTAAAATAGAACATCACCTGCCGAAGGAACTCAGATGAGCTAATGATTTATGTGGAAGTGCTTTGTATGCTAGTTAAATGCTAGAGACATAAGTGATCATTTTTCAGGAAAAAAAATCCACTATCAAGTCAGAAAGTAAATCTTTAGGTAGATTTGAATATATTGTACTGTCTGGTTGAATAAAGGACCCTCAGGTTACATTTAGATTGCTTACCTTAAAACTCTGCATCTCTAAATCATATACAGAAGACAAGCTAAAACTCTGCTTTAAAATGAGGGGACTGGGCTTGGAGCCAAGATTACATGCACTATACAGCCCTCGTTCCAAGTCTGGTTCCCAGCACTTATTACTGTGCAACCCTTGGGCAAATGACTGGTCCTTTCTGATTTACCATTCCAATCTGTGAAATGGACAGTTCCTGCCTCACAGGACCAAGAGAGTTAGATACAGCACTTCTAAGGGGAGCGCCTAACTCAGCACCTGGTCCATAGTACATAGTGGTGATTGATAAACAGTAGCTTTTATCAACCTGAGATCATTTCTATCCTTTAGGGAAAATAGAGCACCAGTGGCTTATTAAAGGCCATGTGTCCCTGCCTTCTGTGTACATGCTTCCTGCTGATAGAGTACATTTACATGAAAAGGAGACAGCATTTGCAGAGGATAACTTGAGTAGACTTCCATGAACCCAGGTCAAAACTAACATGAAAATGATTCTGTTACGTACAACTCTCCAGTAATGCCTTTGCTGCCATTTTGATTACTTTCAGTGGGATCAGAGATTTGACCAGATTCCCAGTTTCACTACTACTACGCACGTGTGTGTGTGTGTGTGTGTGTGTGTGTGCGTGTGCATGTTTCTCCCCATCCCAGAATTCACCTTCGTGGTAACTAAGCTGACCCTAATCCCTACCAGGATGCTTGGGAAGGAAGAGGCTGACCAGTCAGATGCACATCGGACCCTCCCTGTTGCACAGAATCCTATTTTGGGGTGAAGAAGGGCACTGCATTTTTCTAAGAGTGCAGAAGCTCTCCAGGGTTAAGGGAAGAAGGGTAAGGACCCCACAAAACTAGCTGTGGTGAGCCAGGCTGGAGCAGGGCAGCAGATACAAATTACTTTGTTCACAAGTTGCCTGTCAGTAGCAGTCCTATTTGAAGATTACTAGCAATCGGTCCTTTTGGGGAGCCCGGATTCATTTCCTGGCTGACCTGCTCTCTGTAGCCCAGGGGAAAGTATTATTGCAATATCGGTGTCCTGTGGGGACTGAGTAGGTACATGTGGGGTGTCGCGTACAGTTCTAGGCAAAACTCTAGAAACCGCACTGGAATGCAGTTGGGAGAATAGCTGAGAGAGTGAAGGAATTTGAAATCATGCCTTTGAGTCTGGGAAAGGGATGTTCTGGGGGCTTGTGGTAGCCTTCTTCAAATACCAAAGGACTGTCCTGTGGAAGAGCGTTAGACTTGGGATGGGCGCTGGACTAAGTGCAGGGAGACAGAATCCGGCCCACCTGGGAGACATCCAGGCGGCCCCCACTGAAGGCCCTTAAGCTCTCAACTGCGAAAGGATGAAGGTATAGATTGCAGCAGCCGTCTGCCTGGTAGGGAACCTCCTGTCCAGCTCTAACTCACAAGAGTGCATCGCTTTACACCTCTCAGAACTGGGGCAGAAACCAGGCTGTCAGAGCACCACGATGATGAGGGAGGGTGTAAAGCCTTAGAACACAAAAGAATGTTAAAAGTCTTCTCAATTTTTATATGAGTTACATGTTGGGGTAGCAGTAACTTGAATATATTGAGTTAAATAGTTGCTGTTTGGGAGTTTAGGGAAGTTTTAAAACTATGAATTTGGGTTTCTCAGCCCTTTCCACATTCCTTTAAAGATGAGACCATCAAACTCAGTCTTGATGATATCTGCATTCCACAGGGTTACTCAGTCACTGAGCGTTTCTGGCATTTTATCCTGTCTGTCTGCAGTTTCCACAGAATGCCAATAAGGTATAAATCTTCATTAAGAAAATTTAGAAAATAAGTAATAGCAAACTTTTGTTAAGGACAAAGGGTCCTTTTAAGAGTTTGATGTGGTCCTTGCCAGATGGACAATAGAGACCCACGTGCACGGACATCAGGTGGCTGCTTAGTCTGGGTGTGAAAAAGCTGCAGTTTCTGCTAGTGTATAGGAAGTGTTATCTGGATTCTAATCCTGGCTAATTCTGCCTGGCTTGCAGTTCTTTTCAATTTAAATAAGTGTAGTTTTTAAAGTCTGGAAAGGCCTGAGGATATGGGGCGGGCAGGGTTGATAGTTTTCACTCTCTGTTTCCTGAGAGAAAATAATGTTGCATCTTCAAAACAGCATCTGTCAGAATGATTTTCATCAGATTAAATAAATCCTCAAAGCAGCTATCATACTTCTTAGACTTGAGAAATGTAGGTTATACTTTGCATGGAAGCCTAATGGCATTTAAAATAGGTGTGTTTTGCATGTACAGCCTTACACCCAGACCTTTGACTGGGGTTTCTCGCTTGTGAGATTTTGTTCAAGCTACCACATCTCAAAGAGTTTAGTAACTGTTTTTACTTTATAAACGTCATAAATAATTATTTGCCAATTTAAGTTGCTGTTAATTATAGTTGGAAAAAAGGATTGGGCTCTGAAGCCTTTGGGCCAAACTTGATGAAAACCTTCAACACAACATACGCTCTGTCACGGGACAAGTTACATGAAAATACATATCGCTGTTAGACATTTTGGAAGAGGCCTGCCTTTTGCCATCTTTTCATGGGCAGCTGCCATATGTCCTTACAGCCAATTATGGCCTTTTCAGTTTTAGAGAAGAATTTTGGGGGCGACTTTTGGTTCATAAAGACCTTTAATGAATGATCAATACAGATTGATATTTATTATTCTGTGGCAGGGAAGCTTATTCTTAAAATTAGTTGCTAAATCTAAACCACAGTACGATACTTCCTCACACCCATTAGAATAGAGCCTTTATCCAAAAAAACAGAATAAAACAAAACAGAAAACAACGAGCGTTGGCAGGGATATGGGGAAATAGGAACCCATGTGCGTTGCTGGTGGGAATCTAAAATGGAACAGCCGCTGTGGAAAACAGGTTGGTGATTCCTCAGAAAGTTAAACACAGAATTACCATATAACCCAGCAATTCCACTTCTGAGTTACACACAAAATAATTGAAAGTAGAAACTCGAGCACATATTTATACACCCACGTCCATAGCTGCACCATTCGCAGCAGTCCAGGTGTCCATCAGCAGATGAATGGATAAGCAGAATGTGGTCTGTCTGTACAGTGGAATGTTATTCAGCCTCAAAAAAGAATTCCCACACATTCTGCAACATAAATGAACCTTGACAATATTATGCTAGATGGAATAAGCCAGACACAAAAAGACAAGTACTGTATGATTCCACTTACATGAGATCCCTAGGGCAGTTAAACTCACGGTGATGGCCAGGGGCTGGGAGGAGGAGAGAATGGGGAGCTAGTGTTTAATGGGGACAGACTTTCTGTTGGGAATGATGAAAAAGTTCTGGAAATAGATAAAGGTGATGATAGCATAATAATATGAATATACTTAATGCCACTGAACTGTATACTTAAAAATGGCTAAAATGGTACATAATTTTTTTGTAATTAGTTGCTGAGCTGGCTGGGGTTTCAAAGCGAAGTTAGAAGGGAGGGAGAGCTTGGACTGTCTTTAGGAAGAACGTTTGCCTTGAGCAGACCAGAGCTAAAGGAGACCCTCAGTCTGGTGTCCTGTCACTTCCCGCCGAGTCGCCTCTTGCGGCTCGATAAGACTTTCTCATGCAACACAATTCTTGAATATTGTGTAAAAAGTGCAGTCTTAAAGCAAGGACCTCGCCTGCGGAAGTGCTGGACACATGGGGTTCTTTTCTTTCAGTGCCTTATTTCTTACCAGTGCCAAACAGATGGGGGCGCTGGAGCACAGCAGTGCAGGATGAAGTCTCAGGCCTTCATGTTGTTCTTCCCCAGGTTAATTAGGTGGAATGCACACTGTTTTGGTTGTGCCCCAAGAGACTGCTCTGACCTAAGCTTGCCACTGAGTGACATTCCCTGTCCCTGCTCCTCAGCTCGGAGTCAGCCCTCAGGGTGTGCACAAGGGCAAGTTCACGGCCTTTCCATCCTGAGTGAGTCCCTTTGACTGCGGCATCAGACCCTCAGTCTTGCCATCACTCAGCCAAGTCGCCAGCACCACATCCAGCAGAATGACTAGCCACTTTGTATAGGATGCAGCACAAAGGACACCAGTCCCTGGCTCATCGCCACACCCGGTGGGCCTCACCTCACCCCTCGCCACCCAGTGGTTGGCAGAGGCACATTTCTTATGCTGAGCCTAGCATGATTTTCATTGACATCCTCTGTCTTTATGAGCAGAATCCACCAAGCCACTAAAGCTCAGCAGATTCAGTCATGACTCAGCACAAAGGAGCTATCTCCGTGAATTTGGGGTTTCACAAGGACAGCGCCATCTGTGAATGACTCCTGTGGACTCTTAGACGCTGCAACCTGCAACCATGGCCCTGGACACTCCTGGAATGAGCTGGGCCTGTGGGGGGAGGGTCATTCTTACTGCTGGGGGTCTCCTTTAGCCCCCAGGGTCTCCATGGCCATTCAGCAGTTGCGATGGGACAGTGTCTTGAGCAGCTCACATGGGAGTGAGGTGCTAAATGTGGGTTTAGGAAAGGAAAGAGCGTGCCCTGGGAGTCAGAGGCTGGTTTCTAGGCCTCAGCTTCCGTGTGTGTTTTCCAGCACTCAGGCTAGAGCAGAGCTGTCATGATCTCATATCATCACTGTTCACACACATTTCTCCGGGTACATACTCGAGGCATAGAACCCCACCCTTGTCGTGATCAATGCAGGAGACGCCCAGAGGACAGCACCTCTGAGGAGCACCGAGGGCAGGGAGGAAGGGCGGGACTGTGGCAGGCCCCTGGGCTCCAGACTCCCGTCCTCAGTGCACACAGGGGACCAGTGCTGGAGACAGATTCCTGATAGCCAGGTCCCCCGAGAGCCTCACGTGGCAGCTACTACACAGTGGGGCTGGGCTCAACCAAGGAGCCTGTCAGGAACACCCAACATGGAGGCCTCTCCAGGCTGGCGCCCTACTGCTGGATGGCGCCTCTGCGTCCTGGAGTTCCACTCCACCTCTGCAAAGGGTGGCGTACTCACAGGGTAGACCACCCTCATTGCTGGGGATCTCCTTTAGCCTCCAGAGTCTCCATGGCCATTCAGCAGTTGTGATGGGACAGTAGTTGTGTGTGTGTGTCAATCTTTATAAATACACACGTACAGTAATACAGAAGTACAAGTGATTTTAACTTGTTTTGCTTGTCTGCGTTTCAATAATGAATATGTACAGGCAGACCTCAGAGATATTGCAGGGTCTGCTCCAGGCCACCATAATAAAGCAAATATTGTGATAAAGTGAGTCCCACAACTTTTTGGTTTCACAGTGCATATAAAAGTTATGTTTACCCTCCACTGTAGCCTATTAAGTGTACAGTAGCATTACGTCTAAAAAACAATGCATAACTTAATTTAAAATTTTAAAAATTTAAAAATTCTGTATGCTAATGATCATCTGAGCCTTCAGTGAGGCTCAGTCTTTTTGTTGGTAGAGGGTCTTGCCTCAGTGTTGATGGCTGCTGACTGATTGGGGTGGTGGTTGCTGAAGGTTGGAGTGGCTGTGGCAGTTTCTTAAAATAAGACAACAGGCCAGGTGTGATGGCTCATGCCTGCAATCCTAGCACTTTCGGAGGTCAAGGTGGGTAGATCACTTGAGGCCAGGAGTTCGAGACCAGCCTGGCAAACGTGACAAAACCCTGTCTCTACTAAAAATACAAAAATTAGCCAGGCATGGTGGTGTGTGCCTGTAATCCCAGCTACTCTGGAGGCTGAGGCATGAGAATCACTTGAACCTGGGAGGTAGAGGTTGCAGTGAGCAGAGATCACACCACTGTACTCCAGCCTGGGCAACAGAGTGAGACCCTCTCCCTCTGTAAAAAAAAAAAAAAAAAAAAAAAGACAACAATGAAGTTTGTGACATAGAACATAGATCAACTCTTCCTTTCAGGAAAGAAAGATTTCTCTGCAGCATACAATGTTGTTTGATAGCATTTTACCCATGGTAGAACTTCTTTCAAAAATGGAGTCAGTCATCTCAAACCCTGCCACTGCTTTATCAATTAAGTTTATATAATATTCTATATCCTTTGTTGTTATTTTCAGTGTTTACAGCATCTTCACCAGGTGTAGATTCCAGCTCAAGAAATCACTTTCTTTGCTCATCCATGAGAAGCAACTCCTCATCCCTGAGGATTTTAATCACAAGATTGCAGCCATTCAGTTCCATCTTCAGGCTCCACTTCTAATCCTAGTTCTCTTGCTGTTTTCACCACATCTGCAGTTAGTTCCTCCAGTGAAGTCTTGAACCCCCTCAAAGTTACCCATGAGGGTTGGAATCAGCTTCTTCCAAACTCCTGTTAATATTGATATTTTGACCTCCTCCCATGAATCATGAGTATTCTTAGTGGCATCTATAGTAGTAAATTCTTTCCAGAAGGTTTTCAATTTACTTTGCCCAAATCTACCAGTGGAATTACTTATTTCTTAAATAATAAGACTTGAAAGTCAAAATTACTTCTTGATCCATGGGTTGCAGAATGAATGTTGTTTTAGCAGACATGAAAACAACATTAATCTCCTTGTATACTTGGTCTTGGGTGGCCAGGAGCATTATAAATCAGCAGTAATACTTTGAAAGGAATCTTTTTTTCTGAGCAGTAGGTCTCAACAGTGGGCTTAAAATAAGCAGTAAACCTTGATGTAAACCAATGTGCCGTCATCCAGGCTCTGTCATCCCATGTATAGAGCACAGACAGAGTAGATTTTATGTAATTCGTAAGGGCCCTAGGATGTTTGGAATGGTAAATGAGCATTGGCTTCAAATTAAAGTCATCAGCTGCATTAGTCCCTACTAAGAGTCAGCCTGCCCTTGGAAGCTTTGAAACCAGTCATTGACTTCCCTCTCTAGCTGTGTAAGTCCTAGATGACATCTTTTTCCAATAAAAGGCTGTTTTGTCAACATTGAAAATCTGTTGTTTAGTGTGGCCACTTTCATCAATGATCTTAGCTAGATCTTCTGGAGAACTTGCTGCAGCTTCTTCCTCAGCAGTTGCTGCTTCACCTTGCACTTTTATCTTCTGGAGATGGCTTCTTTCCTTAAACCTCATGAACCAACCTCTGCTAGTTTCCATCTTTTCTTCTGCAGCTTCCTCACCTCTCTTAGCCTTCATAGAACTGAAGGGAGTTAGGGCCTTTCTCTAGATTAGACTTTGGCTTAAGGGAATGTTGTGGCTTGTCTTTTATCCAGACCACTCGAACTTTCTCCATATCAACAATAATGCTCTTTTACTTCCTTGTCACTCACTCCAGTGCTCACTGGAGTAGCATTTTTAATTTTCTCCCATAACTCTTCCTTTGCATTCACAACTTGGCTATTTGGTGCAAGAGACCAGCCTGTCTGAGCTTCCGACATGTCTTCCTCGCTAAGCTGGGTCATTTCTAGCTTTTGATTGAAAGTGAGAGACATGCAACTCTTCCTTTCACTTGAATACTTCCAGGCCATTATAGACCATTGTAGAGTTGTTAATTGCCCTAATTTCAATATTGCTATGTCTCAGGGAATAGGGAGGCCTGAAGAGAAGGAGAGAGACAGGGAATGGCTGGTCAGTAGAACTGTCAGAACACATATGACAAGTATTGATTAAGTTTACCATCTTATATGGGCACGGTTCGTGGTGCCCCAAAACAATTACAGTAGTAACATCAAAGATCAATGACCACAGATCACTGTAACAGACATAATAATAATGAAGATGGACACCCATAGACTTGCTTATGCAGAGTTGCCACAAACCTTCAATTCCTAAAGAAACACATTACCTGTGAAGTGCGATAAGCAGATGCCATAAAACAAGGTGTTTGTTTGTGTGTGTGTGTGTCTGTAGAGGGGAGGGTGTTTATATATGTATATAATTACTCAAGCTTCCTCAGCCACCTTTTAGGGCTCAGTTTGGTGAGGAAGCTAATTCCCTTTATTATGCATGTATTCTTACTAGATTGACTCTCTATGGATGACATTTTATATCAAGTTTCTGGAGTGGGGTGATGTCCTGCATTTCCGCCTTTCAGAGCCTCAGCAGGTTAAAAAACAAATAGGACATGGAGACAGTGGAAGCCACTGTGCACTCCTGCTACGGAAAGACGGCTGTGCCTTGTTGAAGATGATACTATATGATTCGCTACCAGAGTGGGGCCATCCCTGCTTCAGGCTGTTCCTAGATGTTTAAAAGAACATTCCAAACGACGTTAAGAAACTTTGTGCTGCCATTTGTGTATTCCTTTCCAAATCTTTTCTAAAATGTTAGAATTCAGACCACAGTTCCTGAGCTTTGGATGCAAACTCCTTGGCCCTGAATCCCTGGAAGCCCTCCCCTGTGGATGGTATCAGCCATCACAGCAGGATGTGCTTTAAGAATCCAAATGAATTCAGTTATACCACGTGGCGGGACTTTTAAACTTGAGCTGAGCTTACTCATTTCTGGCCGACTATTAATCCTATAGCTAAATCATGTACGTAAAGGAAGGGGAAAAAAATCCAACCTGGGTAACCACACAACAAACACTAAATAAAACCAAGGTAATGTATGGGGCATCTCTGTGCTGCTTAGTAAAACTTGAAGTTTCTTAATGTCGCGAAGTAACAGAAATTACTTGGGGGAATTTCAGGTGTTTTTGGTAAACTCTTTGGGGAAGTAAACAGTCAGTGAACTTTCGGAATGCTGGGACTTTTGACTGCAGCAAAACAAAGCTAAGACAAGTGGATTCCTTAAAAAAGACCACTGGCAGCAGAGGAGAAGCAGAGCTGGGAAGAGACAGGCTGGTGAGCTCAGGGGATAAATTCTACCCCCTCTACCCAGCAGGACTGGCCTTAAGCAAAACTGAACTAAGAGGGAGATGCTTCCCCTCCACCCACCTCCGTGAGTGTCCCCGATCGATCGCGCTGTCCCAGCTGGGCTGACCTTGTATTCACCTCCAGGTCTTGGGTGTCTGTACCTCTTGGTGGAGGCATTTGGAAGTGCACACACCTTGTCCACTACCTCAAACTGTGTCCTGATGTTTTTAAATTATGGCACACGTAGCCATAAAAAATAAGTGTACAGAAGAGTATATAATTACATGGAGAGATGCTTGCCATAGCCTTAGTTCAGAAGGCAGATTACAAAACAGTATAACTATTTTTGTAAGAAAAAAGTTAATAAGAAGACAAGCACGTACATCTGTCCATAGAAGGAAAGCCTGGGAGGATAGCCCCACGTTAACAGTGTGTGTTTCCAGGTGGTAGACCTGCTGGCGATTTGAGCCTGTTTGGGCTTGTCTGTTTTTTCACACTGAGCTGTACTGCTTTGGTACTGCATCCATTCCCTCAATACTCGGCAGTTTAGGTGAGCTCAGTGTGAGTTAACATGTCAAGAGGTGACATGTTTCCCAAGGACCTTATATTTGTAATGCTCAGGGATTGATGGGGACGGGAGGTTTGTGTTGGCTCTAGAATCTCCCCTGTGAGGACGCTGGAAGGGGAAGCCTAGGGTTGAGGAGGCAGTGAGAAAGTCTCCAAGTCCACACCATGTAAAGCTACTTCTCCCCTGCTTTAGGGAAGCGCCTGTTTCACGATCTCATTAAATCCAAATAAATGGGCTTGCCCATAGTTAAAATGTGTTGATTTAACCAAAAAACAAAAATAGGCTGGGCACAGTGGCTCATCCCTGTAATCCCAGCACTTTGGGAGGCCAAGGTGGAAGGATGGCTTGAGGCCAGGAGTTTGAGACTAGCCTGGGCAACATAGCAAGACCCTGTCTCTACAAAAATAAAAGAAAATAGCCAGGTATGATGCTGCACACCTGTTGTCCCAGCTACTCGGGAGACTGAAGCAGGATCACTTGAGTCTAGGAGGTGGAGGCTGCTGTGAGCTATGATCGTGCCTCTGCATTCCAGCCTGGGTGACAGAGACCCTGTCCCTAAAAAAAACACAAATAGAAAGTGGTTGAAGGCAATTCACTCGCAGTTGGCTGCAGTCTGTTTCTCTCTCGTACTTGGGGCTGAACTAGCCTCAGGAGAAGGAGGCTCCCGAGCCCCGTAGTGTGATCATTACAACAAATAACGCAGAGGAGAGGTTTGCTTCCCATTCTGCCTCCACGCCCTCCAGCCTGGCTCATCCACATACACATCGTCTGCCACCGTGTTCCCTGTTGTGGACTGTTTTGTTAAATCTGCCTTTTCCCTTCTTTTTTTCCAGTCCACCTAAACCCACTGTGTTCATCTCTGGGGTCATCGCCCGGGTAAGTCTGGGAGTGTCTGCGGTGGGTTTGAGGCTTTTGCATGGCAGCATGGAGTCTCCTGGTTGCTTCTGGTTTTGTTAAACTCTACCTGGAATAACCCAGCACCACTGCTCATCTCCTCTGTGGCCATGGCTCTCTTCATTGCCGCGTTTCCCCAGAGGCTGCTTCTGCAGACCGCAGGCCAGACTCGCATCCTTTACCTTTCCAGAGCCGCCGTCTGGTGAGACCCAACATTGTGACTTAAGCGCAGACCTCCCACCAGTGAACTCCCATCAGCAAACCCCCGCAGTGAACCCCACAGTATTGCCGTCCATAGGGCTGCTGTTCTCAGAACATTCACTTTCTTATCAGAGGATGCCTGAAGAAAGTGCCAGTGTTGGGGACAGCCCACTGTTGGTGGAGCTGTGACCGCAGCCAGCCAACCTGCCAGCCAGAGAAGTGTGGCTCCAGCCTGCCCATGTGGACCCCACCCTGGCCACACCCACAGTTGGCACAGAAGCCCATTGATCCCTCTGGAAAATAGGGAGTCCCTCCTGAGACTGGACAGGCCGAACCTGGCTCTGTCTCGTAGGCGCCCTGTGCATTTCCTTCCCAGCCAGCGTCCCAGGCCTGGCTCACAGCTGTGGTGGCACATCTGAACTTAAGATCCTGGATTTGGTTCTGTCCTGCCCCCAATTTAAATAGTCACAAATACAGATGTAGCAGAAGAAACCCCGCAGCATCCAAGTCAGTTCTGTGGGAGTCGCATGTTCCTGTGTCTCACGGCATGGGGCAGAGCCAGTGAGCATTCTTGCTGTCCTGCCAGTGTGTGGGCCTCAGTGCCACCTGCCATTCCCTGGTTTTGATTGCCCAGGCCCCCTAACACCCACAAGGGACAGACTTCCACCTTCCTTTATCCATTCACAGTCCACGCCTGCCCTGCAGGGACGCTGGTGGGTGCTGGCCTGGGCTTCCTCACATACAACTGCCATGCTTCCTGCAGGGACGCTGGTGGGCGCTGGCCTGGAGCTTCCTCACCCACAAACCCCATGCTTCCTGCAGGGAAGCTGGTGGGTGCTGGCCTGGGGCTTCCTCACATACAACTGCCATGCTTCCTGCAGGGACGCTGGTATGGGGCTTCCTCACCCACAAACCCCATGCTTCCTCCAGCGACACTGGTGGGCGCTGGCCTGGAGCTTCCTCATATACAACCGCCATGCTTCCTACAGGGACCCTGGTGGACGCTGGCCTGGGGCTTCCTCACATACAAACCCCATGCTTCCTGCAGGGAGGCTGGTTGCTGCTGGCCTTCGGCTTACTCACATACAAACCCCATGCTTCCTGCAGGGACGCTGGTGGGCACTGGTCTGGGGCTTCCTCACCCACAAACACCATGCTTCCTGCAGGGACGCTGATGGGTGCTGGCCTGGGACTTCCTCACATACAAACCCCACGCTTCTTGCAGGGACGCTGGTGGGCGTTGGCCTGGGGCTTCCTCACCCACAAACACCATGCTTCCTACAGGGATGCTGGTGGCTGCTGGCCTGTAGTTTCCACACATACAAACCCCATGCTTCCTACAGCGACGCTGGTGGGCTCTGGCCTGGAGCTTCCTCATATACAACCGCCATGCTTCCTGCAGGGATGCTGGTGGGCGCTGGTCTGGGGCTTCCTCACCCACAAACACCATGCTTCCTGTAGGAACGCTGGTGGGTGCTGGCCTGGAGCTTCCTCTTATACAACCGCCATCCTTCCTGCAGGGACTCTGTTGGGCGCTGTCCTGGGGCTTCCTCACATACAACTGCCATGCTTCCTGTAGGGACGCTGGTGGGCTCTGGCCTGGAGCTTCCTCACATACATACCCCATGCTTCCTGCAGGGACGCTGGTGGGCGCTGGCCTGGGGCTTCCTCACCCACAAACACCATGCTTCCTGCAGGGACACTGGTGGGTGCTGGCCTGGGGGTTCCTCACCCACAAACACCATGCTTCCTGCAGGGACACTGGTGGGTGCTGGCCTGGGGGTTCCTCACCCACAAACACCATGCTTCCTGCAGGGACGTTGATGGGCGCTGGCCTGGACGTTCCTCACATACAACCGCCATGCTTCCTGCAGGGACGCTGGTGGGCGCTGGCCTGGGGCTTCCTCACATACAAACCCCATGCTTCCTGCAGGGGCGCTGGTGGGCCCTGGCCTGGGGCTTCCTCACATACAAACCCCATGCTTCCTACAGGGACGCTGGTGGATGCTGGCCTGAGGCTTCCTCACACACAATTGCTATCCTTCCGCAGGGACGCTGGTGGGCACTGGCCTGGGGCTTCCTCACCCACAAACCCCATGCTTCCTATTGATTAACCTGAGCTTTCCGTGTTTCCTGACAGGGTGACAAAGATTTCCCCCCGGCGGCTGCGCAGGTGGCTCACCAGAAGCCGCATGCCTCCATGGACAAGCATCCTTCCCCAAGAACCCAGCACATCCAGCAGCCACGCAAGTGAGCCTGGAGTCCACCAGCCTGCCCCATGGCCCCGGCTCTGCTGCACTTGGTATTTCCCTGACAGAGAGAACCAGCAGTTTCGCCCAAATCCTACTCTGCTGGGAAATCTAAGGCAAAACCAAGTGCTCTGTCCTTTGCCTTACATTTCCATATTTAAAACTAGAAACAGCTCCAGCCCAAACCTTGTTTATGGGGAGTCTGGTTGGATGTCATTTGAGGATCATTGTGCCCCTAGAGGTGCCATTAGCAGAATTTGCCAAGATCCGAGAAAAATTTTAGCTTTAGTTCTATTTCAGCAGTCACCTGACGTCCTTGTCTATGGTCTTAAAAACAAGAAGGCACACATTTGAGAAGATGAGATTAAGGTTAGGAGAAAACCTCAGTCATTGCATGCTTTTTAGTATGGGCCAATAAAATCTCAACACCTGTGGGAGAGTAAGAACTAAGGGAATGAGTTTGGGCGGCCCCTCATAAAGGACCTTAGAGGCAGGGAACAGCAATGCCAAATTTCCCTCTCTCGTGAGATGGGGGATCCTGTGCAGGCTGATGAGGCACCCATGAGAAAAGCCGAAAAAGCATGCATCTTAGAAATAGCCCCTCAATTCCAGGAGTCAACATGCCAAAGAATGAGGCTGGAGACAGGTAGCTCCGAGGGAGGACTTCTGGCATGAGATCTCGGCACGGCAAGCCCAGCATCGCCTCAGCCCAGACAGGCTCCACCAGGAGATCAAGCAAGGGCTGCCTTTCAGGAGTCACCTCCTGAGCCACTTCAGAGTTCTGGAAGTGACCACGGACCAGGGTGGAGGAATAGACTTCTAGTTCATTCTGGGACACTTGAGCCAGAGAGTTGAAAGCTTGGAAAGACCAGATAAGAAACCTGCCCTTTGTCTCCCTAGGGACATGAGACACCACATTCCATTTGTGCTAGAAAAACCTATCCACTGATGAGTCTAACTGTTCCAAACGCCTCCCACCTGGTGTGCACAGCTGCCTGGGTCCATTGTCACTTGGGTGCATCAGGTTGTCCTCCGATTTTTAGATGAGTTTCCTGTCTAGAGATGTCCTAGTCTGCTCACTGGCTGGTGGCAGTAGGGTACCCTGCGTCCTCGAAAAGCCAGAGGGTTCACCTAGTCAGACGAAACTCCAGAACAGTGCTTGTGGAGGGCCTGACTGTCCTGCTCACCCACAGCCGATCTGCTGCAGGTCAGCAACTGTGTCGTGAGCAGCTGCCAACCACCAGCCTTTCTGGTGCTGTTCTCCAGTTCACGTCTGCCAGCTGGTGAGGGCAGAGGCAGACCTGGTCAGACCCAGCGCCCCTCCTCCCTGAGGGAGCATGGCACAGCCTCACACTTGAAAGACGGTGTTTGGTTTCCCATCTAATCAACTTAAGGGAAGCCGGCATGTACCCTTCAAGGCCCTGTCACCACCTATTTCCTGATCAGTTGGTATAAACTGAGGGTGGCTTTTAGAGACCCAGACTTGGTTGGCAGCGCTGCCATGGAACACCCCAGCAAGCACCTCCCAGCCTGCCTTTCGGAGCAGCACCCAGGAGGGGATGCCGCGCTCCAGCAACACCAGGTCAGGCCTGTGCAGACCCCTGCCCTGCCGCTGCAGAAATCCAGAAGCATCCTTAATGCTTCTCAGTCTTCAGCCAGAGGGAGGGCTGTTATTTCCAGAGGTGCGCTTTTTATGTACTTTTAGCTAGATGTGGCATGCATCTGTGAGCTTTAGATCATTAAATCCAAAATGTTTGCCTAAATGAGTTTATCAGTTGTTAACTTCAAGAATATTAAATGATTTATAATAAAGCTCCTGCATTTCTCTCCAGCTTTGTTTTTTCTTATAGATCAGAGATTCCCTTTTACATTTTACCAGGGTTGCCAGGTGGTTTCAGTAGAAATACAAACGTGTACATGATAGGTATTTTCAAAACTTATTTTCCAGATAGAAAAGTAGAACTGTTGGACACCTGGTGACTGGAGTCTAATTATCTACTTAAAATGTCAGAACATGGAAAAAGCTTAATACCATTGATTAAAACATATTACTTGGGCCCAGCAGCTGGCCTGTGCCAGGTAGGCCCTTTGGGAACAGATTTAAGAGAGAATGATGAATAGTAAGCCCAGGGGTGACAGTGAGCAGCTTTTGATGTACAAGATGTTTGCCTTAATCAGAAGGTCTCCTGTAACCCTTGTGAGAAAATAATCACAACTATTACACTGGCAATCCAGAATCAAATCAGAATTTGAGTGGGAGGGGCCTGAGGTTTTCTCACCCAGGGCCATATTTGTCAGGGAGCACCAGAGAGAGCACCAGGGGCCACATTCAGAGCCCCGGCTTGGGAGTGGCTGGAGCCCACGCCTCCAACAACCCTGGCCTTGCCTGGTGTTGCCTCTGAAGCTGCTGCTTGTATTCCTGCCTCCTGTCTCCCATGCTAAGCTGAGGACAGGAACCAGGGCCATACTCATTTTCTGTCACTGGGCAGAGAGTCCATTCTCAGTAAATACATTGTGGTGGCCAGAAATGCCAAGCATCCAACAAGCATGGAACAGAACCACCCCCAGGGCTCTCCACATCATTCCTGAACATCATTATCCTGTGTCAGTTTTCTATTGCTGCCTTAACAAAGTCACAAATTAAGCCACAAACTGGGTGGCTTAAAACAACAGGAATGTATTCTCTCACAGTTCTGGAGAGGTTTGAAATCAGTGTGTTGGCCAGGCCACACGCCCTCCACAGACTCAGTGGGAGTTCCTGGCCTCACCCAGCTCCTGGCGGCTGTGGCCATCCTTGGCATTCCTTGGCTTGTGGGCAGCATCACTCTGGTCTCTGACTCCGCTGTCATATGGCCATCCCCTGTCTATGTGTCTGTCTCCAAATCTTTCTTGTTTTCTGAGGATACCAGTCATTAGATGAATGCCCACCCTATGCCACTATGACCTCGCCTTCACTAATTACACCTGCAGAGACTCTGTTTCCAATTAAGGTTACATTCAGAGGCACTGAGATTTAGGACTTCCACATATCTTTTGGGGAAACATCGTTCACCCAAGAACATCACCCATGTGCTGAAAAGCCAGAAACCTCACTCCCAGCTCACACCATTTGAAGAACAGTTCACTTAGTGCATCACTTTTCTGCAAAAACTTTGCTGGGAGAACCTTCACCTGCTGCAGGTTTCATGATAAAGCATCTCTAGCCGTGCAGCAGCCCAAGCCTGGCTGCAGGACGTACAGAGAAAAGACTGGAAGCAGAGACATGAAGGGACAGGACCCTTGGCTGCAGAGGCTGCCTGTCCCTGGGTCCAGTGGCTGTGGGATTACTTGCTGTCGCATGTGTCCTCAGCCCAGAGAGTCGCGGTGTTGCCACTGTGCTCCATGGATGGTGGTTGTACCATTTTACAGGAGGAAAGACTGAAGTTCAGCATCCAGTGTCAAAGCCACTGTTAGCAGTTGGCCAATAAGCACATCAAAAGATGCTCAACGTCTTTCGTCACCAGGGAGATGCAGATCAAAGCCACAATGAAATACCACTTCACCAAGATGGCTAGAACCAAAAAGTCTATGGCACAAGGGTACTGACAGGAATGCAGAGAAATTGGAACTCGTACAATGCTGTTGGGAGTGCAAAATGGTGCAGCCACTTGGGAAAACAGTCCCAAGTGAAAAAACAGAAAAACAGTTTCTCAAGTGAGAAAACAGTTCCTCAAACAATTAAACATAGAGTTATATGACCCAGCAATCCACTCCTAGGTATATACACCCAATAAAAATGAAACATGTCCATGCAAAAATTTGTAAACGATTATAGCAGCATTATTCATAATAGCTAAAAGGAAGAAACAACACAAATGTCCATCCACTGAAGAATGAATAAACAAAATGTATAGCCACATAGTGGAGTACTACTCAGCCATGAAAAGGAATGAAGGACTGATACACACTACAACATGGATGAACTTTGAAAACATCATGCTAAGTGAAAGAAGCCAGTCACCAAAGATTACTTGTGTGATGCCATTCATATGAAATGTCCACAACAGAGAAATCTGTAGAGACAGTGCTTGCTTAGGGCTGGTGGGGGGCAGGGAGAGTAGGGAAGTGATGGCCAAAGGGTACAGAGTCTCTTCTTGAGGTGATGAAAATATTCTAAAATCAACCATGTTAATACTTGCACATAACCTTGAATATGCTTTTTAAAAGCCATTGAATTATACACTTTTAGGCGAATTGTGTGGTATGGGAAATACATCTCAATAAAGATGTTTATTTTAAAAGTCACTGTTAGCAAATGGCAGAGCTGAGGCTTGAATCCAGATCATTCTGATCCCACAACCCATCACACCTCACCCTGCCATGGTCTAGGGACTAAATAACAGAAAACACAGAATGTGGTTTGATGCGAAGGGCAAGGGGGTCAAGAGCATGCTGCGGTTTCAAGACTGGATGGCCAGGATGTTGGCGAAGGTGTTAAGAAAAGCCAGCGTGAATGGAGGAGGAATTAACATGGGAAGCAAGAGACCATTCTGGGCAGACTCCAGTGTGCCCACGTGGCCTCCAAGCAGAGCTACTGTGCAGGGCTTTGACAAGGTGAGACCACTGCTTGGAGGGATGCCAGGGCTGGAGAGACATCTGGGATCCATCTGCTTGGAGATGCTGATAAAGGCAGGGACTCAGTGACGGAGAGGCCATGGAGACACACTGAAGGCATGAGTGCAGAGGTGCCAGGTGAGGGAAGGTTGGAGAGGCACACCAGCACACACAAGGTCATGAGTGCCAGGGGGTCTGGCAGATGGGACACAGGGAGCTGCAGACAGGTGACTGCATTCCATCACCCTGTGACCCTAGAGCAGGGGCTTCTGGTAAGTGGAGAGATGGAAGCCAGATTTCGCAAAATTAGGAATGGAAAAGTTTGCCTATAATGGGAAGCTATAGGTAAGACCTTCACTGGAGGGGAGGGTAGGTTTGAAGAAGAAAAGTTGTTTTTAGCCTGAGCTACAGGGAGACTTGGACATGGTTGTGGGGAAAGGCCCCAGAGTGATTTAAGGCATAAGAAAGAGAACAACTGCATGATGTTCATTGACAGCAGAGGTCCCGGGGCCCCACAGAGGGTGAGTTCATGAGCCAGAGCAGGAAGGTCACCCTTGAGGGGAGGCGAGAGGGACAGAAGTCAATGTGGACGCAGGAAAGTCACACTGAGGTTGGGAAGAGGACAGCAGAGAGCACCCACCGCAGATGTACAGCCAGCCTTCTCAACAAACCTATGAGAAAGCTTCTGCAGAATAGGGCGCTGAGAAGATCAGGTTGTTTGAGATGCAAGGCCACTAACGGATGATTCGAAAGATTACTGAGCCTGGAAAGACGGAGCTGAGACAGGAGAGTGGATCTGTAGTGGAAGTGATGCATCCAGTCTTAGGACTTTCTCTAGCCATGACCGGGGGAGTTTGGAAGAGGTAGAGGCTGCCTGCAGTGAAGCGTGGGGATTAACATGGGGCCAGAGCATGGCCATGGGCCGAAGGATCAAGAGCGCTTCCCACAGTGCCCACAATCACTGAGCCCGGGACCCAGCCCAGGGGACAGGGATGGCTGACTCACACCAGGTGCTCCTTCTGTGCAGGCGTGCGTTACTGTCTGAGCCATAGACGCGCACCATCTGCTCCAGGAGATGGATCCCCATGTTGTCATACCCATTTACAAGATGAGGAAACTGAGGCTTGGAAGACTTGGGACTTGCACGCAGGCAGTGTCACCGTAAAGGCTTATGTTCAATTACCAAACAAACGTTATCACCTGCTAGCCCAGAAGGGACAGATATCATGGAAAGGGCAGCTCGGGGGTCTGAAGGAGGCAAGAGAGACTGGCAGTCAGAGAAACTCAGGGGAGCTAGTCAGCAGGATGGCAAGGAGCCATTTGAGGAAAGTCGAGGAAAAGAGAAAACCTGGAAGGGTCAGTGTGGATGCTGAGACCCCAGAGACTATGAAACTGATACTGAAATCCTCAGGGAAGCAGCACATCCCAGGGGTGATTAGATGACAGCAGTAAGGACCGGGAAAGGCTGAGCTTAAACAGAAGGCATAAAACACGGAGAAAGGAGACCTGTAAGGAGGACAAATGGTGACCTAAAAACCCCCACAGGGAGCAAGAAGCTCTGCTTAGCTGCTGCCCCTGGATTAGGGACACAGTGTGGGGGACAAGCTGTCCTCTGCTGTGCAGAGCCGGGGAAGACAGGGTCGTGAGCACCTATGTGTGGTAAAGGCCAGATGGTGAATGGCAGGCTTGAGGAAGGGAGAGGGGGGATGGCACTGCACCGGGGCAAGCACAGGCTCTAGAGTCACCCCTGCCCAGGCTCAAACTTCAGCCCTGCTGGAGCAAGAGGCTCCTCCATCAGCGTCTCTGGACCCCAGTCTCCACCTACCCAATTGCACCTCTGCATTCTCAGTTTTGTGAGCATGAAAAGAAGTCATACACGCTAACCTCATGGTTAATACAGATGCTCAGTAAATGAGAGGCGTGACTGGGATCATGAGGACAGGGGTCCCAGTATGGACAAAGGGTGCTAGAGGGGTACAGAGATTTGCAGTTGGCAAGAAGATTCCAGAAAGGGATGGTTGGATCAATGCCAATCAAGACTGTGTTCAGAAACAATGAGGAGATGGAGAGGAGGCCAGGGGCCCAGGTGAGTGTTGGCGGAGCAGGGATGGGCAGGAGGGTGCTGGGCCCTAAGGACCCTCCAGGGGCTACCTGTCACCCAGAGGTCAGCGGCGCGTGCGTGCCTCTGGTTCCCGCATGCCATCCACCGCAGTCTCTGGACTCAGGTGGCCCCAGCACAAAGCACAGCGCCTTGAATGTTTTCGCTGATAAATTTCTTCATAACGTTTACAAGTGTTACTGGAATGATCCAAGACTGGAGGGGTTACCAAGAGGAGCACATCGTTTTCCAGTGCCCCTGACTCATTCATCTGCTGCCCCATGGACCACAAGCCCTGAGCTCTCCCCTGCGACCACCCGAGAAGCAAGCAGCCCCTCCCTGTGCCTGCAATGTGCCCCTGGGACATCCCTGTTGCTCCACCCTGACCCAGAGGCTAGGTCCCTGGGGCCACCCCCTCTCTCCGCAGACCCCTCCTGGAGGGAGAGAATCCCTGGGACATTTCCTTTCTGGGTCCAGGGAGGAAGGAGAACAGGGACCCTATTCAAATGTGTCCTGGAGTTCTGCCACCTCGACACCATTTCAAAGAACCTCCTTAGCTCCAGTTCTTCAAACTAAAACCGGCCCCTGATGGAGCCAGTGCCTGGACCGCAGAACCCGGAAGCTCAGGCAGGGCTCAGGTTCAGTTGCCTCCTGCCACTTACTAGGTTTGGGCACCAGGTGAACCCCCGTGTGTGTATCAGGAAGTGAAGCTACAGGGTGTGATGTGCCCATGGCTTGGACAGGAACCTGGTCAAGGAGACCGTGGAATGACCACCAGCCAAGCAGAGGGCACACCCAGGCCTGGATGAGCGCCACGCAGGCAGCCTGAGAAAGGGCAGGGATTGGGGGCGAGAGAGCAGAGCCATGGGGAGATAGGGCCAGACCCAGTGGGTTTGTCATTCATTGGTTATTGTTAAAGCATCTGCCTCTGCCTCGGCAGCCCATGCTATTCTGCTGTTCTGCAGCTTTTCTTGTCTTCACAGCTGCTGTGCTGGTTAAATGCTGCTTTTTACAAATTCGAAAGTAAACTTTTTCCCTAAGACTTGGCATCCTGCTGACCTCTGCAGTATAAAAACAAAAACAAAACAAAACAAAACAAAAAAATAGGCATTTTGTAACCCTCCCAGGAGGCGCCGGCAGCCATATGCGCCTGAAGAATGGGGAGGGAGGGAGGGAGTTGGTGGTGGTGGCGAATCATGAGGCTTTGCGAACTTGAGACATCCTCATCACAGTTGTATTCGCCAGGTCCTCCAGAACCAGTAGGGTGTGTGTGTGTGTGTGTGTGTACATGTTTATCCGTGTGTACACACACATGCTACACATATAGGAAGAGACTTATTTTAAGGAATTGGCTCATGAGAGTATGGAGCCTAGCAAATCCCATATCTGCAGGGATGGCAGGAAGCTGGAGGCCCAGGAAGAGCTGGTGCTGCTGTTCAAGTCCGAAAGCTGTCTGCTGGCAGAATCCCTCTTGCTCAGGGAAGGTCAATCTTCTGTTCTATTCAAGCCTTCAACTGATTGGATGTGGCCCACCCACATAATGGAGGACAGTCCGCTTGACTCAGAAAGTCTACTGATTTAAATGTTAATCTCATCCCAAAACATCCTTATAGAAACATGTAGGATAATGTTTAACCACATATCTGGGCATCATGACCCAGCCGAGTTGACACATAAAATTAGCTAAAGTAAGTGTTCATTGCGGCTGATTTTTCTCTGGGTCCTTAAAGCATCTCGGATGTGTTTTTACTTCGACCTATCTGCACATCTTTACAACCTTCTGTCTAGCATTCACCTTGCTCTTTCAAACAGTTTCTAAAATTCAATTAAGGGCATTCATGACAAGAGAAAATTAGTTTCCCTCATCCTCCCCTTTAATCCTAAATATTTTCATAAATCCAACTGCCATGCTTTCAAAAAAATCTAATTTGTCAACTGGAAAAGCCCCAGCATGGTCTGCTATAATGAACTAATATAATCTGGAGGATTTGGAACTCTACCCAGAAGCCCGGAATGAGCTTTTGATTATATTTTGACATCAGCATTCTGCACTGCCAAGGGTCACTTAAAAGAAAGACTCCAACATTTTGCAGCATAAGGACTCAGTTTCCTGTGCAAGTCACCAGAAACCCACTTGTGTTAGTCTTTAAATAGGGATGTACTGAGAACATGGAATGTGCTTAGAGGACTAATAATGATCTTCATTATTTCTAGGGCAATGATTTTCACCTGGGGGTGATGTTGCCCCCCCAGGGAACATTTGACACTGTCTGGAGGTTGCTAGTAGATGGAGGCCAGAGATGCCACTAAAAATCTATAATAATGCAATTAAACAATCAAAAGCAAATTTCCCTCAACCTGGAATCCTGAAAAAAAAAAAATACATGTGTTTCAGTGATGACAGCACGTTTCGTGGAAGCAGCTAACGTAGCTCAAGCTTGTGTTTTCCAGTTCCTGGAGCAGAAAATAGTAAATTGCTGTGATGCAGATTTGCTCCTGGACGCAATGGAAAATTTTAGATAAAGCAAATCTTTGCCTTCAGGGAGAGCGTTCAGTGGCTCTCCAGCATAGTGTTTGTTTTCTCAATCACTGATACAAAGAAGAGCCAAGATCAATGTCCTCGGTGGCTTCCCAGCACACTCACCTAGGGCAGGAAGGACAGTCACACTGGCTTTTGGCTCAGCGATTTAAATATTCTCAAAAACAGGTCTAGAAACCTCTTTGCAAAGAATTGCAGCTGCTTTCCAAAATGAACCATGTGTCCCTCAAGTTGATTAACCTCCCAGATATCAGTGTGCATGGCAAAGGGATAAATAGCTGAGAGGAAAATGTGTGTGTCTGCAGAAAAGCAGCATGAAAAGAAACTCATGTAGGTAAAGATCTCCTTCAGGGCAGGGACTTTGCCCTTGTCCTGTGTCCCTGTCTGCTAGCAGAATTCCTACCTATCGCAGCCGCTCAACAAATCCCTGTTTCTATTACAGGAGTGAAGGCTAGATGTGAGTTCTGGGAGAAAGTGGTCATTTCTTACCGTACCTGGCACTTACCCAAGCCTCCAAACTAACTGGATGATAGACTAGGAATGCTGGCACCCACCATTTCCGTCAGACTCTGAAAATGTTCAATTAGTTGGTTCCGCTTTTAGCTGCAACATGTGCAACTAGATTGCGTCACGCATATATAAAAGACAAATTTCAGAGCACTGTACAAAACAAAACTTTTCAAAAGATGCAAGTTTCATCACAAATTCCCTACCTTCTATACCAATGACACCTCCATCCTCACCCAGTGGGACCAGTGGCCAATGCAAGAAACCCACATCCTGAGACTTGCCCCATCACAGGCAAGGCTGTGCCTAAGAAGACAAACTGGAGTACAAAGCATCTCTAAACAAAAACAACCACAGCCATAATTAATACATGCATAAAAACAATACCTAAGAAATGGTATTTGGGGTAATTATGAATCATTTCCATCATGCATACTAAGGAAATCATCTCAAATTGCTTTGTAATGTCACATCACATATATTTAACAGCCCTAAATGATGCTAAGGACTTCATATATGTATTGTTTAGTTTCACAGCTAAAGTATTTTCGCTGCCTTAATACTATTTTTTTTCAGCCTAATAGTTATTCGGCTATCCTCACAGATGCTCTTAGTATATCAAAAGGATCCCAAAGAAAGTTATCCTAGGAAACAATAACAAAACCAAAAGATTATTACTTTTCAGGGGCAACACTATTGCAGTGTCTAAGAAAGAGCATTAGATCACTAAACCAGCATTTTCTTCAAGGACAATTAACTAACCTGAACATAAGACAATGACAAATGGGCATTTATTAATTAATTAATGCTTTGTTTAACCCATATAAATTTAGCCAGAGTTATACTTTTTCTTTCATTAATCACAAAAGTCTTGAAGTAGACAGATTTCCCACTGAAGGAGATTCTGGTCCTAAATCACCACCGTCGTGATCCCCATCACCATCATCACCACCATCATCACCAGCACCATCATCACCATCATTGCCATCATTGCATTACCATTACCATAATTACCATTATCATCACCCTCATCACCATCATCACCATCATCACCATCATCACCACCATCACCACCATCACCACCATCATCACCATCACCACCATCATCACCATCACCACCATCACCGTAACTACCATCACCATCATCACCCTCATCATCATTGCCATCATCACCATCATCATTACCATCATCACCATCACCATAATTACCATCACCATCATCATTACCATTATCATCACTCTCACCATCACCACCTTCATCATCATTATCACCATCATTACCACCATCATTACCATCATTGCTATTATCACCATCATTACCACCACCATCATTTGTCATCACTATCACCACCACCACCATGATCATAACCATCACCACCACCACCACTATCACCACCATCATGATCATCATTATCATCCTCCTCCTCACATTTATTGGACACTTACTATGTGCTAGATGCTCACATATCCTACTGGTAGACATTTTCGTCATTGCTGTTTTACAGGTAAGGAAACTGAGGCTTAGTGTGGTAAAATAACATACTTAAATCATATAGCTAGTAGGTGGCAAAGCTAAGATCAATATGACAGCTATGATTTCTACCACCAACTTTTAAAGAGCAGGAAGCTCCACTGTCATTTTCACACATTTGATTGATGGAACAAATCAATCCATCATTCAGGTGAAAGTAGGACCCCAAGAGTTAGAGGAACAGCTAGGTCCTCCAATTGTCAACCGTTTAGGTCAATAATTGGAACCTCACAGGTGTCTAGGTCCTGTTCCCAGGATGGTAACACTATAAGTCTGAAACCTATTAATCTTGAAGAGATGTCATCATTGTCAGTGATAACAATGACAATGACAGTGGGCCATATCATGAAAAGGAGGAAATCTTTAAAGACCAGACTTCAGTCCTGCTTTCACTGTGCAGAAATCCAACTCTATGCTCTAGACCCTGTCTCTCTCAGCACCAAATAGGACCCCCTATGCACACATTGCAGGGCTGGTCTTCAGGGTCCCTGGAACAGGGAACTGTAAGAGAAAGTCCTATGGGGCAAGCAGGTCTAGAATGATGAAGAGCTCCAAAAATCAGACAGAGAAAAGGATGGGGCCTCTTCCCTCTTGCCCCCCAGGAGACGTTTCAGGAAAGAAAACACAATAAAGAAACTGATTTTCTTGGCTTTGCTGCCAAGTTGCTTCCCAGTGTCCATTCTCCCCTCTGTCTTTGGACTGGAGCCGCGTTATATCCACGCCAGCAATTGGCCCAGTTCTACTGCTCCATTTTCCAACCTAGCAGTAAGTGTGACTCATGACTGAGTTCTGGTTAATAGGCTATATAAAAGGATGGTATCTTAAAGGGAGCTGACTCATCCAGAAGATTTGCCTGTTTTTCCCCCTCACTTCTTCCTCCTGCCTGGAAAACAGGTGTGATGGCTTGTCCTCCAGCAGCTACTTCAGATCATGAGGCAATGAGGGAATACCAGCCCCTTCCAAGGATGACTGAACAGAAGGAGCCTGGGTCCCTGGTGACAGTGGCCCCACCATGATCGCCCCAGCCTGCCTCTCTGGACTTTGTTTATGGAGACACAAACCCTTAAGTATTTAAGCCACTATTTTCTTGGTTGTAACAGAAAAGTTTGGAGTAGAGATTTTGAGGCTGAACACCCCGGATTATATCTCAGCACCTTCACTCACTAGCATCAAGACCTTGGATAGGTTACTTGACCTCTCTGTATCTATTTCCCCATCTGTAAAACGAGCATGAAATGGTCTCTATGTTATGTCATGTTTACGTGACTTGCAATTAGAGGACCTAACTATTCCTCTAACTCTTGGGGTCCTACTATGGTAGGCACTTTTATAAGTATAGGCCATGATCATGATCATGATCATGATGACAATGACAGTGACAATGATGGTTACTGGGTTTTCTGTTATGTGCAGGTAAACCTAACCTGGTACATATGCTCACAATGGCCAAGCCAGAATGGGTTTTCCAGAACCTTGAACAAAGGAAGAGACATTACTCTTCAATACCTTTCAGTAGCTCCCCTGTGAAACCATGAGCTCAGAACAGCAGAGGCCGACCAGACGTGTGGCTCACACCTGTAATCCTAGCACTTTGGGAGGCCAAGGTGGGAGGATCGGCCAAGCCCAGACATTCAAGAGCAGCCTGGGAAACATGATGAAACCCCATCTCTACAAAAAATGCAAAAACTAACCAGGCATGGTAGCACACACCTGTAGTCCCAGCTACTTGGGTGGCTGAGATGGGAGGATCGCTTGAGCCTGGGAGGTTGAGGCTGCAGTGAGCCAAGAACCCCACCACTGCACTCCAGCCTGAGCAACAGAGCCAGACTCTGTCTCCAAAAAAATAGAGTAGAACCCACTTTCAAGACAGAGCACACTGGGGCAACAGAATATAACCCGCCTAGCCAACTACTGGTTCAATTGTGCTAAGTCAGCGTTCAAGTTGTGGACAATAGAAAGGATCTCCAAGGATGTGTGGGGCAAAGGAGGGAAGAAAACATACAGAGACTAAAAGTCAAGGCTGAGGCCCCAGAGGGAGCATGGGTGCCCAGCAGGGGGGTTGGTGGAGTTGTCCCCTTGGGTGGGGCCTGTTGTAACTGACTCATCCTTCACCTCCTCTTTAACCTTCGTTTGGTAAGCTCTGCATCACTGGCTGTGGAAGCCGGGTTCTGCCATTTTCTCTGTGTCTGTTCTCACGGCATGACCCTGGGATACAATCAGACCCAGTATCAAGTATGTCTGCATGGATGTCAGTGGGCCTCATGGGACTTGTTACCAGTGCAGCCCAGAGCCAGGTACATAGGAAAAAATGTGGCCTTGCCCACAGAGGGGTTCTGGCCATTTCCCTCAGCTCTAGGAGGTGACTGATGGCATACCTGATAGGAGTGTCTTTGTTGGTGGCAAAGGCTGGCCACATGGAACCTTAGCATAGAGCCAGCCACATCTGACAGTCTCAGGATAAGAACTGGCCATGCAGGAAAGACCAACAATGGTGGCTTTGAGTTACACAATATCAGTGGCCTTGGTGCCTGATTTCAATTACACATGTGATCAATCAATCATTCTTTCATGCTTATATAGTGAGGCCCCAATACAAATTCTGCACACTGAAGCTCTGGCAAGCTTCCTTGGTTGACAATTCTCCATGCATTTGTCACACATCAATCTCAGGAGGGTGACACATCCTTAGGACAGTGGGAAGTTTCACATTTCAGACCCTCCCTGACGCCCCATGCTTCTCTGCCTTTGGCTCATTTCTGTCAGTGCCCTTGCCCTGTATTCAATGAGTATAATAGCTTTCACTGAGTTCTGTGAATCCTGTTAGCAAACTCTTAATGCGGGAGGTAGCTTGGGGAACCCTCCAAGCTTGCAGCTGCTGTCAGAAGTGAGGGCAGACTTGGAAACTATTTCCTGAAACCTCACAGTCTGGGTGCCTAGTGCACCCATAACCTTTTTGGGAAACAGATGTAGACACAGGCATCGAATGGCTCCATAGCCACCTCAGCCCCATTTCTTTATGCAGCTGCCTCTGGCCAAGGCCCTTCTCTTGGGGGAGCAGTTGCTGCCCGAGGGTCAGGAGCATGCCACTCTCTGTGCTCGGTCTGGGCAGGGAGTCTCAAATAAGACCCCCTTGCATACTGTTTCATTGGTCAGAAATACAGGGGCAGTGGGCCGTGTCTGAGCATGTTGTCACATGCCTTTCTCAGCCCTGATTTTCTGAAGCTTCCCATGTGTCCATAATTTCTTTACAAAAGCGGCATGATTTTTCCTCGCTTGGAGATGAGAAAAGAACCTGGACATAATGAAATCATCTATTGGCTGTGTTCTGCAGTCTGTAGAGGCAGCAGCAGGCCATGCTTGCTGGAGCTCTAGCCCTGAGGATGCCAGCACGGGCTGCAGTTGGGTGCCACCTGCAGGGTGAAGGGGCCGAGAGGAGAGGCTCCATTGTTTCACAGAAGGCCCACGTTTCCTGTCGCCCTAGCTTTTCTCCTAGTTCCAAGTGGCTGGATGGTGGGAGAGCAGATTTGGGACACCATCCACCCCAGAGGGGTCCCCTCCTCTCAGAGGGCCCCAGACCAGGCCTCTTCGCCACACCTCACTCTAGGCTCTGAGAGAAGCGGGGGGCTTCTCCTGGGGGTCCCCGACTATTCTTACCAGGATTGGAAAGATTTGGGCCCAGATGGTCTGGGACGCTGTTGCTGGTACTGAGGACACCACGGGGTCTTCCAGACCATGATGACAGCATGGCCCTAGGGACAAGGAGCGAGTGCATCTCTTCACCTGCTAGAAGGCCACGCACCAGAGCCGGGGCTCACACAGGGCCTGGGGCAAAGAGCTGTGGTCTGATTCTCCTGGAGGAAGACCTATAATGGAAGGTGTGAGAATTCAGAAGGATTTTAAACAGCAGTCCCCAACCTTTTCAGCACCAGGAACTGGTTTTGTGAAAGACAATTTTTCCAATGACTGGGGTCGGATGGGTGGCCGGAGAGGGGGCAGCAGATGGTTTCAGAATGAAACTGTTCCCCCTCAGATCATCAGGCAGGTACTAGATTCTCATAAGGAGTGCGAGACCTAGATCCCTCGCATGCGCAGTTCACAATAGGGTTCAAGCTGCCATGAGAGTCTAATGCCACTGCTGATCTGACAGGAGGCAGAGCCCAGGCGGTAACGCTCGCCCACCCACCACTCACCTCCTGCTGTGTGGCCTTGGCCAGCACCAGGCCTTAGCCCGGGGGTTGGGGCCCCTGCTTTAAAACACACCCCACTGCAGGCTGTATTATGCTGATCTACCTTCCATCAAGAATTGCTGGGGGGTGGGGGAGGTTGGGGAACTGTTCCTGATCGGTGGGGGGGTAGGAGGCAGAGAAGAGATGGAGAACCCCTGAGGACTGTCAGTCAAGGTGATGGGCACAGAGTCTGTGCTCAGAGTGGCCCCCAGCATCGTTCTGTCCAGGACTGGCCCAGGCAGGGTGTGCAGCGAATTCAGAAGTTTGCTCTTCTCTAGGACGTAACAAACACTGTCAGAGTCACACAGAGAGTATGCATCCAAGGCTGGAGAAACTGTGTAGCCAGGGGTGGAACCCCGTCTCTGCCCCTGAAGCCCCCTTCTCACACAGCCTAGAATACGTGGACTGCTAAGCCAGTCGTTTCGGGAGAAGAATTTATTGCCATGTACACTTACCAGAGTTCTGAGCAAGGAGATTTAACCTTTCAGCAAGGAGATGTGATTTTGGTTACCAAGAAGATGGTGACCGGTGGACAGGAACAGTGGGCGACAAGGCCGGAGTCTTCCCTTCTAACTATGTGAGGCTTAAAGATTCAGAGGGCTCTGGAACTGCTGGGGAAATCAGGGAGTTTAGGAAAAAAACCTGAAATTGCCCAGGTTATTTCCTCATACACCGCCACGGGCCCCGAGCAGCTCACTCTCGCCCCTGGTCAGCTGATTTTGATCTGAAAAAAGAACCCAGGTGGATGGTGGGAAGGAGAGCTGCAAGCACGTGGGAAAAAGCGCCAGATAGGCTGGTTCCCAGCTAATTATGTAAAGCTTCTAAGCCCTGGGACGAGCAAAATCACTCCAACAGAGCCACCTAAGTCAACAGCATTAGCGGCAGTGTGCCAGGTGATTGGGATGTACGACTACACCGCGCAGAATGATGATGAGCTGGCCTTCAACAAGGGCCAGATCATCAACATCCTCAACAAGGAGGACCCCGACTGGTGGAAAGGAGAAGTCAATGGACAAGTGGGGCTCTTCCCATCCAATTATGTGAAGTTGACCACAGACATGGACCCAAGCCAGCAATGAATCATATGTTGTCCATCCCCCTCTCAGGCTTGGAAGTCCTCAAAGAGACCCACTATCCCATATCACTGCCCAGAGGGATGATGGGAGATGCAGCCTTGATCATGTGACTTCCAGCATGCTCACCTACTGCCTTCTGAGTAGAAGAACTCACTGCAGAGCAGTTTACCTCATTTTACCTTAGTTGCATGTGATTGCAATGTTTGAGTTATTACTTGCAGAGATAGGAGCAAAAATTACAAAAATACACAGGGCAGTGGGTCCTTTTGTGGCTTTCCTAGTTACTCAAATTGACTTTCCCCCACCTTTGCACAGGTGCTTTCAATAGTTTTAAAGTTATTTTTAAATATATATTTTAGCTTTTTAATAAAATAAATAAATGAAAAAAAAAAAAAGAATACGTGGACTGCTGCTGGGTTTCATTAAGCTGGCCCAGTGCCTTCATCCAGTCTGCTTTTCTGGGAGAAGAGCCAGGCTGAGCCTAATGGAGCAGGTACTTTCCGCGTTGCTGTCTCCCGGAGGGCTGATTTCGCTGGTTTCCATTGCCATTTAATATGCCCCTAGTCAAAAAACGCCCACATCGAAGCAGCCTAATCAGCAATGTCCTGCAGCATTTGGGAGGACAGCCACCTCCCACACGCCAATAGGCGGCCGCTGGTGGCAGGTCACTTTTCTGAACCCTGGGCACAAGGGGTGAGGAGGTGGACCACTGCCCCCAGCCTCGCTTCTGGCTTCCTGCAGCTCCTGCTCATCCCCCAGGAAGGCAGCTCTGTCCCTGGGAATGAGTCATTGCCAGAGACGCAGAGGGGAACAGGTGCCAACAGGGGAGCTGGAAACCCCAGCTGGACCCTGGACCCTGGAGCACGGAGTGACTGGAGGCCCTCTCTCTGCTCCTGCCTCTCTATGGGGTACAGGGGGCTTTCATCTGGGGTCACTGGGTGGGTTTGGTGCAGGTTCCAGCTGTGAACATTCTTTTAGTCTCAGGAATGGAAAAGCCCAGGCAACCGCAGCTGTGGCCCCTGGATAGTCAGGAAACTTTTAGAGCTGATGGAAAGTGAGCCAGTGGGTGTGGGAGACAGGGGCTGGGGGGAGGGTTAAAACTCCCTCACCTGCAGCCTCAGTGACTGGCCCTCTGGAAGATGACCCTGGGTGGTCCTGGATTTTGTAGCCATCTGTTATTTAGTTTGAAGCAGGACAGAGAAAGGCAGGAAACTACCTTTTAGTGGCCTCCAACTCTGCAGCAGCCTTGTTAAAGATCTGAGTAGAATTTCTGTCATTTAATTAAATTGTTATGCAAACCCTACAATCCCCACTTTACAAATGAGGACCCTGGGCATGGGAAATTAAATAACATGCCCATGCCCCACAGCCAAGGCGGGCAGGGTTGACCCACAGGCCATGCCGTGACTCCGAGGTCCGGGCTGCTGCCCTGGGGTGGAGAGCTGTGCTCTGCTCATGGTCCCACTCAGTCGCAAGGCCCAAGTCAAAAAGTAGCCCCAGCCCTCCTCTCTGTCAGCTCACCAATACCAGGGAGCAACTCCTGTGGGCCAAGCCCAGTTTAGGTGCTGGGACGGACACATCATGGGGAATGGACACCAAGCAGAAGAGTATAGAAAATGCCATAAAGGAAAGAGGAGGGTGACGGGGGGCAGCGCACCCCAAGGGGAGCTAAATTTAGCTGGGGGCCCGGCAAGGACCTGAGCAATGACACTGGGCTGAAGGCTGAGCAGGGAAAGCAGGAAGAGGAACAGCAGATAGGGCCACACCCCATGGGCCTCCAGGCCATGGGACAGGGGCTGGGTGGTTTTTCTAGGTGCAACCAAAGACTGCTGGCAGGTTTTGAGCAGGACAGTGGCAGGATCTCATCCATACTCTCAACAGATCCTTCTGCCCATTAAGGGAAGGATGGATTTGCGGGGAACGAACGTGGAATGAGGCCGTTGTCTGGGAGGTGTGATGGTAGCTCAGGCTAGGCTGGTAGCAGAGAATGGGTGAAGGATTTGAGGTCTATTTTACAAATAATACAATATAAAGCCTGAAATTAAAATTCAAGATTTTTTGCTCCTGACTCTGGGTGAACCCAGGAGAGAATGGAGTGGTCCAACCATGCGCTGTGCTCCCTGCTCTGCTGCCGTGGATACGGCCCCCAGCCAACCTGCCCTCCTGTTGCAGGACCAGATGCAGCCCTGTCCTGCTCTGCTGCCATGGATACGGCCCCCAACCAACTTGCCCTCCTGTCTCTGGACCAGACGCAGTCCTGCTACCCCTGCAGAGCGGCTTCCATGGCCCACCAGCCCCTGCAATGTTCCTAACGAGCCGATTGTATCTTCCTATGGAGACGGAGTGGGGGCACCCCATCTTCTCGATACCACGGAGCCTGCCTCTCCCAGGTCCTGGTTGTTCACACTGTTCCCCCTGTGGTCTGTGTGGCAGGCAGTGGCCTCCTCCTGGGCTGTGAGTGCATGTGGTGAATACACCACTGTTGACAGTGTGTCCAGTGTCAGGTGTTGGGTGCGCAGCCAACCCGATGCCCCAGGGTGGAAATCTCTCCCTCACGCAGATGGAGAAGTTACCATCAGATTTGCAGCTGGCCGGGGTGGTGGGATGAGGGCCCTCCCAGGCTCTCAACATCCTTATTCAATAGTCTGTGGTAGTGGTGTGGGTTTGTGTCCCCTGCAAAATATGTTCAAGTTCTAACCCATGTCCCTGTGAATGTGACCTTATTTGGAAATAGGGTCTCTGTCCATACAAGCAAGTTAGGATGAGGTTGCACTGGATGAGGGTAGCGATGAGCCAATGGCTCGTGGTCTTATAGGAAGAGGAACATTTGGACACACACACATAGACAATGGCCTCGTGATGACAGAGACAGAGACTGGAGACCCTCTCCACAAGGAGGCCCTCTCCAAGGAATACCAAGCGTCGCCAGCAGCCGCCACAGGCTGGAGGAGGTGCGAGGGAATTCCCGCAGAGCCTTCATGGGGCGCGCAGCCCTGACAACATCGCGTGACCTTGAACTTCTGGCCTCCAAAGCTTTGAGAGAATACATTTGTTTCCAGCTATCCACATTTGCGGTAATTGGCTAAGGCAACTCGAAGAAAGGCATACAGGTGGGGCTGGAGAACCTGCATTTCTGACAATTTTCCAGGTGGTGCTGATGTTACTGGTCCGGGGACCGCCCATGGAGAGCCATGGTGCAGGTAAATGCGGTTCATCACTGAGAAGATGAGAGTTGCCGCAATGTCTCAAGGGCCACCTGGCCCTGAGTCCACGATGAGGACCAGCGTGTAGAGTTAGAGGAACACAGCCTGGGGCTGAGCACGCAGAGGAGACACTCAGGGGCAGCACCTGCAAAGCAGGGGGAGGAAGCGCAGGTGGCGGTGGCTCAACCACCCCTACCTGCCACCTCTCATGCTCCAACAGACATTGTGGGCTTAAATCAAGCCAGGAGACGCTCATGTGCACCTGGGAGGCCCTTTCAGATGGGGCTTGGCGAGGCAGGACTTGTCATCCCTTCAAATGATCACCCTGGCCTATAAGCAGGTCAGGGCCCCCGACAAGGGGTGAAGGGGCATTGGGGTGCCCAGGGCTGACACCAAGGCAGGCCCTTTTTGCAGGACACAGACTGGCCATCTTTAGCCCAGGCTGGAGGGTGGCTTCCCCAAGTACCCCCTTGCACTGGGAGTGAGGACATTCCACAGCTTTTTCAGTACAGGGTACCGGCTTCCCCGCACAGTCCGTGCACCTGAACCCTCCTGTCTCCCTTGGCCTAGAGAGGGGCCTCCTAGTCTAGCTTCTCACCTAGGCTGTAGGGATGAATAAGGCTTCTTTCTTACATAAGAGCTAATAAAAAGGTGAAGTATTTTCCTTGCAGCTGACCAATTTCTTGATTGGTTTTTAAAATACTGCTTTTGGAATATCAAGGTGCTTTTGAGTTGGATTGATGTATTTTAATTATTTTTAGCCAAAAGAACCTATTAACCTTTTGCTAGGTTTCTGTTGGCTTTTTAAGGGAAAGCAGTAAAGGGCTTAGGCAGCATAAGGCTGGAAGTACAGGTGATGTGAGGGGGATGGCGGTGGTGGCCGTCCTGCCCGGGGGCTGTCACCCCTTCCCCACCCCTGCCCAGGCCACACTGCTGAGGGATCAGTGACCCCTCAGGACTGGGAAGCCCCTGGCTGGCAAGCTGACAATTTCTGCCTGAGCAATTTGCACATCAAAGTTGTCATCAGACTGGAAGCTTTGGGGCCACCTTTCATGTCCCTGGATGGAAACCAGCCTGGACATCATCAAGGAAAATGGCAGGCATGACCTGCTGGGAGCAAAGACCATGTAAAGGGCCTTGGTGAAGGAGGATCACAAGGGGCTATGTGTAAAATCCTCAGCGGACGTTCTTGACCACTTCAGCCCAGCGTGGGCAGACACAGCCGCGAGGCAGCTGGACTGGGCCAGCTCCCTGGGAAGATGCTCCCATCTTCCACGGGAAAGAACTTAGTACACCGTTCCCCCAGTATCTCCAGTCAGGAAGATGAAGGAGACAAGATCACCTTTCTCCCAACCCTCCCCAACCCCATTTCCCTTTTCCCGTCCCAGTTCTTTGGATTTCCTATGGGGATCCTCCCTTGTGTGTGACCTTCCTATTCAATCATGTTTCACCCAACACACACACATTATTGGCTCTTTCACAAATGAGCACAAATAATCTCCAATAACAATCTTGCCCTAGGACAAAGGTTCATATGTAAAATTTTATTCCCTACTTAGACTCTTCCTTAATAATCACATAGATTATGGTATTTAATGATTGAGACTTCCGATTTCCTACGTTCGAAATGGAGCTTCCCAAATAAATAGGGGCTGGTTGTTTTCAGTCCCATCAAATATAACCTAAACGAGTTGTGTATACAGGTACATGTCTTTCAGCTAAAAGGAAAAAAGCAAAGTACCTATAGGTCATTAGAAGAAAATATAGAAGAAAAAGATTGTTCGTTTGGGGTAGGAAAGGCCTTCTTAAAAAAAAAAAACACAGGATGCAAATACCAAAACAAACAAAAGTTAGACAAATTTGACTAAATCATAATTTAAATCTTCTACACTACAGAAAATACCTTAATAAAACAAGAGAAAATGCACACCACATGAATGAAATATGATCCCAAATACATATCAACCTCCAGCAAAAATGACACCAAAAAGTGAAATAATAACCAAATGAGGGGCCAGGTACGGTGGCTCATGCCTGTAATCCCAGCACTTTGGGAGGCCGAGGCGGGCGGATCACTTGAGATCAGCAGTTCGAGACAAGCCTGGCCAACATGACAAAACCCCGTCTCTACTAAAAATACAAAAATTAGTGCCCGTAATCCCAGCTACTCAGGAGGCTGAGGCAGGAGAATCGCTTGAACCCAGGAGGCAGAGGTTGAAGTGAGCCAAGATCGTGCCACTGCACTCCAGCCTGGGAGGCAGAGTGAGACTCCGTCTCAAAAATAAAAAAAAAACAAAATAAATAAAATTCCACCCACCACCCCCATCCTTAGAAAGAAAAAAAAAAAAACACCAAATGAGACATGGCTATAAATAAGAAATGTGTAAAAATAGGAAATTAAAATGTTGAAAAACAGGTGAAAAGATGTTCAGCCACATCAACAACTGGGAAAATGAAATGAAATGAAAATTAAAACGAGATACAATTTTCTAACTATTGGGAAAGGGCCTCTCTTGCTCCCTGCTGGTGGTTGCACACACCACAGAGCTTTGCAAAGTGCACCATGGCAGTGACTATAGCAATTAAAACACATATTCTTTGAAACCTGGCAGATCTCACTTCTGCACTCCTATCTTAAAAGATATCCATTTGTGTATACAATTGGGTAGGTACAAGGATCTTCATTACTAGCAAATCATAAAAACCGGGACCATTTGAAAAGTTCACCCATGAGAAAATGGTTAAATGAACCATGGTGCACTTCTGCTGAGGAATACTACACAGCAATGAAAAAGAACAAAGCAGGGACCAACATGCCCTTCCCAAAACACAGTGAGTGAATGAGACTCTATATCCCATCGGGTTCTGTTTGCACAGTACGGAGGGAAGAACGCATTCAAAAGGTATTTCTAAAAGGATGTACAAGTAGCTGGTCTGAGGGACTGTCTTGGGGGAAGGTAAAGTCACTTTCATCTGAGAACTTTGTACAATGTTTACATTTTTTCTCATATTTGTGTATTACTTTTTTAGCTGTCAAAAGAAAATATTTAAATTCTTTAAAAAGCTCTCTAGGGACATATTTTAAGTAAAGAAAAGAAACTAATGGACAACCTGTACAGTGTACCATTTAGGTAAAAGAACACATAGAAACTGAATTATATTCTTGTTTTTATGTATGTACATAAATTCATGGCAACATCCCTGAAGGATGCCCACCTGCCAGTGGGTTCTTCTGAGAAGAGGCAGATTGTAATGAGATCATCTGAACATGTGACAAACTATTTGTGGGGAACTCACAATTTTTAAATCTTACCTTTGAAAAATAAGGTGAAAGTTTGTCACGATAAGAAAGTGAACGTCTATTTCAATGAAAAGAAGTGACATGAAAAATCCTGGTATATTTCACTGTATCATTCTCTAATTTATACACACTTAAGTTTATTTAAATATCACACATTTGTACCATAAGAATGCGTTTTAACAAGTGATTTTTTATTCTTTAGCCACAATTCTCCCACATTTTTACATTATCCCTTTTTTCCATATTTTTTAAACATTAGATACATAATTTGTTAGAAGTTAAAAGGGAAAAACATTTTTTTCTGAATCATATCACATTATATTTAGCTTAAAGATTATTAACTTTTTGAATATCAAAAATTGAAGCTGCTGGGAATCACATTTATTTGTAGGTCCCAAAATAGCCCTGAGGTCTGAATAGGAAAATATCTTTTATAAACTATAACAAAACTCTCACCTCAAAATAAAACACTATGAAATTTACACAGTTATATCTGTACTCAGTATCTTTACAATATCCAGAAACCTACTGGATTATTAGAAATGACAATGCAAATAGGTTTACATTCAGAAAAAAAGAGAGCTTATACTAAGAGGACCTAACTTGAAACCTGGCACCCTGTGCAGGAATCTGTTCAATCCTTAGAACGGTCATAAAGTCATCTTTGTTAAAAACACAGGTCCTTGGACACCCCCAAATGTCGGGCAGAACAAAGAGAATTCCAGTACATTGGCTTTTAATGTTCATCTGAATGGGGTATTATTTTCAAATTCAGTCGGATGCCCCAAAGGCTCACGGGCTTGCTGGTCATATTTCTGGGCCTGTCATCGCCTTTTGCGGTTTTCATCAGGTGTATCCATAGCTGTGTAGTTCTAAATCAGCTTCTAGAACTTCTGCTCAAAAACTGGTGTTAAGGTGCCTCCATACCTACCTCCTCAAACTTCTTAAAGCATCAGGCCAACACGGACCATTGCTTTGATGGAAAGTTTCGTGGGGTTTTTTTTTTTCTTATTTAAAAACAATAGAGGGGTGTAGTATTATGACAAAACTAGTTCCCTCAAAAACTGAACTGTGTTAGCATTGATTAGAGTGTCTAATACATAGGCAGACTTGGGGAAATACCAGGGCTTCCTCAGGATATGGTGTTGATTCTGACGGTAACCTGCAGCCAAATGTCAAGGGCCATAGGCTGAATGCCTGGGGAGCTCTTCCAGGGGTAAAGAATCCTCTTGGGCCTGGGCCCCTCCAGGCAGCCAAGATAGGGCAGAGGCAGAGAGATGGCCCAGACCTGGCCAAATGGGTTCTATATGAGCCGCCTTTCAATAAAGACCTGGGCTGTGATGACCCCAGCCGTGTTCTGTGCCACAGCGGGCGGAGTGCTCACAGTGGGTCCTCGGGCCATGTGAGACCCCACTGAGTACACTGAACAACACGCCATCAAAGCAGGTTCCATCTGACACTGCCTGGGGCCCACAGCCAAGCTACAGCAGCATCGTAACCTTTGCCAGCACAAAGCCCAGTGTCCCTTTAGTTCATCTGGATGTATGAGTACACATACATGTGCTCGCCCGTGCACACACTCACAGCTTAGTGTACACTGTCCACATTGGCACTGCCTGCTGCCAAGGGCTGTGCCTTTTATCAAGTCTTAGTCAGGCTGGGTCAGCGTGAGGAAATTGTGTATGCAACACCGGCTTTCAGCTGAGTCGCTTGAAAATAAGTCAAAACAATCCAGGTACTGTGTGTTTCTTTTTCCTGTCTCTTTCAAAAACAACCTCCAGAGGAGTTTTTTTAGCCACTTATTTAAAATGTTAATGAAGGAACCTGTGAGTGCAAGGGCACAGAAATAAGCAGCTGACTCGAGTTATACCAGCGCATAAACAAGTTCCAAATGCACCGAGAGGCGTGGAGGGAAGATGCAAGCAGTGTCTTGAGAGGAACTGCTTTTGTTGTAAGCTCTCGGCAGCTCCCAGCATGACCGCTGCAATGGCATTCATCCCACTGCAGTTGTCATCAATGGGACTTTATTGTTTTAGAAAGATCTGTCATGGTCAGGGTCCCACCTGTCCTTCCCTGGACCGTGGCCCTCCAGGCAGTCCCATGCAGGTGCCGGCTGAAAGCGGCTGGGGTAGAAACCAAGGACCAGGCTGGAAGAAACAGGGCCCCCAGGTGTTTCCAAAGGGGAGCGCCGATTGCCAGGTGCAGAATCCACACAGTTACCCACCGTGGGAGGTGGAGGGACCTGGGCAAATCCCCGGGAAATGTGTTAGAATTTCCCCAAATACTGCAAAAGCGAAAAAGTGCTCGCGCTTTATCATGTGAAAGACTAGTAGTGTCCAGGAGCTGACACAGCACAGGGGGACTCTGACCACCGCAGGAACAGCGAGCTGTGTCAGGACGGAAATGAGCAAGCCTGCGTCTCCGGCGCACCTGGGGAAAGAGTAGTGCAGGGTGCACATCAGGGCTGTGACTCACTCCGCAGAGCACACTTGAGTCCCCAGGGTAAGGATGAACGGACAGCCTTCCCACGTCATGTAGTGTGGCCGGTGGGGCTGGGGGGAGTGTAGTGCTCTTGGAGGCGGGCTACCAGGGATGTGGCAGACCCACTTTTCAGGTCCCATTCATTTCCTCTCTGGGATACGTTTCATCATAATCACTCGGTACGCACGATTCTTCCCAACAGCCTGAAAACAGCAGGCTTTGCATCCTTTTCAGGCCTAGGGTCTGGCCCTATGCCAGGGGCTTCTGTTTCACTCACAACAGCCTCGTCTCCGCTCCTGAGACCTGGTCACCGCCAACAGCAGGGAGAGAAGCGGGCAGAGGGGCCTAGCACGGCCCTCCTGCATCCATAAATCCTATTTTCCAACCAACATCACAAACTCTCTCTCTCCTGCTCCCAGGAGGAGCCTCTTGCCTCAGGAGTGGCCACACTGAGATGACAAAGCCATTACAATTCTGATCTCCATAGTCCTGAGGTCTCCAGTGCTGCCAGGAGTCTGTCAGGAGGAGCCTGAGAGGAAGGAAGATGTCCACGATGTTCCCAAGTGCGGCCAAGGGGCAGCCTCTGCACATCGAGTAATTCCAGATGAATGGCTCCGTGCTGTTCCCTCCTCTTTTCTGGTGAGTTTAGTGCTGGGCTGACTGTAGAACACTTTATTCACAGAAGCAAGTAGAAAAAATTGTCACTCTTAGTTCACGTGCTCCAACGTCAGACCGGGAGCGGCCGGTTCTGGAGGGAAGAGCGAGGACTGGCCTATCTGTATTCTCATCAGCCGCCTCCATGCACACGGAGGTGCATTTCATTGTTGTTGATACACACGTTCCATCCAGAAGAGGCAACTCAGAGGGACTGAAGCAACTTCACACCTACCCCAAAGCCATTTCTGCCACCAGAGTCCCCCATCTCCAATCACCAAGGAAGTCTCCATCAAGGGTGAGCTCCAGGCATCTCAGTTGTCATCAGCAGCATCGACATTGTCTGAGAAATATTTCTTCTGTCCAGTTAAAGCATAATTTACTCAAACACTAAAAAGTAGTAAAATAGACTTCAACTTTTCCTCTAACTATATTTATATATAAATCCCTGAGAAGGTACCTGTCAACTTGAAATTCACTATCTACAGTTAATAAACATCAGGGTGCAGGGAGGGATCCCGAGCCCCACCCCTGTGCACAGCAGGGGCTGGGCTGTCATGGAGGAGAGCAAACCAGGTCTCCCTTCCGAGCAAAGAGGACGGGGTGGGAGAGGCACAGCCGTGTAGGAATTCTAAGCCATCAGCACAGTCACTGGCAGGCCTGCCATTCATTCACTCTGGGGTCTAGGAGGTCCCACCATAACCCGACAGGGACAACACATTGCCCCACACAGGCCCTGGCTTTTCTGTTCTTGGAAGACCTTAGGGTAGGTGGTGCCAGGGATGATCAAGAACTTAAACCAGCTGGGAGAAGAAAACAGACAAAGGAAGGAAAGGCTAATGAGTTAGAAGAGACAAGGTGACGGGGGCAGGAGAACGTGGTGGCAAAGCCAGAGGGGGCACTGTGGTGGCCACTGACAGGTGAAGAGAAGGGGTCGGTGCTCATCGGTCCCCTCCTCCCTGAACCACATGGCAGATCCAGGGAGGGCGAGCCCTCGGTGAGTGAATGCAGCTGTTCAAAGCAACGAAAACAGACAAAATGAAAAATGTTCTCCAAGGACACCAGGCTTTTGGAGAGGCCACTGTGAGACCCCTGACTACCAGATACCCGATGATACTGAGTGGGGATGGGACAAGAAGCCTGCACCTCCCAGCCCTGTCCACATCCTGAGACCGAGGGGCCTGTGTCACCAGTACCTAGGGCTAGAGGAAAGGGCTTCCAAATGGCTCAGGAAGACGAGGGGGTGTTTCTGTCCACCTCTACGACCAGATGACCACACCTCCCATGAGGAATTCCTTACCCAAAAGAAACGAACAGAATAATGTTGCTTAAGTATGAACTGACCCGTCAGATCACCCTGACACTGACCCCATGACACCCCCTCAAGGTGGCTCTGTTTCCCCATCATCTGGGCTTCCCTCCCTGGTCTCCTGCACTCCCTGAGCCTCACTGGGGGCCGACTTGTCCCCTCTGTGCCCACTCCAAAGAGAATGAGAAAACAAGAGCAGAAGGCCCCCCACAGGTCGAGGCAAGAGGTTTGGCAACACTTCCCTTGACTTGGAAAATTCCTCTACTAGCAAATCTGCTTCCACATGGCAAAAATGAGAAGTTCTGGGCCAGCAGCCATGAGCACAGCTGCAGGAGCTGCCTGGACCCGCCGCATGGGCCAAAGGGAAGGGCTGTCCACAGGCAGGCCACAGCTAGAATGAGTCCAGAGAGAGGGACTGGGGAGAGTCTCCAACTCAATCAGGAATGACCCTTCTTTCAGTTGGGTCTGGCAGGTTTCAAAATCCAATCTTTCCACTGAGGCCACAATAAAGCTCCCCGGGAGGTCAGGCTTCCCCCCATGCAGCTGTCATTTTCCCTCGAGTTGCAAACACTGGCCAGGTAATGGCAGCTTCCACTCACCAGGCAAGTGGTCAGCTCGCCTGCAGATTTGCCAAAGAAATCCGTGTCCTGCCCCAAGCTTGTTGGCTCAGCAGGCTTTTCAAAATGCAGGTATCTCTAGAGCTGTTTTGTGGACACCAGGAGCATCACTGGACAATCCCTGTGCTGGCCCCAGAGTATCCTGTGCACCTGGATGAGGCTGGAACACATCGGGGGCAGGGCCGCAACACGTCCACTCCAGAACAGCGTGGGACCTGGGGAAATTGCCAGTCATTTGCTGTCCCATCATTGCTGTTCCACGCATCCCTGACAACTCTGAGCATGGGTTGTGGTGAGGTAGCAGCTGGGCAGGACCAGAAATGTCCATTTTTGACATGGAGGCAGCAGACACCCAGGCTTGGGGTAGAAGTGAGGGCTCCATACCATTCCCAGTGACAGCTTCCCATGGTGGAAACAGGCAGGAATGTCTGGCAACCCACCAAGGGTCAGACGCCACGTCAGTCCGAGCAGAAGCTGCCTGACCCTGGCTGTTCCAATGACAATGAGACATTCTTGGGGAGGTGGAGCCCTCTGTGGGAGCTCAGAATGGGTGTCCTCTCGCAATCACTGTGTTAGAGCTGCGGTTCTCAATGCGGGCTGCAGTGCAGTTACCTGCGGAGCTTTAGGGCGCTCCCAGGGCTTGGCTCCCCGGACCAGGGCCTTGAGAACCTTCACAGCAGGGGTAGCCGGTGTTGAGAAGCGTGCCTGGGAGACCACATGGCACTGCCTGGCTGGGTCCTCGGTTGACAGAGGTGAGGGTGGGGCTCGTGGTGACTTGGTAATGCCGTGAATTATCTACATGTGGCAGGAAGGTGCCACATGCCAAAGGATTCAGGAAAGACAACCCCAAAGATAACCAGTGTCAGTTACAGTCTCCACCTCCTCGAAGAAGACATGGCCAATCCCAACTCCTTGGCCACGAGGGTGACCCACAGTCAACTAATATCTGCAGTTCTCAAAGAGGGTCCAGTCTCCTGTGGCATTCATCATGGTGCCCTTCTGGGATTAAGGAGGAACTCACTGCAATCTCATCTTAAACACTGTATCATCAACACACCAATCTCCCATTAGCCTGGGTGCAGCCTGCAGTCCTGTTCAATGGAGTATTTGGAGAGGCCAGTTTAAGATCCCTGGTTGCTCGATGCCTGCTGGTGCCAAGTGGAAGGGAGTATGGAGAAGCCTGCACCAGCCCTGCCTGCATCCTGAGACAGACACCATGTATCATGATGTATCTAGGGTTATTAGGGTCATAGTACAGAGCCTCCAAATAGGCCTGTGATCGTGCGTGTCCAAGTATTTCAATTAATACTGAAATAAAGTGCATATGTGACAGACACTCTACAACCCACATGGCCAGAGAGCCATTAGAACTAGAAACTCCAGCCTGAGTTTCCAGCTTTCATACCCTGCCCTGCCGAATTAGAATGCTGCAAATCTGATAATGATTACAAATACAAAATTATGCAGAAAACCCCCTTTGATAAATTCAAATTTGATCACTGAGAAAAGTGATCTCCATGTCACTTTGGAGATAAAAGTGTGGACATAAGACTCTCACCAAGAGCTTGTGGCCCAAGGCAAATCACACCCATGCCCTGCCCTGCCCAAGGCCCTGCATCTTGGAAATTCTAAGAGGTCGGCATAAGGATGAACTAAACACCAAGCGCAGTCCTCAAAGGAAAAATAAAAGAAATATCCACACAACGGACTCTTTGGAACTGAGCCTGGAGGAGGGGGCTGCCCAGTCTACTCCAGGAGAATTTGCCGAAAACAAGTCTGTTCCCCATTCCATTCTCTCACCTCTTCTAAAAATCACCTCCTCCCCATTCCTGTAATTTGCGTCATTCTGGGCTCCTGACTCTTGTTGCATCTTTTTGACATTTTAAGGATATCTGGATTCGAATTACTTAAGAGCACATATGGCTTAATTTTGTATTTCTGGTAATCATTTATTATTAAATTTGCCTCATTTTATCGAATGACAGTTTTTTTCTCATATCTATTTTTAATGTTAAAGATTTCGTATCCAGTTTACCTAAAACCCCTTGCTTAAAATGAGTTTAATTCTAGCAATAAATACATGTTTATCGCTCCATTGTTTTATAATTTGACAATATGTTTTTCCTCAATATATTACTATATGGATAAGAGTTTTAAAAAGATACAGTAACATCTGATCCTCTGTCTCACTTGATCATGTGGCTCAACGAGCCAATGCCTCCGTCAAATAGAAATATCCGGCAACACTTAATCTAATGACTAAGAACATCCAGTGTGCACCTACACCCACGATGAGGAGAAAAGACCAAACAGCCAAAAAGGGGAGAATCCCATGATGTCTGTGTGAACTCATACAGGTATCATGGATACTTATTGCTAGAAACAGTATCTTAAACAAAAGGTCTTCAGGCAAGTGTATTAAAACTGCCTTGGATATAAGGGGCCCTATCACTTGTAAAACGTTGCAAATTTGATAAATAATGATTAAAAATACAAAATTACGGAGAAAACGCCCTTTGATAAATTGATCTTTAAAAAAAATCTTAATTGAGGTTCTCTAAAGGGAGCCTTTTAGGCAACGTGCCCGCTAGGTGTACTGATTGCTAGGAGGGCTGGCGACAAGCGAATCCATGTGGCTCCCTCAGCCCTCTCTTGGAAGCAGCCTGGACAAACAGCCTGGAAATGCGCGCAGCCCCGTGGTCCATGGAGCGGAAGTGGTGCGATGCGCAACGGGGCCGCCTCCTTCTCCGCGCCCAGCCCTGCGGCCCCGCCCCGGCCCCAGCCCCGGCCCCAGCGCCAGGCACACGGGCCCTCACGTCCTCTTCTTCCAGGGCGCAGTGCGCCTCTCCTTCTGCGCCTCGGCCTGGCGCTTCTTTTCGGCCTCCTCTGCCTTCCTCTTCTCCTCCTTGGCCTCCTTGTACCGCCACTTGGGGATCTGCAGGTGGCCGCTGTCCTTGGTGCTGCCCTTCCGCGCCGGCCGCTCGGGCTGGAAGGTGGGCGCGGGCGCCTTGCTGACTCGGACCCGGGGCACCACCACACCGGGCCGCACGCTTCTCCGCCGCAGGCGCTGCAGGGGCAGGAGGCTGGCCTTCCGCGGGGCGGGCGCTGCGGGGCCCCGGGACCCCAGGGCGGGAGGGAGGCCGGCTCTCGGGGAGCCCTCCCGGGAGTCCGCGTCCTCCTGTCCGGTCCGCCCGCGCTGCCCCGCGCCCCCCACCTCATCCTCCTCCTGCGCCTGGGGGCCCCGTGCAGCCCGCGCCGCCAGGATCTCCTGCACCGCCAGCCGCCTCTTCCCCACGCTCGGAGGGCTCTCAGGGCACACGGTCTGGCACACGATGGCCACGGCGGGGCTGTAGAGGCTCGTGGTCATCCGGACCATGTGGTCCAGGACGCCCCCGTCCTCCGGGCCCCGCACGGAGCGCGGCGTCAGCACGGACAGCACGCAGTCTGTGAGCCTCTGCAGGCAGTTCTTGGAGCCCGCGGGCTTCCGCGCCGCTTCAGGGGGCGGCGGCAGCTCGGGCCGGTACTTCTCCCAGAACTGCTCCGGGCAGGGGCGCTCCAGCAGCCTCTGCATGAGACGGACGGCATCCACGCGGCCCGTGTAAGTGGCCCACTCCTGCGGCGACATCCCACGGCGGGGGTCCCTCGCGTGGACATCCGCCCCTGCAAAACGCAAAACACAAACAGAAGTGGGTGGCGGCAACAAGGACTCTTCCCTCCCAGGCAGAGCCTGGGGCAAAGGCAAAACTGCCCCCACCCCCCACCCCTGGCCCCAAGCCTCCTAACAGACTGCACCTAGTTCACTCTGCGAACCCTGTGCTCATCTGAGCGCCGGAAGGCGGGCCTGGAGTGCAGTGGCGGGAACACGTCCTACTGTAGCCTCGACTTCCGGGGCTCAAGCCATCCCCCCAAGTCAGCCTCCCGAGTAGCTGGGGCTACACCACCGCCCAGGTAATTTTCTGTAGAGATGGGGCCTGGCTATGTGGCCCAGGCTGGTTTCGAACTGCTGGGTTCAAGCAATCCTCCCACCTCCGCCTTCCAAAGTGCTGGGATTACGGGCGTGAGCCACCGTGCCCAGCCCAACCTGCCTTTTAAGTGCTCCATTGATTATCTGTCCTGAATAAAACCCCGCCTGAATTCAGCACCTAAATTACAGAATTTTTTTTTTCGAGACAGAATTTCACTCTTGTTGCCCAGGCTGGAGTGCAATGGCACAATCTCCGTTCACCGCAACCTCTGCCTCCCGGGTTCAAGCGACTCTCCTGCCTCAGCCTCCCGAGTAGCTGGGATTACAGGCATGTGCTACCACGCCAGGCTAATTTTGTATTTTTAGTAGAGAGGGGGTTTCTCCATGTTGGTCAGGCTAGTCTCGAACTCCCAACCTCAGGTGATCCACCCGCCTCGGCCTCCCAAAGTGCTGGGATTACAGGCGTGAGCCACTGCGCCTGGCCAAATTACAGAATTTTTTAAAGAAATAAGATCCTATAGCTTTCCATCAATGGAGAGATGACCAGACAACAAAGCTGCCTTGCATACTTGAATGCTGTGGCTAGAAAGTTCTAAAAATATGACCAGTAACAGTCACTTGCAAAGTGGTGGCACCCCAGCTGTGGTCTCACTCTTGAGGACTGCCATGGGTCCTGGACTGTGGGAAATGGGTGGTTCCTTCGCTTCTCCCACTGCGGCCTAGCTGGCTGGGGTCTGTCTACCTTTAACCGATGGTGGGCTTTTCCAGGATAGAAAAATTCATTTTTGTTTGCTCAACACGTTTCATCCTGGTGGGTAGGGGGCATGAATTTTTAAAAGGCTTGTTGCAAAAAGAATGGCAGTCACAGTGGCTGTGGGCTAGTAACAGAGAGAGGGTCTAAGACTTGGGTGTCCTAACCTCAGTCTAATGTACTTCCTACCACCTGGCAGTCCTGGTGTGATGGTCAGTTTTAGTTTTCTATGTCAACTTGGCTAGGCTAGAATACCCAGTGATTTAATCAAACATGGATCTAAGTGTTGCCCCAAAGGTATTTTGCAGCTGTGGTTAACATCTATAATCAGTTGACTCTAAGTCAAGGAGATTACCCTTCATAATGCGGGTGGGCCTCGCCCAATTAGTTGAGGGCATTAAGAGCAAAGACCAAGGTTTCCTGGAAACAAAGAAATTCCACCTCAAGACTGCGGCATCTACTTACTGCTGCCTGAGTTTCCAGCCTTCGAGCCTACCGCACCAGTTTCAGACTCACCAACCCCCCAAACCACACAGCCAATTCCTTAAAATAAATCTCTTGATATCCACATCCTATTGGTTGACTGATAGGTCCCCTTACACAGTCTCCCTGACACTAGTCACTCCCTTAATAAATCTCCCCAGTCCACCCACTGCCCCCAAATATTGCAAAGTTAAACTTCAACTCAACTTGATGAAATCTGCATAAATTTCAATGTTGTAGTATAGAAATTAATACGGAATTGCTGTTCAATTAATCTTGGTCCAATCTCAGTCCCACATACTGTTAAAAATCATTGAGGGGCCAGGCATAGTGGCTCACACCTGTAATCCTAGCACTTTGGAGGCCGAGGAGGGCAGATCTCCTGACGTCAGGGGTTTGGGACCAACCTGGCCAATACATGGTGAAACCCCACCTCTACTAAAAACACACAAAAAATTAGCTGGGCGTGGTGGCAGGCACCTGTAATCCCAACTACTCAGGAGGCTGAGGCAGGAGAATCGCTTCAACCCGGGAGGCAGAGGTTGCAGTGAGCCGAGATCGCACCACCGCACTCCAGCCTGATTAACAGAGAAAGACTCCATTTCAAAAAAAAAAAAATCATTGAGGATTTCAAGTCCCATTAGTCATATCTCCACCAGCAAAGCAACATGGAGAACTAGGGCAATTATCTAGTCTGTGAGCTCAAAGGGGACCGGACCCGACAGACGCTTCTTCATTTATATCCCATGCAGACCCAGGAGTCTGACATGTGATGGCTGATCAACGTGTGCTGAACTGAGGAAGGTCGGGTCCCCAGCCACTGCCCTGGCCTGTTGGCCCACAGTGGCCTCATGGCTCTGGCAGACCCAGCTCACCTGAGCTTGCCTGGTAAGGATCTTAGTTCTGTGACACATTAAAGAATAGCCATATTAGAAGAGTGGTAATTATTTGGAACTGGATATCAGGATGGAACTCATTAGCTAGAGTACAATTTATAAACTGACTAAAATGAAAAGGGGGCAGTAAAAGTGTCATTGCAAAAAATAGATGACACATTAAACCTTAATTAATTGCATGTCACTTAAAAAAGGAACAAACTATAAAATTAAAATCTTAATGAACACTGCCTGAAAGAGACATTTTTCAAATGCTAATGGAAAACCAGAGGAAGATCTGTCCAAAGTTTTGCACTCTTCGTCCTGATGTTCACCTATCTTTTCAAAATGATCTCAGAAAATACAAACATTCTAAGGAACAAAGGCCACTGAGCCCTAGAATCAGAGTCATGCTATAAATTAGGGATCTGCTGCCTTAGGAAGCAACTGTAAAGGGTTATATTAATGACATGAACACAGCAATTAAATTATAAAAGATAAGTACCGATTATTAACATTTTATACAAATACCTTCCAGAGAATACAGAGGATTTCTGAAATGCCACTGTATCCATCTTCTCGCCAGCAGACCCCCCAGCATCGTCATCTCCCACCCAGTGTTGTTTTGCCCAGGGCTCAATCATGTGGACAAAAGTGGAGCTGCCACCCATGGGTCCACTCGCTGCCTTGTTGAGTGCTCTAAGTCTACACAAAATCCTCTATTTCACTTGAGGCAGCAACATCCTCAGTTCTTGGCAATGCATCACGATCAGTCTAACCCAGGACTTCTGAACCTCAGCACTGTTGACATATTAGGCCAGGTAATTATTTGGTGTGGGCTGTCCTGTGCATTGGAGAACATTTAACGGCATCCCTGATCTCTACCTTCTTCTAGATGCCAGTAGCAGTCCGCCAGTTCTGACAACCAAAAATGTCTACAGACGTGGCCAAATGTCCCCTGGGGCAACATTACCTCCAGCTGAGAATCACTATTGGAATCTAACGGCTGCAATCCTGTTCCCCATTCTTCCAGCCTCCCTTACAGCTAAAAGTAGCCAAGCAACCCAGCACTGGTGACTGAGCCCTAAAGAGGGTTCTGCCTCCTGACGAAAGGGACCAGCATGGTTGGTGCTGCTGCAGCTTCCTGTCTGAAACACATATTGGGTGATTCTCGTGGAATCAAGGGGTGACAGATCAACAGGCTAAGGGGAGCCAAATGGACAGGAGGAAACCACTGTTGTCCTCATGGAATCCAGGGCCAGCTCTGGAGGGTGACTGCCAACCTCAGACTTCCAGGGAGCTGAGAAATGCGGCCTGTTTTCTTTAAGCCACTGTCTAGTCAGGATTTCTGTTACTTGCAGCCAAAAACATTCCAAACAGGTGCTAATGGGAAAAAAAAATCTATACTTTCCATCACTCATTCTCAAGAAGGCTTTCTCTGGGAGCCATGGCCAGGCCCAGGACTAGCAGGAGGTGGGTGGAGCGTGAAGCCCTGAATGTGTCACTTCCTTTCCTGCTTCTCCACCAGCCCCCACCCACCCCCATGTTATCCACTCTACAAACCCTAGCTCAGGTCTCCCTCTTGCCAGGGGGCCTTTCCTGGCCACAGGAGACCACTGTGGACCAGCCCTCACTGCCTCCCCTTGTGCCACCTCCAGCCTGTATCTTGGGCATTGTGGGTATAATCGGGATGACAAATCTGGATGCAGGGTCCAAGAAAGAGCTTGTGCTCCAGCCCAGCAGGGAGGACAAGCCACCCCCACCACATAGCAGGTGGGAAGTGTGCTCAAAGTTCTCATCTCCCCTCAAAGAGGCACTGGAGTTGGGAAATAAACTTCCCAGCATCTCTGCGATATCTTTTCCTCATAGTGGAGGGTCCAGGGGGTCTGAGTCCCAGCTGCCCACAAGAGGAACCTGCTCATTGGTGGACATTTCTTAGCTTCCATTCTTCCCAATCTCACTTGCTGCCCCCTCACTCCACTTCCTGGGGCCACCATCCCTCAAAACTACTTGCCCCCAAGTCCTTGTCTCGAGGTTTGCTTTGCAGGTGACACAGAATGCTTGACTTTTCATCCTTTCTCTGGCTAATGACTTCAAACAATTCTACATGGCAAATTCACACTTCATAGGAAATTTAAGTTTTCCTTATAAACAGAAAGAAACCTCTATATGGTTGGAAATCATCTGACTTTCCAGAAAGAGATATCAGGGCTTCCCTGAGACAAGAGCAACCCTCTGACCCACAGCGGGAGCATCTCTGATCTCTGTTCCTCGCCGTCCTTTAAATCCACTTTGCGCCTTGGAATCACAGGAAGATTTGAGGTTATTGCTGCTTGTTTTTGCTTCCTGAAGGCTGCGGCAGTTACACCACACTTCAGGTCTGAAAGTGAGCTCCCTTAAGCAAGCCTGGAACCTGGCAACCTCCACAGATTCTGCCTCTCTTCAGAAAAAAATCACATCCTCGATACGCTTCTCAGAGCCACCTATTTAAATAGACCTGTCACTGTGGGCATTAATATTTCAGTGAATTAACAAGGTTCTGCAACTCCCTTGTGATGCTCTTCAGCAGAGCCTGCATTACTCCTTACGAAGCCAAACCAAAGATGCAATCGATCAGCCTCTCAGAACCCGGTTATACTTTTTATTACAATCTGAAGTGTCAATCTAAAAGAAAGGCTCTGGCTATTAGTTTCTTTAAATGGTTTATTTTTTTCTTAATATCACGTATTTAAATGGAAAGAATAAGACTTAAAATATTTGTGTGAATTTTAGAAATATATCAACATCTGTCCTTATTGCTCTCCACTAATCCTGGGGAAGCAATTCAACACTTTTTTTTTTTTTTTTAATTCTTACCCATCTACTGTCAAAGGAAAATAAAACCCACTTTTCTTGGGAGAACTGTAAGCTTAGTAGTAATAGTAGAAGATGAAAATATTCCGTAAGTTCTACACTACAACCAAAGCTTAAGAGGGCAGCTCAAAAGTTCCCTAAACAAGATGTCACTTCTCTTTTTTTTTTTTTTTTTTTTTTGAGACAGAGTCTCACTCTGTTGCCTAGGCTGGAATACAGTGGCATGATATCGGCTCACTGCAACCTCCGCCTCCTAGGTTCAAGCGATTCTCTTGCCTCAGCCTCCCGAGTGGCTGGGATTACAGGCTTGTGCTACCATGCCCGGCTAAATTTTTTTTGTATTTTCAGTAGAGGCGGGATTTCACCATGTTGGCCAGGCTGGTCTCGAACTCCTGTCCTCAGGTGATCCACCCGCCTCAGCCTCCCACAGTGCTGAGATTACAGACGTGGGCCACCATGCCCGGCCAAGATGTCACACTTTTATTTGAGGGAGGAATACAGAACAAGCGAGGAAGAGTACACAGAGGGGAAAATGTCTCTTCTCACTTTGTATATCCTTTCCCATTTAAATTATTTATATCAGTGGTTCTCGATGGGAAGCAATTTTTCCCCCAACCTGGGAGACTTTGAGCAACATCTAGAGACATTTTTGGTTGTCACAACTGAAGAGGTGCTACAGTCATCTTGTGGGTAGAGGCCAGGGATGCCACTAAAAATCCTACAATTTGAAAGACAGCCCCCACAACAAAGAATTATCTGGCTCTGCATGTTAGTAGTGCTGAAATTAAGAAACCCCTGGCCAGGTGCGGTGGCTCACACCTGTAATCCCAGCACTTTGGGAGGACGAGGCATGCAGATCACAAGGTCAGGAGTTTGAGACCAGCCTGGCCAATATGGAGAAACCCTGTCTCTCCTAAAAATACAAACATTAGCTGGATGTGGTGGTGCATGCCTGTAGTCCTAGCTACTCAGGAGGCTGAAGCAAGAGAATTGCTTGAACCCAGGAGGCAGAGATTGCAGTGAACCGAGATCGCGCCACTGCACTCCACTCTGGGCGACAGAGTGAGACTCCGTCTCAAAACAAAACAAAACAAAGCAAAACAAACAAACAAAAACAGAACAAAAAAGCAAAAAACAAAAACCCTGAGGTAGGGGCTTACTACCCTCATTAAGAAAGTTTAAGTATCTCATTTACAAGATATTTCTCAAAGGGAAAAACAAACCGTATTTTTTCATTCACTTAACAGATAACTATTGAACACATAAACTCACCAATAATCATAATAATAACAATAATCACAACCAACATGTCCGAAGGCTTCTCCAAGCCCAGCATGCACCCGAGGGCTGTTCTGTTGTGAACGTGCCCAATCCGCATCCCACCTTCCTGCGGTGGGTGCTATCATTAGCCTCATTTTATAGAAGAGGAAACTGGGGCCCAGAGAGGTGAGTGACAGGCTGCAGGTGTAGAGATGGGAAGTGGAGAAGATGAATTTGAAACTGGGTCCTGGTTCCTGGACTGTTTCTGTTCAGCTCCTGCTCTGTACCTCGTATAGGACAGGGAGAGACTCACTAGAGGATCCCACAGACAATAATCCGTGGATTGTTCTAGACTGTGATGGGGGATGGGCTTGCAAAGTGGAGAATAGGGGAGGGAGAGTCTCAAATCTAATGTCAAATTTGTATCCAAATAACTGATGGGGGAAGAGCAATGTCAGCAGTAAACCCACTGCCCGCAGACTCATCGTTCCAAGAGATGTGCAAGGTGTTTCTGGAATCCTCTAAATGCTGTCACACATGCCTGAAACCCCCAGGAGACCCAGGGAAGAAAGCACGGCAGTCAAACGGAGCGATTAGAGGGCAACTGACCTAAAAAAGGTTTGCAGTTCAAATTAATTCAATGGGAAAGTGCAGTGATGTGACTGACATCATAAATGTTCAGTTGAAAAAGTCAATTACCAAACATCTACGCCCAATTATAACTAGATCCAGAAATAGTAAAAGTGTCTGAAGCTCCCGCCAAACACAAAAGCATCACATAATTACCATTTAATTAGTAGGAACCATTTCTCATTGATGAGGGCAGGCAGGGCCGAAACTCTGTTGAAACTGATATCTCGTTTTTTTAAAATAAAACTATCATCTCTGAATCAAAAGTACAATCGATAGGACTCGTTTTTAATTATGTTTTTTTTTTTATTTCCAAGAAAGTTTTCATCTTTGAAGCCTCTATTCTCATTCACTGAACTTATTTTTATTATAGCATCTCCTAAGACTAAAGAATCCCCTAAGGTTAAAGCAAAAAGAAAGATAAATCTGAAGCAATTGTGAATCCTGTAACTCCAGATTGATCTCGAGAAAAACAACAGACGGGCTCAGACTGGGCGGTGCTGCACACTGGTTGGAATCAAGACTGTCCCGTCATGGGCAACAGGTTATGACAGAAACTTCACAGACCCAAGAAGATGAGGGGCAGGGCGCGGTGGCTCACACCTATAATCCCAGAACTTTGGGAGGCTAAGGCGGGCAGATCACGGGATGTCAGGAGTTCAAGACCAACCTGGCCAACATGGTGAAACACCGTCTCTACTAAAAATACAAAAATTAGCTGTGCGTGGTGGCAGGTGCCTGTAATCCCAGCTACTCGGGAGGCTGAGGCAGGAGAATCGCTTGAACCCGGGAGGTGGAGGTTGCAGTGAGCCGAGATTGCACCACCGCACTCCAGCCTGGGCGACAGAGTGAGACTGTCTCAAAAAAAAAAAAAAAAAAAAAAAGAAGAAGAAGAAGAAGACTGGGGACAACTAAGAAGAAGACAACTAAATGTGGGAGCCCAGCAGGGGTCCTGGAACAGAAAAGTGACATTAATGGAAGCACTGATGCCTGGGAAAACTCTGATGCCACCCTCAGGATAACCAAGACAGGGGTGGTGCTGTGGTCTGAATGTTGACGACCCTCCAAAATTCCTATGCTGGAACTTCAGACCCACTGGAATAGTATTAAGAGGTGAGGCCTTTAGGGGGTGATTAGATCATGAGGGCTGTGCCCTCCTGAATCAAACTAGTGCCTTATGAAAGAGGGTTTGAGGGTACCTCGGTGTCCCCTCTGCCATGAGAGGAGACAGTAAGAAGGAAGGGGCATCAGCAGACATCGAACCTGCCGGCACCTTGATCTTGGACTTCTCAGCCTCCCCAAGTGTGAGCAATAAATTTCTACAGTTACAAATTACACAGGTGAGGTATTTTGTTATAGCAGCAGAACAACTAAGACAGAGAGGAAATCCACTTCTTCAGGAACTTGCAGCGCCAAGCAGGACTGGCTGAACCCAGTGCCAAGAACAAAAATAAAGAGAAATTAAAATAACAGAATTAAGTAATGGTGAAAGCAGCATCGCACATTCACTGAGATGTCAGCTGCTAACTGAATCTAACACGACATGTGCTTGACACATATTTTCTCATTTAATTCTCAAAATAACCCGATGAGGTTGCACGAAGGATGATCATTGATTCTATTTCAGAGTGAAGAAAAGAGTTAAAGCTATTAGTTGTGTGGCATTTAGCTTAGTAGCTCATTGAAGCTGGATAGCCTCTAGGAGTGTATAAAGTATTGTTGCATTTTAGCCTCAGGGAGGTGAGGGAGAAAGAGGTCATTACTCCCATTTCACAGATGGGAACAGGAAAGTGCGTTCTCCAAGATGGCGCAAAAGACAAAGAGGGGTTGATCCAGGTTGATAGCCTGAGAATTTTCCACTCTATGACACAGCATAGAAAACGGAAATTGCCACACACATCACCATGCAATACCACGTTGCCTCCTAACATTACCACGCAACTCCACATCACCCGCTAACATCACCACACAACTCCACGTCACCCGCTAACATCACCGCGCAACTCCACGTCACCCGCTAACATTACCACGCAACTCCACGTCACCGCCTAACATCACCGTGCAACTCCACGTCACCCGCTAACATCGCCGCGCAACTCCACGTCACCCGCTAACATCGCCGCGCAACTCCGCGTCACCCGCTAACATCACCGCGCAACTCCACGTCACCGCCTAACATCGCCGCGCAACCCCACGTCACCCGCTAACATCGCCGCACAACTCCACGTCACCGCCTAACATCGCCGCGCAACGCCGCGTCACCCGCTAACATCGCCGCGCAACTCCGCGTCACCCGCTAACATCGCCGCGCAACTCCGCGTCACCGCCTAACATCGCCGCGCAACCCCACGTCACCCGCTAACATCGCCGCGCAACTCCGCGTCACCCGCTAACATCGCCGCGCAACTCCGCGTCACCGCCTAACATCGCCGCGCAACCCCACGTCACCCGCTAACATCGCCGCGCAACTCCGCGTCACCCGCTAACATCGCCGCGCAACTCCGCGTCACCCGCTAACATCGCCGCGCAACTCCACGTCACCGCCTAACATCGCCGCGCAACTCCACGTCACCGCCTAACATCGCCGCGCAACGCCGCGTCACCCGCTAACATCGCCGCGCAACTCCGCGTCACCCGCTAACATCGCCGCGCAACTCCGCGTCACCGCCTAACATCGCCGCGCAACCCCGCGTCACCCGCTAACATCGCCGCGCAACTCCGCGTCACCCGCTAACATCGCCGCGCAACTCCGCGTCACCGCCTAACATCGCCGCGCAACCCCACGTCACCCGCTAACATCGCCGCGCAACTCCGCGTCACCCGCTAACATCGCCGCGCAACTCCACGTCACCGCCTAACATCGCCGCGCAACCCCACGTCACCCGCTAACATCGCCGCGCAACTCCACGTCACCGCCTAACATCGCCGCGCAACGCCGCGTCACCCGCTAACATCGCCGCGCAACTCCGCGTCACCCGCTAACATCGCCGCGCAACTCCGCGTCACCGCCTAACATCGCCGCGCAACTCCGCGTCACCCGCTAACATCGCCGCGCAACTCCGCGTCACCCGCTAACATCGCCGCGCAACTCCGCGTCACCGCCTAACATCGCCGCGCAACTCCGCGTCACCCGCTAACATCGCCGTGCAACTCCGCGTCACCCGCTAATATCGCCGCGCAACTCCGCGTCACCCGCTAACATTACCACACAACTCCACGTCACCCGCTAACATTACCATGCAACTCCACATTGCCTCTTAATGTTACCATGTAACTCCGGATCACCTCCTAACATTACCCTGCAACTCCATGTTACTTCCTAATGCTACCGTGCAACATGTCGCCTCCTAACGTTAACAAGCAACTCCACATCGCCTTCTAACGTTACCATGCAACACGTCACCTCCTAACGTCACCATGCAACTCCACGTCACCTCCCAACGTTACCATGCAACTCCACATCACATCCCAACATTAACATGCAACTCCACATCACCTCCTAACGTTACTATGCAATGCCACCCACCAGCAAGCAGTGACCTAGGATGGCCTGGGCCGTTCCCACCATCCCTACGCCCACCTTCAACAGCACAGTCTTGCCATTTACAGCCAAGGGATCACCCCTTTCTGAGGAGGAACAGATATGGACAGGACTTGGGGTGTAGAACGGGTGGGCAGGAGGAAAACAGCAGGTGAGGGAAGGTGCCACCCACTGCAAAGCTCAGCAGGGAGCAGAAAGGGGTGTCCTGAAGGGAACCAATGCTGTGGCTTTTTTAAAACCTCAGATAGTTACAGAAGTATATGTCAGTGAAGAAACTATTATTTATTGCAGCAACTAGGCATTGTTTCTATGGGAGTGATTAATCTCAAAACATATTCCATAAAGGAGCAACTCTGGTGTCCCAGGGCCCCTGGAAGCTGCACAGGACAGGTGGACATACCTGCTAGCATCAGGGCTCGGATGCAGTCCGTTCGACCCTGCATGGCGGCTTTCATCAGGGCGGTGAACCCGAACGCGTTCCTCCTTTCAAGGTCAAGACCAGGGAAATAGTTCAACAAGTAGTTAGTGATGATAGCGTGCCCTGTAAAGAGAAGTGTACACGTGTATTGGTTCCCACTTCCACAAAATGTGCTGGTTCCAGCCAGGCCTTCCTAGAGAGAGAAAGAAACACTGAGTCAGCCCTGGGCCAGCCGGTCTGCTGTGTGAGTTTTTCTCGGACCCCAAGACAGAATTCTCCTGGAGCCCAGGAAACAGAGGAAAGGAGAAGGCACCGCCCTGGCTGCAGCGCTGCTGTTTTGGGTTCTTGCAGGTCCCCTTCGGCAAAGCACTCGAGGGAGGAGCTGTCCCATTACACTACTGGGGGTGGATGTGGGGGGCAGGGACGCTGCGGGCAGGTAGGGAGCGCAGCCTCAGACAGCCAATGAGGGCAGGAAGCCTCAACTCCCAGCAGGAGACGCCCGTGCAAACAGATGCAAAGCTGCAAATGAGCTTCAGAACCGCTTCCAAGTGCTCCAGAGCTGCAGGGAGGAAAAAGTCATCATCATAGCAATAGGACAGTGCCAATTCACGCTGGCACCCTGTTCCCACCCAGAAGCAGGAGTCTCTCTCTCCACCCTTACCCACCACCACCCCTCCCCCCGCCGCCGTGTGTGTGTGTGTGTGTGTGTGTGTGTGTGTGTGTGTCTAACTACCTACGCCCACACACATCCCACAGAGTGTCGCAGGCAAGGCCCTCAGCTATAAAGCAAAGCAGGTAAGGAGATGTCTCAGAGAACACAGATTTCTCCCCTTTCTCACCTTGCACCTCCAAAAAGGATCTAACTTTCTGCTCATTCCCAGGCACGCCCATGGTGCTCTCAGTTAATGGTGAATAAGGAGAATGTCACAGCAACAGTGCTGTTTCCAGGATTCTCCCATGGAAAACCAAAATGGAGTGGGAGAGCATCCTCTTGGGTCAACTGTCCATGCCACCTGATGCCGGCTAGCTCATAAGTCCTTGTGTGAATACATCTCCCCCTCCCCCACTTCAGTGTCCTGGAGCAGGGTCCGTCCCAGCCTTGGCACAGTCGGCACAGGGGGCCGCATGACTCTTGGTTGTGGGGACTGCCCTGTGCACTGCAGGACACTAGGCAGATCCCTGGTCTCTACCCGATAGATGCCAGTAGCAACCACCCCCACTCCCGCATAGGTTGTGACAACCAAAACTGTGTCCAGACACCACCAAACCGCCATCGGTGGGGCAAGAACACCCCAGGTGAGAACCACTGTCCCCGAAGCTCAGACTTCACTCCTTCGTGACCAACCACACCTGGTGGAAAGAGCTTCCTTCCTCTCTCCCTCTGCTGCACCCTCCCCTGAGCTGCCACCTCCATCCAGGCCCCTGCTGATGAGGTCTGAAACTCTTGGGAATATGAGCAATCTGCCCGAGTCTCTCCTCCTGAACCCCAGGGGAGGTGCTGGGTACCCAGTTCCCATCCTTTTTGTTTATTTAAGAGATGGAGTCTCTCTTTGTCACTCACACTGGAGTGCAGGAGCACGATCATAGCTCACTGTAGTGTGGACCTCCTGGGCTCAAGAGATCCTCCCTCCTCAGCCTCCCAAGTAGCTGGGCTCACAGGCGAGCATCATCATGCCCAGCTAATTAAAAAAAATTTTTTTTTGTAGAGATGGGATCTCCCAACGTTGCCGAGGCTGGTCTCAAACTCCTGCATTCAAGCAGTTCTCCTGCCTCAGCCTCCCAAAGTGCTGGGATTCCAGGTGTGAGCCACTGTGTCTGGCCACAGTCCCCATTCTTATGCACCGATGACGCAGTGCTCAGAAATCCCCACTTATTCATTCCAACTCAAGCATGTTCCTTTCAGCCCCCACTGTCGCAGCTGCAGGGGCCTCGTGGACATTTCTATGCACTCTCTCCTTAACTTGGCATCACCTCCCTCCCCCCAGGAACACCTGAATCATGGAGAAGCCGGGCCCTGGGCCCAGAATCTCCACAGGCATCTGGTTTGCACAGAAACTTCCAATGGGTGGCACTGCCTGAGATTTGGGATGGGAGAGAGGTGGCAAGGACATCACTCTGGGGTCGGGCAGGCATGAGACCTGAGGTGCCTCCCCAGCCCAGCCCACCTCTGCAGACAGAATACTACGTGAGCATGACGCTGCAGCAGCCTCCAGGATTCCCCGCTGCGGCTGAGATCTCCAGTAGGCAGGGCTGGGCGCCCTTGGCCTCTGCTCCCCTAGCCCCTTCAGTTCAGCAAATCCAATATGAAACCCTCCGATATATCAAGTGGCTTCTGTCTCCCCAGCCACACCCTGAGGGATAGTACTGCCGGGGTTGGAACCCAGTTTCCTCCTTTGAGGGCCACTCCAGGCTGCTGCCTCACCAGTATGAAATCCTGTGGGTTTGCTCTTCATCAATCCAAAAGAAGAAGGAACAGGCAACCAAAATCAGGGGTGAACTCTCCTGAGGAGCAAGCTCGCCATTGACCTCAGCCCATCTCCTGAGCTCTCCACAAATGTGAAAAGGGGAACCATGTATCTTTTTGAAAAGGAAGCCCTGATGAGTCTAACAGTGTTCAGGTTATAAGCAGGAAACAAAGGGTACGATCCCCTCGCTGCGTGACTCACAGCCAGTCGCTGGTGCTTTTTTGACTCATTTACACCACATTGCTCTCCCTCGTCCTTTACTATGTGCGGGGAGGGGCTAAGGCCAGCTGTCAGGTACCCAGAGCTGCTGAATTACTCTCAACTGGGTGGTATGGGAAGGTGGGGGAATCCTTTGATCTCAGTTTGGTTTATGGTCCAGTTAAATGCTTGGCGGCACCTGTCAGTTAGATTTAACCAGGGGCATAGTAAAATGAATTGCAATTCCTTTGGAGCCATTTCTTTAAACTGTGAAATAGCGTGTCCGTCACAATCTTCTGCAGGATGTTCCTTTGCACTGATATATCCTCAGCACTTTGAACAGGTGGAAAGAGGAAAAACTCAAAGTCCACAGAGCAAACCACCCATTATATAGATCTGTTCTGCGTATTATGTTGAGTCCAGAAAAACCAACATGCAGTCAACTTGTTCTGACTACAGGCCTGAGCTTTCGATGATCCAAGAAATCACGCCCTGCTTCCCACGGGTTTTCCCAGGATGGCAGAATAATACCTCTCATCACACAGATGACCCCATTCAATGGAAATCAAAGGTGGACCCAATACTTCTAAGAATGTATAAGTATTAACCTTTCTTCTTTAAAAACCATGATGAGTAACCAAAAGGAGCTTTCCTTTTCTTTACATATATGAGACACACAGCCTTCCTTGCACAAGGGAACCCAAACACACGCCATATTGAAATCTAGTTTGAGGCCAGGTGCAGTGGCTCACTCCTGTAATCCCAGCACTTTGGGAGGCCAAGGCAGGCAGATCACTTGAGGCCAGGAGTTCAAGACCGGCCTGGGCAACATAGTGCCTGTCTCTACTAAAAATACAAAAATTAGCTGGGTGTGCTGGTGCATGCCTATATTCTCAGCTACTCAGGAGGTTGAGGCAGGAGCATTGCTTGAACCCAGGAGGTGGAGGTTGCAGTGAGCTAAGATCACACCACTGAACTCCAGCCTGGACGACAGAGTGAGACCCTGTCTCAAAAAAAAAAAAGAAAAAAATCTAGTTTGAGCCCAGTCCAACTTGGACATTATGGAATCGGACTTGGTTCCTGAAATCCTCAGAGAAGCCCTTTTAAAGGGTAGGTTCACCTAGAGAACCCCAGAACACCCCCTCTCCACCAATAAGCCCTACCCTGCTTAAGAGAGGGTCACAAGTGACCCAGGGAGGAAGTGAATTTGAATGAAATCGCGTCACTGGAACATAGTGTAGACAATGAGCTCAGTACTGAAGAGAGCTGGCTCTGAGAACAGCCAGGTTCAAGGCCCAGGCCTGCCACTCAGAATCCGGGTGTCTTTTGGAAGTCAGCTTTTCCATATCTGTAAAATGAGGGATAATATCAACCTCCCATTTGTGAAAATTATAGGAGACAATCTGTGTGTAAAAGGTGCCCAGCAGAATAGAAAAATCTGGAAGAAAAATTCTGAATAATCCAGGCAGGCACTCCACTCTCAAGGGGCTAGAACGTGTTCCCCCCTCCTTAACCCGCGGGCTGCGTGCACTGACTTCCTGTGAAAGACTATTACACGGAAACGGGGGAGGAGGGAGAGAACCTCACAGTGGAGAAATCTGCTAACATGACCTCAGCCAGGTGACCAAGGCCCATCAGCCCTTTATCGGGCGTCTTCCTCCAAAAACTCATAACTCCAGTCTCATCACAAGAAAAGCATCAGGCACGTCCAAATTAAGGAACATTCTGCAATGTACCTGACCAGTCCTCCTCAAAACTGTCGAGGTCATGAAAAACAAGAGAAGTCTGAGAAGCTCACAGCCAAGAGGAGCCTGAGGAGCCATGAGTGCTAAATGCCACATGCGATCCTGCAACAGAAAAAGGAAATCCGGGAAACGCTGAGGAAATCCGAATAAAGAACGGACTTCAGTTAATAATGGTGAATTGACACGCGTCCATTCATTGTGTTCAGCGCGTCACGGACGTCAGATCTTAACAACAGAGGGAACCAGTGTGAGGCACACAGGCATTCTCTGTACAGTGTTTGTGGTTTCTCTGTAAACATAAACTATTCTCAAATCAAAAGTTTATTTTAAAAAAAGAGGAGATAGGCTTGGCGCAGTGGCGCACGCCTGTAATCCCAGCACTCTGGGAGGCCGAGGCGGGTGGATCACGTGGCCAAGAGATCACACCGTCCTGGCCAACATGGTGAAACCCCATCTCTACTAAAAATATAAAAATTAGCTGGGCGTGGTGGCGTGCACCTGTAGTCCCAGTTACTCCGGAGGCTGAGGCAGGAGAATTGCTTGAACCCAGGAGGTGGAGGTTGCGGTGAGCCAAGATTGCATCACTGCACTCCAGCCTGGTGACAGAGCAAGACCCCATCTCAAAAAGAAAAAAAAAAAAAAAAAGAGGAGAACTGGCTGGGCATGGTGGCTCACGCCTGTAATCCTAGCACTTTGGGAGGCTGAGGGGGGTGGATCACCTGAGGTCAGGAGTTCAAGACCAGCCTGGCCAACATGGGGAAACCCCATCTCTACTAAAAATAGAAAAATTAGCTGGGAGTGGTGGCGGGTGCCTGTAATCCCAGCTACTCGGGAGGCTGAGGCAGGAGAATCACTTGAAACCAGGAGGAGGAGGTTGCAGTGAGCAGAGATCATGCCACTGTACTCCAGCCTGGGCAACAGAGCAAGACACTGTCTCAAAATAAATACATAAATAAAAATAAAAATAAAAAAGGGGAAACTAGCATAGAGCCGTTCAAAAAGAGTGCAAGGTCAGGACCATGATTCACAGCTGGCTGTGCGGCCTGGTGTGGGGCCTCTCCACCCTGGACCTGAGGCTCTCCCAGTGGTGGGGAGCTCACCAGGAAGCCACGGGAGCATTCAGGAGGCAGAGATGGAGCCCAGCCCCCAACCCCGGGCAGGAGGAGGGAGAGGAGTGCTTGATTCAGAGAGCTCCTAAATGAGTGGATGGACAGGTCTGTGGTATGCAAAAGAGGAAAGCTGGAAATGACGCCTGGCCCCGCCACACCCCTGGTTCCGCTCTGCATGGATGCGAAGGTGCCTTCGTTGGGGGACACAAAGAGGTGGACACCCACGCCACCCGGGCCCGACCGGCTTCTCAGCCTGCCCCAGCAGTGCTCCTGTGCTTCCCGGTTGACTCTTCCCCAGGCCCCATGGGGAAAATGTTAAATTTTTCACATGGAAGTCACCGACCTCACGCAAACCCCTCTCCTGGATGACTCATCTTCAAGTTCATAGAGGGAACAGAAACCACCAGAAGGGAAGTCCCTCGGCTTTCCCCCATCGCCCCCCACGCTGCCCACATTCACGGGCCTCCGAGAAGGAAAAGTGAAATCCTGAGCCATCCAACGGACTGAACCGACCCCCTCCTGCCCAAGGGGACCCCAGAGAACCCTTGAAAACTGAGTCCTGGCTATGACAGGATGGAAGGGCAATGCGCCTCGTTATACCCATTCCTTGCTAACCGTGAGGCTTTCTTTCCTAAGTCTAAACAGAAACCAGCCCGTTCTAAAGACTCCTCCACTGATATAAACCAACCGCCTGATGCTGCCCCGCCGTTCTGCAATTTGGATGAAACAACCGACCAGCATTCCGTCCTCATGAGAGACACTGGCCATGGCTTTGGAGTGCGTCCGGCAGGTCCACAGAGGACGCGCAGTGAGGGTTTTCATGTCCTCTGCTTCACCTTTTGAGGTCAGGGCCTGAAAACTCCACCCTCAGATCATGCTAACGCTGTTGCTTTTTGAACACAGGTCCCAGGGAGAGGCACGGAGCTCGATTGCACACTTGCGTGTTTCTCCTCTCATCGATATTCAATGCTTCTCCCATAGCTTATGGAATATGTGTATTGAGCCACCTCCTTCAGCATGCATTGTTCTTCTGTCTTGTTCTTCTGCCCCTGGAAGGGTCTGTTTCTGGCTTCTGGCCAGAGGCGCTGCTTCCCTGCCACAATAGCCACCCTGCAGGCTGCAACCCTTTATGAGAAGAAAGCTCTTCTTTCCAAGTTTATGAACCTCGTCAATCCTCAGTTCACTTTTCCTATTGAAAACGCAGGGGATTCTCCTCTTGCTGAAGGAGGCTTATCCCTGCTCCTCCCCTCCTGTGCTTGACAGCCACTCCCTGCCCACTGCTGTGGAATATTTATCAGATCCCTCCTGTTTCTCATCAACCTCTCATTCCTTGCAGACCCACTTCCCTCAGAATGCTGTTGGGGCTCAGAAAGCAATACCCCACAGTGAAGGCCTCAGAAGCAAAGGTTTCTCTCTGCCCTCCTGCCCTCCCATGTCTCAGTCCCTTCTTCCCTGAGGCCAGCCATCCAAACTGGAATCCCTCTTCCCCAAGGCAGATCTTTGAAACCAGAACCCCTTTTCCCTAAGGCCAGCCTAAAGGTTCCCTAAAACCTAAAAATACTGCCCTAACATAAAGAAATTATCTGACTTGCCATGTCCGACTGTAGGTCATAAGACCCCTGTTCCAGGGAGAGTCACTCCCAGAAGGAAGAAGTGCTGCTCAGAGAAACCTAGAAGAATCGAGGAGACAGGCAGGCCTGTGGGGTTTCCCCACTCAGTCTATTTATTAGCATTATATTTCTTCTTCTTTTTTTTTTTTTTTTGACACAGTCTCACTCTGTCACCTAGGCTGGAGTGCAGTGGCGCGACCTTGGCTCACTGCAACCTCAGCCTCCTGGGTTCAAGCCATTCTCCTGCCTCAGCCTCCCAAAGTGCTGGGATTCTAGGCATGAGCCACCGTGCCTGGCCTGTCCAACTATATTTCTACATAACTGTCCACACTTTGTTGAACCTAAGCAGAAAAATGGAAAATTCCTCCTGCATTTTTGGGTTTTCATTCCGAAGGCTCCCATGTACGCATGTTATGGGAACATGGCCTCTTTTGTATGCCTCTTCTCTTATTCACCTGCCTTTTGCAAGTTGATTTTAGTGAACCTTCAGAAGGCCCTTAGTTCCTACAATGCACTAATGGCCCATCTTCTTCACACTGCCCTTTGTTAAGTGACTTCCCAGTTCTCTGTCTAGTGGAACCTTGGCCGATGGGATGTTTGCAGGCGTGATGGAAGCAGAAGGTTGAAATGTACTTATCCAGACTTTCATGCATGTTTGTGCCTCAGCTGTCTCCCCAAGAAGAGCATGCCCAGGCTGGCTCGCTGCTCCCAGGAAGAGGATGAGTAATGCATGCAGCAGAGCTGCCCCAGCCGAAGTGCCCAAGAACAGGTCCCCGACTTGCCCACAGACTTGAGCAAGGACAGTTTAGATCAACAGATCCCCAGCCCATCCACAGATGCATAAGCAATAAAAACATCCCAGAGCATGGGAGTTGTTTGTTACACAGCAATAACTAGCTGACATGCATGCTCAAGGGTCTCTCATCTTAAAAGCATATGTGACTCACAGCAACCCCTGTGGGCCGTCTTCATGTTCCCGCCACCCTCCATCAACCATTCAACTCCGCTTCAGTCCAATTCCAGATCCATCTACTCTCACTGTTGCTAATGACACTCTCTGACTTTGCTGAAACCACCCCCAGCAGTCCCCAGTGACCTTCTTACAATGAGACTCAGTGGTGATTTGTCAGTTCTCATCACATTCAACATCTCCCCAGCATTTCCCACTCACTCCTCTCTTTCATCCTTTCTGAAACACGCTCTTTCCATGGACATGCAGATGCTCACCCTTCTGATTTTCCGCCCTCTCAACATTCTGAGCTCCTGTTCTCTCCTTCCTGAAATGCTGCTGTTCCTCAGCTGCCTGCTAAGCCCCCTCCTTATCTCATACACTCTCCTTTGGTGATCCTATACACTCCTGTGGATCCAAGTTTCAGCTCTAAAGCTTCCACATCAACTCTTTCCAGTTCTATCTCTTTTCTTCAGTTTTTTACCTGAGTATCTGTCTACTGAGTATTTCATCATGGGTATCCTACAAACTCAATGCATCAAACCCAAAACATCTTTCCTCCGAAGCTACTCCTCTCCCACATCCCTTATTCAGTGATGAACACCACCAGTCACCCCATCACCCAAGCCAGACGGCTGGACTCAGTCTCAAGCCCTCCACATCCTCCCTCACCCAAGCAATCACCACATTCTGCCAACTGCACCTCTGACATCACTTGAGCACGGGAATTTGAGACCAGCATAGGCAGCATGGCAAGACCTCATCTCTACAAAAAAAAGTTTAAATTTCCTAAAACTGTCTTTGTTTCTCCATCCCTGACCTGGGCTACCACGTCCCCATGGGGCCACAGCTCCTGTCCTGACTAGCCTCCTTTGTCCCACTTCTGCCCCCATTCATTCTCCACACCAGCAGCACGGTGACACCAACAGGGGCCTCTGACCATCCCCACTACTCATCCGAAACTCTCCATGGGCTCTGCTCTTTAGATGAGGTCTCAACTCTTCAATGAGCTGGTTTTTACCTCTTCACCCTCAGCTCTCACCGCCAATGCCCTCCCAATCCACTTTATGGTCAAACAGCCAGCATTCCGTGTAATTCACTCATGAGCCACACTTCCTCTAATCTAGTGGCCTCTGCACAAGGAGTCCCTCTACCTGGAATATTCTGCCTCCTCTTTTTACTTGGTGACCTGATGAGCCATCCCTTCCAACTCCAGGTCTTCCCTGGTGCCCCTTGACCCACGGTGTCTCATCGTCCACGTTCCCATGCATATATGGGTTCCCACAGCCGCCACAGCCCTCGTTACCCAGCTCACATGCTTAAAACTTCCAACTGACTGCATGCTCTGGGGTGCTCAATAAATATGCATTAGATGAAAAGGCTGAAACATTCCTACCACTCCTTTGGGAAAAGTTTATTTATTGAAAGTATCAGGGTGGGCAAGGTGGCTCGTGCCTGTAATCCCAGCAGAGAGGCCAAGGCCCGAAGAGGCCAGGGAGGCTGAGGCTAGAGGATCACTTGAGCTTAGGAGTTAGATACAAGCCTGGGCAACATGGCAAGATCCCATCTCAAAAAATAAAAATTAGCTGGGCTGGCCGAGCGCAATGGTTCACGCCTGTAATCCCAGCACTTTGGGAGGCCGAAGTGGGTGGATGACCTGAGATCAGGAGTTCGATACCAGCCTGGCCAACATGGTGAAACCCCGTCTCTACTAAAAATACAAAAAATTGGCTGGGCGTAGTGGCAGGCACCTGTAATCCCAGCTACTCAGGAGGCTGAGGCAGGAGAATCACTTGAACCCGGGAGGCGGAGATTGCAGTGAGCCAAGATCACATCATTGCACTCCAGCCTGGGCAACAAGAGCAAAACTCCATCTAAAAAAAACAGGCAATAAACACAAACTGCTCTAAAAATTGGAAAATGTTACAGAATTGGGTTGTCTAAGATTGACTGACTCAAGGCACTCAAACTGCAGTTCTCCAGACCAGGCCAGTAGAGGGAGCTGTCGGCTTTGGAAATATGACATCATACCAGCCACGCGGCATGAACAGACTCCAGGAATTCTTAGCATAAGGCATTTACCATGCAGATGGAGGGGCAGGGTTAGTAGGGGAGGGCAGCATCCCTGCTCTTTGCAGGGCAGGCAGGGGTCTGAAGGAGGAGCCAGGCAAGCCCCAAGCTGGCTGAGGAGCCCTCCTGGCTGGCCAGCGGGCAGGGGTGTGGCGCTGCCATGGCCAATCAGAAGAGCTCAGAAAAGCTCACAGGAAAAGATAAGGCAACGCTGGGAAACCGAGACTCACCAAGTTCTACTCTCTTATTTGAAACGGTATAAACTGAGAAAAAAGGAAGCACTTCAAAACAACATGAACATCACAATGAGATCACACTAAGATCGTGATCGTGTGCACTGCTAATAAAATAAGATAAATAACATGAAGAGGCATTGTTCCTGGGTTCTGACCAAGTCATAAATTCTCCTCTGAACTGGGACTCTCCCCGATTCAGCTCAGGAACCAGGGCTCCCCCGCAGCCCAAACCCACAGCTGCCCCTGAGAATCCCTCCCGTTCTGTCCCCGTCCCCGGGCAGCATCCTGCCAGGCTGGCTCTCAGCACGTAGCCTCAGAATTTTACAATTAAATGCAAGAAATAACAAGTTGCAAGCACACATCAGAGGTTCCTTATACCCAAAACAAGCTTCACGTGCTGTATCCCATCACCAGCTCAAAGAGACCCCTGGCGTTTCCTCACTTTACCACGTCCATGCTATTCTGTTAAAGCACAACAAGGAAACAGAAATAAACACACAACTCTATCCATGGGACTTCTTGTTCCTTTCTTTGGTTATCTTATTTTATTTTTGTTAGTGGAGCGGTGGTGAAAGTTGAAATGACTGGCTAAATGAGACTTAGGGATTACATGGGGATTTATTTTCAAACGTTCTCTCCATTTACAGACCTAGTACAGATTTGGCTGTATTTTTATTGTGCATTAAATAGCCGAGGAAATTAGACTTTTTAGAGAACACTCAAAAGGCAGATGAAGGCATTTGCATCCGAATTCGTACTCATAAATGCTGTGTCCTCCAGAAACCCAGAGCTTCCAACTCTCAGACAACCAACCCAGTTGCCATAGCAAATAATATAAACATATGGTTGCTTTAAGATTGCGCTTCACAATGCTGATTCTGCTTAGTGCGACTGCTGTCTACACAAGCCATCCTCCATCACTGGTTTGGCACGGGCTTGTGACGCAACCCTGGTTGGTGAGATGGCAACGATACTCTGCTGGAGCCTTCTGGAAATGTTTTCCTGTCTTATAAAGGGAAACGCCGACAGGGATTTGCTCCTCTTCCTTGATGTCCCTGAGTGTTGCAACGTGAAGCCGTGGCACTTCTAGCAGCTGGGGCCACCTTGGGACCATGAAGGAAAAGGCGAATGTATTTCTGAGAAGTGGCTCTAGGTCCCAGCATCACCCAGCTACTCAGTGAAGCAACCCTGCAACATCGCCCGCAGATGTCTTGTGTTGCAAGAGAAGGCAGTGTCCTTGTGGTTGAAGCCAAAAGCATCCTAACAGGTACTAGGCTCAAAAGAGAGCTGGGGAAATACAACTGAAAACCAGAGTTTTGGTTCATTTGAGTAGGGAAATACTGAAAAGACTGATCTCAGCCAGGGCTTGCAAGAACACTCTTGGACACTCAGGGGAAAGGAGAAATCGCCACAGCTTTCTAAAGACCACTTGGCAGCTGCATACACTTAAAACAGGCACAGCCCTTGCTGAAGCAATTCTGTTCTAAGAGTGTGTCTGCACATTGCTTCTCCTCTTCCTTGCCCTGCTTTCGGCCTAGGAAGCTGACCTGCACCAACAGCACCTGCCCAGTTTCCGCCCCAATGAGGTTTCTGGGTTGGCTCAGCAGGGGACCAGGGTGGAAGGAGCGGGACATCTGGCCCTGCCTCCCACTCCGGCCCCTGGCTGCGGTTCTAGGCCGAGGCTGCCTCTCGGGTTCCAGCTTCTTGGCCTGTGTCACTCGGGTTCTAGGCCGAGGCTGCCTCTCGGGTTCCAGCTTCTTGGCCTGGGTCACTCTCTGCAGAGTCCCTCCCCTTAATCCTTTCAATGTTGGTTCCCTTAACTCTACCCTTCCCCCCGTAATTGACAGGCCCTCATCAACTCCTCTGTTCAGCCCTCTGAGACCACCTGTCACTCAACATGCTTCAAGCTGCCAGGATCCTAACACGCTGTCCTCAGAGATGCACCCCAGATCCAAAGACTTCACTACAGCCTTGCTGCCGTTGATTAACTCAAAAGCCCACCTGTCCAGTAACTGGGACAGTTAAGTATACCACGGTTCATGCATTTTACACAATATCCTCTTTTCCAACAAATATTTAAGAAGCAAGTACTTCATGTTCAAGGACTGGCCTAAGAGCCGGGTCCACCACAGTGAGTGAAGGCCAGTCATAACGCAGCCTCTCAAATTTGAAGTCTTGGTGGGGAACCGGGCATGAGCCACACATCCCCGTGCAGGAAGGCAGGGCTACGAGCGCCTGGCAGGGCTCAGGGACACCGACACAGCAGGAGCTTCTAGATTAATAACCATGTGAACAAAACCACTAAAAACACAGTCTCAACAGCACTAGCCCAGTCATGTGAATACAAAGCGCACATACATACGTGTGTGTTTGGAAAGGACTGAATGAGGTCTGAAGAGGTGACTCCTGAGTGCTGATAAGGGAGCTGGAATATTTGGAAGACAGAGAAGGGATCTTTTTCTTCCTCCCTGATAATACTTTTGTAGTCATTTTTGGCTGTAAGCAAATATGCATGGACAGCTTTTGAAATTAACAAATCATCAAAGAAATAAAACTGGTTATGAAATTGATTAAAATGGGACATCACCTGATTGGGCCTAAACAGCCTCTTTGGCAAAACAGCACAGGAAAGTCATGAACACATGCTCACCTGCCTTCCTCATTTTCACTTTAATTCCGTGATGCCTCTGTGTCTGTCTGACAACATCTCTCGTGGGGTCTGTGACTCTGCTGGTCTTCAGTGCCCACTGAGAGGGGTCCTTTGCCGTCATCAGGCATAAAATCTTCAAAGCTCTCCATCCTCAATGTGGGGTCCCTGGGCCAGTGGCATCAGCCTCACCAGGAAACCTGTTGATCTGCTCATTCTTGGGCCCCACCCCAGGCCTATTCAAAGAAAGACTCCAGGGGCAGGGCCTGGCAGTCTGTGTTTCCACCAGATCTGTGTTAATGCTCACATGAGCCAGCCCAGGTGATGCTGACGCCGGAGGCGCAAGATTGGGAGCCAGTGTCTAAGGAAACTATGCCCATGGGGACAGGGGCAGCCCCTGGAGGTTCAGAAAGAAATTAGGGAAAATCTCTTCGGCACATTGAGGCAATTAAGACACACACAAGGAAGCTTTTTAATCTGTGTTTGTTTAAATGGTGTAAAGTCCCTCTCCCCTCTGCCTCCGTATGCAACCTCAACAATTCAGTCCCAAAGCCTCAGGCAGCAGCCTAGGTTGGGTGTCCAGGGATCAGAGCCCAGGCCAGAGGGTGGGTGCACACAGTGGCGGCCACAGAGAGCTCAAGCAAATCAGTAAGTAGGGGAAGATAACAAAAGCCAGTAAAAAAGAAAAAAAAGGCCAGGCCCGGCGGCTCACGCCTGTAATTCCAGCACTTTGGGAGGCCAAGGTGGGCGGATCACTTGAGGTCAGGAGTTCAAAACCAGTCTGGCCTACATGGTGAAACCCCGCCTCTGCTGAAAATACAAGAAGTAGCTGGGCACGGTGACTGGCGCCTATAATCTCAGCTACTCGGGAGGCTGAGGCAAGAGAATCGCTTGAACCTGGGAAGCAGAGGTTGTAGAGAGCTGAGATTGTGCCACTGCACCCCAGCCTGGGCGATAGAGCAAGACTCAGACTCAAAAAAAAAAAAAAAAAGAAAAGAAAGAAAGAACGAAAGAAAACAAGAAGTAAAGAAAAAATACATTATAATAATGATTTTATTTAAATTGAAAAGGCAGAGTAAACCCATCTAGGCATCAAATCATTAACAACAGTTATCTCCAGAGAGCAGACTGAAGAGAGGGCTGACAGTGAGGTGGAAGAGGTATTCACCTCTAATTTCCTTGCTCATGTGGGGTCATTTTCCCCCCAAACACTGTGTATTGTATTTTAAAATCAGCCTCCAAGAACATCAGCCAGGCCAAGTGGAGGAAGCAGGATAATGGCTGAGGCCTCTGCCCGCCTCCTCCTGTCCACCCAGGCAGGTTTCCAGCTGTGATGCTGCCCTCAGGATAGCCCAGACCCTGGTACATACCCCGGCCACCCGATCCTGCTACCTGACTTGGACTCCAGCTCTGTCTGGCAGCACGGCTACCCCTGGGTGGGCCAGCTCCCAAGAGAGCTGAGAACACAGGAATCTTCCCTCCTATCCAGCTTCCCACCTGCCACAGTCTGAATGTTTCTGTCCTCCGAAATTCCTGTGCGAAAATCCTGCCTCCAGGATGACACTACAGCAGGTGGCTTTCGGAGGTGATTAGGTCCTGACGGAGGGGTCCTCGTGGTGGGATTAGTGCCCTCACAAAAGAGGCCCCAGAGAGCTGCTTATTTCCTTTATCACAGCCTAAGCAGATGAAGACACCATCTGTGACCAAAGGCAACAGAGAGAAGCCAGGAGTGTGACTAGAACCATCGAGGGACACCACCCAATTTCTGTTCCTTAAGGAAGATGGCAGGGACAGGCCTCTGTTGATGAGGAGGATGGGGTATTACACCTAATTCAGTGAACCCTGCAAAATTCCGGCAATGCCCCACAGATAGAAGGGCAGAAAAGGAGAGGTGGTCTATGGGGACGCTTTGAGACCCACTGATGCCATTTTTCAACACTCCAGGCACATGAGGCCAGGGAGGGCACTAAGCTCCCGAGGCCACCTTCCCCCTGAGGTCCCACCAGGCAAAGGGTGGGGGCTGCTCCTTGGTTGTTACAGGCTCCCATGCCACACTCAACTTGGAAGTAAAACTACACAGCCCAGGAGGGGAGTGGCTGCGGGGCCTGCACCTGGACCCGAGTTCTTCCCACCACGCCCCAGGCTGCTGGGCACTGAGCCTGGATGGAAATCAGCTGGAGCCCTTTCCTTCTTCCTTTGCCAGAGAGCCCTCCAATCTCCAAGAGGACCTGTGTCATCCTTGACTTAAAATAAACCAGAGAAGGATGAGCACAGTCCCTGCAGAAGAATGAGCAAGCCAGAAAAAAAAAAAAATAAAATAAAATAAAGCAAAAACAAAAAACAACCCTGGATCACTGTAAAGACAGTGAGATTCAAAAAGAAGGGGCTGGGCTACAGGTTTCAGGGCAGCATCTTCATCTGAAATAGATCGATTGCTCCCCGGTTGTCTAGTGCCTAGGAAACAATTTAAAAAATGAAATTGGTTTATTGCAAGAAGCAAAAGAACATTTTTCAAATTTTAACAATCCATATTCTTAGAAAAATTCAATAGGTCACTGACTCAGTGAAAAACATAAGCATTTGTGGAAAGGGAAGCAATTTGAAATCTGGAGAGACTGCATAAAGTTAAAAAAATTTAACCGCGTTTTTGAATATGGTGCTATAAGACCAATAACTTTTGGTAGAATATGTTGGAAGAAAACAACCACAAAGAAATATGGGCTTTTACTTAGGTCTGATGCTGGTAGCAGTGGTGGTATTCTAATTTCTGATTCTTTGGTTAAAAAAAAACTGTTCATAGCTGGAAACTGAGCTAATGAGGTGACTGGGTCTCTTTTCCCTCCAGGGAAGTGCTGGTGCTGGATGTGGGGTTCTGGGTGCTGTCCAGGGGACCCTCTGGCAGTATTCAGTTCCTAGGCTGCTCCACAACTCTACAAGGTTAGAAGTTAAGCTGTAAAACTGATTGTCCACAGCAAGGCAATTGCATTGTATCTGGTAGAGATATAATTTACTTCCTGTTATAGCTCAGGCTGCTATGACAAAATACCATAGACTAGGTGGCTTAAACAATAGACATTTATTTCTCACAGTTCTGGAGGCTCCTCCTCCTGTTTGCAGGCAGCTGTCTTCTCACTGTGTCCTTACATGGTGGGGAAGGAGCGAGCTCTGGTCTCTTCCTCTTCTTATAAGGACACTAATCCCATCATGGTGGCCCTACTCTCATGATCTCATCTAAACTTAATTACTTCCCCAAATCCCCACCTTCTAATGCATCACATTGGGAGTTGGGGTTTTAACATATGAATTTGAGGGGGAGGACATAAACATTCAGTCCATAACATCACCTTATAGAAAAGATAACCCACAACATTATATTCTATTGCCTTATAGGATATTAACCAGTTTTGCATCTATTAGCAGATGTATTTCAGCATTTGTGATTGCCTCTATGTGCCTGTTCTTCAAATTTCCTTTGAACTGGCCTTAACTAATTACTAGCCCATCACTAATTAATGAGTTTTCACTTTCTGTCCACCTAAGAGTCAAATTTTTAAGCTTTTGAAAATTATCCTTTAGTATCACCACTTTGTGCACATTTGTCGTAGGACAGGAAAATGGGTAAATGCATTGTGATTGCTGCAAACCAGGTTTCTTGCCGACAAAGAATGGGGGAAGCATATGGAAAGGGTGAAGAGGAGGAATACTATGGTGTTGCATTTGGATTGGAGGTATCCTTATTTTTTAAATATTTTTTTTTCTAACTCTGCTCACTGAAATGCCTAGAAGCAATAACATTTAGTGTGAATGAGCACAGCTAGAGTCCAGATTTTGGTTTCTAAATACCATTCCTCACTAAAAAAAGAACTATCATTCCTTGAAGATACAGCTGGTTACAGACAGGGACTGGGAAAGTCCAGGGAGAATGTGGAACACTTTGGTGTGCCATAAATCAAGAAAATACTCAAAACTGACAGAAATATGACAAAAGGACACTGGAGCCATCTTCAGGGTTACCAACTGGCTGGGTTTGGGATAACTTCAGCACTGAAAAGAACAAAGGCGTTATTGAAGTAGAACACACGAGATTTTTAAAAAATGAGTAATGGTACCAAAAAAAGGGTGGGGCTAAAGGAAAGCTCTTCTTTATAGAAAAATATCAGATAATAAGTGTAAAATAAATGATTCAGAAAAGGATTATCAATGGCAAAAACTGGTGGGGAAACAGGATATTCATACAATCTCTAAGTATCACCTTGCAGATTACTTACTAATTACAGAGGGGAAATATCTGCCTTTAAAATGGAGAAATGTAAGCAGTTCGTCAAATTTAGCATCACCCACACCAGGACACACTGGCAGTATGTGTCCTGATAGGACACACCAAGGACATATCATGGCCAATGCCATATTCTTGCCAAAAATATACGATGTGCTCCTGACTCTGAAGAAACAATCATGGGTGAATATAAAATCAAAACACCTGCAAACAGGCAAGACTCTGGAAAGCACCTCATGGGTATCAAAGCACAGCTATTATCTCTAACGCACAAAGAGCTCTGGCAGATCAGTAAGAAAAGAAATCCCCTCTTATCGTACATTCTCATATTGTCATGACCTAATCCTTGTCCCAGCTCTCACCAGCAACACCTGTCCCTCATCTGTATTTCTAGCAGGGACCAGATTTTGGAGCTCCTTCTCTTCCTGACTTGCCATGGAGACCTCTTTACTTAGAGGTCTCAGAGCATTTCAAAGTCATGATAGCCAGCTCAAAACCAATGTTCCTCCCATTCATCTTCTTTTACTTATATGCCCTTTGCAGTTGGTGTTATCCCCTGTCCCAAAGCCCAAAGCCATCCTAGACCCCCAGCTCTCCTCCATGGCCCGCATCACCACCACCGCCAACTGTGTTTCTAGCCACACAGCTCCCGGCCCTTCCCTGTGCTCTGAGCCCTCTGCTACGCCCCTGGGATCCTCTCACCCCTGTCACCACTCACGCAGCCTCACGCTACTGAAATACATTCCCTTGCATTGGGCTTAGACCCTTAATGGTCTGGTCCCCATCCTTCCCTCATCTCTCCTAGACACACGCCATCCTACAGCCATGCCCACCTACACTGTCCCTAAGACTCGCCATTCCTGAGAACTGCCCGGCTCCCTCTCAGCCCCAGCTCAAATCCCCTTCTTGCAAGACCTTATCATGAACTTCAGGCTAGATAGAGTGTTCTCATCCCACAGCACCAAGCTCCGGCAGACAGATGGTGCTGGGCTTCGTGTGTTTCTCTGTCCCATGAGCTGCAGAATTACTCAAGGACGGGGCTGCCCTGCACTTCTGTATCCTTGGTCCCTGACATGGCAGCTGGCCCACGAGAGGAAACGAATCACTGAATGCCTTACAAAGCCCTTTCACACTCTTGCTAGGTTTTCAAAGCCTGGAACCCTCCATGGAAGTGATGCCTCACGCTTCGAAACCTGAGGAGGTGAACACATGTTAGCACAGCCCCTGGCCCTTTCTAAGTTTGAAGAGTTCCCCCACTCTATTCGTCTTGATTGAAAAGTAGGGTGCCCAGACCACTCCCACCACAGGGGATGAAACTGTCAAACACTGGTTTTCCAGCCTCCCTGGCCCCCCACCCATCAGATCCACCCAGGGTGGCTTTGGTCCAGGAGCTTGTGAAGCAACAAGGGACAAGGAGGTCTCCTTTTGGTGACAGCAACAGCCATTTCCCAACCAGAATCAACATACAGTGTGGTCGGGGGCACTTCCTCCAGTTTCCAGGCCCTGAGTGGGATTCTCAACAACCCGACAACCGTGTAAGCTTCCCCTCCTTCCTTCAACACACAAGCGCCTGTTCTTCCTGGCTCAGCTGCAGGCAGCTTCTTTGCTTGCAACTGAGAACTTGACCGATGAAACAGACAGAATCTTTGGAGGCAAAGAAATGTGAAAGGGGTCAGTGATAAACCTGGTCAAGACCACTGTTCCAAATGAAGTGTGATTATGAAGAGGCAAGCATAGGTTTCATGTCTGTCCTCAAAAAAATGTCTGGATACAGTTCCAAAGCAGGAGAGTCGCAATGCACTTGGCAATATTGACATAAGCACTGTCTTCTTGATGACTGATGGGCTGAGGGCCACATGCTTGGATACCCGCTCACAAGATGCTCCCACTGACTTCATCTCAGCTTGTTACACGGATACTCTAACAGCTCTCAGAAACAGTTCCTGGCGTTTCTTTAACTCTACAGGTGAAGTGCAAAGTCACCTTCTACACGTGTCTACTTTCATGATTAACTATCACTGAGACACATGATTGTGTCTCTTCCACTGGTGGGTCTGCCAGCCTCGTGCCACCCCCAGTCTTCGGGAGCAGGATGGAGTGTGAGGCTTCAGGTGAAGCGGTGACAAGGGTGGCTTTCTGGTACAGATTCATATTCAAAAACTTTGGGCAGTATCGGAGCTTGATCTGCCCATACTGAATTCTGAACAAGTGGGTAAATGCATAGCGTGTGGTCACAGCAATCAGCCCTTCCCTGGCACCCCTTGGTAGCAGGACATGGTCTCTGATCATTTCCATCCTGACTGCATCGCAACGGGAGCCCGGGCTGCCCGGCGGCGGTGCTCTGGCCACGGCTCTGAGAGGAAAGGGGAAAGCCAGCTCTTACCTGCCTGTGCAGCTGTGATTAGGGCTGTGTTCCCCTCGCTGTCCTGCCAGTTGACGTCAACGTGGGGGCACTCTGCTAAGGCCACCACGGTATCCACAAAGCCGTGGTAGCAGGCGACAATAAGGCCGGTCTAGAAATGAAGAGGGGAAGCGGGTCAGAGGGGCAGAGTCGGAGCATGGTGGGTCAGCACTGGGGACCCCGAGGGGCACCCACTACCCTCCAGGGGGCTGGACAAGGCAATGACAGGGACCTGGAGTCCCAATTCTCAGAGATGGTTTAGAGTGAGCCAGCCGCTCGATCCTTCTCAAATGTGTGTTGAGCACTGACTCGAGTGAGGGCCTAGACGTGAAAACATCAGTGAACTGCTAAGGTCTCAGCCCTCCTGGGGTGTGCTTTCTCCAGGGAGGGAAACACACCAACTATGGGGCTCGTAGAGAAATAAACGACAGAGCACGGCAGACGGCGATGGGGTAAAAAAGGTGTGTGCAGGGCGGGTGCAGCTCTCTAGGGAATAGAGTGGTCAGGCTGGGCTTGGCAGAGGTGATGTTGGGGTCCGTGTGTGAAAGAGGCAAGGCAGTGGGCCACAGGGACACAGAGAGGGGAAAATGCCCCAGTAGAGGAAACAGCTCAAGCAAGGGCCCCAACTCAGGACTGTGCCTGGTGCATCCAGGGAGCAGCCCATTGGCCGGCAGGGCTAGAGCAGAGTGAGTGAGAAGAGGAGGAGTAACCCGGGTCCAGGAGGCAACAGGAGGTCTCAGAGACCGTGGACAGGGGCCTGGGGACCCCCTGAGTAGGGGGAGTGTCCTGAGCCATCGGCTGCCAATCATCTGCATCCACTCTGGCTGCTGGGTGGGAAACAGGCTCTAGAAGAATGGGGTGGAGGAAGGGGGCTGATGGGAGACCACTGTGGGGCCAGGCAGGCAAGGATGGTGTCACACCAGGGTGGGGGCAGCAGCTGGGGAGGCGAATTTGGATTCTGGAAAGGAAGATTTGCTGTTAGAATGGAGGTGAGGTTGAATAGAAAAAGAGTCCAGGATGACCCCAGAGTTTCGGCCCTAGCAGCTGAGAGGATGCAGTTGCCATCAAATGAGAGCGACAGGATGTGGGACAGAGCGGGCGTGGGGACAGATGGCACGCAGACTTCAGTGTACTGTGGGAGACTGTCTCTGGACAACCCAGTGGTGACGTCAGGTAGAGATGAATAGCAGCGTGGAGTCATGGAGAGAGAACCAAGCTGGATACATACACTGATAGTTGATTTTGTAGATCTATTAATTAAGTATTACCAAATGTTAAAATCCTAGCTCCCAGTGGAATGGCGCAGGAAGTGGGGCTTTGGTGGGGTGATTAGATCACGAGGGTGGAGTCCTCATGAATGGGATTAGTGTCCTATAAAAAGGACCTCAAGAGCTCTCTTGTGCCTTTTTCCTCCATGTAAGGACACAGAGAGAAGTCTACAGTCTGCATCCTGGAAGAGGGCCCGGGCCAGAACCCCACCATGCTAGCGCCCTGATCCTGGGCTTCCAGCCTCCAGAACTGTGAGAAATAAATTTCCACTCTGTAAAAGATCTTGGACTTCTAGAACTGTGAGGAATAAACTTCCATTCTGAATAAGTACCCAGTCTATGGTGCTTTGTTGCAGCAACCCAAGTTGACGAAGAGACCTCGTAACAAAGGAAAACAGCGTAGACTCAGGTGTGAGGCTCACCGCCTCACAGACGTAGATACGGTGAGATGCTAAAATTCAACCCAGGGCAGGAGCTAATGACCAGGCAATCAAGTGTCACTCTTGGCACTGCCAGTCACACCACCACTGCATGAGAGGCACAAAGTTTATATTGAGAGCAACTCCACAGTGGCCCAGCCCAATCTTCACCAGATTTTTTTTTTTTTTTTTTGAGACAGAGTTTCACTCTTGTTGCCCAGGCTAGAGTGCAATGGTGCGATTTCAGCTCATTGCAACCTCCACCTCCTGGGTTCAAGCGATTCTCCTGCTTCAGTCTCTCAAGTAACTGGGATTACAGTCATGTGCCACCACGCCCGGCTAATTTTGTATTTTCAGTACAGACAGAGTTTCATCATGTTGGTCAGGGTGGTCTCGAACTCCTGACCTCGTGATCTACCCACCTCAGTCTCCCAAAGTGCTAGGATTACAGGCGTGAGCCAACACACCCGGCCAATTTTTAGTAAGAATATAATTTTTCATGGAACAACAAGAGGACTCGAGTAGCCCTGCCCACTTATCTCAATAAGGCTCCTAGTTGCCCCACAGAAGAATATTAAATCACAAATATTCACATGTTTAAAGTTCTACAGAATACCATTGATTTTCTAACACTGACATCCATACCACAGCATAATCAACTCAATAACTGTTGACTATGGTAAAGCCTCTTTAATATAATCTAGCTTAAGCACCCTTTGAAATAGGTCATTCCATCTATATGGTGAAATGTTTCACAATAATCTAATTTTAAATAGAAAAGAGTGGGCTGCAGGCAGGCTCTACTTAAAAGCCACTGAGGTTTTCAGCCTCTTTGGGAACTAAGAGTTCGCTGCCACCACCACCTCCATTCTCCCAGCTAACCTACCCACCTGCTTTCGCATAAATGTGCCGGAAAACTTGTCATCCCACCAGGGAGCACCCAAAAATCATTTTTAACTTCTTTGGATGGAGATATTGCTCTAGTATTCTACAATTTCCTGACTTATAAATAAAACATATTGAACATAATGTAACATCTTCCTTTGCATATAATTACACAAGTAATTCATATTTATTGCAGAAAAAGATCCAAAAATTAAAGAGAAGAAAAAAAGTTATAGACCAGACACACACATATGCACACATTTTTCTTCAAACTAAAACAGGACCATTTGCTATATGTCTTAGTTAGGACTATATCAGCAATATCTTCACATCAATAAAAGTAACTCTGTGTCAAAATTCCTGGTAGATACAGACTATCCTATTCTATGTGGGGTAGAATTGTCATTATTTAACAAATCCCTATTCTTGGATACTCAGATGATCTGTTTCTCACTTTCTTTCTCATGAGTAAAACCTGCAATGAAAAGCCCTAGAGCTAAGGCTTTGTGTATTTTGTTTCTCGTTTTCTCAGGAGACATTGTTAGAAGCAGGATTTCTGGATTAAAGAAAATAGGTATTTTGAAAGCTTTTAGCATATTCCAGCTTGGAATATGCTAACCTGCTCTTCAGGAAGGTCCCAGATGGCATCTGCCTTTGCCAACCCTGATATCCAACCTGCACTTAAAGGGCTCAGGTTAAAAGGAATGCCTTCCCTAGGTGGATACAAGAGAGACACTCTCAGGGTTCCGGAAGTATCTGGCTCCTGAATTAGGTCTCTTTCAGGACCACCCTACTCTTCCCTCCTTCTCACCTCAACCAGTGAAGGGTTCTGCTCTGGACTAATAGCACCTCCTTCTCCCCACCACACTCCTCCAGCTTCCTAAGGTAAAACTTCCCAAAATGTGCAGCAGGCACCTGCTGACAGCCACCTTGGGAAGGCTGATATAACATTTAGAAACCTAAGAACATCACTTTTTTTGTTTTTTGAGATGGAGTTTTGCTCTGTTGCCCAGGCTGGAATGCAGTGGTGTGATCTTGGCTCACTGCAACCTCTGCCTCCTGGGTTCAAGCAATTCTCCTGCCTCAGACTCCCGAGTAGCTAGGACTACAGGTGCCTGCCACCAAGCCCGGCTAATTTTTGTATTTTTAGTAGGGACAGGGTTTTACCATGTTGGCCAGGCTGGTCTCAAACTCCTGACCTCGAATGATCCACCCACCTCAGCCTCCCAAAGTGTTGGGATTACAGGTGTGAGCCATGGCACCCAGCCAGAACATCACTTATTATATTAACAAATTAAATGAGGCCAGGTGCAGTGGCTCATGTCTATAATTCCAGCACTTTAGGAGGCCAAGGTGGGAAGACCACTTGAGGCCAGGAGTTTGAGACCAGCCTGGGCAAGACAGTGAGATGGCATCTAGAAGAACCACACCAAAATATTAAGAACAGAAGGAAGATGAATGGGAGGTGTGTGATGGTTAATTTCATGTATCAACTTGGCTAGGCCACAGTAGTACCTAGGTATTTGGTCAAACATTATTCTAGCTATTTCTGTGAAGGTATTCTTTAAATGAGACTGATATTTAAATCAACAGACTTTGAGGAAAGTAGATGCCCTCCGTCATGTGAGTGGGCCTCATCCAATCAGCTGAAGACTTTAAGAGAAAAAAGGCTGGCCTCCCCACACCCTGGAAAGAAGAAACTTGACCGGCAGCACTGCCTTCAGAGTCAAACTGCAACTCTTACCCAGATCTTGAACTTTTCATGGAAAAGTTTTGAACTTGCCAGCCCCTACAATCGCACACGCCAGTTCCTCAAATCTCTCTCCTTCTCTACATATATGTTTATACACACACACACACACACACACACACACACACACACGATTTCTCTGGAGACCCCTGACTAATCCAGGGTTGGTGGGGTGGGGAAGGAACATTTTGGAAGAACTACTTTCAACTTTTTTTTTTTTTTTTGAGATGGAGTCTCTCTCTGTCACCAGGCTGGAGGGCACTGACACGATCTCGGCTCACTGCAACCTCCGCCTCCTGGGTTCAAGCAATTCTCCTGCCTCAGCTTGCTAAGTAGCTGGGACTACAGGCGCATGCCACCATGCCCAGCCAATTTTTGTATTTTTAGTAGAGATGGAGGTTTCACCATATTGGCCAGGATGTTTTCAATCTCGTGACCTTGTGATCTGCCCTCCTTGGCCTCCCAAAGTGCTGGGATTACAGGCGTGAGCCACCCCATATGATTCTGTGCAGTTAGAATTCTTATGTAAAACAAAGCTGTATTCATGAGGAAATTATATCATTTTAATTAACATTGAAAAAAGTAAGCAAACACAATGTTTACATTAATAACATCCTCTCCTGGCTAACACGGTGAAACCCCATCTCTACTAAAAAAAATACAAAAAAAAATTAGCTGGGCGTGGTGGCAGGAGCCTGTAGTCCTAGCTACTCAGGAGGCTGAGGTAGGAGAATGGCATGAACCCGGGAGGCAGAGCTTGCAGTGAGCTGAGATCGTGCCACTGCACTCCAGCCTGGGCAACAGAGCAAGACTCTATCTCAAAAAAAAAAAAAAAAAAAAATCCTCATTAAGAAATAGTTTTACAATAACCACTATAAACAAATGCAAACAAGAGCTGTCTGAAGGAAAAAGGAGGGCCGGATGCTGCGTGAGGCCCAGCACAGTCTGCAGAAGAAGAAGCGGGAGCCCACGACAGCCAGGGGAGAGACTGAAGCACCAGAGGCCCAGGGAGCCCCAGAGCCACGTGGGGCCTATGGTACCACAGTAGGGGAGCCATCATCCTGATGCCCCAGAAGAAAAAGGATGTTACCATGCTCGAGTGTGAGAAAAAATTCCAAGAACGAAGAGAGTACATTTCAGATACTTAAAACTCCATTTCTATAAAACCCCATAATAACACCAGCAATAGGTCGGGGGAGATGTCTATGTGGCTTTATGAATGAATGCAAGAATTCTGGCCTCTAAAGAGCTACTATATTTCTAAAAGGCTGCCATGAGCCCCTGCTAACACATGTGTGATTTGCTGGGTAAACTATTTTAGGCAAGTTTCAATCATCTCAGGATGTTTTAAGACAATGCAAATTAAAATCATCAGGGGTCTAAGAAAAGAATCTTGCGCTGGGGACGGGGTGGGCATCCAGGATAAACATCGATGACAGCATTTGGTCGCAGCAGCTGCAACGGCGCAAGAGAGATGGATTCCCTGTGAGGGGACAACTTCCTGGTTCAGTTCACACAGGTAATGCAAGAATACTCGGGCAGCGTGAATGAAGACTGACTCAAATGTTCTTCTGGTGACAGAGCCTTACCATCTGCCATGGACGGAACGTTTGTGTCCCTTCAAAATTCATATGTTGAAATCCTAACCCTCACGGTGATGGTATTAGGAGATGTGGCCACTAGGAGGTAACCAGGTCATAAGGGCAGAGCCCTCATAAATAGGATTGGTGCCCTTATACAAGAGGACCCAGAGAGCTGCCTTGCCTTCTCCACCCTGTGGGGACACAGTAAGAAGGTGCTGTCTATGAAACAGAAAGCAGGCCCATGATCTTGGACTTCCCAGCCTCCAAACAGTGAGAAATAAATCTCCATTGTTTATAAGCCACCCAGTTTACTGTATTTTGCTATAGCAGCCTAAACGGACTAAGACATCATCTAATTAAGCTATTCTCCAAACAAGATTCCAAAGGGAAGGATACTTCATACAAGTCTTAAAAATTCTAAGATCCCTCAACACCAGTTGATTGCTTCAACATATCATAGAAAAATGGTGAGTACTGCAGCCTCAAGCCCGGCGCCACAGGCAGGAATCCTTTCCCTGGGCCTAAACAGAATGAAAGAGCATGAGAGGGAGGCCCCAGTAAGGCAGGGAATCTTCAACACATGTGGCCTGTAGAGAAGACCAAGTGTGCATATCAATCACCACCTGCTGGCCTTAAATTCCACACTACACTAGGCACTGGGTGTCATACAAGGCAAACCCTTCCCAATCAAGTCTCAACCAGGCAGCAAACTTCCTTTCTGAAGGGACTCCCCAGGAGTTCAGGTTTGTCTGCAATTTCTACGATATGCCATCTATTTTCCTTGAAATACACTCCCCAAGTGTGATTGTTAGTATCTTGAACCAGATCCTTTCTGGGATGTGTTGTTAGAAGTTTGGAGGGTAAAGGTCAGGCCCAGGTCTAGTGCAGAGGGGTGGCAAGTGGCAAGGGGAGAGGACTTCCTGGCCGGGAGGCAGGACCCAAGGGTCAATCCCTACAGGGTGTGGCCCCAGCACCGCAGGTCAGACACCACCATTTCAGCCCACTGCTTCTCCAAAGCCAGCTCATAATAAAGAATCCCATGGAACGTTCCATGCACCAAACTCTTAACCACAGATCAGTGTTGGGGAAAAGCAGGCGAACCACACAGACACAGGGACAACCCCCACTGAGCTGCCTAGACTCAGGCAGCCCCTGTTCCAAGTGCCCTTTGGTATGTGTGTATCAGAGTTTATTATGAGAAAAAGTCCAAATATAGAGAAAAGTAAAATAGAAAGTAAGATAAGTAAGATAAACACCCATGTCTTCATTGGTAACATTAACAAAGGTCAATATTTTGTCATAACGGCTTCAAACTTTTTAAAGGAATCAACATTACAGAAAAAGTTGAAATGCCTTTTTGTGCTTTCTTCTCCATCCCTCCCAGAGGTGATCACTATTTGGTGCAGCTGTGTATGCTCTGATTTTGCTTTTGAATTTTTATTACATATGCATGTATCCATAAACAATATATTTTTATTTATTTATTTATTTATTTTGAGAAGGAGTTTCGCTCTGCTGCCCAGGCTGAAGTGCAGTGGCGCAATCTCAGCTTACCGCAACCTCCGCCCCCCAGGTTCAAGCAATTCTCCTGCCTCGGCCTCCCAGGTAGCTGGGATTACAGTCTCCCGCCACCACACCCAGCTAATTTTTTTATTTTTAGTAGAGACGGGTTTCGCCACGTTGGCCAAGCTGGTCTCAAACTCCTGACCTCAGGTGATCCACCCACCTCGGCCTCCCAAAGTGCCGGGATTACAGACGTGAGCCACTGTGCCCAAGCGATATATTTAATAGGGAGCATTATTTCCTATTGCAACTATTTGCACAAAATGCTCTCCATGTACATCTGAGCCTGAAACTTGGTTTATTCACGCAGTGCTGGACGTGATTCAGCCAAATCACTGGCAAATGCATCGTGACTGCTATAGTGTCTCTGCATGTTCATCCATGCCCCTAAACTGATAGACACTGTGTCCAAAGTTCTGTGACTACAAATACAGAGAGCACTGAAATTAAAACCTTGATCTGTATCTCCTGATGCACCTGAGCTGGAAATTAATTGCGATCCTCGCCTGTGTCAGTTTTTCGACCAGGGCACTATTGACATGTGGGGCCAGATAATTCTTTATTCGGGGGGGGGGCTGTCCCCTGTACTATGCAATCCCTGGTCTCTACCCATTAGACGTCAGGAGCATCTCCTACCCTCATTTATGACAACCCAAAATGCCTCTAGACATTGCCAAATGCACCCTGGGAGGCAAAATTGCCCCAGGAGAGAACCAGTGCTCTAAGTGGACAAGCTGGGGGTAGAACATGAGCCAAAGTCCTCTCCAAAGCGGCTGCAACAACTTCAACTCCACCACTCATGGGTGAAAGTTACAGTTTTTCTTCATTCTCACCAATTCCCAATACCTTTGCATTTTCACCAATCGGATGCTTAAACATTGTTATTGTGTTTTCACTTCGCATTCCTGATTGCCAGTAAGACTGGCCACCTTTCCATGCATCTATTGGCTGTCTGGATTTCCTCTTTGGTGAAGGATTTAATTATGTCTTTTGTCCATTTCCCATTGGCTTCTTTGTCTTTTCCTCATTGATCAGTATGAATTCTTTTTTTGTGTGTTTTGTTTTTTTTAGATGGAGTCTCACTCTGTCACCCAGGCTATAGTGCAATGGCACAATCTCAGCTCACGGCAGCCTCCATCTCCTGGGTTCAAGCGATTCTCCCACCTCAGCTGCCCAAGTAGCTGAGATTACAGGTGCCTGCCACCATGCCTGGCTAATTTTTGTATTTTTAGTAGAAATGGGGTTTCACCACGTCGGCCAGTCTGGTCTCGAACCCCTGACCTCAAATGATCTGCCCACCTCAGCCTCCCAAAGTGCTGGGATTACAGGGGTGAGCCACAGCACCTAGCCCAGTTTGAATTCTTTATAATACTTGAGGACAGTGCTGTCCAATAAAGACATAAGGGGAGCCACAAATGTAATGGAAAATTTTTTTTGGAGACAGGTCTTGGTCTGTTACCTGCTGGAGTGCATCACGGCTCACTGCAGCCTTCGCCTCCCAGGCTCAAACAATCCTCCCCCCTCAGCCTCCCTAGTAGCTGGGACTATGGGTGAGCACCACCACATCCAGCTAATTTTTGTATTTTTGTAGAGATGGTGTTTTGCCATGTTACCGAGGCTGGTCTCGAACTCCTGGGCTCAAGTGATCTGCGCACCTCTGCCTCCCAAAGTGCTGAGATTACAGGCATGAGCTACTGCACCTGGCTGATAATTTTTAATTTTCTAGTGGCCAAATTAATAAAAGCCAAATGAAATCCTAATAAATATATTGTATTTAACTCAACATATCCAAAATATTACCATTTCAAAATGTAATCAATAGAAAAATTTTAATGAGCTATTTTACCTTTTTTGGATGAATCTAGTACATATTTTACACTTACGGCACACCTCAGTTGCACTGTGTTCCACAGCCACTTGGAGGTACCAGCTACACTACTGGGCAATACAGCCCTAGACACTAAAGCTGGCATCAGGATGGCACTGGCGCCCAAGGCTGGCACTAAGATGTGGCAAAGGAGGCCCTGGGGCACCAAATTTAAAGAGGCGCTCCCTCTCAGGCACCACAGAGAGTAGGTGCCTCTGTAAATGCTGCCCCTGGACCTGAAGCTCTGTCAAGGGTGTTGCGATTGTTTTCTCGACACCACTTGTTTTTCATTTACCATCCCGTTTTACGTTTCGATGCAGTCATATTATTAATCTTTTCCTTTATAGGAATGCTTTTTGTCATGCGTTTAAGCAATGCCTCCCATTCAAAAACCCTAAAGATATTCCTCTGTATTTAATTTCAACAGTTTCAAGTTTTTTTTTTTTTCATAGTGAGGTCTTGAATCCACCATGGTTTTTATTATAGAAGTTTAATTTTACCTTTTTCTGTTTTCCTAGCACAATATATGAACACATCCATTCTTTTCCCATTGGTAGTAACAGCATGCTCAAGCTCATCCCACCTCCCCATAAACACAGGAATGAACCTGAGAGTTGCTCCCATTGGTCTAACAATCTACCTCAGCCCCAAGGCAATCCTGATTCGCTACTGCAGCCTTGTGTTTTGCAGGGAAGAAACCTTCCTTGCTCTTCCCCTTCAGAACTACCACGGCTCTTTTTTTTTTTTTTTTTTAGATGGAGTCTCGCTCTGTTGCCTAGGCTGGAGTGCAGTGGCACAATCTTGGCTCACTGCAATGTCCGCCTCATGGGTTCAGGCGATTCTCCTGCCCCAGCCTCCTGAGTAGCTGAGACTACAGTCATGCACCACCACGCCCATTTTTTTTTTTTTTTTTGTATTTTTTTAGTGGAGACAGGGTTTCACCATGTTGATCAGGCTGGTCTCGAGCTCCTGACCTCAAGTGATCCACCCGCCTCAGCCTCCCAAAGTCCTAGGAATATAGGCGTGAGCCCCCGTACTCAGCCTGCTGTTGCTATTCTTGATTACCAAGCTTCGTTTTAAAAGTCAAATTCAGTTCTCAGTCCTTCTAGAAGGAGTGGTGATGAAGATTGTGCAAAACACCAGACCACAGGTCACGAGAGGACGCCTAAGACGACATGCTCAGGCTGCCAGGAATAGGCATTTGTGCTCCTCCTAGAGAGGGCTAAAGGAAACTGCTGCTAGGAGGCACTCAGTAACAAGGAGCTTTAAATAAGAAGATGAACTCACAGACAGTCCAGCAGGAAAACAAGCAGCTGGAAGCTCATCGTCCAGTGTGTTTCACTGTCCCAAGTAGACTTCAGTATTCCTCAAAAATGTCCCTGACAACACTCTCTATTCTCTTCCACTTATCATATACAGTAGCATGCACAGGAGGAAGATTCACTCAAGTATGGGCGACGGTCTGTGAAGAAGCTGGTGAAAGTACACACACAAAGTCTTTTTTAATTGTTTGAACCAGGACAATTCAGTTGCACTGGATTCAGCTGCAGTACTCACTGGCGTTATTCCGTTATCTATTTCTTCCTGCCTCTTGGTAAAATTGCATTTCCCCACCCTTTCTGAGTTCTGACTTGACCATCTGGTTTGCTTTGGGTAATTAAACGTAAGTGAAATAGCAGGTGTCACTTCCAGGAGGAAGTTTCGAGAGACGGTGGACGATGTGCCACCTTCCCTTTTCTTGACTTGACTGCCCTTGAAGCTCAGAGATGCAACTGCTCCCAGACTGGGCCTCCGGAGTGAGGGCAGAGAGAGCAGAGCCCTGCCCCCTCTAGCCGGCGCACAACAGCATGAATGAGCGAGAGGCAAACCTTTGTTATTTTAAGCCACTGGGACTTGAAGTGGTTTGTTATCACAGCATCACAGTCTATTCTGAGTGTGTGTGTGTGCGTGTAACAGTAGCATACATCATCTATTCATGTGTCAGGTTGCCTACTTTCTTTTTCCCTTGGGAAGAACTGTCCTTTATTTTAAGATTATGTCTTTGATACTTGATTGGGCACAAAATGTACTTATAAAATGGGCTGGGCGTGGTGGCTCATGCCTGTAACCCCAACACTTTGGGAGGCTGAGGTGGGTGGATCACTTGAGGTCAGGAGTTCAAGACCAGCCTGGCCAACATGGTGAAATCCTGTCTCTATTAAAAATACAAAAAAATGAGCCAGGTGTAGTAACGCACACCTGTAATCGCAACTACTCAGGAGGCTGAGGCAGGAGAATGGCATGAACCTGGGAGGCGGAGCTTGCAGCGAGCTGAGATTGCGCCACTGCCCTCTAACCTGGGCGACAGAGCAAGACTCCACCTCAAAAAAAAAAAAAAAAGACAGAGTCTTGCTCTGTCGCCAGGCTGGAGTGCAGTGGCACGATCTCAGGTCACTGCAACCTCCACCTCGTGGGTTCAAGTGATTCTCCTGCCTCAGCCTCCCGAGTAGCTGGGACTACAGGCACTCGCCAACACGCCCAGCTAATTTTTGTATTTTTAGTAGAGACAGGGCTTCACCATGTTGGCCAGGATGGTCTCGATCTCTTGACCTTGTGATCCGCCCACCTTGGCCTCCCAAAGTGCTGGGATTACAGGCGTGAGCTACTGTGCCAGGCCAATATTTGTATTTTTATCTATGCTTTTCTGCTTCAAATAAAGAGATGCCTAATAAACTGTTTTAAATAAAGAAATGACATTTTATTAATAAAATAAATAAATATGTAAAATACATCAAGATAATTCCTTCCAACATGGGGTCACCTTGTAGCCCTGTAATCAGGATTTGATAAATTCAAGGTTGTCAGTAATTCAAAACAATTTCCCTTTAGACTAAATTTTGCATAAAACGTAAATCTTATTATCACTGCAAACCTCTCGCTGGGATTTATGATTTTAGATTAGTAATGTATGAAACCACTACTTTGTTCAACTGTATTCCCTCTGCCAACTTCATGTATATACCTAATCTATTCCTATCTCAGAGGCTCATCTAATTTTCCCAACACTGGGAGTGGTTTCCACGCAGTGATCATACAAGCATTATGTGATGAAAGAAAACTAAGCCTGTTAACCGTTGACCTGAAGGCAGTGACTGTCAGTAACAATTACATGTTCTTCCAACCATTGATTCACTTAATCTTTCTGAAATTAAGCTTGGAATTTTTACAACAGATGTACAAAGCTCGACAGAGAACTTAAAGGAACTAGCAAGGCTAGAAGAGCGGAACACAGAAACTCACTCAGCCAGGCATGGTGGCTCATGCCTGTAATCCCAGCAGTTTGGGAGGTTGAGGCAGGCGGATCACCTGAGGTCAGATGTTCGAGACCAGCCTGGCCAACATGGTGAAACCCTGTCTCTACTAATCATACAAAAATTAGCTGGGCATGGTGGCGAGTGCCTGTAATCCCAGCTACTTGGGAGGCTGAGGCAAGAGAATCACTTGAACCCGGGAGGCGGAGGTTGCTGTGAGCTGAAATCTTGCCACTGCACTCCAGCCTGGGCAACAACAACAAAACTCCACCTCAAAAAAAAAAAGGAAGAAGAAAAGGAAAGAAAGAAACTCAATGAGAAAGAGGTCATGCAGGGGATGAATTACAACAGCAAAAACACAGACCCTGTCCTAGTACCATGTATGTCTGTCATGAGTATACTTTTCTTATTCATTCCATACCCTGTACTTCTAATATTCACAACCACAACTGTGGTAGCCAGCCTCCTGGATGGCCCCAATGATCTTCGTTTCCTCCTGGTATTCACATCCTTGGTGATCACCTCCCATGCTGCATCAGGGCTGGCCCCATATGGCAGGAGTAATGGTGTGTGCCTTCCAAGGCCAGATCCTAAAAGATCTTGCAGCTTTCACCCTGGTCTCCTGGATTGCAGGCTCCTGAGGAAGCCGGCCGCCACGCCCTGTGGACACTCAAGCAGCTCTATGGAGAGACCCACAGGGAGAGGAACTGAGGCCCCCAGCTAACTGCCAGCACCAATGTGCCAGCCACGAGAGAGAGCCACTTTGGAAGAGGACCCTGTGGCCTCAGTCAAGCCTTCAGACAACTACAGCCACAGCCAGCATCCCACTGCAACTCACGAGAAACCCTCAGTCAGAACTGCCCAACCAGGTTCCCACATTCCCGAGCCATAGACACTGTGAGAGAAAATAAATGATAATTATTATTTAAAGCCACTGTGTTTTGGGGTGATGCATGTAGCATTAGATAATACAAACATCAACAAGTCATAAGGATAGAATAATGACAAAATCCAGTTACAATTTTCCAAAGCCTGTCATATTAACATATAATTCTATGTTTCTGTCTTGAGAACTGGATCATTCATTAAAGTTGAATATATGTTTATATAAGACAATATATAATTAAATAAAACATATTAGTATTTTATTATTAGCCATTGAGATCTACTAGATGTTAGGTGCAGCGAGATTAGATATAATTAATTCTGCAACTCAGCTAAGAAAATCTCCTCTCTGGACTTCACTATACTCCCAGAAGACACCAGGAGAGTGCTATATTTTTCTTTTTTTTTTCTTTTTTTTTTTTTTCAAAAAGGTTCTCCTTTTGGTCAGGCACAGTGGCTCACACCTGTAATCCCAGCACTTTAGGAGGCTGAGGTGGGAGGATTGCTTGAGGTCAGGGGATCGAGACCAGCCTGGTCGACATGGCGAAACCCCATCTCTACCAAAAAATATAAAAATTAGCCGGGTGCGGTGGCGCATATCTGTGGTCCCAGCTACTCGGGAGGCTGAGGTGGGAGAATCACTTGAACCCAGGAAGCGGAGGTTGCAGTGAGCCGAGATCACGCCACTGTACTCCAGCCCGGGTGACAGAGAAAGACTCTGTCTGAAAAAAAAAAAAAAAAAAAGCCAGGCGCGGTGGCTCACACCTGTAATCCCAGCACTCTGGGAGGCCAAGGCGGGTGGATCACAAGGTCAGGAGTTTGAGACCAGCCTGGCCAACATGGTGAAACTCCGTCCCTACTAAAAATACAAAATTAGCTGGGTGTGGTGGCAGGCACCTGTAATTGCAGCTACTGGGGAGGCTGAGGCAGGAGAATCGCTTGAACCCAGGAGGCAGAGGTTATAGTGAGCCGAGATTGCACCATTGCACTCCAGCCTGGGCAAAAAGAGTGAAACTCCATCTCAAAAAAAAAAAAAAAGTTCTCCTTTTGAAATTATTTTAAAAAGTTTAAAAAAAAACATTTTTCTATGGTATAATCTTACATTTATCAAATATTAGTAAAATTGAGGTATATAAAGAATTTTAATCATGAGGAAAGGCTTAAATTACCATAAGATAAATATACATTTAAAACAATTATATAAAATCATCTATTAACACTGCATGACAAAAAACAAGAGAGAAATGCACTAAGCCTTCAGTAGTAATTGATTCTGAATAGGTTATAAAAAGTTGTAAAAAGTCTCATTTTTCCCTACAATGAACATCTATTTTTATTTAATAATCAGAAAATACAAAATGTTTAAGGATGGGGCTGGGCACAGTGGCTCACCCCTGTAATCCCAGTACTTTGGGAGGCCAACGCAGGTGGATCATCTGAGGTCAGGAGTTCAAGACCAGCCTGGGCAACATGGCAAAACCCCGTCTCTACTAAAAATACAACAATTAACCTGGCATGGTGGTGCACACCTATAATCTGAGCTACTCAGGAGGCTGAGGCAGGAGAATCACTTGAACCTGGGAGGCGTAGGTTGCAGTGAACTGAGATCACTCCACTGCACTCCAGCCTGGGCGAGGGAATGAGACCCTGTCTCAAAAAAAAAAAATTTTTTTTAAGGATGAAAAAATTCTGATGAAGCTTCCCAGTCTCCTGCTTAACTACACAAGTGGATTCACGGGCTGTGAGAAAACTGTACAGAAGACAGAAAGCTGCCTCCCATCCTTTTCTAGAAAGAGTTGGGAGAATATAAATAGACCATCAGGCCGGGCACGGTGGCTCACACCTATAAACCCAGATCCTTGGGAGGCTGAGACGGGAGGATGGCTTGAGCTCAGAAGCTCGAGACCAGCCTGGGCAACATGGCAAAACCGCGTCTCTACAAAAATATACAAAAAGTAGCTGGGTGTGGTGGTGCACACCTGTAGTCCTAGCTACTCTAGAGGCTGAGGCAGGAGGATTGCTTGAGTTTGGGAGGTCAAGTCTGCAGTGAGCTGTGATCATGCCACTGCACTCCAACCTGGGTGACAGACTGAAACACTGTCTCAAAAAAAAAAAAAAATGACAAGCAATCAATGGAAAGCAAATTGGACCTTCAGGATCTATAGACTATGATCAGCTTTATAAGTTCCTTGCAAAATGCTGCATACAATTTCATGAAAGGAATCTACATTGTCCACTCGTTTCAGACTCAAAGACTTGAAACCCTTTTTGAATGTTTTACCTACTCTGCCAAAGCGGTTCCCACTCCGGAGGCTCCCAGCCAGCTGCTCTGAGGCAGGCTCTCAGACGACAGCATGTTCTATTCATGAGAAATAAAATTCTCCAACTATTTTCAAGGCAATGTTTTCACAAATATTGGGCCTGTCATGCACAAATACTGGTCCACCTCACAAAAAGTGTGGCCTAATTTAGTACAACCCAAACCAATGGATGCAGAATTAACAACCTGGCTAATGATTGAGCCAAACGACCTATTTACTGTTTTCTGCCAGGCGCAGGTTTGACTTTGGCCACTCATAGTGCAGTCCCAGGACCAGCGGCATCAGCGTCCCCTGGGAGCGTGTTAGAAATGCAGATCCTCAGGCCTCAGCCCAGGCTCCTGGCTGGGAGCCTGCAATTACTTTTGTCTACAGGACCTAAAGTGTGAGCATGCTCCGCTGACGCCCTGGGTGAGGCCCCGGGATGGACAGTGGTGGTGTTATCTCTACACCCAGGCACCGAGGTTGCTCAGTCACCCCTTCGGGGACACAGGACACAGAGCTCAGCTTGTGTTCTTGTTCATTTTTACTTGATTGGCTTTCTTTCAGTGGGGCAACGCACCCACCTTCTTGTCTTGCCCAGTCTCTGCTATATATAAATCCAAATAAATTCTTACCTAGTCCTGGCCTGGATGCCTACAGCACTCCCTCACATGCCCCCTAACTGGTCTTGTTCTCATGTGCACCAGCTCCTGGGTGCTCTACCAAGAGTCATCCCTGGCCCCATGGGGGGAAATGGCAGCCCCCTGTCATAGGCTGGGGTGGAGTGGTCAAAGGAGAAGGGCAGATCTCGAGATATTGTGGCTTGTACTTTGTCTTACAGATTTAGGAATATATAGGTGTCGTCACACTTAAAATGTGTGTGACTAAACCAGCACATCCACGGAGAGCATGCCCCGCAGGGAGGAGGGCTGCACCGCTTTCAGCTGGCTGTCGTCATCACCCATGAGCATTTATTCACCATCAGCAGGCTTACTGGTCCCTGGCTGTGTGTTCAAAATACAAAGATTGCTGAAATGCGACTCCCTCCCCTCAGGACATTCAGTCTGGGGAAGGAGGCAGAGAAGTAAACAATGAGAATGCCAGGCTCGGCCCAGAGGATGGTGGGAGCACAGATGACTGGCAACTTGCCCAGGCTGGGAGGAGTTGGCACCCAGCCAGGTTGAGCCTCGTTAGCCAAGCAATGGTGGGAGGTCCGCAGCGCCAGGGATGGTGGAGGGACCGTGTCCCAGGCGGGAGGCAAGCATGTGCAAAGGCGTGGAGCTGACGAGTGGGGAATTCTGGGTCATGACGGGCTTCCACGAGGGCTGAGGAGGCTGAAGTGCATCCAAAGTTGGTGGAGAACCACGCAGGGTCTTAGAAAGCAGCGTGATCAGATTTTCCTGCTAACTATCTGGCTCTCAGGTGGGAGCTGGTGTGGGAGGAGACAGCCTTGCCACATTTTCTTCTATTTTCAAAATATTCTTTAAATATATGCCCCCCAACCCTATTCTTTTTAAACTGAGTTGGCAACTCATTTGTGATTTAAGGTGTAACTGAAACTGACATCTGTCTGTCTGACTCATAGCTGTCAGGGCGGTGGCTTCCACATGACATTCTGGGCTTTGGGATGTCTGTTCTGCAGGTGTTCATTAATGTCTTCTAACTTGATTTTTTTTTAATGTACAAAATTTAAATTATAACCTTTTCCAAATGTGAAAGGGCTCGATATCGTTAGTCACAGGGAAATGCAAATTAAACCCACAATGAGATACCGCCATACACCCACCAGAATGGTTAAAATTAAAAAGACTGACAATACCAAATGTTGGCAAGGGTGTGGAACTCTCATGTTCCCAGCAGGTGGGAGTGTAAAATGGAAGAACCACACTGGGAAACTGGCAGTTTCTATTAAAGTTTAACACATGTCTACCTTATGAGCCAGCAACTCCATTCACGGATACTCTCTCAAAATAAATTAAAGTCTATATCCACATGAAGATGTATACAAGAATGTTCAGGACAGCTTTATCCATAATATCCCAAAATTGCAAACAACCCAAATATTCATCAAGAGACTAGATAAGCAAAGTCTGCTATAATCAAACTTGGGAATACTACTGAGCAACAAAAGAAGAACAAAATCCTGATACACACAGCAATGCCAGTGGATCTCATGCATATTACATTGAACAAAATATGCCAGACACCAAAAAGTGCACGCTGCTGGATTCTATTTAATGAAATCCAAGGACAGGCAAGATTAATACTGTATATGGTAATAAAAAATTGTGAAGGGGGTTATTAGAAAATGGCACAAGAGAACTTCCTGGGGTAATGGAATCATATCTTAATCTGAGTGACATTTACATGTGCATATTCATTTGTGAAAATTCACTGAACTACACCCTTAAGAGTTGTGCATTTCACTGTATGTAAATTATCTCTCAATGAAGTAATGATAGCAGAAAAAGCAACTTTGCCTATGCAGACATACAAATGCTGAATAAGCCTGTGAAAAAATGCTCAACATCATTAGTCACTGAGTCATGAGAAATGCTCATCTAAACCACAATAAGAAATCACTTCACCCCTATCAGGATGGCTACCATTTAAAACACACCTATATAAAAAAATAACAAGTGTTTGTTTGGTAAGGATGTGAAGAAACAAACCCTTGTGCATTGCTGGTCAGAGTCTAATGTGGTGCAGCCACTGTGGAAAATAGCTTGGTTGTTCCTCAGAAAGCTAAACATAGAATTGCCACATGATCCAGTAATTCCACTCCTAGGTATATGCCCAAATGAGTTTAAAGCAGAGGTTGAAACAAAGATTTGTACACTCATGTTCCTAACAGCATTATTCACAGTAGTGAAAACATGGAATACCCAAATGTCCATCAACAGATAAATGGACAGGCAAAATGTGGTATATACATATGATGGAATATTATTCAACCTTTAAAAAAAGGAAATTCTGATACATTTTATAATATAGATGAACACTGAGCATATCATGCTAAGTGATATTACCCATATACAAAAAGACAAATATTGTATGATTCTATTTATGCAAATATGTAGGATAGGCAAATTCATAAAGGCAGAAAATAGGTTAGAGGTTATCAGGGGCTGAGGGGAAGAGGGTAGGAGGAGGAAGAGGGACTGGGGGGAGAGGGATGATAAAAACATTTTGGAAATAGTGATAATGTTTGCACAACATTGCAAATGCCACTGAACTGTACACTGGTTACAATGGTTAAAATGAACAATTTTATGTTATATATATTTCACCACAATTTTAAAAATTAATAATGGAATATGCCCCAAACTATCAAGTTGTATACTTTAATGGATGAATTGTCAATAAAGTTGTTAACTATGGAAAGAAAAAAAAAAGCAACCTAGTGGTACACACAACATGGCTAAATCTCAAAACCATTATGTTGAGTGAAAGAATCCAGGCACCAGAGCGCACACTGTGTGATTCCACTGAATTTTCAATACTGGCTAAACTAATCCATGGTGACAGAAATCTGAACAACAGGTCTTTGCCTCTGATGAGACAGGGACTGAGTAGAAAGGAGCAAGAGGAAACTTACTATGGTGATGGAAATGCTCTATATCTTGAGTAGGGGGATGACTGCACAGGTGTATATATTTGTCAAAATCATACGGCTGTTCACTTAGAATTTCTGTACTTTATCATATGTCAATTATACCTCAACAGAGTATTTTTTTATTTTTTCTTTAAGACAGGATTTCTCTGTGTTGCTCAGGCTGGTCTCAAACTTCTGGGCTCAAGTGATTCACCTGCCTCAGCCTCCCAAAGTGTTGGGATTACGGACATGAGCCACCATGCCTGGCTAACCAAGTATTATTAACATAAAATATGATTGGCCAGGTGTAGTAGCTAATGCCTGCAATCCCAGAACTTTGGGAGGCTGAGATGGGAGGATTGCTAGAGCCCAGGAGTTCCAAGACCAGTCTGTGCAACATAGTAAGACTCTGTCTCTAAACATTAAAAAAAATTTTTTTAATTAAAAGCAAAACAAAACAAAACAAAAATCATGGCCAGACACAGTGACTCACGCCTATAATCCCAGCACTTTGGGAGGCCGAGGCGGATGGATGATCTGAGGTCAGGTGTTCGAGACCAGGCTGGCTAACATGGTGAAACTCCATCTCTACAAAAAATACAAAAATTAGCCAGGCATGGTGGTGCATGCCTGTAATCCCAGCTACCTGGGAGACTGAGGCAGGAGAATCGCTTGAACCCAGGAGGCAGAGGTTGCCATGAGCCGAGATTGTGCCATTGCACTGCAGCCTGGGCAACAGAGCAAGACTCCATCTCAAAAAAAAACAAAAAACAAAATATAAAATATGGTTAAAACGCAACAAGGCATTGAGAGTGCTAGAAGGGGCAGGCTAGAAGTCAGAAAATACTCAAAAGTCTCCTAGGAGTCACTAGGTAGAGATGACGCCACTGAATGGGGTGGTCACATCCAGGTACTGAGAGGAGAAGGCAAACTTAGAAGAGATGGAGGCTGGAGAACAGACATCTGGATGTGGGAGGAGGCAGGAAAAAGTAGTGGTAATTGGCTTCTGACTCCAACCCCTCAGAAGGATCAAAGTCATATGCCAAGAAAAGGAACATAGCAAGAAAATCTAGTACTCCTGGTAAACATGTCAAGGTCCAGAAATCCAAAACTAAAAGAAAAAAACACATGTATGTACAAGATATAACCAAGAATTAGAGGTTCACATTAGAAAGCATAATTAGTTTGTGCTGTGGTCTGAGAGACTGTTTGTTATGATTTCAGTTCTTCTGCATTTGCTGAGGAGTGTTTTACTTCTGATTATGTGAGCAACTTTAGAGTAAGTGCCATGTAGTGATGAGAGGAATGTATATTCTGTTGTTTTAGGGTGGAGAGTCCTGGAGATATCTATGAGGTCTGCTTGATCCAGAGCTGAGTTCAGGTCCTGAATATTTGTTAATTTTCTGTCTTGATGATCTAATATTGTCAGTGGGGTGTTAAAGTCTCCCATTATTATTGTGTGGGAGTCTAAGTCTCTTTGTAGGTCTCTACAAATTTGCCTCATGAATCTGGGTGCCCCTGTATTGGGTGCATATATATTTAGGATAGTTAGCTCTTCTTGTTGAATCGACTCCTTTACCATTATGTAATGCCCTTCTTTGTCTTTTTTTATCTTTGTTGGTTTAAAGCCTGTTTTGTCAGAAACTAGAATTGCACTCCCTGCTTTTTCCTGTTTTCCCCTTGCTTGGTAAATTTTCCTCCATCCCTTCATTTTCAGCCTACATGTGTCTTTGCATGTGAGATGAGTCTCTTGAAGAAAGCACACTGATGGGTCTTAACTCTTTACCCAGCTTGCTATTCTGTGTCTTTTAATTGGGACATTCAGCCAATTTACATTTAAGGATAATATTGCTATGTGTGAGTCTGATCCTGTCATCACGATGCTAGCTGGTTATTTGCAGAGTTGTTTATGTTGTTGCCTCATAGTGTCACTTGTCTGTGTACTTCAGTGTGTTGTGGCTGGGAGTGTTTTTTTCCTTTCCATATTTAGTGCTACCTTCAGGAGCTCTTGCAAGCCAGGCCTGATGGTGACAAATTCCCTCAGCATTTGCTTTTCTGAAAAGGATCTTATTTCTCCTTCACTTATGAATACTTAGATTGGCTGGATATGAAACTGAGTTGGAATTTTTTTTTCTTTAAGAATGTTGAATATTGTCCCCCAATCTCTTCTGGCTTGTGGGGTTTCTGCTGAGAGGTCCACTGTTAGTCTGACGGGATTCTCTTTGTGGGTAACCTGGCCTTTCTCTCTGGCTGCCCTTAACATTTTTTCTTTCATTTCAACCTTGGAGAATCTGATGATGATGTGTCTTGGGGTTGATGGTCTCATGGAGCATCTTACTGGGTTTCTCTGCATTTCCTGAATTTAAATGTTGGCCTGTCTTACTAGGTTGGGGAAGTTCTCACAAATGATATCCTGAATTATGTTTTCCAAATTGGTTCCATTCTCCCCATGTCTTTCAGGTACGCCAATCAGTTGTAGGTTCGATCTCTTTACATAATCTTATATACCATGGAATACTATGCAGCCATAAAAAGGAACAAGACCATGTCCTTTGCAGGAACATGGATGGTGCTGGAAGGCATTATCCTTGGCAAACTAATGCAGAAACAGAAAAACAAACACTGCATGTTCTCACTTATAAGTGGGAGCTGAACGATGAGAACACATGGACACACAGTTGGGGATCAATGCACACAGGGGCTTATCAGGGGGTGTGAGGCAGGAGAGCATCAGGAAGAATAGCTAAAGAATTCTGCACTTAATACCTAGCTGATGGGTTGATCTGTGCAGCAAACCACAATGGGCATGGCACACTGCCTGTGTAACAAACCTGCACATCCTGCACATGTGCCTCAGAACTTAAACTAAAAGTTGAGGGGGACAAAAAGAAAGCAAGCATAATTAATTTTAAAGGGTGCTGGTACATAATTAAGTCATTCTGTTGTTTTGGTTTGGCTTAGTTTTTTTCTGGCCTGGAACAATCTGTTCGGCTTATGCCAAAAACAAAGATCCCCCAGGCATAGGCGAAACATGATATTTTCAAACTTTCCTATGAGTCAGCGAAGGCAGTTTCACTTTTGTCCTGGGACACGTAATTCCAGGAAGCGCTTCCCCTGCCCTGGTACACTCAGCCTTCTCCCTCTCTGTTTTCAGGCCATCACACCTGCTCGTTCACAGAGGAGGCAAAAAAATGGATGATGGACAGAGATTTCCAGAGTCGTAATCATCCAGATGGTGGCCACTAGAAAAGACCAGAGAAAATGTCCAGGGTTGGAGTGCAGGGATGAGCCCAGAAGATGACATTGCAAGCAATGGCTGAACCTCTGAAGATTCATTTCGTCTCTTAAGGGTGTCCAAGTCTCTCCTCTGCCCATCAGGCCCCACTGGAGGATTCTGAACCCCTCTCCTTCAGTTACTCCTTCAGGTAACTGCCTGTAGTAGGTTGAAATGTATCGCCCAGAAAAGACATGTCCACATCCTAACCCCGGTCGCTGTGAATGAGACTCTGTTGGGAAATAGCATCTTTATAGATCATAATTAAGGATCCTAAGATGAGATCATCCTGGAGATTTGAGACACAGATGTGCAGAGGACAGATGAGGACAGAGAGAGATTGGAGCGATGCTGTCACAGACCGCAGAATTCCCAGCTCTGCCAGAGGGAGCGTGGCCCTGCTGTCACCTGGACTTCAGACATCTGCCCCCCAGAATTGTGAGAGAATCAATTTCTGATGTTTAAGCCACCTACTTTGTGGTCATTTGTTACGGCAGCCTTCAGAAAAAAATCCACTGCCAATCTAGCACCACAACCACCTATGTCCCCCAGGCCGCTCCTCCACCTGGCCTCCTCCCTCCTCTCCTGCTCAGGATGTAACCCTCCGGTCTGGCCCCAACACAGCACCTCCCTCTGGCGTGACTCCCCTCCACCCTCCACAGTCACAGGGCACACTCGCTAGAGATAGGGATCCATGTTTGGTGTTTCCTCTCTGCTTAACAACATCTGCTCCTGCAGCTCTTGAGTTACTTGCCATAGGAAAAGCCCAGGACTGGCCCTGCTGGGTCCCACCAATCACCCGGGGAGTGAAATCCCAACTACTCAGCCCAGCTCCTTCAACTCTATTTGCAGTTCACCCATCCTCTACCAAGACAATCACCACTCCTGCTGCCTGTACCTGGAAGGCACTTTCCTACCCGCTCAACGGCAGTCAACTCCCACTTTCCCCGAAGGACCCACACACAAGGTTTCCCAGTGCCGAATCCCACCCACATCGCAGGCAGCTCTGGGTTCCTGACATGTATCAGTGAATTCCTTTCCTGTTACCTCATTTTCTTTCAAGGAGTCGTTCTTCTTAGGTTCATGTCTTACCCCACCTAATGAATCAAATACCCTCTGAGGGCTTCAGTTTTGAGGTCGTGAACCCCATGTGGCTCCCAGGGGCCTTCCAGAACATGTGCCCTCGGCATGCATGGGGATGAGTGCATGCACGAAGGGAATAACAAGTAGAAAGAAGAATGTGTTTTTGGCTGGGCGTGGTGGTTCACACCTGTAATCCCAGCACTTTGGGAGGCCGAGGAGGGCAGATCAGCTGAGGTTGGGAGTTCAAAACCAGTCTCACCAACATGGAGAAACCCTGTCTCTACTAAAAATACAAAAATTAGCCGGGCGTGGTGGCGCATGCCTGTAATCCCAGCTCCTCAGGAGCCTGAGGCAGGAGAATCGCTTGAACCCGGCAAGCGGAGGTTGTGGTGGGCATTGCACTCCAGCCTGGGCAACAAGAGCAAGAAACCCTGTCTCAAAAAAAAAAAAAAAAAAAAAAAGAAGGATGTGTGTTTTTAAAATGCATATTTTCTGCAGTATTGGAGATCAATCAATCAATAAATACATGATCTCTTTAAACATCCCTCCCTGAATAAGAGTGAAAAAAAGCTTTAAATAAGGAATAGGTCTGTGACAATGAAGAGAATTCCTGCCCTTGGAGAGGAGAGAAAATCCCCGTGAGCTGACAGCTCCCACATGTGGTTACTCCTCGCTGTTGAGTCTCTAGGCTTTGCTCACTGCAGAGACTCTGGGACAGGTTCTGCCTTGCCACGGGACCAGAATTCGGCTCAGAGACAGCACAGGCCTTGGGTCTGAAAAAACTGTAGCTCAACAGCCAAGAGTAGTCTTGCAGCAGAAAAGGAGATGAACTATCCTTAAATGGCAGAGGGTTCATGAGGGGGTGAGGGTAAGTGAGTTGAGAGGGGTGGGGGTTGTGCTGGAATGGGGATCCAGGTGAGCCAGGGTCAGGGAAGTTGAGCCAGGGTGAGGGGTTGGGGAGTGAGTGGGTCATTGAGTCGGGGTCTGATGTTAGCCCCCCTGCCCGGGAGGAGAAGAGGTTGGAGAGAGGCTGGAGAGGTGAAGACTCAGAGCTCTGGAGGTGAGCTAGGGTTGGAGGAGTTGGGCTGGAGTCATGGTGAACAGGAGGTTGACCCAGGGTGGGGTTGGGATGAGCAGGGTAGGGTGTCGACTGAGACAGAGGTGAGGTACAGTACAAGGCAAGTTAAGGCACTAAAAAGTAAATGTCATACAACAAATGTGTAGATGACCCCTTTGAGAAGCTCCCCACTCAAATATCCAGTGTCTAAAGGGGAGGAAAGTATTCTGTCATTGCAGATGGGGTCGTACATTCATTGATGGTACAGGTTTTTGCTTTATTTTGTTTTTTCTTAAAAGAGTTAATAGCTAATGCTTTAAAAAAAAGTAAACAGAGCAAAATATATTATCTGCGATAATAATTTAAAATATGTTACTGCACAGAAAAAAAGAGAGTCCTATTATGCCAGTTGACTCAACTAATAATAGCTGTAGTGTTATAATATAAGGGTTAGTTGTTTTCTACTTTTAGAATCAAACTATAGATAAAGTTGAAATAATAAGCATAATTAAGATCCAAGAAAATGTTACTAGTCTCGTAAGTGGAAAGCTAGCGAAGACAATATGAGGGGTGGATACGGGGTGGTGGGAAAAGGTTAGGAAGGTCCTTACCTAACAGAGGAGAAGTCAGGAAATACCAGCTAGAATTGATGGAGAAGGAACTGGGGTTGAAATAACATATATAAGAAACTAAAAGAATACATATGAAAAAGGATGGGTGGATGGGTCTGATCAGAGGGGTGAAAAGGGCAAGTCAGCAAAAAACTCCACTACCATTGCACACAATCATCTCCACTGCCTCAAATGGACAAACCAAGAGTAGCTATGATGAGCAGGTTGCAACTGGCAGGGAGGGGACTGCCAGATGAAATGAAAGTGGGAACAGTGGCAAGAGACAGCTCTGAGGAGCAGACAGGTGGCCAAGAAGCCTGGGGTCTCTCACTGCAAGCTCATCTGCAGGATTCTATTTTCTTTTCTTTTTCTTCTTCTTTTTTTTTTTTTGACAGAGTCTCACTCTGTTGCCCAGGCTGGAGTGCAGTGGTGCAATCTCAGCTCAGCTCATTGCAACCTCCACCTCCCGGGTTCAAGCGATTCTCATGCTCAGCCTTCCAAGTAGCTGGGATTACAGCCGCCACCACGTCCACCTAATTTTTTTTTTTTTTTTTTTTTTTTTTTAGTAGAGATGGGGTTTCACCATGTTGGCCAGGCTAGTCTTAAACTCCTGACCTCAGGTGATCCGCCCGCCCTGGCCTCCCAAAGTGCTGGGATTACAGGCATGGGCGCCACCGCGCCCAGCCAGGATTCTATTTTCTATCACATATATGCTCTGTTTAACAAAAATAAGAGACAAGGAAAGTAGAATACTAACAAGAATAAAGTTTTCCCACAAATTGGTGAGAAGAAAATAAAGCAGATGGCCCAAAATAAGACCCTGTCTTTAAAGGGGAACATGTGTTAAAGGAGCAATCTGGGCAGTGATGGATGACTCAACCAACATTGCTGGAAAAGTTGATTACTGAGCAGTAAACACACACACACACACACACACACACCATAAAATCAAAAGATAATACAAAAGGACTAAAAAGTCAAGGGTATAATATATATACATACATACATACATACTTATATCCTAAAATAGTTTACTGATGGAGAAAAGAGATTCAAAAGCTAAAAATAATAAGATAACAATAAATATACAATGTAAGTTACTATATAAATACAATATTCCCTTATATCAAAATTATAAGTAAAATTGAAAGAAAAATGAAAAAGCAATCAAGATTAGTGACATTCACAGAATGATTTAAACAGAAATATTATATTGAATATCAGCATAAATACACCAAGAGTACAATTTTTCAAGGGTAAAGGAATGAGTAGAAAAACCAAAAAATAGCAAAAAGCCAGTAAATACATGTAAAATATACATAATCTTACTAGTAAGCAAAATAATGTAAATTAAAATATTAATGAGACACCATATGCTTAACAATAAATATTACATTTCAGATCTTCACAAAAGATGAATTCATTAATAGTTCTGGACAAAAGTCCCAGTCATACGGAAAAAAAATAAGGTTGGATCTTTATCTCACATCTCAGGCTGAAATGAATCATTAAATATTCAATCATAAAAACACTAAAAAGGCTCGGTGCGGGACAGCACTCTGGGAGGCCAAGGGTGGCAGATCAAGAGGTCAGGCGTTCGAGACTAGCCTGGCCAATATGGTGAAATCCTGTCTCTACCAAAAGTACAAAAAAAATTAGCCAGGCATGGTGGCACGCACCTGTTGTCCCAGCTACTCAGGAGGCTGAGGCAGGAGAATTGCTTGAAACTGGGAGGGGGAGGTTGCAGGGAGCCCACATGGTGCCACTGCACTCCAGCCTGGGCAACCGAATGAGACTCCATCTCAAAAAAAAAAAAAAACCACTAAAAAAAATGTAGATGACTATTTCTATAAACCTGGCTTAGAAACAGCATTTTGAAGCAATAGAGCAAGGCCGGAAACCATAAAGAAATAGATACATCTGACTGTATAAAAATTTAAACCTTCTCAGCAAAACAGTGTAAAGAAAGTAAAAAGGCAAATGACAGGGACTCTCACTTTCAGCTCTGAGAAACTGGCTTCAATCAGAGGCACTTTTCCCCTGAGAACAACTGAATACTTTTTTTCCCTAAATATCCATTTGGAGGCATCCAGTTTCCAAGACGACCAGGACTTGCAGGCCTGATTGTATTCCAGAAAGAAGGCGGAAATCCTGAGATAAGCTTCCATTCTCATGGCTTTCCCTAAGGGCATTTGCTGAGTAAGGCTGGGTGCTGAGAAACCAAGCAGAGAGCAGTAGTGAAGGGTAGGAGGAGCTAAGCAGAGTTGGTCATACTCTCGAGGGTTTGCAGGGAGGGGTATCCAATCTTTTGGCTTCCCTGGACCTCAATGGAAGAAGAATTGTCTTGGGCCACACATAAAATATACTAACACTAACACTGGCTGAAAACACACACACACACACACACGCGCGCGCGCGCGCGCGCATCTCAAAATATTTTAAGAAAGTCTACAAATTTGTGTTGGGCTGCATTCAAAGTCATCCTGGGCCTCATGTGGCCCGCAGGCCAGGGGTTGGATAAGCTTGGGTTAAGGAGACAAAAGTGGTATTCATGATCTGCCCAGGCCATATTTCTATAGGAAGCCAAAAGGGCTATATCCTACAAGACAGGCCAGAAAGAGGCCAGATCTTATAAAAACTACAACCTAGACTGCAATCTTCTGTCCCACTCTGTCTGCCAGAAGCAAACTAAATCCTCCCTGGACAAGATAACACAATCTAGTGCTACTTCAATTTTCATACACAATGTCTAGCATTCCAAAAATTACCAGATGTATCAGGAGACAGGGCCAAGAGAAAAACAGAAAATAGAAAACATCCCCAGAAGATCCAGAAATTAGAACGATCAAGCTTTAAAATAACTAATATGTAAAAGCAAATAATGACAAATGAGGAACTTTATTACAGAACTAGAATCAATAAAGAATCAAAAATTTTAGAAATACAGCATAATTGAAATTAAGAATGTAAAAAGCAATTAAATAGTAGATTAGGGTAAAGATATGATTAGTGAATCAAAAGATAAGTTTAATCAAAAATGCCCAGAAAATTAAAAAAAAAAAAGATTTAAAAGATAGGAAGAAAAGCATAACATACACAGGCAGCATGGTATAAAAGGTCTAATGTGTGTGAATTTGGTGTCACAGGATAGGAAGAAAAAGGGATTGGAACAAAAACAATATTTGACAAGATAATGGCAGAGAATTTTCCAAAACTGACAAGAGATATCAAGCCGCATATTCAGGAAACTCTATAAACCCCAAACAAGATTTTTTAAATGACAAATTAGAAAAAGAAGGCAGAATATAATAACTTTAGCATATGTAAAAAAATCCTTAGACCTCAAGAAGATAAGACAGACTAATCAAAAAATTGACAAAGGAATTGGTAAATTAGTTCAAAGAAAGAAATACAAAGGGCTAGTAAACATGTGATATGAAATATGTCTCAGCCTCACTAATCAACAAAAATGCACAAATAAAAGTGAGGTGTCATTTTTTGACAAGTTGGAAAAGAGTAAACAGAGTCAAATTAATTGGTGTTGGCAAAGTGTAGAAGGAAATGTACTCCCTTACCTTGCTAGAAAGCTTCAGTGTTGTAATGTTAAGTGAGATGGTGAGGCTTGGTGTAGTCAGGTGCAGCACAGTGAGGGACACTCAGACTGCAAAATGAATCAAGTTTACTACTCACAGGTCTGGAAGGAAGAGGACAGCACCCCTGGCAAGACCAAAGAGAAGAGGGGAGGAGCCATCCAGGACCTGCTCCTTCGACCAGCAGGTGGGGAACGAGAAACGGAGGGGCCTGTGGGTTGGATCCTTTATGGGGTTACCTAGGTGGGTTTCCCACAGCACGGTTGGATTAGTTCATTTGAAGGAAGCACGAGACTCAGCACAGGAACTCGGGGGTTACCTTATCAGGTTCCCGAGGCTTAAAGCAGAAGTAATGTGGTCAAGCAGCTCAGGGTATGGGGTCTTATCTACCCAGAACATGAAAACAGGAGCTGCGTGAAGACTGCCTCAAAATATGTTAGTCAAGCATGACAAGCTGGGAACAGGACAAGCAGATGGACGCTGAGGCAGTATTCATATGCATAAGTGATGACAATAAGCAAGTTCACTCTCTCTAGGGAGCCACTAGCTAATATGCACTCAGGCTGAGTTAGACTGTGCAGCAGAACAAGCAATCTCCACATCCCAATGGCATACGACAAACGTCTGCTTCCTGCTCATGCCACATGGTTGGCATGCAGCTTTTTTCCACATTGTTTTCCCTTGCAAGACTCAGGCTGATGGAGAAAACTCTACCTGGAAAATTGTGGGTTGCCCGGAAGAGGGGAAAAAGGATATGGCAAATCATACGCTGGATTTTAAAACTTCTGGCCAAAAGTTACACAAGTCACTTCTCACTGAATTGGCCAGAGCAAGTGACATGGCCAAGTGTGATGTTATGGGGAGGAAAGTCTAATCCTACCTTAGGGAAAGGCACATTTACTTTCAAAAATAAGAGAACTTACTCCACAGATCGAAACAAAATCTAACAATTTCCTAAGAGAGTCAGTAGGTTTCTGTACAAAGATGTGCAAATCTCTGTGTTGTTACTAATCTGCAAACCAGAAATAACCTCAATGTCCACTAGGAAGCCACAGGTTAAAGAAACGAACATATCCAGAAAGAGTACATTGTGGTCATTAAAAACGACATGTATTTGCTGGCAAAGAAAGGTGCCCTCATGAAGGTGCTAAGGAAAAAAGATTATAAGTACCGTATTATATTAAATGTCGCTAAAGTTATACCTCAAATACATAAGTATGCCTAGATCATGAATTCGCAGTCACTTTTTTATCATCTTTGGCATTTTACCTTTTTATGTTATCTGAATATTTTACAATAAGTATGCATGACTTAATATTTTGAAGATCAGCAAAGCCGTTTCAACATTTTTGATAATTAACATTCAGTGTCATGAGGATATAGTGAAACAGGCAATTTCATACCCTGTTGGTGGAAGGAAAACTGGGTACAATAATAACATACCAATAATATACCTTCTTGGAATTGATCTAAACAGAACTGCCCAGAGAGCCAATAAGAGACGTATTTAGACATTCATACATCAGAGCATTATTTATATCACAAAAAATTTCAGAAACAAAAAAGACCCAAAATTACTGAATAAACTATGATATATGCAGAAGTTGGATTTTTAAAATCAAGATTCTGAAGTATTTCTAATATAGAAATACCCCTACAAGTGAATAAACCAGGACTCAAAACTTTATTTATAGATAGATAACTTTACAGATAGCTAATCTGGCAGAGCATATATATTTCACAGCACAAGTCAGAAAAGAACACCGAAAAATTCACTATCATTAGCTCCAGGTACTGGGAATACAGGTGACTGGTTTTTGTTTTTTTCTTTGTACTTCTCTTTTTTTTTTCATTTTCCACACCAAAAAAAAAAAAATTGTATCAGAAGAATAATAAAATACCTAATAAATATTACTATTCAATGTTGTCCGAGTAAAAGAATAAGGATCATGTTGTGAATGTGATCATTCACAGTGAAAATAAAGTAACTCTACTCAGAAAGATCTTTAACATCACTAAAATCTGGCCGGGTGTGGTGGTTCACATCTGTAATCCCAGCACTTTGGGAAGCTGAAGCAGGCGGATCACTTGAGGTCAGGAGTTCAAGACATGTCTGGCCAACATGGTGAAACCCCGTCATTACTAAAAATACAAAAATTAGCCAGGCAGATCACTTCAGGTCAGGAGTTCGAGATCAACCTGGCCAACATGGTGAAACCCCATCTCTACTAAAAATACAAAAATCAGCCGGGCATGGTGGCGGGCGTCTGTAATCCCAGCTACTTGGGAGGCTGAGGTGGGAGAATTGCTTGAACCCAGGAGACAGAGGTTGCAGTGAGCCAAGATCGCACAACTGCATTCCAGCTTGGGCGACAGAGCGAGACTCCATCTCAAAATAAATAAATAAATAAATAAATAATAAATAAAATCACTAAAATTGGAAACACTCTCCCACAATGAAAACTTCACATACCCCCAACACTTCACTGCTTTTTTAAATTCAGTAGGCTAAAGAGTCTCCCAATTTCTTAGCTAAGTAAATACTGCTGTTGATTTAAAAGCCAGGCAACACATGAATAATAATGTCCTGGTCTATGTAAATGTTTCAGAAAAGGCCCATATTTGCAGTGCTGTTAAAAGCCAGGAAACAAATGAGTAATGTCCCAGAATATGTAAATGTATTGGAAAAGGCCATGTTTGCACTGGAAAGATCCCTCACCAATTGAATCTGGCTGTGACTGCAAGATACCAAGAGCAATTTCCTAAATTGCGCATTAAGATGCCACACAGCAAAACTTATTCAGCACTAAAAGACTGAAGATGAGAACTGTTTGTTGGTCTGAATGTCCTCTTATAAACTGTATGGAAAATAAAGAGAAGAAAGCAGTATACACACACACACACACACACACACACACACACACACACACACACACACAGTTACAAGAACCCAACGCACATCGTATTCTCACAGTGTATCAGGTCTAAACAAGAACTTCCAATCAAGTAGAGAGCCACTGGCTGTGGCACCAACACCAGCCTTTTCTTTCTTCTTCATATAGGGCTGTGTTACAGTTGAACCTTAAACAACTCTTGAACTGTCAGAGTACACTTATAGGTAGATTTTTTTCAACCAAATCGTGGGAAGTGAAATCCACCTACAGAGGGCTGACTCTGTATACAGGGGCTCCACAAAGCGGATTGTGGGACTTGAGTATATGCAGATTTGGGTATAGGTGGGGGAGTCCTGGAACAAATTCCTCACGTGTCCTGAAGGATGACTGTATTTCTCGGTGTTACATAATGGAAGAAAGAAATGCTATGCAATTAGCATGGAGCAGAGACAACAGAGAAACTCCCAAGACCCACAAGAACATAGAATTCAGGGTCTTCACCACAGCCTATGTTGCTGCCTGTTGGGTCCTTGATGATAGAGCCCCGTGGCTTGTACTTGTCTTGGCCTCCAGTCTCCTGCGGAAAGCCTGGCACAGGGAAGCCATCACCAAAACTCTGGGATGGGCGAAGGACTGATGGATGCAACTGCTTCAGGTGAGGACAGAGAGGAGGGGCCCTGCAGTGAGTCCCATCTGTCAGACCCTGGACCCACAGCTCTGCTTTACGCATGACCCCATGGCCATGAGGCCATGACCCCATGACCCCATGCTTTATGCCATTGGCACAGCGCCCTCACCCAGCATGGTAACCCATCAAACACCTGGGCCCGGGCATTGTCTTTCATGAGGGCTCCCAGCAAGGCTACAATCCAGACATCTCCAGCACACCTGTTAGCCACACAGGCCTTTGGGCAGCCACATCTCCAGGGCTGACAGAGGAAGCCACAAACACCCAGGAAGTGCTTTCTAATTCCAGGTGTTTCTCAGTGCGTTTCTTTTCCCTAGAACAAGCAAAGCCACATGCTCCACAGACCCCATCTAATCACATGCTTAAACTCCCTTTGTCAAATGGAAATGACTGTGGAGACTCGAAGTCAGACCTAAGACGTCTAAGTTAAGGACCACAGATCAGCATCCCAAATATGGATTTGTCCATCAAGGACAATGTTTAGGGGACCTCAGGTTCCAGCTCTGTAGGCATCCAGGAAAACACTTGTTGATTTAAACAAACACTGAAAAGGCATTGATCTAAGTAAGCACAATGTAAGAGACGAGCTCACCACAACCAGAGCCTAAGAAGATCTGCCCTGGAAGACTGTGTCCACTTCAAAGAGGACCAAACTTCAACACGACGCCAGCAGAGCTCTCACTTACCACTGGAGTTGGGTCTTCTTCCTTCCCCTCCAGCTCTCCTTACCCAAGTCTGTCCTTCCCTTTGTGAGTAAAGCACTGGTCACTTCTGACCTCATCTCCTGCCCTCTCCCCATGGTGCTCTGCTGTAGTCCCTCTGACCTCTGGCTCTTCTAGAACATTCCAGCTCTACCACCTGCTCCACCAGCCTGGAAGGCTCTTTCCTAGACCTCCAAACAGCAAGACTTTCACTTCCTTCCAGGTCTTTACTCAAAGGTTCCTTCCTCAACGAGGACGGAAATTTTCAGCACCAGCCCAGTGCTGCAAAACCCTTTCCCTGCCTACCTTATCCCATCTCCTGAGCACTTGCTCCCTCCTGAGAAGAGGTGCATGTATTTGAGCTTGTTATTGTTTCTCACCCCCAAAATCACGTAAGCTCCACTTCAGCAGCAATCTCCATTTCTGTCTGGCATTCTGTCCCCTAGAACAGCGCCTGGCACAGGTACCCCTGTCCAATAAATATTTGCTAAATAAATAAATACATTAAACTGAAAAAGAGGCAACTTCATGCTGAATCAAGAGGCTTATTTAATGCAAATTGTTTTGTGACATTTCTTTTTTTTTTATTATTTTTTTGAGACAGGGTCTTGCTCTGTCTCCCAGGCTGGAATGCAGTGGCATGATCATGGCTCACTGCAGCTTCAACTTTCCAGCTCAAGTGATCCTCCTGCCTCAGCCTCCAAAGTAGCTAGGACTATAGGCATGTACCCCCACATCTGGCTAATTTTTGCATTTTTTGTAGAGACAGGGTCTTACTATGTTGCCCAGACTGGTCTTGAACTCCCAAGCTCAAGTGATCAGCCCACTTCAGCCTCCCGAAGTTCTGGGATTACACGCATAAGCCACCGCCCCCAGCTGACAGTTCTTTTTAAAGGGAGAATTCCAACAGAGAAAGTGCCTGCTTGAAGTGTTATTAGTTCATAAAAATCACTTTGAAAATCAAAGCCAAATGTATGATTTCTTGGTAAAACACGTGTCATGTGGTTCTGTTAGGCATAAAACAGTCATCTCTGGCCCCTCATTAATTTCCTGTCAATTACATTTTCACCGGGCAGGTGGCAGCTGCCACCACTCGTCTTCTAGGCTGCTCACGCCGGGCACTGGGTAAACGTGGCAGGATGTCCTCGAAAGACCGACTGTGATCTTCGGAGGGATATTTCATGCCTCCTGGGGTTAATCTCCTCAGATTACACTTTTAAAAGCTCCCTTGTCTTATTACAACTCCAAGAGAAAAATACAGTCAAATGTTAAGATTCAAACAACAACAAACACTCCAAATCACAAAGAGAGAAGCATTTACAGAGCCAGGAATTCTAATTATAGGTATTTTCCATCTTACAGAATAGGACCGCCTGTTGGAAGGGCTGGTAAACACAATTTTCCTACCAAAGTACATAAATTCTTTAACTGTAAAAAACACCTGACAAAACTCTTGGTGAGGAAGAGGCAGGAGAGAGCAGCGAGGCGTGCCAAATACCACAGATCCTTCCAGGTAAGAAGGCACTCAGGTTCACAACTCCAACAATCTTACTCCCTTCAGTCTCTATCCCTATTCCAGTGACTTCAACAGGAGAAACTGGCAATGTCTGGAGACTTTCATTGTCACAGAGGGGAAGGCACTGGTGCTGGCATCCAGTGGGCAGGGGCCAGGGATGCTACTCAGCACCTTGCCATGCACAGGACGGGTTCCCACAGCAAAGGATTATTAGAACCAAAATGTCCACAGTGCTGAGACCTATCCTATTTTTAAGAATTTTCAAAATAGTATATGTAACTGGCAACAGGGCACGATACTTGAATCATGTTCAAAAAGCAGGGACAGGTCGGGCGCGGTGGCTCGCGCCTGTAATCCCAGCACTTTGGGAGGCCCGGGGAGGGAGGATCACCTGAGGTCAGGAGTTCAAGACCAGCCTGGCCAACATGGGGAAAACCTGTCTCTACTAACAATACAAAAAAATTACCCAGGCGTGGTAGCATACACCTGTAGTCCCAGCTACTCGGGAGGCTGAGGCAGGAGAGTTACTTGAACCCTGGAGGTGGAGGTTGCAGTTAGCCGAGATTGCCCCACTGCACTCCAGCCTGGGCGACAGAGCAAGATTCCATCTCAAAAACAAGAAAAAAAAAAAAAAAAGCAGGGACAATCATCCACCAACCATGTGCGACAAACTGCCGGACTGCACAGGGCAGAAACTGAATGAGGTTGAGCATCTCCCTCATGGAGCTGACCAAGCTTCAAGAGAAAATATCCACCAATCAATATAAAACAACGCAGAATGAAAGGCATCTATACCAAGTTGCGAACTGCGATGAGGGTCCAAAGTCGGGGAAGCCATGCGGCAAAGGAGCCCACGGGAAGTCCATGGGAGGGGAACTCTGAGTGGCCTTGCAGTCAAAGGAGGGACAGGTGTGTGGTCCATGGGGAACAAGGATCCACCATGGCGGAACAGGGAGCAGGCAGCACAGCGCACAGCTGGGGGACAGCAAGTCACCTGGCTTCTGTGACACAGAGGGAAGCATCTGGAGAACTGTTGGGAGGAGCCCTGCAGGGAGAGTTTCCAAAGACAATGCTGTTGTTAAAAAGAAAATAAAAAAGCCACATACATGAAGATAAATCTAGAAGTGGCAGCAGAACAGACTGGTGAGAGACTCCAGGGCGGGGGGTTATAGCACTTGCTTAAGTGAGACCCCAGTGAAATGTGGGAGACCATCATGGTGGACATCCCCCCCGCTTGGGAAATGACTGGATACAGGAGATGAGGAAGGCTGGGCTGACTCTAGGATTGTAAACACGGGCAGCCAGAAACGCAGGGACAGCTAGGACCAGCTCCGTACTTTGCAGCCCCAGTACAAAATGAAAATGCAGGCCCTGGTTCAAAACCATTAAGAATTTCAAAACAGTAACAGCAGAGTGTTACATCAGACATAGGGCCCTTTTAAGCACAGGCCTGTGAACTGGACAGGCTGTATACCCAGGAAGCTGGCCCTGGAGGCAAAAGGAATACGTTAAGAAGGAGATGCTGGGGGAAGACTGGCAAGAGGAACTCTGCACATGAGGCTGAATGCACACATGACTCTTAGGAAAGTGGTCCAGGGCTGAGAGCTGGCACCAGCTGCGTGAGCCTGAGGAGGCTCTGCCAGCAGACAATGTTCCTATGGGAATGCATAAGTCAGGGCTCTCCAGAGAGACAGAACCAAGAGGAGATACAGACATAAAGAGATTTATTTTAAGAAACTGGCTCATGAGATTGTGGGGGCTGGCAAGTCCAAAATCTACAGGGCAGGCAGGCAGGCTGGAAACTCAGGCAGGAGTTGAGGCTGCAGCTTTGAGGCAGAATTTCTTCTCCTCCAGGAAACCTCAGTTTTTGTTCAACTGATTGGATGAGGTCCACCCAAATTATAGAGGGTAATCTCCTTGACTTAAAGTCAACTAATTGTAGATGTTAACCACAGCTACAAAATACCTGCACAGGAACACCTAGACCAGTGTTTGACTGAATACCTGGGTACTGTGGCCTAGCCCAGCTGACTCATAAAACTAACCATGACAGGGAGTAAAGAGGCCAGCCTATGAAAAGTGCCTCATGGAACAAAGGAAGGGAAACCAGACCATCCAGGGGAGACCAAAAATGAGCAGTGTAAAGAAGCAAAAAGCAAAAAGAGGCTCCCGGATCCAGGGTAGAGGATCCCAGACGCAGAGCAGTTCCTAGGAGCCACGGTGTTGGCGAGCCCAGAGGGCCAGGCCACCGTGCACCTCAAACAGGCTGCTCTCCCCTAGGACACCTGGCTGAAAGGCAGGGGGCCAAGGGAATCTGAGACTCTGCCCTGGCATCCCAGTCCCCAAAGCAGGTTTGTCATCATGTTCCAATTCTGACAATAGTGCCCAAAACACTGGGGGAGGAGGAGGCAGCCCTGCCAAGGTCATGAGAAGTCTCAGTGGCTGGGATGGGGAAGAAATCAGGACTTAAGGGGTGGGACCAGGCCCCAGGCACAGATGCTTTCATGACACCCACCAATAAAGCCAATACACACTGCAGAGAAGCAGCCTGAGAAGGCAGAAGCCCTGGGCTGGCAAGGGCAGAACCAGCCCACCCCAAGGCTGGAGGCAGGACGAGGACATGGGACCCACCGACTGGCAGCCCTTTGGCCTTGGGAAGCAGAAGACTTAGAGGACCTGCCAGAGCCCAACCCACTGCCAAGTGAGTTTGGAGTGTTGGGTTGGTTTTGTTTTTAATGACAGGAGGGATCTAAATATGTTCATGAAAAGGAGGGAAAGAACCAGAAGAGAGGGAAGGATGGAAGAGGCAGTGGGAGGAGGCCACTGAAAAGACCTGGTCCAGGGGCAAGTCCGGACCAAAGCCACTGGCAAAAGCAGATTTCTGTCAACATCTCTCCACTCCCGAGTCCCTCCCAAGCCTCACCCCCGACACCCCACCAAAGGCAAAGCCAACTGGCCTACTCTCCACAGAGCTGCCCCCACCCCAAACCGGAGGCAGGACCAAGAAAAGAAAGAAAAGAGTGAGAGAGAACAGACAAGATCCAGAGAAACCAACTGCAACCTTCTCTTCAGAAAAGAAAGCAGGGTAGAGAAAACCTGAAGGGTGGCAGGGTGGGGCTGGGGGTGGGGGACAAGAAACATCCATGGTGCTCAAACTCGAGCAGGCAACATAATCCGCTGGAGGGTTTGCTCAATACTGAGTGCTGACCCTGCTGCCCCAGCAAGGGGTCTAGGGTGAGGTCCCAAGTGAGGCTGGGTGGGGACCACACTCGGAGGACCTCTGCAGCGACAGGTCAGCAAACCAACTAGAGATGAATGAGCAGACAGTGTGGCCCAACGCTCAACACAGAATGAGTCAGACTTAGGGCTCTGCATACTTTAAAAGACTCAGCCCCTCATCCTCCACTGTAATTGACAGGTAATTTATGGTGAGACCCTTGCAGGTAGAACCCACATATGTCTTGCATGTGGCAGCCACTCCTGGTGGTGGAGTGATTGTCCTACTCTCTTACTGAGGAAAATGTCAAGATAGGGGGACATAAAATTACAGGGATCTGGTTCTTTCATAAAAATCCTCCCATAAATCATGTAAACAGGCAGACAGAGTAGATTAATGGTTGCTTAGGGCTGGAGGGGGTGGGGAATAGAGGGTAAAAGCTAAAAGGTATGTGGTTCTTTCTGAATTGATGAAAATGTTCTGAAATTAACTGTGGGGATAATTGTACAAATCTGTGAACATGATAAAAACCACGGTAGACATTAAACGGTTAAATTGTATGGTATGTGAATTCTGTATCAATACAGCTGTTATTTAAAAGGTTCCTTTTTCTTCACTTTCAAATTGCTTCCTTTTACTATGCTTTTTGGGGATTTCCCATTACTTTGACCTTTCTCACTAGGTTTCTTTAAAAAAAAAAAATTCTGTTCCTAGTCATCCCGTGACTACTTATTTTAATCATTTAATACTACTCATTTAATTTTTTAAATCATAAGATAGAATCCCATCAATTTTTAGAGCTAGAGATCATCTATATGTGCACTGATTAATTTTCCAGGTAAAGAACCTGGTATTTTTTGAGTGAAAGTGACTTTTTCAAAGTCATGCACAAGTAGTTCTATTCAGAAATTTTAAAAACTACATACCTCTTCTGCAAGTGGAAAGACATTCAAAATACAGAATTTCAAAATTATCCCTTCAGCACCTGATTTGTGTTTTAATAAAGTTCAGGAAAATCTATTCTTTTCCAAATGGTTTTTCCAAAAAAAAAAAAACCATTACTTAGCAGGCTTCTTGGATGTTATTGATAGGAAAAATAGCCTTCCTGTCTATGTTAGAACTCACACACCCAAACCAATCCATAAGAATGATATGAGTATTTAAGTATTTTCAAGGTCCCTCTACCAGATTAAAACTGGGGAATTAAAAAAAAAAGGAGAGAGTATCTTTTTTTTTTTTTTTTTGAGACACAGTATCACTTCCCTTGCCCAGACTAGAGTGCAGTGGCGCGATCACGGCTCACTGCAGCCTTGACTTCCTGGGCTCAGATGATTCTCCAACCTCAGCCTCCTGTGTGGTTGGGATTACAGGTGCATGCCACCATGACCAGAAAACTTTTGTATTTTTTGTAGAGATGGGGTTTCGCCATGTTGCCCAGGCTGGTATTGAACTCCTGGGCTCAGGCAATCCACCCACCTCAGCCCCTCCAAGCGCTGGGGGATTATAGGCATGAGCCACTGCGCCCAGCCAAGAGTATCTTAAGTATTCTTAGACCCAATAAAATTATTAGTAGAGTCACTGTAAGTCACTATCTCTAAAAAATGAGATAGGTTTGGGGTTTTTCAAAATTAACTCAATATACTTGTGCCTCATAAACAAACCCAACGGTTCAGATTTGTTTACACTTGATAAAATTTAAAAATGATTATTTCTATTAAAAAGAAATTGACCGTAGCTTCTCTAGCATATCTTAACTGAATTTTTTTCAAGAAATGTATTTAATCTACATTTCCCCAACTCCAATCCAGCCCCACCCTCCACCCCATGGGCCCTCTCTGATCAAGGGCTGTCCTATCTCCCAAAATCCCCCCAAGAAGATCTATCTGTCCTGTGTCCCCATGCGGGTCCTGCCCTTGGCTGGGTGATGGCTTTCTTGTGTGATAAAAGAATCCAGTATAAGGGACTAAGTTTAGTCCAGTGCTTCCTTCCAGATAATGTAACTTAACATGCTGCTTTCCTCCAAAGTCAGGGGCCAGATAGTGCTAAAGGAGAAATTCTGCTGTTGGTGGGTCCTTCAGCTTCTCTTAGGCAGCACTCTGTGTGCAGCCTCAACCTAAGGGTGGCCTTGTACATAGGCAGGTTGACTAACCATCCCAGTTTCCTGGGGACAGAGGGGTTTCCCAGGATACAGGATTTTCAGTGCTAAAAACAAAAAACCGGAAAGTCCCAGGCAAACTAGAATGAGCTGATCATCTACAGGGTCTGTACTTGCAGCTGAAAGTGGCCTTCCACCCATCACAGTGTGTGAAAGAGCCTCAGAGATGGCCTGGTGCAGTTCACTCTTCAACAGAGGACATATAGGTGACAAGGCACTGCCCCTTTCCCCACTCCTGAAGGCCCCTCACAGGCTGTGCCAGCTTCCTGAAACGCGACTCTTAAGTGTCTAGGGCCTTTGTACTCCCAAGGAAACAGGTCCCCCTAAGACCTGGACCCTCCAAAGCATGGAGGTCAGCAGGGAGATGATTAAAGGACCCCACGGTGCAGCAAGCTGGGTTCAAGGTCTCCAGTGAGGTCAACTGAACCTGGCTCTACTGTACATGGAATTCATTTCCTAGAAACCTGCCCGTTATCTAACACCAGAGACAAAAGCTGAATTCCCAGTGCCAGCAAAACTGACTGCGGAGCTATGTCACTGCTGCTATTTTTAGGAGATGACTATTGTCTCTCGAGTTTTAAAATACAAAAGCTGCAAGGTCTAGAAGGAAGCGATACAGACTGACCCTCCCGCTACACATGGAAAGGGTCATGCCCTTTGGATGGCTGCCTTGACATGTTAAAGGGAAGCAGATGTGGGGAGAACCCAGGAATCCACCACAGCTGCCTGTGCATAGCCCGACACCGGACAGAATCAGTCCCTGCAAGACCCAGGATGGGCCCCGACTCCAGGGGTCTTTGCAGTAACTGGTGCTGAAGAAAAGAGAAAGGCGGCCGGGCGCGGTGGCTCACGCCTGTAATCTACGGGAGGCTGAGGCTGGTGGATCACTTGAGGTCAGGAGTTCGAGACATGCCTGACCAACATGGTGAAACCCTGTCTCTACTGAAAATACCAAAATTAGCCAGGCATGGTGGTGGGTGCCTGTAATCCCAGCTACTTGGGAGGCTGAGGCAGGAGAACTGCTTGAGCCCGGGAGGCAAAGGTTGCAGTGAGCTGAGATTGTGCCATTGCACTCCAGACTGGGCAACAAGAGTGAAACTCCATCTCAAAGAAGAAAAGAAAAGGGGAAGGGGAAGGGGAAGGGAAAGGGGAAGGGGAAGGGAAAGGGAAAGGGGAAAGGGAAGGGAAAAGAAAGAGGAAAGGCTTGTGACCATCCCCGGCACCAGCTTCCTCCCCCTTCTTGAAAAACTCTCCTTATGCCGCTTCCGATTCTCCTCCCACCCACAACAGGCTTCTGTTCCATTTCCTGGGCCAGCGTTTCAGGCTCCACCCTCGCGTCATCCGAGGTGCCCACAGGATGCACCAGAAGCCCCAGCACCCTCCTCTGCTCTCTTCTGGGCTTCTCCCCATGGCACTGGCTGCCACTTTTAACAGTTACAAAAGAGGCCTCACCATGTGGATGTGCTATTTTCTTAACTACTCTTCTTTTGGTTAAACATTCAATTTGCTTCCACTTTTCCCCTTGGCTAAAATGGAACTAGCAGTACTGGAAAACCATCTGGAGATTCATTCGCCCATAGAAACAACAGCTCTGTTTACTGAGTGTCTATTACAGCACAAGCACATTCTCTGTAACTTACTCGTTAGTTCTGCCTAGAACCTCTAGGAGGTGTTATTATCTTCATAGTAAGCCTCCCAGTTTCTAGATGGGTATCTAAAGGAAACTAAAGATCAAAAGATCATGGGACTTGTCCAGGATCATGCAACCAACAAACTGGATTTCTACTCTAAGAAAAGTTCTAGAACTCCTGAAACTTAAATGTATGTGCAAATCATCTCAGGACCTTGAAATGCAGATTCTCAGGGGCCTGAGATCCTGCATTTGGTAGAAGCTCCCAGGCGATGCCAACGCTGCTGGCCCATGAACCACAGTGAAGGCAGCCAGGTTCTGTTGCCCAATATTTCCAGTGAGTCCTCTTCCCACCTATTAATAACTAGGTCTGACCCTGCTTTCATGTCCAAAATTCAATCGATTCATGGAAACAAGGCTACAGGAAAAAGGTCATGCGTGCAGCTTTTCACGCTCATTCAACTTTTTATTTTGAAATAGTTACAGCCCCACAAGAACTTGTACCCTTCACCTGTCCTCCCCAAAGGTAGCATCTTCCACAATTACTGTACAATAACAATGCCACGAACTTGACATTGCTGGAATCCATGCAGCTTATTCAGATTGCACCTGTATGCACACAATCGTGTGTGTGTGTGTGTGTGTATACGTCCATCTATACAATTTTAACCCCCACGTAGCTTCCTGTAACCACCACCATCAAGGCACAAAAAGGTTCCAGCACTGAAAGGCCCCCTCCAGCTACCCCTTTATGGTAACACTTCTCCCCTCCCCACGCTCGGCCCCAGCAGCCTCTGATCAGTTCTCCATCTCCACAACGGCATTATTTCAAGACTGTGACGTCAATGGAAGCATACAGCATATAACCTTCTGAGACCAACTCTTTTCACTCCCTGTAATTCCCTGGCCTTCCTTTATTTTTAAATCAGCAAGGGTAAGTCGGTGTCCCTGTGAAGGGAAGCAGAGTGGCCTAGAAGTGCTTGAATGTGCAGCAGAAGGTCTCTGGAGATGGTGTTAGCCATGCTCTGGGAACCTACAGAAAGCTCTCCAACTTAAATAGGGGACTCTGCCCGTCATATTTACCCTTAGCTCTAGCTCTAAAGGACAGAAAACTGGTTCCGTTTGCCAGGCCCTGTTTACTTATTCATAAAGGTAAGGCCCAACAATGGCATAGAATTAAGACTCTTTTTTTTTTTTTTTTGAGACAGTCTCGCTCTGTTGCCAGGCTCGAGTGGAGTGGTGCGATCTCGGCTCACTGCAACCTCCGCCTCCCTGGTTCAAGCAATTCTGCCCCTGCCTCAGCCTCCCGAGTAGCTGGGATTCCAAGCGTGCACCACCACGCCCAGCTAATTTTTGTATTTTCAGTAGAGATGGGGTTTCACCATGTTGGCCAGGACGGTCTTGATCTTTTGACCTCATGATCCGCCCACCTCGGCCTCCCAAAGTGCTGGCATTACAGGTGTGAGCCACCGCGCCCAGCCTGCCAGCAAGACTCTTAAGTGAGAATTGTTTGTTTGTTTGTTTGTTTGTTTCTTGGAAACAGGGTTTCATTGTGTCATCCAGGCTGAGTGCAGTGGCACCATCCTAGCTCATCCTGCAGCCTTGAATTCCTGGGCTCAAGTGATCCTCCCACCTCAGCCTTCCCAGTAGCTAAGACAACAGGCATGTGCCACCACACCCGACTAAGTTTTAATTTTTTTTTTTTTTGTAGAGACAAAGTCTTGCTATGTTGCCCACGCTGGTCTTGAGCACCTGGCCTTAAGCAGCTCTCCCGCTTCAGCCTCCCAAAGTGCTGGGATTACAGGTGTGAGCCACTGCAGCTGGCCAGTTTTAAAGTTTAATAGGATGACATTCTTACAGGATCTCTTTTTAATCTTTGTTTTAACTGTGCTATAACCTGTTATCCTGTATTTTCAAATGTGTGCTATTTCTCTTTTTGATGACAGCTACTGTCAAAAATATCTATTTTATTATTACTTTCAGAGAATCAGCTTTTGTCCTGGATCTATAATCTTCATGATTTCATCAATTTCTGCTTTTCATTTGATTATTTCTTTCCTTTAGTTTTATGCTACCTGTAATTTTCCTTCAAGATACCACTTTTGCTTTTCCCCACAAATTTTGATATGTAATATTTTTATTACTTTTCAGCTCAATTTACATTATGGTTTCCCATTTTATCTAGGAGTTATTTAGAATTGTGTTAGATCTAGAAAAAAAAAATTAACCAAATTCAGAGAACATGGTGTTTATGACACCATTTTTTTGAATTTTCTTGAGCTTGGCTTTACAGCCTACTGGGCTAATAATTCTAAATCATAACCATGTGAAATTTTTCTCCAAATTAAGTCAAGATAATTCCATATGTAAAAGAATACATAAATCCTTTTAATTGAAAGAAATATGTAGAAAAGTTACTAAAATATGTGAACAAAGAAAATAGAAAATATGTTTCATTCACAAAAGGTGGATATCTTCTACACAGCCGGTGGAATGATATGTGTGTATGTGTGTGTGTACACGCCTGCTCACGCATGTTTGTGCGTGTGTAAAAGAGCCCGGGGCAAGGAAGGGGTTGATGGCAGCCACACAGACGTGAAGAGCATGACTGAGAGGAGGCCCCTTTTATTTGTGATGGGGAGTGGAGGGGTATGATGGTGTTACCTGTTTGTAGATCTGATGATGTCAGAGTTTAAGATAAAGTAGGGTGTCAGGAGTCCTTGATGTCATTAAGTATGTGATATGGTTTCCCTGTGTCCCCACACAAATCGCATCTCAAATTGTAATTCCCACATGTCAGAGGAGGGGCCTGGTGGGAGGTGACTGGATCATGGGGGCAGATTCCCCCTTGCTGTTCTCATGATAGTGAGTTCTCACAAGATCTGATGGTTTTAATGTGGCACTTCCCCCCTCACTCTCACTCTCTCATGCCGCCATGTAGTAAGACATGCCTTGCTTCCCCTTTGCCTTTTGCCATGATTGTAAGTTTCCTGGGGCCTCCCCAGCCATGTGGAACTGTGAGTCAATTAAACCTCTTTTCTTATAAATTACCCAGTCCCAGGCAGTTCTTTATTTCTTTACAGCAGTATGAAAACAGACTAATACAGTATGTATGTCCATAAAAGAATTGGAAGAGGTTTTTTTTTTTTTTTTTTTGAGACGGAGTCTCGCTCTGTTGCCCAGGCTGGAGTGCAGTGGCGTGATCTCAGCTCACTGCAACCCCCGCCTCCGAGGTTTAAGTGATTCTCCTGCCTCAGCTTCCCGAGTAGTTGGGACTACAGGTGTGTGCCACTACACCGAGCTAATTTTTTGTATTTTTAGTAAAGACGGGGTTTCACCGTGTTAGCCAGGATGGTCTCCATTTCCTGACCTCGTTATCTGCCCACCTCGGCCTCCCAAAGTGCTGGGATTACAGGTGTGAGCCACCGCGCCCAGCTGGAAGAGATTATTTTTAAATGATGTCCCTGAATTTAAAGGACAGTTGAAGGTGGATTTTACTTATTTCTACTAAGTCAGAGATACAGAAATTGAGGTAGAAGTGAAATCCCATGTCACAGCTGGCTCAGTGGCAACTGATTGGATTGGAGTGGTGGGATTTGAGAGCAATTTCAAAGAAACAGAGAAATAACGACGTATGCTTCCAGAGGCATATTTATGTCAGGTCTGATGAAACTCAGATCAGAAGTAGGCATCTGATCAGATGGGAATGAAGAATGAAGCATTTCTCTCTGGCCTCTGTTTCTGGGATGCTTACCTGGCCCTTGAATTAGGACCCACACTTCTGGCAAGGGACATTCCAGCTGGGAGAGGCATGGACAGGGAGGCCCAGGAAGAAGCAGGTGTAACCACGTCAGCCTGTGCTCAGCAGAGGTGCCCAGTGAAGGGTGTTAAGTGCATTCATAGTGGCACACTTTTTCTGAGACAAGGAAAGACAGAAGTCACATTCCAGTGTCCACTTGGGGAACAGGCCCAGACGGGGCTGCCTGACACTAACGCTGCGGCATGGGCAGTAGGTGAAGCCATGTGTTGTGGGGATGGTAAGTTTCAGACTCAGACCACACCGGAACTGCCTCCTGGCTCCACCACGGGAGCACCTATGGCACCTCCCTGAACCTGTAACTTCATCCATTCATCACAGACACCCACATCCACATCACAGGGCTCCGAGGGTAGAATGAGATGCTCTGTGCTAAGGCTTCTCAAAGGCTCCATTGCCTCCAAAGCCCCTGGCAGGTTTTGTTGAAAAGTAGGCCCTGACTCAGCAGGTCTTGGTGGGGAGGGCTGGGATTCTGCACTCCTAACAAGTTCCCCAGCAGGGAACCCCCTGCTCCAGGTCTCAGGACCCCACTTTGAGTTCAAGAGTCTGCACCAGTGATTGTCAGTGTTGGCTGCACATTGAAATGACTCTGGGAGTTTTAGAAAATACTGATGCCCTGGCCGGGTGTGGTGGCTCACGCCTGTAATCCCAACACTTTGGGAGGCCGAGGTGGGCAGATCACCTGAGGTCAGGAGTTCGAGACCAGCCTGGCCAACATGGTAAAACCCCATCTCTACTAAAAATACAAAAATTAGCCAGACATGGTGGCGGGTGCCTGTAATCCCGGCTACTTGGGAGGCTGAAGCAGGAGAATTGCTTGAACCTGGGAGGCAGAGGTTGCAGTGAGCCGAGATTGCGCCACTGCACTCCGGCCTGGGCAATAAGAGCAAAACTCCGTCTCAAAAAAAAAAAAAGAAAAAAGAAAATACGGATGCCTTATCTTACCCTCAGATTCTCACTTAATTCTGAGATGTGGCCTGGGCACTTGGACTTTTATAGACCTTTCCAGATGATTCTAATGTACAGTCCAAGCTGGGAACCACCATCTCTGGGAGACTACCTGGTGCAAACACCTCAGAAATCTGGACTCACATTTTTTTCAACTTTGTCATTGTTGTTTAAATTTATCCAAATTTTGTTTTTTAAATTTATTTCAGAAAACTATTAACCCCTTGAGGTGATGGATATTTCCTCAATCTAAAAAAATCAGAGCTGGAGATCAGGACTAGGAAATGAAAAGCACACTCTGGGTTCCAGGCACAAGCCCCAGTGTGGACACCTGTTGGCTCAAATAAATACTCAAGAGGCCAGGGGCGGTGGCACAGGCCTGTAATCCCAGCGCTTTGGGAGGCTGAGGTGGGTGAATCACCTGAGGTCAGGAGTTTGAGACCAGCCTGGCCAACATGGCGAAACTCCATCTCTACTCAAAATTCAAAATTTAGCTGGGCATCGTGACGCATGCCTGTAGTCCCAGCTACTCAGGAGGCTGAGGCAGGACAATCGCTTGAACCCGGGAGGTGGAGGTTGCAGTGGGCCGAGATCGCACCACTGCACTCCAGCCTGGGCAACAGAGCGAGATCCATCTCAAAAAAATAAATAAATAAACAAATAAGATTTTAAAATAAGTACTCAAGAAACCCAAACGCAGCAGAGCCCTCTCTCCATTTCACACTGTAGATCAGGGGCAAAGTCACAGACTATGGGGGAAATTAGCACTGTAAGTACAGGCTTGAAGTAGATTATTCTACCTGTTGTTTGTTTTCAGGTTGGCAGCTGACCAATAATAATAATAATTACAATGTTATAAACACAAACACACTTATACCAAGGAATTTTTTTAAAAACTAAATGCCTGTTTTCTCTTCTTTAATGAGTCCTAATTGACAAAAAAAAAAAAAAAAAAGGTTATTTGAGTCATGTTGTTAAAGAATCTGAAAAGAATAAAGGAGGCCAGGCATGGTAGCTCATGCCTATAATCCCAGCACCTTGGGAGGCTGAGGCAGGAGGACTGCTTGATGCCAGGAGTTTGAGACCAGCCTGGGCAACATAGCAAGATCCTGTCTCTACAAAAAATAAATAAAAATTAGCCTGGCGTGGAGGTGTGCACCTATAGTCCCAGCTACTCAGAAGGCTGAGGTGGGAGGTTCATTTGTGCCCAGGAGGTCAAGGCTCAGTGAGCTAGGATTATGCCACTGTACTCCAGCCTGGGCAACAGAGTGAGACTCTATCTCAAAATAATATAAAATAAAATAAAGAAGCAATACGTGACAAAGCAGCCAGAAGTGATGCTTCAGCCAAGCTGAAGCATCATGAGGCCATATTTGCTCAGCCTGCTCTCCTGGAACCCTGCCCCTGCCATGGAAAACAGGCCGAGACAGCCTGCTGAAGGATGAGAGACCAAATGGAGCAGCGATGAGTCCTCCCAGTTAAGACTGTTTTGGTCTTGCCATTCGCAGCTGACCACCAGCTGAATGAAGACGAATGAGCAAATCCAGCCTACATCAGCTGAGATAGGCCACCCCCAACAAAACATTTACAGTTGTAAACACCTGTAAGGTTTTGTAGCTATTTGGTAGGCAGCATGATTGTGGCCACAGATGACTGACATTCTTATATCAAAAACACATGGGGGCTGGGTGCAGTGGCTCATGCCTGTAATCCCAGCACTTTGGGAGGCCGAGGTGGGTGGATCACTTGAGCTCAGGAGTTCGAGACCAGCCTGGCCAACATGGCGCAACCCCGTCTCTACTAAAAACATAAAAATTAGTCGGGCATGGTGGCACATGCCTGTAATCCCAGCTACTCAGGAGGCTGAGTCGGGAGAATCGCTTGAACCTGGGAGACGGAGGTTGCAGTGAGCTGATATCACACCACTGCACTCTAGACTGGGTGACAGAGCGAGACTCCATCTCTAAACAAAAAAACAAAAACAAACAAACAAAAAACACATGGGCCTCTCTACTGCTGCTAGACTCAGAATGCTCCCCACCACGGTCAGCAGAAGAGGAAGAGGCAGACATCTGCCAGCCCACCCATCGCCAAGCCCATTTCAGCTGAGACCTCCTCTGACTCCAGCCCCTCGGACTCCCGGTCTAGGATTCTGCTCAATTTGCCCTCCTCACCCGCTTTCTCACAGTTCAGAATTTGGAGATGCAACTAAAACACTAGCATACATGCCTCTATTTATTTATTTATTTATTTATTTATTTTCAAACACGGGTCTTGTTCTGTCGCCCAGCCTGGGGCGCAGTGGTGCAATCTCAACTCACTGCAACCTCCACCTCCTGGGCTCAAGCGAGTCTCCTGCCTCAGCCTCCCCAGTAGCTGGGACTACAGGCGTCCACCACCATGCCTGCCTAATTTTGGTATTTTTTTAGAGATGGGCTTTCACCATGTTGCCCAGGCTGTTCTCAAACTCCTAGGCTCAAGTGATCTGCCTGCCTCGGCCTCCCAAAGTGCTGGGATTACAGGAAGGAGCCACCACGCCCAGCCTAACATACATTCCTAAAAAGCAAAGCTTGTGCTTGCAGGCCCTCCGCAAGCATACAGAGGCCTGAGGCCAGAATTCACTTTCTATGGTAACTAACAAGAACCAGAGAAGTCACTTTCTATGCTAGTCAGCCCGTTGCTGTGCACACGCAGGCCATGAGCACCGAGGCCTGGTAAAGACGGAGGGCTGTTGCAATAACTGGATTCTCATTTTTGGGGAAAAGTGATTCTGGAGCTTATAAATCTTTCGGAAGTATTAAAAAAATAAATAAATAAAAACTTTCTCACATACATTTCAAGATAAAGCCCTGATCATCGCTATAAATCTATGAAAATTAAGTTTTAATTTTAAGCACCTCAAGAGTAAAGGGAAACACCCACACTGGGTGTGATGTGGGCTTTGCTGACCTAACAAAACAAACCAATGGAGGGGCCTTTGGAAAACGTAACCAAGAGACCCTGGAAATTTAAACACGCAGAAGCAGGGCAGGCGCGGTGCCTCACACCGGTAATCCCAGAACTTTCAGAGGCCAAGCAAGAGGATCACTTGAGGTCAGGAGTTCAACACCAGCCTGGCCATCATGATGAAACCCTGTCTCTACTAAAAATACAAAAATTAGCCGGGCGTGGTGGCGCACGCCTGTAATCCCAGGTATGTGGGAAGCTGAGGCAGGAGATTCACTTGAACCCCGGAGGCGGAGGTTGCAGTGAGCAGAGATTGCGCCACTGCACTCCAGCCTGAGTGACAGAGCAAGACTCAGTCTCAAAAACAAACACGAACACGCAGAAGCAGAATCCCATCAGGACAGGAGTGCAGTATTTTAAATTGAGCATGTATTTGGGCCTAATTAAGTCCAAGAGCTGTCTGACATTTAAACTGCCCTTCTGCAACAATTAAAACAACACACTTTGTGTGTTTTCACTGTCATCTCAAGAGCCGCCAAGGCCATAAAGGTGAACTTCAGGTGATAGTAAGTGGAAGAGAAGAATTAAGAAAAAGAATTATGGCAGCTTGCACTGCCTCAAGTCAGAAGGAACAAAACAACCATAAATCCAGAAGACATTGGAAGCAAGCTTTGAATGTTATTGGGCAATTATCTGACAAATATTTACATGTTGCATATTAAATCATGCAATGCTTTTAGAGCAATAAATATTTTAGAAGGAAAATGGTGTGCTGAGCCACATCCAACATTCTACCAATCTCAGGAGGCAGGAGAGAATGCATTTTCTTAAACAAAACACATCTGACCCTTAGTTACCCAGACCAAATGGAATGCCTGTCAGCTCAGGCAAAGCTCCCTTCTTAAATGCCCAGAGATGAAGAGCTCAACAAGCATGTCCCAGAAAAGTTTAGACGCCTTTAGAGATCATTTCCTCCTAGAAAGCCGGCTGTGGGCTGTATCTGTGAGCTGTCATTCTGTCATTAATGCAATTACCCCTCCACTGCACCAAAGCTGTCCGGGCCTTCTTTAAGGTTTTCACTGCCACTAATCATGATAAGCTTGGAGACCAGGCTCCAACGAGGTTCCCACCTCAGTCTTTGCACACACTGTTCCCTCCGTCTAACTCCTCTTTCCCCTAGATGCCGTCTCTGCTCAAACGTCACCTGCTCTCTAAATGACCATCCTATTTATAATTTCAGCCCTAAATGTGTGAATGCCTACATTACCCTTGCTCAGCTCCAGGTTCTGTAGGCTTGGACAAGAGGAGACAGAAAAGCCTCCCAGGGAAGGTGCCCTTAAACCAGGAGCCTGCAGACAGAGAGGGAGTGACCCACACTGCCGTCGGGGAGACCGGACACCGTCATGTGAAAAGCAGTCCGTCTCCCAGTTTCCTAGGTCTCAGCTAGCCGCTCTTCCTCTGCAAGTTCTTCTCCTCACTAAAAGGCTAGGACTCTTCAAAGGCAGGGACTGCCAGATTCAGTTTTGAGTCTGCTAAAGTACCTAGCGGGAGCACAGTAGGTCTGCGGTAAACACTTTGGCAATGACTCACTCCATTTACCACAGAGCAGGGCATCAGGGCTTTGCCACACTTGATTCTTTCAGCTGTTTTTCAGGAAGATAGAGGCTGTTTGATCAACAGCCTTGAGAAGCTAATGAAAAGAATGGAGGCTCCTGCCTCGCTCCCCCCACTGGCCTCACAAAGCACAGAACACAAGCCCTGCTCCGTCTGATCCAAAGATGAAAGAGTCCAAGGGTCTCTAAGTTAGCAGGCTATGTCCGGGCCTACATCATTATTTTACGTGACACAGAGAAACAAAGTCTTCACTTCTGCTGTAATCAAAGGGGAAGAAAAGCAGCGAGAGAAAAAGCCTTGCCTGGCAGAAGACAAAAAACAAAACAAAACAAAATAAAACTGGAAGGTGCTCTCTTCCAAGCCAAGAGAAGGCAGACGAATGAGAAACACGATGGTAAACACAAGCCTGGGGCCAGGCCTTCCCAGAGCCTTGTGGGCACTAAGCCATTTTATGCTCACATCCTAAGAGGAGAGGCTGCCCTTATCCCTATTTTACAGACGAGGAAACTGAGGCAGAGAGCTGCTGGGAGGCTGGAGCTAGCCTCCCATACCACGGCCCTCCCCTGCCTCTCTGCTGTGTGGCCTGGAGACTCAGTCTGTTAGGCTCGAGCCCCTGGGGATGGTTTACGTTGCTGTCAGTTTTCTTCAATGCAGCTGTTTTCAAACATTTATGTTTTGCCCCTAAAGGAAACATTATATAAAGCTGAGCCCAGTGGTGCCCTAGAGTGGGGACTGGGCGAGCCAGGCCCCTCCTGTGCCCATTCCAGCCCACTGGAGACCACCAGGCTGCCCAGGACAGGGGGAGAGGCCCACCCCACCTGTTCCTTTATGAGCTTGGTGAGGCTTCCTTTAAAGCGGGCCCCCATACTGGCTTCCAGAAAGCAAGGTTTCTGATTACACACATCTGGGCCTGAAAACTCAGTTAAACCAAATGTAGAACTTGAGAAACAGGCCCTAGGACTTCGGGTGGAGCTCCAAGCCCTAATCACATGCCAGCCAGGGCATCTGTCGCCAGGGCTGGGGGAGGAGGCATTGCAAGAGGAATGGCAGCAGGAACTACAGGGCTCCAGGTGATGCTACCTACGGGGACGCCACCTCAGGTCTCACTGCCTAACATATGACAAGCACAGACCCTTCCTCCAAGTTCAAATGTTGTGTGATATGGTTTGGCTGTGTCCCCACCCAAATCTCATCTTGAATTCCCACGTGTTGTGGGAGGGACACGGTGGGAGGTAATTGAATCACGGGGGCAATGTAGTACAAGGGGAGAGTGACATTGGAGGGCTTCCCATCCACCTAAGCCCAGCCCAAACCACAGTCAGGGCAAACCACTTGCCCCACCCACTGCAGGATAAACCAAAGGCACAAGGTCACCCGGGTCCCCAAGTCAAAGCACATGTTTTCTGTCAGCTGCAGGCTCCTGAGCAAAAAGCATGTGCATTTGTGCTAGGCTGCATCTGCAGATACCACGGTCCTTGGACAATACAAAAATCAGGTGAGAACGCTGCCATTTGCCCACTGAGCACAGACTACGGGGAACTTGGCCACCGTGGTCACTCTGCAGTTTTCCCTTGAAGTGCTTTGCTTGGTGGAAGGTGTTCCACCAGCCAGTCCTTCTCAGGTCTTCTTAAGCCAACTTTTTTTCTTTTCCTTTCTTTTCTTTTCTTTTCTAAACATCTCGTTTTCTCTGAATCTGGTCATAACGAAAGGATAGCCTGTGCCTGCCTCCACGCCTCCTGCCCTACCCGGGTGGATGCCCGCGGCTCTGGGGCTCTCCCTATGCCCTGACTCTGGGGAGCCCCGGCTGGCATTGGCTCGCGAAGGTGACCTGCGGACAGACCAGTCAGAGATCACGTTGGCTGGTCGCGGCGCGGGCCACAAAGCTCAGCGGAGGTGGGGTAGGGGACCAAGCTGTCCCGGCGAGGGAAGAAACTGTTGCTTCCAAATCATTGCGGCTGGAGGAGCCGATCTGCGCCCCAGCGTGTTAGGACAAGGGCGGCGCGAGGGGCCCAGGGGCCAAATGGGGCGCTGGGCAGGAGGGGCTGTCTCCTGCAGGGGAGGAGGAATGGTCCCCTGCCAGGGACCTGGGGAAAGGTAATAGTCAGGAGGGGACCGGGCCGCAAGAAGCCCATCCTGGATTGCAGCACGGGCAGCCAGCGCGAATTCAGTCAGGAGGTCCACGGGGACCGGTAAACGAGAAGGGGATGCGGTGAGGACGCCGGACTGGCGTTTCTGCCGCGCTGACACCTCGACTGCTCCCTCCCCGCACCGCGTCCCCCAGCCTGAGACGGGGAAGCCACCCAGGGCACCGCGCTCCCAAACAGCGGGGAAAAGGCGCTCTGGGCGGCGGCTGAGTGACCGAGGGACCGGTCCGGAGCCAGGAGCTGGGAGGCGCGGGGATGTGGTGGGGAGGAGGGGAGTGGGGGCAGTGAGGGGGCTCAAATCCTGCGGGGACGCCCGCTTACCCTGCCGTTGCGGTCAGTCTCCTGCGCCTCCTCGACGCTCACCCCGCGCCGCACCAGCGTCCGCAGCAGCCCCACGTTGTTGGCGCAGGCGGCGCGCAGGAGGGTCGCCGTCTCCGGGACGCTTTCCGGGACGCCCTCCGGGACGCTCTCCGCGCTCTCGACGCCGTGCTCCTCCTCGTCCTCGAAAGGGTAGAAAGAGTCGTCCGAGGCGATGCTGCGGGTGTCTGGCAGACTCGAGAAGTCCTCAAACTCTTCGTAGTCAGCGGGGTCCTCCTCGACCTGCGCGCCCCGGGGTGGGGACGGCGGTGGTGGGGTCATGCAGCGCGCCCCGCCGCCCTCCGGCCCGGTCCCGGCCAGCAGCACCATGCCGGCGGCCGGGGCGCGGGCCGGGGGCCGGGGCGCGGGCAGGAAGAGCGGGACGCGGGGCGCGCGCCGAGGTCCCCGCTTCTCGCTTCTGCGTCCCCAGAGAAGCCGTGGCCCGCGCGCTCCAGCTCGGCGGAAACCGGCACCAGGCGGCTGCGCTCAAAGAAAAAAGTCTCCGGAGGCTGAGCGAGCCCCTGGGGTGGGCGGGACCGCGGGGGCTTTCCGAGGCGGGGCGGGGCGGGGCGCGGGGACACGCCTTCCCCCGGGGCCTTCCCCTCGCGCCCCTTCCTGGCCAGAGTTCAGAGCCAGGCAGGCGCTCTCTCGAGCGCGGGGACTGGGCACCTGGCAGCGTTGCCCCAGAGCTGGGGACAGCTGGCGCGGGAGAAGCAGAAGCAATCACTAAAGAAGCCGAACCCGAGTCGCGGGCGGCAAGCGGCCCCGCCCCTCCCTCCGCCGGCCCGCGGGATGGGGGCGGAGGTGGCGGCGGGGGGACGCCGGGGCGGAGCCGGCCTCCAGCTTCGGGAACCTCGGACCCCTGGAGCCGGCCTCCGCCGAGGGCGTCGGGCCCCCGGACCTGGGTGGGGCCGGTTTCTCCCGCCGCTTCAGAGGAGCAGAGCGGGTTTTCTCCCTTCGGGGGATCCCGGGCTTCGGGGCTGACTCCACCCGGCCGCGGCCGCTTGGAGGCCGGGGAATCCCCGGGGCGCTTGGCGGGCAGAGGAGCCGGGCGCGGGAGCGGAGCCGTCCACCTGGGACCTGTGCCCGGGGAGCGCTGCGGGCCGGGCCACTCTGAACTGGGGGCGGTCGGCTGCTGTGGGGGAGTCCCAGCCCGGAAGGGAGGACAATCCTCAGAGTCCCCCGTCTCGCGGAACCGGGGCCGGCCGTGGCTTGAGGGTTGGTCAGATCCTGGGATGGGGGGCGGGGTGTTCCGGAACCTCAGGGAGCATCTGAGTGGGAACGGACGACGAGGAACTCCCCGTCCCCATGCCTGGCCTGTGTCACGTGCGGGGATCTGCGGACTCACCCCCGGAGGCTGCGACTGGGCGCTGACCCCACGTCTGGCTGCCCAAAAGAGCAGGGCCGCGGGCGACAGCCGCAGTCCAGGCCCACAGCCCCTCTGGCCCGGCCTTGCCCTCTCCCCGTCAGTCCTGGCGCCGGGGATGGGCGGGGAGGAGGAGGGCGTGTGAGGATTTGCCACAGGGAGCCCTTGACTTCGGGGTAGGAGGCGTCGTGAGCCAATCTTGGGGGAAGGTCTCTGCGCAAAGGCGCGGAGGTGCGCTCGCGCCCGTCGCAGGTCAAAGACTGCGGAGGCCACCAGCCCTGTGTCCCCCTAGCCTCCTTCCTTCCTTTTTTTCCCCCGATCTTGACAGCGTGTCCACCAGCTGCCAGCCGGTGGGAGGCCCTCGCGGCCCCAAGGTGAACACAGCTAGGCTGGCGCAGCCGCTGGGGACCAGGCTTGAGGCCCACGTGCCGCTGGGCAAGCTGAGGGGCACGAGGGCACCGAATCCGAAACAGCCGTGGGAGGTGTAGGATGAGGACACGTTTAAACTGCGAAGCCGCTCGAGCCCTCGTGTCACACCGCACTGGCCCGACCCGCTGTCCTGGTCGCCTGGTCTTCCAGTGTCTCCAGCAGGAGCCAAAGGGCCTGCTGGCGGCCCCCGACCCGGCATCTGCAGGGCCCCGGAGGGTGGGGCGCGCGGGAGCACCGATTTCTGGTGAAGACGCCCTCGCACCTGGGCGGCTCTGAGCGAGCAGCGAACTGAGACTCGCTGGCCTCCTTCTCTACTCCGGGGATTCTTTCTGCAACCAAAAATAGCCCCCAGATTACAGTAAACTCTACCTTTTTGTGTAACTGACCACAGTTTGCATCAATTCCCACTGGGAATTTCCCCTTTCAAGGTTGAGGGTTGTTTCCAAAGGCCTGGGGTAGTTACAATTTCAAGTGCCCCCTGAGGGCTGAGTTGGGTTTGCTGGACCCACTGTCCTCCCAGGGAGAGCACTGCGTCACTTTACAGCAAGAGTCCCGGCTGCGGGTCACCAAGGCCCAGGTGGACAGGGCCAGGCCCTGAGAGGGGAGCACCACGCAGCCTTTTCTGGCCTCCCGTAGGCGATTGGTGCTCATTGACCGCGTCACTCAGCAAGGGAATTGAGGTTCTATCTTCAGAGTTTACCACTTCCTTTTCTTCCTTAGAAATTTGAGTCCAAATAGCATTTGAATGTGTTTCCCCTTAAATATAAACTAAAATGTCATCGTCTGCTTCAAAGAAGAACTATCGTTTATAAGTAAGTGGTCCGATTCAGGATGCAAGCTGATCATTTTCCTGTCTTTTAAAAATAAACCGCTAAGAAGAAACAATAAATAAAAAATAAAATATGCTTCTTTTACAACAAAGACAGTAGAGTCTGGACATTTCTGGAAGATGGGCTAAAAGAAACACAAAATCGACCGGGCGCGGTGGCTCACGCCTGTAATCCCAGCATTTTGGGAGTCCGAGGCGGGCGGATCACGAGGTCAGGAGATCGAGACCATCCTGGCTAACATGGTGAAACCCTGTCTCTACCAAAAATACAAAAACAAAATTAGCTGGGCGCAGTGGCGGGCGCCTGTAGCCCCAGCTACTGGGGAGGCTGAGGCTGGAGAATGGCGTGAACCCGGGAGGCGGAGCTTGCAGTGAGCAGAGATTGTGCCACTGCACTCCAGCCTGGGCGACAGAGCGAGACCCCGTCTCAAAAACAAAACAAAACAAAACACCAAAAAAAAAAAAAAAGACACAAAATCAGGCATAGGCATTTTTAGTAAAGCCAACATTTATTATATGTACAAAATCTGCATAGGTAGGAGAAAGTAGCTTATCAAAACTGCCGACTCAGGATAACTTAAATTAATATTCTGAGGCCAGGTGTGGTGGCTCACACCTGTAATTTCAAAACTTTGGGAGGTTGAGTCTAGCGGATCCCTTGAGCCCCAGGAGTTCAAGCCCAACCTGGGCAACGTGGTGAAACCCCATCTCTGCAAAACATACAAAATATAGCCTAGTGTGGTGGCGTGTGCCTGCAGTCCCAGCTACTTGAGGGGGAAGTCGAGGCTGCAGTGAGCCCTGATGGTGCCACTGCATTCCAGCCTGGGCAACAGAGTGAGACCCTGTCTCAAAACAAAAAGAGAAGTACTGAGAAATTATATTTTATCCGACTGTCAAGTTTCAATGAATTATTTTGTTATGATTTTGAAAGATATACATAGCAATTACACAATTTGTTCATTTAGTTGAATAATTTGTCTTTGGACCATTTTTTAAAAATTCAGCACTAGCTCAGTTATATGTCTGTAACATGCCTTTCAAAATTACAAGCAGTATGTTTATCTTGAAGAGAGAGAAAACTGCATGCACCTATAGGGCCTGCCCCACCTTGGTTTGGAAGGAGGGAGGCAGGGGGAACCTAGTGGTGGAGGAGCACACAAGTGCACCACAGTGTTCATAAAATAACTAGCTCCAGCACTTTGGGAGGCCAAGGTGGGCAGATCACTTGAGGTCAGGAGTTCGAGACCAATCTGGCCAACATGGTGAAACCCCATCTCTACTAAAAATACAAAAATTAGCCAGATATGGTGCTGCATGCCTATATTCCCCACTGCTCGGGAGGCTAAGGCAGGAGAATTGCTTGAACCTGGGAGGCGGAGGTTGCAGTGAGCTGAGATTGTGCCACTGTACTCCAGCCTGGATGACAGAGTGAGACGCCATCCCTCACCAAAGAAGAAAATAAAATAACCAGTTCCCATCTCCCAAGGCTAAATGAAGAACTGAAGGAGAGAGTGATTTAAAACCTTCTCACATTGTCTGGAATTTAGCAACAGTGTTAACTTTCATTAGTATGAAAATTAAAGTATCCATTCGCCTTGATATAAATTGTTCTGTAGGACCTGCTTCTCCAGATTCATTGCCTTATTTGCCGAGAGAGCTAGCCCAGGTGAAGTGAATGAGAAATGTGTATAGAAGGCAGTGCAGCTTGGGGTGAAGACCAGATAGTGATATCAGACAGGCTGGCTTCCAATTATGGCTTTACCACTGCTAAGTTACAATGATAATAGTTCTAGATTTTGAATGTCTGTTACTGTGGGGGTACCAATCTCCTATTCTTGATGTTTAGGGTATTTCCAACATTTTCCTTAGTGGACACAAATGCACCCTTGTCCAGGTATTTCCTCAGAAAAACATCCCACCTCAAGTGGCTTGAGCTTTTTAAACCCCAGTATTATGTGTAAAAATTGTTCTCAGTGAGAGAGACTGGGAGAGCCAGACCTCAAGCTCAGATGGGAAGACTCAGGGCTGTAAAGATCCTACTTGTCTTCATACTGTTCTAGAAATGACATGACCACATTCCTGTGTGAATGCTTGGAGGGGAACATGACAGCACTAATCCAAAGTAGATCTCATGAGATAACAACCGTCTGATAATTTCTTTTGCTGCTGTTGTTTTCATTGTCGTTGACGAAAGCTTTCCAGAGTTAGTCTCTGTTACTAGGAACTAAAACTCAGTTCAGCAAAACAGCATATTAAGAAAAAAACTCGACCGGGCGCGGTGGTTCATGCCTGTAATCCCAGCACAGAAAGAGAGAGAGAGAGAGAGAAAAGAAAGAAAAGAAAGAAAGAGCAAGCTAAATGGGGAAAAAACATTAATTGCAGAAAAAACATTAATTGTGCTGCTTGTGGCAAGTGGTTAGGATGATAGCCAAAACGTAGAGAGAATTCACAAACCAAGAAGGAAAAGCTGAGCATATTTATTAATTTGTTTAGCCCCTGTTGTTCCATAGTGAGGGAAATACAGCTCATTACGATGAAAAAGACTCATTCGCTTGCCTTAGGTAGCCGAAGGGAAACTGTGCCAGGAGGCGTGGGCTCTGCCTTCTTCAGCGAGTGAGCTGAGTGGTAGCTATAGTTAAAGGGAAACAGGCCAATCCTTGAAGTTGGATGCCAGAGAAGAAAACGAGGGTCTGGGGTCAGCCAGGGCTGGAGAGGGGACCTTAAGGCTCAGCTTCACAAAGGCTGGATGCTTTGTTTTCTCAATACCACCTTCCTCTCAGTCATCTTCTCAAAAGACAGAGCTGGGAGATGCTAATGGGCTGAGGTTTGTAACAGGCTCTTCCAGCTCTCCCACTGCCTACGAGAGAAGAAGTGAGTGGGGAACGGGACATCTCTTAGTCACTCATTTTTTAAAAAACAGTTTTAAAACACTCATGTTTTTAAAAACCAAAATGATTTGTTTTGGAGTTTTTGCAAATTTCTCTGAGTTGATTCCCACACTCGTGGGAGCAACCTAGAGTGTCCTGAAGTCAATCTGTGGAATCACTAGGCCAGATTACCTTTCTCATCAGTTTAGGAATATAAAGAAAGGTCTCTGTGTATTTCTGGATCTCCCTATTAAAGAGATTAGTTGCTGTTTGGGCCTCACTCCATTCAATTGACAGCACCTAGATCCCTCCTATTACAATCTCAATTCATGTAACCATTTCGGAACTTCAGCTTCTTTTAAGGAAGTTTTCTTTGTGATTAAATGTCTAGAAGTAAATGCATGTGTGCACTTAACTGCCAGTTCTGCCACCTTTTTCCTGCTCTGCATGGGATTAGCAATAGTGGGGTATCACTAGAAAATCCATGCCTACTCTAAGGACAAAAGGCCTTGGGTCTTTTGCCAATGGAACCTTTTATTCAACAGAATAAATGTGGTTGGATTTACAAGGCCAGTTGAGGGAGTCCTGTGAGGTGAGAACCTATTAAAAGACCTACTGATCGGCCAGGCGCGGTGGCTCACGCCTGTAATCCCAGCACTTTGGGAGACTGAGGTGGGCATATCATGAGGTCAGAAGTTTGAGACCAGCCTGGCTAACATGGTGAAACCCCATCTCTACTAAAAATACAAAAATTAGCCGGGCGTGGTGGCACGTGCCTGTAATCCCAGCTACTCGGGAGGCTGAGGCAGGAGAATTGCTTGAACCCAGGAGGTGGAGGTTGTAGTGACCCGAGATCGCGCCACTGTAGCCCAGCCTGGGCAACAGAGCAAGACTCCATCTCAAAAAAAAAAAAAAAATGACCTACTAATCGAGGGCTTCCCCATGACCCACCCTGATGGCCTTCCCCGAAGTGCAGGAGAAACTCCACCCTTTTCCCTATCACTTCCCCTGTTACATGCCCCTGTAATCACTCTTACTGCCCTGCTTTCCAATATGTTTTTGCAAAACTATGTTCCTCTGTAAGCTGACAGTTTGCCAAGAGCAGGAACCAGGTCTCGTTAATTTCTTTTTGAATCCCCAGCATCTAAAAGGATGCCTCACCATCTTGGTTGATCTTCAACAGATGTGTTAAACAAAAGAGAAGGCGATGCCTGCTAGACCCAGCTCTGCTGCATCTTGGAAACTTCTGAATGTACACAAGGTCAGCACAGAGCAGCTGATCACCAGGAACCTGAGCTTTCTTTAGCCACTTACACTTCAAAGTCTTTGTATCTTCAGGATTTTTTAAAAAACCTCCTGCCATAGGTAGGTAAATATGGGACTCAGGAGGATACTCAGATTCTGTGTCAGCTTCTGAGGATCAACAGCCCTCTGTAAAGCCGGATTCATGCCTTAGCACGTGTAAAACTGCCAGACTGAGACTTCAGGGACACCAAGCAAGGGGACTGGAGCTGATAGACCAGCACCTTATGAACCAGGAGGGATGGGGGCATCGTGCCTGGCTCTCAGCTGGGACCAGTGTGCTTAATGCCAGGCCTACAAGTTGCCACCCCATCCTCTCCCTAACTGAGCATAAATTCAGTCAGCAAAGCAAAGCCTAAATCAGGATTTCAAACTACCGTGGTGAATCACACAGTTTGGCTTCCCTTGTCACTCAGCTTATTCTCTCTTAGGTCAGTTTCAGGTCAAAACGTGCCCATGGGGACAAAGATGAAGGCAGGGAGAATGCAGGCTGGGCAGCGACTGCATGTTGGGAGGCTCAGCCATCAGCATCCCTGACTTTGTCATTCTGATCTTGGGGAACACAGAAGAGGACCCTCCCCTGCAGCAGAACCCTGAGCCCTCCTTCCCTGGGACTCTGGATCCCTCCCAACCCTCCCTGAGGTCCTCCCGTCATGGTGTAGCATCTGTTTCTGCATCCACAGCCCACTCAGATCCCCACTCCACAACAGACTTTACGCCCCCACACGCTCCTGCGCTACCCCCACCAGCTTAGCTCACAGCTGAACCTTCTGCAAGACAGATCCGCACAAGCTGCACTTTTTCATCTTCCATTTCTTCATTTGACATATGTAATACACACAATCGAAAATTACAAAAGTAATTCACGCTTCTTGGGAAAAACCCCCCAAACATTATGCTCTACACAGTAAGAAGGCAGTGTCAGCCGGGCATGGTGGCTGTGCCTGTCATCCCAGCTACTTGGGAGGCTGAGGCAAGAGGATGGCTTGAACCTGAGAAATTGAGGCTATAGTGAACTATGATCACAGTTCTGCACTCCAACCTCAGTAACAGAGCAAGACCCTGTCTCAAAAAGTAAAATAAAATAAACATTTTTTAAAGAAGGTAATGTCTTTACTTTCATTTCCTCCTGCTGCTCTTTGAATTGCTGCCATCTGCTCCTGCCCCACCCACCCCCACCATCCCTGGCTTCCCCAAGGATCCCACAAGGGTTTCTTTCCTATGAAATTCAGTGGACATTTCCAGCCCTAAGCCATATTTGATGACGACATGTGCCCCATGCTTTGCCTGAACAGTGATCATCTCCAGGAAATACAGACACAGTCCCCTGGATTCCCTTCAGCTGTCCATACTATGGTCATCCAAGCACTGTAAACAGAGCTGGAAAGTGGGGATCCCCATACTCCATGCCCCTGGCAGTCCTGAGACCACAGGAAGGGAGAGTAGCCTGGAGTTCTGCTCATAGCCTTGCAGAGGGGCAAGGCTGAGGACTGAATTCTCTAGGACAGAGACTGTTCCCTGTTGTATGCTAAAGCAGCACGTGGCTTGAGTGCCTGGGAAACATTTCTGATGACTAAGTGAAGGAGGGATGGCTGAGCCAGCCCAGCTCTCCTGTGACCCTAAACCTAAAGCAACCTACTCCACCTACCTAACCCAGAAGCGACATGCTTAGCAGTGCCAAAGCTCAGCTCAACCCTGGCACAAAGTGTGTGGGAACAAAATCCACGCTCCTAAGACGTGGACTGCAATGGAGCTGGAGCTGATGGTTACTAATTTTCTTCCTTTTCTTTCTTTCTTTTTTTTTTTCTTTTTCTTTGAGACAAGGTCTTACTCTATCACCCAGAATGGGATGCAGTGGCAAATCATAACTCACTGCAGCCTCCAACTCCTGGACTCAAGCAATCCTCCCACCTCAGCCTCCCAAGTAGCTGGGACCACAGGCATGCATCACCATGCCCGGCTAATTTTTTATTTTTTGTAGAGATAGGGTCTCCCTATGCTATATTGCCCAGGCTGGTTTTGAACTCCTGGGCTCAAGCCATCCTCCTGCTGTGTCCTCCCACAGTGCTGGGATTACAGGTGCAAGCCACTGCACCTGGCCCATTACTACTTTTCACTAGCACACTTTTTTTTGCACTTGAGTACGACTGCCTCTGTTTCCATGGCTGTATATGTATATAGGGTTTAGACTCTCTCAGACAATTCACCAGAACATTTTGGTATTTCATTTTTAGAACCAAAAATACCCCAAGTTTATAATGATAAAAATTCCCAAGTTCTATTCTCTCTCCTAATCTGGAGTTATTCAGTCAACTGGCTTACTGAGCACGGCAGATGCACACTCCACTTCTCAATATGCACACTTTGTCATGGTTTTCCTCCTCAGAAGCCCCCACCGGTGACTCATGCCCACATTCCCTGTGTCAGCAGCCGGCTCCCAGGCCCCGCAGCAGACCTGCCAGGATGCCTCGGGGCTTGTGGCTTCTGGTCTCTTTGTTGGCATAGACTTCCCCTCCCATCCCTTGTAAACATTTTCCTCAATAGTATTTACTCAGTTTGATGTATTACTTACATATGTAGTCCAGATATCCACTGCAGGCATTGGGAGGGAGAGAAGAGGATCCCGGTGTCATCCTGCTTGCAGTTATTCATAATGTTGAGATTCCTGTGTGTGCAACCTGTTCACAGGATGTGCAGCTACCGAGCACTCAAACTGGAAGGGCGGGAAGGTGTTGCTGAAGAGGTGGGATGTCACCGAAAAGAACAGGACCTCAATAAAACTCTCAAGTTTAGGTGGTGGAGCAGAAAGTATAGTCTGTTGAGGGGAATAGACCAGACACACATACACGCATGCCTCAGAGGACAGAGCAGCACAGCCGGTTTTGACTTCATATAAGAATTCTCTCTCTCTCTCTCTTTATTTATTTATTTATTTATTTATTTGGTTTTTGTTGTTGTTGTTGTTGTTTTTGAGACAGAATTTTGCTCTTATTGACCAGGCTGGAGTGCAGTGGCGCAATCTCAGCTCACTGCAACCTCCGCCTCCCAGGTTCAAGCGATTCTTCTGCCTCAGCCTCTCAAGTATCTGGGATTACAGGTGCCCGCCACCTACCCCAGTTAATTTTTGTATTTTTAGTAGAGACGGGGTTTCACCATGTTGGCCAGACTGGTCTCGAACTCCTGACCTCAGGTGATCCGCCCACCTCAGCCTCCAAAAGTGCTGAGATTACAGGTGTGAGCCACTGAGCCCAGCCTCTTTTTCTCTCTTACATATGATTTTTCACTGCACCTCAACTCAATCTCTACTGTCTGTCTTTGAGTTCCAGATTCTGGGGCCCAATTTGCCCTTCCCCAGGTTGTCAGAAGAATGGAACCAAATCTCACCTCTCCCTTAGTTTCAGATCATCCACCCTTTGAAGAAGGTGTCTGAACTCCATCAGTGTATTTTTTAAGTCTTTTTTTCCTAAGCCCTAATGATATCTACAACTGAATGCCCTTCCTTTTCCCCACTCCAGCACTCTAGGGACCCTTGCTTTGGGCCCTCTATTGGGGCCGCTTCCTCACTTCCCTCACACTGTCTCCAACACCTGGCAGCTCCTTTCCACTGCTTCTTCCTCTTGCACCTTCCCACCGTCCCCAGCCTCTCGTCCTATCCAGTCCACCCCACACTGATGCGGTTCTCAGACTTCCCAGATATCACTGCACAATCAGAGGGCCGCAGGGGGACCACCGTCCATTACACATACGTCCACCCCATGAACTGAGATCACTCTCACCAGCGTAAAATCTGCTTTTATTGGCACAATATGAAATCACAACAAGTGCCCCCCACCCTCCACCCAGCACACCTGCATGCACACACACACACACACACACACTCATACACATGCATATACATACACAAGCTCTCCAGTGAAGATGAGTGTGTCTCTCAGTAAGGATTTCCAGTCATCAATACAGTGCTTTCTGCTCATTGATTCCCATGGTCATCTAGGAACATTTGCCACTAAGCAGTAAAAGGCACTGAAGGTAAAGTTAAAATGTTGGTGTAAAAGACACTGAAAATGGAGCTGGCCGAATTCTAGAGCCAGCATTTTTCTGTGTATTGGGAAAAGGCTGCCTTGTTTTATTCTAGCTGTGGATATTTCAGGTGGCTTAGGGAGCTTTCCACCTGGCCTCTCTCCTGACCTCCGCACCTCCTTTGACCTTGCCCTAGGACTTGCCCCTAAATATCTCAACCCTTTTCACTACCCAGATTGCCCCTAAAGGTTTGAGGCTGTGCCCTAAACCCCGCAGCTGCTGAGAGGCTGGACCACTGCCCTGGGCTCGGGGCGGCGGCCCCAAGGTGATTCTCCAATGCTTCACTTTCTGACACCCTTTGGGGCAATGGCTCAACCCTTTTCACCACCCAGCACCACAACCCTGCTCTTGCAGTTTGTCTCCTTTCCTGCCTCAGGTCACTAGGCAGTCTCACGTGAATGCCCCTCTTATCAAACTGTCTCCTGGCCTGCCCTTGGCTTCCGGAAGCTCCACATCATCCTGGTTGCTGAGTATTGCCCCGCAAAAGTCACACTGCTGAAAAAGAAGGCTACTTAAAAATGCGGGTGTCGGCCGGGCATGGTGGCTCACGCCTGTCATCCCAGCACTTTGGGAGACCAAGGCGGGTGGATCACTTGAGGTCAGGAGTTTGAGACCAGCCTGGCCAACATGGCGAAACCCTGTCTCTACTAAAAATACAAAAATTGGCCAGGCATGGTGGTGCATGCCTGCATGCCTATAATCCCAGCTACTTGGGAGACTGAGGCAGGAGAATTGCTTGAACCCAGGATCTGAGCCAAGATCGTGCCACTGCACTCCAGCCTGGGCAACGGAGCAAGACTCTCAAAAAAAAAAAAAAAAAAAGCAGGTGTGGTCTGCACACAGGAAGTTCCCAGTCACTCAGCAGTTCTTGCACTTGGCCTTGCTTTATAAACAGTCACCACTTTCTCTCAGTCCCACCCCACTTGGTCTGAGCAGGCAACATCACTCTCCAGTGGCGAGGGTTGAGGGCCCAAGGCACAAGGCTTGTCTCTGTCCCCTCCCTCCCCAGGCACCTTACCTTCAGCCCTGGCTGGCCCCCTCACACCCAGGGTTCCCATCAAGCTTAAAGAGGCATAGCCAGACGGCACCCTGGATAGTGCCTCCTGGGGGTCACACAGGCACCTAGAGACTCCCCCAAGCCTGACTAACACAGCACTGCCATCTGCCCAGGAGGCCTCCCTCTGCAGCTCCTGCTTCTCATCCCTCCCCCTCCATTCCCACTGCCACCTCAGGTGTCTCCTCTGTAGGCCTCCACATCCACACAGTGATCTATGGCATGGCACCGCTCTTGAGTTTAGAGCAGGCATGTCTAGGCTCAAAACCCCACCTGGCACCAACCCTGTGACTCAGTCATTCCACTCCTGGGCACGTACCCAGCAGAAATGTGTACATGTGGCCAAACAAAGACGTGAACGGGAATGTTCACGGAAACTTTTTTCACCGTGGCAAAAAAGAAAGAGAGGAAACAAATGCTCCCCAACAGTAGATTGGATAGAGTAGTTGCGGCACAATCATCAGTGCAGCACCGCACAGCAGTGAGAACGGGTGAGCTGCACACAACAGCATAAAGGAATGTCACCCGCTTAGCGTTGACCAAAAGAAACCAAACACAGAAGAGCACATGCTGTATGATTCCATTGACAGAAGCTTAGAAATCAGGCTAAACTAATGGCTAGTGCTGGAAATCAGGATAGTGTCTACCTTTTGGGAGGAAGAAGGGGTAGTGATTGGGAAGTGGACAAGGGAGGTTTTGGGGGCACTGGGAATGTCCTATCTGTTGTCCCAATGGGTTCACTTTAACATAATTTCATCAATCTATATACTTAAGATTTTTCTGAATGTTTGCAACCCTTCAATAAGTTTGTTTGTTTGTTTTTTTGTTTTTTGTACAGAGTCCTCCTGCTTGGGCCTCCCAAAGTGCTGGGATTATAGGCATGAGCCACCATGCCCGGCCCTTTTTTAAAAACTCAGCTCTTTTTAGCTTGGGTAAGTTATGTATCCCTGTCCAGGAATACAACACCTGCCTCACGAAGTGGTAATGGAAGACAGAGAAAGGCAACGCATGAGAAGCATCTAGTGTGGAGCCTGAAACTGAGCAAGCACTCAATATTAGTTATGATTATTAATTAGCCCTTAGTAAATGCAGAAGGAAGCTAAACCCACTGCCCCAGCTCTCTCCCTATCCCAGAAATTCTCTTGATTCCTGTAGCCCCTGTCCTGTAAGAGGTGCCCTGGGAACCACCTCAGTGCTAGTGCTCCACGCCCTGTGGCCTCCCACTGAGAATGGAATTCCTAGGGAGGAAGGCTCCCTCCCAGTTCCAGGCGTCCTCAGGGAGGGGATTCCAAGCAGCCCATTGGATTTCAGGATCCTCTGTAGCACTACTCACAGTTTAGGCATTTCTTGTTGGCTCTTGAGCTTAACTACGATTCAAATCATTGTTTACCCCAAATTCCCCAGGGCCAGATCACTGGTTGGGAATGCCCACCCCGGGTGTCCTCTGACCTATTGCTGCACGTTTAACCCAGAGAGTGCCACTGATATTGAAGAATGTGCTCATTAGCTCCCAGCCCACAAGACCAACAATAAACACTGGTTTTCTGGCCGGGCGCTATAGCCCACGCCTGTAATCCCATCACTTTGGGAGGCCAAGGCAGGCAGATCACCTGAGGTCAGGAGTTTGAGACCAGGCTTGCCAAAATGGTAAAACCCCGTCTCTACTAAAAATACAAAAATTAGCCAGGTGTGGTGGCAAGGACCTGTAATCCCAGCTGCTTGGGAAGCTGAGGCAGGAGAATCACTTGAACCCAGGAGGCAGAGGTTGCAGTGAGCCCAGATCATACCACTGCACTCCAGCTTTGGGCGGTAAGAGTGAAACTCTGTCTCAAACAAAAACCCTGGCCTTCGGATGGGCTTTTTCTGGGGGACATTATAACACCCTAGGCTCAGGAAATGCATCAGCTTCTCTTGACAAGTGGAACAGTCTTTCAGCTACTGTCTAACCCCTTTATGCTTCTATTTTCCTATCTATAAAGATGGGAGTGAGAATAGAGCCTTTCTCATAGTATTTTGGTGAGGATTAAATGAGCTAATTTATGTAAAATTCTTAAAACAGCGCCTGGCACATAAGAAGCATTGCATAAGCATTAGGATTGGCATTCCTGCTGTTGCTGGTAGAACACAGCACATTGCTTCTCTAATTGAACTGTCCTGGGGCTGTGCGGTGGTCCTCCCTGCTCCAAGCAGCCTCCAGTCATACTAGAGTTCAGAAGACAAACTGGAGAAACCAAGGGCAGCTTGGCAAGGGTACCAGCCACTTAAAAACTGGGTGCAATTCTGGAAGATTAAAAATGGCAGCAGAGAAAGACGGTGAAGGGCTTAGGCGGAGAGGTCATCAATGTCGTGTCCACACCTCCAATGCTTCAGGTGTCGAAAAGTAAGGTACTGGAGAATCACCTTGGGGCCCCCGCCCCGAGCCCAGGGCAGCAGTCCAGCCTCTCAGCAGCTGTGGGGTCCTTTTCCTCCAGCACATTCCTCCTTCCCGCAGCCACACCTCAGCCCTTCTCCAGTTGTGTAGTAGGACACAGTCACCTCCGATCTGACTGCCTTCTTTCCTTGTGGCCCAGGACAGGAGCATAAAAATAACAAACATGGAAGCATTTCCAGAACCTTACAGATTTCTACAACCACAGGCCTGATCTGGAGTTGCCAGCTTCTTCCACTATAACACCTGGAAAATCCATTGACTTCTCCCCCTTCTGGAAGGTTTCTCCATCTCCTACCAGTCTCTCCTATGGGCAGGTATAATCTTTCCCACCAGAGTGGCTGCTTCCCAGCCCTGAAGTTAGAAAAACCACCCGAAGCAAGGCGGGGCGCAGTGGCTTACACCTGTAATCCCAGCACTTTGAGAGGCCGAGGCGGGTGGATCATCTGAGGTCAGGAGTTCCAGACCAGCCTGACCAACATGGTGAAACTCTGCCTCTACTAAAAATACAAAATTAGGCAGGTGTGGTGACAGGTGCCTGTAATCCCAGCTACTTTGGGAGGCTGAGGCAGGAGAATTGCTTGAACCCGGGAGGCAGAGGTTGCAGTGAGCCGAGATTGTGCCATTGCACTCCAGACTGGGCAACAAGAGCGAAACTCCATCTCAAAAAAAAGAAAAGAAGAGGAGAGAGACACACAGAGAGAAGGCCGTGTGAACCTGTGAAGATAGAGGCAGAGGTTGAGGTGATGCCGCTTAAAGCTAATGAATGCCAAGGATTGCTGAGAGCCACCAGAGGCTGGAGGAGGCAGGAAGGAGTCTCCCCTACATTGTCCTGCAGATGCCTTGATTTCAAACTTCTAGCTTTTAGGATCATGAGACCATTCACTTCTGTTGTTGTAAGATACCTGGTTTCTGTGACTTGGTTATGGCAGCCCTAGCAAACCAACACACATGCTAACACATGCCGACATGCACTAACACATGCCGACATGCACTAACACATGCCGACACACAGGCTAACATGCCGACACGCACACCAACACATGCCGACACGCACGCTAACACATGCCGACACACATGCTAACATGCCGACACGCACACCAACACATGCCGACACGCACACTAACATGCCGACACGTGCTAACACATGCCGACACGCACACCAACACATGCCGACACGCACGCTAACACATGCCAACACGCACACTAACACATGCCGACACGCACACCAACACATGCCGACACGCACACCAACACATGCCGACACGCACACTAACACATGCCAACACATGTGCTAACACATGCCGACACGCACGCTAACGCAGACACATGCTAACATGCTGACACGCACACCAACACATGCCGACACGCACACCAACACATGCCGACACGCACACCAACACATGCCGACACGCACGCTAACACATGCTGACACGCGTGCTAACACATGCCGACACGTGTGCTAACACATGCTGACACACATGCTAACATGCCGACACACGCGCTAACACATGCCGACACGCACACTAACACATGCCAACACACATGCTAACACATGCCAACATGCACTAACACATGCCGACACACATGCTAACACATGCCGACACACATGCTAACACATGCCGACACACATGCTAACACATGCCGACATGCACTAACACATGCCAACGCACACGCTAACACATGCCGACACACATGCTAACATGCCGACACACGCACTAACACATGCCGACACACACGCTAACATGCCGACACGCACGCTAACACATGCCGACACGCACGCTAACACGCCGACACGCACGCTAACGCGTGCCGACACGCGCACTAACACATGCACTAACACATGCCAACACACACGCTAACACATGCCAACTTACATGCTAACAACACAAATCTGCGGCCTTCTTCGTGGCTGTGTAGCACTGAATGGCATTGACATGCCATCATTCATTCAAACAATCCAATGGTGATGGGCCCCTGGCTTCTTTCCAGTGGTCACTGTTGTAAACAAAAGCGCAATGCACCGCCGTGTGTATCTATCTTGGCTCAACTGTCTTTTATATGCTTATAATTATTTCTATAAGTGGAATTATTTATATGTTTTTTCCAGCTTTATTGATGCATAATTGGCATATGAAAAAACTGTACCTAATTACTATATACAATTTGGTGAGCTGGGCCATATAAACAGCCTCATGTTACCACAACTGAGGTAATAAACCTACCCGTCACCTCCAAAAGTTTTCTTGTATACCTTTGTTGTTCCTGTACTTTTTGTTTGTTTGTTTTAGAGACTGGGTATCATTATGTTGCCCAGGTTGGCCTCAAACTCCTGGGCTCAAGCAATCCTCTTGCCTTGGCTTCCTGAGTAGCTGGGACTGCAGGTGCAAGCCACCATACCTGGCTCCATATAGCTTTGAAAGGCTTTTGAAAACTTACGCCAAATCACCTACTAAAGAGGCAAATGAGAAAAAAAAAGCAATAAAAAAATACAAATAATGATTTATCTGAAAAGTTTCTCAATTTACAGAGCTGACTTTCTAGCTATCTGTTTGTTGCTATGCCAGAGGAATCAATTGTTTAAGAAAAAAAAAAGGTTTTGATATCACGTGAGTTCAGAGGCAGCACAGGATGAAACTGGGGAAAGCAGGCTCAGAGTCTAATTATTATTCATTACTAGAAATCACACTGAGCAGTGGTGAAATTGGGTCAGCAGCAGCATGGTGGGGGAGTTTGGTGGAAAAAAGGGGTCAGATATCTCCCAACTGTGGCTCGCATAGGAGCCACTGGGGATGGTGAGCATATGGATGCAGGAAGGTGGGTTAGATTCAGGAGAAAGTCTTTGACTCAGGCCTCAAGTAAGGACCCCCACCACTTGAGATGAAGTGCAGAGAACCCAAGAAGATGAACTGAGAGGGTGGAGCATGTTTGTTCATTTTGTTTCGTTTTGTTTTTTTGGCCCAGGCTGAAGTACAGTGGCACAATCATAGCTCACTGCAGCCTCCACTTCCTGGGCTCAAGCGATCCTCCCACCTCAGCCTCTCTAGTAGCTGGGACTACAGGCATGCACCACCACACCTGGCTAATTTTTTATTTGTTGTAGAGACAAGGTTTCACTGTGCTGCCTAGGCTGGTCTGGAACTCCTGGCCTCATGGGATCCTCCTGCCTCGACCTCCCAAAGAGCTGGCATGAAGCCACACCCAGCCTGGAGCAGTTATTGAGTAGGTGGTCAAGGTTGCTCAGGACAGCCTTGCCCTTCTGCAGCACTTTGCTTAGGACTGGCCCTGGCCCATGGGAGGGAAGGGAATTCCCTTGTGCTTCCTGTTTTCTCCCCTTTTCACTGTTAAAGATAATTTTAAAAAAAGAAAACAAAAAAAATCATGACTCCCTTACAGATATACAAATGAATGCTTATTAAAGATTTTCTTCCATAAATGAAGGAACAAGGCAGGTGTTCCATCCAGTTTAAAGATAATCTGAAGAGCAGATGTGTTTCTAGATCAGGAATATGGAAATGATTGTGCAAATTAAGGCAAAACTGATTTTCCAAGGTGGCTGGGCAAGAAGTCAGTTGAACCTCTTCTGAACATGACAGAATTTGCATATCTATAAACAAGAATTATTTCTCATTGCTATCAGTTACTGTACTAGGTTGAATAGTGTCCACCAATAACTCATGTCCACCCAGAACCTGTGAATGTGACCTTATTTGGAAATAGGGTCTTTGCAGACATAATAATGTTAAGTGAGGTCATACTGGAGAAGAGTAGACCGTAAGTCTAACATGGCTGATATCTTTATAAGAAGAGGGCAACTCGGACACAGAGACCCAGACACACAGTGGAGAAGGCAATGTAAAGATGGAGGCAGAAATCAGAATGATGCGTCTACAAACCAAGAAGCACCAAGCATTGACAGCAACTGCCAGGAGCTGGGAAGAGGGCGGGAAGGAACCTCTCCTAGAGCCTTTAGAGAGGGCTTGGTCTTGCTGAGACGTCGGTTGCAGTCTCAGTAAGCTCTGAACTGGAGCCTTCAGTTCCAGTAACGTCTGGAACTGTGAAGTGATCAATGTCTGTTGTGCTAAGTTACCCAATTTGTGGTGCTGTGTTACAATAGCCCTAAGTAACTAACACAGTTATCTACAACTTCCTGAGGTATGAAATAGCTCAAAGACAACGAAAGGCTAAAATCAGATACCCTGGAGTTCTAGCTACTAAGAAAATGCACAATTTTCCACGGAAGCAAATATATTTCCTGCATCATATTAGAGTTTCCTGCTCCTAGCAACCAAACTTGAAGATGGGCTGGTTTTTATCTGTACAAGTCGATACAATATTGTCATTCTACAAGTGTGGGACCAAGTGTTTTTGCCAAAACCTTTCGTTTTTACAGAGCTTTGTGTGGGGAGGGTTGAAGATGTCATCAAAATTTTTGACAATGTTTACTGTCATGTATGGATTCATGCAAAAGAATGGAGCATTTCTTTCAGTATGCTACATTTCCAAAAATGTTGTGTAATTATGCCAGAAATTCTTGATTTAAATAATATTTTAGTCAAAATATTTTAAGAAGAATTTTTATATGTTTATACATTTGTTTTTCCAGCAAAGGAGCATTTTCAGGAGCACAGAAGATTGGACAGAACAAGACCACACTCTTGGGAATGGACAAGGTGCTGTAGATTCTGTATGAATTAGCCTTTCCCATCCTCAAGATTAAAACAACACTAACAACAACAAAAGCTAACCTATCATGGCAGTGGAACTTGTGTGACAATTTGCATTCTGACAGCTGCCAAAGTTTTCTTTGGAGAGGAATCTGACAGAATGTTTCAGATTGCTGTTTAAGCCAGTCCCATTTTTCAATTGAAAAATGATTAGCTGAATTAGCTTAGGATGTGAAACTTCAAGTTTTGCAAAAGATTGATATAACACCTCTCTTGTCCCTGTTACGATAACAAAGGAAATTGAGTATGGTCATTCGTCTAGGCACAATGACTCGAGATTCTGTTGGAAAAGAATTGTGGTTTCTGGGACCTTGGAGATCATCATAAAACCTTTATATATATATACACAGAGAGAGAGAGAGAGAGAGAGAGACAGAGAGAGAGAGAGAGAGACAGAGAGAGAGAGAGAGAGAGAGACAGAGAGAGAGAGAGAGTCTCTCTGTCACCCAGGCTGGAACGCAGTGGCTCGATCTCAGATCCCTGCAACCTTCACCTCCCGGTTCAAGCAATTCTCATGCCTCAGTCTCCCAAGTAGCTGGGACTAAAGGCGCACGCCACCACTCCTGGCTAGTTTTTTTTGTTGTTGTTTTTTGGTTTTTTTTTTTTTTTTGTATTTTGGTAGACACGGGGTTTCACTGTGTTGCCCAGACTGATCTCAAACCCCTGAGCTCAGATAATCCACCTGCGTCAGCCTCCCAAAGTGCTAGGATTACAGGCATGAGCCACTGCACCCAGTCCCTTATGATATTTTTAACACTGCATGAAAATTTTTAACACTGCATGAAAATTCTTCTAAGCAAGTTTGCTAAATAGCAAAAAAAAAAAAAAAAACATTCTTAATGGGGTTTTGCCATGCTAGTGCTCCAGATGAACTGGGGTTTGCTGATACTGAGTGAAAATCAAAGGAAAAACACTCATTTCTGGTGTGTGCTCTGTCATGGACCATCAGTGGTACCTTTCAAAACTCTGTCCAGAAATCGATAAGAAAACTTCAACTAAAGATAATCAATGAAATGAAAAACTGTGTGTCAACCCCCAGATGTTTTGCTTTGCTCTGGATGAAGATCTGAATGCCAATCAGAAAGTGCTGCTCCACTGGGTACTGGAGTTTATTGGTTGTCAAAGGAAAATAAGCATTTTTACCTGCTGGTTGAGACAGGTATCCTATGTTTGGAATACTAGAGAAAAGAAACTCCTCAAAAGATCTTCCAGCAAAGCTTATCATATTAGACAACTATGTTCAAAAGTTTGAATATGAACTTTGCCTTATTAAAACATTTAGAGCTCAAATCAAGTCACAGATGTCAGGAATCATTACTAAAATGGTCTATTTATTTGTTTCAACATAAAACTTTCAAACACAATGTTCTTAAGATAATTTCACAGAAAAATAAACTTTTACCTAGTGCATGCTTAGGCTGAATTGGGGGACTATTTTCTAGATATCATGGCTGAAAAATCCTATTTCAGAGCTTATCAAGAAATCCTCTTTCCTCCTAATATTCTATCTGTACCAGGAAACACCACCAAGAATTTCTTTCTTTTTTTTGAGACCAAGTCTCATTCTGTCGCCCAGGCTAGAGTGCAGTGGCGCAGTCTTGGCTCACTGCAAGCTCCACCTCCCGGGTTCAAGTGATTCTCCTGACTCAGCCTCCCGAGTAGCTGGGATTACAGGCGTGCATCACCATGCCTGGCTAATTTTTGCATTTTTAGTAGAGACAAGGTTTCACCATGTTGGCCAGGCTGGTCTCGAACCACTGACCTCAGGTAATCCACCCGCCTTGGCCTCCCAAAGTGCTAAGATTACAGGCGTGAGCCACTGTACCCGGCTTGGCTTTGACATTTACAAGTCTATAAAGGAAATGGGTCCCTAGATAAAACTGTGTCTACAAAAGGAACAGAAAAAGGACAGACGGGCTTCCTAGATTACATAACTGAGTCATTGCATCAACCTGCCCGGAAATCTGCCCACCTCTGGACTTCTATAATGGGAACCAATGAATCTCCTTTGTCATCTAAGACAGTTTAAGTTGGGTTTCTAATTACTTGCCACATAAAGAATCTTTGCTAAATCTGAATTTGGTGCCAGGAGGTAAGTGTTGCAAATCATAAACACTAACAAGCTAAATTGCCCAGAGAACAGTGAGGATACCTCTAGCCCAGTTTTGAAACGAGGAATTCTTATTACATGTTTGCAAAATAGTTAATTAAATTGTCTTCAATTATATCTTAAGAAATAGGTCATTTATCCATTATGATAGTTTGAGGGGATGTTTTAGGAAATGTTTAGAATGTGTTGGCTAATTCTTGTGATCTTCTGTAAGGTTTTAGAAGAAAAACAGCTTGGGTCACAGGTAACCCAAGTAGAATGGGAGATGATAATCCCTGTTAATCACAACAAAGTCTTAACTGATACAAGAACTTTGGAGAATTGCTAGGTAAAATCTCCCTCCTTAAAACGAGAGAAAGCATTCTTATCATTTTTCTATTTTTACCCGTCTATATTTGATTTTTCCTTCCTACGGACTTTGAAAACAAAACAGTGCGTTAGGCTAGATGTTGAAAGGGTCATGATGAGCTCTGTTCTCCCTCTTCTTCAGAAGATGCCAATGCAAGACTCCAAGCTTACTCATATATAAACTGACAAATTTTTTTAATGTATCTTTAAAGATGGCCGAGTGTGGTGGCTTCACGCCTGTAAATTCCAGCACTTTGGGAGGCTGAGGCAGGAGAATCGCTTGAGCCCAGGAGTTTGAGACCAGTCTAGACAACCTAGGGAGATGCCCTCCCTACAAAAAACAAAAATAAATAAAACATTAGCCAATTACGGTGGGGCACACCTGTAGCCCCAGCTACTTGGGAGGCTGTGGCCGTGATCGTGCCACTGCCTTCCAGCCTGGGCAACAGAGCAAGACCCTGTCTCAAAAAATAAATAGGTAAGTAAATAAATAAAATAAAAAATTTGAAAAATAAAAATAATATTTTCTTCTATTCCTATCATTGTATTGGTTTAGTTTTGGTCACCATGTTGTTTTGAAATTTCAAGTAACATTAAAAGAAAGCATATGCTTTGTATATTTTCTCAAAATGGAGATAGATTTGAAGTTTGAGAATATTCTGCCAGAGAATCTGGAAGCAGAGAAACGAAAGCTGCTTCAATACATTGTCAAAGGGAGTCCAACCAAAAATAATTGAAAGATCATAGAACAGTAATGTTTGACAGAGGAAATGAAGAGGAATTTGATTTACAAAAAAAAAAAATACTTTAACTTTTATAGAACTTGTCTATTTTGAAAGGCATGAGTAATTGAACTGATTTCCACTTATATCCGCCTTCCTGCCAAAGTTTTCAAAGCTTGTTTTTTCTAATGATGATAATGCATGTTCCTTGCCTCTCAGCAGCTCCAGGGAACTCAAAGCATTTTGCAGATATTATCTCATTAGTCCTGACTCTATCCCCAGGTACTTTGCAGACATTATCCTGCATTTTAAAAATGATCGCAGCTCAAAATGGAAAATGACACCAAATCTCCTGCAGCTCTCTCTTTTTTAAACACTGTATGTAAATAACTAAATGCAGGTATTAGTCTAGATTCTTGGTTGCAGACAACAGAGCTCTCACTGCAGCTAGTTTAAGCAAGAAAGAGATTAAAAAGATGCTGAATAGCTCACCAAATTTCCTGGAGAGAGGGAGAGTCTGGTTCACAGGCTGTCCATCCCAAAGCTCATTGCTGCAGGGTTAAAAAAAAAAAAAAAAAAAAGATGCTCTTCAAAAAAAATAGTTTTAGATTTACAGATATATTGAGCATATAGTTCAGAGTTCCCATATGCCATGCCCCTATTATTAATACCTAACATTAGTATAGTAATTTTGTTATAATTAGCGAACCAATACCGACGTATTATTAGGAACTAAAGTCCCTAGATTATTCGGATTTCCTTCGTTTTTACCTAATATCCATTTTCTGTTCCAGGATCCCATCCAGGGTCTCACGTGACATCTAGTCATCATGTGTCTTTAGACCCCTCTTGCTGTGACAGTTTCTGACTCGGGGTTTTGGATGATCTTGGTGGTTTTCAGGAGGACTGATGAGGGATATTGTAGGATGCTCCTCTATCAGAATTTGCCTGATTTTTTTTTCTCACGGTGAGATGAAGGCTGTGAGTTTTAGTGGGGAAGACCACAGAGGCAAAGCTCCACGTGTATTGCATCACAGCAAGGGCACACCTCGTCAACCCGACTAACGCTTGACCTTGACCATGTGACAGGCGGCGATGGTCAGGTCTTCCCATGGCAGTGTTGCTCTTTGCCCTCCCCGTTCCTATGCTGTGCTCTTTGGAGGAAAGTCACTATGCACTGCAGGGGCTCACTTCGTCTACTTCCAGAGTCTCCGGTTGGAGGAATGTAAAATATAATTGCCTTAATCCTTAGCAGGGCCTTCAGGGTCCTCCTGGCATCCCTCCACCCTGCTGGCTTCTTGGCTAAATTCTTTCTGTGCTTCTCCTGATGGAAGGTTGGCATCGTGTCTCCATCATTCACGCATCCTCCAGGGGACCCCACATGGTACCCTGCACACAGTAGGCCCTTTACAAAGCTCTAAAAACTTTGAATAGAACTGGATTTCATCTAATAGTTAATACCAATCTTTCATAGGCTGCTGGTAGGTGAGTGAGGGTGAGGGCCACTGGAGCAGAGAGGGACGTAGCTGGTTGAATGCTCCAACCAGAGCAGTGGACAGGCCCTAGGGTTCTCATCTGGACCCTGTACCATCTGCATTTTAAAAACCTACTTGGGGCCAGGTGTGGTGGCTCACATCTGTAATTCTAGCACTTTGGGAGGCAGAGGTGGCAGGATCATTTGAGGCCAGGCCTTTGAGACTAGCCTGGGCAACATAGCAAGACCCCATCTTTATTATTTAAAGAAGAAAAAAAGAAAAAGAAAATAAAAACTTACTTGGCAGAAGACTGACTTACTTAACTGAGAGTTTCTCTTTTCTTTTTTTTTTTTTTTTTTTTTTGAGATGGAGTGTTGCTCTGTCGCCCAAGGTGGAGTGCAGTGGCATAATCTCAGCTCACTGCAACCTCTGCCTCCTGGGTTCAAGTGATTTGCCTGCCTCAGCCTCTTGAGTAGCTGGGATTATAGGCACATGCCACCATGCCCGGCTAATTTTTTTTTTTTTTTTTTTTTTGTATTTTTTTGGTAGAGATGGGGTTTCACCATGTTGGCCAGGCTAAGTCTTGAACTCCTGATCTCAAGTGATCCACCCGCCTCAGCCTCCCAAAGTGCTGGGATCATAGGTGTGAGCCACCATGCCTGGCCTGGATTCTTCCTTACCCCCACCCCCCCGCCCCCCTTATCAAGGGACAGAGACTCTCCTAAGACTCGAAAGTTAGAGGGTGGAGTTTCCTGTCATCGGAGTAATAAATTAGGAGGTGACAGAACTTCCTAATGCCCGAGACCCTGACATGTGGTTCGGACAGGCCTTGGCAACCCTGAACTGGGTATCCCGTCGGTGCAAAGCATCGTGGAATGAACTAGAGGAGGCCTGTGCCATAGATCAGGTCTCCCGTATCTGCTGGTATGGACTGAATGTTTGTCTCCCCGCCAATTCTTGTGTTGAAGCCCTAACCCCCAGTATGATGGTATTAGGAGATGGGGCTTTGGGGAGGTGATTAGCTTTAAATGAGGCCATGACAAAATGAGTGCCTTCGTAAGAAGAGACTCCAGAGCGCTCTCTCTTTCTCCATCATATGAGGACAGGGCAAGAGGGCAGTCACCTACAAGGCAGGAAGACATCTCTCATCAGGAACTGAATCAGCCAGAACCTCAATCCTGGACTTCCAGAAATAAATTCCTGTTGTGTAAGCCACCCAGTCTGTGGTATTTTGCCATAGCAGCCCAGCTGACAAAGACAGCAGTTTTCTCTCTGGTCCTCCACTGCGCTGGCTTAGTGCTTTCTCTAGCTCACTGAATCTTCCCACTCACACAAATCTGACCAGCCTTGGATCTCTCACGACTCCTGTTTCACCTGCTGACCATGTTGCAGCTTTAACTTTTGCTCCAACCCAGTCAGTTATCACAACCAGGAAGACGACCAGCCCAGTCCTTCCCTTCCTGTTCAGCCCTCTGCGTGTCAGTGTGTTTCTCAGGCAGCCGCATGAGTTTCTCTGGGGTTGGGAGCCCATCCACTCTTGACCAACTCAGCTGAAGCCAAGAAGGGGCCAGTAGGGCCTGGGAGCGGAGCACGCTCTTTGAGATAGGGCTGTGGGCATTCCCAGCAGTCAGGTCTCCAGGTCAACCCAAAGACATGGGACTAGGCTTGCCTGATTTGCTGCTGAAACATGCCCAGCAAGGTTTCCAAATCACCTGGGGAAGTGGGGCTGGGGGACTCAGCCAGCACAGTGGACCATGATCCAGCCTCAACTGCAAATGCCTCAACTCCAGCCGCGTCTCCACTAGATTTTCCCTGCGGAAAGGGTAAACACAGTCGGACCTGTTTCACAAGAATACACGCCTATAAAACCAGACTAAGCTAATTGTTGGATGTATCCTACTCCAGTCTGGATGTTATCAGTCTAACTTTCAAATGACTTGTTTTACATGTTTGGATGTGTTACAGGAACGAAGGGGGGAACGGAGTAATCCTACAGCGAATGTTTACAGTGACTCCTTGGAGGTAGCACAACATAAGAAATCATGAGGAAGAACATGAATTAGCCTGCCATGCCATGGAGGTGTGGGTCGGGTTGCTCCCTGCATCTGCGCTTCTGCGACAGCAATCAGTCATCTCTTTCCCTGCCAGAGCCCCACGCATGTGGGAGGCGTGGGGAGGTTCTATTTGTTCCTTTTCCACCTTGCACAGCATGTTCTTCTAGCAAGGAATTTATTCCCAGCTTAGAATCAGCATTTCATAGCAGGCGTGGCATGGAGTCGGCGCCCACTGCCCACTCTCGCTCCATGCTGCTCCCCCTAGGTGGCTGCCTACAGAGAGCACACCAAGCCAAGGATCAAAGGCTGCAAAGGGGACGCCAAGCCCAGGCTCGGGGGCTGCAGAGAGGACACCAAGCATAGGCTCGAAGGCTGCAGAGAGGATGCCAAGCCCAGCCTCAGAGGCTGCAGAGAATACGCCAAGCCCAGGCTCAGAGGCTGAAGAGAAGACGCCAAGCCCAGGCTCGGAGGCTGCAGAGAGGATGCCAAGCCCAGGCTCAGAAGCCCAGAAAAGTGTCAGGAAGAAGACTGGTTCTTCCAGGTGGAGGTGGGGACAGCCAGAGATCCTGACCCCTGATCAAGGCACCAGGAGCCCCCAAAACACTCACAATCCATTCAGAAGTGTGGGTTCCTGCCCACTGTGTGTTCACACACCCATCCTGACTCACGCACCCTCACACCCACACACCCTCACAGTCACTCACGCACACACTCAGCCTCGCTCATGCAGGCACACACTCTGACACACTCACATCCAGTCTCTCTCACACTGTCTCCTACATGCACAACATAACAGGGCACCGAGAGGGTCCCCAAGAGGGTCCCCAAGAGCCTCCCTCCAGGGCTTTCCTGTGCAGGACTGCAGGTGGTCACCAAGTCCAGTTCGCTCCTACATTCTTATGGCCACCATCTGGACTTCTAGGGTCTGGGCTTTTGCCCCGAAACTCTTCCATCTCCTGGAAGCATCACTCAGGTCACTGGATGATAGAGAGTAACAGGAAAGGCCAGGACTTGGGGATGGACATGGTCCACACTCCAGCTCTCCTGAGTCACAGCACCTCACCTCACCATGAGTTTCCCTCCCACCTCTGGGTTTGTGCGGTGGGCAGAGAAAGACAAAGGGGGTGCCCAGGATGTGGGCATCCTCACCGTGAGGCAGCATCATGGAGCTGGAGAAGGGGTGACTTCCTCCCCACCGACTGCAGCAGCCCTCTCTCTGCCCACTGGCTTCAGGCCCTCTGGCACTGCACAGGCTCCCCTGGGACAGTCTGGGATGTGCCCTCCTTAAAGGGATGGACCTGGATTCCCTCTGTAACTGGCTCCTCTCCCCAGAGTCTTTGAGGGCGGTAGGAATGGTGGCCTGGGATGCCTTGTGGGGCATGGAAGAGCCAAGGAGGGACTTTCATTAGCCTGAACAGAGAACTTCCCTGCCGGGAGAGTTGTCTAAGAGCTGCAGCAAATGATGAATACCAGTGTCCTTCTGTCGGAGCCCCTTGGGGAGCTGTTGGCACAGGGGGGCCCAGAGCAACGCCTGGCTCTGAGGGCCTCACCAGGATTTAATGAGTTAACGTGAGAAAGGCTTATCAGGACCTGTCACAGAGTGACTGCGGGATTACATAAGCATTTGCTTTAAAAGGAAAGGAGAGAAGCCACAGCAGAAAGGGACATGCAGGCTTTGGGGTTCCAGTAGAGCATAACACTCGAACTCTTCAGTGAGCAGTAGCAGGGGAGAGACCACAGCCCCTCAAGACATGCCGGTGTCATGCATGTGGCTGACAGTCTCTTCTGGAAGGCAGGGGAGCCTACTCGGTGACAAGAACAGTTGTCAGGTCGAGGAGGAGAAGCCATGAGATGCTTCGTGAATTTTGCTGAGTGCAATCTTTTCTAAATTTGGAAATGGACTTCCTCTGTGGGTTCTGTTTTTTATTTTAACAATATCAGTCCCTGGGAGGTTCTATGAAACACATTTCAGGAAGTTGAAATGAATGCAAAATTATTTAAGATCGTCACCTAGGTAATGACAGATCGTCAAACATGGCAATTCTCCCAGTTGAAAACGAGATAAGCTAAGTAGTGTATTTTCAAATGTTATGGCTGGGTTTGCTTCCATTAAAGTCTGGAAAGTAAAATTATAATAAAGTCTGGTTTGAGAACAAATAACATTTAAACCTAAAAAAAAAAAAAAAACAACAACAACAGAAAAAAAACAAAACACAAGAGGAGAGACAGGATCACTGAAAAGGCCACACCCTCCAGCTGCAGGGACCCAGTACTGCGATGACAGAGGCCAATTTCCATGGTCTTGTGTCTGTCAAAGGAGCCAGGCCGAAGGATGTTACAGAGAACAGACCTGTGGCTGTCAGGGACTGGGCCAGAGGTGGGGGACCCTGCAAAGGAACATCATTTGGAAGGGATTTTTGGAGGTGATGGGTCTGTTCTCGATCCTGAATATAACAATGATCACATGATTGTATGTATTAGTCAAAAATCATAGACCAGTATATCATGTAAATTACATACTATTATACACTATATTATACTACATAGATTATACTATCTCATTTTATAAAATGATAATAATATATATATACACCAGTAAATTATACTACATAATTCTGTTCCAAATTGTATCATAGAATTATATGATACTATCAATTATATTATGCTACCTAAAGAAATATAAATAAAAATTGTATTTCAATAAACTGACTTTAAAAGAAGACATTAGGCTGGGCGCCGTGGCTCATGCCTGTAATCCGAGCACTTTCGGAGACCAAGGCAGACGTATCACTTGAGGTCAGGAGTTTGAAACCAGCCTGGCCAACATGGTGAAATCCCATCTCTACTAAAATACTAAAAGTACAAAAAATTAGGCCAGGTATTGGTGGCAGGAGCCTGTAATCCCAGCTACTTGGGAGGCTTAGGCAGGAAAATGGCTTAAACCCAGGAGGCCGAGGTTGCTGTGAGCCAAGACAGCACCACTGCACTCCAGCCTGGCAACAGAGCGAGACTCCATCTCAATTAAAAAAAAAAAAAAAAAAAGACATTAGGGATGGGTGAGGTGGCTCGTGCCTGTAATTCCAGCACTTTGGAAAGCCAAGGTAGAAAGATCACTTGAGCCCAGGAGTTTGAGACTAGCCTGGGCAACATAGGGAGGAGAACTTGTGTCTACAAAAAATAAAAAATTAGCCAGGTGTGGTGGCGCATGCCTGTAGTCCCAGCTAGTCGGGAGGCTGAAGTGGGAGAATTGCTTGAGCCCGAGAGTTCAAGGCTGCAGTGAGTTATAATTGCACCACTGCACTCCAGCCTGGGTGACAGAGCAAGACCCTGTCTCAAAAAAAAAAAAAAAAGACATTTGGAGGGTGGGTTGTCACAGGCGGCACCTTTTCTGAGAGCCAAACATCTTGCCCTGCTCCCCACTACCCTTCCACCCCACCCACGAGGGCTGGATTAGGGCTGGGTTTGCCACTAGACAGCCTGACACCCTTTGTTTCCTGAGAAGGGACGTCAAGGGACAAGGTTGCCCCGTAAACATCTCCCTGTGCCATGTCCAGGCTGGGGCATCCCTGATTTTGTCACCTCCTGCCCTCCCACCCAGGTCTGTGTCCTGAGAGGCCAGGAGCAGCCTCAAGTCTCCAGAGGACAAGGGGCAGGGCCATCCCTAAGCTGACGCTCCCACCACACCAGGGTCCCCCTGCCCGGGTTCCCTGTACCTAATTACATGGGGACATATAGTAATACGAATGGCGGGAGCTGCGGGCCACCCTGTGACTCTGCTGTCACCGTTCTGCCTTGGGTGCCTCCTGCCCTGAGGGCTTTGCATCCTTCCTTTTCACAGCTACACAGCAGATGTTATGTCCCCAAACAAACATCCCGGAATTCCTCTCTGAGAACACGAAGGCCTCGTCACAGGGAACGAGCTTTTGAGGGAGGAACGTTTGGCTTATGAATGAAATGGCTTGTGATGGGCAGAAAAAATACTTCGAGTGAATTTCAAAAACAAAAACAAAAACAAAAAACCACTTAGTGTATTTTCCGCCGACAGAGAGGAATTGGAATGGGTTCACTCAAGGCTTCCAGATTCTACGTAACCTGCTCACTACTGAGCTGAGACAACCACATACTTTCCCTTATGGCTGTGTGTGGGCACGTGCGTGCACATATGTGCCTGTGTGTGCACGTGTGGGTCCACACAGCTGCTTTCCAAAGTCACTGAGCTTGCTCCCTGGCTCCCTGATGAGAAAGATGGGAAAATGAGTAAAATGACATTTCACAGCCATCTTCAACATTCTGGCTTTTTCAGCACTGAATGCCTCCTCTGTAGCAGAAGAAAGCTGTGCTGCTCTTCCAACCCAGGCCTCGCTAACCCCGGCTTCAAGAGGCACAGATGTCTGTATGTGTGTCCCTGGCACGTATTATGGTACTTCCACAGCATCTCTGGAAGGCCCCCACCCAAAATGTTTTCCCCCAGGGCTCAATGATGTCAACAAGAGAGACTCATTCCCTGGGGTTCTTCTCCTAGAAAGCTTTTCTTCCCCCTCGCCAACCCCCGCACCCCTCTCTCTCTCTCTTTTTTTTTTTTTTTTTTTTTGAGGCAGAGTCTCACTCTTACTACGCCGGAGTGCAATGGCACGATCTCAGCTCACTGCAACCTCGCCTCCCAGGTTCAAGCAATTCTCCTGCCTCAGCCTCCCGAGTAGCTGGGACTACAGGCACTCGCCACCACGCCCAGCTAATTTTTGTATTTTTTGTAGAGACGAGTTTCACCATGTTGGCCAGGATGGTCTCCATCTCTTGACCTCATGATCCGCCCGCCTCGCCCTCCCAAAGTGCTGGGATTATAGGGGTGAGCCACCGCGCCCAGCCTTTTTCTTTTCTTTTTGGACAGGATCTCGCTCTGTCACCTAGGCTGGAGTGAAGTGGCGCAATCTTAGCTCACTGCAGCCTCGAGCTCCTGGCCTCAAGTGATCCTCCCACCTCAGCCTCCCAAAGCACTGGGACCACAGACGCCACAACCTCACGGGCTATGATGCTTTTCTGAAATGCACAGGCTGTTGGCAGGGCCGTGGTGGGCACACGGGCTGTGGGGCCACTCACCCACCTCCACGCCCCCTCCACCTCTGCCCTGGCGCAAGAGGCCCTAGGACCCTCCCACCATTCCCACCCAGAACTGTGGGAGGGTCCTCTCCTCCCAGCTCTTCCTCCAGGACAGGACACTCCTCTCCCTGCTGCAGGCCCCTCTCCTCCTGGAGGGTCCCAGGAGGCAGGTGGGGAGGGGAAGAGACCGATCCCGGAGGGGAAAGGGCGAGGCAGAGACAGATCCCCCGGACCTCACCATTTTGTGTGTAGGATGAGTTTCTAAAATGGCTTAGAAACTTAAAAACCAAACAGATCCCAAAGCCTCCCTGCTTTTTATAGAACATCAGTCCCTGCTTCCAAATTAGCAACCCTTAATCTCCTGCCGCTCTAGTTCTGAGGGGCCCTAAGCTGCTGGGTGAGGACTCAGCCCTGCGTTAGCCAGCGGGGTGGAGACGCTGGCAGAGGAGGGGAGGGGACCCGGGGACGTCGGGGGCGGGGCGAGGAGGGGACCCAGGGCGCGGGTCGGAGGAGACGGAGGGCTGGGGGAAGGGGTGGCGGGGAGAGAACTACAGTTAGGGGGAGAGGACCAAGGGTGCTGGGGATGGCGTCAAGTGGAGGTGGCTTCGAGTGGAGGTGGCTTCAAGGAGGACCCCAGGATAGGGAGGGCAGGAAGGGATCGAAGGTAAAGAGTTGGGGGCCTGCGGGGGGGACCCTAGGGGGCTTCCTGGCCTGGGCCCAGTGTGTTCATATCCTGGGGCCCCCATAACCAAACATTACAAATTGGGTAGCTTAAAAACAGAAATGTGTGTTTCTCACCGTTCTGGGGGCCAGAAATCCAAACTCCAGGTGTCAGCAACACTGGTTCCTTCTGGAGGCTCTAAGGGAGGACCTCTTCCAGCCTCTCTGCCCACTGCTGGTGGCCAGGCCAGCCTTGGCGCTCCTGGCTGTGGCCACACAGCTCCTGTCTCTGCCTCCACTGCCACAGGGCCTTCTCCCCTGTGCCTGTCTTCAAAGTGCCCCTTCTCATACGGACGCCAGTCATAAGGATGAGGACCCCCCTGCTCCAGAATGGTCTCATTTTAACCAACCCCATCTGCAAAGACCCTATTTCCAAATAAGGCCACATTCTGAGATATGAATGGATATGAGTTTTGGGGGGACATTATTCAACCCAGCACATCCAGTGTCAGGACCACCCACAAGCCCAGACAGAAAGCCCGGCTGATTCCCTCTCACTGTGTCTAAGAGGCAGGTTGTGCCAAGAAAAAGCCTCCCCTTTAGATTGGAAGGAGTGAAGGTGTCATGAAAGCTGAGTCACCTAATGGGTGTTGATGGGGACAGGCCCTTCAGCAGCCTCTCTCCACCCCAGGCAGTCCTCCCTGACTCTCTGTGATGACCACGCCTTTCCCCAAGCCCCTGGGGGCTTCATTCCCTTGGTCCTATCCCAAGAGTTAGAGCGCCCACCTTCAGAACTCCTCCCTCCTTTAAATGACATTAAATGATTATATCACATGTGCTCCTTGTGCAAAACTAGGACAAATTGCCAACTTACACATACGGTCTATGATCCCACCACTCTCAGCATTTTAGTGAACCTCTTTTTAGCCATATATGTATTTTTTGAGACAAGAGTCTCACTCTGCTGCCCAGGCTGGAGTGCAGTGGCAAGATCACAGCTCACTGCAACCTCCACTTCCCAGGTTCAATCGATTCTCCTGCCTCAACCTCCTGAGTAGCTGGGATGACAGGCGCGGGCCACCACATCCAGCTAATTTTTGTATTTTTAGTAGAGATGAGGTTTCACCATGTTGGCCAGATTGGTCTCAAACTCCTGACCTCTGGTGATTCACCCGCCTCAGCCTCCCAAAGTGCTGGGATTACAGGGGTGAGCCACCACGCCCAACCAGCCATACACGTATTTTAAGTTATCCTTTGGACCTCAGATGGACAGAGTTGTAATCACCACCCTCAGTCCACCACATACCATGGTTTGCACACACATTGTTCTTTTTATTTTACTTATTTTTCTGGCAATTTGTGTCGAAATAGGATGCAGTGGACGTGATAGCTCCTATTTATCTTTTGTGTTATGCATTGCTCAAAGCATGTATTTATTTAATCCCCAAAGCCCCTAGCTGTGCTGTGCTGGAGTTAGCCCTGGCTGGCTTGTGAGGGTGACTTAAGTTTTCAGAAATTCTGTCAATAGGTTGTTAAGTCACTGGGAGCGTGATATTGGCCATTATGGGAGTATTTGCCACCGAAGTCACTAGATGCGACAAATCAGGGCTTTTTCATCAAGAGCCCCTTAAATGCCACCCTTTGGCCTGTGGGGTTGGTACTCTTGTTGTTCCCACTTAACCAATGAAGAAACCAGGATAGGGAGGTTGGTAACACCCTAGGATGCACACCCGGCCAGTGGCGAGTCCAAATTCGAACCCAGGAAGTTTGTACAACACCTGAGTCTGATGACACTGTCGCCGCCATTTTGAACTCTGATATTTTCCATCCATCAGAAGCAGCTTCCCAGGCACTAAAAATTCCTCAAATTTCACTTTTGATGGCTGCATAATTTTCTGTTATGTGGACATACAGTGTCTTGTTAAATTAGCCCCAATTGTAAGACAATAGAGTTCTATGCAGTGTTTTCTCCTTGCAAAAATGTTTCAACCCACCTTTCCCCTTTTCATTGGTGTTGGTCCTGTGGATCCAGTCCCAGGGGCTTCCTTGGTGAGCGGGGCATCAAGCTAAGCCTCGTGGCAGCCGGCCCTGAGGATCAGGCTGTGGGGGGCTCAGGACACACTCAGCTCCTCCTGAGGGTGAGGTGCCCCATCGCAGACCCAAACCTTCCCCAGGTACAGCAAGACCCCGCCCTGTCTATGTGTAGCCAAGAGACCCTGTGGTGGGTTTCTCTTTCTCCAGCCTCTACTTCCAGAGTGACGAGGGGCCAAAGCCCCTGACAGACTTCCTGTGAGAGCTCACTCACACACACGCTCACACTTCTACACAGCCACACACTCATATGCACACAAATACACATGCACATGCAGACAGATTCACACCCAACACTCTCATACACACACACATTCACACATCTATACCCACGCATGCATGCATACACACACACACACACACACACACGGACATACACATACAAATACTCCTAAAATCACCCAGCACTCAACACGGAGACAGTCTTAAGGACACACCAAGTTATGAGGTACATTCTGTCCCCAAGAATGAGGACTCTTGGAAGGCAGGGAAGGTGTGATCAGTTTTCTAAAAGTTCAGCAAGTTGCCTGACGTGTACCAAGGGCTCCATTCCATAAAAGGAAAAACGTGGACAGACATGAGCAAACATGTCTCCACCTTGGAAAACTGCAACCTCTTAGTTGTCAAGCTCAGCTTCCTCGTGGGGTGCGTTGTCTGGCTCTGGGTGCTGCAACCCAGCACCGTGTACTGGGGGCTCCCACCACCAGAATGCATCGTCTCACAGTTCTGCAAACTGGAAGTCCAAGATCAAGGTGTGGACGGGGTTGCTTCCTTCTGAGGCTGTGTGGGAGAACTTGTTCCAGGCCTCTCTCCTCACTCCTGGGCTTTGCTGGAGATCTTCGGCATCCTTGGCTTGTACACACATCATCCCAATCTCTGCCTCTGCCTTCACATGGCATTCTTCCTGCATGTGTGTCTGTCACATGCAGGGAAAAAGCAATTGCAACAAAAGCAAAATTTGACAAATGGAATCTAATTAAACTAAAGAGCTTCTGCGCAGCAACAGAAACTGTCACCCGAGTGAACAGACAACCTACAGAATGGGAGAAAATTTTTGCAATCTATCCATCTGACAAAAGTCTAATATCCAGAATCTACAAGGAACTTAAACAAATTTACAAGAAAAAAAACAACCCCATTAAAAAGTAGGTGAAAGAGATGAACAGACACTTTTCAAAAGAAGACATACATGTGGCCAACAAACATATGAAAAAAGCTCAACATCACTGGTCATTAGAGAAATGCAAATCAAAACCACAATGAAATACCATCTCACGCCAGCCAGAATGGCAATTATTAAAAAGTCAAGAAACAGGCCGGGCACGGTGGCTCACACCTGTAATCCCAGCACTTTGGGAGGCCGAGGCGGGCGGATCACCTGAGGTCAGGAGTTTGAGACCAGCCTGACCAACATGCCGAAACCCTGTCTCTATTAAAAATACAAAAAATTAGCTGGGCATGGTGGTGCATGCCTGTAAACCCAGCTATTTGGGAGGCTGAGGCAGGAGAACTGCTTGAACCCAGGAGGCAGAGGTTGTGGTGAGCTGAGATCATGCCATTGCACTCCAGCCTTGGCGACAAGAGCGAGACTCAGTCTCAAAAAAAAAAAAAAAAGTCAAGAAACAACAGAGGCTGGCGAGGCTGTGGAGCAATAGGAATGCATTTACACTGTTGGTGGGAATATAAATTAGTTCAACCATTGTGGAAGACAGTGTGGTGATTCCTCAAAGACCTAGAATCAGAAATGCCATTTGACCCAGAAATCTCATAGCTGGGTATGTAGCCAAAGGAATAGAAATCATTCTACTATAAAGATACGTGCACACATATGTTCACTGCAGCACTATTCACAATAGCAAAGACATAGAATCAGCCCAAATGCCCATCAATAATAGACTGGATAAAGAAAATGTGGTACATATACACCACGGACTATTATGCAGCCATAGAGAGGAATGAGATAATGTCCTCTGCAGGGACATAGATGGAGCTGGAAGCCATTATCCTCAGCAAACTAAGGCAGAAACAGAAAACCACACACTGCATGTTCTCACTTATAAGTAGGAGCTGAACAATGAGAACAAATGGACACAGGGAGGGACACAACACACACTGGGACCTGTTTGGTGGGGGCAGGGGGAGGGCAAGCATCAGGAAGAATAGCTAATACATGCTGAGCTTAATGCCTAGGTGATGTTTGATCTGTGCAGCAAACCACCATGGCACACGTTTACATATGTAACAAACCTGCACATCCTGCACATGCATCCCAGAACTTAAAATAGAATTAAATTAAATTAAATTAAAAATTTTAAAAACCCACTCATATTGGATTATGGGATCCACCTTATTCCAGCATGACTTCATCTTGACAAATTACATCTGCAACAATCTTATTTCCAAATAAAGTCACATACTGAGGTACTGGGGCTTAGGACTTCAGCAGATGAATTTTGGGGGGGGACACAATTCAGCCCATAGGGGGCAATCCAGTCCCCTCTCCTGTTCCTGCTACTTCCTCAGGGGCGCCATGTGAGACGATGGCATGAGAAGAGGCAGGTTTGGACTTGCCCGGCCCTGTCATTCTCAGCCCTGACACAGACACCTTACATGTATTCATTCACTTGGCTGCAGTACAGCATTCTGGATTTTTTTTTTTTTTTTTTTTTGGTAGAAATAAAGCTAATTAAAAAGTTGTTCAGGTCACAAGATATTTATTTACAATACCTGAAACTTCGACCTCACACTCTCTTTCCACACATTTGACATGAGAAAGGCTATCATGTAACTGTCCTCAGGGTTACTTAACCATAATTCGGCTATATCCTCTTAAGAAGAGAAAGGAATGAAACAGATGGGTCCTTCATCTGTTTCTTATTAACACAGCATTAGTTTTGTCATGACAAAAATTTCATATCTATTCATGTCTCTTCCAACAGTTCCTAACTCACATTCTCTCTAAATAGTGCAGAGAGCAACACGGCAGTTTCCTTCAGTTAATGCACGGACGGAGAAATTTCCCTAAGTTAATGTTCTGTTTGCTCAGTCGCAACCTCAGATGCAAAGTTTTCTTTTTCTTTTGGTGAGGACAGGAGGGTGGGAGTCTTTACAGTGACAAATTTTGGCTCCCACTCTCCTGTCCCCACCAAAAGAAAAATAAAACCTGTGCATCTCAGTTTGTGACTGAGAAAATAGAGCATTACCAGTCACTTGCGGGTTCTTCACTGACAGATTTCCATCAAGAAGATGGAGGGTGCGGTGGCTCACGCCTGCAATCCCAGCACTTCTGGAGGCTGAGGCAGGAGGGTTGTTTGAGCCCAGGAGTTCAAGACCAGCCTGGGCAACAAAGTGAGACCCTGCCTGTAAGGAAAAAAAAAAATGTTTTAAATTAGCCGGACATGGTGGTACATGCCTGTGGTTCCAGCTACGCGGGAGGTGGGAGGACGGCTTGAGCCCAGGAAGTCAAGACTGTGGTGAGCCATGTTAACAACCCTGCACTCCAGCCTGACTGACAGAGGGAGACTCTGCTTCAAAAAGAAGAAAAAAGAAAAGAAAAGCGATTATGACTGAAGTCTCATTATGTGCAAGGCTGGGTTGCTGCTGTGGGAGAGATCAATGCTGGGGAGTCGGATCTGCTCAACCAGCTGTGTGACTTTGGGCAAATTACTCAACCTCTCTGAGACTTAGGTTCAGAAAATATAAAAGAGAGAATAAAGTTTCCTTGTCAAAGTGGGTGTGGGAGTTAAATGAGGTGATGTAGGTGGAGTCTCTCGGACACAGCAGGCACAGACTAAAAACCAGATGCCTTTTGCCCCTCCCCAGAACAGAAATCTAAACAAGCACTCAATCCCCTGTCCTGCCGCCTATGAGAAGATTAGGGCCTCCTCAGCATGAGTCATTTGTCAATTCAAAATTTTATTTATTTATTTATTATTATTATTATTATTATTATTATTATTATTATTATTATTTTGAGGCAGAGTCTCACTCTGTTGCCCAAGCTGGAGTGCAGTGACACGATCTTGGCTCACTGCAATCTCCGCCTCCTAGGTTTAAGCAATTCTCCCACCTCAGCCTGCCAAGCAGCTGGGATTACAGGCACCTGCCACCACACCCAGCTAAATGTTTTGTGTTTTTAGTAGAGATAGGGTTTCGCCATGTTGGCCAGGCTGGTCTCGAACTCCTGGCCTCAAGTGATCCCCCTGCCTCGGCCTCCCAAAGTGCTGGGATTACAGGCATGCGCTACCATGCCCGACCCAAATTTTTTGTTTTGTTGTGTTTTTTTTTTGAGACGGAGTCTCTCTATGTCGCCCAGGCTGGAGTGCAGTGGTGTGATCTCGGCTCACTGCAAACTCTGCCTCCCAGGTTCAAGCAATTCTCCTGCCTCGGCCTCCCAAGTAGCTGGGATTACAGGTGCCCACCACCATGCCTGGCTAATTTTTGTATTTTTAGTAGAGACAGGGTTTCACCACGTTAGCCAGGCTGGTCACAAACTCCTGACCTCAGGTGATTCACCCATCTCGGCCTCCCAAAGTCCTGGGATTATAGGCGTGAGCCATCACACCCCGCTGCCTTAGTGCATTTTAAGTCAGAAACTAAACATGTTAGACCTATTGATTCCAGAATTCTCTCAAGATGAGAATTATCAGCCTTTAAGTTCGTGGTTCTTCCCACCCTTTCTCTAAATGAATAGACTCAGCTGAGGTTCGGAAGTGCGTTTGGTCCCCAGGTACACTGCCACACAGCACTTACCATGTTAAACAAAGGAATACCCTGTGTGTGAGGTTGATCTGTATCTGCTGCTAGGAGCAGAGGGTCTCGTGTGTCCCATATGCTGAGAAGCCCAGCAGTCACAAATTGCTGGTCTTGCTTCCGTTGCTGGACAATGCCATCAGGCATGCAGGCTTTTCCTTGTCTTTGTCAGGTTGGCTCTTCATTCTCAGGCTGGTTTCCTCTTGGTTTCAAATGCACTGCTGTAGCTCCAGACATCATGTCTATCTTTGAGAAAGTAAGAAGTGGGAGAAGAGGAAGCTGTGAGCATGTCTGTCTTTTATTGGGAAAGCTAAGATTTTGCAGAAGTCAGTTGACTTCTGCCTCCATTCAGTGAGCCCTTGGCTGCCAGGAGGATGAGTTTTGCAGGGTTGAATGAAGGTTCTCTTGGTAAGGCAGAGAGGAGGCTTGGATGTTGGATGGACTGACCATGGGTCTGCCCTAGAAACTCAGCATGTCATGGATGCCTTTGGTCAGGAGGGAGGTAGTGAATGCATCCTGGCACGGTGGCTTTGCCAGGTGAGAAGAACAAGGGTCAATCCTGTACCTCTGCCACTCAGGGGCCTCTGCTACTTGCATGAAGACAGAAAAGAAAGTGGGAAATGGTCAGCACATACCAACAAATTGATTCCTTTCTAAAGCAAGGACATCTTTACAGGATGGTCTAATGTCTTTTTGGGGGACATTACCTTGATCATTCTGGTATACAGTACTTGTGTACTTGTATAAATGAATATGATTGGTTGAAAGAAAAAAGAAAAGAACACTAATTTTCTTTCTCGAAGTGGCAGAAAAAAAAAGTTCTCAGTTTTCCCATCTGAATGAATGTCTTCATGGGCTATCTTGGGAAATAATACTTCTAGAACAATACAACTCCCTTTGCCCAAGATGTCTGTCACACTCACCAAATTCAGGCTAAGAGTCACTTATGAAAATCAGTTGGATTGCTTTAAAGTCATTCCTCATTTTTCACCTAAAAATACCTTATCCAAATTGGCTCACCCACCTTGTGCCCCAGACTCGGCTGTGAATGACTCAGCTGTTTCTAGAATTCAAATCAACCCTCCAAGACTGAAGTGTGTTTTGTTTTGTTTATTTGTTAATGGGAATATATGCAAAACAATTTGCCACAAGGTTTGAAAGCAGTTCAAACGTTAGTGACACAGAAGTTTGCATCTCGGCTCTCAAGGTGACTCCTTTCTGGGACCTTTGCATTCTGAAGGTTGAGAAGAATCTGGTGCCTGCCGTGTTCTCCTGGTCTGCAGCAGGAGGCCCCGGCCATCTGCACAAAGTGAGCCACACACTCAGGCCTGCATGCCCATGGGAGAAAAATGTACAGGATGAATCAGTGCCTGAAGCAGCCTCATAGAATTCCCAAAGGAAAACAGAAAGAAGTGAGCATTCTCCTGGGCAGGCTGGGTCCTCAAAGATGCTGAGGTAAGAAGTGAGCTAAACTGCTTAACCACCAGCAATGAGGCTCCACGCCAGGCCCATCTGGTGTCCAGAGCTGCCGGCGAATGGGGCCAATGACAGTGAGGTCAGTGATGGTACTGTCTTCTGGAAAGGCCACGTGGGGAGGCTTGGCAATGGCCAGCCCCCTGGGCGCAGATGGTGTGGAGGGCCGGGTAGCAGATGCCGGGCCGAGCAGGTGGGATTGTGGAGGGGCAGCAGTCATTACTTGTTGCTTGCTCTCTCGGCTCTCTTCCCTCCGGTTTGTAGACTCAGGGTACTAAGCAGACATACGCTTTGCATGGCTGGTGTTCACCATCACAGCCGCTGCAGGCTGGGAGATCTCCATTAGAAAGGTTTTAATGAGCTCCTCCTAACTGCCAGTGCCTTCCATCTAGTGATTCATTCACTCTCATCCCACAAACGTTTATTAAGTACCCGCTATGTGCCAACGAAGGCGCAAGGATGCTTAACCATTTGGGAGCCAAAAGTGATGATAATATAAATCTCTTTCTTTGGCCAAACCAGAGAGCAGTGGCGATTCGGATTCTTTATGGGAAAACCCTCACATCCCCGTCTTTAATGAAGGCAGATGGCACACAACAGATCTGCAGCACAATAGGTGCTTGTCATCAGAAGCATTTTCATCAAAGTATTTTCAAGGTCTTTTTTTTTTTTTTTTTTTTTTTTGAGACGGAGTTTCGCTCTGTCGCCCAGGCTGGAGTGCAGTGGCGCGATCTCGACTCACTGCAAGCTCCGCCTCCCGGGTTCACGCCATTCTCCTGCCTCAGCCTCCCGTGTAGCTGGGACTACAGGCGCGTGCCACCATGCCCGGCTAATTTTTGTATTTTTAGTAGAGACGGGGTTTCACCGTGTTAGCCAGGATGGTCTCGATCTCCTGATCTCGTGATCCGCCCGTCTCGGCCTCCCAAAGTGCTGGGATTACAGGCGTGAGCCACCGCACCCGGCCTTTCAAGGTCTTTAAAACTACTAAACAGCTCCCCAGGGCATGGCCGTTTCAGGCGTCTGGATAACATGTGTTTGGTGTCTAAGGCAGTCGGCCGTCAGCAAATGCTGAAGGAAACCTGGCGATGTGAAAATTGTCATTATTTGGTCACCCGAAAAAGTGAAGCTGAGGGCTGGAGGGCAAGGGAAAAGTTAAACCAGGAGTGAAATCACATTTCCATGTGCACTCACACAGGGAGAATGAGATTCCACCTCCCTCTTGATGCACCAGCCCAGCCCTGCAGGTTGAGTAGGAGGTGGTGTGAGAGGGCCCCCCCAGCACAGGCAGAACACCTGGAAGAAGACTTGACTCTGTTTCCTTTTGTGCCCTTCCCACGTCTCCCACCCTGCTGCCCGCTGCCCTGGCTAATGTGGGCTTGGATCATGAAATGATTTGGCTCTGTGTCCCCACCCAAATCTGAATTATCACTCCCATAATCCCAGTGGGAGGTAATCAAATCATGGGGACGGGTCTTTCCCCTGCTGTTCTCGAGATAGTGAATAAGTCTCAGGAGATCTGATGATTTTATGAAGGGTAGTTCCCCGCACAAGCTCTCTTGCCTGCCACCATGTAAAATGTGCCTTTGCTCCTCCTTCACCTTCCACCATGATTGGGAGGCCTCCCCCACCATGTGGAACTGTGAGTGCATTAAACTCTTTTTCTTTATAAATTACCCAGTCTTGAGTATTTCTTCACAGGAGTGTGAAAATGGACTAATACAGATCATGATCCCTGCCACAACCTTGCTTGAGTGTGGCCTACTGGGCCCTTCATTGTCTAAATCTGGCTCACATCTGAGTTTTGACTGAGCATCTCTCACCCTTTCTAGGGGCCACCTCTCTCTATTCACACACACATACAGACACACACACACAGGCACAAACATGTGCACACACACACACACATGTGCGTGCACCCCACTAAAGCAATACCAACCCGTTTGCCCAGGCCCAGCCCTCTCACTCCCCAATGCCCTCCCCTCCCCTTCTCAGGCCTGATGTCAGCCTCAATTCCACCAGCAGGCTTTTTTCAGGAACTTGCAACTCCTTCCAGTCAAAATACAGCATTTTCTGTATGCCCCACATTCTCAACGCACAGATGATGAGAGACAGACAGATAACTGTCTTCTCCCAGTTTAGTTAGTGAGACAAAAAAATACAATTGCCTGCCAAGTCTAAGCACCCTCTAGACCTGCACAGTCTTCCAGCCGTCCAGTCGAGGCCTAGGCCTGTGCCCATCAGAGGTGACACCACGGAATGAGCGTTTCCCGTGAGCCTGGTGCTCTTCGGGCACTAACAACACTCGGTCCTCAAACAGCCTGCCCAGGTGTGTACTGTTATCACCTCCATTGCACAGAGGAAGACGTGCAAGGCACAGAGAGGTTAAGTCACTTTCCCACTGCCACAGAGCTGGTAAGTGGTGGAGACTGGATTTGAACCTAGGCAGCTCTAGAACTCGCTCTCCTAACCAGAATCCAAAGGGCCTTGCCTCACCAAATGTCCCCATTCCCAGACCTGCATCACCCAACAGTGCCCATGACACGGGGTTTACCATAGTTATCTATGCTGCGTAACAAGCATCCCACATTTGATGGCATCAAACAAGAACCATTTTCCCATGCCCAGGGATTCTGCAAGTCAGGAGTTTGGAGAGGATGAAGCCTCAGCCAGGAAGCTGTGAATGGCCATGGCTGACATCCTCCAGGGGCTTCTTCCCTCTTAACCCCTGCCCTGGGAAGCCAGGTTCAGCCAAGCCTGTGTATGAGCCCCAGTGCCTGGCTGCTTCCTGTACCTTGGGCTTCTGGCAGCACAGAGGCGGAGTTCTGAGCAGGAACTTCCTGAAGGGAACGTTCCAAGGGAACCAGGCCTCAGCATCAGGCCTGTTCTGCCCTGGCCTCGGATTGTAGCACTACGCCAGCCTGGGACATCATCGGCATCGATTCTACTCCATCCTATCAGTCACAAGGGAGCCACAGGCCAGCCCTGGGTTCCCAGGGATGGAGAGACTCTGCTTCTGCATGCGGGAATGACACAGTCACACTGCAGAAGAACACGAGTGTAGAAGGCAGCATCATGGCCATTTTTGGTAAACACAACCTGCTGCTCACCCGCCTTGCCCAAGCCTACCTCTTCCAGAAACTTCTGTGTCCCAATTATGGTTCACCTTGATGTCCTAAAGGTATTGACTGCTTACTTCATTGGTCACATTGTCCCTGTGAATGGAAAACCATGACTTAGGGCTACCATACGAGCATTCCATGGTGGCCAGAGTGGCCTGACCCCCTAGTGGTACTAGTGGGGATGACGCTGGAACTGATAGTGGCCTCCCTCTTGTGTTGTTGTGGCATCTTTCCCGGCAATTGGGTGATCAGAAGACACCTGCATTTCTGACCCAAAGCTCTTACAACTTGCAATTGCTCAGGTGGTTGGGGGCGGATCACCTGAGGTTGGGAGTTCGAGACCAGCCTGACTAACGTGGAGAAACCCCAACTCTACTAAAATTACAAAATTAGCCAGGCGTGGTGGTGCATGCCTGTAATCCCAGCTACTCGGGAGTCTGAAGTAGGAGAATCACTTGAACCCGGGAGGCAGAGGTTGTGGTGCACCGAGATCACGCCATTGCACTCAAGCCTGGGCAACAAGAGCCAAACTCCATCTCAAAAAAAAAAAAAAAAAAAGGAACTTGAGCTTTCAGGTTATCATTTGACCATTGACCAAAAACAAGCAGCATTTCTGCTGTGGGGGGGGCGGGGGGGCAGGGGGGCCAGGGGGTGGAAATGGTACAGAATCTTATATTTGTTCAGCTGCTTTATTTTTTTTTTGGTGGCCCCTGGATGAAGAATGGAGATGCAGGCTTGCTGTGTGGCTATAATTGATTTAATACTCAAAAAAAGGGACCAAGAGTCAAAAGCATTTTCTCAAAGTACTCACTACTTTTAAATGACTCTCTAGAAGGAGAGGAAAGGAGGTTTCCTCCAACTCTGCTTTCCCTGGCCTTTGAGAGGCGTGGAAAGAGCCATACGTCCTCACAAATGGTATTCAAAATATGTTTGGCAGCAACTTTTTTATGAAAACACACAAAAGCTTGAGCTAGTACACTGAAATATTAAATACACTTCAATATTTTAGATACTCCTGAAATGCCAACTGACCAAACCAGTCTTTTTTCCCAACTGGGTGTGAAACTCACAACGATCAAGTTTAAGCAATGTATTCATAACTGAGCGTTGACCCCAGGAGATGCCCACTGCCCCAGTAGGGAGGGAGCCACGACTTCTGTGCAAGGGTGCGGCCATGATTGTGTTTTCTTGGAGCCTGCTTCCTAGAGGCGAGCTGACTTCTGTTCCAAGAGGACAGGACAGGCCGGGCACGGTGGCTCATGCCTGTAATCCCAGCACTTTGGGAGACAAAGGCGGAAGGATCACCTGAGGTCAGTTCAAGACCAGCCCGGCCAACATGGAGAAACCACGTCTCTACTAAAAATACAAAAATTAGCTGGCGTGGTGGCACATGCCTGTAATCCCAGCTACTCGGGAGGCTGAGGCAGGAGATTCACTTGAACCCGGAGGCAGAGGTTGCAGTGAGCAGAGATAGCACCACTACTTCAGCCTGGGCGACAAGAGTGAGACTCTGTCTCAAAAACAAACAAACAAACAAACAAAAAAACCCCAAGAGGACAGGACCAAAGAGTGAGGTGTGTGTTGTTGTGCTGGGCATGCCACCTTTGTGTCGACCAGGAGCCTCAGATCTTGGTGACTTTAGGTGCCTTACTTCACTTCTCATCTGTAAAATGGGAGGCAATAGTGATACTTACCCCATGGGGCTGCTGGGCAGGAGGCTGTTGAATGGCTTAATGTAAGTGAAATATTTTGAATATTCCTTGGCATAAAAGAGCTTCTTGCACCTGTCGTACCATCAACGCTCACCTGTCGCAACTAGCAATGGCATTTTGACAAGATGGTCGTTCTCACTTGGCTCCCCAGGGAAATGAGGTTCACACAAACATGCAAACACACACGCAAGCCACCAGTGGGGCCTCCTAGCCCACACAGGCTCCTGCACACAATAGGGGCTCAATCAGTGCAGTTGGCCCTGTGGTTAGCTGGTCTGCAGACCGGAAGGGTCACAGCTGGCCACTAACGCTAAGGACCCATGGGGAGCCTCTAGGCTCTTGGATTCCACTAGAGCTCACTTCATCCCAGAAGTGGTTTTCTTCTACTTCTCTTATGCCAGGAAACAATGCTCTTCTCTCCAGGACAGTCTCCAGCCTCAGGGACTCCAGCTGGTGTCAGAGCCAAGTGAGCGTCTGTGCCATTTGCCGACCACCTGGCCGACGTGGTGGCTTCTGCAGGCTGCACTACCCCTAAAGGAGCTGACTTTTGTCTCTACAGTTTTTATGGCAGAGATTTTGGAGAGTTTTTAAATTTTATTATATTTTATTTTGATTATAAAAACTTTACTGATTTTTATTTTTAACATAACTTTTTTTTCCTTTTTTGAGATGGGGTCTCACTCTGTCACCCAGGCTGGAGTGCAGTAGCTTGATCTCGGCTCACTGCTCTATCTCTGCCTCCTGGGTTCAAGAGATTCTCGTGCTTCAACCTCCTGAGTAGCTGGGATTACAGGCAACCACCACCACGCCCGGCTAATTTCTGTATTTTTAGTAGAGATGGGGTTTTGCCATGTTGGCCAAGCTACTCTCGAACTCCTGACCTCATGATCCACCCACCTCGGCCTCCTAAAGTGCTGGGATTACAGGCATGAGACACTGCGTCCGGCCAATAACTTTTATGTTAACTATGGCTAACTTACAAAAGATTTGCAAGAAACATAAAAACTTCCCATGTACTCTTCACCCAGATATACTAATTGTTTCTGTTTGTTTGTTTTTGAGATGGAGTCTCACTCTTGTCACGCAGGCTGGAGTGCAATGGCCCAGTTTTGGCTCACTGCAACCTCTGCCTCCCGGGTTCAAGTGATTCTCCTGCCTCAGCCTCCTGAGTAGCTGGGATTACAGGCACGTATCACCAAGCCCAGTTAATTTTTGTATTTTTAGTAGAGACGGGGTTTCACCATGTTGGCCAGGTTGGTCTCAAACTCCTGAACTCAGGTGATCCACCTGCCTCAGCCTCCTAAAGTGCTGAGATTACAGGTGCGAGCCACGGCGCCTGGCCTGGATATACTAATTGTCAACATTTTGCCGCATTTGGCCACATCATCTCTGTTTCTTTTTATAAATACACATCTCTTTTTCTTCCTGATCCATTTAGGAGCAGATTACAGACATCATACCCTTTACCCCTAAATATTTCCACATAGATCTCCAACAAACAAGAGTGTTTTCTCACATAACCACAGGGCAGTTATCTGAGCCAGGAAATTTCTCATTGCTGGAATGTGGTTACCTGGTTACCAAGTGACCCAATGATGTCTTCATAGCATTTTTCTTCCAGTCCAAGATCCAAACCAGGATCATACATCATGTTTAGTGGCCAATTCTCTTTGGTCTCCCTTCATCTGACACTGTCTTTTAGCTTTGTTTGTCTTGCACGACACTATATTTTTGCAGGAGCTGCAGAAGTTGTTACTGAAGAGAATCGTATGGAAGATCTGGGATGCCCTTCCCCAGATTCTCTGCCCCATGGGGCCATCTGAGGTCTCCTCATTACTAGATTTGAGTTTGCTGGGAATAAACAATGAAGTCTCCATTCCTTGTGCGTCCCATCACAGGCACATGATGTCGGTTCGGTTCAGTCCCCCACACCCCCGACCCAGCTTTTTTTTTGAGATGAAGTCTTGTTCTTGTTACCCAGGCTGGAGTGCAATGGCATGACCTCAGCTCACTGCAACCTCCACCTCCTGGGTTCAAGCAATTCTCCTGCCTCAGTCTCCCAAGTAGCTGGGATTACAGGCACTCGCCACAATACCCAGCTAATTTTTTTTTGTATATTTGGTAGAGACGGGGTTTCACCATGTTGGCCAGGCTGGTCTCAAACTCCTGACCCCAGGTGATCTGCCCATCTCGGCCTCCCAAAGTGCTGGGATTACAGGCATGAGCCACGGCGCCTGGCCTCAGTCCCCTCTTAGTGACAACGTTGACTTGAGTTGAAGGTGGTGTCTGCCAGCTGTACAATCTTCTCTTTTCCATTGTAACTAACAGGTCATCTGTGGGAGGGACTTTGAGACTAGGTCAATGTCTCCTTCCTCCCCAACCTCGCAACCAAGAGCTTTAGCATTTATTAAGGATTCTTGCTGGACTCGGTGACCAATTATGGTTGTAAAACAGTGGCTTCTCTAAGCCTATTCTTTCTTCTGTGATGATTAGTTGGCTTTCCACTATGAGGAAGAGCTTCCCCTTCTTCATTCACTCATTCATGATCATTATGGACACACGGATTCTTATGCATTTGGATGGGCTGCCATTCATCACTGTCATTATGTATTCTGATTCTCTAACTGTCTTGGATCTGGTCAGTGGGAGCTCCTCAGCTGGCCCCTGTGCCCTTTGAACAGTTCTCCTTTATTTCTTTCAGCGTTTCCTTAATTTCTGGCACTGCAAGATGCTCCAGGCTCATGTTGTTCTTTCTCTTCCTGGAATGACCATTTCTCCGAGGAGCTCTGGTTCCTTTCACTGGAGAATGGCATTCAGAAGCCACAGCGTGGATGCTGGATGTGCTCAGTCCTGTGAGAGTCTTAACCTGGAGTCGGAATATGGGCTACAGGGATCCATGAACCCACTGAGATTGCATACTCAACTCTGTGTGTGTTTATATTTTTCCAAGCTAAGGAGGACAGCTGCTTTTATCAAATTCACAAGAGATCTGAGATCCGAATCTGGCTAAGAATCTTTGCTCTATTGGACCAGAATTTCTTTTATTGTAAAACCCAATTTTTGGCCAGGTGCAGTGGCTCACACCTGTAATCCCAGCGCTTTGGGAGGCCGAGGAGGGTGGGTCATTTGAGGTCAGGAGTTCCAGACCAGGCTGGCCAACATGGAGAAACCCTGTCCCTACTAAAAATACAATAATTAGTCAGGCACAGTGGCACATGTCTGTAATCCCAGCTACTTGGGAGGCTGAGGCAGGAGGATTGCTTGAACCCAAGAAGCAGAGGTTAAAGTGAGCCAAGACTGCAACACTGCACTCCAACCTGGGCAAAAGAGCAAGACTCTGTCTCAAAAAATAAAAATAAAAAAATAAATTATTTTTTGGCCTTCCTTTTTTTTTTTCATGGAGTTTCGCTCTTGTTGCCCAGGCTGGAGTGCAATGTTGCAATCTTGGCTCAGCACAACCTCCACCTCCTGGGTTCAAGCAATTCTCCTGCCCCAGCCTCCTGAGTAGCTGAGATTACAGGTATGTGCCACCACGCCCAGATAATTTTGTATTTTTAGTAGAGACGGGGTTTCTCCATGTTGGTCAGGCTGGTCTTGAACTCCCAAGCTCAGGTGATCCACAGCCTCCCAAAGTGCTGGGATGTGAGCCACCGCGCCTGGCTATTTTTTTTTTTTTTTTTTGCCTTTCTTATACTGACAACCAGTGTTGGGGTGGGAATGGGAGGACAGAGAAAGCAGAAGTGGACATGTCCTGTTGGCTAAAGGAAGAAGAGCCATTCTTTTAAAAAAATAATAATAATAATTTTTTTTTTTTTTGGAGACAGAGTTTTGTTCTTGTTGCCCAGGCTGGAGTGCAATGGCGTGATCTCGGCTCACCGCAACCTCTTCCACCTCCTGAGTTCAAGCGATTCTCCTGCCTCAGCCTCCCGAGTAGCTGGGATTACAGGCATGCGCTGCCATGCCTGGCTAATTTTGTATTTTTAGCAGGGACGAGGTTTCGCCATGTTGGCCGGGGTGGTCTCGAACTCCTGACCTCAAGTGATCCACCTGCCTTGGCCTCCCAAAGTGCTGGGATTACAGGCGTGAACCACTGCACCCAGCCTCTTTGCCCATTTTTGAATTGGGTTGTTGGTCTTATTGTTGTTGAGTTGTAACAGTTCTTTACATATTCTGGATGTAGACCCTCATCAGATACATGGTTTCCCAATATTTTCTCTCATTCTGTGGGTTGTCTTTTCATTTTCTTGATGGTATCGTTTGATGGAAAAAAAAGATTTTGATTGTAGTAAAGTCCAATCTACCTATTTTTTTCTTGTGTTTCTTGTGTTTTTGGTGCCTTATCTCAGAAGCCATTGCCAAACCCAACGTCATGGTTTTCCCTATATTTTCTTCTAAGTGTTTTAGAGGTTTAGCTCTTATGATTAAATCTTTGGTCCTTAAGTTAATTTTTGTATAGGTGTAAGTTATGGGTCTAAAATGCATTCTTTTGCATGTGGCTCTCCAGTTGTTTCAGCACCATTTGTTAAAAAAACATTCTTTCCCCATTGAATGGTCTTGGCATTCAGTTGCCCATAGACACATGGATTTATTTCTGGACTCTCAGTTTTGTTCCATTGGTCTATATGTTTATCCTATGCCAATGCCACACTGCTTTGATTACCATTGCTTTGCAGCATGTTTTGTGATCAGGAGGTGTGAGTCTTCTTACTTTGTTTTTCTTTTTCAAAATTGTTTTGGCTATTCTGGATAAACTATCTTTTTTTTTTTTAATTTATTTTTGTAGAGACAGGGTCTTGCTATGTTGCCCAGGGTGGTCTCAAGCTCCTGGCCTCAAGCAATCCTCCTGCCTCAGCCTCCCAAAATGGTGGGATTACAGGTGTGAGCCTGGCCTATAAGCTATTTATTTTTTATGCAAAATAAATGTCAGGGCTTTATCTGAATAGCAAGTGTGTAAGTAATTATTTGAGTGGCTTGCTTTTTATTAGTTTGGTGCAAAAGTAATTGCAGTTTTTGCCATTGAAATAGCAAACCTACAATTACTTTTGCACCAACCTAATAAAATTGTTTTATTGGTATGTTTAGTTATCTTACATTTTAATCATTTTATTGACATTTCTGTCCATGGTTGTGCTCATCAGTTTATACCTACAGAATATTAAAGACAGATAGGGCCAGGCACAGTGGCTCACCACTGTAATCCCAGCACTCTGGGAGGCCGAGGCGGGCGGATCACTTGAAGTCAGGAATTCGAGACCAGCCTGGCCAAAATGGTGAAACCCTGTCTCTACTGAAAATACAAAAATTAGCTGGGTGTGGTAGCTCGTGCCTGTAATCCCAACTACGTGGGAGGCTGAGGCAGGAGAATCACGTGAACACAGGAGGCAGAGGTTGCAGTGAGCTGAGATGGCGTCACTGCACTCCAGCCTGGGTAACAGAGAGAGACTGTCTCAAAAAAAATAATAATAAGATAAAATAAATAAAGACAGATAAAAGGAGAGAGAGAATGAATTTGCAATGTACTTCTGGACTGTAAAACAGAAATTTGCACACATGTGGAGGTCAGAGACTTGCAGGGCTAGAGGATACTCCAACCCAAAGTGTTTGCTTGGCTGAGCCAGTAATAAGTATCAGGGATCCGGGGAAGACCTGTGGCTCCATTTACAGAAATTAACCAGAGTTCACAAATCCCAGAGATTCCAAAAGTCTATCAACCCTGAAATCTGCTCCCCAGGCATCCGCAACCTCCTGCCCCCTGTTGCCCTAGGCCTCATGCTTTCCTGCCACATTTTCCTGCTGGGTAGACACTGGGGCTGTGAGCCAAAGAGGAAACCCACCTCCACGGGGGTTAGAACTCCAGCTCTGGTTTTGTCGGTAACCATTCTAAACCTTGTTTCCCACAGCCCTTATTCAAACCTGGGTGGAGTCAGGGATGGGGTGGGGGGGATGGGGGGAAGGGGCAAGGGCAGCATCCGGCAGGATAAGCAGGGGCGGAGCATCCCTGTTTTCTTCTATGTGTTGAGGTGCTAAGTTTGGTGATTTTCCAGAAAGACTGACAAGACTCAATAGCAAGTTATATGCATGGCTAACATTTATTCCAGCAAAGGATGCAGAGAAAAGGCCACAGGAAAAGATACGCATTGTTTGCATTCCAGAACAGTCCAGCTCAGGCTCCTTCATGCCTCCTCATCTGAGACCACTCAGAATGTGGTTTTTGTCTGGCAGAGAACTCCAAGGACATGTGTGGAAGACCCGAGGAAACCCATGCCAGTCTCAGGGTCCAAGGTTTTTCGGGTGGTTGATCACATAGACACATTCTGCTTAGCTATCAGCTATGCCAAGTGAAACTCAGGACCCCAGCAGTGAAACCACGTACACATCATCAATTTGATGTTTGTGCAAACTATCCTGACAAGCTGGTTGCATGTGGCCAGTTCCTCCAGAGGTATAGAACAAAATCATTAATCACAGACATCAAAACCTTCCTGGGGACTGCACTCACCAGGGCTGGCCAAGGGTCATTGTTCTAGGCTGCCCTGGAGACATGCAACGAGCAAGCAAGACCTGCCAGGCTGGCTCTTTCTTCACATCTCAATGGTCTAAGTGGCCACTGCTTAGTTACAGATTGATCTAGACGACTTGGAGCTTGGATTCAAGCTCAGGAAGGTACTGACCACTGGGCTTCATTGCTGTGGCTGTGGTTAAGTGAAATGGGAGAACAGCGCAGTAAAGAAGCACACAGATGGCCTGGTTGCAAAGCCCTACTTTGCGTGCATCCTTAAGAAAAGCACATCAGGCCAGACGTGGTGACTCATGCCTGTAATCCCAGCACTTTGGGAGGCTGAGGTGGGCAGATCACCTGAGGTTATGAGTTCGAGACCAGCCTGGCCAACATGGTGAAACCCCATCTCTACTAAAAATACCAAAAATTAGCTGGGCGTAGTGGCGGGTGCCTATAATCCCAGCTACTCAGGAGGCTGAGACAGGAGAATTGCTTGAACCCGGAAGGTGGAGGTTGCAGTTAGCAGAGATCATGTCAATGCACTCCAGCCTGGGCAACAAGAGTGAAACTGTCTCAAAAGAGAGAGAGAGAGAAAGAGAGAGAGAGAGAAAAAGAAAGAAAAGAAAGAAAGAAAGAAAGAAAGAAAGAAAGAAAGAAAGAAAGAAAGAAAGAAAAGAAAGAAGGGAGGGAGGGAGGGAGGGAGGGAAAGAAAGAAAGAGGAAAGGCAAGGCAAGGAAAGCACATCAGGCTGGGCACAGGGGCTCACGCCTGTAATCCCAACACTTTGGGAGGCTGAGGCGGGCAGATCACTGGAGGCCAGGAGTTCGAGACCAACCTGGCCAACGTGGTGAAACCCCCATCTCTACTAAAAATACAAAAGTTAGCCAGGCATGGTGGCACATGCCTGTAATTCCAGCAACTTGGGAGGCTGAGGCAAGAGACTAGCTTGAACCTGGGAGGTGGAGGTTGCAGTGAGCTGAGATTGCGCCACTGCACTCCAGCCTGGGCAACAGAGTGAGACTCATTTTCAAAAAAACAGAGAAGCACACCATCCCTCCATGTCTACAGTCTAGTGTATCCCATCCAAGGGAAGGTTTGTGAGACTGCTGTGTTGGGATGTGCAATGCAAGCTCTCGTTCCCACCGCTACGGCTGTCCAGCAGTTGTCCCTCCTGCTTTGGCCCCTCCTATCTGAGAGGATCTGGAAATCCATAATCTCCACTTAAAGACGGATTCAGGAAATCAGACCCAACCTCTCTAGGACATTTGCTGATCTTTTGTTAGAGGATTGAATGCTGCTAAACTTACCCTACTTGGCATTTTCTACTTGGACAAAAATCTCTTTGCTTCCTGGATGAGTCTGTAAATCCAGTTGGTGTCATTTATCGGTAACATATTAAAATGCTGAAGAGAATTCTTTATTTACTGGCAGGGGGCATTCATTTGGCAAATATTTACTGAGCATTGCAGATAATCATTATTATGATTGTTGTTCAGCAAATATTTATTGGATGCATGTTCTGTGCAAGGTACCATTGACAAACAGGAACACAGGAGATAGAGTGGATTAGATAGACACCGTGGCTCTGCACATGAGATTCCCATCTGTCTGCTAAGGAGGGTGACCAGCTGTCCTGGTTTGCTGGGAATTGAGGGGGTTTCTGGGATGTGGTACTTTCGGTGCTGAAGCAAATCTGGCCTAGCACAAACTAGACAAGTTGGTGGCCCCACTTAGCAGACAGCTGGTCATCCTATTGCTGAGACAGACACTAAAGAACTAACTTCATGGTTATTTATTCCTTGGAATTGTTGTCGGTATTGTGAAGGGAGTGCACAGTGCTGTGAGGGCTTCTAAAAGATCGAGAACACAGCCCCACCGAAGCCACTGCCTCTGGTGGCCCACTGGAACCACCCCCTAGGACCTAGACTGCTTTTTGGGGCTCACAGGGTGGGCCCCTGAGGCCTGTTGCCTCTGGAGCCAAGGCCAGAACTTCCTGTGGTATTCTAGAACAGCAATGGCCAAATGTTCCGGCGGAGGCCACTGCCACTGTGGATCTGCCCTGGCTTCCGCAGAGCCTGGTAGGGTCTCAGCAGAACACTCCCCACCACCCGGAGGAGACTTTCTCCGTGATGGGGCCATGCTGCCCTCCACTCCACAGTGCCAGGGAGGTTTGTGTGGGTAAGAGAGGCTGCATGGACTGAAATTGTGTCCCAAGAACTCATGTCTTTCCTGGAACTTCAGACTATGAACTTATTTGAAAAGAAGATCGTGGTGCATGTAATTAGTTAAATTATCATTATTATTACTGAGACAGAGTCTTGCTCTATCACCCAGGCTAGAGTGCAGTGGCGCCATCTTTGCTCACTGAAAACTCCACCTCTTGGGTTCAAGCGATTCTCCTGCCTCAGCTTCCTGAGTAGTTGGGATTATAGGCACATGCCACCATGCCTGGCTAATTTTTGTATTTTTAGTAGAGATGGGGTTTCACCATGTTGGCCAGGCATGTCTCGAACTCCTGACCTCAAGTGACCCACCCACCTCAGCCTCCCATAGTGCTGGGATTACAGGTGTGAGCCACCGCGCCCGGCCGCCTTTTTTCTTCAGCATTTCCCTTGAGTACCAGTTACTGCAAAGACCTCAGGAGTCGGGAGTTTGAGACCCCAGGCTGCTCTCAAACTCCCGACCTCAAGTGATCTGCCCTCCTTGGCCTCCCAAAGTGCTGGGATTACAGGTGTGAGTCACCACACTCAGCTGTAATTAGTTAAGTTAGGTCAGGGTCATAGTTGTGCAGGATGGACCCTTAATCCAATATGACTATCCAAGATACCCAGAGATAGTCACACAGGGAAGAACGCCACAAGGAAACAGAAGCAGAGATTCGAGCGATTTCGAGAAACAGAAGATTCGAGAGATGCAGCTGCAAGCCAAGGAATGCTAATGCTTGCTGGCAACCACTAGAAGCTAGGAAGAAGCCAAGAGAAATCTTTTCTGGAGGCTTCAGAGAGCACAGCCCTGCCAGCGTCTTGATTTTGGACTTCCGGCCTCCAGAACTGTGAAAGAATAAATTTCTGTCATGTTAAGCCACCCAGTTTGGGGTACTTTTTAAAGGACAGTTTTAGGAAACTAACACAGCCTAAGGAAACGAACGTTGCTGTTCCAAAAGCTGATAGATTATTGAGAACCAAGCTCTCTTCCCCGTTGCATCCCCTTCCCAAAAGCCCCCTCAGTGGGTTCCAGAAGCACCCCCAACCCTGCCAGTCACCCAGACACAGCCCTCACCGGGGTGGGCGTGAGCAGAGAATGACCACGCCCTCTCCCTACGCTCAGTGATGCCTGCCCCACACACTTTGTATTTTCCCTTATTTTGAAAGTTATCCATAAAAGAATGTGTATGTTTTATAATCAGAAGGAAAAAGTTTAAATGAGCAAACAGATTCTCTTTTGGCAAAACATACACAGGTTTCCTATTTCTGCTCCTCGTATAGCCGTAGCCATAGAGTGGACAAACATTATTATTTTCTAACCAATTTATTTTGTCTTGAATTATTTATGTATTATAAAATGAGCTGTTCAGGAAGTAAAATATAGACTCTTTCTTTCTTTCTTTCTTTCTTTCTTTCTTTCTCTTTCTCTCTTTCTCTCTGTCTGTCTCTCTCTTTTTCTCCTTTCTGTCTTGCTTCCTTTCTTTTCCTTTGGCATCTGGGGTTGTGTCCTGACTCCTCTTAACTCGGGCGGGGCTGAGCTGTGCAATCTGCTCAGCGCACCTCTCCACAGCTACGCTAACCCAGGTGACCTGCTTACACCGGCTTTTCCTCTTTAATCCCTGAGTTGAGGATGGAAAACACTGGCTGTTCTGATTTCATTAGGCGGGCAGATGGTATTTGCTAATCACGTAGACAGTCTCTTGAAGACGCCTGTTAAAATGAATGCTGCTCAACATGTTTGGTTCTGATTTACTACATCCCATAGATGGAAACATAAAGACAGAGAGGACCGTGAGAAAAACTGCAATGCTGATGAAGTATCACTCGGCCCTTTTCGTTTCATTCACTGGCTAATCATGAGATGTAGGGAGTGTCCAGCCTTTTCCATGTGTCGGGTATGCAGACAGGATGGAATGTGGTCTATGTATTAGTGAGGCTCCCATCATGGAGGAAGGGTGCAGGGCATACCTGGGCCTCCAGATACACCTGGGACAAAGCCAGGCTCCCTCTCCAGTGCTCATCTCCGCCTCTGTCTGAATTCAACTCCTCCTACTCTAGCCTGGCTCTTCCACAAGCAAGGACCCTCCAGGGGAAGAATGTGCTGCTTCCTCTCAAGCCCAGAAATCCCAGGGAAGGGCTCTAATTGGCCCCAATAGGGTCAGGTGCCCAGCTCTGACCAATCAGTGGTGGCCACGTGGGGAGAGTCTGTTAGATCATGGCAGCTCTCTTTAGAGCCATGTGGTTATGGTGGGAAGAAGGAACATCTCCCAGAAGAAGGTTGACTATTACCCTCAGCAGACAAAAGAGTCAATGTCCGCCACATCCCTGCTCCAGCGATCTGGGGTGAGGGTCAATTAAGGAATGTGAGGAGTGCTATGACCACCAGATGCACAAGGGCCTCTGTTAACAGGGAAAGCTGAGTTCTTCTCTTTAACACTGGCCGCCACTGGTTCTCTTTCATCCGAGGTTTGACAATAAAACTGAATAGCGAAAGTAGAGGTGGAGAGCCAGTGTTGCAAGAGAGCCTTAGTGTGGTGGGGAATTCCAGCTGATAGGGAAAGAGAGAGAGAGAGAGAGAGAGAGAGAGAGAGAGAGAGAGAGAGTGTGTGTGTGTGTGTGTGTGTGTGTGTGTGTGTGTGTGTGTGTGTGTGTGTGTGTGTGTGTACAGGGGTACTGAAGAGCTTATTCTCCTTAAAAATCCCAGTTATCTGATATAAAGCATTTTTTCCCAAATTACATGAACTCAATGAATCATGAGCAAACAGACAAACTGAAATTGAGGTTCATTCTACAAAATGACCAGTAGTCACCAAAAGTGTTAAGGTCACGAAAGACAAAGACACTGAGGAACTGTCACAGGTTGGAGGAGATGAAGGAGACCAACAATAAAGGACGCTGGATTGTATCCTGGAATAGAAAAAGGATATTAGGGCCGGGCGTGGTGGCTCATGCCTGTAATCCCAACACTTTGGGAGGCCGAGGTGGGCGGATCACCTGAGGTCAGGAGTTTGAGACCAGCCTGGCCAACATGGTGAAACCCTGTCTCTACTAAAAATACAAAAATTAGCTGGCCATGGTGGTGCGGGCCTGTAGTCCCAGCTACTCAGGAGGCTGAGGCAGGAGAATCGCTTGAACCTGGGAAATGGAGGTTGCAGTGAGCCAAGGTCATTCCACTGCACTCCAGTGTGGGTGACAGAGTGAGACTCTTTCTCAGAAAAAAAAAAAAGAAAGAAAGAAAAGGATATTAGGTAGCATGCCAAAGGTCCCCACGACCACACTCAGGTTCAGTGAATCACCAGAAGGACTCACAGAACTTTAAAAAGCTGTCATGCTCACAGTTATGGTTTATTACAGTAAAGGATACAGATTAAAGTTAGCATGGAACAGGGCACAGAGGGCAGAATCCAGGAGAGACAAACACCAGTTTCTGGTTGTCTTCACCCAGAGAAACTGTACAGACAGCACTTAATTCTCCCAGCAGTGATGTGTGACAACACACAGAAAGTATTGCCAACCAAGGAGGCTCACTCAAAGCCTGGGGCTCAGGTTTTTTATTAGGGATCAGTTATAGAGGCATGGAACACCTCATAGCTGACCTTAGTTACTCAGTCTGCAGTTCCTCAAGAGGTCAAACGGATACAGCAAGATCCAAGACTCCCCACCATAAATCACGCTGTTATTACCGACTATCTGACAGGGCCCAAGGGCCCAAGTAAACAAAGACTGTCATCAGGCAGGATATTTCAAGGGCTTAGAGTTTGTCTCCCAGAAGGTAGTCAAGGGCCAGTCCTTTCTCTGGGAGATGCAGGGTTTGAACACCCCAAGCCTGCTGAGTTAATCCTTTACTTCACAGGGAGAAAACTAGTGTAATTCAGATAAGTCTGTAGCTTAGTTAATAGTCTTGTATCAAAGTTTTTCCCCTGGGTTTGAGCATTGTTCCATAGTTATATACATTTATAACATTATAGGTAGCTAGATAATGGATATATATGATTTGAGCATTGTTCCATAGTTATATACATTTATAACATTATAGGTAGCTAGATAATGGATATATATGAACTCTCTATACTATTTTTGTAAATTTCTCTAAGTCTAAAATTATATCAAAGTAAAATGTTAAAAATATTCATGGAAGGCTGGGCGTGGTGGCTCACGCCTGTAATCCCAGCACTTTGGGAGGCCGAGGCAGGCAGATCACCTGAGGTCAGAAGTTCGAGACCAGCCTGGCCAACATGGTGAAACCCCATCTCTACTTAAAATACAAAAATCAGCCGTGCGTGATGGCGGGTGCCTGTAATCCCAGATACTTGGGAGGCTGAGGCAGGAGAATCACTTGAATCTGGGAGGTGGAGGTTGCAGTGAGCCAAGGTCATGCCACTGCACTCCAGCCTGGGTGACAGAGACTCTGTAAAAAAAAAAAAAAAAAAAAAAAATCCATGGGAACATGGACAAGCAATGGAAGAAATAAGAAAATATATTATCTGTGTGTATCTGGCCCCCTCACCTCATTTGCTCATGGAGTGGAGCCCAATCAATGACTAATTCCAACTCAGGTGTTCACAGCAAAATTCATCACTTACTGCGCATCTGTTGTATGGATGAGGACTCTGATGGCTTCCTGGAGGAATTGCTAAATAAGCATTATCTTTTCAGAAATCAAATCACCAGATAATCTTTCTGATCCTCAGTTTCCCCTGTCTCACAAATGGGAATGAAAATTCTGATGAACTAATAAAGTAGGCTATCAATGGAAGATTGCTGTTAAGAATGTCTTTAGACTCAATTGTCATCCACACTAATACCTGCCTGTCATTCTGCCAGTGCGTTTCTCTTCTACAACTCTCTTTTTGGGGATGTCGCCAATAATCTATATTTCAACAAGATGGATAAAGCTGTGAAAAGGATCGGATTCTGCCCAGGACTTCAAGGTGACATACTTTCCCTTTACTTCTGGAGAGGGTATTCTGTACCTCTTTAGGTTTGTCTTATCCTTGTCTTTCCCCCATTGAAATGTAAGCTGAAAGGAAACAGAGAGCCTTGTCTGTCCCAGGCTTTGCTGTAGCTCCTGCACCTAGAACAATGCCTGGCACTCAATAGATCCATGTTAAAGGAGTGACTGAGTTTCTCTTGGCCATTAAACCCTTAGCATTGGTATGGCTTCTAATAGCTCTGTCAGAATTTGTACACTTCTGGATTGTTCCAGGAATTGGAGGACTACTCTGGGCAGATGTTTAAAACTAGTATCTCTTAATATTTCAAACCCTATATCAGTGTAGTGGCTATGAAAGAAAGAAGTTACTTTTTTTTTTTTTTTTTTTTTTTTGAGACAGAGACTTGCTTTGTCACCCAGGCTGGAGTGCAGTGGCGCAATCTCATCTCACTGCAGCCGCCACCTCCCAGGCTCAGGTGATTCTCATAGACTCAGTCTCCCAAATAGGTGGGAATATAGGCACGCATCACCACACCAGGCTAATTTTTTGTTTCCTTGTTTGTTTGTTTGTTTTTGCATTTTTAGTAGAAACGGGGTTTCACCATGTTGGCCAGGCTGGTCTCAAATTCTTGGCCTCAAGTGATCTGCCAGCCTCAGCCTCCCAAAGTGTTGTAATTACATGCGTGAGCCACCGCACCTGGCCAGTTCCTCTTTTTTTTTTTTTTTTATCAGACATAACCAACTGTTGCAGGAACAGCCCAAGTCCAAACAAGGGCATAAAAATGAGAAGTGCAAGTATTTTCAGACAGGCCTCCCATTATAGACTGTACGACTGGGAAAGACTGATCATACTAACAGTGCGAGGCTAGCTAACTTTTCCCTCCAATTTCCTTCCATAATTGCTTATCTTGGGTGGTTATACACCAATACTTTGTCAAACAGTATGTGACCTCAGCAGAACTGACCAATACATTACTGGAGCAGAATAATCAGTCTTGAAATAAACCCATGGATAAAGGATGGATTGTCCAATAAATGACATTACGACAATTAGGTAAGCATTTGGAAAAACAAATGAAGTTTTGTTACACCATATATGTTATGGATTGAATTGTGTCCTCCCAAAAGATACATTGAAGTTCTAACCCCTGGTATCAGTGCATGTGGCCTTTTTGGAAATAGGGTCTCTGCAGTTGTAATCAAGATGAGGTCATTAGGAGGGCCCTAATCCAATATGACTGACATCTTTATAAGAAGAGGAAAAGAGACACAAACACACAAAGAGGATGCCGTGTGAAGACAGAGGGGCCGAGGCTCAAGTGATTCTTCTATAAGCCAAAGATTGCTGGTGACATCAAAGCGAAGAGAAAGCCGTGGAACAGATAGATGCTCCCCTAGAGCCCTTCAAGAAAGCACAGCCCTGCTGCCTCCTTGCAAACAGAACCATGAAAGAATAAATTTCTGCTGTTTTAAGTCACTCAGTTTGTGGTGATTTGTTATAACAGCCCTAGGAAATGTATAATATCATATCATATAACATAACATAATAAATATATTATAATACAATATTCCAAAAGATCAGATATTTACGTGTTTAAAAATAAAGCATGAGAAGATATATTGGACAGCATATAGTTTGGGGAGCAGAAAACCTTTGTGATCTTAACACTAAGATCTGAAATCATGACAGAAAAGATTGACCAGCTGACTACATCAAAAATATACATTTCTGTATCACTCACAAAAAAGAATAAAGTTAAAAGAAATAGTAGAAGCGTATTTGCCACATATGACAAAGAGCTTATGTGCACAATTCATAAGGGCTCCTATAAATTATAAAAATGTAAATAACTCAACATATGTATGAACAAATGACTAGACAAAGTACACAAGAAATTCAAATGGCAATAAAACACGTAGAGAGTTGTTCTGCTTCACTGATAATGAAATAAATGAAAATTAGGATAAAATATATAATTTCTCCCAAATCATACTGTCAAACATGAATCAAATTGAAAGCCTCTGACACTGACAGCAGCAGCTCCCACATGTCCCAGCCAAAGAGACTTAGGGATGTCAGCTGTGATGTCAAGGGTGACTCAGCAGATCTGAGTTGACCAAACCCTGCATACAGCCTTGATCAGCTCCGAAGAGATGACCCCTGAGTCCTTGGAGTGTCCCTCCTGATAAGGGTGGCTTTGTGTATCTGAGGCCTTGGGCCACATCCTTAGTTTATGCCAACAGTGTGATTTATGATGAAAGCCTGTTCACACGTGCCCGAGGCTCTGGGCCATGCTCTATTAATTTCACCTCTGTTGGGCTGAGGTCCAAGTAGCCGAGGTCAGTCACATGGGCACTGCATGCCTATGTGACTGACCCCAATGAAAACCCTGAACACCAGTGCATAGGTAAGCTTTCATGGTGGCTAACACCTCAAGTGTGCCGTGAAACATCGTTGCTGGGGAAAATAAACGCTATCCGTTCAGCCCCGCAGGGCAAGGACACCAGAAGCTTGTGCGAGTTTCTCCTGGACTCCGCTCTATGTTCCTTTTTCCTTTGCTAATTTAAATCTGTATTTTCAAAGTGTAAGCACAAATCTAATAGCCTTTCTTAGTGCTGTGAGTCCTACTAGCGAGTTGCCAAACCCAAAGGTAGTCTAAGGACCCCCTTCACAAGGGTCTCTTTGCACAAAGCTGGAAGCTGAGTTTGCAAAGCACTGTATATAGCACCTAGAGAACCTGCATTACTCAAGTGAAAGAATGGAGGGGGCCAGGCTGAGAGGGGGTCTCGGTGGCGCCCAGGGGTTGCAGCTCTCCTGGGTACTCATGTTGGTCTGTCTGCACCTGGGTGGAATATGGGATGGATAGCCCATGCCCTGGGCCTGGCAGCAAGCCTGCAGCCCTCAGGCCTGGCACCTGCAGCTGTGAGCTCTAGTCCCAGTCCAGTGTGAGCCAGAGGCAGAGCCAAAGGGACGTGTTCTTGGTCACTGGGGGCTGGAACTGATGACAGATGTGCTCTTCCCACACATCCTAACGAAAACAGCTGCGACAATACTTCACGCATGGTGCTGGACACGTAAGGCAACACACACAGCTTGGAAGTGCTGTGTGACTGTGAAAGTGATTTTCCTCCTGCTGTGTACTGAATGGTGTCCCCCCAAATTCATACGCTGGAGCCCTAACCCCCAATGTGACTGTATTTGGAGACAGTACCTTTAAGGAGGGAATGGGGGTTAAATGAGGCTATTAGGGTAGGCCATAATCCACTAGGACTGGGGTCCTTATATGAAGAGGAAGAGACCGCAGGCACGCTGTTGCACAGAGGAAAGGCCGAGGGTGGATGCAGCAGGAAGGCGGCCACCTGCAGCCAGGGAGAGAGGCCTTCGGAGAAACCAGCCTGCACACCTTGGACATCCAGTCTCCAGGACAGTGAGAAAATCACCTGTGTGCTATAAGCCTCCCAGTATGTGGCACTTTCTTAGGTCAGCCTTAGCAAACGAATAGAACTCAGAGATGGACACAGACGGCTCCCAGGTGTTCACCTGGCACTGTAGCCCTCATCTTTGCTCCTGCTGTCGTTTCCGAGGAGCCTGTGGAGCCGGCCGTGCAGTCGTGCAGGCAGTAGTGCTTTGCAGGCTACAACATCTCTCCTGTGGGCCTTCTGGGTGCACACGGAGGTGGAGCCTCCTGGAGCACAGTCATGAGCAGAGCTCTCCTGGCTCCACCTCTGCCTCCCATCAGGGGTGAATAAGGCGGAAGCTGAGGGGACAGTCACAGCCAGGACAGGAATGTCACCCCCAGCTGGCAGACAGCACTCTGAGCAGCCAGGCCTGGGATCCTCTGACCTGCCCACTTCAGGAGGCCAGTGTGGTCACTGCCACCCCACGGTCTGGGGACCCTGGACTCCAAACTTGTAAGTGCTAGAGTGGGCAGCTGGAGGCCATCTGGGCACTTTAAAACACAGGTACTCGGGAACAAACCTCTGATGGGGTGGGTGGGGTGAGGGATGGGGGACCTTGGGTCCCAGGCCCTCTGTGATTTTCTGATGAACTTCCTTCTGTGGGAGCGCTGGCTCAGGGAGCTCCTGGCCTCTCCTCCTCTACCACTTCCTCCGCCACCCGCCTCCACCTGCTCCCGGCCTGATGTCCGCAGGGTCATGTGTGCAGTAGTCCCACGTCCAGGCTCACTGCAGAGGCAGCCCTCTTCAGACAGGAGGCAGAAGAGAGGGCCCCCGCAAGTTAGCTTTTACTTTAATATTATTATGTCATTATGTGTATTATTATTGTCATCAACATCTTTTTATTCTGCAAATACTAATTTCATATCCCATATGGGCAGGCTCTGTGCAAGGTAAATTACTAAGTTTTGTTAATGAAGTCAAACAAAGTCATGGGTTCTATAAGAAGACAACTATTTTAAAATATGGCATAAATGACATTATATAGTTAAGATAGTATAAAGACACGACTTGGAACAAGCAAACGTGGGAACAAGGCAAGGAGAACGTGTAGCTTCCTTTTGGAGTGCTCATACTAATTGCTGATGAAACATTTCTGCACTCGGCAGGGAATCAGTCCACAGCCCCCCTCTGATTAAAATGCGACCCAGCTTGGACTCTGAGAGCAAATGTCCCAGCGACCCTGGGAAGAAGTGATGCAATCCTCTCTTTGCGCTGTTTATCATTTCTGAGAAGCAATGACATAGCTGCCTCTTGCAGTTTGGTCTAATTACTTGTCTGATCTCCCCCAGGGAGAAGCAGCTCTGTTCTCCCTTGGCCTCCAGACAGTGGGGCCCACAGTCTCTACTGGAGGAGTGGGGCCGGCCATCGTGGGCAGGGGAGGTGGAGACCCCTTGAAGCTGATCTGTATTGCAGGGTGTGGAGTAGGGCTGGGGGTTCCTGGGCCTCTAATCTTTAAAATCCAGCAAGAAGGTAGTGTACTGTGAGCCAGGCCCATCATTCTCTTTCCTCCCTGAAACCATCGATGAGTCTTCCCCTAAGGGCTGGAGGGGAGGGTCCCCTTTCTTTGACTTCCCTTGCAGTTCCTCTGATGCTGAAGAGTAGGGCTTGCAGGGACTCTGCCTCCTGCAGGGAGCAGCCACTGTTTCCAGGGACCCTCACAGAAGAGGAGCTAATTTCACACTTTGGGACTCCATAGAAGCCAGCTTCCTGGCAGTTTGAAGTGTGCTTCTCACACATCTTCCACCAGCTTGTTTGTCTGCCTATATCTGAGGATCCTTTAAAGCGATTGAAACAAAATTAAGGGTAAGAAAATTAAAATTTGCTCTGTGCTTGCTATGTGCCAGACACAGTATTTGGCATGATACAGATTTTCATTGACATCAGCTCACTTGGGCAGGTGACTTCACCTCTCCGTGTCTTAGTGTCCTTACCTGTACTGATAAACTAATGGTACTAGCACTTAACCAGAGGGATATTGTGAAGAAAGACTGATGTAATATACATAAAAGACTCAGAACAAATCCTAGGACAGGGAGCATTCAAGAGTGAGGAGCTATTTCATCCTCCTCCTCCCCATCAAGGTAGATATTTAGCCCATTTTACAGATGAAAAGTGGAGGCCCAGGCAATGGAGTCGCCCTCACAAGGACCTCCTGAGGGAAGTGGTACAGCCCCGATTCAACCCAGCCCAGAGTCCTCCTTGACCTCACACCATCACAGCATCTCTCCTATCGGGACCCACAAGCACTTCTGAAACCTGGAAAATAATTACTACCTCCCTGTGTTATCATTGACTTCCAAATTCTTCCACATAGGACAGTGGCTTTCAAATTTCTTTGGTTTGGTTTGTTTTTTTGAGACAGGATCTTTCTCACTCTGTTGCCCAGGCTGGGGTGCAGTAGCATGATCATAGCTCACTGCAGCCTCAACCTCCTGGGCTCAGGTGATCCTCCCACCTCAGCCTCCCAAGTAGCTGGGACTGTAGGTGCATGCCACCACACTTGGCTAATTTTTTAAATTAATTTTTTAAACTAATTTTTTATAGAATGAGGGTCTCACTATGTTGTCCAGAATGGTTTGGAACCCCTGGCCCCAAGCAGTCCTCCCATCTTGGTCTCCCAAAGTGCTGAGATTAGAGGGGTGAGCCACTGTGCCTGGCCAGCTTTCAGTTTTTGATTGCCTCACTTGGAAAGAAATGTTTTATATCACAACCCAGAAAATATACATATAAACATGGAATCAAGATTTAATGACACAGTACTTTCTCTCACTGTGTTCTATGTACCTGGTATTTTTCTAGTAGGTTTTGTGTGTGTGTGTGTGTGTGTGTGTGTGTGTGTGTGTGTGTGTTTTCAGACAGGGTCTCAGTCTATTACCCAGTTTGGATGCAGTGGTGCAATCTCGGCTCACTGCAGCCTCAACCTCCTGGGCTAGCAATCCTCCCACCTCAGCCTCCCAAGTAGCTGGGACTCCAGGCACCCACTGCCACGCCCAGCTAATTTTTTTTCTCTTAGTAGAGACAAAGTCTCACTATGTTGCCAGCTGGTCTCCAACTCCTGAGCTTAAGGGATCCTCCCAAATTCTTGTGATTACAGGCATGAGCCACTGTACCCTGCCCTGTTTTATTTTTAAGCACTGGTTTCAACTGGCCTTGCCTGGCAGTTTGAAAACCACTGGCAAGGTGAAGTGGCCAGTGAGGGGGCAGGTGTCAAGTGTAATCTGCCCTGGGACTGTGTGGCACAGCCTGAGGATCCTGTTCAGACAAGACTCCAAGCACTCCGTCCAGGATACCTGGGCCCAGCTTCCTAAGCACCAGCCCCGCCCCAGGGGAACTGTTCCATCCCCTGCTCTGAGATGCAGTGGGCTCCTAGTGGGCATAGAGGGAGGTTTAGTGAGAAGCGCACCTTCAGGGCCCCCACAATCCACCAGGCTGGATCACCCAGATTCACTGAGGGCGTTCACAGCACCCCCAAAGATGTATTCCTTTAGCATTTGATCATTCAGTCTCCCCTTAAATGGGAGGTGCTCCTTTGCTGTTTGCATGTCAGTGGGGAAGGGTCTCGTGCCATGAGGTTTGGAAACTGACCCTCTTGACTAGAGACCCGCCAGGGCTAGCAAGGTGGAGAGGCGGAAGAAGGGGGGAAAGCAAAGGGAAATGAGTCCTAGGAGGAGCTGCCCTCCAGGCGCCATCCTGACTCGCCAGCCTCAGCTGCGGCTCTTCCCCAACCCCTTCCTCTGCTTCCTGGGTGCACGGCCAGCCTACCCCTCCTGGCTTCACTGTGGCCTGTAGCTGAATTCTGGCCCAGTGAATACGCATGGACAGGATGAGCAGTACTTCCTGGCCTGGCTCCCCACACGCCATGCTCTTCCCCTTCAGCTTGAGACAGGGGAGCATAGGGACCTTGGGACCCACATGGAAGTTTGGAGGGTTCCCACATGGAAGATTGGGGCATCCCACATAGAAGGAGCTCAGGCCCCCAAATCACTGCTTAGATGGACACCAACTGCCCCTCAAGATCACTCATTTTGAACTTCACGTGACCAAAATAAACTTACATTATGTTAAGATACGGAGATTACCCTAACAGGCAAATTTTCAAATTTCTAAACTATCCAAGCTCAAGGAAGTGGAGGAAGGCATTCTAAAATTGAATTTAGCAAAAACTTACTTCAAAACAGGAAAGACTCTATATTGGGTTGAACAGTGTCTTTCCAAAATGTATGTCCACCGGAATCCCAGAGTGAGCCCTTACGTGGAAATAGGGTCTTTGTGAATGCAGTCAAATTTAGATGAAGTCATGCTGGAGGAGGGTCGGCCCTTATCTAGTGATTGGTGTCCTAAAAAAAGAGAGAAATTTGGACACAGAGACACAGACACATGGGGAAAAGGCCACGTGAAAACAGAGGCAGACATTGGAGCTCCAAACTAAAGACACCAGGGGCGCTGTGACTATCAGAATGAGGGGACGCAAGAGCAGCTTCTTCCGGGGAGCCTTGGGAGAGAGGATGGCCCAGCCAGCACCTTGCTTCGGGATTTCTGGCCTTCAGAACTGTGAGAGAATAAATGTGTGTTGTCTTAAGCCACCCAGTTTGTGGCACTTGGTTACAGCAGCCCCAGGAAACCAATACACTCTGAAATCAAAGCTTAGTGTAATTTTTAAAAATTGTACTATTTTTAGCCCAGTTCTGGGCCACGTGCTCTTAGGAAGTGCTAGTCCTGATTCGATGCTTCCAGCTGGAGGAGACCCCTCCTCCCCTCACCCATCCAGAGAGATCACCTTGGGGCCGGGCTACTGGATGACCTCCAGAACAGAGAAACTCTCTGCCCAGGAAGAACAGCATTCTTTATTTTTGAGACGGAATCTGGCTCTGTCACCCAGGTGGGAGTACAGTGATGGATCACGGCTCACTGCAACCTCCGCCTCCCGGGTTCAAACGATTCTCGTGCCTCAGCCTCCCGAGTGGCTGGAACCACAGGCATGCACCACCATGCCTGGCTAATTTTTGTATTTTTAGTAGAGATGGGGTTTTACCATGTTGGCCAGGCTGGTCTTGAACTCCTGACCTCAAGTGATCCACCCACTTTGGCCTCCCAAAGTGCTGGGATTACAAGCATGAGCCACTGCACCGAATAAGGTTCGTCCAGCTGCCAGAAGGGGCCCAGCTGCCCTTGAAAGATGGTGTGGCCCACCCTCTGCCGTGGTCCCCGCCTGAGCCATGACAGGGAGAGGGAGGCCTGGAAGATAAAGACCATGAAGGCAGATGCAGGAATCTCAATTCCTGAGGCTGCTCCCGGGACCCAGCCCAAGTAGGTGGATGCCTGTTTGTCAGCCCAGCCACACTTATAGACCAGAATCAGCCAGCTCCTATCAACTATCAACCTTCACTTCAAGCATTCAGACATACAACAAATCATGCAGCTGATGGCTTCTGAAATCAAATTTGAAAAGGGAAAGCTGTTGTAAACCCATTAGCTGCTAATCAGACCACCTCAAGGAACACTAGGATGAGTGTTTTGTTTTGTTTTGTTTTGTTTTGTTTTGTTTTGTTTTGTTTTGAGACAGAGTCTCACTCTGTCTCCCAGGCTGGAGTGCAGTGGTGCAATCTCAGCTCACTGCAACCTCACCTCCTGGGTTCAAGTGATTCTCACGCCTCAGCCTCCCGAGTAGCTGGGATTACAGGTGCCTGCCACTATGCCCTGCTAATTTTTTAATTTTATTTTTAGTAGAGATGGGGTTTCACCATGTTGGCCAGGCTAGTCTCAAACTTCTGACCTCAGGTAATCCGCCTGTCTCAGCCTCCCAAAGTGCTGGGATTACAGGTGTGAGCCACTGCGCCCGGCCAGATGAGTGTTCTTTACAGAGCAGATGTCTTTTTAAACATGAAGCATCACTCCGTGGAGGAGTATGCTGGAGCTGCAGTAACAAAGTGTCATGAGCAGAGGGGCTTAAACCACAGAAGTGCCTCACCTCGGAGCTCTGCAGGCTGTTAGTCCAAGAGCAAGGTGTCCGCAGGGTTGGTTCCTACTGAGGCTGTGAGAGCAAATCTGCCAGGCCTCTCCTCTAACTTCTGGTGTTGGCAGGGAAAACCTGGGGTTCCTTGGTTTGTAGAGGCAGCACCCTGATCTTTGCTTTCATCTTCACATGGCCTGTTTGTTTGTTTGTTTGTTTTGAGATGGAGTCTCGCTCTGCCACCCAGGCTAGAGTGCAGTGGCATGATCTCCACTAACTGCAACCTCCTCCTCCCAGGTTCAAGTGATTCTCATTCCTCAGCCTCCTGAGTAGCTGGGATTAGAGGCATGCACCACCATACCTGGCGGATTTTTTTTTTGTATTTTTGTTAGAGATGGAGTTTCACCATGTTGTCCAGGCTCGTCTTAAAGTCCCGGCCTCAAGTGATCTGCCTGCCTCGGCCTCCCAAAGTGTTGGGATTACAGGGGTGAGCCACCATGCCTGGCCAGCTTGGAAGTTTTTGAAAAGCTAAACAGACACACACACACACTATTGTGATGCCCCCCAATCCGCCCCAACACATATGCTAAACAGAAACGTGTGTGTTTGTCCGCCAAAAGACATGCAAGAATTTAGAGAGCAGCACTGCTGGTGATTGCTAAAAAGTGAAAACATTTCTAACCTCCATCCTGCAAGGGGAAAATGGGTGAATAAATAGAGGTGTGCTTAAATAATGGTGGAATTCTACTCAGCACTAAAAAAGAGCAAACTCCAGCCTCACGTGGCAATGTGGATGGGCTTAATGAACATCATGCTGAGAGAAAATCAGGCACCAAAAAGAATAGACCATTTCGTTCCATTGACAGGCAGTTCAAAAACAGGCAAAAGGTGTCAGGAGTCAGAATAGTGCTTACCTTTGGGAGGGGATAGCGACTTGGGGGGCTGTGGGATTGAGGGGGCAGTTTCTCTGCTGCTTCTAATATTCTGTTCCTTGATCTGGGTGCTAGTTAGCAGAGTGTGTTCTGTCTGCGAAAATTCCCTGAGCTGAGGTTATGATACATAACATGATAAGATGCATAATATGATATAGAATAGAACATGACATAACAGCTCTCAGCTCTGGCTTCTTTTTGCTTGTAAAATGAAATAATAAGAATACTCACCCTGGCCGGGCATGGTGGCTCACACCTGTAATCTCAGCACTTTGGGAGACTGAGGCGGGTGGACCACCTGAGGTCAGGAGTTTGAGACCAGCCTAGCCAATGTGGTGAAACCCTGTCTCTACTAAAAAAAAAAAAAAAAATACAAAACATTAGCTGGGCATGATGGCACGAGCCTGTAGTCCCAGCTACTTGGGAGGCTGAGGCAGGAAAATCACTTGAACCCAGGAGGCAGAGGTTGCAGTGAGCCAAGATCGCACCACTGCACTGCAGCCTGGGTGACAGAGTGAAGAGTGAGACTCTGTCTCAAAAAAAAAAAAAAATTCATCAGGTGTGGTGTCATGTGCCTGTAGTCCCAGCTACTCGGGAGGCTGAGGCAGGAGAATCGCTTGAACCCGGGAGGCGGAAGTTGCAGTGAGCCGAGATCACGCCAGTGTACTCCAGCCTGGGTGACAAAAACAAAACTCCATCTCAAAAAAAAAAAAAAAATAGAATACTCACCCTGATAGAGTCAATGTGAGAAATAATATAAGTTCCTGGCACATAATAACTGCTCAATAAATGACAGCATTTTTTTTTTCTAGGCAGAATGAATCTTTGGTGATGAAAGTGAGAATCTGGGAGGTAATGATGGCGGCAGGCTGTGGTGGGAGCCTCTGGGGCGCTGCTGAGAGATGGCGCTGGGTGGTGTCATGGGTGTGGACTCACTTTCTAATAATTCTTCCAGCTGGGCACCTGATTCGTGGGCTTTTCTGTGGGCATGTCATACTTCAACACAAAAACAGCTTACCAAAAATGCAAATAAAAGTATCCATTTTGCAGATTATGAGGATTAAAGAGATAAGAAACCTAAAGCATTTAGCATTGTGCCTCCCACAGTTTAAGAGCTCGGTGCCTGTCTGCTGTTGTAGCTGCACAATCATTTATCCAGAAAGCTGTGGGTTTTTGGCATTCGAGTTTGGGGAGCTGTAGGCTGGTAATACAGGACATATCCTGAATATCACTTACTACCCACTGCTGGGTCTGGCCTGCAGATCCTGGCCGAACAACAGATGAACACATGCACTCAGACACAGGTATCCAGTGAAAGAGTGGGCTAGGGGACCAGGCCGCTCACAGACACTGAGGAGGGTGCTGTAAAGAGTCAGCAGCCACGGCCCTGACAAGCTGGCACTGCGGGCATTTATTTAGTACAGATTTAATGACAAAGGCCTTGAGTCAACACACTTGTGGGTAATTTACATGGTCACTCCCCCAGAGAGAGCAGTCCTGCACACAGGCGATTAAAGGCCAGGTTCCGAGGCCTAAGTAAACTAACTTATCTAGATCAGTTTCTTTACATCCCCTTGTTATCTAACCTAAGCTTTCAGGTACCAGATAAGAGAATCTGGCTGCCTTCAGCCCAAATCCTTTTCCAAAGCTTTTGTAAAACCTCCTGGCCTTCCAGGAAGGTTTGCATTCTTTCTACAATTTTTCCCACCACCCTGACCAATCTCCTACAACCCCCCACATGTCTGGACAGTGCCCCCCAGAAAACACAGTATCACTATTCTCACCAATGGATAAAGAAAGTCTATAAATAGTCCCAAGTCCATTCAAATCAATTTTATCCCCAAATGGGTTTTGTCTTCAAATTTACACATAAAAAATGTTCCCAGAGTGTTTTGGATTTCAGAATTGTGGGTAAGGGATTGGGCACCCATATTTTCAACACCATGATGTGCATGACGTCATGTGTTTTCTGCAACTGGAAATTGGATCATTTGTTAGTGGTTCGTTATTGTGTGACATTTCCCATTCTACAGAGATGTGAAAACTGGAAGAGAAACAGGAAGTACCTCCAGGATTCACCTAAATAGATGCTGCGGTTTCTATCAAACCACAGGCCACCCCAGCATCTCAGTGGCTTCTATAGGTTGTCCTGAAAGAGCCATGAGGCCAGGGCCCTTGATGGATTCCCAGATACCAGCTGCTCCTCCAGACACCAATTCCACCCTCCACCTTTCTGTGTCCGTCCCAGACCAAGGCAGCCCAGGTAAGGAGCCATGAGTAGGAGGTTTCCCAGTGGGTAGAGGTGCCAGACTCAGCAGCTAGAAATATAGAATGCTGGGTTAAATGTAAATTTCAGATCAATGATAATTTTTTGGGTAAGTGTATCCCATGCAGCATTTGAAATACAATTTAATCAAATTTAACTAGATGTCCTGCATGTTGTAGGAAACTCTCTAGGAGGTGTGTCTCCAGGATAGAGGGCCAGTGGAGAATGGCAGCCCACACTGTTATGGGATGAAGTGTGTCCCCCAAAATCAACATGTTGAAGCTCTAACCCCCAGAACCCCGGAATAAAACTATATTTGGAGTTAAGATCTTTAAAGAGGTAATTATGTCCTAATGAGTTATTTAGGGCAGACCCTAATCCAATAGGACTGGTATCCTTCTAAGAAGAGGAAGGCACATCAGAGGAGAGGCCATGTGAGGACACCATGGGAAGGCGGCCACCTGCAAGCCAAGGAGAGGGGCCTCAGGAGAAACCAGCCCTGCTGACACCCTGAGCTCCTTGCAATTCCAGCCTCCTAGACTGTGAGAAAATACACTTGTGTTATTTAAGCCCCCCAGTCTGTGGTTCTTTGCTGTGGCAGCCCTAAGAATCTAATACACATGCCAACCTGTCTAGGCACAGATGGCCCATCTTCAGGGAAAGGATGCAGGGGGATCTGCAGGCCTGCCGGGGCTGAACCAGGAAGTTGTGCCCTCAGCAGTGGAGGCAGCCTCTCCCAACCCCAAGCCTCCAGCCCCTCCCCTCGTGACATGCATGTTCTGAGTTCAGTCTGTTTCCAAGCTCCTTCCCGTGCCTGTGGAGTCAATGTCACCCCCAGTCTCAGGGTATCCTTGCACTGATACGCTCCACTACACCCTCACACCCACCCCGTGGCTTCCTGAACTGCACCCCCAAGTGAACCACTCTGCATCTGGCTTCTCCATCAACCACGTGCCCTGGAGTCCCTCTGAGCTGTCCATGTGGGCAGCCTCCTTTTGAAGCCTGGAGTGGGTGAGTGTTGAGCAAAAGGTGATGGCAGGGGCTAGAGCTCATTTCATTCCTGAGTAAGGGAAGCTCTAAGATTCCTTCTGTACCATAAGTGAGTGCTGCCCTGCCTGGGAGGGTGCACACCCTGCCCTGAGACTACTGCCTCAGAGCATGGGCAGCTGGTCAACCTAGGCATTGCCCATGCCTCCCACATGGGTGGGGGGCAGCCCCACCGCCCCTCTGTTCATCTTCCATTGACCTGTGGAGTCTCAGAGATCTGTCTTGATTTTTTTTAGACAGTCTTGCTCTGTCACCCTGGAGTACAGCGGTGCAATCTCTGCTCATTGCAACCTCTTCCTCCCAGGTTCAAGTGATTATCGTGCGCCAGCCTTCCAATTAGCTGGGATCACAAGCATGCACCACCATGCCCTGCTAATTTTTGTATTTTTAGTAGAGACAGGGTTTCGCCATGTTGGCCAGGGTGGTCTCAAACTCCTAACCTCAAGTGATCCACCTGCCTCGGCCTCCCAAAGTGCTGGGATTGCAGGTGTGAGCCACCACACCCAACCTGTCTTGATTTAATAGTCATTCAAGGTGCTCATTTCTTGACTGAATGACTACAAGAGCAGATATAAATGAACACATGCAATCAGTCTTGCCCTGGGTCTGAAGTAGGATTCTCAGCACCAGCGACATTTGCACTGGATCATTCTCTGCGGTGGCACTAGCCTCTGCCCTGCAGGACGTTTAGCAGTACCCCTGGACCCCACCCACTAGACGCCAGCAACAGTTCCCTGCCCCAGTTGTGACAACCAAAAATGTCCTCGGACATTACTCCAAGCACCAAGGTTGGGAACCGCTGTTCTCAAGGTTTCCAAATGCATCTCACGCCATAGGTCTATGCACAGAATAAATGAATCATTCACTGTTGACCAATGAAGGCTTTGTTTGGAGACAGGTGTTATAACAGCAGGAAGAAAACTCCCCAAAGGAAAAGTGTGCTATCAGCTGAAGCATCTCCCAAGTCCAGCTCTGCACCCCCACGTGCATCCCCACACGAACGTGTTGCCAGGAATCAACCGAACCCCTGTTTCTCTCGCAGAAAATTGGTGGGAGCAATCCTCGCTTGCGTGTCAGGATGCCTGTCCAGGTGAAGCCAGCATGAGTCTCTCCAGATTCTAAGGCAGTGATGGGAAAGTGAAGGAAGCAGAAATGGCCAAGGGCCATCCTCTGTCAGTAATTCACTCTGTCAGCCCTCCCTAAGCCGGGTGGTGGGTGTTATGCATCAGGACGCCGGGCTCTGGTGGGGTAATGAGAGGGACTCATAAGTGGCCAAGCTGTGACTCAAACCTGGCAGGACTCCCACTGGCTTCACTCTGCCCTCTTAAATTCTACAATTAGAGCTCCCCAGGAGAGAGCAACCCATTGACTTAAATGTTCACTCACCTGTAAACAGGTGACATGAGATTTTCTCCCATTCGTGGGTTTCCTGATGTCAGGATGGAGCACAGAGCAGGGGCCGTCGGGCACCTATAGGCTGAAGGGAACCCTGGGTAGAGGATAGTGTACGTTTGTTTCATGATGTTGCCAGGAGCTGGCCCTTTGCTGTAAACCAGGTCCTGTTTTGAGCGTGCTGGGAAGTTCAGAAGCAGAGTTCCATAGACACTTCTGAGATGCACAGGCACCTCTCCTGCCTAATGTGGCCAGGAAAAATTGCCCTGATAAAGCCAATGACATCATAGATTAGAACCTGAGGAACCCGCAGCCTAGTAGTTCCCGATCTTGCTGCCTATTAACATCACGGGGACGCCTTTCAGAGCTCCCCAGGTGATGTTAATGGCAGCAAAATCAAGAACCACTGTGAATAGGCAGCAATCGATGTCCAGGCCACTCCCCACCAACTAAATCAGGGTCTCCAGGATGGGCTCATGCCTCCACGGTTCCTGGTTCCCCAGGTGCAACTGCGACCTCCCTCAGTGATCCAGTGTGGGCTTCTCACACTTTAATGCACATCTGAACGAATCGGGGCTCTTGTGAAAATTTGAATTCTGGCTCAAGAGGCTGGGATGAGCCTGAGATTCTGCTAGGAGCTAGGAAAAGTGTGATCCAGAGCTAGGAAAAGTGTGATCTTGGATGCTTGTCATCTGGGAGCTTGTTAGAGGTGCAGGATCTCAGGCCCCACCCAGAACCTAAGGATCAGAATCTACATTTGAATAAGGTGCAGGTTTGTTGAATATACGTCCCTAGTTTGAGACAACCTGCTACAACCTGAAGCCTCTATTTGCTCATGAGCAAGTGAGGGCCAGAGAGATGGAGCCCTGGACCCCACAGCTACTCAATGCAAAAAGCTTTAGTAACTGTGCTTGCTGTAACCCACGCGTCTTCTTCCCACCATTGCTAGCCTCACTAAAGATTGCATTTGTTTCTCTGACAATGATGACTTCAGGCAATGTATAAAACTTGCTCCTCCTGTTAACATTTAATTCAGGCGTGAAACCAAACAAACCCAAAAATGGAGGAAGGAAAGAGAAGAAATGGGGCTAAAAAAGATCTAAAAATGGGACAGAAGCAAGGTGCCTTTTTCATCTTCTCTTTGATTAAAAAAGGTCTGTTAGCTCGAAGCCCACAGGTATGTGACTCAGTGCAGACGAGGGGAAACTCCGTGGGAAGTTTTGGATCTTTCCTATTAGAAGAATCAGGAATTTAGCCCAGCTCAGGGAAAACATATGAGCTTCCTTTGACTCTCCCAGGATGAGCTAGTTTCAGTATCATGGTGAAAAAATAAAATAATACAAAGGCGTTCACCAAAAGGAAGTGCTGTTTCCTCTATTTCTGAACCCTCAGAGAGCTAAAATGATGCTGATGAGTCAGAAGCTAGCGCCCCTGAAGGAGCCACCAAAGGAAGATACTGAGCTTTTAATGTTTCCTTAAAGGGCAGCCCTAACCCCTCCCAGTGCGGAGCTGATTTTTGGAAATAGCCAGAAGTGGTTTCAAGTCACATCAGGTGATTGAGGTGGGTGACCAAACTCAGCACGATGTTAGAAACAAATCCAAATGTGACAATAAGTGGCACTCCTTGTTTATTTATTTTGAGACAGTGGTCTCGCTCTGTCACCCCCCTGGAGTGCAGTGGCATGATCATGGCTCACTGCAGCCTCCACGTCCCAGGCTCAAGCCATCCTCCCACCTCAGTTTCCCAAGTAACTGGGACTATAGGCATGTGCCACCATGCCCAGCTAATTTTTTTATTATTTATTTTTTGTAGAGACGAGGTCTCACTATGCCGCCCAGGCTGGTCTCAAACTCCTAGATTCAAGTGATCCTCCCACCTCGGCCTCCCAAAGTGCTGGGATTACAGGCATGGGCCACTGCACCGGCCCTGGTTTCTTCATGTGGGATGTCACCCGGCTCTAAAAGGCAGTTTCTTATAAAAGTCCCAGCTGCAGCTTGAGCAGGAATAGCTGCATGGACAACAGAGTGGAGCTTCTCAACCTCCTTTGAAGGGCAAAAGTGGGTCTGATGGGCTGTTCGAAGCGGGTCCCTGAGGGTCGCATTCCTTGCATCCAACTCCCACCTCCTTCCTTCCTTCCCCTCCCTCCCTCGTCTTTCTTTCTTTCTTTCCTTCTTTTCTTTCTTTCTTTCTTCTTTCTTTCTCTCTCTCTCTGTCTCTCTCTCTTTCTTTTTCTTAACAAGCTCAGGCAAATTTTATTAAAGGAAAATTTTGCATGGTTTGCTTTTCACCAATCTGTTCTGGCATGCTTCTAATGATGTCAGAATCACCTAGATCAATGATAGCCGGTGTGCCCACTCTGTAATATTTTCCGCATGCTGTGCCCAGTTCAATATTATTGCCACCGTAGTGATGGACACCAGTTTTGGCCAACATTCCATAGCTGGGTGGTTGTTAGTGAGAATGATCAATTTTGCTTTGCCTTGTCTAATCATCTTCAGAGTCTGCTTGTACCCCAGCTCATACTTTCCACTTTTCATAATGAGTTGGAACCTACAGTTGATCGACTCCAGGAGCTTTTTCTTCTTCTTTGCAGCCACCAAATTCCCGCCTTAGCTGCAGGACGGACCCCAACCAAGAGCAGCCGCTAAGATGGCCGGGGAGTGAGAAAAGCCTCATTTCTTTAATAAAGGTGATTGCCCATTTTCAGACACAGGATAGGGGATTATTGAGGGTGCCACCAAGGAGAAGGGGGTCACCACCTGAGAAGGGGCCATGGGGGGCTGCCATGGCAGGTGGCAGAGGGCAGAGCAAAGAAGGGGCAGACATCGCCCCTATCAGTTTGCTTGGGCTGCACTAACAAAGTATGACAGATCGGGGCTTAAACAATGGAAACTTACTGTCTCACAGTTCTGGAGACCAGAAGTTCAAGATCAAGGTGTGCATAGGGCTTGTCCCCTCTGAAACCTGTAGGGCAAATTCCTCCTTGCCTCATCCTCGCCTCTGTGGGTTGCTGGCAATCCTCATCATCCCTGGGCTTCCAGCTGCATCCCCCTAATCTCCGTTTCTGTTGCTGTTATGCGGCATTCTTCCTGTGTCTCTATCGTCACCTGGCTGTCTTCCTGTAAGGACAGCAGTCATCATGGATTAGGGGCCCACTGTCGTCTGGTAGGACCTCATCTTAACTATTTACATCTGCAACACCTGTTTCCAAATAAGGCCACTGCCTGAGATACTGGGGGTTGGGACCTCAACGTATTTTTCTGGGGAGACACAAAGTTCAATCTGTAATGCCACCTTTGTCAAAATTGTTTCTGGAATATTAATTAGGCTCATTCACTCCACCTGAGGGTTTTTGTTTTGTTTTGTTTTGTTTTGTTTTTTGAGACAGAGTCTCACTCTGCTGCCCAGGCTGGAGTGCAATGGTGTGATCTGGGCTAACTGTAACCTCTGCTTCCCGGGTTCAAGTGATTATCCTGCCTCAGCCTCCCAAGTAGCTGGGACTACAAGTGCCCGCCACCACACCCAGCTAATTTTTGTGTTTTTAGTAGAGACGGGGTTTCACCATGTTGGCCAGGCTGGTCTTGAACTCCTGACCTCTGGTGATCCACCCACGTAGCCCTTCCAAAGTGCTGAGATTACAGGCTTGAGCCACCACACCCCACCCTGAAGAACTATTTTTATCTGCACAATGAGTCATTCAAACAAACCCTTTCTTGGAAATCTAATCTGTTGTATCCCAGAAGATTTTAAAATATAATTACTGTGCTTTTTTGTTGTGTTTTTTTTGGGTTTTTTGTTTGTTTCTTTGGTTTTTTTGTTTGTTTGTTTGTTTGAGATAGAGTCTTGCTCTTGTTGCCCAGGCTGGAGTGCAGTGGCACCATCTCAGCTCACTGCAACCTCCGCCTCCCTGGTTCAAGCGATTCTCCTGCCTCAGCCTCCTGAGTAGCTGGGATTACAGGTGCCCACCACCACGCCCAGCTAATTTTTGTATTTTTAGTAGAGACGGGGTTTCACCATGTTGGCCAGGCTGGTCTCGAACTCCCAACCTCAAGGGATCCGCCCGCCTCAGCCTCCCAAAATGCTGGGATTACCGGCATGAGCTACCTCGCCCGGCCTATTGTGCTTTTTTCCCTTCCCCTCGTCTCTCCCCAGTGCGCACTGAGCACGCTCCTGGCGGTAGGATGCAGAAGGCCTGAGTTAACAAGGCCTTTCATTCACTCTGCAAGGAGCAGGCTGGTGTCCCAGGGAAGACCCTGGAGGGGAGGGAGGCCCCTAGTCCTGCCCGCAGCTGACTATGCGGGAATCACTGGGGCAGCAGTGGGCTGGGCCACAGCCATGGAGGAGGTCAGGTCCTAGGCCAGGGCATGAGGGTGGTTAGAGAGGAGTGAGTGGGGACAGCCTGCTGCGGCTTGGCGGATCCTTGGGCACAGACCTCCCTGCTCCTCCTTGGCCCTCCCTCCGGGAGGCGCAGGCTCAACCTCCTGCGTTCTTTCCTGTGCAGCTGCTGCGCTCAGCCTTGAACACCCTCCCGACCTTGGGGCTCTGCTGCCCCACGCGGAGCCCCCATTTCAACAGATGCAGACACCCCAAAGCCCCTTCCCAACAGCCCGAAGAGAAGCCCTCCTCTGAAGAGACAGCAGAGAAGCAGAGCCCCCTGGGACGCCCCCCAAGACCTCCACGTCTCCCCAGCACCCGGCGGGGGGGTGGTGCATGCACTTCCCGTGGCTGCGGGAACAAACTGCCACACACAGGGAGGCTGAACACAGCAGAAGTCTATTCCACACAGTCCTAGAAGCCAGAGGCAGTGACATCAAGGTGCTGGACGGCCGCCCTCCCATCGGAGGCTCTGGGAAGAATCTGTTCCTTCCTCTTCCAGCTTCCACGACTCAGGGCAGCACCCCTGTAACCTCTGCCTCCATGGTGATATCGCTTCCCCTCTTCTGTGTCAAATGTCCCCCTGCGTCCCTCTTCACCAGAATAATCCCCTCATCTCAAGTGCCTTAATTTAATCACACCTGCAAAGTGTTTGCCGCGTAAAGTAACAATTACAGTTTCCAGAGATTAAAACCTGTTATGTTTGGAGGCCATTATTCTACCTACAGAGAGGGGTTGGCTTAGGACACCCATTCTTGTTGCCGGGTAAAGCTGCCCGGGGGGCCTGGAGGAAGCCTGCTCTGTCTCTTTCAGCCCCCACAGGTACCCCAAGGGGGCCGCCACTGAGGTCCTCGGGCTCTGATCCAAGTGTGAAGTGAGAGCAAGTTCACTCCTTTCCCTGCTGGCTCTGACACAAGTTTTCCGTGTGGCCAGGGATGGGTGTGAGCAGCCCAGAGCAGGGGCCGGCCCAGGCTTGGCCAAGGCCCACACATCTGCCTGGCCCAGTCATGCCCAGCTCCATCTGAGATGGAACCACCAGCGCTGGCCACCTGGGTGGCTTCCTTGAGGGCTAGCTCGCAGCTCTTCGCCAATATCTCATTCAAATCTGCAGGTGCTAGGCCGTAAGTCTTCACTCCTTCAAAGTGGGGTGCCAGGGCCAGCAGCAACCCCCCCCCCCCACCCCGCGACCTGGAAGCTTGTTGGAAAAGCAGACCCTCAGGCCCAGCCTTGGCCCTTCTGCATCAGAATCTGCATGTTTACCAGATGCCCGGCAGTCCTGGGCCCATGACAGCGAGAAGCACGTGGAGAATCAACTCCAGTGCCTGTTCCCCTCCCACCAATGCAACTGTTCATTCCATTCAAGAGCTGGTCTTTTCTCTTCTGGCAGGAGTGTGGGCTGCCTGCCTCCCCAGGGGATGGGCGTGTGGTTTAGAAGCCAAGCAGTGCTCATTTGGTTTATTTATCTTCCTGAGACTTAATCTATTTTGAATTTCAGATAACATTCTAAAAAGGCTTGGCTTGTTTTTCTTATCTAGGGGTGGGGTAAGTGCGCTTGTGTTGAGCAAAGTTGAGAAATATTTCTGCGGCTGATCACGGAGCTTCAGACCCACCATCCCTGGGGCTGCCTTCCCAGTAATCTCTAAAACCCATCTGATTCGGGCCCTTCCTGCGGTGAACATCTGTTTATCCACATGGCGCTCTTCCCTTCCCTTTATAAAAGGTCTCCACCCACGGGAAGGAGGCTGCCAATCACAGCATGCCCACCCTCTCCTCCACCCATCACATGACGCAGGTCATGTGGTGGTCACACGACACAGGCCTGCCTCTGTAAAGCATCTGTGCCCCTGGCCACAGTTGATTGGTCTGCTGTTGACACGTGACTGAAACTAGACCAATCAGAATCCCTCCTTCCTTGGGGTTTTTAAAATCAAGGCTGAGAAATTGTTTTTCAGGGATCTCTAACCTGCAATGATGTCAGAGAAGTACTGCTATCTGGAGGTGCTGGCTCATGGCAGCCTGCCCTATGGAAGTACCTGCCTCCCGGTACCCTGCCCTGTAGAATTTTTCTGCCACACAGAGGTTGCCTGCCACATGGAGAATGCCCACCTGCAGGGGAGGAATGACACCAGGCACAGAGAAACCTAGATCAAAGGGGGAGCCACAGGGTGTCTCGGCTCCATTCGCAAGCCACGTTATTCTTCCTGATGTCCCTGCAGTCACTACGGTTCTTAGAGCTCCCCAGAGTCCTAACACATTCCCTTTTCAGTCTAGTTGTTTGAATTTGATTTCTATCTTTTGCAACGGAAAAAGTCCTAACACATTTCCACTTTGGAAATCTTCGGATAGCAGCCATGTTGGGTCACAGGATATCATTCTCCTTATTGCCATTCAGAGACCTTTCCAATCTAACTCCATGTCCCTCACCTCTTCCCATGGAAATTTAGCTCCTGCACTTGACTCTTCCAAGGTACAGATATAGCCGGGGTTCTTTCATGCACCTGCTGGACTATTCCAGACCCCTGTGAAGCTCTCCCGGGTGCTTGCTGAGCAATCCCAAGTGCCTGCAGGACTCTTCCAGTTCTTTGGTGGTTGTTCGTTTTTGAGACAGGGTCTCACTCTGTCGTCCAGGCTGGAGTGCAGTGGTGCAATCACGGCTCACTGCAGCCTTGTTCTCCTAGGCTCAGGCGATCATCCCACCTCAGCCTCCTGAGTCACTAGGACTACAGGCATGCACTACCATGCCTGGCTAATGTTTTGTATTTTTTGTAGAGACAAGGTTTCGCCATGTTGCCCAGGCTGGTCTTAAACTCCTGGGCTCAAGCGGTCTGCTCACCTCGGCCTCCCAAGTAGCTGGGACTACAGGCATGCAGCACCACGCTCAGCTAATTTTTTAATTTTTGTAGAGAGCGGTGGGTTGGGGGGGGTCTCACTAATGTTGCCCAAGCTGGTCTCAAACGCCTGGGCTCAATTTCCAGTCCTTTTGTTTCCTCCCAATACTTGAGTGTCTGCACCTGGACAACAACATTATCCCATGTCATTGTTATAGTTAGCATCTCTCTTTCCCCTGGCTAGGCTGTAGACACTCCAGAGAGACATTGGGCCTGGTAGCCCAGGGTCCTAGTGGATTTCAGATCATAGAACATGCCCAACACGTTATTGATGGACCACGCAGATTCTCAGTGTGGCTTTTGAACTCTATGTTGGTGAACATACTGTGTTTCGGTGAATGTTTGCGAATGCTCGCAGAAAGGCCATAACCCACCTCCCTGCCTCAGCCTCCACCTCTGGAAAATGGAGGAAATAAAAGCTCTCCCTCATGGGCTTGTCAGGAGGACTCAGTGCCCGCGAAACATTCAGGACAGTGTCTGGCATCCAGTAAGCATCTCAGAGCATTTTGTGTGTCATTTACATTTTCTTTCCTCCCCCACCTCCTCTGTTTCACTCACCCTTTCCTTCTCATCTTCTCCTGCTATTTCTTCACCCCATCCCTGTCTGTCAGCCGAGGGAATCATTGGATAGCACGGGCACCCACCTCTGCAACAGGGAAATGCCTGGGGCTGGCTGTTTGGCAGCTGAGAATGTCTGCTGAGATACCCCTAAATAGAAGACTCCCTCCAACTCCGTGTATCTATCCCATCTGCTGCTTTCCAACCTCACCCCACTGCCCCAGTTTAGAGCCTCTGTCTAGACAGGTGCAGATGCTCTGACCCTCTAGACGTAATCCCTGGTTTATCTCGCTGGGAGCACCAGGCTGGAGACCCCTGCAGAGGACACGTCGCAGTTGTGCTGGCCCAGGGAGTTAGCGCAGGCTCCAGCATTCTCTCAACCCCCAAACAATCTTCGCTTAAAAGGTGAAAACGCTCATTTTCTTTTGCACACGTGCTTTTGGCTCTGATGACTCCATTCCCACCAGTCAGAGTCTCTTAATAAACATGAGCATGTGAGTAGTCAGTGCTGACTGTCTGGTTATATTCTCTGAGCAGCCAGGTAAGCTTGGGCATGTCCTTCTGTCATCCAAGTGTGCAGCCCTGGACCCCAGAGTCAGGGCACTGGGCAGGGAGGGGCCCTCTTGGTGAACCCCCTAGGTCAGCAGCTGGCAGCACACCTGGAAGCTGCTTCCTCACAGCTGGATCATGCTGCTAAGTTCTACCACGCTGAGCTTTCAGAGTGACTCCGTGTTGTCATCCTTCTCTTCATATAAGGACAAGAGTCATTGGATTCAGGGCCCACCTTAAATCCAAGATTATTTTATCTCATGATTCTTCACTGATTGCAACTGCAAAGACAGAACTTTCGAGTAAGGTCACATTGACAGATTCCGAGTTGACCTGAAATTTGAGGGGAAATTATTCTACCCACTACCGTGTCCATCCCTCCCCTTCCCACCAGGACCCCAGTTCCAAGAGCCCTTTCTCTGCCCTCATGCCAGAGCCCTGGCACCCAAGTTTGTTGGGCCATTAGACCATTACATCAGAGTTCCCCACTCCCCTAAAACCTGATCTCTCCTAACCTTTCAGAGCCCCACATGCCACTTAAAAATTCCCCAGAATTTATGGGAAAGAAATGTACATGACATTGATGTTATCAAAATGTCCATGAGTGACATCCACTTTTTGTTTTTCTGATCCGCTTTGTGTTTTCTGGAGCAGGTCTTTAATATACCAGAAAGGCCTTCCTAAGAGGAACTGTTTATGATACAGGAAATAGTAGCATTCGAAAAGGTTTATCTTTTACGGTTTTCGTTTTGTTTTGTTTTGATTTTTAATTGCGGTAAACTATGATAAGAAAGTGTAGCATTTTAACCTTTTTTTTTTTTTTTTGACGGAGTCTCGTCTGTCACCAGGCTGGAGTGCAGTGGCATGATCTTGGCTCACTGCAATCTCCACCTCCTGGGTTTAAGCGATTCTCCTGCCTCAGCCTCCCGAGTAGCTGGGATTACAGGTGCAACCATCACACCCGGCTGATTTTTGTATTTTTAGTAGAGACAGGGTTTCCCCATGTTGGCCAGGCTGGTCTCGAACTCCTGACCTCAAGTGATTCACCTGCCTCGGCCTCCCAAAGTGCTGGGATTATAGGCATGAACCACTGTGGCTGGCCTGACTCTCCTCTTGTTCCAGATTGTCTTTTCAGATGCAGCAAACAGCCTTGGAGAAGCAAAGAGGTGGTGTCTCCCTACAGAGCAGAGAGCAGGTTTGGTTATTACCTAATATTATAAAGATAACATCTCCCGCTGGGACAAAGGTTAGGTGTGTTTGCTTACTGCCCATTATAAAGCATCTGCATCCCCTGAGCTCAGGGTTTTCCCTCGCTGATGCAAATTCACTGCGCGGCAGCATCCACCTGGGCCCCCCACGTCACCCCCATGGGGTTTTGGGGACATAGGGAACCAGTGCAAACATTAAGCTTGTATTAACCATGTCTTCCATTCTCTGCATTCTGATGCTTTGATATCTGGGACCTTGCTGACCCTGGAGGGACTGCCCCACCCAGTACTAACCAATCCCCAGAGATAGTAAACCAGGCTCCTGCAAACATGCTTTTCAAATGCAAACCAACCAGTTGCAAGCCCATGCCCCAGACACCTCCTCTATTGGGTTTTCACACTCCAGGCCACTATCCACCTGCCTAATCACCCTGGGAGCAAGTACCGGACAACTAGGGACACAAACAAGGCTTTTGCCCACATGTCCGCTGTCTCCTGAGCCTGCTAACAACGCTCGTGGCCCTGCATAGCTCAGCGTGGCCCCTCCTCCTGGGAACTGGGAGTAACAAACTGTCCTTTCAATGACAATCATTTCCTGATCTGTTGGCCTTACTATAACTCAAATATTGCATTAATACACCACATTTTAAAGCAAAACTTATGCTGCTTGCTGTGCTGTGAGTAGCAAAGTCCTTTGTCTCTGCCCCGGGAGTCTCGTGTCATTAGGCAGCATTTGTCAAACTGGCAGGCTAACTTTTAGCCTAGGAGTAGGTAAAATCTCAGACCCTTCATAGCTCTTGACAAGACCCAGGTCTGCTACTGCGGTGGGTTTCATAGGAACTGTGGTGTTTGACGGAAGAAACAGACGATCTGGAAGCAGAGAAGAGGCCCTTCCTGTCTCCCCCTGCTCAAACTGGGTGTGAGAGGAAGTTGGATCCACTGGAAAGAGCTGTGGGTGGGCAGGGAGCTAGGTTGTCTGGCTTTTTTAGAAGGAGGAGGTAAATTTGAGGTCAGAGGGGGATTTGTCAGCCCCAGCTGTGGAGTTCTCAAGCAGATCCTCTCAGACATCAATGAGCACACGAGCTGCCTGGAAATCTGATTCTGACTGGGTCTGAGCTGGATCCCAAGATTCTGCATTTCCAAGGCTCTCCCAGGGGATGCTGATGCTGCGGGTCCTTGGACCACACTCGGAGGAGCCACTCACACTGGAGGACACACTCAACATAAGGCCACACTCGCTGGCATGCCTGGAGGATGGGGAGGGGAGGGCTTCCATACGGCTCCCACCTGGACCCCACTGCCCCCGCCTCACCGACCCACCCCAAGCACACGCAGTCTCAATTCCAATGTGTGCATCTGTTCAGCAACCAAAATAGGATTCTCCAGGCTGTGCCTCCCAGGGGATCCTAGGAATTTCCTGGAACAGAGATGGGGTTTTCAGGATGGCCCTGGTCTCCAGTCCCCTCCTGACAATCCTACTCCGGGAGGTTCATCTGGATCCCCCTCCAGCCTCCTGGAAGTCTGGCTGCGCATCAATTGCCTGGCACATAGATGACAGCCATTAAATGCTTTTCGAATTAATGAAAAAAATCTATCAGTCTATATTTGTGTATTTCGTAGCTCCAGGGGACAATCAAAAGAAAATAAAATCCCCCAGCTGAAATAACTACATTGGTTTATGGCCTATTTATTCATTTATCTGCCCTTGTGGAAGCTAAGAAGTTCCTATTTTTAGCACCTCCCATGCTCAGACATGGGTTATTTTTTGTCTTCAAACTCTCCTAAAGAGTTGACATGTTGGCTGGGCACAGTGGCTCATGCCTGTAATCCCAGCACTTTGGGAGGTCGAGGCAGGCGGATCACCTGAGGTTGGGGGTTCAAGACCATCCTGACCAACATGGAGAAACCCCGTCTCTGCTAAAAAGACAAAATTAGCCAGGCGTGGTGGCGCATGCCTGTAATCTCAGCTACTTGGGAGGCTGAGGCAGGAAAATTGCTTGAATTCAGGAGGCAGAGGTTGCGTGAGCCGAGATCGTGCCATTGCACTCCAGCCTGGACAACAAGAGAAACTCCGTCTCAGAAAAAAAAAAGAGTTGACATGTCCCAGCCTATTACCGCAAAGCCGTGCCGTGCATTTAGTGAGAGGAGACAGTAGGGACAGGAGCTCAGGCAAGAGGCCTCCTCTCCCACAGTGCCCAGGAAATAGTCACAAGGTGAGACGCCCGAAGCAGCTGCCAGCCGAGTCCCAGCCTGGCGTCCTGTGCTCTCCCTCGGGTTTCCAGGGAAGCAGGTGTGGCAGCCCCACCTCTGCCCACCCTGTTCTCACTCCACTTCCAGAGAGGAGGGTGCGGGTGTGAACTCTGCAGCCCGTGTTTGCAACTCTGCCAAGTAGGCGTGACCAAATGGCAATTTAAAAGCCACTCACCTAAAGATGTGGGGTGTCTGAGCCAAGCCTGAGCGCCCATTCTAATCCTGTAGAAATATTTGAAAGAGAATAGTCATCACATCTGGGGGGCTGGGCTCAAGATTTTTCTAGCACTGACTCACTCACAGAACTTGGGCAAGTCTTTACATTCTCCAGGTCTCAATTTCTGCATGGAAGCATGGAGACAGTCATTGTAGACCAGTGTCACTTTCCCTTATATGCTGGGGACTTGAAAGAACTATTACACACTCCAAAGTGACTAATTTATAGCTTAATCACTTGTAACATCTTTCTAACCTACTCACACACGTTACCATAATTATAGCAGCCACCTCAAAAACAAGGACACCAGGATAATCATGAAAACACTAAAAACAGAGTGCTAAAATATAGCTGATTTCGAAGGCATTAATCTTCCTAATCCTTCTGTGTGGACAAGAGGCTGCAAATATTGGTGAAAACATCATCCTCATCATCATCACATATCTTTACAACACCCTATATATTCTTTCCAAAATTGGCCATGCCATTTTGCCATCTTTTCCCGCTCCTGAGATAAGTAGAAAACTATTCTTATTTTCTCCAATTAGCACTTCTTTTAGGCATTGGAAACCTAGCAAGATTTGGGGAGGAAGATTTACTGGCTTGAAGAGTGTTTCCCACCCCAAAATTCATGTCCACCCAGAACCTCAGAATGTGGCCCTATTTGGAAACAGGGCTGTTGCAGATGTCATTAAGATGAGATCATACCACAGTAGGGTGAGCTCTAAATCCAACGACTGCTGCCCTTTACGAGAGGAGAGGATGCACAGTCGTACGCACAGAGAAGACCATGTGAAGAGGGAGGCAGAGATTGGAGTAATGCACCCACACGCCAAGGAATGCCAGGGATTGTCAGCATCACCAGAAGCTGGCAGAAGCAGGAAGGACCCCCACCCCCAGCCAGAGCCTTAGAAGGAAGTGTGGCCCTGCCAATCAAGTCCGGGAAGCTAGAAGTCCAAAAATTTCTAGCCTCCAGGACTGTGAGAGAATAAATCTCTGTTGCGGAAGCCCCTGAGTTTGTGATACTTTGTCGGGGCAGCCCCAGGAAGCTAATACAGAAAGGGTACTGGGAAACTGGGAGCCAGAGGCTCAGAAGGGAGCTCACAGAGGCTGCAGGAACTCAGCTACCACTCAAGTATCTGGAGAGGGCTCAAGGTTTCTCTGGTTGCACCTTGATCCATCCCAGTAGACACACAGTGCAGGGCCCACCACGTGCAGTCATGAAGCCGGGAGGACCCCGGGTCTCTGTCCACTCCCATCTGACCAGCCAGAACCCACCATCTCTGGCTCTACCCATGGAAGGAGGGCACCACCTGACCAAAGCAGAGGGAATGCGGGATGAGAAGGGGCAGCAACGAGTGTGCCTGATGTGCTCGCTGCTGATTAAAGCTTCCTTCAACAGAGAGTTTTATCCTGGAGGATTTTGAATAGTTTTTTTTCTTTTTTTAGACAGAATCTCACTCTGTCACCAAGGCTGGAGTGCAGTAGTGTGATCTTTGCTCACTGCAACCTCTGCCTCCCGGGCTCAAGTGATTCTCCTGTCTCAGCCTCCCAAGTAGCTGGGATTATAGGTGAACGCCACCATACCCAGCTAATTTTTGTATTTTTAGTAGAGATGAGATTTCACCATGTTGCCCAGGCTGGTCTTGAACTCCTGACCTCAAATGATCCGATTGCCTTGGCCTCCCAAAGTGCTGGAATTACAGACATGAGCCACTGTGCCTGGCCTTATCCCAGAGGATTTTCCAGAATATTAAGCATACATGTCCTCTTCCTGCCATCCTCACGGAGCATCTGCCCTCCTGTCATCTTGCTCCTAAGTTTCCCGCCCTTTTCCTCAGGTCCTGAGAGAGTCTTGATGGCTGACCCAAATCCTTCCTTCCTGTCCATCAACAGATGTCAGCTCAGTTCCTGGCTGGCTGCGTGTCCTTGTTCCACCTGTAGTAGGACCGCTTTGCTTTCTTCATCTATACAGTGTGAATAACGGTAGCAGGAGCTACCTATAGATGAAGGTAGCAAGTCTGTGGACTAGCAAGTCCGTGGACCAGGACATGGAGCGCCCCACACAGTGCCCAGGTCAGTGGCCCTCGGTAAATGTGGGTTAACCTCTTTAACATGTTGAAAAAGGTCAAGGTTAACTGCATAGACCCGGGGTCAGCAAACAATGGCCCACAAGGTAAAAATGGTTTTTACACTTGTAAGTAGTTGAAAAAGTTCAAAAAGAAAAATATTTTGTGATGTGGAATTCTATGAACTTAATTTTAGTGTTCATTAATAAAGTTTTATTGGAACACGGCCACACTCACTCATTTTCATATTGTCTATGGCTGCTCTCATGCTACACAGCAGAGCTGAGCAGTTGCAGCAGAGACTGCATGTCTGCAAAGCCCAAAAGATTTACTATATGATGCACTACAGAAAAGGGTTGCAGGTCTCTGATAGACTCGAGCCAAATGATCTAACTTCAACTCCCAGATCCAAGACTTACTAGCTGTTTGACTTTACACAAATTATCTGCCTCCATTTCGTCTCTTTAAAATGGACATGATAGTCCTCATTTTAACATATTTTTGTGAGAATTAGATACATTATTATTTTTAAGGTCTTAGTGCCAGCATATAAAAATACAATTGATGGGTTCGATTATTTTCATGTCTTTGTTTTAATGCTCATTCTAACTCTTTAAATATCACCGTCCTTCTACACCAGAGTAAAATGTAAAAAAATTCTCAAGCCTTCTTTCCACTTGAAACACAAGAAAAGTTCTTTAAAACTGACTTATCATTTTCTTCTTTTCATCGTTGTTCCACATGCAAACAGATCCAGAAACCTTAGCTCAGACTTCTCAAATCCCAGATGGATTGTAATTTGTTATATTGGAGAAAAAAAGAAAATCTGTGCTCCCTAGCAGATGCACAAGGACTGTTTTGTTAGTCACATCTGCCACGTTCCTACTTTTCAGCACTAAAAGAACTTTTTTGCAAGCTCTTCAGATCTTGATTCTGAAATGCAAAAGCAGAATGATGAGGCACGTATTTCCCACCTTGCCAGAGATGTTTTCCTTCTTTACCTAAATGGTCTGGAGTTTACACGCAATCATGCCCCGCAACACATAGAGGGGTCTGGCAGAGCTGGAACAGGAGTTGGGGACATTGAAAGTTGCCCCCTCAACACGCTCTCACTTCTTCCATGTGATCAAGGGCATGTGGCTGCTCAGCTAGAGACTGCATTTCGCAGCCTGCTGTGCAATTCAATGTGGTCACGTGGCTAAGCGCACCGCCTGCCGGCATGTGAGGGGAGGTAATAGACACCACTCCTAAGTATGGGCCTTAAGACAATGGCCTCCTCCCTGCTCTTCACCTTCCTATGAACTGCACCCATGCAGATGAGGGTGAAAGTCCATATGATGGCAAAGCGACAAGATGGACAGGACCTGGATCCCTGAATGATCATGTGGAGCACAGCAGTTCCATCACCAAGGACCCTTCATCTGAGGACTGGTATTTGAGAGAAAATAAACTTCTACGTGCTTTAAGCCACTGTGTGATTTGTTACTTTGTTACTGCAGCTTAGCTTTACTCTAATAGAAAGCCTCTGAGTCCATTACTTTCTGTAGTTTACAGAAGAGGAAACAGAGCGATGGGACAATCCTCCCCAAATCCCATACTTAGTTGCAGAATCAGGTCTGGAACCCAGTCTCTTACCCTGTTGCCCCATGCTCTGTCTGCTTAACTTGGGCATTATTTTTTATTTATTTTTATATTTTATTTTATACTTCTCCCTTCTTTTCTCAAGTGTTGAAGTGGGCATTATGTTTACTCTTTGGAGACAGGCCTATGTCACTTCAGCTCTCTGAAATTATCACCTGGTGCTTGGCACATAGTGCTACTTGCTGCTGGGAACAGTGCATCAGTCTGGGTCCAATCAGGAGAGAGAAACCACAGAGTGATTTGAACAGGGAAAGTTTTATATAAATAATCAGTAAGGACAATAGGGTCGGGGTACGAGGAACTGGCTGGCAAGAAGTAAAGATAATTTTACAGAATATATGAATAGCAGATATGAATAACAGCCATTACCCCAAGGACTGGAATGGTACACCCAGAGAAATCCCCTTGCCCTGAGCTGAGATCCAGGTCTTGTTGAAGAGGGTGTGACTGTGGCTTGTAGAACTGCAGAGAAGTGGCTGTGGTGCCCTGCTAGCGGAACTTGCTAGAAGTCTGCCATCTAGATGGCACCAGGGAAAGGCGTCCCTGGAAAGATGTCTTTCTGGAGGTTTTCTGCTACAAAGCCACCTGAGAGGCTTCTGAAGGGAGCTGCTGGCCACACCAACAATAATAAGCAAGCAATTTCCATTCCCATCTGGAACACATTTATGTTTAACCACTGATCAACTTTTGCCCATCTGTTCTCTATTTTCTTTAGAGACTTTTAAACTTGTTTTTTTAACTGTGTGATTTGTCTCAAAACATGACTTTAAAATATACACCCATTTTTAATACTTGGTCATAAAAAACCACCAAATCAGCAAAAAAGCACAAAATCAAGGCTCAAGCTCAGCCGCTCCTATTCAGTTACAATTTGGGAGGAACTTTGGTCAGAAACTGCATTCCTTTTCTATTGTTCTATAACAAAGTATCGTAAACTTAGCAACATGATCCATATTCATCATCTGACCTTCTCCATGGGTGGAGCGTCCAAGCCCAGCTTGGCTGAGTCCTCTGTTCACCTGGCAAGAAACCTCATCATGGCGTGGGCCGAGGCTGCAATCTCAACAGAGGCTCTAGGTTCGCTTCCAACTCATCCAGGTCATTGGCAGAATTCAGCTCCTGGCAGTGTAGAGCTGAGGTCTCGTTTTTTGGCTGGTAGTCGGCTGGAGGTCACTGTCAAATCCTAGAGGCCATCCTCATGTCCTCAGCACCTGGTGCCCTCGCAGTGACAGCTTATGTCTTCAAAGCCAGTGTGAGAACCCCTCTCTAGTCTGCTACTGCTGAGTCATGTCACAGACCACAATCGAGGGGGTAATTGTCCCACCATGTACTGTCCCGCTGTGTACCTGACTATACACAGACCTACCTACACTCAAGGAAGGAGATTCAATGGGGCGTGTCTGCCAGTGGACGGAATCTTGAAAGCCACCTTAGGATTCTGTCTGCAGCAGAAACTCATTGAAAACCTGTGGAAATTAGAAAATTTTCCTTTTTTTTTTTTTTTTCCTTTTTTTGAGACACAGTCTCACTCTGTAGCCCAAGCTGGAGTGCAGTGGTGCAATCTCAGCTCATTGCAACCTCCACCTCCGGGGCTCAAGCGATTTTTGTGCCTCAGCCTCCTGAGTAGCTGGGACCACAGGTGTGCGCCACCACGCCCAGCTAATTTTTTGTATTTTAGTAGAGACGGGGATTTGCCATGTAACCCAGGGTGGTCTCGAACTCCTGCACTCAGGAGATCCACCTGCCTCAGCCTCCTAAAGTGTTGGGATTACAGGCATGAACCATTGCGCCCAGCCAGAAAATTTTTCTAGAGCAGGTCTATCTTCTCTCCATTCTAGAACTCTCTCTTATCCTCCAAATGAGCCAAGATTCTTTCAGTTCTTCAACTTTCTTCAGCCTCAACCTCTCCCCAACCTCTTGATTCCTTAAAGGGCTGTTATTTTCGGAATCAAAAGAAAACCAAACCCAGGTCTTGCTTCAGGGCTCTGTCCCATTTCTGGTGTCCCCTTTGGACTTGGTTTGCAAGAAAAGAGGTAATAAGTGTGCTCATTTCCTAGGGTTGTTGAAACACATTACCACAAACTTGGTGGCTTCAAACAGCAACAATTTCTTGTCTCACAGTTCTGGGGACCGTAAGTCCAAAATCAAGGTATCGGCAGGACCCTGCTCCCTCTGAAGCTTTTAGGAGGGAATCCTTCCTTGCTTCCTCCAACTTCTGGTGGCTCCAAGCACTCCTTAGTGATGGCAGCATTCCTCCAATCTCTGTCTCTGTCTTCACATGGTGTTCTCCCCTGCATTGGTGTCTCAAACTCCCCTCTGCCTTTCTCTTTTAAGGGCACCAGTTATTGGATTTAGGGTCCACCCTAAATCCAGGATGCTCACATCTTGTGATCCTTAAATTAACGACATCTACAAAGACCCTTTTTCCAAACAAGGCCACATTTGTAAGTTCCAGAGTTGAGACATGGACATATCTTTCTGGGAGTCACTCACTATTCAACTGACTACAACCAGGGAAAAGGCTGATTTCAAAGTCAGGTCAAATCAATTGCAAAGGCCAGGTATTCACCCTGATATTGTGTAAGCCTGGAGGGGGACTTGCCTGCTGGGTCTAACTAAATTGAGAGCTGAGCTGAGGTGGTGCTGGCCTTAGAGAGGAGAAGAACCATGATCCTAGCCCCTGGGAACCCTGGCACTCTGCCTTCCTCTCCTCCTCACCCCGTTAGTGTAGACAGGCTCCATGCTGGGCTCACAGCAGACTGGGAGAGCAGGGCAAGCAGGACCACTGTGTGGTGTTGGACTAGGAACTTAATTAATCTCTCTTTCTCTTCACCTATCTATAATGGCTATGAGGTTAATAACAATAATTTCCACTTGATAACATGGTTATGAAGAGTAAATGAGTTAGCGTGTGGAAAACAGGCTGAATTCTAAGATGGCCCCCAAATCCCCACCCTCCTGGTGAACACGCCCTGTATAATCCACTCTCCTTGAGGCCTGGCACGTATGGGGTTGAGCTAGATGAAATTGCTGTTTGGGGGATGAAAATTTGAGATTATCAGTAGCTAACATGTTTCAACATAACAGTGTCACGTATGTTAGTGACTACTAGCACCTACAACTCTAGACCCATATCCTAATAAGCTTTTTAATCAAAGGAAGAAGAAAAGGGCCTCTCTCTCCCAGCACCAAGCCGAAAAACCCAGAGAAGGCTCTCATCCGTCAAGTGCAGGTCATGTGCCAACTCTCTTGGGCAAATCACTTTGGCCAGGAGGGGAGCACTGTGATGGGCCCAGCCTAGATCACAAGCATTCCCTGTTGGCTACACTCCAAGCCCAAAGAACTCAGACACCAATTCTTTTTCATGATTGGTTGATGGGTGGACTTAATACATAATAAATGCATGGTTGATGGGTGGACTTAATACATAATAAATGCACGGTTGATGGGTGGACTTAATACATAATAAATGCACAAGTGAAAATCAAATGGTAGAAAAAAGTTATACAATGAGACACAGGCAGCCTTCCTCCCAACTTCTCCTCCTTGGAGGTTTCTACCAGTTTTTTCTGTGTATCATTCCAGAAACAACGTATGCACTGTGAGCATGCATATGAATATGTGGAGGTATGAGTCTCCCCCACCGCATCTTCACCCAAATGGTCGAATGGCCGTGTGCTGGACCCCACCATGTCTTCATCGAATGGCCGTGTGCTGGATATTTCAAACTTCTTTGTCTAGCACATTCCTTTAGCCTCTCCTGGCTCTTCCATGCTCTGAGCCCAGCATAGCTGACCTGTGTATCATGAGGCTTTCTTCTCTCCAGATTCTGGTTGTGCTCAGCCAGGACAAGACCCTGATGGAAGATCCCAGGATGGAAGACAAATGGAAGGAGGGTATTTATCCCCCAGTCACCTCCCTGGGGGGATGTGGGGGGTGGCTACCCCTGTACTAAAGCCACAGCTCTCACCAAGAGCCCTCTCCTCAGCCCTGCCATCTCTGTGGATCCCCGCAACAGCTTCTCCTGCACTTTCAGGCTGCGGGACATAAAACCCCACCGCAGCCAGCCCAGGGGCCTGCACCCTCCCTTGTGGGCTCCCCTCAGCCCTCCCCATATCTTAGTAAGCAGTCTCCTTGAAACCTTCTTCGAAAACCCTGTTCCAGTATTCCTAACAGGCCGCCCCACCTACACACTTCCCCAATTGAAAATCAAGGACGGATCAGACATGGTGGCTCACGCCTGTCATCCCAGCACTTTGGGAGGCCAAGGCAGGCGGATCACTTGAGGTCAGGAGTTTGTGACCAGCCTGGCCAACATGGTGAAACTCCGTGTCTACTAAAAAAAAAAAAAGTACAAAAAATTAGCCAGCAGTGGTGGCTTGTGCCTGTGGTACCAGCTACTCGGGAAGCTGAGGCAGGAGAATCTCTTGAACCTGGGAGACAGAGGTTGAGGTGAACCAAAATCACACTACTGCACTCCAGCCTGGGCAATGGAGTGAGACTTCATCTCAAAAAAGAAAAAAGAAAAGAAAAGAGAATCAAGGAACAAATTCTCCCACTCATCACTGTCCCCTCCCCAAGAGCCACTTTACTCTTCACCTTTCCTTTGGAGTTGGGCTCCAAGGCTCTGGAGTCGGACTGCCAGGACCCAGTAACAGTCCCTGCCTTTCCACCCGGGGGACTTTGGACAAGGAAGTGTGCCTCCATAACACAGGGGTAATGACAGCAGCCTTCCCTGCCACTGGGATGAGAACTTAATTAGCTGCAAAACCCGTACGTGGCAGGGGGGCCAGCCCTTAGCAGGTGCTGGGTAAATGCATTTTCACCTAAGCCCGAATATTATCCCAACCCAAATGTCCTTCCGGCCCCGAGGCCCCACGGCCAGGGCACTTCATGGATGCTGTGTGGCTCTCCTGATCACGCCCTGCTAATACTTTACGTGAGATTCAAGAATGGGACTGGGGTTTGAGGTGGGACATGTGCCCAGAAAGCCATTCCATATCCCAGGCCAACTGGCTCCAACTCAGCACAGGAAAGCGTGGGATCCCTGCTCCAACCTCGGGGAAAGCATGAAGGTTCCAGGAAACAGTGGACATCAACCCAACCCCACCTATCCAGTTTCTTTCACCTGTGGGGGCTTCTGGCCTTACCAAAAGCCAGAACGGGGAAATGGGACAGATACGGGGAATGCTGTTGGATGGAAGAGTTGAGAGGGACAGGAGTGTGAGGCCAGGTGGGTGGGCCTGGACCCTGGGCAGAAGGAGGACCTGGCTGCCCCTGGCATCTTAGTTCTAGGCCAGTCCCCTCTAAAGGGGGTTAATCCTACTTCTGTCCACTTCATGGGGTCCTGGTGGGGATCCCCTTCAATAACCAGGGGATTGTACAATTGTACAAATTGTACAAAGCAACATAATAGAGTTGGGATTTTCCTTGGAGGACGGGGGACCTGAACACATTTCATTCTTGAGATGCTAAGGCACAAAGCCGCAGGCTGACAAGGGTTTCATCGACCTCTGAGAATGTTTAAGACTTGAAAAAAATTATTGGCTGCAAATTACGGAAATAGCAAAATCAGACTCAATAAATGATTAATTTCTGTGTTCATTCCTCATTAATTGCTAAATTTAGTATACATAAAAATCTCACTACATTTGAAAACGATTTGTAAGTTAGATTCTCTCACACAATGAGAATTCACAAGTATGTTAGTGATTGCCAAGAAATAACAACTAATCGTAAATTCAATGTGTGACTCTTAGCACAATCATTTCAAAAGCAAATCATTGGCCCTGCCCAGCCACCTCAGAACTCCACCATGCTGGGTAAGCACGTATTTCTGGAGTCATCCCTGCTTTCATTCTTTTCCTATACCTCATAAACCAACAGAAGAAATATACTCCACTTTCTTTAGAGATGAAAAATACAGAAGCCAACAAATAAAGTTAGCTTGAAACCAAATAAGCCACTCGTTGCTGCCTGGACAAAGACTTAAGACACATATTTCAATGGGACAGAGCATTCTTTAAGTCATAAGATAAAACCACTGTCCACTCATCTGCATCTTGTAGCTTTTTCAATTCTGCTTCCCACCACCCCCCTCCCCACACTGCAATTAAGGAAAAGCAGGTGTTTTTCAAAGTCACACCGTATGAATGCCAGGAACTTTTTTTTCTTTTTTTGAGACGGGATCTCACTCTATCGCCCAGGCTGGAGTGCAGTGATGCAATCATAGCTCACTGTGGCCTCAACTTCCTGGGCTCAAGCTATCCTCCCACCTTGGCCTCCCAGGTAGCTGGGACCACAGGCGTATGCCACCACTTCCAGCTGATTTTTTTTTTTTTTTTTAATTTTTTTGTAGAGAAAAGGTCTCACTCCATTGCTAGGGCTGGTCTCAAACTCCTGGGCTCAAACAATCCTCCCACCTTGGCCTCCAGAAGTGCTAGGATTAAGGCATGAGCCACAGTGCCAGCAAACGCTCCATCATCTTCAGAGTTTATTTAATTTTTATTTTTTTAAAGAAAGTTGCTCTGTCGCCCAGGCTGGAGTGCAGTGGCACGATCTCGGCTCATTGCAAGCTCCGCCTCCCAGGTTCACGCCATTCTCCTGCCTCAGCCTCCCAAGTAGCTGGGACTACAGGCGCCTGCCACCACGCCCGGCTAATTTTTTGTATTTTTAGTAGAGACGGGGTTTCACCGTGTTAGCCAGGATGGTCTCGATCTCCTGACCTCGTAATCCACCCACCTTGGCCTCCCAAAGTGCTGGGATTAGAGGCGTGAGCCATTGCGCCCAGCCCAAAGTTTATTTTTAAAGTGACTTCAATTGGAAAAATTGTCTTTGACTCTTGAGGTGCTAAATCCAGATGTGGCCTCCTCTCCACGTGATAGCAAATCTCCCATTATTGTACTGGAGCCCCTATCAATCCCGTTAGGGTCCTCAGGCACCTCCTCCCATGTTCATTGCAGCAAGGGAGTTTCTGCTGTTCTCCTCCCAGAGCTACTTTCTTCAAACACACCAGCCACCTGAACAGTTTATTTTATTCAACATCTTGACCAGTTAATGATATTTGCAATAAAGTTTGTAGTTATTAAATAAACCATTTGAGTTACCCCCTAAAGACAAGCAACAATCTGACTGAAAGCCCAACTACCTATGGCTATTTTAACAAGAAATAACTGCAGGCTATGAAGGGGAACATAGATGATTCAGCCTTGTAACAAGAAGAGTCAAAATCAACAGAATAGGGAACGTGTTTTCCTTGATGAGAGGAAGCCCTCTGCCTGAGTATTCTGGGATTAGGAATCCGGTTTATGAGGCACAAACAATCCACTTTTTGCTCACAGAAGCATGGCACATTAATCAGGTGTTAGAGCAAGATATTTAAAGCTCCCCCACTAAATGGCATGGAGAGTGATCCCCCTTTATGTTTTGTTAATTACAAAATTAGCTCATCTTCCACCCATGATGGAGCTCGGCCTCTGGGCACTTGGAGCCCCAATGGTGACAGTCAACCGTGAGGCAGGGACAACCCCTGGGGGCTGGAGCTGAGCCGAGAGTGACCAGGAACCAGACGAAGACCCCCAACTGTGCTGGGGGAGGGACAGGGACAGAGCGTTAAGCAGGAGACTCCGATGTGTGGGTGATCTAAGGGCTGTGCGTCTGAGTCTCATGCTGAGCCGGCCAGTGGCCCAGCACTCAGGGGACGGGACCTGGGTGCCCACCTCCACTCTGCTCCAGACCCAGAGTCCACGCTAAGGAGTGTTCTGAAAACCTTGGGTCTGGCTGGGCAGATGAGTGCTTATCCTCCGAATGAGGCCTTGGCATTTTGGTCACTACTCTGAGACGACACAGGTGTTCAGACGGTGTCATGAAAGGAAAAAAGAAACTTGGGACCCCAGTTCACTCTGCCAGAAGGAAAACAAATGAAGCTGCAAGCTGAGTCATGCAGGAAGCTGCCTTTCCTTTTGCTCCTCAGCACAGAGCTACAGAGAAAAAGTTAAAATCTCCTCAGGTAGCAGCTCTGGGTTCACCTTATCTTGGGTGAAGCGCAGATTTACTGAGCACGAGACCATAAGATACATAACTGACGATTCCCTGTCTGCAACTTTTCCCTTGCAGCCTGTGGATTCAGTAATGACCACATCCTCCCCTCCCGCCTCCAGACCGCTTCTCCCCTTTCAACAGTGAAGCCCTGGAAATCACCCTTGGAGAAAGGCACAGACCACAGACTGCCTCTGTGATCCCGTGGTTTTGTTCTTCCAGGCACGTCCTTAACCTTGGCAAAATAAACTTCGAAGTTGATTGAGATCTGTCTCACATACTTTTTGGTTTTGTGTCAACTAGACAAGGCCAGTTTGTGTTTTGTTTTGTTTTGTTTCTGGTTTTTTTTTTTTTCTATTTACATTTCTTTTTATACCTGTAGAGCCAGTGCATGTTTCTATGGGAAAATCTGTTTGAACTTCAGAGCCCTCACTTGCCAAGTCAGGCTAAAACCATTCTGAGGGCTGGGAGAAGTAATGTGGCGCGGAGGAACTTGAGTCCCCACCAACAAAATTGACAAGGTGAAGTCGGAACCCCCAGCAACTCAGACTGTGATTGTATTTGGAGACAGGATCTTTAAAAGGTAATTAGGTTAACATGAGGTCATTAGCATGGGCCCTAAAACAATATTACCAGTGTTCTAATAAGAAGAGGAAACGAGGACACGGAGAGGCACAAGGGAAGACCATGTGAGGACCCAGGAGGAGGACAGCAACCACAAGCCACGGAGAGAGGCCTCCGGAGAAACCAGCCCTGCCAACACCTTCACCTTGGACTTCTGCTTCCGAAACAGTGAGGAAGTGTTTCTGCTACGTAAGCACTGGGTCTCCGGTGCTTCGTTCTGGCAGCCCTCACCGATTCATACAGAATGCTATTTCTCCTTCTATGACCAAGTCATTCCCAAGAAAACCCACTTTTTGAGACAAAAGCCTTTTCAAGGGACAAAGGCCAGGACTTGTTCACCAGCAGGGACGGGCCTCATCACACCCATGCTGCCGCGCGTCTCCACACTTCATGCTTTTTATTACTGAAACACCACATGCCTTTTTGATTGAGTGAAAAGCTGTTCCTGATTTATGCTTTATACATTCAGATTTTCACGTTGGAGTTTATTTACGGTGATATTCACCTATGCTCGGGCTTACAAAACTCGTCTTCAAATGTCTTTTCTTGAGCCCAGTGATGCTGTGTTGCACGCTGAGCTGGTCAGCATTGGGTGAGATTCTCTTGGTAAACGTGGGCAGCCTCCAGGGTTAGAGGAGGCAGGGGCTTCATTTCCCCTCCCCATCACCTCCCAACAAGATAGTCACAGTGAAAGCACGTCTCATCCCAGATGCTGCCAAATGGACACTTAGCAAGCTGTCCCCAAAGTCGTCATGTAATCTGTCCCTCTAAGTTTTAGAGGGGCCCACACTCGCTCCTTGGGCCCCCCAGACAGGCATTCGCACGAGTTTTCTCCAGGGCCTGAGCCCTGGCCTGGAAGCTAACCTGAAATGTATTCATTGGTATTGGCCTTTTCGAAAACTTTATAAAAGGAAAGCAAATAAAGGATCTTGGATGCTTATTTCCATTCAAGTGGATCACGCTGCTGTCCAGTACATTTCCCCCAGCCACGGACGCTAGGCCAGGCAGCAGGGTCCCTGGGGTCCACCTTTCATAGAAAAGATGCAGCCTCAGCTGCCAATGCCCTTCCCAGGGAGTCTTAGGAGGGGTAGGCAGGGAGCAAAGGGCGAGCCCCTCCACCAGCTTGGAGTCAAGAAGAAGAAAAGCCACTTTGTTTTTTTTTATTTTTAGATGGAGTCTCGCTCTAGTGCAGTGGCGCGATCTCGGCTCACTACAACCTCCGCCTCCCAGATTCAAGAGATTCTCCTGCCTCAGCCTCCTGAGTAGCTGGGATTACAGGTGCCCACCGCCACGCCTGGCTAATTTTTTTATTATTTCTAGTAGAGACGGGGTTTCACCATGTTAGCCAGGCTGCTCTCAAACTACTGACTCAAGTGATCCTCCCACCTTAGCCTCCCAAAGTGCTGGGATTACAGGTGTGAGCCACTGCGCCTGACCAAAAAGCCCCTTTTTTTGTTTGTTCGTTTGTGTTTTTGTTTTTGTTTTTTTTTGAGACGGAGTCTCGCTCTGTCGCCCAGGCTGGAGTGCAGTGGCGCGATCTCGGCTCACTGCAAGCTCTGCCTCCCAGGTTCACACCATTCTCCTGCCTCAGCCTCCCAAGTAGCTGGGACTACAGCACCCGCTACCACGCCTGGCTAATTTTTTTGTATTTTTAGTAGAGACGGGGTTTCACCGTGTTAGCCAGAATGGTCTCGATCTCCCGACCTCGTAATCCACCCGCCTCGGCCTCTCAAAGCACTGGGATTACAGGCGTGAGCCAACGCGCCCGGCCCAAAAAGCCACTTTTCAAACTGCCCAGCCCCACTTCTGACTCTGCAGTCTCCAAATAGATTATTTTCTTAAAAGAGATCATTTTACTGTTATCAACTTCTTACACTTAAGGTCCCTAAAAGACACAGTGAAAAGCAATCATGAATCAGGCCCCACGAAGCAGTCACACTAAATTCCCATTTAGAGAAACACTCACACTACAGAGGTGTGTGATTCAGGGTAAGTTGTATTTGGTGCCAGAATTTTAAAGAGCACTATTTTGACATTAAAATGTATTCTTCTCTGTATTAATGGCCTACATCTTCAGAGTTTTCAATGCTTTCTAAAAGTTTCCTCTTTGGAAAGAAGAAATCTGAAAGACCTATCATGCCGTTCTTCCTGGCGTCTCTAAATTGGAAACAGATAAAGATATTTATTGGTAATTTCTCATCATATACTTAGTAACATTTTTATAAAATGCGATATAATTTAAAAGGTCTACTTTTAAAAACTATTTATGGTTGCTCATCAGTAATTCTTACTTCCAAAAATAAAGCATTCTATTTTCTTGTGCAAAGTGCACCAAAACGTATAATAAATGTAGCTTTATTTCTAGGTGAAAAGATGGGTGCTATATGCATAGGTTTTTCTTTTTTGATGACTTGTGATCTCAGGAAAGTGGTGGGAGAAGTGGCTGCTGCACAGGGTCCCAGTTCTTTGGAGGCTTGGGACATGGATTTGGAATGAGATGGAACCACCCATGTCCCAGGTGGCTCTGTCAGGCGGAGTAGCCGCATCAGAGAGCACAAAAGAAGAGAAGAGGTGCGCGGATCGGGCAGGAGAAGGGGCCCAGCATGACCCGGATGGCGGTGCAGAAGCAGAGGCTGTGGGCACCAGGAGGAGAGCTGGGGACAAAGTACTGTGTCGTCCATGTGACTGCAGACACCAGCCAGGATGGTGTCAAGAATAAGGCGGACAGAAGGGATGGCTTGGGAGCTGCGGTCTTCCACGAGGACAGGAGGGTTGGAGTGACAGTGGATGACAGAGGAAGGAGGAAAAAGAGGGACCATGGAGTCCAGAGGCTCAGCCCATGGTGGGCAGAGGGGATGTGAGTTTGAAGGAAGGAGAGGAAACGATGTGGAAGGGACAAGGAGACGAGGACGGCTGGGACAGGTGGGGCAGGGCACAGAACGCAGGCTCCACTGGCACAGGAAGGGAGGCGGAGGCTGGCGGATCACTTGAGCGCCAGCTCCTGGTGCTGTGGCCTGCATCCTAGGTGGCATCATGGCCGGTTGGAAAGGGTGGGAGGAGGGGACAAGACTCTGGGTGGTGATGACAGGCCAGGGGGCTTCTCAGGAGGCTGAGGCGAGCAGGGGTGTGTGCTGTGCCAGAAGGCGGCCCTGGGACCAGCCCCCATTGGTCCCTATCCCTGGCTTACTGTCCTCTTGGCACTGAACATGACCTACTGTCTTAAAATCTGCTTGTCTGATGTCTGTCTGCTCCACAGGGCAAAACTCCAGGGGTCAGGGCGTGACCTGTTCACTGACTACATCCCCGGCACCTGCGCCAATGCCTGGCACAGAGCAGGTGCTCAATAAACTGTACTGTGGGCAATTCGAGATGAGAGGTGTGGGGCTCAGGGACAAACCATAACCAGCACTTGGGGGGCAGTGGTCCCAAGGGGAAGTGCCGGGAAGACCTCAGGGACCCCATCTCCCTTGGGGCTGGAGCCTGGAGGACCTGGGCCCTTTCCTGCCCTTGCACCTAGAAGGCCCTTTCTTGCTGTTAACCAGGCTTACTCTGCAGCACCACAGCTCCCCGGACCCTGCGGTTGTCACCACCACCTCTGCCCACCCCACCAGCCCTGGGCTGCTCTCTCTGCCTCCCCATAGGTAGTGCAGGGTGCAGAGTCAGCACCCAATGATGGTTTAGGGAATGAACAAATGAGAACTTCCGCAGGACCCAAGAGCTTTGTTCCTTTTTACTCTGCATCTTGTCTTTAAAGGGAGGATTCATTAATCTTGTTTAAAAATGTTACAGGTGATCAGAACACTGGACAATATATTCCAACGTTAGCTCCAAGTCATGCTTCAGAGCAGAACCAGCCTTACATCACATGCAGCCTGGTGCAAATACAACATAACATGCAATGTGTCGGGGTCATATAGCAAGTTCATCAGAGTGAGAATTGCGTGGCTGATGTCAATGACATCCTCAAGTTTCTGCAAATGATCCTGCATCCGTGGCACTACTGTCAGGAGGTCCACCAGCAGTAATCCATGTCTACGTTTCATTGTGGAGAAATGAATTCTATCTCACTTTTTAAGTTATTATTATTATTATTATTATTATTGTTGTTATTATTTGAGACGGAGTCTCGATCTTGTTGCTCAGGCTGAAGTGGAATGGCACAATCTCGGGTCACTGTAACCTCTGCCCCCCCAGGGCTCAAGAGATTCTCTTGCCTCAGCCTCCTGAGTAGCTGGGATTACAGGCACCCACCACCACACCTGGTTATTTTTTTAGTAGAGATGGAGTTTTGCCATATTGGCCAGGCTGGTCTCGAACTCCTGATCTCAAGTGATCCACCTGCCTCGGACTCCCAAAGTGCTGGGATTACAGGCGTGAGGCACCGTGCCCAGCCTCTATCTCACTTTTTAACATGCTACAATTTAGTACCACCTGACATGCTGTACATAGGAATCAGGATAGATCTGGGATAAATGAGTCTTAATGACAAGATACATTCTCTCCCTCTAAAGTCTAAAAAAACCTGAGCCTCAGCCCACATGGGTGGGAGCCACGGGAGAGGTCGGGCTCCCTTCTGAGGTGCTGCTTGCTTTCGCTGATGGCCTTTGATCTGCGGCTCCACTTACACACACCCTGAATACTATCAGGTGTGCCTAAACCTTCTGCCAAACACGGGATTCGTTGGGACAAAGTTATTGCAGACAAGGGATGTGATATTGTGAAATATATATTTGGTCTTCAACCCCCGCTCCTGGCATACAAGTAAAATCTGTGGAATCTCCAAAGTGAGTTCTTTCTTTATGCTTGTGATTGGCTGATGGCCCAGGTAGCTTCAGGATGGGGCTGGTCACTGGAGAGCCCAAGGCAGGATTAGAGGGGTGGGACTTTCAGCCCAGCCCAACCTTGGAGGTGGGGAGAGGGGCTGATGGCTTAGGTGATCACTATTGGCCAATGATTTAATCAATCACAAAGCTTCCAGGAAAAAGAAACCCTAAAAGGACAGGGCTTAGAAAGTTTCCCGGAAGCTAAACACATCGAGACCAACAGGAAGGTGAACAAGAGCTCATTTGCGGGCAGGGAGGGGATGTACCTCAACTCCATGGGGGCAAAAGCCCCCATGCTCCAGACCCTTCCAGACCTTGCCCTTTGTCTGTCTTCCTCTGACTGTTGGTAGCCTTTAAAATATCCTTTGTAATCAAATAGTAAACATGAGTGTTTCCCTGAGTTCTGTGAACCATTCTAGCAAATTAATTGACCCAAGGAGGGGTTGTGGGAACCCTGATTTAGAGCCAGTCGGTCAGAAGCACAGGCAAAATAACCTGGGGCTTGCAACTAGCATCAGAAATGGGGCAGGGTGGGGGCAGTCTTGGGGACTGAACCCTCAACCTGTGGGATCTCAGGCTATCTCCAGGTAGACAGGGTAGAGACGGAATGAGAATGCACAGCTGGTGTCTGCTGCAGGACCACTTGCTTGCTTTTTGGTGAGGAAAAACCTCCACACATTTGATCATAGCAGTCTTCTGTGTTGATTATTGTTGTGGTGAGAGAGCAAAGGAAAAACTGAGTTTTTCCCTACAAGGGGGAAGTGAAACAGGAAATTCTCCCATGGTCAACATACCTGAATCCTAGAGAGGGTGCATACTTACATATTTTCCTTTAGAGAGGCAAGGTAGGATTCCGTCTCCAAGGGAGACACATCTGAGTCTAATCTGGCCAAGTAGCGGTAAACGTAGGAAAACGTCTTGAAGGGGATGCGAGCGGGCCCGCCCTCCGGATCGTCCGTGAGGATCTCGCACAGGTGCTTCAGCGCAGTGTTCAAGGACTGGGAGCACCACAGCCAGGTGGGGAGAAAAACAGTTACTCCTGGCATCACTCACATTGAAAGCAGGCATCAGCAGAATCAACACTCTAGCATATTTGACAGAAATTCTCCAAAAAGTATGTGCTCCATCTGAACTGAGAACTAGGTGAATGTACAATTGCCATAATGAAAAATGAAAAGGAAAGGTTCGAATGGGGTGCAATTGACCAGGAAAAAATTCTAATTCACAGATCTTATTTTCTATTAAAATAGAAATGACTGTTACAGACAAAAGGAAGCATCAATGTCTTGAAAACCAACTTCCTAAGCTAATGCAGAACTGTGCAGCCCCATCTGGCCCGGAGACACACCCGGGGACGTGCCCAGGGGCTGAATGAACTCTGCCACCAGCCAGAGGTGCTGCCTGCAGAGGGCAGGGCTGGCAGCCAACGGCCTGCATGCCTACAAGGAAGCCCTGGGTGTCTGCCAATGCCTGCCCACCGAGCAGAAGGGAGGGCTCTGTCCGGGCTCTGTCCTGGCTCTCTCCCTGTTCACACAGAAGGCTCTGGGCTCTGTCTCAGCTCCAGAACAGCAACCGGACTTCCTCCCTGAGACCGTTCATCTCCCTCACACTCTTCCAAACTGCTGGGCTCATCCCAGACAGCAGCCCACCCTCTGCTTTCAGCGGGAAAGCCCATCCTCTGAGCAGCCTTCCTGCCTCCACACGGCAGACACTTTTAGCACCTGCCCTCCCAGCCAAGTCCCTGCGGGGGTGGGGGGCAGCTAACAGGCCAAGGTCGTCTTCATGAGACCAGAGGCTGCATGGCGCTGGAACTGCAGGGCCTGGGCACCAGGGCTCCCCAGGGCCAGCCCATGGCCTCCCACCTCCAACTTGCTCAATTCATCCTTGTTGAAAAAACATGAGCTGTTTGTGTGTTTGTTTCAAGAAGGTGGGAGAACCATGTAACATAAGATTACTATCTTTTCAAAAGAGAACACATAGCCCAGGTCTCCTTTTCTCCTTCTGCACCAAGACATCATGACCTGCAGCCTTCAACACCCTGGCCAGGGTAAGCTGTGGGGGCAGGTGTCCTAATTCCGCAGCTGGCCTATGGGACCCTCCCCTCAGTCCCCACCTCGAGTCCCTTCTGTGAAGGCCGTCCTTGCCAGAGTGGCTATCTCATACCTGCCTGGATGGTCACGCTGCCTACTGATGAAGGTGAGCTCACACAGGTGGCTGCTTAAACGTAACCCCCCTCGCCAACACACACACATGGCAACAGCCCTTCATTCCCTCCACGTTTGCCAAGTGCCTGTTACACACCAGGATGTAGCAGTGAACAGACACCTAACGCCTGCTCATGTGGAGATCACAGTCAAGTGGGAGAGCCACAACACCTGGATTCTAGGGTGCTCTGGAAGAGGGCGTGCCTGGAGCAGCAGGCAGGCAGTGCCGGGGTGGAGGATGACATTTTCAATCGGGTGGTCAGGGACGGTCAGAGCAGGGAGCATGTAAGCACAGACCCAGGGGGAAGGAGCCAGTCATGTGGGATGCTGGGAGAATTCCAGGGGCACTTCTGTGTGCTCCAGAAACAGCCAGGAGCTCCAGGTAGCTAGAGCAGGCCATGGAGAGGCAGGGATGCGGGAAATGAGGTCAGCGGGATGGGGTGGGGGCAGATCACGGAGGTCTTTACAGACCCAGGGAGGACTTGGGCTTTGGCTGGGGTCTATGGGAAGGTGTCAAAGGGTTTTAAACAAAGACGGAGCACTGTAGAGTGTTTCTAAGGAGTCCTTCTGCCGATGTGTGAAGAGAAGTGATGAGGGTGGAAGGCAAGAACCCAGTGATGAGGGTGGAAGGCAGGAACCCAGTGATGAGGGTGGAAGGCGGGAACCCGGTGAGGAGGGTGGAAGGCGGGAACCTGGCAAGGAGGCTGCTGGAATAATCCAGCCAGGGGCCTGGGAAGGGCCGGACTCAGCCTCTCCTGAAGGTGGAGTTACCAGAACTCACTGGTGGTTGCATGTGGGCAGAGACAGAACCATGAAAAGTGGTTCCAATGTTTGGTGCCTGAACAGCTGCAAAAGTTCCAGAGAGAAGCTGAGTTTGGGGTGGCTTCCACTGACATGTCTGTCAGGCGCCCAGTGGAACTGGTGACTCAGGTGGCTACTTAGTAGGCCTAGCGCTCACGGAGGAGACTTGGGAGCATGGGCGAGATGGGGTATACAGGCGGGGTGGTGTATACAGGTGGGGTGGTGTACACGGGCGGGATGGTGTACACGGTGGGGGGATGGGGCATACAGGCGGATGGTGTACACGAGGGGATGGTGTACACGGGGGGATGGTGTACACGGGGGGATGGGGCATACGGGGGGATGGTGTACATGGGTGAGATGGTGTACATGGGCGGGATGGTGTACACGGGGGAATGGTGTACACGAGGGGATGGTGTACATGGGGGGACGGTATACACGGGTGGGGTGGTGTATACAAGGGGATGATGTACACGGGGGGATGGTGTACATGGTGGGGACGGTGTACATGGGGGGATGGTGTACATGGTGGGGACGGTGTACATGGGGGGATGATGTACATGGTGGGGACGGTGTACATGAGGGGGATGGTGTACATAGGGGGGATGGTGTACATGGGGGGGATGGTGTACACGGGGGATGGTGTACATGAGGGGGATGGTGTACATGAGGGGGATGGTGTACACAGCGGGATGGTGTACACAGCGGGATGGTGTACATGAGGGGGATGGTATACACGGGGGGATGGTATACATGGGTGGGGTAGTGTATACGAGCAGGACGGTGTATACAGCCGAGCCCCACGAGGTTGCCGAGGTGGGAGGACAGTGCATGGACACGCTATACCACCAAGAGCTGGGGAGATGAGGGACCAGCATGGGGACTTGAAAGGCGCAGCCAGGAGGGAGGCTGCTGGTGAGTGAAGAAAAGCATTTCCTGGTGGAGAGAGCAATCTCCTGTGTCAAAGCACACAGGACAGGACAGGAAGGACAAGGACTGGCGGGTGGCACAGGATTTCCTCGGAGCCCGGTGCTGTGCTGGAGCCGGCTCATGAGCCTACTGCTAAGTTTCCAGCAGTTGTGTGAGCTGGAGGACTTCACCTTGGCAGCCTGAACTCAGCAGCAGTGGGAGTATTTACACCACATCGCTTGGCAAACATGACTGAGAACCAGGACCTTCCCGAGCAGGGTGGTGCCCTGCAGGCTGCTGGGGTGGGGTGTGAGGGCAGACTGAGAGCTCCTGCTTGCAGCAGCCACGGAGGTGGCTGACATCCCTGGGGAATCGCCTGCAGGGATGAATCTAGGGCTGTGCTTCCAAGGGAAGCGCAAGAAACAAACACAGGAGGGCCAGGGTGGAGCACCATCCTCACGGGGGAGCTGCAGATGCAGGGAAAGGGCCGCTGCAAGCCAGGCCTGGACTGTCCAGCTCCACAGTGGCTGTGTCAGGAATAAACCCCACATCCTCAGGGACAGGAAAGGGCTCTGAGGCCGCTCCAGGCTATGGGACAAAATGAGCCTTCCCTACAGAACACCATGGTCAGAGCAAGGCTGATAACACAGCCCGCTGTCCTCCTCTGGGAGTGAGAATAATGACAGTCACCTCGTGTGGTTACTGCGAGGAGCAGACAGACACCTTGGCCAGGCCCAGAGGGGCTCAGCAATCACCCAAGTCACCCAGCCAGGACTGGAGCACAGCCGGTGGGCCTCTGAGCTCACCCCAGTGACTACTCCATTTTATTATGTCTAGCAGCCGCCAGGCGGGCTCTGGGAACAAGACCTGGGGCACAGACGTCGCCTATCTGAGGACCCAGATATTTGGCTGCAGGAGATGGAGCCCTGAACAGAACTGATCTCCCTGTCCCCAGCGGCCTGATGGGGCAGTTCCTCCCATTTCCACCCCCTTCCCATGCCAGCAGTGCTGGTGGCGGCTGCACCTGATGCTGCCGAGGTGGACGGCACGGTTAGGGGGTGAGTGCAGCTCCCAGGGCAACATGATGCTCTCTCTAGGAAAAGTGCAGAACCTGCTCCGTGGAGCTGCAGGCACCGCTCCAGGACCACTGCACACGTGGCTCCTCTAAAAGACTGTCCCCAAGACAGGACTTGCTCAAAGCCGAGTCGTGTATTTCACAATCCATGTTCCTTGCTTGAAACTCTCAAAGACATGTTGTTATGATGGGATTTGCTTTTACACTGGACACAAATGGAAGTCCGTCACCACCGTGTGCAGGACTGCGGGGCCTCAGGAAGGATGAGTCGGAAAGGAAGGAGTTGGCGTGGATGGAGCAGGCAGATGAGATCTGTGTAACGCGCCGTTCCAAGGCTTCAGAGGAAGCGGTATTTAAGGAAAAATACATCAAAACACTCGAGCATCACTTCCTCTGCAAAGGCGTGATGACACTACCCATGTCAACGTTTCTGACAATAAGATCTGCAGCAATTTTTATATCCAGAAGGATTCATAAGGCAACTTGCTCCATCTTGTGCTGCGAGTCACATTTCTTAACATTTGTTTCTCAATTCCAAAGGCCTGTGGGTGGCACAGTCACTTGCACAACAGCCAAAAGACCCTCTCCTTGGCATGGCTGCCCCATGCTGCCGTCTGCTGTGTGGCTGATTTATTCTCCCATGTGCGATATGTGCTGGGCAGAGGTGACTGGCAAGCTGCACTTATTTTTTTGTTTGTTTTTTTGAGATGGAGTTTTACTCTTGTCACCCAGGCTGGAGTTCAGTGATGCGATCTTGGCTGACTGCAACCTCCGCCTCCTGGGTTCAAGCGATTCTCCTGCCTCAGCCTCCTGAATAGCTGGGGTTACAGGTGCACACCACCATGCCCAGCTAATTTTTGTATTTTTAGTAGAGACGGGGGTTTCACTATGTTGGTCAGGCTGGTCCCGAACTCCTGACCCCAGGTGATCCACCCGCCTTGGCCTCCCAAAGTGCTGGGATTACAGGCGTGAGCCACTGCACCCAGCCAAACACTTAGTTTTTAACCAAGTATTTACACCTGATCCATAATCTGAAATTCAAGTGGAGATGAGTGAAGAGCACAGGCACGAGGGCACCCACTATTTTCCGGGCATTTTCGGCATGCCAACTCTGTGGGGTTTTTCAGTTTCCAAATTATAGCTGCTCTCATGATGATATGAGGCCCCTCAACAGTCACCTCACACCTCCCCAAGGGCACCTCTCAGCTGGCATGGAAATGAAAATAGGCCCGTTTTACACAGAATCAGAACAAAGGAGGTCCCCCTCTGAGGCACAGCTGCCTGTGCTGGGGGTAGAGACTGGACTTCCAGTGAAGCTGTGCCTCTGACCCAGCACTGGTTTTTAAAAGCCTCTGACCCAGCACTGGTTTTTAAAAGCCTCTGACCGAGCACTGGTTTTTAAAAGCCTCTAACCCAGCACTGCGTTTTCAAGAGCTTAAGGGCCTTTTCATCGAATTCTATTATCCTCTAGAGTTTCCTAATTTAAAACCATTTCTGGGGCTGACAGCAGGTAAGGGTAGGAGGCCCTGAATGGGAAGGAGCAGTTCACCCCGTGGCTGGGGTGTGATATCCTGTGCAGGACAGGGATGGGGAGGCCACAGCGGCCCGCATCAGCGGCCCATGGGAATCTCCAGCGGACAGGGCAAGGTTGGTCAGGGGAGCGTGGCCCCTGCCTCTTTCCCACAGAGGGAGGGACATGAGCAATCAGGGGAACTGGAGCTGGGGCCAGGGGAGTCAGGAGCCTGAGCGGCTCCTTCGTCTTCAGGGACAGCTTCCTAAACACGCCTGTGGCCTCAGGCTCCCACTGGGGGGTGGGGGCGTGGCTGTGTCTTCTTCTCACGGGCTGCAGGGGCTATGAGGAATTCTGTTGGCCTTTCTTGGTCACTTCCGAATGGGCTTTCGAGCCCTAGCTGCGGAAACCTGGAAGGAAACAGCAGCGAGGAGTAAGCCAGGATGCAGCCTCTGTCACTGCCGCAGCGCAGGTGGCTGTCACATCGGACCAACAGGGAACCACCATAGGTCAGTCACTGAATCTGACATGCTGTAGCACAGCTGGATGGGGCGATGTTCTGAGAGCTCCAAAGTGTGTGTTGTCAGGAGGAGGCCGAGGTTGAATGCCTTCCAGGGGATGAATCACTTCAGGACACAAAATGATTTTGATGATCGTCCCGAGGAGTTGTTCTTCTCCGAGACAGGAAATCTCAGGCGTAAACTTGAATAAGGTGGTCCTAACCTGTGGGCTGCACATTCCTTGGGCTATGGAGCCACTAGGAGGAATCCTCCCCTCTCCCCACTTCCAAGTCACCTGTTGTGACTCAGCTTCTCTCTGCCTTGGGGCACCAGCCTGCAATCCTGATGGTGCCTTCCTCAAAGGGCTGTTGGGAGGATTCCAGAGAATACACACGCAGGGCTCTGTGCACTCCCGCACCCGGTTAAACCCTAGAAATCATGCCCACTGCGTGCACCGTGTTCAGATGGAAAACTGCGTTAGACACGTGTGCATCTGTGGTTGTAAACGAAGAATGATGCTTCTGTGACTAAGAAAGTTCAAATGCGTTTCAAAGCCTGACTAAAGTCAATGTGATTTGTTTTGATCATGACAGACTGACTCTGTCAGTGTCAGTATGGGGATGAAAGACTTGGTTCACAATTTTCTTATCTTAAAAAAAAAAAGATCTCCATGCTTAAAAGACAAAACAAAACATTTTGATCCACAGCTTTAATGCTCAGGATCATTAATGGCATTGTAGAAATGGAAAAATAAAAGTCAGCCAGGCTCTGTGGCTTGTACCTATAAATCTCAGAACTTTGGGAGGCCAAGACAAGAGGACTGCTTGAGCTCAGGAACTGAGATCACCCTGGGCAACATGGCAAGATACTTGTCTCTACAAAAAATAAAAAATTAGCTGGATGTGGTGCTGCATGCCTGTAATCCCGACTTGGGAGGCTGAGGTGGGAAGATCGCTTGAGTACAGGAGGTTGAGGCTGCAGTGAGCTATGACCATGCCACTGCACTCCAGCCTGGGTGACAGAACGAGACCCTGTCTCTTAAAAAAAAAAAAATTAAATAAAAGCCACAACATACAAATATGGTCATTTCACCATGCAAGCACATCAAAACATTGAGAAAGAGGACAGGAATCTCTTAACATCCAGATGGCAATTTAATGTCCTTGTTCACCTGCCTGGGGCAGCTCACAGTGCCCCTTAACCTGAATTGATAGCTTTTGATGTAATAAGTAGAGCAGTGTTCAGGGCTTCAAGGATATAACAGAACATCAGCTCCAAGAGTCTGGTGATGTTTGCCCGTTTTGTTCACTCCAGAACCTGCAGCACTTAGAACAGGGCCTGGCACAAAATAATGCACAGTAAACATTTGTGGAATGAATGGTATGTATGATTCAGAAATTGAAGCAGAGGTTTCCAGTCTTTTTAGAGATCTTCAACTCGATGAATTTGACTAGAGTGATTTCTAAGATAAATAAATGTAAACAGCACAGAGAGTACACCTGCCACAAGCCACGCCCCCGCCATAGATGCAGGGAGCAGGAACGACATCTATCCCGCTCACGCAGGCAGCGGCTAGCCACCAATTACACAGCATCCTATGTGAAATAAACTTCTGCAGGTGGTAATCCACTACAAATTATTCTCATCGCACTTCATTTCCTCCTTTTTGAAGGTATTTTTTTAAAGCATAAAAATGAACGCTTATGACGCTGAACGACATGAAGAAACCCCTCCTTGAATTCACAGCTTTGTGTTCTTAGCACACCTCCAAGCCACCCAGGGCCAACAAGGTCAACAACACAACTGTCCACACCAAGGCCTGGAGGGTCCGAGCACCTCCTGTCTACCCAGCGCACCCCGAGACAGGTGTTTGAACTCGTGCTCAGCACTCTGTGGGCCGCGGGAGCCAGGGCAGAGCAGGCATCCCTGGCAGCAGACATGGACCCCAGACGAGCACACGCTCCTCTGAGGGAGGAGAGGTCAGCTTCCACACTTGAACCTGACCCTGAGTCTACAGCCGCACTGGACCAGAGCAGAGGGTGGCTGTGGCTTTCTACAACCAGGAGAGGCCTCCAGCACCTATGGAAGGAGTCAAGGGCAAATCTGGAGTCCTGCTGGCAAAGGTGGCTCAAGTCAGGAGACAGGCAGGAACCCGCAGTGATGCACAGCATGATTCCTGGTGTCAATTTATTCTCTATGATAGGAAGAACCCAAAAGAATGTGTGCTGTTTGTGATGTCTCTTCCCCAGGAGTCAGCTTAGACGGCCAAGCTCTATCCTTAACACAATGTCTCCATCTAGTGTCACACACTCTACATGGACAAGAGGCCTTATTTTTCAAATCAGATTCAATTGTGTTTTAAATCTAGTGCTTAATTTTCACAATTAGGAAGGTGAAAACTATAAAGATGGATCCAAAAACATGAATTATTCTACTTTCTCATCATTTTAAAATCAAAATTTTACAACTAAGCTTAGAGGCAGAAACCACCAACATTAATTCAAACATTGCATACAATTTTATATTGTTAACATATCGATTTCAGGGCCGGGTGCAGTGGCTCACACCTGTAATCCCAGCATTTTGGGAGGCCGAGGCGGGCAGATCACCTGAGGTCAGGAGTACAAGATCAGCCAGGCCAACATGGTGAAACGCTGTCTCTACTAAAAATACAAAAAATTAGCCAGGCGTGGAGGTCCATGCCTGTAATCCCAGCTACTTGGGAGGCTGAGGCATGGAAATCACTTGAACCTGGGAGGCGGAGGTGGCAGTGAGCCCAGATCGCACCACTGCACTACAGCCTGGGTGACAGAGCAAGACTCTGTCTCAAAAAAAAAAAAATACACACACACACACACACACACACAGACACACACACACACACACACACACACATATACTTTAGGCTGGGTGCAGTGGCTTACACCTGTAATCTATAATCCCAGAACCTGAGGCTGGTAGATCACCTGAGGTCAGGAGTTCAAGACCAGCCAGGCCAACATGGTGAAACCCCATCTCTACTAAAAGTACAAGAATTAGCTGAGCATGGTGGTGCATGCCTGTAATCCCAGCTACTCGGGAGGCTGAGGCAGGAGAATCACTTGAACCTGGGAGGTTGCAGTGAGTCAAGATCACACCATTGCACTCCAACCTGGGTGACACAGTGAGACTCCATCTCAAAAAACATATAGCTAGATACAGATATAGATAGATAGATTAGATAGATAGACAGATAGATAGATAGATAGATAGATTTCACAGAGTTCCAGATTAACAAAGTGACATAAAAATGTCTCCAATAATTAAAAGTATTTGCCTTTGTCTATCTTGATAATACCCCTGAGACACTCCCCTGGTGCCATCTGCACCTGTCCTTGCTACTGGAGGGTACCATGCCTGCCAACATCCAGGCCTTGGCACAATTAGCCCGGGGCTGACAGGAAGCACCTCCATTGCCTTTGAGCAGTTACACAACAAAACTCTTGCTCATTCTACAGCCACACCACACCCGACTCCCTGAGGGCACGGAGCTTCCCACTGGGGCCATCTGCAGAGCTGGTGAACTGCGCCACACTCAGATGTGACATGGCGAAGGAAGGGAATGAACAACGTGGCCTGTGATGTACAGATGAATACATCTAGTCATATAATTTAGGATGAAAATTTCAGAAAATTACTGACAACACAAATGTCTTTTCATCAAGTCAAAACCAACTAAAATTCCACAGTGTACCTCTTGCGGGACACATAGAAGCATGTGTTTCAGAGGTCAGGAAGCGAGAAGCAGGAACTTCAGAAATGTCATTGCTTCAGGCCACCAGGCAGGGGGACAGGACATGGGAGGAGGCCACAGGTGGTTGGAAGTGACTGTTGGTGCATTAGTGGCCACATTGGGTAGCCTTGCGGGTGTTTACCACCACCCATTTCAAGTAATTTGTTTTAATGAAAATGGAATGAAAGAGCTCTGTGCATGGAGCAAAGCTGAGTGAGGGCTGTGAAGCAAGGACCAGTTATACACACTGGGGCCACAGACTGAAGGGAGGGGGGAAAATCAAATTGTTCATCTATGTAGTAAAGGGAGCTGGTTCTCCTTTCTCTGCCTCCTTTCTTCATAAGCTTCACATGGCAGATGCCTGGTTACTCTTCCTTCACCCAACCACCATGTCTCACAGCAAGACTTTAGCTGAGAAGACTGACTCTGGGTTTGCAAAGGAAGCCCTGCCAACATCATCCCAGCTCCAACCTCTCCCTTCTCGCCCCGACCTCCCAGGCTCGCCTCGTCACCTGGAGGATCATGTCTTATTCCTAAGTTGCTTGGCTTATACTCAAACATCAGCAAAATCTCACTGTATCTATTAGTTATTAATAATAGATTTCTAAGGCCGGCGCGGTGGCTCACGCCTGTAATCCCAACACTTTGGGAGGCCAAGGTGGGCAGATCACCTGAGGTCAGGAGTTCGAGACCAGCCTGACCAACATGGAGAAACCCCGTCTCTACTAAAAATACAAAATTAGCCAGGCATGGTGGCACATGCCTGTAATCCCAGCTATCAGCAACTCGGGAGGCTGAGACAGGGAATCGCTTGAACCTGGGAGGCGGAGGTTGCGGTGAGCCGAGATTGCGCCATTGTACTCCAGCCTGGGCAACAACAGCAAAACTCCATCTCAAAAAAAATGAATAAATAAATAATAATAATAGATTTCTACTAAAGTAGAAAATAATTGTATGCCTCTTTCCACAGATGAGCAAAACAGTTATCAGTTTACAAAATGATTTGTAGTTTTAAAAAGTCATTGATGCATTTTCTTCTAAAACCTAAATATATTTTAATAGTATCCATATCTTTCATCTACTATTAACTTTTAAATTGAGGCATTCATAAATAATTTCTGTAAATTAAAATAACTGTACACCTGAAAATATTAATATAATAGGCCTGGAGCAGGGGGAAATGCTTTTCTAAGACAAAGTTACTAAAGTGTTTCCTTTAGTTACTGAAACCTAAATTATTTTTAAGCTGGGACCATGATGACACAGAATTATTAATATGCTGTTTATAGGTACATACCCCACCAAGCATGCTGCATCCAAGCGCTAAAAAGTTTATCCACTTGATTTTGTTTTCACAAGGATCCAGTTGTAAGAGCGCTTTGAATTTTTCCTTCGGCAGGCACAAGTTCTTCCACTTCTGCTCAAGATCTGTTAATTCCACATACCGCTTGTGGTGACACTGTTTGGAAAACACAGCATGACAATTTATGTATGTTTTAAAACCTGGGAAACAATGAATGCTGTGAATATTCAACACACACCAAGTAACCCGCCCCATGCAGGGGACAGATGAACTCCAAATGCATGACAGGGGGTTCTGTCAGCCCTGGGGAGGGAAGGCAGGGAAGGCAGCGAGCGGCAACCTTTTATTTATTAAATGAAAAAAGGACGGTGAAGCGAATACGGCATCATGTTATGACTTAATGAAACAGGCATACTGATATTGAGTATACGATACTCCACTATCTGTCTGAAATGCTTCACAATAAAAAATAAAGCTCAGTAAAAAACATTTTAAAAATCCAGCCCCTAATCACATTAACAGTTAGATAGGAGAGATCTTAAAACTGAAAATAAATGTATTTCTTCTATTATATATTTATTTGTTAATTTTTGGACAGTCTCATTCTGTTGCCCAGGCTGGAGTGCAGCGGCATGATTTCGGCTCACTGCAACCTCCACCTCCCAGGGTTAAGTAATTCTTCCGCCTCAGCCTCCCAAGTAGCTGGGATTACAGGTGCGCACCACCACGCCCTGTTAAGTTTTGTATTTTTATTGGAGACAAAGTTTCACCTTGTTGGCCAGGCTGGTCTTGAACTCCTGACCTCAAGTGATCTGCCCGCCTCAGCCTCCCAAAGTACTGGGATTAAAGGCATGAGCCACCATGCCCGGCCTTCCTTCTACTATTTTAAACAATCTATCAAAACTGAAAACTTCTGCAATCTGCTAGCAGTATCCTGGATGAAAAGGCTTTGAGCAATTTCAGCATGTCTTTTCGCAAGCTACACCATTCAAGAGTTCTTTGCTTCCCTTAAGGTAGTCCTAGTTTCAGAATTCACTGTATCCTGCGCAGAAGCACAGTACTTCACAGTGTAGAATGGGGATAAGTCAGTTTGAAAATCAAGGTTATGCCACTGGTGTCTCTTTTAGCAAAAGAACCGAGTCATGAGGAAGGCCTAGCCTTGCTCCGTGACCCACTTTCTAGTAACTCACGTCTGTAAAAACAGGATGGCGTGTGGGGCAAAGAAGCGCAAGGCAGGAAGGGGGCCCAGGCTCTCCACAGCACTGGACACCAGAGGCTGCTGCCCACCTTGGGGGCCAAAGGCCAGCCCCGCCTTCCAGACAGAGAAGGCAGAGGCTTACTCAGGCCTGCGCACAGCTTTCACAAACACACACCTGGAGAACGGACTGGAAACCCCCCAGGTTCTGAAATTTTGTATGTTTTGCCCAGCAGAATCTAGTGTCATGTAAATTTTGTATTTAAAAGAAATTATATTTCACTTTTCTAAACTCTACCCCTGGATAGTGACTTGGGGCTGTTGAAGCTAGAAAAAGACCTCCCAGACACAACATATTTCTTCCTTGAATCAACCTTGACGATGCGTGGCAGGGAAAGCAGGATTTCAGGGACCTCAGGAGGTTTGAAATACATTGCTGGGGTGTGCCCCGCTCTGTCATCAATGCACAGTGAACGGTAAGGAAAGCACAGGCCAGCTGCCTGAGGCCAGAGACTACGCCCCCCCATACCTGCTTGTGCAAAACTTTCAGGAGTCCTTGAGTCAGGCCTGTGTCTGTTTTCTGGGTTGCCGTGGGCATTTCCATTCTGTCCTTTACAGGAAGTGGATCTCCTCTCGACAGAGCTGAAAAATAGCTAATAAATAACAGACATCTCTGAAAGCTCATCAATACACAAAAAACAGCTATGCGATCCAATTTCTTAAATAACCCCCCAAAACAACGGTGATTAGGAAGGACAGCTCTGAAGACCAACATCCCGGGCTTATGTCCTGGTTCCTCCACTTGGTTCTCTGACTTAACCTTCTCTGCCTGCCTTAGTTTCTCTGTTGGCAAAGGGGATAATGAGACTCCCTGTTGGAGGGTTGGGGAGCATTGTGTGAGAAGGGCTTGGCGCAGTGGCTGGCACTCGCAGAAGCTCCTTCAACATGTGTGATTCTTCCCCTCCTCCCTGCCACTTCACAATCAGCTGGAGTTCCATGTATTATTCTTTCTTTTTTTTTCCTAAATTTTTTGAGACAGGGTCTCACTCTGTCACCCAGGCTGGAGTGCAGTGGCATAATCATGGCTCACTGTAGCCTCAACCTCCCAAGCTCAAGGGATCCTCCCGCCTCAGCCTCCTGAGTAGCTGGGACTACAGGCACACACCACCACACCTGGCTAATCTTTTTAATTATTTCTTACAGAGATGTGGTCTTGTTCCATTGCCCATGCTGGTCTGGAACTCCTGGCCTCAAGTGATCCTCCCAGCTTGGCCTCCCAAAGTGCTGGGATTATAGGCGTGAGCCACTGTGCCTGGCCGTCTTCCCACTTTTGACAGGTGGGTTTGGTCTTGCTGCTTTTTGAGGTGCTTGACTTTAAGCGTCTCTGCATATTCAACCCTGAGGCAGCCCAGGAACACACAGGTCACCTACTTCCACACTGGGAATGGCAGGTGCTGGCCTGGCTCCCATCCCCCCACCCCCACTTTTCCTGCCTGGTATTGTTCCCCTTAATTGTTCCTTTCTGGGACACTGATATTGCTGCTTATGTTGGGGGCAAGAGTGGGAAACTGTTGGGGCAATAAGTCAAGAGGGAACCCACACCCAGCCTCTGGCTCGTGGTGGGAGGGGTGCCAGGCAAGACCTTCTGAGAAACTCACGCCCCTTGGTATCTTTGCCAGAGGTGGCGATGCTGAAGCCACATCATTTGGGGCCCTAATGACTTTAGCATGATGAAAAGAGACAGCATATCCAGGCAAATGAACATCAAAGCATCCACCAGGGCCACAGATAACAATTTTAAAGCCATGGGTAGTTAGAAACATTGCTACAGATAAATATGGATAAGTCGATATCTGATAGACTAAAATAAACTTCATATCTCATCCTTTCTCTCTCTTTACACCCCTCAAATTTGACTTTGTTTCCTTGCTTTGTAAGACAACTTCAGCTCCATTTTGTGGCTTTGTTAATGATTTGAAGGCAGCAGTGAGTTAGACAAATGTGAACCTAAAGACCTAAAGGGTGTGGGTGAAGAATAGGTGCCTCGTTTTGCCACATTCCTACTAATCAAGGTTTTCACCTATTTCATGGGGGTAACTCCTCATAACTCAGGCAAGGAATCCCGAGCTAGATACAGCCTCTGGAGGCAGAGTTCTCAGTGGGGGATAATGCTCCTCCTCTTTCCCCCACCCGCCACCCTCCTCCCCAGCCAAAAGGCATTTGGCAATTTCTGGAGACGCTTTTTTTTTTTTGAGATAGAGTCTCGTTCTGTGGCCTAGGCTGGAGTGCAGTAGCGCCATCTCAGCTCATTGCAACCTCCACCTCCCAGGTTCAAGCTATTCTCCGGCCTCAGCCTCCTGAGTAGCTGGGATTACACATGTGCATCACCAAGCCCAGCTGATTTTTTATATTTTATTAGAGACGGGGTTTCACCATGTTGCCCCCAGGGTGGTCTCAAACTCCTGAGCTCAGACAATCAACCCGCCTCAGCCTCCCAAAATGCTAGGATTACAGGCGTGAGCCACCGCACCCGGCCTGGAGACATTTTTGATTGTCACAACAGAGGGTGGATGGTACTCCAGGCATCCAGTGGGTGCAGGCCAGGAGGCTGCTAAGTCCCATCATGCACAAGATGCCCCTTCCTCCTGTGCCCTCCCCAACTGTCAGTAGGGCCGAGGCTGGAAATGCCTGCTTTTGAGGTGAGACCAACTAATGTTAGCCTCTGCCAGTTCCTTGAGGCACACGCCAACCAAAGCAGCCTCTATTACTTGACTGATTCTTATGTTCATTGTCCTGTGTGAGGCACAACTGCACAATGGTGTCATAAGGAACAGCCGACTCCCCTCACAGTGGAGTCCACAGGCTTAGGGGGAGGCTGGCTCATCTTTGATATTTGCCCACCTGAAAAGCACCTTTGAAAAGAACCCTAACCTGAGGAAAGAGGAATGCCTACTTGCTTCATCTTTTTTGTTTGTTTGTTTTTTCTTTTTTAGACAGGCTCTTGCTCTGTCACCCAGGCTGGAGTAGAGTGTTGTGAACATGGCTCACTGAAGCCTCCAACTCCTGGGCTCAAGTGATCCTTCTGCCTCAGCATCCTGAATAGCTGGGATTACAGACATGCATCACCATGGCCGGCTAATTTTATTTTTAGTACAGACAAGGTCTTGCCACGTTGTGCAGGCTGGTCTCGAGCTCCTGAGCTCAAGTAACCTGTCCGCCTCGTCCTCCCAAAATGTAGGGATTACAGGTGTGAGCCACCGTGCTCAGCCTACTTGCTTGTTCTATAGCAGTTATGTCCGTGGGTATCCTGGTTTCCTGTTTTGGTTTTGATGGTTTTTCTTTTTCCTGTCTCCACCCCCTTCTTCCTGTGCTGCTTCCTCTTCCTGGAATCCTCTCCACCCCACCCAAGCCCCAATCTCTCTGCCTACAAAATCTCTCAAGGACCAAGCCACTACTTTGCTTAACTTTCGTGACCCTTCATTTTTGCACTTACCAAGTCCCGCCTTACTCAAGTTACTTTTGAATAGCTCTCCCTAACAGATTCTGTCCTGTGACAGCTGAAACATATTTGAACCTACAATTACATATATACTGCCGAATGAATAATACCTGGGTTTTCTCCTAAACTCACAAATTGTTCTTGGTCAGGCGCGGTGGCTCAAGCCTATAATCCCACCACTTTGGGAGGCCAGGAGGGCAGATTACTTGAGGTCAGGAGTTCCAGACCAGCGTGGCCAACATGGTGAAACCCCCGTCTCTACTAAAAATACAAAAATTAGCTGGGCGTGGTGGCACGCACCTGTAATCCCAGCTACTTGGGAAGCTAAGGCAGAATTGCTTGAACCAGGAGGCAGAGGTTGCCGTGAGCCTAGATAGCACCAGTGCACTCCAGCCTGGGCCACAGAAAAAGACTCTATCTAAAAAATAAATAAATAAATGGCTCTTGAGAGAAATTAGTAGCATGGTACATTCGGAAAGTTCCTGATTAAGTCTCTTATTTATTTATTTATTTTTATGATGGAGTCTTGCTCTATCATCCAGGCTGGAGTGCAGTGGCACGATCTTGGCTCACTGCAACCTCTGCTTCCCGGTTTCAAACAATTCTCCTGCCTCAGCCTCCCATGTAACTGGGACTACAGATGCGTGCCACCACACCAAGCTAATTTTTGTATTTTTAGTAGAGATGGGGTTTCACCATGTTGGTCAGGTTGGTCTCGAACTCCTGACCTCAGGTGATTCATCAGCCTTGGCCTCCCAAACTCTGGGATTACAGGTGTGAGCCACCATGCCCAGCCTGATTAAGCCTCTTAAAGTGAAGTTTAGGCCAGGTGCGGTGGCTTACACTGGTAATCCCAGCACTTTGGGAGGCCCAAGTGGATAGATCACCTGAGGTCAGGAGTTCGAGACTAGCCTGGCCAACATGGTGAAACCCCATCTCTACTAAAAATACAAAAATTAGCCGGGTGTGGTGGCAAGTGCCTGTAATCCCAGTTACTTGGGAGGCTGAGGCAGGAGAATCGCTTGAACCCGGGAGGCAGAGGTTGCCGTGAGCCGAGATCTCGCCATTGCACTCCAGCCTGGGCAACAAGAGTGAAACTCCGTCTCAAAAATAAATAAATAAATAAACAAAGTGAAGCTTAACATAACTATCTCTAAGGTATTACTAAATATAGTTTAATGTTCCAAGAAGATGTTGCTAAATCTTGGAATTTTTTGTACAGCACAAACTCTTATAAATCCTTTTATTTAAGCTTGAATAATGGTTAAAACCAGAGGCTATATTTCTTTAGCAAGAACTTTGAAAGAGTCTTTCAGAAACCATTGATAAAAGCATTTCTCAGAAGGCAAGCACTGGATGGACAAGTAGCTCAGTTGGTGGGTAAAATAACAGCCCCAAAGGTATCCAGGTCCATGTTCCAGGAACCTGGGAATGTTACTTTACATGGTAACAGGGATTTTGTGGACTGATAAGGATCTCGGGTGGGAAAACTGCCCTGGACTATCTGGATGGCCACTGAATGCAATCACCAGTGTCCTTGGAAGAAGGAGGCAGAGGGAGATTTGAAGATGCTGGCCTTGAAAATGGAGGAAGGGGACATGAGCCAAGGCGTCCAAGAAATGCAGCTCTAGAAGCCAGAAAAGGCAAGGAAACGAGCTGGGTTTTCCTGAGAACCACTGGAAAGAGCAAAGCCCTGTCAACACCTTGATTTTAGCCTAGTGAAACTAATTTGGACTTCTGGCCTCCAGAACTGCAAGAATGTATGTCTGTGTTTTTTTTTTTTTTGAGACGGAGTCTCGCTCTGTCGCCCGGGCCGGACTGCGGACTGCAGTGGCGCAATCTCGGCTCACTGCAAGCTCCGCTTCCCGGGTTCACGCCATTCTCCTGCCTCAGCCTCCCGAGTAGCTGGGACTACAGGCGCCCGCCACCGCGCCCGGCTAATTTTTTGTATTTTTAGTAGAGACGGGGTTTCACCTTGTTAGCCAGGATGGTCTCGATCTCCTGACCTCATGATCCACCCGCCTCGGCCTCCCAAAGTGCTGGGATTACAGGCGTGAGCCACCGCGCCCGGCCCAAATGTATGTCTGTGTTTTAAGCTGTCAAGTTTTGTGGTGATTTGTTACAGCAGCCAAACGAAACTAATTCACTTTGGTTATAGAGTTTAAAGCCAGCAAAATTTGGCTGTTTTTTTTCTTTTTAAATTAGTTTTCTTATTAAAAAAAATACAGATGGGGTCTTGCTGTGTTACCCAGGCTGGTCTCAAACTCTTGGGCTCAAGTGATCCTCCCAGCTTGGCCTCCCAAAGTGCTGGGATTACAGGCATGAACCACCAAGCCCAGCCAAAATTTGAAATGTTGATGACTAAAATATTTAAATTAAATTTACACCTGTGCTGACTCTTGTCATCATAAAAGTGAGTTTTTGTTTTACATCTGTTTATTGAAAAGGGGCAAAGAGCTCTCCTGTAAAACCAAGAGGATTTCTTTTAATGCCTCTAAGATCTGTTGACTTGTAACTTTGAGATTATGAATGTCTGTTCCTGGCAAGTGTTGGAATGTTTGTGGCAAAAAATAAACTGTGAAGCTTCATTTGCTGGACAGTTTACCCTGAGCACTCTAGGGATGATGACCTCAGTATGACCACGGTCGTTCCGGTTCTAATAAATTTAACCAGCTCTGGGTATACATAGCTCTGAGAGGACTCTCTGCAGATGAGGAACTTAGCTAAAATATTCCTCTTTGTAAAGTCATTTCACAAAGTGACTGCAACCGTGTAATTTTTTTAACATAATGTAAACACTTTTTTGCCCAATGCAATTACTTTGTTAAGTTTTAGTCTATCTTCATCATAAACACTTTTAAACAATTGAGTTGCCATTACGTTGTAGGTAAGTGAGCATTTTGCAATGATTTCGGGTCTCATAGTCGATAAATCGAAATGGTTCCTAGATAAAACACTCAAGTATAGATGTCACCAATGCTAAGGGGAAAGTTTTGCCTGATACTCTTAAGGACGCTGAGTGCCGCGTAAGGCCCCTGGTCCGGGAGGAGGGCTCTCTGGGCTCGTCTGGCTTGGGCATGTAGACCGGACAGCTCCCCGGGCCAAGGGCGCTTACCCCGCGGACCACCGCAGCACGTCGGCCGGCTGGGTGCGGATGGCAGCCTTGGTGAATTGCTTCAGGATGTCCGGCAGCTCCGGGGGAATGTGGATCTGCTGAGCGCAGAACATGGTGTCGGGAAGCGGCATCGCTCTCCGCAGAAGGGACCAGGCTGGTGAATCGCGGCGCGCTGCGAGGAAGAAGGGCGGCTGTCGGCTACGACGCGGTGGACCCGCTAGCAGCGCGGGGCTTGCGGCCAGGGCCGCCTCCCATCCCGTTCCCGAGGTTGGGGCCGGATTCGCGGGGCTCTTACCCGCTCCTCCGCGGGCTTCGGGAGAAATTCGGACCAACTGCCACTCCGACAACACCCTAGACCCTGCAGTTCCCTAGCGCCAGCCGCCACTACGGACGCGCTCGGTATCCAGGCACCCGGGACGCGAGCAGGCCCCGCCCCTGGAGCCGCGCACGCGCACGCGGCCCTGAGCGAGGCGGGGCTGCTCCCGGGCTGGACAAGGAGGTGCTGGCGTAGTCCGACTAGCAGCAGCCGCTGCTCCCCGGTGGTTCAGAGCCGCGCGAGCTGAGCGTTTCGCCTACAAAAGCATCTTCGGATCGGTTTCCCACCGCCGAATGTGAGCGGCGAACTCACGAAGGACTCCCTCTTCCCCTTGCTCTGGCTGCGTGAGGCTGAGGCTAGGGGACTCGGGCCTGCTAGGAGGGAAGCGGGTTAAGTGAAGGGGCTGATCGCCTGGGCGGCACGGGCCCCGCTGCGGGACCCGCCTGCGCCTGGGGCCGCTCCTCCAAACTTCTCGGGCTTCGAACTTCGCACATGCTGTTCCCTGGCCTAAGCCATCCCGTAGTGAACCTGAGTTCTTAATTTAAAAAGCCGCTTAGACAGTGGGCAGTTTCCAGCTAAAACACTATTGTATTTGTTTTCTTACGATAGGTTGCTTGAGCCAATGTGACTGGCTCTAGGAGGAAATAAATCACATCTGTCAAAAGAGCCTCGAGTCGAAGGATAGGAGAAACCTCGAATTTGGTGGGTGCTGACCAAGGCACCATGCAAGGGGTTAACTTTGCTTTAGGGGGTGACCTGGCTGGCTGCTGCAGTTGCCGTTAACAGCCACCGAATGGATGAGACTCCAGATCCACCTCCTCCTGCGTTCCTCAAAACAGGAAGATGGAGAACTACGGAGAGCTACTTCCCAGAGGGGCCGATGGCAAGCACTCCCTTCAAGGAAACTGGGGAAGTTGCCCGATTTTGATCGTTTCCATCCAAACACCCACCAGACAATATATACATACACATTTCTAAATTAACAGCATTGGCAAAAACTGAAAATACTTGTATTTAAAGTTGATGACAGTATGAAAACAAGAAATCCGTCCGGGCGCGGTGGGTCACGCCTGTAACCCCAGCACTGATCACAAGGTCAGGAGTTCGAGACTAGCCTGGCTAACATGGTGAAACCCCCTTCTCTACAAAAATTGGCTGGGCGTAGTGGCGCGTGCCTGTATTCCCAGCTACTTGGGAGGCTGAGGCAGGAGAATAGCTTGAGCCCGGGAGGTGGAGGTTGCCGTGAGCAGAAATGGCACCACTGCACTCCAGCCTGGGCGACAGAGTAAGACTCTGTCCCCGCCCCCCTCCACCCAAAAAAAGAAAAAAAAAAAAAGGAATCTTCTATGTTGTTGAGAGGGATGTTAATTAGTACCTTTATGGGGCAGTAATGTAACACTAAAATTTTTCGATGATCGTGCAATATTACTTCTGGGAACTTACCCTACAGAAATACTATAAAAAGTAATATGGACAAAAATCTTCACCATATAAATTGGGTAAATGTCTTTTGGAAAACAAATCATGGCCTGGCCACACAATGGTATGAAAAGATGCCCGTGTAAAGTGAAAAAAAGCATCTTGTCAAACAATCTGCATAGTATGACACCTTTATTGTGATAAATGATTCTGTGAAGGTATGTCTGGAAGCACACAACTAAACTATTAACAGCAGTTACCTCTGGGAAATAGGACAGGGATTTCAGGTTTTATTTTGGCCATAGACACATTATTTTGATTCTAAATTCATCATTTATTTACTAACTTAGCATTACTATTGAGTACCAAATATTTGCCAGGGAATTGTTCTGGGAATACAGTAATAATTCAGTTTAAAAAAATAAAATCTTTGGAGCTTACATTCAAGTGGGAAACAACATGCAAATATAAACAACAAAGGTAAACCATATAGTATGTTTAAAAGTACAAAAGAGAGCCGGGAGTACAAAATACAGCAGGGAGATGAGACAGGAATGCCCCAGTAGCTGCAGCTTTAGATAAGCCTCAGTGAGAATGACACTTCAGGAAAGAAATGAAGAGGCTAAAGAGCCTGAAGAACATTTGGGTATTGCAAATAGTAAGTGCAAAGGCACGAAGGCCTGACCTGTTTTGGAGGCAGGGAGGACGGCAGGAGCAGGGTGAACACAGAGGTGATGGGGTCAGAGAAGGGAGAAAAGGGGTGCTTCATGTTTTGCCCAGCATTGAAGGCTATTGTGGACTTTTGAGTGCCATGGTCGTCTATTGGAGAGTTCTGAGGGTTGGTGTGATCTGACTTGGATCTCAAGAAGAACATTCTGGATTCAATGTTGAAAACAAATGGAAAAGGAGAGAGAGCAGGGGCAGAGGCAGCAAGCTCAGGAGAAACAGCGATTAAGTAAACAATGGGTTTACTTGTTCAGTTTTGAGACTTCTTTATGTAATCTAGATGCAACTCATTTATCAGAAATGTTTTGCAAATATTTTTCTGCCACTCTACAGCTTGTCTTTTTGTTCTCCTTATGGTACCTTTCAAAGAGAAGTTCTCAATTTTGATAAAGTACAATTTATCGATTTTTCCTTCATGGATTGTGCTTTTGGTGTTGGATTTAAGAAATCTTTTCCTAACCCAAGGCTGAACACGTTTTCCTTGTTGTCTTCTAGAAATTATACAGTTTTGGGGAACTATAATCCATTTGGACTTTAATCTTTGCCAGTGTTAAGATATGGATCAATTTGTTTTTAATTTTGCATCTGATGCCCAATTATTCCAGCATCATTTTTTCAAGACCTTTGCACCTCTGTCAAAAACCAGTTGTCCACATACATGTTGGGTTATTTCTGGACTCTATTCTGTTCCATTAGACCAATGCACAGCCAGCAGAAGGGACTGATCCCAAAAACATATGAGTGAATGAAGAGGAGTACTGGGTATGAAGCTTCTCATCTTTAGGTGTATCCTAAAGAAGAGTTACTGAACAAACACAGAGAAGCAGAAAAACTCCGGCACTGTTACATATGTGAAGAAAAGTTTCAAAATGATAACTAAACAATGTAAAATGAGGCAAAAAGGGGCCTCTACGTAGTGTTTACGTATGAGTGGTCTTAGAGAAGTGTGTGACTAAGTAGAACTAGATTGCAGAAGGCTGAAAGAGTAATGGCAGGGGGACCTACATATACCAAACAGTCACTAAGGAAGTGGCTAGGCCATCTCTCCCGGGTGAACCTTTCTCTGTGTTCCCCATGGCATTTTATTCATACCTCTGTAATACAATCTTTTGCTCATGCTTCTGTTCCATTCTGAGTTCCTTGAAGGGAGACATCATACCTCATTCAACTACAGTACTAAATACAGTGCTAGAAACAAAACAGACACCAAAATAAAAACATGGAGGAGGAGGGGAACGTTACCCTCTCAGCCCCTTGATACGTTAGTTCTCCTTATCACTACATGTTTGCAACAAGAGTAGCTATGAACTGTGGAGCGGAAGGGGGAAATTAATGGCCAGTTTCTGAACTTGACCATGCAATTTCCTTTGCTGAAAAATTTCAGCTTCACAGATTAAAGATGTCTATGGTTCGAATAGCATTTCCTCTATCACCCCTGCATTTAAAGTAATTAAAAATGCACTTGTTTGGGGGAAAACAATCATGGAAAAAATTCTGAACCTATAAACAAAGAAAAATTAGAAATAGTCTGAAGCAAAAGGATCTCCTCAGGGCACTCAGAAGGAAAAAAACATCACGCAAGTCTTTCCTTTTTATCTGGGACATATGGTCAGGTATGTACAATGGATTTGATTGGTTTTACTCTAAGTATTCAGCTAAAAGACAACCTTAGTGAAACTGACTTTCTGATCTCGTAGCAGACATGCAGAAGTGGGCAGTAGCTTGCTATTGCACAAAATGTGGGGCCTTACTCTTCCCAGTGAGGACGGTCTACAGTTCAAGTTAGGGAGACAGAAGGGGAGGGATGTGTCCTCTGCAACTATGCATTTAAATGTATACATAAAAGGGAGTCGCCACAGTCACATTTAACTGGAGTTGTTTTTCCTTCCTATTATAACATCTGGATTATCTATGCTGGCTAATAATGCATATTTCTGCAATCTTAAAGCAATCTTGCAATAACACAAAAACAAACAAAAAAACTAGACTACAATTAACATTCACTTTATTCAGTTTTGTCCTCTCAACTTAGAAGGCAACAAATGACCACATTAAAAAGGGAGCATTTCAGAATATATATACATAAAATTGGTCTGGGTACCCTAAGGTGTTTGCGTTGATAGAAAATTGACACCCCAAACTAAGTGTTCTACTTAGCTTCTACAATAGTTATTCCTAGACCTTAGATTAGTCATTACATTTTTATTTAAGGTACTATGTTACTTTCATGACTACAAAATGAGGCACTCGTACAAAACAGGAATGAAAACATACATATACTGTCTTGTCTTTATGTCGTATTAATGCCAAAGATATTGTCAGGGATTATTTTAAAGAAGCCCTTACTCATGATGGCTATTTTTAAAAATGGCACAGGACAGTAACAGGCTGAAAAGAAAACACCTGGTTGAGGGGACAAATTAAGTAAATACAAGACAGCTTAACCAAGGAAGTCAGCGAATCTCCACAAATGAGGCTTTTAATAATACTTTACTGGTAAGACATTTTAGTTGGGTTTTTTTTTGATGGCTGAATAACATCCTAAAGAAGTATTTTAAATATAATCTTTTAATTTTACAATGTAGAAAACTTCTCACAGTAAGTAGAGAGCTTAGAGTACTCAACCCTGAAAATGAAAATAAGTAGCTAGCTTGGAAAGTTTTAAAAAGCGCCAGTGTTCTTATGGCACTACATTCTCCTGCACGTGTGCGTGTGTTCACGCACATTCGCAAACGCAATACAATGTAGAACTGTCCAGTGTTTGTTTTGTTTTAAAAAGTCATCAATTCAACCTAAATTCAAGAATTACACTTTAATAGTGGCATTTTGCCAATACAGAAATGACGTATCTTGGATCAAATCATTTTAAGGAAAGTTATTCTATATTACTTGAATAAGGGAAAGAAAATACACAAGACAAGAATCCACAATAATAGCAGTTACATTAAATGTTGAAATAAAAATTACTTTTTGTTTACATCTGGAATTGAGATGGCCCATCTTCATTGTTTCTCCAGAGTACTAAGAGGGGGAAAAAAGTCACCTAAAAACATGGGAAGTTTTTTAAGGCTAGCTATACACAAACGTCACATTGGCATTTTTCTTCAGTTTTCATCTCAACTATTAGTACTAAATAGTTTAAAAATCAAACATAATTTACTAATAATGAACAACTGCACACTTCATACTATGACCGTTTGATAACTGGTCATGTAAAACTATCACCAAATGCTGATTTGTCTTCTATATATAAATAGTAAAAATAAAACAAAAAGGTCTTCTTTCCTAGTTAACCTTCTTGAAGGTTGTTTTAACCCAATATAAAATTAAGCAAAATAATAGTATAATTTAAAAAAAAATTTATGTGAAGAAGGGCAGCAATACTAACATTTTCTGAACTATGGGTTTTCAATATTTAAAAGGCTCTTGGTTAAATACTAAAACCCGGATGCTACCCAAGCAAATATTATGCTGGAAAATGCTTTCCCTATGAAAATACTTATCTCATTGAAAACAACACGATAAAGTACAATTGAAAAACTAGGGGAGAATTCTTAAGTAAGACAATATAAATTACCTGCCAGTAAAATGGAGGGCAATTTTTTGGCCATTCATATTGTTTGTTTACAAAACATTGATAAGATTCATTTAAAATTCTGTAGGATTAAGAATTTTTAACCTTTTGAAGTATCTGCCTAGGATCTCTTGCTGTTAAAACAGATATGTTCCAATGACTTTATACCAAGATCCACAAATTCTTTGAAAAATTAAAAAACAAAACAAAACAAAACAAAAAACCCAAAATTAATATAATCAAGTTGGCCAGGCGTGGGGGCTCACACCTATAATCCCAGCACTTTGGGAGCCCAAGGAGGACGGATCACCTGCAGTCAGGAGTTCCGAGACCAGCCTGGCCAACATGGTGAAACCCTATCTCTACTAAAATAACTAAAATAAGCCAGGTGTGGTGGCACGCACCTGTAGTACCAGCTACTTGGGAGGCTGAGGCAGGAGAATCGCTTGAACCTGGGAGGCAGAGGGTGCAGTGAACCAGGATCGTGCCACTGCACTCCAGCCTGGGCAACAGAGTAAGACTCTGTCTCGGGGGCAAAAAAAAAAAAAAAAAAAAAAAAAAAAAAATATATATATATATATATATATATATATATATATATATATATATATATATATATATATAGTTATATAGTTATATAGTTATATGCTCAATTCAATAATAATGTTTTTCTCCCAAAGAGAGCAATTTAGAAATACACTATGACAGGCAGCATTATATTTTAAAATCCTAATTTTTTATAGTAGGACTAAATTTCTGAGTAAAGGTAGGGCTAACAAAGACCTTATTTCAAATGAGAGAAAAGGCTGCTCTAAAGTGCCAAAGAGTATAACACTGAATCCTATGTCAAGCATTATTTCTGATACTGATTTTTTTTTTTTTTTCCAATTTTGCCTAGGTTGGCCTCGAACGCATAGCCTCGCCTCCTTGTGTGCCAGGACAACCGGCCGGAGCCACCGCAGCTCCCGATACCGATGTTTTTAAAAATATGTTTTAAAGTAATTGCTTACCACTTAGGGAAAAAATTGTTGAAGTATAAAACAGCCAGAACACATTGCTCTTTATTTTGGTAGCTTATGTTTGGCTGACTTGCATATGTTAAAAAATTCTCAGATTTTAGTCTATGGATTTTAATACTATATGAAAATTCTTTTATAGTTTCTGAAGACCTATGTTATACGCTTTCTATGAGAACTTCTAAATTATCGTTCAAAAACAAACACTACCCTTACGATATACCTTTAGCATTAAACATTTAGATCATGTACCCAACCATTCTATTTTTCTAAACTTCTAACCTGAAGCTTTGGTTATGAGGGAAAACAAAGTTTGTAAGGGTTCAGTTCTCTGAGATTTTTCAGAATGTTTCCAACGAAATACATTCCTATGTTAAAAGGCCAGCTCAGCCAAGCTTCCTTCTGGACAAATAATGAATTGGTTTTATTTGAAGTTTTATTCTGTAAACAAAAAGCTTTGGAAACTTTGGGATTTCCTGATGAAAAGCTAGGAGAAATGCACACCTAGTCCTCAGCCAACGAGGCACTAACCAGCGAGACCAGATGTTCTAACCAGTCTTCTCTAATGCTGTCAATCTAAGACCACAACCACATCTATACTTCACAAGCATCTCAGAAGTCCTAAATCCAGTAAGATGCAGTACAGTTGGTGATGTCACTCTGAAAGATTTATGACCTTGCAGGACTTTCGGCCACTGCTACAAAAAATAAACAGATAGTTGTGTGTGGAAAAGAGAGGATGTGGGTGTGGGGTGGGGGCGGGCGGGGGGGCTGACTCATGAAAATCTTCATTTGGACTTTTTTTCTCTAAGTATAGACATGCCCCACTGAAACCCAACTCCCAATGCTGATCACACTAGGAATATTAAATTATCAAAATTAAAAATAATTTCCTCACCTAGCACAAGATACTATACAATATTACAAACACAGACACATGAAAAAAATCAGGCAGTAGGAAATGTACAACAGCTTTGGTGTTATACAAAATAACTTCCACAAACAACTAACAGTGAAGCATAAAGTTCATGTTTTCTTACCACAGACACTCCACTGCTGATTTCTACTTGTTTCCTTTAACGTTCTTGGTAAGGTCTGAATAGCCAAGAAAGAAAGAATGTACAGTTCCCTTAGTGAGAGCTGCTAGGACATCATGAACTGCGTTCCACAAGGCGTCACTGAAAAGTCTTGCCTGCGCACTACTGCTCTGTGGCACGTTTCCTGTCGAGATCACAGCAGGTCCAAAATAAAGTGACAACTAGATTTAATAAATTAATATACATTTTGTTTAAAGATGTACAATGCACATTCTGTTTAATCCAAGGTTTTAGGGTATCAAGGAACTTGTATTTACACATATACAAATCTCAGACAGCAGTAATGTCAGAAGATCCAGGGAGAACAGCAGAATCTTACACCGCTGCTCTCTGAATGCTGAGAACACAAGTCAAATACATTTAACTTAAAAACAACGCTGAGAGATCACTGGGAAAAATCTCCAAAGAGAGAAGTCCACAAAAAAGGACATGTAAAGGGGAAGGTCAAGTTGTTGAGACAACTACTTTATTCTTGGGATGACTGTGGAGGTGGTGGAGATGAGCCTTGTTTGCCAGATTTCCGTTCGTAGTTCACGAGTCGTTGACCCACAAGGTACCTAGGTTGCAAAAACAAGGTGGTTACTCTCTTCTATGAATGTACAGAGTAAAACATTCATATGTCTTTTTAAATCTAACTCCTACTTAAAACTCGTCAATGGTTGGGCAAGTCAAAGGGAGTCCCGAGTGAACACCTGTAAAGGCTGACACATCTACCTAGGTATGGGTTTGTAGGAAGCTGCAGAAGCAGCACAGGCTGGAAGGCCTCCAATGCTGTGCAATGGAGGACATGCTTCAGTCAGTGGTTTAGGGGGTCTCAGAAACTCAGACCTGTGGAGGCCAGGAGGGATACAGTAAACTTATGCAGTGGATTTATCTGTTAAGGTTCAGATTTTATAAAACAACTTAGTGGGCAGATCTAAGGAGACAGACTAAAAACATGACCATCAGAAAGCTAGGAAGGGGCTGGGCGTGGTGGCTCACGCCTGTAATCCCAGCACGTAGGGAGGCCGAGGCGAGTGGATCACCTGAGGTCAGGAGTTTCAGACCAGCCTGGCCAACATGGTGAAACCCCATCTCTACTAAAAATACAAAATTAGCTGGGTGTGTGTGGTCCCAGCTACTAGAGAGGCTGAGGCAGAAGAACTGCTGAAACCTGGGAGGTAGAGGTTGCAGTGAACTGAAATTGTGCCACTGCACTCCAGTCTGGGTGACAGAGTGTGACTCCGTCTCAAAAAAAAAAAAAAAAAAAAAGTAGGAAGGGATGAAAGTAAAACTGGAAGTTCTAGTTACAGAGAAGAAAGGAGAAATCAAAGGAGAAATTTCAGTGAAGTCAAAGGGAAGACAGCATTGCAGTGAGTGAGTATGAGTGACAGGAGGTGGGAGAATATGGTTCAACAACAGAATGGCAAGTGTTCCTAACTTATGTATGTGATGAAAGGAGAAGGCAATGGCAAAGGCCACAGGGCTGCAGAAACAAGGCAGATGTTACTGTAGTTGGAGTGACAGGGCAGGAGATCCTACTCAAGGAGACAGACATCTCCAATGCCAGGGAAGGGCGACAGCTGCATCGAAGGCTCACTGAAGGCCTGCCTTACTTAATGTGAGCAGATGGCTTGCAGGCTGATCCCAAGAGGACAGCAGGGACAAAGCTGGAAAGCAACAAGCTGTAGGTGGCTGGGCACAAGTGTGAAGGGCACCCATTTGGAGGCAGAGATGCAGATCAGGGAGAATGTCCAGTAAAAGCCCACAGAGTTGAGTGAAGGAGACTGAGGGAGAGTGAAACCTGCACATGACAGGCTGTCAGGTAGCTTTCCTTCGTCCCTTTCCTCCATTTACTCATCAGTGAAATGAGACCGACAGTCCCACGCTGCAGCATTGTTTTAAGAAAGGGAAAGTGTATGCAGCCCGGTGACAAAGGCTTAGCATGTTGTAAGGGCTCACTGTGGGAACTCTTACTTTTCACCAGTACCTTCTCTACCTTGACTTTTATCTATCACTTTTCTGTAAATGCACACAAGCCTAAGGAAATATTTTGGCAGTTTATGTCCAGTAGCTTAATATGTCACTTTTTTAAAAGTACGCTAATCTTACTGCATCTTTATCCATAATGTCACTGTTTTATTCCTTTTCTTTTGTCTTACCTTCTTTTCTTGAAGTTAGCCATTCCTTACCCCACTGTTCCCCAACCAACCACTGATTTTAAAACTTTGAGAATTTTGTAAATATTTTAAACAGTGAAGGCTGAGCAATATCTACTAAAATATACACAGCACTACCTGGCACACAGTAATGACTAAATAGCAAGATACACTAAAAATATGGTCAGCATTATGGCAATGACAAAGTAAGTAAATAAAAAGCATACAGAAACCAAGTTAAATTGTACAAGTCCAAAGAGTAATTCAGTGGCAGAGAAAGGAGACTCTGAACCCAACTCCCTCTCTTCCACCACCACTCACTCTCTCATACTCAAGCCCACCACACACACACATACACTCTCACACACACACACACACACACACACTCACTCACTCTTAGCACCTCCCACAGACCAAACCCTGTGCTAAAGAGTACATATACAACAGCTGACAAGACATGCCCTCACTTAAGTCTACAGTTCAACACCTTTCTGCATAAAGGAACAGATGGGAAAAGAGGAAAGAGGACACTGGGCTACAGGAAAAAGCAGAAGAAGATAGAGCATGAGAAAGAAGAGGTCAATGGGAACGTCTAGACCCCTGGCAAAGGCTGAGAAGGGCAGGGTGCAGAAAGGCAGGCATCCAGCATAAAGAAAGAAGCAGGTAGAAAGTTCCCTGAGGGCACGTCTTGCTTGTCATTCTGTTTGCAGTATTTACTCCTCTGCCAAAAAGTTGAGTGCTAAGAAGTTGATTTTCATCATTGAAAATACCCCTTCCCCTTCTTTCAGTTGACAGTCCTTTGTACTCTGACTGCCTAAGTGTACTTGTATTTTTTACTGTCAGTAAATGCTTTGGAGAAGTCTTGAACACTATAAATTTCATTCTCAAAAATCTTACTCCTCAGAATAAATAAGGTAACTCTATAATTTGTTGTGCAAGGGGGGACAAGCACAAGTAAAAGGGGGTAGTGTTAATGACACAAAGGCAGCAGGTATAAACTGGGACTCTCTTGGCCGACTGAGATGGATAAACCATAAACTCACTTTCTCTGCTAGAACCCATTGAAGCAGATGATTCAGCCTACAGTTCGGACATAAAGGTCAAATATTATCCCAGGAAGGTGTTTTCCTTGGCTTTCCTCAATCTCTCACTGAGATCAAGTGACAGAGTTTTCAATGGTTTCCTCAAAACAGAGAGTCCCACAACATTTTTGCAGTAACCCTCAAGCCTCTCTGTGCAACCTCAGAGTAACCTAGTGGCCCTCTATAAGCAAGAGGGGCTTATGCAGGCACTGCTAGTTTCTAATGCAGGCTTCTTATTTTTATCTAAAACTGTTTAATATACTGTCAGACCAGAACATTTGAAAACAGACTGAAAAACTATTTGGAATGGACATTAAAAAATCTCTTGGCTGGGTGCAGTGGCTCACACCTGTAATCCCAACACTTTGGGAGGCCAAGGCAGGTGGATCACGAGGTTAGGAGATCGACACAATCCTAGCCAACATGGTGAAACCCTGTCTCTACTAAAAATACAAAAATTAGCTGAGCATGGTGGTGCACACCTGTAATCCCAGCTACTTGGGAGGCTGAGGCAGGAGAATCGCTTGAACCTGGGAGGTGGAGGTTGCAGTGAGCCAAGTTCGCACCACTGCACTCCAGCCTGGCAACAGAGCGAGACTCCGTCTCAAAAAAAAAAAAAAAAAAACCACCACCAAAAAAAAAAAACCTCCCTCTCCAAAACAGTTTCACCCAGTCTTTTCCAGCTCCATAAATGACAACTCCATATTCCCTGTGTTTGGGCCAACTAAGTCCTTGATTCCACTCTCCTTCACATGTCACAATCTGTCAGCAAACCTTGCTAATCCCACCTCCAAGTATATCCAGAATCTGAGCATGTTTCCCTCCTATGATTTGTCACATCAGATACATAAATTAAGAAGTGAAAACACTTAAACAAGAGACGAACAGAACGCCAGACTTACTTGTCATTTTTAATATGTTCATAAAGGCGCTTAAACTGGCGGACTTGGAAGGACAAAATTGCCATCAATACCACGACCATCAGTAAAAATGGATAAATCCGCCGATGGACTAAGTTTTGCATTTCCGCAGTAACACCTAGAAAACCAAAAAAGAAAAACTTTCAGTGTATGTGAAATAACAGTGACATGAAACGTAAACATGTCCTTCCCCTAGAAGAATGGACTGGGGCAGACAAGCTTTCTAAGCCCCAGGTCTGTTAACTTTCTACAATCTGTGTAGGTCATGAGCCCTTTCTGACCCCCAACTTTCTCATTTGTAAAACAAGGAGGCCAGGCATAGTAGCTCGCGCCTGTAATCCCAGCACTTTGGGAGGCCAAGGCGGGCGGATCACTTGAGGTCAGGAGTTCTAGAGCAGCCTGGCCAACATGGTAAAACCCTGTCTCTACCAAAAAATACAAAAATTAGCCAGGTGTGGTGGCGTTGCACCTGTAGTCCCAGCTACTCAGGAGGCTGGGGTGGGAGAATCGCTTGAACCTGAGAGGTGGAGGTTGCAGGGAGCCGAGATCAATCAAGCCACTGCACTCCAACCTGGACAACAGAGTGAGACCCTGCCTCAAAAAAAAAAAAAAAAAGGAACTGGACGAGATGACTTCTCATGTTCCACAAGCAGTGGTGTCATTGATACATTTCTACTGCACCACAGTTTAAAGAAGCAAAACCAAAACTGTGCTTATATAATAAAAAAATCCTCAAACTTTTAGAACACACATGTATTTATTTTTCTATATTTAACTCATGAGTTTTAATACTTCTTTGGCAGAGGGGACTGGGGGGCTTTAAAATCAGAGCAAGTACTTTCGAGGAATTCAGAAAATTAATACCGTCAGGTGGATTATTCCAAACACCACAATAGTGTGCTGTGCATAAGCTCTGGAGCTGAGTTTGAAATCTGAATGCTGCTCTTACTCCTTAAAAACCAGACTTTGGGGTAAGATTCTCAATCTCTATGAACCTCAATTTCCCATTTCTAAAACAGAGTTGACAAAACATATTAAAAAGCTACCCTAAGAATAACATGTAAGAATTACATAAAGCATCTAAACAGGGCAAAACAGGTACCAACATTTTTCATTTGCCACTCTTTTTCCCTTCCAAAGTCTTTCCAGAAATGCTCACAATAAAATTTTTAAAAATGAAAACATGAATGACTGGGTTGGAAATCCAAATTCTTAAGTCTATATACTATTAATGGGCAGAACATAATATATGCTAATTAGAATAAAAAAGAAAATAGGGCATTCCTACTCTAGACAAAACCAGTAAAGAGATTGTTCTAAAGAGTCAAAATAATTTAATTTTAAAGACGTATTCAACTAATAAGCAATGCGCTGGGTGTGGTAGCTCATGCCTGTAATCCCAGCACTCTGGGCGGCCGAGGGGGGTGGATTATCTGAGGTCAGAAGTTCAAGACCAGCCTGGCCAACATGGTGAAACCCTGTCTCTAACAAAAAGACAAAAATTAGCTGGGCATGGTGGCGCATGCCAGTAGTCCCAGCTACTCAAGAGGCTGAGGCAGGAAAATCGCTTGAACCCAGGAGGTGGAGGTTGCAGCGAGCCGAGACTGCACCACTGTACTCCAGCCTGGGCAAAAGAGCGAGACTCCGTCTCTCAAAAAAAAAAAAAAAAAAAAAAAAAACTAAAAAGCAATGGGCTTTGAAATATATTTTGCAGGAAATATATATTTGCATTTTAATATGGTATTTATGATACTTGGCATAGTCACAATTCAAACCAAATAAAAGCCTTGAAGTTTCTACTTAGAAGGAACCAGGAAATGATGCAGTTTGCACACTGTGGGCCCTCAGCTTAACTGTTCCCTGTTTCCCATGCCATCCTGCAGACTGAGGGATACATTGCTCAGCCTCTCTCTATACAAACCTGTGTTGAGCAATTTTTTTTTTTTGAGACAGGGTCTTGGCCTGTTGCCTGGGCTAGATTGGAGTGTCACAACCTGAGGTTAGCCCTGAACTCCTGGGTTCAAGCAATCCTCCTGCATCAGCCTGCAGGGCAGCTGAGATTACAGGTGTGCGCCACCACTCCCAGATAATTTATTTTTATTTTTTTTAGAGGTTGGGTCTCGCCATGTTGCTCAGACTGGTCTTCAATTCCTGGCTTCAAGCAACCTCCCACCTCAGCCTCCCAAGTAGCTACTGCACATGGCTAATATCTTTACTGTCTAAGAAGCAATGAGACTATTAGAAGTCAAACCAGTGGCAAAAGGTAAAGAAGGGCACACACACAAAGGGCTTCCAAAGGGCTGGAAAAGTTCTATTTCTTGACCTAGTAAGGTAACATACAAGTATACATGTTACACTGCAAGTTTGGTTGTGTGTTTTTTTTAAGCTCCTCTCTCACGGTTAAAGGGAGGACGGGGTCATTTCTGGCAGATGGATAAGACAAATGAAAATGTGGAGACAGTTATGGAGAGGACATTGTGTGTTTGATAAGAGGCCATTCCATGGTTGTTTAATCAAAACTCAGAGTATATGACATGGAGTGAGGTCAAACTGAAGCCCACATCAAAGCAAAAGGAGGAGCCTTGTAAACTATGCCAAAAGGTTGGACTGCATTAAAGGCCACAGAGGAACCAATGAAAAAAATGTTCACCAAAGAGGTACAATGAGATTCATTCTTTTGAAAGGTCATTGTGCCCAGTGTGGAGAAGGAATTAGTGATGGCAGGTTCAAGGCTGGGAAACCAGATAGGAAGGTGCCAAAGTTAGGGTAGGAGACGAATGACTCAACAAAAGTCAGGAGCAAAGGCTCCAGAGACGAGAGACCAGATTCTTCAGGGAAGAATGGGACACTTGGAGACCAGAGGGACATGGAGGACAGAATAAGGTGACATGGATAGCCTTCAAGGTTTCTGACTTATGCAATTTGTTGGATGATAATGTTTGCTGCTGAGAGACGGAATTCTGGAGAAGAAAAAGATTTGGGAAGGAAAAGTCTCTGCTTATAATTTTGAAAATATGTTGGGTTTAAGGAGCTATGAGGAGTCTTCACTACACAATCAACAAGACAGTGTATTTCAGTATAAACGTGTTGCCCATTAGCATCTCCTCTTTGGATCTTTTATGCCAAAGAATATTTCTTTAAAACTTAAATACAACAACACTGTTACTTAATTTTATATGATCACAGCACTTCTAGTCAGAAGAAGACAACCTGAAGGAAATCTGATCCTGCCTATTTTGTACAGCATGTAAATTTCAAGTTTTATCTTCTGGTAGAGAAAAGAACTGTATCAAAGAGCTTTATGATCCTCTAATCTTACCCAGAATAGTCAAATCTAAGAAAAGTGGTATTTTGAAATCATTGTCTTAGCTGGATTCACATTTACAAATAAAGCATATGGAGTGAGACATCCTTTTTACTAGGGGTAAAGAGAATGTCCAATGTTAATAAAAGTGCTCCTTCAAGGCTCCACAACCAGCATTACGTACCTAGTAAAGGAACAACACCAGAAGCTATGACATAAGGTACACACAGGGAAAGCAACAGCACAGAGATCACGGGAGCTGCCAGTTTACGAACAATATAGTGAAGGTCAATGTTCCGGATGCCATTTGCGTAAACCTGAAACATTACAAAAAGCAATTAGAACAAAGATACAAGACAAATTCCTCCAAGTTAATACAGCAATCTCCACACAACTGAATCTGCCAACCCAAAAATAGTCAAACTGGTTACTTCTTCTAAAGTCAAGGCAAATTCTGGTATATCAACATAAGCATAGTGCCCACGAGTTTCTGAAGAAATGTATTTACCCACTAACGCTCTGCAGTTAGCTCTGCTAAGTGATGAAATAAGACACTAATCTAGAATAATTTATACTCTACTTGCACTATACAATACCAGATGACATTCAGTGGTATTCATTCAAGACCACATTACTTGAAGTAACTTCATACATCTTATGAAAGAGATACGTAATATGTAATATTGTGTTATTATACAATATTGCATTCATTTTATCTGAGTATGATGAGAAAACACTGAAGCAGGAAGCGTTTCTGAAAAGCTTGCATAAATCAAATTTTAACAAATCAAAAGGTATTTAAAAATTTAGTATGAAAGAATTCTATAGTGAATATAAAAAAAGCAAGTCCAAGAATTACTAGAATATTTCCATCATCTTATCCAGAAAATTCTACAAGAGTAATGCAGAGGAAAGAATGGATGGAAATGGGAAAACCCTGGGAACAGAAAATTTAGATGGAGTGCAGACAGAAACAAGGCTTAGAAGGCTGTTATTTTCTTCTCCTCTTGCCTCACCAGCAGCACTTAAACCTCTCTTAGCTGTGACTGAATGTAGCATAACTCAACCCCATCACCTCGGAATTTGAATGGCAAACATGCTTAACCTTTTAAAGGCATGCTGCCATTCCCAAAGACACCTAGTTAACCCAAATGCATTTTAATCAATGAAGCAAGGCATCCCAGTGTTTCTCAACCATTTCCAACCATTTTTCTTAAATTTACAGAGACACACACGCACATACGCAAGAGAAAACAATGAATAAGATAACAAATTATTTAGAAGATCAATGATGTTCCACAGCCTCCAGTATGAATAAATCCCATCTCCATGCTCCTTTTTCAAGGGCCAGAGGCTAACCTGGCCATTCTAGAGTGTACTGGCCTGCACTCTGATCCTGAAGGGATATGAAGCCAGAAGCCCCCAATCCATCACACTCCTGGTGGACTTCAGAATTAGCCCATACTTTAGAGACACACACAAACACACTGCAATTTGCTGGCTCCCTAACCCCCCTACTCCTAAGAATCAAAATCTTGAAATACAGGCACTTTTTGAACAGATTTTCTTGAGCATGCTTGGCTAACTACTGTCTTTACTTCTCATACAGCAAAAAGAGGTGTACTTTACTGCTGCAGAACTGTTATGTCTTACTTATGTGGCACTGGCCTAAGGATAAGAGGGGTCCCCACAAGTACATTTGCCATATAGCTAAAGCGTAAAGTAGCAGCAAAATCTGTTATGTTGGCCATTTTGGATAGAAATTTTCCTTAAATGAATTACCATACTTTCTAGTCTTATTATCGGAGTGCTAAAGCACAGTCTACCTTTTCCAAGGTATTCCCACAACAATCAAATTATCTGGCAGTTCTGTAATACAATAATAGTCTTAGGTACTATGTAGCTAGATGAAGCCAAAACAGCTCTCCTTTTGTAATGTTTTTTCCTCTGTCTTCTTTTATTACCTCGAGCAATAACCTTTCCCCCACTCCAAATCTACTACAGGCTTAGAAACATTAATATCAACCTTCACCAGAAAAAAAGCACGTATTTTCATTTTTGTCTCCACTATGAACAGGGTTCTAGATACCGTAAGCTACTGGTTAACCTTCAGATAAAGGATGGCTTAAACGTGGTTGATGAAAATTCATGGGAGTATAGAAAACCACAATATGCCACCCTAAAAATATGCCTCTTAGGCATAAGGATTGTTTTGAGTTGAATGCAACTGAGAAAGAATAGATGCAGGAAAACTTTCCGTCCTCCCTCTATTGCCTAGAAGCAGAATATAAATGTATAAAGACAAAAGGTAGCCCACCCCACTTCCCTACACCATGAAGGACAAAGATTACCCACTGAAGAGAGCTTTGGGCCTTTCTGGGCCTCTAGATGGCACCAGAGGAATCAACACTGCCAAGCTTTACTAAGGAGCCGCATCTGCCAATTTTTTGCTTCCCCTCACTTGCCACCCCTAGAGACTCAAAGTCCTTTTCCTTCATCTTGTCACTTCTCTAAAAATTTATTATTCTTTGTTGAAGATTCGTTGGAATTCAAAGCCACCTCTTTGAAATTACTCATTCCCTGGGTATCTCCATGTATATATGAAATATGTACTTTAATAAACTTTTGTTTTTCTGTTGTCTTTTATTAAAGGGTTCCATTTTAACTAAAAAAAACAAGGGTTGAGAACAAATTATTTTCCTCCCCTACAGTGGTAAAACTAAACTGCTGTCTTTAAAAAAAAAAAAAAAGGTTATATATGCCCATCAAAAAAAATGTAGAAAACTCAGCAAGGTAGGAAGATAAGAAATAAGAGTTATAGCTGCCAAACATAAACACAACCAATTCCAGAATGTCTTTCTCTGAAAACTGATTTTGCTTACCTGTTCAATTACAGTTTTCAACCACCACTGAGGACCCATCAATGTTATAGCTGCAATGATTTTGGCATGCAGGACTCCAAGTGCCCAGTCCTAGGGAATTAAAAACCATTTAACATATTTCTGTTGTTTTTTAACAATAAACACAGCAGAGAGGCTGTATAATTTTCTTACATTATTTCACATCAAAATAGAAGTTCTATAGGATTGGCAACAATTTTACAAAAGACTAACGTACTGAAAACCCAGAGAATTTTTTTTCTTCAACAGCTCAAATTCAATGTTTCCATCAAAAATTGTTCTTCTATCTTTTAAAAATCTATATTGTTTTCCCAAGAGTTAGAGAAAGTCTGGTCATTAATGGATATCTCAAAAAGCAAATAAAATAAATGCCAAGATTTTATTTCAAACTATCTTTAGGCTATTTCATTGGTTTCAAGTGAGCTGATTTATGTCAAATTAAGACTGTGGAGCAAAGTTTGGCCTAAGAAACCATTCTAAAGGCTCACAGATAGCTTCTAGCTTGAAGCATTTGTGGTTCTACTGGGGAACTGTTACTAGGTTCCTCCTCATGGTGCAACGGACTCTTGGCCTGCCCACCCTCCAGCTCTCCACCAGACAGAGTGATGACTACTTCCTCCCTCCCCACAGCCCCCTTCCCCACCACCACCAAGTATCTCTTTAAATGCAAATCAGATCATGAACGTAACTTCCCTGCTTAACAACCCTGAAGTCCTTAGCAAGGCACACAAAACCCTTTATAACCTGGTCTCTATCTAGCTTATTTAAAACAACAACAACAAAAAACGGTATTAAAAAAAAAAAAAGAAACCACATGTAACATTTAGACTGATTCTTACATAAAACCAAAATCTTTACAGAAAAGACGGGAGTCCTCTGTGATCACTACCTTAAATCCTGATCCCTCCCCAGCAATAACCACTATTAGCTTTTGGTACATACCATCCATGTTTTTCCCCATGCATTCAGCTGCATCTATACATCTATATCCCATAGAAAGTATGTAGTATCATTTTCATATGGACTTTGCTCAGATTGTTAATTCTCCTCTTCACTGTCTACCATCTTGAGGCCAATGTTCCCATTTCTTTACTGGTTTGATTGGTTATTCTAAGGATCTTCTTCAAATGGGGTGAGAGGTTGATACATACACTGAATTCTTGAATACCCTCAAATATCAATCTTCACCCTGATAGGTGAACAGCTAAATGATTTTTTGTCTGGGTAGAGGAAGCTTGGCTTTTGTCCCTTTTACCCAGTCGTCTATAAATTCTCTGATCTTATGGTTTTCAGTGCTACAGAAAAAAAGTCCAATGACAATGCAGTTTTTTGAAGCTTGTTTTGATTTCCCCGTGTCTAATAAGATATACCCAATTACGTGTTTTTATCTTGGATCTCAATCTTACCAAATCTCATGAGCCCCTTCAAACTACAGAATCAGATCTTTCTTCAATTCAGTTAAATTTTCTCCTGTTTTTGTATCAATGCTGCCTCACATTTGTTCCTTCTGGAACCCCCGTTATCAGTACGCTAAGTCTCCTAGATGTTTCCTCCAAAACATTTCTCTTTCTCAATTTCCTCTTCCGTTTTGCCCAGTGCTTTGCATTCATCTTCCAAGCCTCCAAGCCAAGCCCAGTGGTGACTGTCCACATCTTTTTTCACTACTAGATTTGTCTGAAATCTATGTCATACAGCTCCACAACAACTGCGTTCTGCTTTAGAGCTGCTGTTTGTATGTGCGTGTGAACATACTGCACTCGGCGTCCGTGTATTTCCTCTTCTCTCTGGAAGCTCATGGCTCTGCAAGCAGTGCTGTCAAACTGGCATGTGTTCTGACTGCTCTGCCTTAACTTCCTTTCTGCGGCTGCTAAGCCTCCTGCATATAAAGCACTTGTTATAATTTCCTCTGCAGCCTCAAGGAGGCTTGGGCCTGGCTGAGAATATCCTAAAGGGCTTCAAAAGGATCTTTTACGTCTTCAGACCTTTGGGATAGCCCTCCAACAGTCTCCTACTGAGGAACATGAAGAAAGCCTCCCTGCTTTTTCTCACAGGCAGGGAAGATGCAACAACCCACCAATTCAGCTTTCTCTTGGCCTTCTGGGAGTCCAGCAGACACCCAAATGAGATTAATGTTTACCCAAGGAGGTCCAAGATCACTGTGATTCGCGTTCTCCAAAAACCCACTGCTTTGCAGTCCTCTCCTGCCAGACAGGACACACCACACTAGCTGCTCTGCTAGAATTCCAACTGGCCCACTATCCCACGGAGCTGCAGCCACTTGCTGCAGGAAAGGCAAGTAGCTTAAAGTCATGAATTAAGAAAAAGCAAACTGTTCCTTCAAAAACTTGGGGGTTTAATGCAAAACATTAAGGATAGCACGCTGCACATTATCTGTCTACAGCTTGTGCTTTCCCCCAACTCAGAAACACGTCTGGGAGCTATCGATATCAAAACAAATATCTCTACTTCATTTTTTCAATTGCTGCATTGATATTCCACATTTTATTTGGGCATTCTCTATTGGTGGACATCTAGATCACTTCTCATTTTTTGCTATAAAAAATGATGTATTTGCAGAAACAGCCTTGCTCATGCCTCACAGTAGATTCTGAAAAGCCAAACTGCTGAGTCATAATATATAAGCATTTTTAAACTTTGATAGTACCAAAGAATTCTCTAAGGTGATGATGATTTCAGAAGTAATGCTGAGTACTGTAAAGACCACCAAAAATACAAGTATAACTAGAACAAGTTGCATTTATTACTCATTGCAGCAAGGGAGTAACACATCATGGAGAACTTGGGGCCCCTCAGTAAGAGTGCTAGAAAGGGGTTATTACAGGATTTCAGCTTATGTTAGGGATTTGGGGGAGGATTTAAGAAGCAGGAATTTGGTCTGTATCAGATGCTATTAGAAAGCAGAGTAATCTGTGAATGGTTATCTTAATAAATAAATCTTATCTAGAAAAAGTGGCAGAAGCTAAAACTGTAATTGGTAATGAGGCAGTAACCAATCATGTTAGCCAGTAAAGGGGAATGTTTGGTCATTTCTGTGGTTTGAATAATGCTCCTGTTCTGTCTGTGTTCAGACATGATTGCAGAGGGTCTTGCTTTTGTCTTCCTCTATCTTGATCACAGAGTGACAGTGTATGATGTTGATGTTCTGTCAAATTGTTTATGTCCAACAGGAGAACACTAAGGCCTGGCTAACAGTGCCAAGATGGCTCCTTGATGCCACGGGATGCTCTGGCCTTTTCCAGGGCTCATGCTGCGTAACATTAAAAGGCAGATAGTATCTGTTTGTCCCATTTGCAGCAGTACTTTGCTTGATCACTGACTGGGTTAGGGTATTGTCAGCCTGACCCCTCCACTAGTTGTGTGTTTCCCTTTGAGCCATAAAGTAATCCATAAGGTGACACTTTGCCACCATTCAAATAACCACTTTCACACTGCAATGTAACATACCTGCAAATTATTTTCCCATCATGTGGTAGGGGGTCTATGTCCTCTTCCCTTGAATCTTAGCCAACATTTGTTACTTGCTTATACCCAGTAAAATGTACTGAAAAGTGATGTTGTAGGCCTTCTGACATGGGGTCATTAAAGATGATGCAGCTTCTTGTTTGTGGGGTCACTCATTTCCCTGAACTACAACGTAAGAAGCCCAAATACCTTGAGGTTACTTAGCTATGAAGCAGCCCAGGCACATATAGGAGCTCCAGTCAACAGCCCCAGATGGGTAGCAACCAACAACAAGCATCAACTCTCACACTGTTAAGTGATCACTGACTGGGTTAGGGTATTATCAGCCTGACCCCTCCACTAGTTGTGTGTTTCCAGCCAAATGATTCCATCCATAACTGTCAAATCATTCCCAGCCATTGAATCTTCCCAGCTGAGTCCCAGATAGCACAAAGCAGAGGCAAAGTGATATGCCCTGTCTTAATATCTGACCCACAGACTCTATGGACAAAATTAAAATGGTTGTTTTAAGCTGCAAAGTTGCGGGATAACTTGTTACACAGCAATAGCAACTGAAGACTGATCAACCTTTCATCTGTTGGGTTCAACATCCATTAACAATCCTTGCTATAATCAATTATTTTGTTAGGTATTGCAAAATAGTATTTTTCTAATCGTGTTAATCTCTCTACCTTTATTTGCTGGCATTTTTCTGTAAAAAAAAAAAAAAAAGGTAGCTCTTTCCTTCAATTACAGATACTATTTGACTACTCTGGAATACGGCTCTTACAGAAAGGCATAACATATGCTTAATTAGATCCTCCTCAACTTACAATGATGTTAGGTCCAGATAAACCCATCTGTAATTGAAAACACTGTAAGTCAAAAATGCATTTAATACATCTAACCTACCGAACATCATAGCTTAGCCCAGCCTATCACAATGCGCTCGGAACATTTACATTAGCCTATAGTTGGGCAAAAACTTCTAACACAAAACCTATTTTATTTTTTGCCTTGTAGTATAACTGAGGCCTAACAAGCCTACGTAATTTTATAATTACGTAGTGACTATCTCATGCAATTTACTGAATACTATACTGAAAGTGAAAAACAGAATAGCTGTAGAAGTACTCAAAGTACAGTTTCTGCTGAATGTGTATCGCTTTCAACCATCAAAAAGTTAAAAAGTCATAAATCAAAACACAAGTCAGTTCTGTACTTCTTTGTATTACTTATTTCTCACCTATTCTAGTCTATGAACCAGACTAGAAAGGAGGCAGTTCCCCACATATGCATGCCTTGTCTCAAGCCAGGTCTGCCCATCTCCCTCCTGGAATATACTTCTTCCTTTCTTACCCACTTCTCTGTTCTCTACTAGTTAGGTTGGCTTAGATACTATCTCTTATGGAACACCATACCTGAAACTCCCAAAGCTAGATTAAATGTCTCTCCTACACAATGCCACAGTTCCTTGTGCTTCCCCTAATCACACCACACAACACCTGTGTACCTGTCTAGCTTTCCCATCAGAGTGTGTAAATTCCTCAGGAAAATTACTGCACTAGCCTCATTTTCATCTGGGTGATACAATCCAGGGTGTGGGTACACCATTAAAAGCACTTAAATAAAAATTTTCGGGTAAATGAAGTTTGTGGAGGTTCTCCATCTGGAAAGCAGAAAAAGGGAAATACGGGCCAAATAATTTTCATTTTCTGAAAAATCCATTGCAATATACTAACAGATAAAAACAAAGCTAAAAAGCCTTTGAATGACTGAAGTCAATACCTAGCTCTTTTCCCCCAATACCTACTAAGAACTTGAGATCTTAATTCTATGATGTTAAAAACCTCAGGCTCTAAATACAATAGAAAAGTTCCATTTCTTTTTCCATGAGCTTTAAGACCTTTGCTGTGACTTACATGGGTTCCCTCAGGATGCTCTTGGTTTTTTTTTTTTTTTTGGAGACAGGGTCTCACTCTTGTCGCCCGGGCTGGAGTGCAGTAGCATGATCTCAGCTCACTGCAACCGCGGCCTCCCAGGCTCAAGAGATCCTCCCACCTCAGCCTCTCGAGTAGCTGGGACCACATGCCCACACCACCACGCTTGGCTAATTTTTTGTATTTTGGGTAGAGATGGGATTTCACCATGTTGTCCAGGCTAGTCTTCAACTCCTGAGCTCAGGTGATCCACCCACCTTGGCCTCCCAAAGTGCTGTGATTGCAGGCATAAGCCGCTGCACCCAGCCAGGATACTCTTTTTAATGAATCTGTGACTTTGTGGGAAAACATGCTATAATAATTCAAAAGTATTAAAGCCTCCAAGTCAAAAGGAGTAAGACAATTCACCCTACCTCAAAGGTGAACAAAAATCAATGACTATTAATTTGTATTTTCAAGTATTAGAGAAGACTAAATGGTTAGTAACATTTTAACCTATAAAGTAAGCACTTTTAAAGGAGTTATAAGACCTGCATATTCTGAAAGATTAAAGAGCATTAAACAATTTTATAAGAGTTCCTAGAATTAAAAAAAAAATTAGTCTTTCTAAACCAGCTGCTTAAAATCACCTAAAATAATTAAAAATTATATTTTTTTCCTTTTGTCTTTTTTTTTTTTTTTTTTTTTGGACAGAGGCTCTTACTCTGTTGCCCAGGCTACAGTGCAGTGTCATGAACATGGCTCACTTCAGCCTCAACCTCCTGTGATCCTCTCACCTTTGCCTCCCAAGCAGCTGGGACCAGACGCATGAGCCAATTTTTTATAGAGACTAGGTCTTGCCATGCTGCCCAGGCTGGTCTCGAACTCCTGGGTGCAAGCAGTCCTCCCACCTCAGCCTCCCAAAGTGCTAGATTATAGGCGTAAGCCCCATGCCTGGCTAGGATTATTTTCTGATCTCAAATCCTTAATGAAATAACATGAGCAAAAGACATACATTTACCTGCCATGGATAAAAAAGAGGAGTCTGATCCAAGGGAACCCTCAGGGGAGCCACAATGACCAGCTCAAACAGGAGCCCCAGAAGGAGAGGGACAACTCCAGCCAACAGCACCGCAACTATCAAAGTCTTCATGATCTATTAGGAAACAGGAGCCCACATCATTAAAGAGGATCTTTCTGAGCCAAACTCTATTTCCATTTTGAGGTTTGAGACTGATGCCTAACAGAGCAACCACAGTCATCCCTCAGTATCCACGGGGACTGGTTTTAGGATCCAGAAAATCTGCAGGTACTCAAGTCTCTTACATAAAAAGCACACAGCTGGCTGGGCTGTTTTTTTCTCACAATCCAGTTCTTAGGACTAGGTTTCTGTTTGCCCAAGAAAAGCTACCGACTGGCCAAGGCCCCTGCTCCAACGGTGGCCCACCCATACACAGGCTGATCTGTGAACTTTGAGGTGGACTGGTATACAGGGAGGGCTCTGCACAATCCTAAAGTAATTAATAAAGCTGATCAAACTGGCTCCCTCAAAGAACAACATGGTCCAATAGAACTTACCATACTGATAGAAATACCCTGTATCTGTCAAATATGGTAGCCATTTAGCCACCTGACTAGTATACCAGATAGTGCAGCTCTAGCAACTGGACTAAATGGCAAAATGAAAATAAAGCTGACACAGAGAGGAGACATTATAAAAGAGTAATGATGAAATTCTGACCAAAAAAAAAATGATTTAAAGTGGCCTTGGATCCTCATGACCTCTCTTTTACTTCAGGTGGCCTCAGAAAACACACCTGTTTCAACAAGAGACTAAATATGATGTGTATGGAAGACAAAATACTTGTTTCTCTATATGGCACTTTCTAATAATGTGGAAGACTATCAAATGAAAACTGGAATTAGCTGGATTCTGTATTTTAAATATGGTTGTCTCATTATCTTATGGATTAAATAGCAATTATACCCCTCCATAATATATAATGAATCTCTCACTATAAAAATGGATTTTATATTTTTCTTCAACATTAATATTAAATGGATATTAAACTTCTAATGAAATCAAAATCAAAATATAAATCGATAAAAAATTAAGAGTTGATTATACAAATGAAAAGGTGTAAGCAGTAACCTAAGCATAGTTACCAGTTGCAGCCAACATTACACACATACAGACATAAATCACTGCACTCAGATAATCATCTTACAGTATTTTTTTTATCCTACATTTGTGGGAGTCATATGTGTTACTGAGAGCAATAATGTTACAAAGTGTCCAGTAAGGCCCTTAAGTAAGTAATATAAGCATGTGTAGGTGTGTGCATGCACGTGTATAAAGAAAAACATGCTACTAAATGATCCAGTAAAAATATATTATATACATATACTTTTTAAAATACAGATGGGGTCTTGCTTTGTTGCCCAGGCTGGTCTCAAACTCCTGGGATCAAGCAATCCTCCTGCCTTAGCTTCCCATAGTACTGGGATTACAGGCATACGCCATTGTGCCCAACCTGTTTTTCTTTTAAACCTCATATATCTGAACGTAGGACTCTGAACAAGAATGAACCAGAAAGCCACTATCTTGAAAGAGTATTTCTTCTAATTCAAAAAATCAACTCTCTTGAAACAATATAGTAAGGAAATAAATGTGCCAAAAAAAAAAATTTAAGATGACTGGAAAAATATTCACTATTCCTAACATACAAGATCAGTCTTGTATTACACACACATACCATGAGAGACCACTCTTTAACCTTCTGGAAGATCACTCTGCGTCCCTGAGGCATCCATGCCACCATCACCGTCACAGCCCTTATGGTTAGCCAGCAAACATAGAGACCACAAGCAGCTGTGTAGAGCTCATGGATTTTGGCAGTCCCCGTCCAAAACGACATTAACCAACGGCCAGCAAATACTGAAAATAGAAAAGCTGATAAATGAGACATGTGGCTAGGTAAAGAGAATTGTCATCTTCATGTTGTTATGTTAGTATTTTCACATTAGGAAAAAGATATCACATTCGATATATCAATGTCTTCATCAAAAAAACAAAAGACAAAAATCACAATGTCTAAAGAGTACACAATTTGATGAAATCACAACCAAAACAAGGTAAGTTCAATGGAGGCGAGCTCTACTGGGACATACACTCTGATTTGTCATGCCAATTACTTATTCTTTTAGGTCTAAAAAAGCTTTTGAGGGAATTAATGTTTTCATTGTTTTTATCACCAAATGAAACTGTTATGCAAATAATAGGACAAAAGTGGGGAATTTCTTCTCTTATTTGTGATGTCAATACTTTTAATATGTAGAAACATTACAAATAATTTAGAGTAACTATCTTCCAATTGGCTCATTCATCAAGACAGAAAACTAAGCTTATTTTAATAAGGAGTGGGCAAAATAACATTTTAAAGCACAATAATCAAAGAATACCATATTAATTTTCTTAGAAAAAGTTAAGACTATCTGAATATGCTGGAATGTGAAAAATGGATTTGAGAGCAGTCTAAGGGAGTGCCTCATACAAAAAGTTGTTCGGAATAAACTCTATAGCATCCCACAACAATCACTTGGATAAGACCATTTACATAATTTAGTAACTTACTTTATATGATTACTTCTCAATAGGCTAGAGAGAACAGTAAGACCCAAATTTCCAGTATATTTTTTCCACAGATTGTCTTCCTAATATGGTACTATACTTTTTGAATTCCTAAGTAGAGCTATAGACCTAGCTGAGGTGGAAGGATTGCTTGAGCCCAGTAGTTCAAGGCTGCAGTAAGCTATGATCATACTACTACCCTCCAGACTGGGGAACAGAGCAAGACTCTGTCAAATAGCTAAATAAATAACCTTAATGATGCTATTAGCTGAAGGCTAGCACAAGCTCATACCTGGTAAAGTAAGGCAGATGAGGCTGGCAATCAGTAATGTTATACACATGAAGACAATCAACAGAAATATCTGCAAAGTAAAACATAAGGAGTGCATAAATAGAGAACACGTGCTCAATGTATTTTATCAAAGAATCAACACAATCTTCCCATTAAAAAGAAATCATCTATATTTGCGTTGCCAGGTTTCCTGCAATTTCACATAAAATTTTTATTTTCAGTAAAATTACCTATGATTTAGGCCAAAATGAAAATAAGTATCCATTCTCACATAATCAGATACATCCCACAAGTAAATGGCAAATGTTTTAATCAGAGAGCATAAAAAAAAAACATTCACCTTAAATTTTCCCTTGTTATTAAAACATTACAAATTAAAAACATTCACCTTTTAATCAAATAACAGTGCTATCCAATTAAAATGTTCTATAATGACAGAAATGTCTAGATCTGCACTGCTCAATGCAGTAGCCACTAGGCCACATGTGGCTACTGAGCATTTGATATGTGGTTAGTGTAAATGAGTAATGAAATTTTTAACTTTATTTAATTTTAATTAAATTGAAATGTAAATAGCCATATAAACTAGTGCTCCTGTACTGAGAAGCTGATATGGTGTGACTGTGTCCCCACTCAAATCTCACCTTGAATTGTAATAATCCCCAGGTGTCAAGGGAAGGGCCAGGTGGAGATAACTGAATCATGGGGCAGTTTCCCCCATACTGTTCTCCTGGTAGTGAATTAAGTCCCACCAGATCTGACGGTTTTATAAATGGGAGTCCCTCTGCACAAGCTCCCTTGCCTGCTGCCATGTAAGACATGACTTTGCTCATCATTCACCTTCCACCATGATTGTGAGGCCTCCCCAGCCATGTGAATGCTATGAGTCAATTAAACCTCGTTCCTTTATAAATTACCCAGTCTCAGATTATTTATTAGCAGTGTGAAAACAGACTAATACAGAAGTGCAGATAAAAAGTGATCACACAGAGAAGAGGAAACCAGTTTCCCTGAGCAGAAAGGCAGCAACTGTAGCTTGCCTGCTAGCTTACCAGGTGGATCTCCACAAGACCAGAGGGCAGAGCTCTGGTGGGAAGCCCGAAAAGGACAGATAACAAAACCCAGGAGACTCTGAGGCTTTGTCAGCTGTAACTGTGTGAAAAGTCATTTTTTGAGTCTGTCTCTGATCTGGCCAGAAAGTAACTGTTGCTCAGAAGGCCTTTTTTGTCTGCGGAGAGGCGAGAGAGCTGAGTAAAGACCAAGGGGGAAAAACGGGAGCTGACTATGAGATCTGCTATTAAGAGATAAAGGAAAAGATGACCTTCATGCTTTCCTCAAGGTTATGCAGCAAAGTCCTCTAGAATAAGCCACTGAATCAGGAACAGAGATATGCCCCTCAAGGGGACAAAGGAGCAGAAGAACAATTCAGTGAGTGTGGACTCATGCAGAGGGTGCTCAAGGTGCTCCATTATCTGGTTCCTGCCCATTCAAGAGCGTTATCTCCCACCACTCCTCTTGTCCCTCACCTCTTCCCCACCTTATCCCTCACCACTCCCATGGCCCCTCATCTCTCCCCTTGTTCCTCACCTCTCCTGGACATACACCTCACCCTCTAAATATATTCAATTAGGCCAGCCGCAGTGGCTTACACCTGTATTCCAGTACTTTGGGAGGCCGAGGCAGGCAGACTGCTTGAACTAGGAGTTTGAGAACAGCCTGGGCTACATAGCAAAACTCCATTTCAACAAAAAATATAAAAATTAGCCAGGTGTAGTGGCATGCACCCATGGTCCCAGCTAATCGGACGGCTGAGTAGGTAGGAGGATCGCTTGAACCCAGGAGGTTAAGGCTACAGTGAGCCATGATCGCACACTGCAACCAAGCCTGGGCAACAGAGCAAGACCCTGTCTCAAAAACAAAACAACACAACTCTCTTATCTGCAATTCTAAGCCCACCATGCCTAATGTGCCCTAGTCCTGACATATTCCTGGAATGCCCTTCCCACTTCCTTTTTTTCACTCTCTGACAGGTCTCTCAATGTTTAAGACAGTTCAGGCACCACCTATTCTAGGAAGATTCCTTTGGGTCCATATTAAGAACAAGTGGTTCTTGATTGAAGGAGTCACAGCACCCACTGTAAACACCAGCATGAGAGCTCAAATCTGCCACTGTCTTTCTCATCTGAGTAGACTGTAAGCTCTTTCTGAGCAAAGACCACGTATGCTCTCTATATCCTCACAGACACTGAAAATATCAATCATAGACACTTAAGACATGTTTGCTGAATGACTGAACACATGTGACCCACAGTAATCTACAAAGGTATAATAATGACTATTTTTACAAAAAAAGAAATGTGAGGCTGAGAGGTTAAATAACCTGCCCAAGTTTTAAAATGATCAGACTCACAAGCCCATGTCATTATTAAAGGGCATTTTAAAATAACAGACTTGATATAAATGATGACTTCACTGTAATCATATAGCAGTCATCAGCTTACATTTCTGACAAAATTCTGAGGTGCACAAAGATTGATCACTTGCTAACGAACATGTAATAGGCACATTCTTAACCAATATTGCCTTCAGTTTCCTTAGCTATAAACATGAAATTATCGCCTACACTTTGCAGTATTTGAGTGGAGATTAAATGAGAAAACATCCAAATGCCCATTCTAGTTCCTGACACACTGTTGAAATGTATCAATAATGTTAGTTTCTTAATTACTCTAGAGTCTTTTCCTCTTAAATAGGGAGCAAGAGCCCAGGGAATCCCAACTCTTTGACTTATCTCTAAAATTTGATAAACTTACCTAATCATTTACGTTACATAATGAGGGTAATAAAATGTGGAACATGTCTACACAGAGGACTGCATACTAATAGCACCAATTCTCAACAGCAATTTGGAGAACAAAAAAACCAAAAAAACCTCTATATGTGATTAAGTCTGTATAGCACCTACCCTGAGTGGAAAATTTAAAGGTCGGCGGTAAGGCTGAAAGCCAACAGGCCCTCCCTGCTGGAGTATGGCTTGGTGGGCTGCATGAAGGCCTTCTCCCACCACAGGAATAGCGTTGTTATTTCGAGCATGCTGATTATTGTTAACTTGTTGATTTGCACTGTTTTCATTTTCTTCCTGGTCTCCCAATAAATAAGAATGAAGATCCCTGTGCAAAAATTACATCAGTAACAAGTCTCACTTCAGGTCACAATAAAATGGCAGACATGACACTCATTTTCTTCATATTTACTACTAAGGGTAGAAAATGTATAATACAGAATTTGTGCACCACATTATTACCTAATTTTGGTCTAAATGTTTGTACCCACTTTAAATCAAACCTTTCTAATGTTAATGAACTTGTAGGATATCCCATAAATTCAACCTATTTTACGTTTTCTTCAGCCAGTATCTGAGAAGAAATCAGTAACTGAAAGAAAAAAGTACAATGTACAAGATACTTACAAGTACACTTGTAAGTACAAGAGGTAAGTACTTACAAGCACAAGGTGTAAGTACATACTTACAATGTACAATATTGTTAAGGATCTACAGGAGGAAAAGAAAAACTTCTTATCTTCTCTACAGATGACTACTGCAACATGTAGCTACAAGCTATAAATTTGTAAAACCTCCAAGCTATAAATCAGTTAGGTCAGAAATGAGACTGGGGGAGGAAGCAGTTAGAGGACGACAGATGTTCAAGCAAATATAACCAAATCTGTACTTCACCTTTAAGATACCTACAAGATGCCAAACTGAAAAACTTTTAAAGATTCAACTTTTAAATAAATATAGAGTATATAAAGCTTGGGGAAAAAAATGCAACATGTTCACTAGAAGATTGAGAAATCAAATTTGAGAAGAACCCATTTCCCAGGTTATGAGCACTAAATAAAGGTAAGTTAGTTGGTCTAAATAAAGGTAAACTGGTTTGTTTTTAATGCACTAAAAAAAAAAAAGACATTTACTCCATGAAAGCTGGACCAGCAGCAAACTTCTATAAGAGGGCAAAAAGATGTATATATTCTCCATGAAAGGATGGACAATAAGAAAAAAAAATTTCATTTAGAAGTATTATATGCAATTGCAAATATTACTAAATTGTCTCTTATTAAAACTAATTTTTCTTGAGTGGGCCATGGAACATACTTTTTCCAGAAAGGTTATTCCATAGTCACAAATGACATGCATGTCCAAGGAGTCAGCTGCCCATACTCACAGCAAGTATCCGGCGGTCACAGTCCACGCTCGCACCAGCCCCTTCAGCCACTGCCTCGTGTGTCCCTGTTCGAGTAATGCTGGCAAGACAACCTGAAGCAGAAGCAGCTCGAGGGACAGTTCACTCACTGGAGCATCACTGAAAGAGGCAGGATTTATAATGTGAATTGTATTTTGCATATGACTACTATTTAATGGGATTACAACGCAACTTCTTAAGAATCTAATAAACTTACTGTCTTTATTACCTCTCCTTTCATTCTCTCTCCAACTCAGTGAGGCTTTCCCCACAAACTCCACCAAATTGTTTCTGATAAGGGTCACCAAAGACTTTCATTTTGCTAAACTGATGGGTAGGTCTTGGTTCTCTCCTCACTTGCTATATTAGTAGCATGTTACACAAAAGGTCACTCCTTCCTTTGACACCTCACATCCAAACAGCTAGAGAATCCTTTTGACTGTACCTTAACAATATCCTAAAAATTTCTCAAGGCCTCCACTGCTACCTCCCCTTCATCTCTGCCACCCTCACCTCTCACCAGGATCATTGCATTATCCTCCCAGCTGGCTTCCTGTTTCTGACCTAGCCACTCCAACCCAGTTTCCTCTCATCACAGCAGTCAGAATGATCCTCTTTAAACCTAAGTTAGATCACTCCTTTGCTCAAAGCTTTCCAAGAGCTCCTCAATTCACTCAAGCAAAAGCCAAAGTGCTTATGTCGTGTAAGACTCTCTAGGAGGTGGCTCTCCATGACCTTTCTGACTTCAGGGCCAATTCTTTGCCTTCCTCCTCCTACTACAGACAAACTTGCCTCCCTGCAGATCCTCAAACAGACCTGGGTGCCACTGCACCTACTTTCTGCAAGAATATTCTGCCTTCAGGGATCCACGTGGCTCACTCTCTCAACTCCTTCAGGGCTTTCCTCAACTGTCACCCCCTCAGGTCTTTACCAGTCACTATTCCTAAATTGTAACCCCATCCTGCCCACTTTCTATACCCTTACTGGCATTTTTTCTGCCACTTTAAATAATCAGGATATAAGTATTTTCCAATTCTAATTTAATAAAATACAAATTTGAGATTTTACTATGTGTAGAGTAAACCTTTTATTTTTGAACAATCATGTTCCTATGCAAAGCATTAAGATCCAAATAAGAGGCTGGGCGCAGTGGCTCACACCTATAATCCCAGCACTTTGGGCGACCAAAGTGGAAGGATTGCTTGAGGCCAGGAATTCAAGACCAGCCTGGGCAATATAGTCAGACCCTGTCTCCACAAAATATTTTTTTAAATTAAAAAAAGAGAGACAGAGAGAAAAAGACCTAAATAAGACATGATTTCTGCCATCTGGGATAAAACAATACATATTTGTAAAGTAATGTAACAAATGCTATAAAAAGAAATACAACGATGAAGACAATTTTAAAGGATGGAATGATGGCCAGGCACAGTGGCTCATGCCTGTAATCCTAACATTTTGGGAGGCTGAGGCAGGCAGATGGTTCAAGCTCAGGAATTCAAGACCAGCACAGGCAACATGGTAAAACCCGGTCTCCCCAAAAAATACAAAAATTAGGCAGGTGTGGTGGCTTGCGCCTGTAGTCTCAGCTACCCGGGACGCTGAAGTGGGAAGATCACTTGAGCCCAGGAGGTTGAGGCTGCAGTGAGCCATGATCATACCACTGCACTACAGCCTGGGTGACAGAGCGAGACTCTTTCTCATAAAAAATAAAATAAAATTTAAAAACCTTAATCTGGATTTTAAAAAGAATATCAAATGCTTGCCACTCAAACGTGGACAAGCAAGTCATTGTAAACAGAGAGAAAAAGACAAACAGCTAAGTAATCAGGGGAGCCTCAATGGCAGTGTAGCACAATTAAAAGAATTGAAGTCAGTCAATGCTGAGACAAGACACTGAAAAAGCAACATGAGATTATGCCAAGTCTTGCATCTCATTCTAAATGGTGTATATATCACATAGATTACAGAGGAAGTGCTGCCAACTTTTAAACACAGGGGTAAAATAATCCAAGTTCTAGAAAATCTAGAGGCAGAGGTGTTGCGGATGAATGGAGAGCAAGAGGAAGGCCTAAATTAAGTAAGTGGCAAATCGAGTTAGATTAGTAAGAGATTTTAAGAAATTAGAATTGGCAATACTTTAAAGACTCATTAGAAGTAAACTTGAGGAAATAATCCAATTTGCCTGCAATTGGGATAATGACTGTGGGGATAATACAAATCCCTAAAGAGCATATAGGATGAGTGGTAAAGATTACTGGTAGTGGGAGGTTTCCGGATGGCTTTTTTTTTTGGGGGGGGGGGGATGCAGTTTCACTCTTGTTGCCCAAGTGGGAGTGCAATGGCACGATCTCGGCTCACCGCAACCTCTGCCTCCTGGGTTCAAGCGATTCTCCTGCCTCAGCCTCCCGAGTAGTTGGGATTACAGGCATGCGCCACCACGCATGGCTAATTTTTTTGTATTTTTAGTAGAGACAGGGTTTCTCCATGTTGGTCACGCTGGTCTCAAACTCCCAATCTCAGGTGATCCGCCTGCCTCGGCTTCCCAAAGTGCTGGGATTACAGGCGTGAGCCACCACGCCTGGCCTTAGCCCACTTAAGTTTTTAAAGCAAAAAAGATGTTCCATCTACAAGCCTTGTACCCTATTTTTAATAATTAAATGTGCAACTCTGGCTTTATTCTTTATAATGTGCTTTTCAAAATAAAGATGATGCTAATACACTCTCATTAGGTATGGTAAAACATTTCAATGGTGTGCAAATGCATACTTTATGCGCAGAAAAAATAAACATCTTCCTTTACAAAATGTAAGTACTAATGTTTATCTGATCTAAAATAAGGCAAAATTTATGCAAAGTGGAAAAGGTCCAGAAAATTTTTTAAACATTAAATTTAATTTAAAAAATAATAAAAATAAAGGTAAAATAAAGCAAAATTTAATTGTCAGATGATTTCCAGTAACTATAAGAAATGTTTTAAATGTTTAATGTAATCTGAACATCAAATCCCTAATAGAGATAAATTAGTAAAGCTATTCTAAATTTTTAAAACTTACCTGTAGAGCATGACATTGTATGGAAGAAAATTAGGCAGCACACTCTTAATTATACGTATAGGAAGCCAAAGCATCAGGAGGACAATGGAGCCAAAGACAATCTGCAGAAGGAAACAGGGTATGACACCACTATAAGAGTCAATCACTCCTGTGCAAGACAGGCAGACTTCTGAGCACACTCAAGCAATATGCAGTCCAGGCCTGTGTCTACTCAAAGCCCAAGCGGTTCCCACTCTACACATTATCTTTGAGTCATTTTGTATAAAAATGTTTTCCTAAGATGCCTGCCCCTCTTCCTGTAAGGACCTCCCATCTAGGACACAAATGCTAAAACGGAAGCCACAAAGGATAATCACCACTTGCTACCTAAGGAATGAGCTGGAAACTTAAAATGAGGAAGCAGAAATGCCTGCAACTTAATAAATCACTTGTAACCAGCTAAGACTTGCCCCATGTTAATGGCTACAAAAGCTTTCAAAGGACATAATGTTACTTTAAGAATTTTATTTTAGAAAAACTTAGATTTACGGCTGGGTGAGGTAATCCCAGCACTTTGGGAGGCTGAGGTGGGCGAATCACTATGTCAGGAGTTCGAGACCAACCTGGCCAACATAGTGAAACCCCGCATCTACTAAAAATACAAAAATTAGCTGAGCTTGGTGGTGGGCGCCTGTAATCCCAGCTACTTGGGAGGCTGAGTCACAACAATTGCTTGAAACAGGGAGGTGAAGGTTGCAGTGAGCCAAGATCATACCACCGCACTCTAACATGGGTGACAGACCAAAACTCCATCTCAAAAAAAAAAAAAAGAAAGAAATTAGATTTAACTATGTAATTTCTTCTTCTGGGTGGGGAAACTTTGACATGCTTCTGTTAAGAGTTTAATTTACAAGCCAGTAGTAAGTCTCCATTGCTTCAATGCAAATTAAACGTAATTCAGACAACCGTAATTTAGCAATCAATCATACCAGTGGTCCCCAACCATTTTGGCATCAGGGACCAGTTTCATGGAAAACAGTTTTCAACGGGATTTCAGGATGAAACTGTTCTGCTTCAGATCATCAGGCATTAGATTCTCATAATGAGCACACAATCTGGATCCCTCGCACTCGCAGTTCCCAATAGGGTTCCCGCTCCCATGAGAATCTAACGCCAAGGCTGATCTGACAGGAGGTGGAGCTCAGGTGGTAATGCTTGCTTGACCGCTGCCCATCTCCTGCTGTGCGGCCATTCCTAACGGGACATGCACCAGTACCCAGCCAAAACATGGGGGCTAGGGACCCCTGAATTATACTACTATGGAACAAGGAAGTATCTTCCTTTTAGTAAATATCTTTTTACATATTTATTTTAACAAAGTAACCAATAACACAGCTACTTGACAACTGAATACCACAGGCTTAGATAAATATATTATTCAATATACTCTATCAGCCTGCTTGAGAACTGGAAAAAAAAACCTAAACAAAACTATAGGTTAGCACAATTAATTCAAAAAAAAAAAACAATGGAAACATCTTCTTACCACTGACAAAATAAATCTTCGGAGATGCCTATATATTGGCAAATGGATCATTTCCTGTACTGGATTGAAATCTGGATCATTCAAATTCCTTAGAAACCACAGGACACCAGGTCGAAGTACCTGCAAATATATTTTAAATACTATGAATATTCACCAATGTCTTCAAATTCTATATATGAGCTAAAACATTAACAGAAAGATAAGCACTTAGAATTATTCTGGCATCTAAAGTGGGCCCCAGAAAATGTACATGGTATTCTTAGGAAAGTAAGTTCCTAAACCAGAATCTTTATGAAAACTACCCTGTGTCTGATGATGTCCTTTGACATCATCATTCACTAGGGGCGGGGGAAAAAAAAAACATTCATTGGGTCCAATGTGTCAAGAAATCTAGACCTCTGAGACGAAAAATAAATACAACCATTACTATCGTAAAAGGGTTATGTTGCAATTTATAAATGTACTAAATAGACGGTCTGATTTGCCTTCCCCCTGTAAATGAAAATCATCACCCAAGAGGCTGCAGGTGATGGGGTAAAGGAGGAGTCTGGGTACTAGTTCTATGTGGTCCAAACTCACTGAGTTACCCTCTGTGTAACGCATCTAATCTGCCCAAACTTCTATTCTCCATCTCCTAAACAAGGGGTTACAGTGTGTGATTTCTAAGGTTCTGCCTAAGTTCCACATATTAAAATTTTATATCAACAAAAACCACCACACTGATAAAATGAAAGAAATCATTATAAAGCATTTTATTCACTTAATGAAGTAATCTGGAGTTCACATATAATTACATTTTTAAGAAACACATTTCTGTACTTGCTTTAGTTCTCAATCAGTTGTTTCAAAGAAAGAATGAAAGCTTTAGTTACCAAGAGAATTTACTGAAATTATACCGTATGATTCAGGAGAATGCTTTGGTCCCTGACCCCTCCTCCTCTTCCTCAAATCTTTCAAAGAACAAAGTACACCAAGAGCAGCATTCAGCCTTTGTGCTTTTGTGTTCCCTTCTCACTGGAATTGTCAACCTGGTCCTCCACACCCTGCACATCTCCATCACCCGTCTCCGTGTAAACCAACATTTTCAATGCTGTATTCATTTTCAGGCTATAAAATCGAGGAGAACAGGAATTGTGCCTTTGTTTCTCACTGAAACCCCAGAATGCAGTATAGTGTCCGGCACACAGTGACCATTCAGTATTTGGGGAATGACTGAGCTTGAGATGTACACTAATCAAATACTCAACTGCTTTCATCATCTTCAAATCACTAAGAACCAGATTAGAAACATAGAACTAATAAAGGTATCAGGCCAGGCACAGTGGCTCACACCTGTAATCCCAGCACTTTGGGAGGCCAAGGTGGGTGGATCATTTGAGGTCAGGAGTTCAAGAACAGCCTGGCCAACATGGTGAAACCCTGTCTCTACTAAAAATACAAAAATTAGCCGGGCATGGTGGTGGGTGCCTGCAGTCCCAGCTACTTGGGAGGTTCAAGCAGGAGAATCACTTGAACTTGGGAGGTGGAGGTTCCAAGATCATGGCACTACATTCCAGCCTGGGCAACAGAGCAAGACTCAGTATCAAAAAGTAAATAAGTAAATAAATAAATAAATAAATAAATAAATAAATAAATAAATAAATAAAGGTAATCCATCAGGCCAGTGAACTGGAATCATAAAGGACCCTCATTGTAATTCTATACTTAAGGCGCCTAAATCAAAATGATTTTACATGTCTGATCCTGCAAAACCATATCCTTTTGGTTATTTCCAGCAGTACAGTTCCTTGAAGTCTGAGACACACTCACATCATACAAAATTCCAAGAGTCTGTATTAGAGGATGGCTAAAGTATATACGAAGTGTGACAAAATGAGTACTCTTATCTTTTTCCTCAGTTGAATCGTCTTTCAAACTCAGACAGAAATATTAAAACTTGCCAATTATGGAGACAAACAACTGAAACAGTTTAAAGTAATTAAGTCAAAGTCCCCTATAAGTTATTCCCTCTTAGAATAAAATAGTAGAGAATATGATTTAGGTAGGAAATCATCATAGCCTTTGAGACATGACTGGTGGTGAAAGCAAAAGTCCTTTTTATAAATGTACAGCATCAGCATTTCCCTGTGGACTTACCTCTCTCAGTAGTAGAATGAAGGAGGCAAAGTAGAAGACATATACCATTCCCACTAGCCAATGCAGAAACATGGTAGTACCTGGAGCCGACTGAAAGCTCAGTTCTCGATCTTTCAGAGTAGCATCAAACATTTCCTGAGACAAAAGAGGACAGGTAAGAGAAATCTGTGCCCCCTACATTTGCCAAGTTAACATTTTCATCTTCTAGGAAATAAATAATCAATATGCATGCAAGGAACAATTCCTAGAACTGCAGTTCACTTAATGTCATTCCACGGTGTCACAGAACTATATACAAGATTGGCTACTGCTTCAAATATAAAGAATGATAAACCAATTAGTAAAAGCTTTATTAATACTGATTCTATTAAAGAACTATTTTTGATGAATGTAAAAAATTTTCTTGGTTATAGGTCTGCATTCTTGAGAAGTTTTAAAAGTAAGGTATGGGAGGGTAAATGTTATCTCAGAACCAAAGGCAGCTTTTCTACACATAAAATATTTTTGAAACAATCAAAAACTGATTATCACTAACAGCAATTAAAGAGTATAATCAAGACTGAGCATATTAGTTAAATCAAATGATTAGGGTTAAATTTATTACTACAAAGACAGTTTCCTTATCAAATTATTCTCTATGTATATAATGTCTTGGCATTATCTACACAAATTTACGACAGCAAAATGGGCAATAAAATCCTCCACTATTAGAAAGATTCCACCCAAACTATCCTGACATCAAAAATTTGCACAAAGCCTCAAAAACTCAGGTACTCAAGAAAAATTAACATTAAGATCCTATACTGATACACATGCCAAAAGAATAAGCAAATTATCAAATATTTGCTTTCCTTTAAAAAGAATACATGCTGAAGACTTCCTCTTTTGAAGCCCTTAAATTATGCTATTATACAATAATGAATACTCAACTTACCAAGGAACAGATATCCAGCCACCAACCACAAATGAGAGGGAATACTCCAATTTCTACCACCACTAACAAAGAGACCTTAAGTGAAAATAAAGGTCATCAGTATCACCCAAATGTAGGAGAAATCATTTCCAATTTTAAGTTATAACAGGAATTACCTTAACAACAATATAGCAGACTCCCAGTAAGCGACGAGATCTATGAAATTTCACAAGAGTTGCCAAGCCCTACAGCATCAGGTCAAGGAAAAACTGAGTATTTAAAGGTACAATGAAACAGGTAACTACTTAGCCAACATTTAGTATTTTTTGACAGAATTAATTTATTTCACATTTTGTCCACACTGACCCTTACTGCAAATACCTACAACTTTTACTAAGAGGACAAGGATAGACAAGTTTCGCCATTAATGAAGAGTTCTTTGGTATGAATAATATTAGTGTACACCCAAGTTGGTTCATTAAAGGATACATGACAAATTATCAGTGTTATTGCTAAAAGTATATACCCAACTATGGTTGTGATTAGGCCTTCAAAATGAGATGCTTGGACCTGGAAATAAGAAAAAAGTAAATAAAATTTAATTTTACAACATGTTCTACACCCCGGTTTTCCCATATTAAACAATCTAAATGACTAAAAGAGAATTGTTGAGACAATTTATAACCAGGAAACAACTGTAAAATCTGCTTTGGATGACATCTCTGAAAACCAAATTCTCTCACTGACTGTTATATATTACTAAAAAATGAAGAAAAATTAAATAACACTTTACCCAAGGAGACAAAATAACAGTAGAGTGAATTAAATTTTACAAAAACAAGAGCACTGTAATACAACAGCCTGCCCTCTACTCTCACTCTAAAGCAGATTTGCTAAAGGCTAACCACTGAAAGCAGGAACACACTGCCCAAGTCACCCACCAGCTGGGTAATATCCTAGCCACCTCATTTCCTACCACTAGAAGTAACTGTTCAAGTTTCCCTTGCTCTGCAAATCTGTCCCATTCTCAACTTATAGAAAGAATTTTGAAAGTAACAGTGCCTGTCGGTATTTTTTGATTCCTGAGTTTCAGATAGCAAGTGGCAAAAGTTTGGAAAGTCAAAATTTTTCAAAACACTTACCTGAACCTTTCAAGTTCTTGCATTCAACTAGTGAGAATCAGAGGTGTACTAAATATGAGAAGACTTCAGAACGTGATCTCTCAGATCTCAAATATACAAACTGAGCATATGATCCCAGATAGTCAGCTTTTCCATAAAAGACTAAATTGTTCTAGGGCCCCAACAGAGAAGTAATAATCCTTCCAAAATTTATTTACCTCTGGAAAATACTGATAAAATGTCAAAACTAAAGCACTCTAGAAAACACTACAACCCGTCATTCCAAAATATTCTACCCTTTTTAAATTGATTGATATATTGTTACTTTTCTAAATTCAGCAGGGGGCACCTGGGGAAAGGGAAAGAAGAGAACATACAGGTTCTTGAGATGGACAGAAAATCAGCCTGTGGGAAACTTTCCCACGGTATGCCTCAGGCCCACCCAGCTGACTGGATTTCAGAGCACATTTTCATTAGTTGGCAACATGACCACTATCTCTTGAGCCACTGTTATTTTTTTTAAAAAAGAATGAGACGGTATTGCCTAACTATTCCCTTGCATAATGCCAATGAAGAAATGATGTAACTCTTTAGAATACTATTTTATTAATAATCACATTTGGGAGTAATGAATGAAAGTAACTTTGTAAAAGTATTATACTCACGTGTTCTTCAAATCCCAAACCAACAAGGGAGAAATGACCAATATGGTAAGGGCAAAATGCTAAAAAGGGGGAAAAAATTCCATGAAAACTCCGACATCAAAACAATGAACACTCCTACTACAATTCCCCACTAAAAGGAACTAGGGCTTCTTGGAGAAATGAAAGATTCCAGAACTAGGCTAAAAATACACTGCCTAGGACATTCTCTGTAACTAGAGAACAACAAAGCTATTAAGGTCTAATAGGGCCATGCCAAATCAACACAGAAACCATTGTGAAAACAGGCCAAAGAGAGGATAATATGAGCATCAAAAAGAATAATGACCAAAACTGATGGAAAAACACTGAACATACACAAATCCATGAGTTTATGATGCTCAAAAAAGGAAAAGTCCAAAATAATAATCACGAAAAGAGAAAAAGCAACATCAAAGAAAACACTTTGATGTTTTGGAAGCAGTTAGCACACCCATGTGAATAGTTAATACACCAATTCCTTATTCTGAAAACCAAAATTAATGGGAAAAATATGAGCATCTGTCCTACTTGCCCCGGACAGACAGGTTTGGGTTGACTGAATAGTCCCAAATTGATAAGAATTTCTTCTTCTTTCAGAAAAGTCAGCCAATAAATATAAAAAATGACTGTTTAAAATATCACTCCCAACAGATTATTTTATAATGGTAAAGGGAAAAACAAAACCTAAGATTAGAGGCCCAGGTTGATATCAGCTGAATCCAGTGATAAAAGTGGATAATCCAACATCATGTATCTCAGCTCCTCACATATACTATTAATAGGCACAGTGTGACCAGTGATGGATTTGTCCCAGATGTATTCAACCTGAATCTAATAAGGCCCTTAGATCTGACTTCCAGTTTAAGAGAAATATGGGAGACAAAGGATAAAGGCAGAGGACATCCAGGAAGCAGATGGACAGATGTAAAACATGACATGCTGCAAGAACAGTTAACCTAATCCCAGCAACAAATCAATGGCCAAATAGGGTGAGTTGGGGGAAGCAAAGAGAAGAGTACTCTAGATTAAAAGACTAATAACTTATAACTTAACAACTAAAAGTAATATGTGGACCTTATTTGGGTCTTCATTCAAAGAAACCAACTGCAAAATGGTATGTAAGGGACAACCCAGAGAGTTTGAATATGATGGATTATTAGGAAATACCAAATTCTAGTAATTTTGTAAGGTGAGATAATGGCATTATAGCTAAGTATGAAAGTATTTTTAAAACCTTTATAGCAAGAGAATTTTTATAGTCTTCTTTTTCCTCAAGTCTTTCTGGCTAAATTTTACTTCATTCCTAATAATAAAATATAGTTATCTTTTCTTTATGGTAGAAATAAATCGACAGCGCAGTAGATTACCAGGGGAGTGGGAAACTCAATCATGAAGACAGAAGTCAGAGTGAACCTACTAGGGATCTGGCCTCTAACCCTTTCTGACTATTTCATGGGTAAGAATATTTTTGAACATGTATTTCCAATATATTTAAATTTATTTATAAATTATATATACGTATTAGTTTACTAACATATTGTGTGTAATATAAAGCAGAAGAAATTTAATAAGGTAAGGAAAAAAACTGTATGTTGAATTTTGCCTATTTTGCTCTCATATCCCAGTCTGAAGATGACTCAACTAGGCCCCTGGGAGGGGCAAGTTTTAACTCTATTAGCAGATGTATTAAATAATTATTAACCTTAAATACCAGTTGCAACAATCAATTTCCATCCCATTACACACAAACTAATGGAAAGGCATCCTGAAATTAAGGACAATTTCTCAGGATTGTCACCTTCTAGTGGAAGACCACAGCTTTGTCAAATTATATTTCTGCAAAGCATATGACCACAAGAGCCAAAAAACTGCCTGTAGAAAACTTCCAACAGAGCAACCCATGCAAGAAAAAAACAGGAGGGTGTTTAATCCCAATGATTAAAAGAAAAAGTATGTTCCTAATGGAAGAAAACTTGTTTCATTTCAAAAGATTCCAAAAGATTCTAACTATATAATAAAACATAAGTTTACTAAGAAAATTCTTTTCGCAATATAAGCTCAGGAGGTTGGATTAGAAAAAGCTTTACTTAGATTTGATTTCTATAAATCAGAGTTCTTATTTGTATAATTCATGTTTTAAATGTGACCTGGTTCTCCAAACATTAATTTAGCATTAAGCTTTTCTGCAAGAGTAAAGACTTAAATCTATAGATCATTTTTTCTCTCAAAAAAAAAAAATGCAGTCAAGATCATAACAGTTTCACAGTCTATATATGAATTATTTTACATAATGAAAAATAAATGCAGGATAACATACAGACACCCCCACATGTAAAGGGAACAAAAAATCCTAATAAATCTGCACCTTTGTGAGTATCTACTAAAAATTAAGAAATCAATGGAAGTATCCGAAATACTTTGTTAACAAAATACAAGTAAATTTATCTTCCTCTTTTACAGATAATACACAGAAATCAATTTTTGGTCTCATCCTCAGTCCAAATATTCAAAGCCCCTTACACCACATGGCTTCTTATTAAAGACGTCTGCTTTACACGTCACAATGTAGTCCTCAACAGAGCAAATAACTTGGAATTTGGTGGAAGAAGCCTTGGGAAATCTCTACTCATCCTCTTCAGCAGAGCTGAGGGGTAAATCCCATGTACTAAGGAAGGAATTTCTCATAGATTATCCCTATATAGGGATATGTTGCCTGAAGTCTCTGAGACACAAATCATAGGACACCTAACAATAACCCCATTCCATCAGACTCTACGTCCTCACCCCTAAGAGATACAGAAACTGAATTCTAAGGCCTTGGTTTACTCAACTTAGTTTTCCTTACCTCTTCTGGAAAGGAGAAAAACCTCTGTCAACAGTGTCTCCTCAACCTTGCCTTTCTTTCTCTAATTAGTCCCAATGGAAGGGACCATTGTGTGCTGTCAAAGAATCCTCACAGCTGCCCTCGCAGAAGTGCTTGGAAGTGATTTTGTATGTGCTGGAATCTGGTTCTAAGGGGTGCTCACATTTGGGGAAGGCTTACTGTCTTCCCACAAGCCTACACTCAGCTCTGGTAACAGCTCCCAAGTCAAGATCTCTAGAAGGCAATGGTCAGGATTTTGACAGATGAAAACAAGATATTCCACCATAGGGAAGAGCACACACAATCAGCATAAAACTAATTCCAGAAATGGGAAACTGTATATTTTCAAGTCGGTCTAAAACCAGCTTCTACAAAAAAAAAACCCAGAAATGCCCAACAGAGGGAGAGATAGGTAGGTAACTGCAGTCACTGCTGCTTAGGAAAGTATCTGTCTGTCTGGGGCCTATCTATACAGGGTTTGTATCTGAAACTATTTTCATATACTGCTTAGTATTTATTTCTATGTTAAAAAATAATAATAAACCTATAACAAGGCTCCTACAAAACTAAATTCCTACCATAATACTATAAAAAAAAAAAGCACAAACACAACTTACCAAAAACAAGAATGAACAGTGTATTTAAAGATACCACCCAGAAGACATGTTCCTAAAGGAAAAAAGCATCAATAAAGCATATTCAATTCATACTTAATGTATGTTTAATTGGACTATTCCACTTATTTAGCTAGAGCCAAATAGTAAAAACAGCTAAGATTGAAATTTTCCCTCTATTGTTTTGGGATTTCAATCTAGACATAATATGTAACTTTCATTTTTCATTAGATAGCTCATACAACTAAGCCTAATAAAACTCAAAAATGTTACATGTACAAAAAACAAATTCATTTATAAACACTTCCTTTTTAGAAATAATCTACGACAAATTACATAGATTTTCATAACCACCAGATTTCATTTAAATCAAATGACACTAAAAATTTCAAATGGAGAAAAATTTGAAAGCCAAATTAATTGTAAACATCATGTTAACGTCAACTGCAGTGTTTCTTTCAACGTCCAATCTGCCTTCTTGACACCTACAAGGTCACTATTGCCTGGCTACCACTCCTTTGGAAAACTCTAGCTTGATCTCCTCTGGTCCCTCCACTCCCTATGGTGCCCTGACTTTCTTTGTCCTGTCTCACCTGACCATCTGGTCACCTCCCACAGTTACATACTGTCACCTCTAAGGCGACAGCTATCTGCCTATTCCTTCAGCCATGTTACACACACCTTAGCTATGCCCCATGCTGACACTGACCAGACTGCCCAAGTCCATTCATTCATGCCCACAACCTTCCCCGCAACCATCAAGTTAAATGATCCGTCCAAAGATCTTTTGTCTAAAAAAAGGATTTCTCTGTTCAGGTCCCCTAATCTTCCACAAATCCAACCAGAAAGAAGGGTAATTAGTTTGTGAATGACTACTACATTTCTTCTCACCATGTGGGCTCAATTTTTTCAACCTCTCTGCCTTAAGGGCTCCTAAATTTTCCCTATCCCCAACACATTTTATACTTCAACCTCTGTTATCTTCGCGGAAAATCTCCTGCTGACAAACTCCATTCCACTAAGAAAGACCTAATCAAACCCTCTTTTGTGCCCCTCTTGTGTCCTATGCACACTTTTTGTCACTGAGACTCCAAAACATTCCTTGTTTACATGTTCATTTCTCTCTACCACACTATAGAGCATCTTTGAGAACAGGGACCCTGTCTCATTCATAGGCATTGAATTCATAGGCACTGAATTCCCCAGTGCCTAGCACAATAGCTGGCACACTATACATATTAAATATTTTTTACTAAAATAATGAATTCATCCTGTCGAAGGTTTTTCCAATAATTCAAATGAGTTTGAGTCACCACCACTACCTCAACGACTTCTGTCCTTCATTTATGAGGAACTGATGGGGTAAGGAATATAAATCAGTATGTGGCCAAATAATGCTTTCTATACTGACTGTGATCAAACCATGACTAGAAGCTCATTAATATCACATTCCCACTAAACTGTGGAATTATACCAGATATGTTCCTAAAAACCTACACAACTGCTAAATTCAACATCCTCTTCTGGTTAACATCTGGAGCCAGCCTGAGGAGAAGGCCAACACTGAGGACAGCAAAGGAGACAGATGGAGATATCTCGGTCTCTGATGACATTGTTGGGCCTATGGATCAAGCAACCTCAAGCCCATTCTTCCTCTGGACTTCCTGTTAAATTAATGTTCCAACCAGCAGGGGTTCTGCTACCTGCAGCCAAAGTCATCTTAAGCTATTTAAAAATCCCAAATGGCAAATAACTTCATATTACAGGACCTGAAAACAGCACCATTTCTTCTTTAAAGAACAAGTTCTTTAAAGAATTGCTCCTCACCTTAGACTTGCAATCTTTACTAATATGGCAAAGTTCCTAGGTAAAGACAGGTGGGGTTCAGCAAACAGGAAAACCTAACATCAGCCTGGGGTGTCTCACTGTGAAAATAGGGAAAACTGCTTTGCTTCCACCAGTACAGGCAATAAACACTGCAAGATGAAACTTTAAAAGAAGACCAAGTTCTTTTTAACTACCATTAACTTTGGGGTTTATTTTCTTTGCTAAAAATCAAATATTTAACAATTTTTTAAAAATATTACCTTTATGCTTTTTCAATATTTTCAGCACACTAAACATACAATCTTCAACATATAAAGTAATTAAAAGCCAAAGGGCATCTTGACCTTTACTACATACTATAAATGTGAAGTTTCTGAATCACTAAGACAACTCCAATTCTGTTACTAGAAAGAATTAGTTTTGGCCGGGCGCGGTGGCTCACGCCTGTAATCCCAGCACTTGGGGAGGCCGAGGCGGGCAGATCACGAGGTCAGGAGATCGAGACCATCCTGGCTAACATGGTGAAACCCCATCTCTACTAAAAATACAAAAAATTAGCCGGGCATGGTGGCGGGCACCTGTAGTCCCAGCTACCTGGAAAGCTGAGGCAGGAGAATGGCATGAACCCAGGAGACGGAGGTTGCAGTGAGCCAAGATCACGCCACTGCAGTCCAGCCTGGGTGACAGAGTGAGATTCCGTCTCAAAAAAAAAAAAAAAAAATTAGTTTTACTTACCAGAAAAACTAGTGATCCATCAAGTCCTAGCATCTAAAATAAACAAAAACGATAAGCATTAATTTAAGATGCAACAGAACTTTCTATTCTAATTTATGAAAAGCCTCATTTTCCTTTCAATATCTTTAAACACAGTCCTCACCCACTTCCTATACTTTCCAATACTTCCTATCATTTTCAGAAAATAAAAAAAATTCTGTTTCTGAATGAGAGTTTTATATTTTGGGTCTCCTTTTATTCAAAATTACATGATTTATAAAGTCTAAAACAATTCCGTCTTGGATTTGTTACTCAAGATATACAGCTAATTAAGATTACTTCATAATAAAACTGTATTATTTTGTCAACTGAAGCATGAAAATACTACTTAAATTTAAATTGTTATTTTGTTTTTCAAAAGTCCACAATTTCAGGTAAAACATTTCCTAAATGGAGCAAGATTTTGTAAGACCAAAAAAAGCCACCAACATCACAATATTTTGACCATAAACAATATATCACTTAACTTTCACTAGGAATGAAAATTCTAGTAACTTTTCATCAACTGTAACGATAACATTAGTGTATACATCTAAATACACCAAAGTTTAAAATATATTTTAGGATTAAAACACCAGGATACTTGACAGAAAAAGGTCTTACTCTTTCCCATGTAAGCTCTTCAGCAGCTCGGTCCCATTCTAAAGCATTCCAATTCATGTCATCTGAAAATATAATTGCAATTTAAAGATTACTTGAAGTAAAAATAATAAATAATAAAAAAAATAGAATGCACTAAAAATAGTAAAATTTAGTACTTTGTAAGCTGTTGTTGAGAAGCTAAGCCACATTTCCATACTGAGTATTTGCTTGTCAGGGAACAAATAAGAATAAAAACATACATATAAATAAATAATACATATAAAGTAAGGTAATCCTAGATTGAGATAAATGCTAGAAAAGGAATAAATAAGGTTATCTGAAAGAGAGGAATTCAATAGCTCTAAGCCAGGAAAGAATCTGGCAGATTTGAGAAAAGTAAGGAAGCCAGGGAACTAAGGACATTCTGACTAATGATATGGGTAGTAGAAAGACAGAAATCAGATCATACAAGAGGAATGTGGAGTCTGGATTTTATTCTTTAGTAATGGGAAAACTACTAAAAGATTTAAAGGCAGCAGAGTAATATGAACTATGTGGAGCAAGAACGGAAGGAGAAAGAATAGTTAGGAGCTACTGTATTAGATCAAGAGAGAGAAATAACGGCCAGACTCAAGGGTAGCAGCAGGCTGTATTCTCAGAGCCTCTGACCTCCCCCTGCAAAGGCCCCCTGTTACCATTACACAAGTCGCTTTTTCTCATCCTTCAGAGGTCTCAGCTCAAATACCAGGTACTCTGAGCTACCTGGAAAACCTTATTCAAAATAGGTCTAGGCTGGGCACAATGGCTCATGCCTATAATCTCAGCACTTTGGGAGGCTGAGGCAGGAGGATCACTTGAGCCCAGGAGTTCAAGACCAGCCAGGACAACAGGGAGAACCCATCTCTACCAAGAAAACAAAAACAAAAACTAAATTAGCTGGGCATGATGGCACACATCTGTGGTCCCAGCTACTTGGGGAGCTGAGGTGGGAGGATCACTTGAGCCCAAAAGGTCAAGGCTGCAGTGAGCTGTGTTCCTGCCACTGTACTCCCTCCCAGGTGACCTTGGCTCAAAGGCAAAACCTTGTCTCAAAAAAAAAGGTAAATTAATAGGTCTCTCCCCAACAGCATCCTCAGAGCAACCCGCACAACACTCATCATGACGTGTATTTCCTACTTTTTCACTAAACCAGAAACTCCAGGAATGCAGCAGCCTAATGTTTTGGTCACAGTTATATGCTCAGTGTCTAACAGAGTACGTGACACAAAGAGACACAAAAATATCAGGCTGCCAAGTAGAACTAGAGATAGTGCAAAGCTTGACAGGAAAACTGTGGTGGGAGGGAGGAGGGGAAGTGAGTGACCAACAGCTGACTGGTAGACCCTGTCTTGGATCTTTTTTTTTTTTTCTTGAGACGGAATCTTGCTGTGTCACCCAGGCTGGAGTGCAGTGGCATGATCTCAGCTCCCTGCAACCTCTGCCTCCTGGGTTCAAGTGATTCTCCTATCTCAGCCTCCCAAGTAGATGGGATTACAGGCGTGCGCCACCACACCCAGCTAATTTTTGTATTTTTAGGAGAGATGGGGTTTCACCATGTTGGCCAAGCTGGTCTCAAACTCCTGACCTCAGGTGATCTACCCATCTCCTGTCTTGGATCTTATTTTACATTCTAGAGTTTACACTGCTAGAAAACGAGACGTTGATTTATTTAGATGGCATCTTGTCTGCAGTATAAACTTCAAGATTCTTTTTCAATCTTAGAAATTGCACTGACTCAAGGGACATGGAAAGAGAGAAGCAAATGAATGAGGTGAATCTGTATCAAAGTCCTTTATTTAAAAAAAGTAGTACCTAATCCAACTTAAAAAATAGTTTCTTCCTATCTATCCTATTAAAAAAGTCCTGTGTAGGCCGGGCGCAGTGGCTCACGCCTGTAATCCCAGCACTTTGGAGGCCGAGATGGGCGGCTCACAAGGTCAGGAGATCGAGACCATACTGGTAACACGGTGAAACCCCGTCTCTACTAAAAATACAAAATATTAGCCGGGCGTGGTGGCGAGCGCCTGTTGTCCCAGCTACTCGGGAGGCTGAGGCCGGAGAATGGCGTGAACCCAGGAGGCGGAGCTTGCAGTGAGCCGAGATAGCGCCACTGCACTCCAGCCTGGGCGACAGAGCGAGACTCAGTCTCCCAAAAAAAAAAAAAAGGCCTGTGTAAAAAGGATTTTAAAACACAAAACATGCCCTGTTTCATAGAAAAAAACATATTTATGCATATGTACATCCATAAATGCCAGTTTGCCAAAATAAAGTAAAAATAAGTTAGAAATAGAACTTCACAACATTAAAAATTTGAAAACGCCAGCCCTTTTCCTCAATGCAAGTTGAGAACAGATTTGCAGTGCTGAAGAGTGAGGACACACAAGCAGCCATTACCCTGGGCTCCGTTATTAGCATCTGCCGCATCCTCCACACCAGCGTCATCTTCCTCCTCATTGTCCTCCTCCTCCTCTTCTGCCTGGTCATCCTGGGCATCAGGGTTTTCCCCCACCACTGCGTTCTCAGCTGGTGGGTTAGCAGGCTGATCAGCAGCAACATTTTCTGCACCATTTCCTCCTGCTGGAGCCTAAAATCACAGAAAAGCCCAGAAATTTAGATCCACTTGTCTGTTTTGCTCTGTTTCCAAATCACATTATTCCTGCTAAAAAAAAAAAAAAAAAAAAAAAAAAAACCTAGGCCAGGTGTAGTGGCTCATGCCTGTAATCCTAGCACTTTGGGAGGCTGAGGCAGGCAGATTGCTTGAGCTCAAGAGTTCAAGACCAGCCTGGCCAGCACAGCAAGACCCTATCTGTACTTAAATTAAAAAGTTAGCCAGGCATGGTGGTTTGCGCCTATAGTCCCAGCTACTCAGGAGGCTGAGGAAGGAGGATCTCTTGAGCCCAGAGGTTGTGAGGCTGCAGTTAGGTGTGATCATGCCACTGCCCTCCAGCCTGAGTGACAGAGCAAGAGCCAATCTCAAAAAACCAAAACAAACAAAAAACTAGAAAACAAATATAAACTCTACTAAATTCTTTTTAAAAACAAAACCTTTCAAAGACATCTTTTTTAAATGTATCTGATGTGGGATCAATTTTAGTATATAAGAACACAACCTCACTTCATAACACGTGTACATATTCATTCAGTATAATTTAGCGGATTAACAGTTCACAAAGCATTATAGAAAATGGTTAACAAATCTGGCTCTCTTAAAAACATTCTGTAGTCCTTTTTATAAGACAGCCTTTGTCTTTATTGACAGCATCAGGGATGAAAATACATTTTTAAAAAAATGTACATACATATATACATACATGCTCTGTCATCAAACACTTGAGGAAATGTTTTCAAATTTCTGCTCAGTGGGTAAGACTGTGTACATGGACTTCAGTATACCCCCCAACGCTGTTCCCACTCTAACTAGAAAATTAAGAGGCAAAGTCGTAATACCACTTTCTTGATTTTTCACATCTCTCTTCATCTTCACCCAAACCTTTCCGCTGCCCTCCTTTGTAATAACAAAAGAATGTTTATGAGGGACATGGAAGTCAAGAGTTTGAGTCTCAGAGAGAAACAATAATTCTCATGACCTACCTAAGTAAAATCAATTTTGGGGTAGGGGAGTTACCTCATTTTGGTGATGCCCCGCAGCATTGAACGGTGGGGCAGCATGCTCCAACCAAATTGGTGCTCCCCCATGGACTATCTGCTCTCTCAACCACACCAGGCTGATGAATGCACACAGTGTGCACGTCACCACAAAACAACCCTGCAAACAATCTGCCAACAAATTTTCCCTATTAAAAAAAAAAGTACATATAATTACTCCAAAGAAGACTTAAAATTAGGAAAACAAAGGTAAAAAATTTTCTTATACTAAAGTCTCAGAAAAAAAAAAAACAGCCAGAAGAATAAATCATAATTTTTTGGATGAAAATCTCAAGTTTCTCCAAAAGAACTATTTGTGATTATGGTGAAATTCTACTTGCAAGAGAACCTATACATATTTACATACTTGTATTATGTATTTTATTTAGGCATCAAATACCATCAGAACTATATGGAAATTACCTATCCATAGCCTATCTTTTGAAAATGGCCTAGAAACAGAAAGGCAGCACGCAAAAAAAGACAAAAGCAGTCTAACACTTGACAAAGGCCATGCATTAAATTTATGTAATTTACCAAAGGTTAAAAACTCTGTCCAACTCTAAGAGTTTCTGTATCTTTATTTTACACATGTTTAAAAACTTGATTAGCTGACACCTGAACCCACACAAATTAATAGAATCATCAAATCAGAAAAGAGGAGAAGCTCCTCCAGATAAGTCTAATGACAACATAAAGAAATGAAGGTTGAGAGATATTCAGTATGCCATATGTAAGACAAAGAGGTCTATTATAAATTTTATAGAAGTTTGTCACTTGGCCAGGTGCAGTAGCTCATGCCTGTAATCCCAGCACTTTGGGAGGCCAAGGCAGGTGGATCACTTGAGGTCAGGAGTTGAGACCAGCCTGGCCAACATGGTGAAACCCCATCTGTACTAAAAATACAAAAATTAGCCAGGCATGATGGTGTGCACCTATAATTCCAGCTACTCGGGAGGCTGAGGCAGGATAATCGCTTGAACCCAGGAGGCGGGGGGTTGCAGTAAGCCAAGATTGAGCCACCGCACTCCAGCATGGGTACAGAGTGAGACTCCATCTCAAAAAAAAAGAAATTTTTCATTTAGAAAGCAAACCAAGTTTTGATGCTAACTGCAATCATACCAAAAGTGTATTAGTTTCTCAACAAATTCAGAAAGGCAAAGTATGGTTCCTTTAGTAATCATACAAGAAAATGCATCAAATATCATGATACTGAAGACCATTTTGTCCTTTTCCTTTCTTAAGAGGCTTATCTTTCCTTCCCTAGTCCATGTTTATGATTTCAGAATTATTCACAGATAACTCAAAAGCCTCTGGACTCTTAGCCATTGGAAAATCCATTATTTTAATGGAATCACTTTTTTCCTCCATAGAAAACCTGAGAAGGGTCAATCTGGTAGACCTTGACCCAGCAGCTCCAAACTTAAACTAAACTGGTATGGCCTCTAGGAAAATATAGTCTGCAATATGTCCTGAATCAAAAGAGGAATCCTAACTACCACCTTAGTAAGGAACTCTCCAGGCTACTAAATTCTGAAAGGTTGGGACCAAAATATCCCCTTTACATCTTCCTTGCTATCAGCAATAATCCTAACTGTTTGTTACAGATTTTAAACATTTGGTGACAAACTCTGGAGTCCTTTTTCCTTACTCCTTTAATCTGGGCTGGTTTTGTGAATCCTGGACAGAGGCGATGCTGCCCAAGTTCCAGAGCCCAGAGGAGGGCCTGCAAGCTTCTTCTCTTGCCCTTTTAGAATGCTGCCCTGAGACTACCATGTAAAGAAGCCCTACTAGCCTTTTAGAAGATAAGAGGCCACAAAGAGAAGAACCAAGGCATCTCAGACAAACCATCTTAGATCATTAAGTCCCAGTAAAACAGCTGAGTGACCTAGGCAAGCCCAATAGATGAAAAGCTCAGCTGAGCCCAGCCCAAACTGCTGACCCCAGAATTATAAGCAAATAAAATGGTAGCTGTTTTAAGCCACTAAGGTTTGGGACAGTTTGTTTTGCAGCAATAGATAACTGATACAGTGCACCTAGACATGACCTCAATTACTGAGCTACAGAATACATAGAAACTGGTAAGACATTAAGGAAATTTAAAGTAAAATTTCACAGAAAAAAAATTCTATAGAGAGTGTAAAACATTACTCAGAAAAAAAGTAGTTTGGTCACAACTGCTATCAGAAAAACTGGCTCAATTTTTCAAACTGTAAAAGACAGCTAAAACCAAGCCATGTTTATAATTTATTTTGACTAGCCCCACTAGGCTTCCAGTGGTCCTCTGGAGTCAATGAGTAGTCTAATGAAAGCAATTCAGGTGACCCTCAAGCCTATCAGGTGAGAGGGAAAAAGAAGCCTGCCAATATAAGGCAAGCAACAATGCTTAATATCAAGATATAGTAAAGTAACTACAGGCAAGTTCTTAGCATTTATATTCTAATAATCATGGAAAACATTTAAAAAATAAATTTGAGTTCAAATGTGTATGTTAAAAACACATGTTAAAACGAACTCTTGGGCAAGCACAGTGACTCATGCCTGTAACCCCAGCACTTTGAGAGGCCGAGGCAGGCAGATTACTTGAGGTTAGGAGTTTGAGACGAGCCTGGCTAACATGGTGAAACCCCATCTCTACTAAAAATACAAAATATTAGCCTGGCTTGCTGCCACATGCTTGTAATCCCAGCTATTCAGGAGGCTGAAGTAGGAGACCCAGAAGGCAGAAGTTGCAGTGAGCAGAGATCACACCACTGCACCCTACCCCAGGTAATAGAGCGAGGCTCCATTTAAAAAAACAAAACAAAAAAACTTTTGTGAACATAAGACAGTAGTATGTATCTCAAACTGCGTGACAGCCTATTTAAAAAGTCATCCCGGACGGGCGCGGTGGCTCACGCCTGTAATCCCAGCACTTTGGGAGCCCGAAGCGGGTGGATCACCTGAGGTCAGGAGTTCGAGACCAGAGTGACCAACATGGTGAAACCCTGTCTCTACTAAAAATACAAAAATTAGCCAGGCATGCTGGCGAGTGCCTGTAATCCCAGCTACTCTGGAGGCTGAGGCAAGAGAATCGCTTGAACTCAGGAGGCGGAGGTTGCAGTGAGCCGAGATCGCACCATTATACTCCAGCCTGGACAACAGAACAAGACTCCATCTCAAAAAAAAAAAAAAGAAAGAAAGAAAAGTCATCCCATCATTACAAAACAGTCCCATAAAACAGGTATGTTTTAAAAGAAGTGTCATTTACATTTATCAGCTACTTCTACTGCAGCTATAACTGTTAGTGTAATAGACATAAATTATTGTTCTCAAAACAAAAGAATTTACAAATTATAATAAAATAAATATGCAAGGAAAAAAGCAAGCATCATCTACATCATGCAACATTCGTCACAGAGGTTCAATACTCACGTTGACAGCATATCTAATGGCAGCGTCAGTAGTGAGCTCACGGAGCCAGTAAACAAGCACTTGTAGATGCGGCCTACCGAAAAAGAGCATGATGGCACACAGTCACAACTCGCATCATGAATTCACATAGCTGCTCAAGAAAGCAGAGGTAAAGTGGAACGCCACAAATGCCACTGAAATAAACATTTAGTCTTTACAAGCCTAAGTCTCAAAATATTAAATTTTTAAAAACACAGTCAAGCACAAATATAGTGACAATGAAGAGTAAATGTTACACAATCATGTTTAGCACTTAGATTCTCTCTAGGTTTAGTTGCTTTTTTTTATTGAATGAGCTTAGATGTTTGAAAAGAAAAATCTAAAGTAAAGATCTCCAAAATTATAATATAAAGAATTTTTTAAATTCTAGAATTCCAAAATTCATTAAGTCTGCTCATGACAATAAAAGGTTTCAGTTTTGGAGGTATAAGTCTTTGAAATTAAGAGAATTTTTCAGTAGAGTATGTACTGCAATGCCATAAATGGCAACCTGACAACCAATATTTTAAAAGCACAGATTCACAGGTCCTCTAAAATACAGAATATAATTATTCTAAATTCTGGCCATTTAGAGAAAGACAAAGTATGGGTGAACGAACTGCTATCAAGGCAGAAAGTCTTTTAGTCAGGAAAGCAGAATTCTAGACAGAATGAGATAACAGACCACAGATTTGAAAATGGGGCACAAGAATAAAAACCTGAGGCTTTCTTTCAAACCAGTATTTGTGTATTAGCTTAAGCATTCCCTATATAGCCTTGTATCGGAGACTTCCAATCAGATTTTCAGTGACTTCAATGGCTGTTTTCAAAACCAAGTCAAAATGGAAAGGTAGGAAAAGATTTTCTGTAATAAAAATTACTTACATGTTTATAAAATACTCAGACAAGTATGCTTGTAACAATGTAAAACTGACAAACCAAATGTTTAGATAGGTAAATGGATTCATGTGCAACAGGCCTTCTTACTACAGAGTGCTGTGTATCGCTAAAAAAAAAAAAATAAGACAGCACAACACTCACGTACATGGAAAGACCACCAGGATACGATGCTAAGCTAGAGAAAAGTTACAGAATATGTATCGTGTGATGTAATTTAAATTGTGTGTATCTGTATATAAACAAATTAGAACAGAAATCAAGCTTGTGATTAATAACTGTTAAATCTTGTAAGTCCTTACTTTTGCCTATTTCATCTACTGATTTCAAAGAGGCATGTTAAGTCTTTCACTATGACTGTGAATGCTTTACATATTTCAAGGCCCAGCTTTCTGGTGTATAAAAGTTCTTTAATTCTATTTTCTTAGTGGATTATGCCTTTTATTAATATGAAATATAATGCTTTGTCCCATTTAATGCATTTGAATGATAACTGGCTGATTAATATTGCTCTGGCTTTTTGTTAGCCATTTGCTAACAAAACTATTTTTGTATCTCTTTAGCATTAACCTGTGCTGCTTTGTATTTATCTCTTGTAGTAGTGCAAGTTTTATACCTACACATCTATGAAGCTCTCTCGTAACAGAGAAATCTAAACCCTTATGATTACAGATGTATTTAATTTTATTTCCCTACTTCCTTCCTCTGCATTCCCTTCCTTTCTTTCCTGCCTTTGTTTGAAATTTCCAAATTTTATTTGCTGTTTCCCACTCATCCTATTTCTATTCTTCTAGCACTTGCCCTTGAGTTTTGTTATGTCTTTATTAAAGTATATTTTACATAAATCTTAAGTGTACAGATGGGTGAATTCTTAAAATATGTATATCTTTGGTAACTACCACCCAAATCAAGATGTTCAACACTTCCAGCTCCCCAGAAGGCTCCCTCAAGCTTCTTCCCAGGCAACAGCCCCTGCAAAAGGTAACCACTATTCAGATCTCTACCACTATAGATGAATGTAACCTGTTTTAAAATTTCACACACATGCAATCATACGATTTTGTGCCTGGCTTGTTTTTGTCAAAGAAGCAAAATTAATCCATGTTATTCCATGTCACAATAGTTAGCTCTTTTTTCACTGCTATGTAGTATTCCGTTGCATGAATAAACCACGATGTATCCATTCTACTATTAATAGGCATTTGACTGATATCAGTTTTTAAGTACTATTAATAAAACTGCTGTGGTCATTCTTATACATATGTCCTTTAGTGAACAGAAAGTTCTTGTTCTGTTAGTTATATTCCCAAGAATGGAACTGCTAGATCATAAGGTATTTGTAATATTTAGCATCAGTAGATACTGCCAGTTTTCTAAAGTGGTTATAACATATGCGCTCCCCCTTGATCACTGTATACGTGTTCCAGATGCTCTATGTCCTGAGCAACATTTGGCACTGTCTACTCTTTTTATTTTTAGTCACCCTCCTTGTGCATTTCTCTAATGATGCTGAGCAGTTTTTCATGTGTTTATTGGCTACTGTCATCCCTTGGTATCCATGGGGAATGGGTTCCAGGACTCTCCTCAATAACAAAATAAACAGATGCTCACATTCTACAGTCAGCATTGCAGAACCCACAGATACGGAGAGCTTAGTATATTTAGCTATTTTTCCAGAAATACCTGTTCAAAATTCTGTCCACTGCTTAATTGGGATGTGTTTGCCTTTTTGTTATTGATTTATATACTCTAGATACAAGTCCTTTGTTGGCTATGGGTACTGCAAATATCTTCTCTCACTCCATGGCTTTCAATTTTCTTTTTTTTTTTGAGTGCCAGAATTCAATTGCCTTTTATTCTTAAAAGTGTCTAAGGATGAAGAGAAGTTTTTAACTTTAATTATGTTCAATTTACTAATATTTTGTTTTATGCTTATTCTCCTGTATTTTATTTTAGAAGTTTCTTTTTAACTTTCACATTCAGGCTTTTAAATTCATCTCAAATTAATTTCTGTGTTAGGTTGAGGTAATGATATGATTCTTTTTTTCTGTACGGCCATCTGATTGCTGCCATACCATTTACTGAAAAGACCATCTTTTTGCCACCGATCTGTGGTGGCACTTTTGTCATTAATAATGTAACAATGTAGTTTTGAGTCCAGTTCTGGGTAGTTATAAGTCTAGTCCACATTTTTAATGCACAGTTATGCTGTATTTTTCTACCTACATCTAGAACATCTATAATCTCCCCACAAATGAGATAAGCAATTTTAAAAGCTTTAATTTCTATCTTCCCGTCACAATTTCTCCCACGTTAAGATCATCTGGAATTTTAGTTCCAGGCTGTTACCCAAAAACTATTAATTATTGCAGATTAACAATTGAGACTTAGCTATATGAAACACTTCTTTGTATCTCACATCTTTCTCTCTGATTCCTTGCTCATTTAGTAAAGTATATCCTGTTTTTTCAAAAAGGTTTAAGGTAGTAAACTTTCCAATCCCTCACATCCATTGAAACATCTGTAGTTTGTCCTTCAATCTGAGAGTAATTTGCAGAAAGGGAATTTTAGGTTCAAAAACATCAAATTTTGAGTTTCCATTGTCTTCTAGCATTCAACATTGCTAATTTTAAGTCTGATGCCACTCTGATTTTCTTTACTTTGTAGGATAATCTGGAAGCATACAATCTCTATACCTCTATCACCATCGCCACCCTACCCAGCTCCAGAAAACTTGAGAATATGTCTAGGTTCATGAGACTTTTCCTTTACCATGGTCAGCTTTCTCGTTCAATCTAAAAGACACCAATTGTTTCCTCATCTCCATTATCTCTTTTACCTTGTGGAACTACTTACTAGACAGACTAGACTAGCCTCCATTTGTCAATATTTATTTCTCATACTTGTAACTATTTGTCCCTCTGAGTTTCATCCTGGGAGAATTCCTTGATACATTTTCTAGCTAACTCACTCTTCAACAGTACCTATATTCTGCTAGTTGGTATCTTCCAAGAATTTCATTTCCATAGGTAATCAAGATTATTTTATCATATTTTAAGGAGACATGAAGATATCAATTATACTAATTAAACATTTAGTTTAACTCTAATGAATCTTATCTATATACTCTGCCTCCCATATACTATGTACTTCTCTCCATGTCTATAAGAACAACAAAGAATCCAAGAGGATTCTTTGGATTGATTAGGGGGGTTGATTAGTATACCACCCTCCCAAAGAGCCTCCTATATCTGAAAGATAAGCCTCCCAATTATTTATGACCATTACATGTATGAGTATTTTTAAATTTTATTTGTATTTTATTGAGGCAAAGTCTCACTCCGTTGCCCAGGCTGGAATGCAGTGGCATGATCTCAGCTCACTGAAACCTCTGCCTCCCAGGTTCAAGTGATTCTCCTGTCTCAGCCTCCTGAGTAGCTGAGATTACAGGCACACACCACCACACCCGGCTAATTTTTGTATTTTCAGTAGAGCTAGGGTTTCACCTTGTTGGTCAGCTGGACTCAAACTCCTGACCTCAAGTGATGCTCCCACCTCGGCCTCCCAAAGTGCTGGGATTACAGGCGTGAGTCACCACGCCTGGCCATGTGAGTATTTTTTTAAAGGAGGGTTGCAGAATCCCAAAAGAATTCATCTTTTGCAGTCCTTTTTTTTTTTTTTTTGCGAGACAAAGTCTTGCTCTGTTGCCCAAGCTGGAGTGCAGTGGTGCGATCTCAGTTCACTGCAACCTCCGCCTCCTGGGTTTAAGCAATTCTCCTGCCTCAGTCTCCATGTTGGCCAGGCTAGTCTCAAACTCCTGACCTCGTGATCCGCCTGCCTCGGCCTCCTGAAGTGCTGGGATTACAGGCATAAGCCACCGCGCCCGGCCGTCTTTTGTAGCCCTTGAAAGCTCTAGCATACTTCATATCTAATTATGATTTGATTTGATTTTTTCAACGCTTTCATGAACTTTCATGGTTAGCCATTCTGTATGCTGTGTTCTTTCCCACATTCACTCAAAAAACTGACCTGTTAAACTCATTCTTAGTTCCGATGAACATCTTCTAAGTAAGGCTTTCCTAATACATGACACTCTGACATCAAATAACTAAACATCAGTCAAATAATAATATGATGCAATATTGCTTTATAATATTAAGTAGTTATGCAATGTTTAAATAACTCCAATCAGAGGCATGAATACTCACATGCTGTAAGAGGAACAACTCCCAACCATGCAAAGGCCACAAGTGTATAATGAAACCAATATCGTATTGCAGTGCCAATACTTGTAACCAGTCCAGCAAATATGTCTTGAATTGGAAGCCGTGAAGGCATATCTGGAGAATAAACTATAAGCGGAAAAAAAGTACTTACAGTTTCATGAAGATTCGAAAATAGCTTAATTCATAAATATAAAATAGACATTAACTAAACTTCCAATATTTGCCTTGTGCTTAATTTTTTTCCTATTTAAAAAAAATAAACCAAATAGTTATAATATCACATTTACCCAAGAAGTCATTTATGAGGCAAATCACATGTGAAACGTGGAAATCAACAAAGGCCTCTGGGCAGGAAAAAAAAATTCAATAGATGTTCACATCCCTTGCTAATAGCCATGAACCTCATACAAGGCCCATTTACACACATTTTAACATTCAACCAATATAATCATCTGGTTTCCCAAACTATAAAAGATGTAATAAAGCAAACAGGAGCAAAAGATGAAGCTGACAACAAGCCATCAACACTCCCCCAAATATAAGCATTAAATAGCACTCAAAAAGCACAACAGTCCGCAGCAGATCATTTCATGTGGGAGCAAACATCCCACTGACATTTGTTAGCCACTTTCCCGATGTTAGCATAATACTTAAAATTTCAAATGATAAATTCAGATCTTCCCACTACTCTGAGAAATGTGGCTCAACACATTCAGAAAAAGAAAAGTTCTGCCACATTTAAAAAGGATTCCCTTTTAAAATGGTTCCAATAAAAAACCACTGCCTATTATCAAAAACCTCTACCACAGGTAGCTCGGAAAGAACATAAAGGAAAAACAAACAATTCTTTCTCCAGTAAGGCCAAAACAAGAAATTATGATATATCAGGGTTTAAAAGCAATGATCTAAAATTTATAAGAACACTATCACAAAACTGTTCACACCTATAAACATTGAGAAATAAACAACTGACAAATAGCACCTTTTTTTTTTTTTTTTGAGTCAGAGTCTCACTCTGTTGCCCAGGCTGGAGTGCGGTGGCATAATCTCAGCTCACTGCAAACTCCGCCTCCCAGGTTCAAGTGATTCTCCTGCCTCAGGCTCCCAAGTAGCTGGGATTACAGGCGTCTGCCACCACACCTGGCTGATTTTTGTATTTTCAGTAGAGACAGGGTTTCCACCATGTTGGCCAGGCTAGCCTCAAACTCCTGACCTCAGGTGGTCCGCCTGCCTCAGCCTTTCAAAGTGCTGGAATTACAGGGGTGAGCCACAGCACCTGGCCACAAATAGCAACTTTTAATGGCACATGCCCACAGATCATTGACTTCGATAGGATATCTGGTATACAAGAGCAAGTCATTAAAACCAGGAATAATAGAGATTTTTTGCAAAAGATAAAAGAAATAGAGAATGTAACTATCAAATGAAAATTAAAATGTACAAAACAAGCTTCTATTGGCCTCAAAGTAAAAGCCCACATATTTCCTATCAACTGAATTTCATGAAGATACTCAACTAGTTAGTCTTAGTTTCCTATGAATCTTGACAAGCTGTACAGCTTTTACGTACTACAGAAAATTAATGACTACAAAATAACAGAATTGACTTTTTTATGATGAATATACAGCTCCAAAAGTGAAAATGTAATAACTTTAATCATTTATACTCATCAAATAAAAACAAAGTAAAACACTAAGTTACAGCATTTATATCGAGAAGCTCAAGATGCTTAAACACACACACACACACACACACACACACACACACACAACTAAAACACAAAAATCCTTTGTAAGGGAAGGCAATATAGGGGATCCCAGAATGAAAAATTATGCTTCAAATATTTAATAACTTGCCAGCACAGTCCTCTACTTATTTGAGATAAAACATATTAAATATTAATAGGCACAGGAATCATAGTTAAAACCTTAAAGGCTGCAAAAATATTTTATAAAGGCTTATGAAATATTGACCTTAAAAGTTAGCCTCATGAAAAAAACGGTAATTTAAAACTTTGTTTGGCCAAGCAATGTGGCTCAAGCCTGTAATCCCAACACTTTGGGAAGCTGTGACAGGAGAATTGCTTGAGGCCAGGAGTTCAAGAACAACCTGGGCAATATAGTGAGACCCTCTCTCTATTTTTTATTATTTTTTTAAAAAAAGCTTGCTGGGCGCGGTGGCTCACGCCTGTAATCCTAGCACTTTGGGAGGCTGAGGCAGGCAGATCATGAGGTCAGGAGATCGAGACCATCCTGGCTAACATGGTGAAACCCCGTCTCTACTAAAAATACAAAAAAATTAGCCAGGTGTGGTGGTGGGCACCTGTAGTCCCAGCTACTCGGGAGGCTGAGGCAGGAGAATGGCGTGAACCCGGGAGGCGGAGCTTGCAGTGAGCTGAAATCACGCCATTGCCCTCCAGCCTGGGCAACAGAACAGAGCGAGATTCTGTCTCAAAAAAAAAAAAAGCTTTATCTTTATGACTATTATTCTAACCTATACAACTTTAACTCAAAATGTAGTCCAAATTTGAAGAGTACTGAATATTTGATGAAATCAAGGCATCATTGTTTATTTTTCTAGGTGGATAATGGTATTATAGTTACGTTTTTGAAAAAGAACCCTTACCTTTTAGAGATACATACTGAAGTATGTACAGATGAAATTACAAATGGTAGAATTATTTTTTAAATAATAGAGAAAAAAATAAAAGGATAAAGAGGCAGGGAACAAGAGTGTATGTAAAACAAGACAGGCTATGAGTTGACACTAAGTGATGGGTTCATGTGGACTTGTTAGATTTTTGCATGTGTTCGAACCTGTCTACAATTAAAAGTAAATAAATTTTAAAGACAAAAAAAAACACCCCACAAATCTCAAACATGTGTGTGATAAAAGACAGCATACAGTTTTTCAAAATATTTTCCTAAATATCAATACTTCCTATTACTATCAAAAAAAATCAAGCTGAAAATAATTGCTTTAAAGTGCTTAAGCACTTTTATCCCCCTTCCTCTGTCAACTGATCATATCAAACACCTTTATGCCACGAGTGATAACCAAAAAAAATGCAGTGAAAATGTCTAAAGAACTTACTTGGTGTAAAAGCAAATCTGTGCTTGCATAATTCACAGTATTCTTTTCGACTGTGTTTCAGCCATTGAACTAAGCTGTAATTATAAATAGATTCATAAGTACAGTGTTTACAGCAAAGAAACATTACAGTTTTGTCGAAAACATTGTTTTTATTAAAAATGTATATATCACAGAGCTTTTAGTTTCAAAATTTTCAAATTTAGAATATTCTTAACTTTTTGTAACTGCCTTCTAAGAATGAAAAACTACAACAGCTAGAGATAAAAACAACACATTTTTCTACCATTAAAAAAGGTTCAATTAATCAAAACTGTAATTTCCTCAAAGCAAAATGAACATGAAAGAATCTCTAAGCATCAACATCAGTTTTAATCCTGGTCTGATAATACTGGTACCTGGTAGCTAGGTCTGAATCCTGGTTCTGCCACTAACTGGCTGGCTATGTGGCCAAGGACAAGTTATCTAGCCTTCCCATGCTTCAATTTCCTCATCTGCATAATAATAATACTCCACCTCATCACAATTTTCTTATAAGGATTAAAAATGAGTTGAGATGTACAAACCACTAAGAACAGTTCTTGGCAAAAAGTACTTCATAAATGTAAGCTACTATTATGCCAAGCAAAACTAGAAAATCATAACACTTTCAGAGGACAAAATAAGCTCTCCATGGTAGAAATAAACAATGGGTAATTACGTGTACCTGGAAGAGGATACACCAAAATAACAGCCATGGTATTAAGAATTAATGGATAATTTCTTTTCCAAATTTTTTAATTTTTACAATAAAAGGGCTTTTTCAGTTTCCTGTGCTCAGGAAAATACAATAAAACTTTTAAAAATAATTACAGAGAAAGTACATTGAAATGATCCCTGTTACTGTATACATGACGAAACTGAAGCTCAGACTTACATAACTTTCTAAAAGTATGACTTACCATTCTTGATGGATAAACTTAATACTGCCAGTACATACACAAGGATGATAAAGCGGTTTCTCAGGTGTTCCTTCTGACCGACACACTCTACATATGTCTGCCAATGAAAAAGGAAAATTGAATTTCCTTTGGTTATAACTTTTTTAAAAAAGCAAGAAACAAGCATAAACCAAAATATTGGACATTAAAGCAAGAATCTATCACTTGACAAAACATTAATAGTACGGAGAACTGAAAGTTGTGATTAAGTTGCTATTCAAGTGTTTATCTAAAACTAAAAAATTCCTAAATAATGTATTAAAAGTTAAGTTGTTCCTTCGTATGACAGATTTTAAATAAATCAAAGTCGAAAATAAGAGAAACAGATGGTTTTATTCAAAACTGCGCTCTCCACAACAAATAATAAAAATATGTAAAATCAGGTCACCATTAGCGTCCTAACAGTTTTAAACTCCAGTCTTAACAATTTAACGGTTTAAAGTCCTAACAGCCTAAACTCCACAAAACACATGTGAGGACTCACCACAATAACAGCAGTTAGAAGACAAGCTTTTCATGTCACCCCACCCCACAAGAGTGCAAGGTAGGCAGACCCAGAAACACACACACATACACACACTTTAAGGGCTGGTGGGGGGAGGGGATACCCCAAAGCCACAAAAGCACCAGGCCACAGAGAGATGAGCCGGAAGCCACCTTAAGCAGAAGGGACAGCGCTAAGGGGTCCTTGGACCGCAGCCCACCCCTCATGCCCAGCACTACAAGACTCTAGGGGCATATTTGTCTGTCTTCTGCCTGGAGTGGCCCCAAAGCAGCACGACGGCAGAGGAACCGCGACGGATCCTTCGCACTCTCGCTCTAAAGCTCCTACCCGGGTCCACTTAGGGAACCCTGGTTATAACTTTTATTTTAGACCGTTCTCAGCTATCTGTCAGGGCCAAGAGCCAATCCCTAGTGGCCTATCGGAGGGAGAATGGGCAGAAACTTAATGCACACTTTCAGCCTAATCTCTCACGGGAAATTCTTCCTTAACGACGACTTACTACAATCCCGATCCCCATCACTAATGCACTTAACGGGTCTCTGACATCCATCGGATTCAAGTGAGCACATGCCGAGAGCAGTGTGGTGCGTGGTTACAGGCATTTAAGAGCATCACAGGCCTGTGGCTACTCTTCTGTGAGTGGGGTGCATGCCTTTTCTAGGCTGGTGGAGAGATCTATCTGTGTGCTAACCAGCTGGGCAATCCAGAGCCTAACTGCTCAATCTCAGATGGCTGAATGCCATTTGTCTAAATTGGGAGATGCCGAATGCTCACCTAACTGGTTAGCACGCTAATCTCCCTGGTTATTGATTAACTACCAGTCAAATTGTGTCCGGAATTAGTGGGTTCTTGGTCTCACTGACTTCAAGAATGAAGCCGCGGACCCTCGCGGTGAGTGTTACAGCTCTTAAGGTGTCGCGTCTGGAGTTTGTTCCTTCTGATGTTCGGACGTGTTCGGAGTTTCTTCCTTCTGGTGGGTTCGTGGTCTCGCTGGCTCAGGAGTGAAGCTGCAGACCCTCGCGGTGAGTGTTACAGCTCTTAAGGCAGCGCGTCTGGAGTTGTTCGTTCCTTCTGGTGGGCTCGTGGTCTCGCTGGCTTCAGGAGAGAAACTGCAGATCTTCACGGTGAGTGTTACAGCTCATAAAAGCAGTGTGGACCCAAAGAGTGAGCAGTAGCAAGATTTATTGCAAAAAGTGAAAGAACAAAGCTTCCACAGTGTGGAAGGGGACCCGAGCAGCTTGCCACTGCTGGCTCCGGCAGCCTGCTTTTATTCTCTTATCTGGCCCCACCCACATCCTGCTGATTGGTAGAGCCGAGTGGCCTGTTTTGACAGGGTGCTGATTGGTACATTTACAATCCCTGAGCTAGATACAAAGGTTCTCCACGTCCCCATCAGATTAGTTAGATACAGAGTATTGACACAAAAGTTCTCCAAGGCCCCACCAGAGCAGCTAGATAGAGTGTAGATTGGTGCACTCACAAACCTTGAGCTAAACACAGGGTGCTGATTGGTGTGTTTACAAACCTTGAGCTAGATACAGAGTGCCGATTGGTGTATTTACAATCCCTGAGCTAGACATAAAGGTTCTCCAAGGCTCCACCAGAGCAGCTAGATACAGAGTGTCAACTGGTGCACTCACAAACCTTGAGCTAAACACACAGGGTGCTGATTGGTGTGTTTGCAGTCCCTGAGCTAGACATAAAGACTCTCCACGTCCCCACCAGACTCAGGAGCCCAGCTGGCTTCACCTAGTGGATCCCGCACCCGGGCTGCAGGTGGAGCTGCCTGCCAGTCCCGCGCCATGCGCTGGCACTCCTCAGCCCTTGGGTGGTCGATGGGACTGGGCGCCGTGGAGCAGAGGGTGGTGCTCGTCGGGGAGGCTCGGGCCGCACAGGAGCCCATGGAGTGGGTGGGAGGCTCAGGCATGGCGGGCTGCAGGTCCCGAGCCCTGCCCAGCGGGAAGGCAGCTAAGGCCCGGCAAGAAATCGAGCACAGCGCCGGTGGGCCGGCACTGCTGGGGGACCCAGTACACCCTCTGCAGCCGCTGGCCCGGGTGCCAAGTCTCTCACTGCCTGGGCCGGCAGGGCCGGCCGGCTGCTCCGAGTGCAGGCCCACCAAGCCCATGCCCACCCGGAACTCCAGCTGGCCCGCAAGCGCTGCACGCAGCCCCAGTTCCCGCTCGCGCCTCTCCCTCCACACCTCCCTGCAAGCTGAGGGAGCCAGTTCTGGCCTTGGCCAGGCCAGAAAGGGGCTCCCACAGTGCAGTGGTGGGCTGAAGGGCTCCTCAAGTGCCGCCAAAGTGGGAGCCCAGGCAGAGGAGGCGCCGAGAGCAAGCGAGGGCTGTGAGGACTGCCAGCATGCTGTCACCTCTCAAAATCTCTTCATCAAGTAGAAAAGCCATGCACCCCCACCCACAGAATAACTATCAATGGGACAATCCTGTCTGTGCTGGAAGCAGGTAAGGTTGCTCATGTTCAGTCAAATTAAGCTGTCTCTATTGCTGTTGCCTTTCAGTTTCAGCTATGAACACAGACCTTCCCCCTACCACGACCCAAAGGGCTCTGGTTTCCTGGAAGCTGCTAGTGGGTCATGGGCATTAATGCAGTGGTCAACATCACATTTATGTTCGTAACTACACAGGACCTGAACATCTTTAAACTTCCCACTTTCACCTTCATTCTTGGTTAATGAAAACATCCTTGGCAAAAACTTTCACTCTGATCAGTCTTATTACTGGCCCAGAATTTGAGTCCTAGCGGTGCAATACTAATGCCCCAACTGCCCTGCTTAATAAGCTTCCTCAAAGTTCCAACACAAACAAAATAGAACCACGCTCCCATTCCATGATTCCCACCAGCAGTATCCAGGCAGCCCACGCTACTTTGAACACTAATTTTCTTCAAGTGCACACTTCAGCTCCAGGGAAACTCAGGGAAGAAGAGCCCGTAAGGTACCAAAAAGACAAGAGGCATGGACTTTCTTGCAATGGACCCCGGCAGCACGTTAAGATCCAAAAACAAGCATTTTAACTGCCAGGAATTCAGCACACCACATTGAAAGTGGGATTACCGTGGCTGCCAGCACCAGGCTTGCCCTGCAATAGATCCTCTTTAAAGGATTTAAACTGGACTCTTTCCAACTACAGGGCCTTGAAAGAGTTCTATATTGTTTTAATCATTATCCTCCAGGGTTGGGAGTGGGTAATTTGTGCGCCTGCTGCATTCTTTAGATAGGGTATTAATTTATCAGGCTCTCTCTCTGCAGAATCAAATTGAGATTCCCTATTATTAAGATTCTTGGTCACAGTGGTCGCCTCAGTAGGCACTACAACTGCCACCTAAGAGTGACAGGGCCATGGTGGGGGTGGGGAGAAAATGTGATTGATCTAGGTTACCTAGAATCACCAGAGTCACTGAAGCCACAGGTGCGGATCAGTCCTACAATAACCAGTTATCTATATAGGAGCTGAACCCTCATCCAGCCATTCACAACAATACTGTGGATTAACTTTTGAAACTGGCATGTGCTACTACTGTAGGATCTACCAGGGAGGGTGGGTGCAAGTGTGGATGTACAGATCTCAGGCATAGGGTTTGGGCTCCCTAGCCCACATTCAGATGGCTGTGCAAGTAGGAAGTAGGGTATAGCAGCCACAGCATGACAAAGGGTGTCCCACCCGTGGGACGCTGCCCTCCAGGAACATCGTGACGGGTCGGCCATTGACTATGGCCTGGGGTATGGCAAAGACAGTCCTGCTGGCACATTGCTGCCTGTGAGAGGCAAGGACAACAGGTGGAGTGACATCCACGTGGGTACAGCAATTGGTCACTTGGTGGGCTCATTCCATGATACAAAACACTGCCACCTAGACAACCTAGCCCTGCGTGGCCTGAGAAAGCTGTGGTCAGGACCAAAGCAGTGGCAAACTCCAGGGCACACTCACCACAGGAAGCACTGCTGACTCCAAGTGGATGGCCAGCTAGCGAATGGTGGAACAGGACAGGTGGAGTGGGGAGAGAGACATGGATCTCCACTTAGAAGGATGTAGACACACACATGAATTAGGGCACTGATTTTTCAGAAGACCCCTGTCCTTCTGAATGACAAACCAACAAACAAGATACTAAGCAAACCCAACAACTCTGAAATCAAGCCCCAGGGCTCTGCTTGGCCTAGAGAAGAGAACTGGGATCCCAAGTTTCTCACTCAGAGAATGCAAAGACACAACTACTATCCTAGTAACACTTAAGTTTTTTGTTGCTGTTGTTGTTGTTTTGTTTTTTTTTTTAAGAGACAGGGTCTTGCTGTGTCACCCAGGCTGGAGTGCAGTGACACCACCATAGCTCACTGTAACCTCTAACTCCTGGCCTCAGGCAATCCTCCCATCTCAGCTCCCAAAGCACTAGGATTACAGGCATGAGCCACCATGCCCAGCCCCTAAGACTTCTTTTTCACTTATTGTCTTGCCAGTTTGCAGTGGTATTTTCTAGAGGCTACATGAGATAATAGAATGAATGCAGCTAGAGATGAAAAGACCCAGCTGCTTCTCATTAAAATAGGTATTAAAGAGATTGGCAAATATAAAACAAATCCACTTTCCTCATCAATTTTGGGAGTTTGGAATAGTTATTTTCACGAAAAACAGTATTTATATTAACACATAATGAGTGTTGTTATTTTAAAGCAAATTAATAAATACTTCCAAAATTGTTCTTCAAGGAGTTCGTCAAGAGGAAGAACAAGTGCATTAATCCATTTGTTACTTTAAGTGGTTTGGTTTATATGAAAACAATGACAGGTTAGGTCTCAAGTGGGGAAAAAAAATAATCCTAAAGGGAATTCTAACATATTATTATTTCCAAGCAGTATTAATAACTCTTTAAAATCTCCCTAGCATCTATTTTCACAGAGTCAATTGTATAATGAAGTATAAAAAATTCTAATGAATGGATTAATGATCACTATTGCTACATGCTTTTAAATCAAAACATATTTTATAAAACTACTGAAATGACCACATTTCATAAAGCATTATATCCACTAACAATAGTACACAGACATGATAAAAAAATAAAGATCTTTAAGATGCTATGGGTTTTCTCCCCCCTCAATTGGGTCTTAGGAGAAAAACAAATATAAGGAAAATGAAAATTAATTTTCTGCTCCATTATGGAGCAGAAAACATCAAAATCCAAAATGATGTTTTCATATTCTCAAAATCAATTTTAAGTAATTAATTGGCATTTGATCTTCCATGTCTCTATGTCTCTCTTTTTTTTTTTTGGCCTACTCACATTGGCAGCAATAAATATTACTATTTTGAAATATCTATGAGGAGTGGGCATTACAGGAGCACACCACCACATTCAGCTAACTTTTTTAGGAGATAGAGTCTCACTATGTTGCCCGGGCTAGTCTCAAACTCCTGGCCTTAAGCAATCATCCTGTCTCAGACTCCTGAATAGCTGGGATTATAGATGCCAGCCAGCAGCAACTTGCATGTCTTTTAATTTCTATTTGGTATAATGTACTAGAAACTTTAATGAAGGCATTTTAAAAGACCAGCCACTGCCTCAAAGAAAAAAAAGTATAAAAAAGCACAACATTCAATTGTTACTTTGACATCAGCTAAGAACTACCCTTTATTTCATTACCTACTGATATGGTTTGGCTGTGTCCCCACCCAAATCTCATCTTGAATTCCCACGTGTTGTGGGAGGGACCCAGGTAATTGAATCATGGGGGCAAGTCTTTGCAATGCTGTTCTCGTGATAGTGAATAAGTCTCATGAGATCTGATGGTTTGAAAAACAGGAGTTCCCCCACACAAGCTCACTTGCTCTCTCTTTTTGCCTGCTGCCATCCCTGTGACTTGCTCCTCCTTGCCCTCCACCATGATTGTGAGGCTTCCCCAGCCACATGGAACTGTAAGTCCATTATAAATCTCTTTCTTTTGTAAATTGCCCAGTCTCAGGTATGTCTTTATCAGCAGCATGAAAACAGACTAATACACCTACCATCTCTACACACAGTTCTAAGCACTCCGAATGTATTCTGTCACTTACTCCTCACAATACCAATCTCATAGTTTGGGAAACTGAGGTTGAAAGGGGTAGGGTAATATAACACATCTAAGGCCACACAAGACTAAGGAGAAGGCAGTATACAAGAGATCTAGGGTATCACTGAACTGTCACACTTTCAGAAAACTGGCTGGAAATCTAAGAATAGCTAATTCTATTTCAGTTACTGAGAACCAAGTAATTATCAACCAAGGGCCAAATGAGGATTAAAAACTAGCTCCCAATTCCAAGAGTACTCTCCTTTTGACCTTATCATGCTTCTTCCCCACAACTACCTTCATCAAGCAACCAGGTTATCGTGAATGTTTTATTTTTTTCATAATGTCAATATTCTATTTATCTGCTCCTCCAACTTTATCATATTCTCCCACTTGCACAGTAGACTGCTCCATCGAGTAAAACATACATTACTGAAATATAAAGATAAAAAATAACCAGGTAGTACAGCAGCTAATTAAAAAGTGGTTTTATTACTGCCAACCTGAACATTTCCACAGTTTACCAAGTTCTCTTTCTTTGTGAACTATCTGTTCAAGTTCTTTGTCCAGTTTACTAATCAAGGTCTCAACAGTAAGAAAACTAAAAAAAAAATCAGCTTTGTGCTGGGTTAGTTAAAAAAAAGAAAGAAAATGGTTTGAAAAAAAATCAGCAAAAGATCTGAACACACTCACCGAAAGAGGAATAAAAAATTTTAAATGTTCAAGTCATTCAAGAAATGCAAATTTAAATCACAAGAAGATGGTGATGGTTGCACAACAAGGTGTATTTAATGCCACTGAAGTATATACTTAAAAATAGTTAAAATAAGTAAATTTTATTACATATACTTTACCACAATCAAATTTTTTAATAAAAATCACAGTAACGCCAGATATGGCAGCTCACACTTGTAATCCCAGCACTTTGGGAGGCTCAGGCAAGAGGATCACATGAGCCCAGGAGTTCAAGACCAGCCTGGGGAACATAGGGAGACCCCCATATCTACAATAAAATTTTAAAATTAGCAGGGTATGATGGCGTCTGCTTGTAGTCCCAGCTACTCAGGAGGCTAAGGCAGAAAGATTGCTTGAGCCCAGGAGCTTGAGGCTATAGCGAGCTATGACGGCGCCACTGCACTCCAGCCTGGGTTTATAAGCAAGATCCTGTCTCAAAAAAAAAAAAAAAAAAAAAAAAAATCACAGTAAGATACTCCCATACCTATTGAAAGGGCAAAAAAATGAAAATAAAAACACCCTTACCAGACAATCCAGAAATCCTACTAATATATATTTAACCTGATAAAACAAAAACTTATGTTCACACAAAAACCTATGTGAGTATGTATAACGGTTTCATCCTTAATTCCCCAAAACTAGAAACAATCAACTCAAGAATTCCACAACTGGGTAATAGATAAACTTTGGTACATCCCTACAATAAAATACTAAGCAATAAAAAGAAATGAACTAGTGATACATGCAACGATGATGTGGATAACCCTCAAACATTGTATTAAGTTAAAGAAACCAGACTCAAAAGACTACATACTGTATGGTTCTATTTATGACATTCTGGAAAAAGCAGAATGATAGGGACAGAAACAGATCAGTAGTTGCCAGGGGCTGGAAATGGGGGACAAAGTTGACCATAAAAGGGTAAAGGATATTTGCAAGGGGGGGGGGGGGTAATGGAACTATTCTATACCTTGACTGTGCTGGCTATATGACTGCATGTATTTGTCAAAATAGATATTAAATAAGGTAAATTTTACTGTATTTAAATTATACTTTAATTTGAAAAATGAAATCGACAGGCCTTCTACAGTACTGTCTACACAGACATGTGGGAAGAAAGAACAAATAAGAAAGAAGGATGACATGAAAAACATACTTGTTCCCTCTCTAAAATGTCATCTAATGAAATTGTAGATTGAAGTGTACACCCAATGAGCACACGTTTTTCATCCAACCAGGTAGAAACTGATGTTGTTAGGGACTGGAAATCATCAGCATTGGTCATCAAATATTTCTCACTTTCCACTTTCTGGGCATACACTGAAACTGCACTTCCCTGCCACCTCTGAAATTAGGCATGGACATGTAACTTACTTTGGTCAATGAAATATGAGGTACAATGACAAGTATCCCTTCTTGGTAGAAGTGTCTGAAAGCCAATGAACACAATTCATCACACTGCATTTTCCCTGCCTCAATGGGCGTGGAAGCATGCAGTAAGGGATGGAGCTTCCATCAAGCTGGGCTCCCCAGTGACTACAGTTAGCAAAAGCACTTCCCCCTCCACCCACATTGGAAATTTTTTTTTTTTTTTTAAAGAAACAGAGCCTTACTTTGTCATCCAGGCCATCAAGGCTGGAGTGCAATGGCACAACCATAGTTCACTGCAGCCTCAAACTCCTGGCTGGGCACGGTGGCTCACGCCTGTAATCCCAACACTTTGGGAGGCCATGGTGGGCAGACTGCTTGAGATCAGGAGTTTGAGACCAGCCTGGCCAACATGGTGAAACACCATCTCTACTAAAAATTACCGAGAACGTGGTGGCGCACACCTGTAGTACCAGCTACTTGCGAGGCAGAGGCAGGAAAATCGCTTGAACCTGGGAGGTGGAGGTTGCAGCAAACCGAGATGACGCCACTGCACTCAAGCCTGGGCAACCAACGGAGCAAGACTCTATCTCAAAAAGAAACAAACAAACAAAAAACACTCCTGGGCTTAAGTGATCCTCCTGCCTCAGCCTCCCAGCTGGGACTACATGTGCACACCACCAGGCCCAGCTAAATTTTTCTTTATTTTTTGTAGAGGCAGGGTCTCTCTATCACCACGTTGCCCAGTCTGGTCTCAAACTCCTGGGCTCAAGCAATCCTCTGGTGTTGGCCTCCCAAACTGCCAGTATTATAGGTGTGAGCCAATGTGCCTGGCCAAGAAGTGATTAACCTTTTGATGCTTTAAGCTCCTGAGGTTTAGGGTAGTTTGTGACTACGACATAACTTAGCTGATCCTATTTTATACAGAATCTTAGCAGCTTTGCAAAAACATGAAGCAAGTACGACTATTACAAACATACAAAGTCAAAAAAAGAATAGCCTGTTTTGTATACTAGTTCCAATCCCACCACCCAAAACCTCAACAGAGTAACAAGGCCAAGGCTACAAAAAGAGTGAAGTCTACAAAGGGCTCAGCTTAAAGTCCTTTACTAAAAATTAAACCACCGAAGTAGGTTCTGTGGCAGATTGAGGCTCCCCCCCATCAGATTCGTATGCAGTAAAATTATGAATCTTGCTCAGGCCAAAGTAAAATCAATGCATCTTGCTTGTTATGAACGCAAACCTACTTAGAAACAATATGGCAAAGCTCTTCCTGGTTTTCAAAGGGAAATTTCTATTTAATCCTGTAGCAATTTTTGTTGCTGTATTTGAATACCTAATGTCTTTACACATGGATACCTTTTAAAGATTCCACCAAAGAGCTTGGCTCAATAAACAATAGTGGTTTTTTTAATTAAAAAAAAGCTTCAAGTCCTTAGTAATTTTTCAAATTCTTGTGGAGATTGCCCAGGAGATGGGAAAGAAAGAAAGAAAACCACCACCACTGTGGAAGTCAGCCCATTTCATCAAAGTTTTTCTAGCCAACAGTACAGTTCAATAATTTATCCTAAGTGCCTAGTATGAGGAAAAAAATAAAACTCTAAGTTTTGGGGTACATGTTATAACTCTTAAGCTATTATCTATCTTGAAAGTTCTTTGATGTAAGACTTCAAAATCTCTCCACTTACCTTCTGGTGTTAAATCAGTGATAATTTAATATACAAAGAATTATTTTTTATTACTAACAGACTTTAGATTTTAGAAGTCTTAGACTTACAGAAAATATGAAGAGAGTACAGAGTTCCCATATACCCAGCACACAATATCCCCTACTATTAACATCTTATTAGGATTTGTTACACTTTTGTTACACTTAACCAATATTGATACATTGTCATTAACTCAAATCCATGGTTTATTCTGATTTCCTTAGTCTTTACCTAACGTCCCTTTTCTGTTCTAGGATCTACATATATTTAGTTGTCATGTCTCCTTGGGCTCCTCTGGGCTCGGGCAGTCTCTCAGATTTTCCTTGTTTCTGACGACCTTGACAATTTTAAGGAGTACTGGTCAGGTACACTGTAGAATGTCTGTTTACTGGAAATTGCATGATTCATGAATAGACTGGGGCTATGGGTTTTGGGAAGGAAAAAAATCACATGAAGTGGCATCTTATATCATATCATATCATATCAAGGGATATGCCATCAACATGATTTGTAACTGTTGGAGGCCGAAAGACTGAGGGTCGTGATCAACTCAGTATACCACTGGAGGCTATAAGAGTGAACAGCAAACTGTTCTCATAAACGCAGAATGTTGGCAAACTGACAAACTGCCTATGCCACCCAGAAGGAATGCTGAAGGCAGTCACGCCCCAAGCTCAGTTTCTTGTGATTAGGTACATCTGAAGCCTGTTCGTAATAATATGAACGTGTGATCAATTAAGCAGCTGACCAGTCATTATCACCTCCCCCCTGCTCTTTCTACCCAATAAATTCTAAGGGCTGTGGAAGCTAGGCTGCTGCCTTTGCTCCCTAGAAGCAGGGAGCCCTCTTTTTCTTCCCCTTTTTTCTTCCTTTAAAAGTTTCTTTTGTCTTAATTTTTCATTTCTACATTTGTCCCCCTTCACTCAGTCTCATAATGACGGTCTCAAGTAGTAACAGCAGTAACTGTCATAGTGACAGTCTCAAGTAATAACCGTGGCACTATGCCACATGTAACTGTTAATGTTGACCTTGTTCATCTGGCTGAAGTAAACAAGGAATGTTTAATATGTAATTATCAATAAAATTTTTACAATTAGTAGCTACAATTATAGTAGACAATTTTGAAAATATATTAAAAATATTACTCAAAATGTCTGCAGATAACCTATATAGCCCAAAATAGGGAAGCGGCTATATAAATGGTGCACATTCACTATATGGAATGTATACAGTCCCTTAAAAATAGCAAATACAAGGCTGGGCGCAGTGGCTCATGCCTGTAATCCCAGCACTTTGGCAAGATGGATCACTTGAGTCCAGAAGTTCGAAACCAGCCTGGCCAACATGGCGAAACCCATCTCTACTAAAAATACAAAAACTAGCCAGGTATGGCAGCACACGCCTATAATCCCAGCTACTCAGGAGGCTGAGGTACAAGAATCATTTCAACCCAGGAGGCGGAGGTTGCAGTGAACCGAAATTGCGTGACTGCATTCCAGCCTGGGCAACAGACCAAAAAACAAAAAAAAAGTATATATATGTATATATAACTATTTGCTAATATGGAAAGAGATATAACATTTTTAAATGACCACACTCCCTTACTTCCAACTAGGTAAAAACACCATAGCCTAAAGAAGAAAATGCAAAAAAAAGACAGCCACTGTAATTGGTCAGACGAGAACATGGGTAATTTTTCTTCCTTTCTCGTCCCCAAGTAGATAGTGTTTAATTGCTACTTTTACAATTACAGGCAGAAAAAAATGTTTAACTGCTCAAATTTTACAAAAAATATTTCCTTTTTGAGGGTGAGCGTATACCCATACACAAACTATGTGGGTTTGGGAATTAGGCCTTGCAAACACAGTTTAAAAATTCCAATTCTCGGCCAGGTGCAGTGGCTCACGCCTGTAATCCCAGGAGGCTGAGGTGGGCGGATCACCTGAGGTCGGCAGTTCATGACCAACCTGACCAACATGGAGAAACCCCACCTCTACTAAAAATACAAAATTAGCCAGGTGTGGTGGCATATGCCTGTAATCCCAGCTACTCGGGAGGCTGAGGCAGGAGAATCGCTTGAACCCGGGAGGCGGAGGTTGCGGTGAGCCAAGATCGTGCCATTGTACTCCAGCCTGGGCAACAAGAGCGAAACTCTGTCTCAAAAATAATAATAATAATAATAATTCCAATTCTCTATGTACCCCAAAGTTTACTTATTTTAGCTCACCAGATTACTATCGTTACTAAATTAAAAATTCACCTGTACTGTTGCTCCTGGAAGCCTGAAAACTGCACTTTCTGGCCTCCTTGCCAACTAGGCTTAAGTTAGAGTCTGTCAATGAGAAGCACTTCTGTGAGATCAGAAGAAGCAGGGAGGCTGGGTGCAGTGGCTCACACCTGTAATCTCAGCACTTTGGGAGGCTGAGGTGGGTAGATCAACTGAGGTCAGGAGTTCAAGACCAGCTTGGCCAACATGGTGAAACCCCGTCTCTACTAAAAATACAAAATTAGCCGGGCGTGGTGGCATGTGCTTGTAATCCCAGCTACTCAGGAGGCTGAGGCAGGAGAATCGCTTGAACCTGGGTGGCAGAGGTTGCAGTCAGCCAAGATCGCACCATTGCACTCCAGCCTGGGCGACAAGAGCGAAACTCCATCTCAAAAATAAAAATAAAGAAGAAGCAGAGAAACAGCGAAACCATTTTCTACTTGTTTCTAAAAACCAGCAGTTGCAGCTAATGGCAGGTACTGCAGACTCCTGCTAACAGATACGCAAGTCATGGTGGAGATTCTGCCCAACAGCTGTGGGCAACATCAAGCTTCAGCAGCACAGGCAATGAATGATTCCAACAATTTCAGCAGTAATGAGCTAGTTATCCATGTATCCCCTTCTCAACTCCAAATTCTCCCTTTCAGTCCCTGTTCAGTGATAGGGATGCTAAGCTTTTCTTTTCTTTTCTTTTGGCTAGGGGCAGTTAAACTTTGCCAGTAGAGGGTGCTGGAGGGATATCTAAGAAGAAAGGGGTGTTTTCTAGCTCCTGCCACACTATCAGTAGTTTTGTTTTAATGAACACCTTCATACAGCCCTGCTGATGAGGACCCAACACACTCCAGGACTTGCACAGGTACACACAGTGATATCCCAACTCCCTCTGCATAACTGCCCATCAACCTTGGCTCACCTGTACCCGGAAGGTTGCTTTCTGCTCCCCAGAAGAAGTGGTGTACCACTTTACACTCCCACCAGCAGTATATGAAAATTCCAACTGCTCTACCTCCTTACAAACACTTGGTACGGTCAGTCATTCTATTACCATTTTAGCCACACTAATAGGTATGTAATGATATCTCACAGTAGTTTTAATTAACAATTTTATTCAGATATATGTCATAAAGTTCACCAATTTAAAGACTTCAATTGTTTTAAGTATATTTACAGTTACGCAACCATCACCATAATCTTTTAGAACATTATCATCATCCCAAAAGGAAACCCTGTAACTATTAGTGGATACTTCCTACTCCATCTGCTCTCCCCAGTTCCAGACAACCACTAATTTCTCTATATATAGATTTGCCTATTCTGGACATTTCACACAAATAGGATCATAGAAAATATGTTCTTTTGTGACTGGCTTATTTCACTTATCCTAATGTTTATGAGATTTATCCAAGTTGTACCATGCATCAGTACTTAATTCCTTTGAACTGCTGGGTAATATTCTATTTTACAAATAGATCACATTTATCTACTCATCAGTTGATGGACACTGGGTTGTTTCTATTTGGCTATTATAAATAATACTGCTAACTCATATACAGGTTTTTGTGTGAATATATTTTTTGAATTCTCTTGGGTATATGAAATTTCTGGGTCATATGGTTACTCAGCTTATCTTTTTGAGGAATTACCAAAATCAGTCACACTATCTTACATTCCTAGCGTAACAAATGAAGGTTCCAATTTTTCTACAATGCTCACCAACACTTACCTGTTCTTTCTGATTATAGCCATCCTAGCAGGTGTGAAGTGGTGTCTCATTATGGTTTTGACTAATGATGCTTAGCATATTTGCATATGCTTAATAGCCATGTACATGTATTTTTTAGTGAAGTGTCTATACAAATCTTTGGACCATTTTAAAAACTGAGTTATTGTTTTCTTATTACTGAGTTCTGAGAATTTTTTATATACTCCAAGCCCCTTATAAGATACATCTTCTGTATCCTGTCTTCATTCTGTTAAGTGTCTTTCTAATTTTGAAAGAAATTCTGAATTTTGATGCCATCTGATTTATCCACTTCTTTTATGGATCATGCTTTTGGAGTCATACCTAAGAGATCTTGGTCTAACCCAAGATTCCGAAGAATTTCTCCTATATTTTCCCCTAGAAGTTTCATAGTTTTAGGTTTTTCATTGAGGTCTAACAGCCCTTTGAGTTAATTTTGGTATATGGTACAAGCTATAGCTCAAAGTTCTTTTTTTTTTCCTACAGCTATTCAACTATTCCAGTGCCATTTGTTGAAAAACGATATCCTTTATATTTTATGCAATTGCTTTTGCACTTCTGTCCAAAAATCAACTGTCCATGTATGTGTGGATCTATTTCTGGACTCTATCCTACACTACCAGACAAATGGATTTTAATTTAACAGTTAATTTAATTTTTTAAGGTGACTGCCATGTTTTCAGATACGTTAAGAAACTACCACTTGTCAAGTTTTGACATAGTATCAAAGAACATACAAACATCTGAAAATATTCATCCCTTTTCAAGCTATAAATCTGTGTGATGCCGAGTTTTTATATACACTAACCAAAACACTTAACAAAGTGACTGCAAAGGGAGAGATGAGAATCCAATTGTCTTATAATAATCCAGATAACGTTATTTTTATTAACATATATTGAGTTTATTGTTACTTTTAAATATTCTAAATAATTTGTATTCATTCTTCATTTCTAATATGGTAAATATCTATCTTTACATATAAAACCCACATAAACAAAAGTCCTTTGGGTCCTCAATTTTAAGAATGTAAAGGGGTCTTGGGACAAAGCTTTGAAAACCACTACTCTAGCTACATCAATGCTCTTCAAACTGTTCCATTCAATAGAAATGCCTCTTGGCACTTTTCAAGGACTTGGAATGAAGAAATGAAACATGCAGAAAACATTGTTGCACAGGTCCTAGATACGTAGTAGACATGTACCCAATATTTGGTAAATGGGGAAGTAATCAAAAAAGACATGGAATCTCCAATATTCTATTTCAAAAGTGTTATAACAGAACTGCACCCTAAACAGGGTAAATTTGTGTGTAAATTATACTTTATTAACCTGATTCCATCTTTACAGAATACATTAAGAGGTGACAGAAGGGAAGGAGAGAGACAGGAAAGTAAAAAGTGTATTACAGCCAGGCACAGTGGCTCACACCTGTAATCCCAGCACTTTGGGAGGCCGAGGTGGGCGGATCACCTGAGGTCAGGAGTTCAAGACCAGCCTGACCAACATGGAGAAACCCCATCTCTACTAAAAATACAAAATTAGCCAGGTGTGGTGGTGCATGCCTGTAATCCCAGCTACTCGGGAGGCTGAGGCAGGAGAATCCCTTGAATCCAGGAGGCGGAGGTTGCCATGAGCCGAGATCGCGCCATTGCACTGCAGCCTAGGCAACAAGAGCTAAACTCCGTCTCAAAAAAAAAAAGATATTATAATGAAGTTAAGTTATAAAAAATAAGTGTACAGGGAATGCTTCAGTCTTCCAAGCCTTCAAGAATTCATGTCTATCATGGGCTGAATTGCACTGCCCCTCCCCCCGTAATTCACGTGTTGAAGCCCTAACCTGCATGTATACACAATGTAACTATATTTGGAGACAGGATCTTTAAAGAGGTAATTAAGTTAAAATGAGGTCCTTAGAGTAGGCCCTAATCCAATATGACTAGCGTCTTTAAAAAAAGAAGAGATTAGGACATAGAGGGACAACTACATGAAGACATACAGAGAGAAGACTACATGAAGACACAGAAGACAATCATCTACAAGCCAAGGAGAGAGACCTCAGAAGAAACCAGGCCTACCAACACCTTCATCTCAAACTTCTAGCCTCCAGAGTTGAGAAAACAAATTTCTCTTAAGCACCCAATCTGTAGTACTTTGTTACAGCAGCCCCTGCAAACTAAAACAATATCTAAAACTGAACTACTTATCTCTTTCCATTCCCATTTGAAATAATATAAAAATCAATCATTTTTAACTCCTCCTCCTTATATTACCTCTTCAATTACTATGTTCTATTAATTCTACCTTGGTCTATTTCTTCTTTTCCATTCTTTCCATTCCCTCTACCTTAATGTAACTCCTATATCTCATCTAGCCTACTGCAACAGCATTCTAAAATATAGTCTGAATTATTAAGTTTTCCCTTGGGGGGTTCTTACTTCCTATTCACTTTTCAAGAACTCTTTCTGTTCTAACTGTATTATACTAAAAATAAGTGATCTTCATAGTCTTACAGGACAGAAGTAAAACCCACTAAAGTAAGCCTGGCCTGGAAGAAATGGGAAGTAGGCATCTGGAAGAGGATAGCCCAGCAATAATCACTCACAGGGCTTCAGTCTAAAAAGTATTCTAATTGAGCAATATAGCAGATCTCTTTTGCACTGTCTTACCAGCTCAAGAATGGACACAGCCAGTCATGATTCTTATTCTTCCATTACCTTTCCCACCACCACCCAGCTACCTGGATCAAAAGGATAAGCAACTGACCCAAGATGAGCCAGTGAGATTGTAGCTTCCAGAAATTTGAATTTAAGACAAACAAAAACTTGTCTTAACCAGGAAAGAGATAGACTCAGTAACCCTGGGGGATTGGTTTCAGGAAGTCCACAGGTGCCAAAATCCACAGATGCTCAAGTCCCTTATGTAAAACAGCATAGTATTTCCAAGTAACCTATGCACATCCTTCCATATACAGGAGTCCCCTGAACAAGAGTTAGGGGCACCGACCTCCTGCACAATCAAAAATCCACATACAGCCGGGCGCGGTGGCTCACGCCTATAATCCCAGCACTTTGGGAGGCTGAGGCAGATGGATCACCTGAGGTCAGGAGTTCAAGCCAATATGATGAAACCCCATCTCTACGAAAAATACAAAATTAGCCAGGCATGGTGGTGCATGCCTGTAATCCCAGCTACTCGGGAGGCTGAGGCAGGAGAATCGCTTGAACCTGGGAGGCGGAGGTTGCAATGAGCTGAGATGGTGCCACTGTACTCTAGCCTGGGCAAAAAGAGCAAAACTCTGTCTCAAAAAAAAAAAAAAAAAAAAAACACACACACATACAACTTTTGACTCCCGAAAAACTACTAATGGAAAACTACTAACAGCCTACTGGTGACCAGAAGCCTTCCCATAACATAATACAACATAAACAGTAGATTAATACACATATTGTACTACTTTTTTTTTGAGACGGAGTCTTGCTCTGTTGCCCAGGCTGGAGTGCAGTGGCGCGATCTCGGCTGACTGCAAGCTCCGCCTCCCACGTTCACGCCATTCTCCTGTCTCAGCCTCCCAAGGAGCTGGGATTACAGGCACCCGCCACCACATCCAGCTAATTTTTTCTATTTTTAGTAGAGACAGGGTTTCGCCATGTTGTCCAGGCTGGTCTCGAACTCCTGACCTCAGGTGATCTGCCTGCCACCGCCTCCGAAAGTGCTGGGATTACAGGCGTGAGCCACCGCACCCAGCCTTTGTATTACATTATACTAGGTATTATGAGTACTCAGGAGATTATTTAAAGTACAGATCTGTGAACATCACAGTTTGAACTACATGGGTCCACTTATACGCGGATTTCTTTCTTCAATAAATATATTGGAGAATTTTTTGGAAATTCACAACAATTTAAAAAAAGATGAACTGTGTAGCTTAGAAGGAGCAAAAAAAATAAAATTATGCCATGAATGCATAAACTGTATTATATGTATTGCGTACTGTATTATATGCTGCATTCTTACAATATGTATTGTAATATTATATACTGTATTCTATATTATATACTTTATTTTTACAATAAAGCTAGAGAAAAAAATTAAGAAAATCAGAAGGAAATTACATTTACAGCACTGTACCATATTTATTGATACCTGTCTGTTTACAAGATAAATCATTCTGAAATGGCCAGCAACCACAGCTACAAACCTCAATCTATGGCACATATGAAGCAATTCGACTTTTTCTTCATAATGTCATGCCTTTTTTCAGCTTCCTGGAGCACTTCCAGCATCACTTAGTGGCACCTCATATGGATCCCATCATGTTATTCAAAGTTTAGGGTACTGCACTAAATGCAATGAAAAATACAAGAGAATCCAGAGAGATACTTTTTACCATATACAATTTACTGGAGAGATGAGCTCCAACAACAGCAACACTTGAGCTCACAACAACAGCAACGGAAGGTGGCCACAAAATTATTACAGTAGCACAGTATGCACTACGGTTAATTTCATGCAGTTATGATTTAATACTGTATCTTTAAGTTTCTTTACATCTCTCAACTGTGAATGGTGCCATGTACAGTCTCCATTACATGTTTGTGTGTGTAAGTTTTGATAAATTTTAACATTTCATGACAGATTTGTATATATTTTATGATAGTGAGTAAAAGACTAGTATCTACATATATTTTATGCATTAATGACATAACTTTTTAACTTTCTCACTATTTCTAGACTACACAGTTCATCTGCAAGTTTTTTCAAATTGCTGCAAATCTCCAAAATTTTTTTCAATATATTTATTGAAGAAAAAAATCCATGTGTAAGTGGACCCATGTAGTTCAAAAACCCATGTTGTTCAAGAGTCAACTGTACTTTAAATTATCTCTAGATTACTTAGAATAATTATAACATAAATGTTATGTAGTCATCATACTGTATTGTTTGAGGAATAATGACAAGAAAAAAAGGCTGTACATGTTCAGTACAGAGGTAATCATCTATTTTTTTCCAAGTATTTTCCATCTGACATTGGATGAATCCACAGATGCGAAACCCACAAATACAGAAAGCTGGCTGCATATCAAGACAATTTATGTCTCACGTCAGCTCAAAACCCTCCCATAGCTCCCTATCTCACTATAAAAGTCAATGAAGTCCTACATGCTCTCTCCCCATTGGCTCCATATCTTTCTGACCTCATATTATACTTACTCTTCTCCAACTCTTTTACTCCGTTACAGCTACACTGCTCTCCTGGTGATTTATTGAACACTCTAGGCATGCTCCCATCTTAGACACTTCACATAGGCTATGTTCCCTCTGCCTGGAATGCTCTGCCCAGAGTATCTGCATGGCTAACTCCTTCTCCTTTGCTCCTTCTCAGTGAGGCCTTCCTTTACTGCTATATTTAAAACTGCGACCCCTAGTGAGCCAAGATCGCGCCACTGCACTCCAGCCTGGGTGACAGAGCAAGACTCCGTCTCAAAAAAAAAAAAAAAAAAAGCAACCCATGCCCTCATATCCTGGCACTTCTTATTCCCTCCCAATTCACTGTTCTCCACAGCGTTTATAACCTTCTAGTTATGCCATATAATTTACATGTTTATTTTGTCTTAAGCTAATAACTATAATGTAAGCTCTATGAAAGAAAGGATTTTCTCTATATTGTTCCTTGCCTAGCCCAAATGCATAGAATAGTGCCTGGCTCATAACAGGTCCTCAGTAAACATTTAACGAATAAATGCATGTACACTTGGTCACAAGCATGCCAAAACAGTGAAAGGTAATGCGTGGTAAGAAACATGCAGCAGACATCTCTGGAAACAAAGAAGACTGTGTGGGTCTAGAAAGAGAGGAACTAGCTGTCTGATTCTGACAACTTTCTATCCTTTTAACTCATTTCTTCCAAATTTAAGTTACCTCAAATTTTTGCCATAGTGATATAGAACATGATCAACCATAATACTCTTTAGCTTCACACTTTTCGAATGAATATGTTCCGTAAAGCATAAAGAACAGCTGCTTTGGTATTCTGTAATAAAATTACTAAGACTTTGTATTATGTTGTGCTAATACAAGCAGTAATTTAGCAAAATGGAAAAGAAAAAAAAAAAAACCTCAGCTTTATATCACTGAGCCGAAATGTGGGCATTCTATGACAAAATGTTTAATATTATCTTTGAGAACTGCACATCAACACTTGCAACATCTATTCCAATATTGTACTGCTTTTCCTTTAAAAAAAAAAAAAAAAAAGTATATCCTTGACCAAAGGATAGACTTTTCTCTGAAACTGAGAAATCTCAGTGCATTACAGGATCGGACTCCTAACCCATAAAATGAGGAGGGCAAATGTCTAAGGTCTCCTATAGCTCTGAAGTTTAAAAATGTCAGGATGGATAGCAGTTGACATAACACATCTGCACTCATACAAATAACATATACACAGTAAGAATGATTTATCCATCCCTGTATTATGAGAATGGATTATAAACCTGTTGATTTTACAAAAATTAATTTAATACTGAAGAAACTTTAGAGATCTTTAAAATCTAGCAAACAATTAGTATGAAACAGCCATGTCGGAACTAAGTATTACTACAAATGCATAACATTCTGAGCATCAGACTATCATATATGGTACCATCAGAGGCAAGCAATGTGCTATTTTTAAAAGGAAGGGAAGACTTACTATACGCACGGTTGATGTGTTTGTAACATTCTTAATCTCTTTGCTCAGAATATTAAAATATATTTTTAAAGGACAGAGAACCGGCCAGGAACGGTAGCTCACGCTCGTAATCCCAGCATTTTGGGAGGTTGAGGCGGACAGATCACCTGAGGTCAGGAGTTTGAGACCAGTCTGGCCAACATGGCGAAACCCCATCTCTACTAAAAACACAAAAATTAGCAGAGGGAGGTGGCGCGCTCCTGTAATCCCAGCTACTCAGGAGGCTGAGACAGGAGAATCGCTTGAACCTGGGAGGTGGAGGTTGCAGTGAGCAGAGATCATGCCACTGCACTTCAGCCTGGGCAACAGGGCAAGACTCCATCTCGGAAAATAAAATAAAATAAAATAAAATAAAATAAAATAAAATAAAATAAAATAAAATAAAATAAAATAAATAAAAAACAGAACCACAACAGTATAAGTGTTTTCAAAAGTAGGTGATACTGATTTTTTTTTAATTTAGTTTTATGTTTGGCCATACTTTGAATATCTCCTACCAAAAAATTTCTAAGCAGATTTAAAAAACCTAAGTCGCATTTTTTAAAGAAATAACCTATAATAACTGATTTCACAAATAGAACATTTTTTATTAGTTTTTTGGCATCTTTGCTATATCATTTTTAATCCTCTATAACCCTCCCTTTTCCTTTAAGTGTTATTTCAACTTAAATTTAATTGTAAAAATGTCAGAAGACTTCCAAACTGGAATTTTGCAAAAGCAGGCATGAGAATACGGCACTAAAATTCACTTGCATTTCATGACTAATAATTTCATAAAACAAAATAAAGCAAAATAAAGTTTCCACCAAATTATATAAATGATTCATCCTATAGAGGGAGTGACAAAAATAAATTTCAACATTGGACTTGTAGTATACACTCATAAATAAATAATCTAATTTAAGTGCGACTCTGACAGACATGAGTCTGAATCTTGCCTCTGCCATTTACTACCTGTATTATCCTGGACAAGTTACTTAATCATACTAACCATCAGTTTCCTCATCTGTAAAATGAAAATGCCGACTACCTAACGATGTGAGAGAATTAAATGAAATGTATATAAAGTGTTTAGTAAAGCACATACTACACGTTGAGTCTTCAGCACATGTTATTTTAACAGGCAACAGTGTTCAATAAATAAATGTTATGTATACCTTATCCTGATTATAATTTTACAAGAGAAAAAATATATTTAAGCACTAGAAGTACAGTGAAAATATTTCATGATTCCATACGTGCTTCGAGCGCAATTCCTGAATTACCACAGATTACTGTCACACCATAAAAGTATGCAAGTAGCAATGCCCAGGCCAAAAGAATGAGAATTGAATGTAATACGTCCGTACCTATCCTGTGATAAATACATGCCTTACTAGATTTACTCATTAAAACCTGAATCTAAAAGGATGTGAAACCTATGTAGATGGAAATTTACACGCAAGGACCACCTGTCAAAAAGAAATAGTTCGCAACCTTCAGCAGTTTCGCTTTACTATTTTTTCCAAAGGCGTCTCCAGTGGCGATTAGCTACACTCAGTGTATATAATAAACACACTGTGGCATAATGAAAGGGAAATTACTTGCAATCAGAATGCCTAGGTTCAAATCTGCCTCTTACTACCTGTGTAAAGCTTCGACAAGCTATTAAAATAACGAAGCCTACATTTCCACATCTATAAAAGATAATACCTACCTATTCCACAGGCTTTTTACGAAGATGGAACGCGAATGTACATCAAGTGCCACATGTTATAGTTGAGGTATTTATTAAAGGCAAGACTTCTTTAAAAAAAAATAAGTCGTTATCAACTCATTACATAGATAATATCAAACTTTTTTCACTCATTATTGCACTCCATGACGGCGTTTGATAATTCATTTTCGTTTAAAATCGCCAAAATCGCAACCCATAAGGTTGAAAGACGCTCATACCCCCATAAATATACCTAAAGTAGAAAAGCATTTGCACGATAACCGGAACATCAAAAAAAGCAAAATTTAGTAATTTCCTCTATAAACTCACCACTCATTTAAAAACACAGCTGGTTAAAAATAATCTACTACCTTCAGTGGGTAAGAAAATGCGTTTGAAGAGACATAAGGTGTGGACGTTTATATCTTAAGTATTCATTTTACAAGGGTCAGTTTGTTCAATGTAACCGTATCCAAAACACAAGCAATCGCAAAACAAAACAAACAGAACCCTGCTTATAGGTGTCAAGGATTTAAAACCAAATGGATCGCAACAAAAGAGCCTCCCCGTTTAGTAAACAGATTCTCGAGCGGCAGGCAAGCCGAGGACCAGGCTTTTCAACAGGGGTCAGCTCACTCCACTCGGCCGTCATCTGGCGGGGTATTTTTCGCGAAGTTTCAAAGTCAACAAAGAAGTTCTGTCGCGAGGGGGTAGGGCCTGGCGAGCAATAGGCAGAAGGACGTAAAGAAAGACAAAACCCAGTGGGGGAAGGGTGCGGAAAACGCCCCCGGACGGCAGCGACAGAGGCCCCCTTTTCTGGGCCAGCGCGCGACGGCGGGGACAAGGGAGGCCACGCCGGCCTGCAGTAGCCCCGAGGCCCCGACCCCGGCCCCGGCCCCTGCCCGGCAGGGTCCCCGCCCCCCTCGGCGGCGCGGGCGGGAAACGGCGGGGGGCGCGCAGAGGGTCACCTTCCGCTCCCCGGCCCAGAGGCCCAGCGGGTGGACAAACGGCCCAGGCGTCCGCCCCGCCGCGATCCAGCAGCCCACCTCGAGCGCCGCGGACCTGGCCGGGGTACGAACCCGGGCGCCGACGCAAGGGCTCGGGCGCCGCGCGTCGCCGACTTACCTTCCTCCGCGGTGTCCATCTTGTCTGGGGGGGCGGCGGTGACGCAGCCACGAGGCTCCCGCGGCCGGGCGGGGAAAGAGGGAGGGGAGAGGAGGAGGGAGCCGGGCCCGGGCAGGTGCGTACGCTCAGGTGCGAGAGAGGAAGCGAGAGGAAGGAGAGGGGAGAGGGAGAGGGAGAGAGGCTGACAGAAAGCGAGCGACACGGGAGGGGGAGGGGCGGGAACACCTAGGGGCGAGGCCTGGGCGGGGCGCCGAGGCGGAAGGGGCGGGAGCTCCCCAACGACAGGCGCTGTCACTTCCGGCGGCCGCGGCGTGCACTGTCGGTCGGCGGCTAAGGAGGGGAGGCACCTGCATCTGGGGCGCGGCGAATCCTCGCGTGCGCCAGGCCGCCTGGGGTAGTCGCCGAGACTGCGCCGGCCAGCGGGGCCGAAACCTAATCAGGAGCTGAGCTTTGATGGCGGCTTCTGGAGGGACAAAGAAGGCGCAGAGCGGTGGGAGGAGGCTGCGAGAACCTAGCTCCCGCCCCAGCCGACGTGCGAGACAAAGGCCCCGGCGCGGGGCTCTTCGGAAGGCCGGGAGGTTCCTGTGACAATGCGAGTCTGCGCCCCACGCTCCCGCACCGTGATGCCGAGGCCAAATGGCTAGAGTGGGCCCAGGCATCAGCATTTCTGTTTGGCAGCCGGGCAGTTGTGGTGCACGTTTTGAGGAACTACTAAAGCCTGCCTGTGATGAAAAAGGCAAAAGCTGACTTCACCAAAATTACTCCCAGGGAGACTTCTGCATTTGGCTGGAAGGACATTTGAGTAAACCGCTGAGGCTGGTGGTTGAAACATAATCCTCTAAGGGAGATCGGTTCCGATACCCTGAGTTAGGGACGCTTGCCTGGGCAGAGCTAAGGGGAGAATGATCAAAAGCCAAGCTCTGTCCCCGTCAGCACGTCACCCTCCCTCACTGTAATCCCTGACTGTTTTCTCTAAATGAAGAATTATTTAGAGAATATAAATTAGAAGGGCCGCCACGTCAGAATTGCCTGAGTGGGAGCAGTCTTTCCAGCCTCGAAAAATGTTTAAACAATATGCAGATGACCTAGCACAAATAAAGAATGCTAGCAACCGCTGTTATGTGTGAGCGGTGGAATTGGGAGGGCTCTTCCCCCAATCTTCATCAAACAGAGTAAGGTTTAGAATAAAAATAATGAAATACAGTCTTTCAAAAAGAGCAGCGCTTGACTAATGTTACTGATGTCACTCATGTTACTCAAGGGAGGAAAGAACTCAAACTCTACATAATAATACCCACTGATTTCAAGGGCTGGCACGGAGAATTAAGCAGACCGCCATTCTTTATATTTGTTTTTTTGTTGTTGTTTGCTTATGATTTTTTTCTTTCTTTTTTTTTTTTTTTTTTTGAGAAGGGGTCTCGCACTGTCACCCAGGCAGGAATGCAGTGGCGCGATAATGGCTCACTGCAATCTCACTATATTGACCAGTATGATTTTCAACTCCTGTCTTTAAGCGATCCTCACGCTTCGGCCTCCCAAAGTGCTGGGGTTACAGACATGTGCCACTATGCCCTGCCTAAATATGTTTATATATACTACCGCCAAAGAAACAATTTGAAGACGATCTTTCCCCAGCCCCTCTCCTTCTGATCCAACTCCAAGAGCTCACCCTCCCTGTAAGACCTGTAGCAGAGCACGTATTGGCCTGCTGATACTAGGGGCAAAGACCGGGCCGATCAGATGTTACATGGCATAAGGGCGAAGGATTCTGAAAGAAAGACTGAGACTTGCTGGAGGAAGTACTAGTAGTGCCAAGGGCAGGTATGTGACCCTCGGAGCTGCAGAGCCAGGTTAGGATGAAGGGAATGTGTGTGTATGGGGGGCGTGGAGGAAGCCTTCCTTTTGTATTTAGGTGCCTTCCCTTGTGATGTTCAAAGGAAAGTTAACCTGTCAACCAGTTTTCCCTTCTGCATAGTAATTCCTTCTGGAATTGCCCTAACCTTTTCGCATTCAGACTTTAGGCGTTAAATATAAGAGTAATAAACCAACATTTGTTGAGTCCCCACTGTGAGTCAGGCACAAGTTCTCACAACAGCCCTTTGAATACATGAATCAGTCACACCTCTCTTGGTTGCCATTGACAGGAACTCAACTGTTAGGCAGAAGGGAGGAATGTACTGTTGATATGGACAGACTCCAAGAAGGGGAGGGACTGCTGGGACTACTAGAACGAGAATGCCTCTGCCCCTATGGCTCAGCTCTGCAACTCTCTCTGCACATTGGCTTCATGCTGTTAGACCAGCTTCCTCCATATGTCTGGAAACAAGGCCACTGACAGCTCCCAACATTTCATCTTCTGCCTCATCATCAGACAGGCGAGGTAAGGATGATGATCTCTAGTCCCAAGTTAAAAATTCTCAGGGAAGGCTAGTTCATTGGTCCAGCTAGTTGCCTGTCCGTGAATCAAATGATTGTGCCAAAGATCTAGGATCTTTAAGAACATGGACATTGTCATGTTCTTGTAACTGCCATTTCAGGTAAGAACAATGTACACTACCTTGTGGAAGTAGAGAAAGACCGTTTCCCACAAGAAGGGGGAGGACCAAACAATAGATATCCATTACAATTAGAATTCTCATTGTCCAATCAAGAAAAATACTTTTTTTTTTTTTGAAACATTGTTACCGAGGCTGGAGTGCAGTGGCATGATCTTGGCTCATTGCAACAGTCCACCACCCTGGCTTAAGTGATCCTCCCACCTCAGCTTCCCGAGTATCAAGTAGCTGGGACTACAGGCATATGACGCCCAGCTAATTTTTGTGGTTTGTTTTTTTGTTTGTTTGTTTTTGGTATAGATGGGGTTTCACCATGTTGCCCAGGCTGGTCTTGAACTCCTGGGCTCAAGCAATCCGCCCACCATGGCCGCCCAAAGTGCTGGGATTGCAGGTGTGAGCCACTGTGCCTGGCCAAGAAAGATCCTTTATTAAAGACATAGTATACCCATGATTCCAGCCTCGTGTGTGTGTGTGTGTGTGTGTGTGTGTGTGTGTGTACTGTGCTGCGAGAATGCTATAGCAATGCTGGCTTTCCATACCCCAATAAGCAATGAGTAAGAGGGGAAGTGTAGGGGGACACAGTGTAACTGTAACAAACTAACAATGACAACTAACCAAACTCCTTATTATGTCCAATGAACATCCATAGCAATCCTGTGAAGTAAATATTACACACTTTTTTTTTTTTTTGAGACAGAGTCTTGCTGTGTTGCCCAGGCTGGAGTGCAGTGGCGTGATCTCAGCTCATTGCAACCTCTGCCTCCTGGGTTCTAGCAATTCTCTGCCTCAGCCTCCTGAGTAGCTGGGATTACAGGTGCCCACCACCATGCTTGGCTAATTTTTGTATTTTTAGTAGAGATGGGGTTTCACTATCTTGGCCAGGCTGGTCTTGAACTCCTAACCTCGTGATCCACCCGCCTCGGCCTCCCAAAGTGCTGGGATTACAGGCATGAGCCACTGCACCCAGTCCAATTTTTTAAAAAATATATTCTTGGGACAGTTGAAATTGAAAAATTGAAACTTATATAGATTCTGTGAACGGTCTTGTAGCGATGTTAACTTCTTGATTTGGAAGATCCTTGTTTGGGGAAATACCCACTATAGCATTTAGGGGTAACGTGGACTCAGGTCTGAAGCTTGTTCCCAAATGGTTCAGAAAAAGACTAATTGTGTGTGGGGTCAGGGCAGAGTTAACATTGGCGAATCTGGGTGACGACAATGTGGAGATTGTCTTGCACTCTACTTGGAACTTTTCTGTGAGTTTGAAATCATTCTAAAATCATTTTTTAATTAAAATTACTAGGTACTGATAGAACTCTAAAGCAATAGTTATCAAATTTGAGGGTGTCTCTATCACTGGCACCTTTAACAATCTGATAACATCTATGGATTTTGTTCCCAGAAAAAATTGGTTAAACACAAAACATTGCATGAAATTTCAGGGGGGTATATAGATGCCTTGAACTCCATGCATGAATCCTAGGTTAAAAGAACCTCTCATTTAAAGTACTGAGAAAAGTGGTGATGTTCGCTTCCCTTTCTAAGACTATGGCAGACTGGGTTTTTTAGACCAACAATTGGAAATTCTATATAAAATATAGAAAACAGATTCCTAAAAGCACTGAACGCCTGACAAAAATAGTAAGGTAACTACCAGGCCAAAAATTTTTTTTTTTTTTTTTTTGAGACAGAGTCTCCCTCACTCTGCTGCCAAGGCTGGAGTGGTGTGATCTCTGCTCACTGCAACTTCTGCCTTCTGGGTTCAAGCAATTCTCCCGCCTCAGCCTCCTGAGTGGCTGGGATTACAGGCATGTGCCACCACTCCTGACTAATCTTTGAATTTTTGTGGAGACAGGGTTTCACCATGTTGGCCAAGCTGGTCTCAAACTCCTGACCTCCAGTGATCCGTCCGCCTCAGCCTCCCAAAGTGCTGGATTACAGGCATGAGCCACCATGCCTGGCCTACCAGGCCAAAATCTAAGGACAAGAGAGAATACCAAAAAGTAAATGGAACATGAAGGCTGCTTTTGTTTTGCTGAACCAGGCAAACTTGAACTTCTATTTGACAGTTTCTAGCAGCAAAAAGGACGACTGTCAAAGCCCAGAGCCTGCCCAAGGGAAGGCATCTGTTAAGAGACCTTCCACCAGGAGCCTCGCCCAAGACCCACACAGCTGCTCTCTCAGGGGAATGGTGAACCAAGTAAATCTGACTTCTCCTGGAGACTTTTAGGAAACTTATCTGAGCCTTATTTTTTAAAAGTTCCAGAAAAGTTATGGCCATGAATCAGCCCTGGCATAGACTGTACCCCAAATTCATACCCTAGTGATCCAATAATCTTAAGCAGTGAGTTTAGTTTGATGTAATCTTGGACTGCTGGGACCCCCTAAGCACCTGGCAAAAGCAAACACAAATTCTCTGTGGAAGAATATACCTGTGTGCTACTCATTGTCCCTAGAAATTTATTTGTGGAGATTCTTTGACAGATAGATGTGTGTGTGTGTGTGTGTGTGTGTGTGTGTGACAACACACACGTAGCACAAGAACTAACACACAACAGGTAGCAGAAACCATCCACAAAGACCTCAGGTATGGAAGTTAGCAAACACAGATTATAAAGCTACTACACTATGACTATTTAAAAAAGAGTAATGAAACAATTTTATTTTAAAATCTCAATTTTTAAACTGGAATTACATCTTTTGCCACCATTTAAACATAAAATATAAAATTGTATTCATCAAGAAATGAGGATATGCAATGCATAATTTTTAGGTTACATGCAAGCAAAATCTTCAGAGAACCCTGCACTTTTCCATGGGCAAGGGCACGGCTGTCCTTAGGCATGTGAGAGTCTGCGGCCTGTGGCTTCCCAATGGCAGAGGCCTCATTTCATGTACTGATGTATCCCTAAGGCCAACACAGGGCTTGACACATAGTAGGGTGTCACTAAATTTTGGCTGAATGAGTAATGTATGATTTTCCAGGAGATACTTTATGTCACTGAAATAGCAACATGTGTGTGAATGCTTTTCTTAGGAAAAGACAAATTCATACCATAGCTGAAAAATCAATCCAGTAACAAACATACATTAGGGTTAGTGTGTCTATGCTCTTACATCGGGATTTCTTGGTTATAATGAATTCATTTTCAGTACTTCATGCAGATATGCTCAACAGTGATATACACCGAGTTAAATCAAATAATCAAAATAGAGCACCATGTATTTCTTATACAATATTCACATAAAAATTACTTACAATTTAACCCAGATTGTCACTAAAATGAAGGCCTTGAAGACCAGTTGTTCTTTTCTCCAAACTTTTGTTATAAACATTTTGAAATATTCAGAAAAGTTAAAGGATTCATATAATGAACACCTGCATGCCCAACCTAGATTCAACAATTGTTAATATTTAGCCATATTTATTTTAATGATATCATTCCTTTCTGTATCATTTGGAAATATATATATTATATATTTGATATTATATTTTTATATATTGTATATTATGTATAATATATATAACATATTTTATATTTTGTTATATATAATTATATATTTTATGTTATATATAATTATATATTTTATGTTATATATAATTATACATATTATATATTTTATGTTATATATAATTATACATATTATATATTATGTATGATTATATATAATTATTAAATATAATACATAATATGTATAATTATATATAATTATTATATATTATATATAATATATTATGTATAATTATATATATTATACATTATATTATGTATAATATATATAATTATTATATATAATATATAATATGTATGATTACATATAATATATTATGTATATTATATATAATTATTATATATAATATATAATATATTATGTATGATTACATATATTATGTATAATTATATCTAATATATACTATATTATACATAATATATATTTATGGTATATATCATACATATATATATTTATGGTATATATCATACATAATATATATGTATGGTATATATCATACATAATATATATGTATGATATATATCATACATAATATATATTTATGATATATATCATACATAATATATATTTATGATATGTATCATACATAATATATATTTATATGTATCATACATAATATATATTTATGATATGTATCATACATAATATATATTTATGATATGTATCATACATAATATTTATGATATGTATCATACATAATATTTATGATATGTATCATACATAATATTTATGATATGTATCATACATAATATTTATGATATGTATCATACATAATATTTATGATATGTATCATACATAATATTTATGATATGTATCATACATAATATTTATGATATGTATCATACATAATATTTATGATATGTATCATACATAATATTTATGATATGTATCATACATAATATTTATGATATGTATCATACATAATATTTATGATATGTATCATACATAATATTTATGATATGTATTATACATATTTATGATATGTATTATACATAATGTATGTTTATGATATATATTATACATAATGTATGTTTATGATATATATTATACATAAGATACATGTTTATGATATATATTATACATAAGATACATGTTTATGATATATATTATACATAATATACATTATATATTATACATAATATACATTACATATATTATACATAATATACATTACATATATTTTATATATTATACATAACATTTTATATATTATACATAACATTTTATATATTATATATAACATATTTTATATATTATACATAATATATATTATACATAATATATTTTATATATTATGTATAATATATATTATACATAATATTATATATTATACATAATATATATTATGCATAATATTATATATTATACATAATATATATTATGCATAATATATATATTATACATAATATATATATTATACATATTATATATATTATACATAATATATATATTATACATAATATAATATATAAAATACATAATATTATATATATTATACATAATATATATATTATACATAATATAATATATAAAATACATAATATTATATATATTATACATAATATAATATATATATTATACATAATATAATATATATTATACATAATGTAACATATATATTATACATAATGTAATATATATATTATACATAATGTAATATATATATTATACATAATATATATACTATATGTTATACATAATATATATACTATATGTTATACATAATATATATACTATATGTTATACATAATATATGTTATATATGTTATACATAATATATGTTATATATGTTATACATAATATATGTTATATATGTTATACATAATATATGTTATATATGTTATACATAATATATGTTATATATGTTATACATAATATATGTTATATATGTTATACATAATATATGTTATATATATTAATTATATATGTTATACATAATATATGTTATATATATTAATTATATGTTATACATAATATATGTTATATATATTAATTATATATGTTATACATAATATGTTATATATATTAATTATATATGTTATACATAATATATGTTATATATATTAATTATATATGTTATACATAATATATATCAATTATATATGTTATACATAATATATATCAATTATATATGTTATACATAATATATATCAATTATATATGTTATACATAATATATATTAATTATATATGTTATACATAATATATATTAATTATATATGTTATACATAATATATATTAATTATATATGTTATACATAATATATATTAATTATATATGTTATACATAATATATATTAATTATATATGTTATACATAATATATATTTATTATATATGTTATACATAATATATATTTATTATATATGTTATACATAATATATATTTATTATATATGTTATACATAATATATATTTATTATATGTTATACATAATATATATTTATTATATGTTATACATAATATATATTTATTATATATGTTATACATAATATATATTTATTATATATGTTATACATAATATATATTTATTATATATGTTATACATAATATATATTTATTATATATGTTATACATAATATATATTTATTATATATGTTATACATAATATATATTTATTATATATGTTATACATAATATATATTTATTATATATGTTATACATAATATATATTTATTATATATGTTATACATAATATATATTTATTATATATGTTATACATAATATATATTTATTATATATAATATATGGAAATATATACCATATATTATATATAATATATTATATATGTTATATGTTATATATAATATATTATATATGTTATATGTTATATATAATATATTATATATGTTATATGTTATATATAATATATTATATATGTTATATGTTATATATAATATATTATATATGTTATATGTTTTATATATATATTATATATGTTATATGTTATATATATAACATATATTATATATTTCCAATGATACAGAAAGGAACTATATATATTATATATAATATACGTATATTATATATACAGTTCCAAAAATATGTATATACATATAGTTTTGTTTTGTTTTTAGACAGTTTCACTCTGTCACCCAGGCTGGAGTGCAATGGTGCGATCTCAGCCCACTGTCACCTCCGCCTCCTGGGCTCAAGTACTTCTGGTGCCTCAGTCTCCCAAGTAGCTGGGATTACAGATGTGCACCACCACACCCAGCTAATGTTTGTACTTTTAGTAGAGATGGGGTTTCACCATGTTAGCTAGGCTGATCTCAAACTTTTCAGGTCAAGTGATCCTCCTACCTTGGCCTCCCAAAGTGCTGGGATTACAGGCACAAGCCACCGAGCCTCGCCAAAGTATATATATTTGAACATCTTTGCCCCTAAATACTTTAGCATGTATCTCCTAAGGTTAGAATAATCTCCTTGAAAATGATTTCCACACCATAATAATATATAGACTCTAAAGTTTCTCTAATTGTCCCAAACATGACCTTTATAATTTTGTTTGTTTAACAAGGGTCCAATCTGGTTTCCCTTATTGCCACTGGTTTGGTCTCGATAGTCCATCTCCTTTAGTCTAGAATGGTCCTAGTACTTTTTGTTTTCCAATGACAATGCCTTTTGGAAGACCATAGAACAATTGTTTCATGCAATGAATGTCCTTCATTATAGATTTATCTGACTGATTCCTCTTGGTGTCATTAGCTTGTTCCTTTAGCCCCTGTATTTCCTATAAACTAGCAGGTAGGCTTAGAGGCTTAATCTGATTCAAGTTAAACATGTTTTTGCAAGAATATTTGATAGATGATTATGCATTTTTCTTTTCTCTTTTTTTTTTTTTTTTTTTTTTGAGATGGAGTCTCGCTCTGTTGCCTAGGCTGGAGTGCACTGGTGTGATCTTGGCTCACTGCAACCTCCACCTCCCAGGTTCAGGCTATTCTCCTGCCTCACCCTCCCGAGCAGCTGGGATTATGGGCACACACTACCACACCCAGCTAATTTTTGTAATTTTGTATTTTTAGTATTTTAGTAGAGACAGGGGTTTCACCATGTTGGCCAGGCTGGTCTTGAACTCCAGACCTCAAGTGATTCGCCCACCTTGGCCACCCAGAGTGCTGGGATTACAGGCGTGAGCCACCTCGCCTGGCCGGTTATGTGTTTTTCATATTACAGTACATCTGGAGGCCAGAAAGTCAGGTTGTGCCATGATTCACATTCTGAGTTTGAGTACTTGGTTAAAGTGGTGGCTGCCAAGTCTCACCATTTATTGAGTATTCTATGGAGTAAGTCCTCAGATCCTTTCCTTCTTATCTTAGTCATTAAGCAGGACAGCCAAATTTTAAAATTATTCTGAAATTTGAAAGTTCATGCTATTAAAAACATTCTTGTTATTTATAAAGATAAGTTTATTTTACAAAACCTTCTAAGCTCTTTATCACAAAATTCTCCCATAATTTTTCCAGTAAGATAAAACCTCCTTTTTATGTCTGTGTCAATCTCCAATTCTTTTCTTTTTTTTTTCTTAGTGCAGTGGCATAATCTCGGCTCACTGCAACCTTTGCCTCCTGGGTTCAAGCAAAAACTGGAATGATGCAGCTTCAGGCCAAGGAATGCTGGCAGCCACCAGAAGCTGAAGGACACAAGGAATGGATTCTCAGAGCCTCGGCAGGAAATGTGGCCCTGCCAACACCTTGATTTCAGACTTCTCAACTCCAGTACTGGGAGGGAATAAATTTCTGTTGTTTTAAGCCTCCCAGTTTGTGATAATTTGCTACAGCAGCCACAGGAAGCAAATAAGGAGGGCCTATTTGGAGGAGGATGCAAACCCAGCAGTGGGTGATGAACTATTCTTACTTACAGCTACCTTATTCATTACTAGTCTAGACTTAAGCATTGACTTCATCACTGAAAAGGCTGCAGCTGAGCCTAGAGTTTCAGGTTCCTGTGCTGCATATGGCTACAGTGATTCTTAGGTCAGCTCCCTAGGATGCAGTTGAGTCTCTCTCTAACTGATGAGTCTCTTTAAATATACAGTTGGGGCTGGGTGCGGTGGCTCACACCTCTAATCCTAGCACTTTTGGAGGTTGAGGAGGGAGGATCACTGGAACCCAGGAGTTCAAGACCAGCCTTGCCAACATAGTGAAACCCATCTCTACTAAAAAAATACAAAAATTAGCCGGGCATGGTGGCGCACACCTGTAATCCCAGCTACTCGAGAGGCTGAGGTGGGAGAATCACTTGAACCTGAGAGGCAGAGGCTGCAGTGAGCCAACATCGTGCCACTACACTCCAGCCTGGGCAACAGAGTGAGACTCTGTCTCAAAACTATGTAAATAAATAAATAAATCTACAGCGGGCCCTCCCTGTTCTTGGGTTCTGCATCCATGGATTCAACCAATTGTGGATCAAGAATAGGTTCATCTGTACTAAACATGTATAGACTTTTCTTCTTGTCTGTATTCCCTAAATGAAATAGTATGACAAGCCAAGCATGGTGGCTCACACCTGTAATCACAGCACTTTGGGAGGCTGAGGCAGGAGGATTGCTTGAGCCCGGGAGTTTGAGACCAGCCTAAGCAACATAGACCCCATCTCTACCAAAAAAATTTTTTTAGCCAGGCATGGTGGCGTGTGCCTGTAGTCTTGGCTACTCAGGAGGCTGAAGTGGGAGGTTCACTTGAGCCCAGGAGGTCGAGGTTGCAGTGAGCTGTGATCGCGCCACAGCCCTCCAGCCGGGACGACAGAGTGAGACCCTGTCTCAAACAAACAAACGTAGATATATAGTACGCCAACTTACATAACATTTACATTGTATTAGGCATTATAAGTAATCTAGACATGATTTAAAGGAGGATATGTATAGGTTACATGCAAATTCTATACCATTTTATATAAGGAACTTGATCACCCATGGATTTTGGGTGCAGGGTCTGGAAACCAATCCCCCACAGATATTGTGGAGAGATCATACATTTTCATCTGATATTTTGACTTCTAACCTGAAATTGTATATTTGCTCCAAAGTGAAACTCTTCCTAAGAGTTTTTATCTTAGACACATGGAATCCAAAGAACCTTGAGGAATTATCTGGTATATCTCACTCCATTATTCATGGAAACCATTGAGCTCTGACGCTGAATATCTCTTGTTAGCTTCTCGTGTGTCTTTATTGTTTTATGGACTGAATGTTTATGTCCCCCCAAAATTCATATGTTAAAATCTTAATCCCCAATGTGCTGGTACTAGGAGGTGAGGCCTTTGGGAGATAATTGGGTTTAGATGAGGTCGTGAAGACAAGGTCCCCATGATGGGATTAGTGAGTGTTCTTATAGGATTTAGGCCACTCAGTCTATGATATTCTGAAATAGCAGCCTGAACTGAAACAAGACAATTATCATCAAACATCATTTGAGTATATTATTCTGTATAATACACTATGAAAGATCCCCAAAACAAGCAGATTAGGCAAGTCTAAGGCCTGATTTCTGTCCTCAAAGAAGGCGAAGGCTACAGTTAGATTAAGAACTACTGCCTAGCTTTACTGGGAGAGAATCATTTTTACAACATCAGTTGGAGAAGCCACATAATGATCACCATTATGACTGCTTAGATGTAACTTCGGGATCTAACTAGAATTTCTAGATCCCTTAGGCTTAAGTCTTCTATTTGACCACAAACGTTGAATGCATGTGCATGTTATGTTTGTCTGTTAAGTTCTCCTTCCTTCTTCTCCTGGCAATAATATCTTCCTTTCTTTTAGAGAACTGCGCCTCCCTCACTCAAAACACAGAGTTCTAGGGGAAATCGGCCAGTCAGGGGAGGGCGGATAGCCGAGGCAGGACTACATGTACCCTCCCCTGGTACCCACAGGTGCTGTGTTTCTACTGCTGGCCCTTCCATCCACTTCCCTCCCCGACTCTGAGTCCAGGCTTCTGACATTTAGTTCATGGCTGCACCAACAGAGACTGACATTGATTCTAAAAATATTTTTAATTGAAATTGTAACCGGTTATTCAGAAGCTCGAAAATAATTACAGTATCTAGCATGGACGGAGCACTTGCTGAATGCAAGCACCATCCAACCAAGGAGGCCAGGGCGGAGGCGGAGAACACTCAGGTGCAGAGTTGCCCAGGCCTCACACCTCCTGAGTGGCTGCAGTTGAGAAATGGCCCCAGGGCCTGTGTCACAAAAGCATGTGGGGCTCCTTGGAGATTTCTGAGTTCAGCCAGATATTTAACCTCACTTACCTCCCTTGCCTAGAGTTTCAAACTCCTGTGCTGCGTGTGGTTACAATGGGTATCAGGTCAGCTCCCTAAGGCCCAGATGAGTAGCTCTCTAACAGATAAGTCTCTTTAAATATATAGTTGTGCCTCTGTACTCATGGGTTCTGCATCCACGACTTCAACCAACTGTGGATCAAGGACTGGTTCATCTGTACTAAACATGTATAGACCTTTCTTCTTGTCTGTATTCCCCAAACAGAAAAGGGCATTGTTATGCCTTCCTTCCTGTGAGGCTTCATGTCCTGCTTCTCCTGGGGTAGCCCTCACAGCTGTGTCCCTACACTGCAAAGGGCCCCATCTCCTCATTGATAGATGGTAGGGACCTCTTTCTTGACCTGCCCAACTGCTGCATAGAGAGACAGAATATACAGACAGCAGCCAGCCCATAGATGACAGCAGAAGTGTGACCCACAATCTGCAGCAGCCAGTCCAGGAAGCCAAACCACAACGTCCACAGCAATCTGCCCAGAACAGTCAGGACATCATCAATAACCACTGGCTTCCCTACTTTTTCCTGCTGCTTCCAACTTAGGACCAGAGAAAGCCCAACATGCTCCCCTAACCAGTCGCATTGGATGCCTCGCTTCTGGTGAGCCACCTGAGGCTTCCCCAGGCCAGCAGCCTTCACTCAGGGCACACCTGGAGCCTCTCCTCCTCCACTATGAAGCTTTCCACTCCTCTGCCTGCCTTCAAGTCTCTGCCAAGCACTAGGAATGGCAGCCGCCTCCTTTTCTACAGCAAGCCCTGAATAGCCTTTGCTTGTTCTCATTGGGTGGTCTTTGTTTATCTCCACATCGTTTTCGTTTTAACCAGTCCTTAGGTCTTTCTTTTGGCATCCTGCCCACCCCTGCCTTCAGACAGCCTTCACCACTCTCTCTGAGGCCTGTGCGCCAGCCTCAAATCTGTGCAACTTTGGCAGGAATGGCCCTGCTTAGCGAGTCTCGGCCTTTCCCTGCAGTGACTTCTTTGTCTCCTCATCAGGCCACTCAATTCTATGGCAGGGGAGATCTCCAATCACTGCCGAGACACCCACAGAACCTGATTTTAGCCCCGGTGCTGGGGAAGTGGTTGCCATAGCGATGGATGCAGCAGGCAGACATAGGAAGGGCTCACTGCAGCCAGCCCACGCCAGGAGGGGCCAGGCCTTCTGTTTGGTCTGTGCTGCTCGCTGCCCCCCCAACCCCCAGCCCCCACCTCCAACAGCAAAATGGGGGCTGGGAGCAGGAATCATCCATGGCCATCACGCTGGGATCCTTGTCTTAGCACACCCACCCCTCCCCACCATGCTGGCTGTTAATGGTGTCACTTAGTTGTGCAGCTTAGACTGCGTTGCTTAGCAATGAAATAACCAACAGCGTAAATCGTGTCTCCATTGAATCTCCGTGAATGCCTCACTTAGATGACCGTGATTTCAGTGCTCTGTGCCAAGGTGGGGGTGGGGCGATCCGAACCTTTTTAAATGGAGGATTTACACATACAGAAAAATATGCACAAAGCGTAAGTGCTCATCTTAATAAACTGAAACCAACATCCAGATCAAGATATAGAACATTTCCAGGACCCACCAACTTCCCTCCTGCCCTTCCCAGCTAATATCCACTCCCCTGTGGACATGGATATGACCTTCATCACCATCTGTTTGGTTTGCCTGTATGTGAGCTTCACATGAATAGAATCCTATGGTAAGGACCTTTTGTGTCCAGCTTACTTCACTCATCACTGTGTTGATGAGATGCTCCCGTGTTGGGTGTGCAGTCGGAGGATGGGGGTGGTGCTGCTGAGCATGCTTTCCTCCACCCCCAGCAACAGGACTGGTCTCCTGGCTTTTCCACCTCACCTTCTGTACTGGTCAGAGTTCTCTTAGAGGGACAGAACTAATAGGAAATACATATATATATTTTTTATATATATGTAAAGGGGAGTTTATTAAGTAATAACTTACACGATCACAAGGTCCCACAGTAGGCTGTCTGCAAGCTGAGGAACAAGGAGAGTCAGTCCGAGTCCCAAAACTGAAGAACTTGGAGTCTGATGTTTGAGGGCAGGAAGTGTCCAGCAGGGGAGAAAGATGTAGGCTGGGAGGCTAGGCCGGTCTCACCTCTTCACGTTTTTCTGCCTGCTTTATATTCGCTGGCGGCTGATTAGATGTTGCCTACCCCATTAAAGGTGGGTCTACCTTTCCCAGTTCACTGACTCAAATGTTAATCTCCTTGGGCAACACCTTCACAGACACACCCAGGATCAATATTGCATCCTTCAATCCAATCAAGTTGACACTCAGTATTAACCATCACACCTTCCCGTTGAAACTCCTTGGATGGATGCCCATCTGAACCAAACCCAGCTCACCATGCCTCCTTGGATCCTGGCCCATCTCTGTAAGTGGATGGGGCATCTGATCCAACGTTCCTCACCTCTCTCTGCCCCACCAGTCAGTGTGGCTGGGACGCTGCATCCTTTGTTCCTGAGCCTGCCTCATTAGGACATCCCAGAGCCCTGGCTGCCCACACAGCTCACTGCATCTCGATGTTAAGGCCTTAGAATTGTTTCCTCTAGAGCATGCCCCATTCCAGTTGGTTGATCCTCTTCTAATTTTTTAAACTGCTTACTTTTAAGCTTATAGAAAAGTTGGAATAATAGTACAAATTCCCATATACATTTCCCACATTCCCCAAATGTTAACATTTTGCCACATTTGCTTTACCCTTCTCTTTCTCTCTGCCCATACAGGTATAACTTGTATATATTACTTTTTCTAACCATTTAGGGGATTGTAGACATGATGCCTTGTTGTCCCTAAATACCTCAATGTATATTTCTTTTTTTTTTTTTTTTTGAGACAAAGTCTTGCTCTGTCACCCAGGCTGGAGTGCAGTGGTGTGATCTTGGCTCACTGCAGCCGCCGCCTCCCAGGTTCAAGCGATTCTCGTGCCTCAGCCTCCAGAGTAGCTGGGGTTATAGGCATGCGCCACCACACCCAGCTAATTTTTGCATTTTTAGTAGAGACGGGGTTTCACCATGTTGGCCAGGCTGGTCTCGAACTCCTGACCTCAGGTGATTCACCCGCCTTGGCCTTCCAAACTGTTGGGATTATAGGCGTAAGCCACCATGCCCGGCCCCAATGTATATTTCTTACACATACATACACACAGACACACACACACAGACATTTTATTTATCTTAAAACTAGTCAAGTGCAGTGGTGAGAAGCGGGGAAAGAGTAGAAGGAGTTTGATCTGTAACTGTCTGGGAACAATCAATTGAGATAACTCACTACCTTTGGACCAGCTGACATTTTCTTACATAACCACAGTACATTTATCAGGATGAGGAAATTAATCTTGACATACCATTATTATATAATCTACAGACCTTATGTAAATGTTGTCAATTGTCTACCCATTTATTTGAAAGTTGAAGACTTTTTTTCAGAAATTATTTTTATTATAGTAAAATATGTGTAAGATTTACCACTTTAACCATTAAAAGTACAACTTATGGCATTGATTACATTCACAGTGCTATGCAGCCATCACAATTATCCATCTCCCGTTACCCCAAACGGAAACTCTGAACACATTAAACACGAAGTCCCCATTTCCCCTCCTCCAAGCTCCTGGTAACCCTCCATCTACTTTTTGTCTCTATAAATTTGACTATTCTTGGTACTTCATATAAGTGGAATGACACGATAATTTGTCATTTTGTGACTGGATTATTTCTCTTTTTTTCTACTTTTTGTTTTGTTTTGTTTTTCTTTTTGAGACAGAGTCTCACTTTGTCGCCCAGGCTGGAGTGCAGTGGTGTGATCTTGGCTCACTGCAACGTCCGTCTCCTGGGTTCAAGTGATTCTCATGCCTCAGCCTCCCAAGTAGCTGAGATTACAGGTGCCCACCACCAATCCCGGCTAATTTTTATATTTTTAGTAGAGACGGGGTTTCACCATGTTGGCCAGGCTGGTCTAGAACTCCTGACCTCAGGCGATCCACCCGCCTCGGCCTATCAAAGTGCTGGGATTACAAGCATGAGCCACCGTGCCTGGACTTTTTTTTTTTTTTTGAGAAAGGGTCTCTCTTTGTCACCCAGGCTGGAGTGCAGAGGCCTGATCACAGCTCACTGCGGCCTCCACCTCCCCTAAGTAGCTGGGACTGCAAGCTTGGGACACCATGCCCAGCTAATTTTTGCATAGGTGGGATTTCACCATGTTTCCCAAACTGGTCTGGAACTCCTGAGCTCAAGCAATCTGCCTGCCTCAGCCTCCGAAAGTGCTGTCTGTGATTACAGGCACGAGCCACCGCGCCTGGCGTGTCTGGATTATTTCATCGCACACAGTGTCCTCAAGGTTCATCTATGCCTTAGTATGATTCACTTCCTTTATAATTAAAACAAACCAACAAACAAACAAACATTTTTCATCTGGCCCACTATTCAGAATCCACACTGCACTTAGTTGTCAGGCCTCTTTAGTCCTCTTCAGTAAGAAACAGTTCCTCAGTCTTTGTCAAAAATGACATTGACATTTTTGTAGGGCAGAAGCCAGTGTTTTAGAAAATGTCCCTCTGTTTGATGTGTTGGTATTTCCTCACAATTGAATGCAGGTTCTGCACGGCCAGCACGAGCACCATGAAGGGCTATTGCATCATGGAGGCCTGCTGCAGCACACCAGAGGCACGTGTTGCCTATTTGTCCCATTGCTGGTGATGTTAACTTTGATCGCTTGAATAAGGTTTGTCAGGTTTCCCCACAGTAAAGTGACTGTTTTCCCCTCGGTCATTACTGGGAATCTCCCTCGTGCAGCGATAGTTTGAGACCATATACAAATCCTGTTTCTCAAACTTTTCTCACAATTTAGCATTCACTGATGATTCTCCCTGACATAATCATTACTATGGTAGTTCCAAGCGGTATTTTCTTATTCCATTATCTTTCTGCGTTTATTAGTTGATAAGAAAGAGTTTTCTTCTCCCTCTTTACTTTTTCATTTATATTACTGTACCTGTAGGTACTAGTGGATTCTTAGACTGTGCTTATAATAAAGTAAGAAGAGTTATAGGCCGGGTGTGGTAGCTCACACCGGTAATCTCAGCACTTTGGGAAGCCGAGGTGAGCCAATCACTTGAGACCAGGAGTTCAAGACCAGCCTGGCCGACATGGCAAAACCCCATCTCTATTAAAAATACAAAAATCAGCCAGGCATAGTGGCAGGCATCTGTAATCCCAGCTACAAAAAGAAAAAAAAAAGAGTTACAATTCAATACTAACATGATTGTTACTCAAAAGATTCCAGATTTGCCCAATGAGAGCCCCTTCAAGCTTTTGTCCTTTGGATGAGTTCCTACCATTCTCTGGGTACTTCCTCACTGTCTGCCAGAATAATATATTCTGGGTTCATCTTATTCCTCTCCAGCCTTAATCCCAGAAGTCGCCATTTCTCCACGGAGCCCTGGTTCCTTTTAGTGGACCATCTTAGTCAGGAGAATCATTCACGGTGTCCTCTTCTGAACACACCAGCCTTAGCAAGACGGCACTTCCTCCTTTCAAGTGTTTTCATCAGTCAGCCCTGCTCCTCAGGCTGCTGAATGAGTTCATTCTGGGAAGTGGATTACAGGTGACTTCTTTATGTTTTAAATGTTTGTGTTCAGGTATTTCCTAGGACTCCTATAACAAATCGCCACAGATTGAGGGGCCTAAAACAACACAGATTATTCTTGCACAGTTCTGGAGGTCAGAAGTATGCATAGGGTCACACTGGGCTAACATCAAAGTGTCTGCAGAACTGGGTTCCTTCTGGAGGCTCAGGGAGAATCCATATCCTTGCCTTTCCCACCTTCTAGAAGCTGCCCGCATCCCTTGGCCGGTGCTCCCCTTCTTTGATCCTCGAAGCAAACACATCCCTCTGACCTCTCCTTCTGCCCTCACTTCTCCTCTGCCTCCCCTGCCTCCCTCTTCTAGGACCCCTGTGATCACTGGACATTGTATCCACCTGGATAATCCAGGGTAATCCCCGGTCTAAAAATCCTTAGTTTGCCAGGCGCTGTGGCTCACATCTGTCATCCCAGCACTTTGGGAAGCCAAGGCAGACGGATCACTTGAGGTCAGGAATTCGAGATCAGCCTGGTCAACATGGTGAAACCCCTGTCTCTACTAAAATACGAGAATTAGCCAGGCGTGATGGCAGGAGCCTGTAATCCCAGCTACTCGGGAGGCTGAGGCAGGAAAATCGCTTGAACCCAGGAGGCGGAGGTTACAGTGAGCCGGGATCGCGCCACTGCACTTCAGCCTGGGAGACAGAGGAAGACTGTCTCAATCAATCAATCAATCAATATCAAATAAAAATAAAAAAATCCTTAGCTTGATCACATCTGCAAAGGCCTTCCACCTTATTTATGTATTTATTTTGCCATATAACAGTTTCTAGACATTAGGCCGTGGACATTCTTGGAGGGCCATTATTCTGCGCTATCACAATATATTTTATGTATTTTTAATTAAATAATATAAGTTATTTTTGTAATCTAAAAACAAAACCAGTCATGAGGGAGAAGGCCTAGAAGGAAAGCGCACTCCTGACATCCACCGCCAGCCCCTGGGTCGCCGCTGCCCCTCTGAGGAGGCAAAACCACGCGGCGGCAGGGAGCGTGGGACGCGGCTTTCGTTGGAGCAGACGAACCGCAAGCGCCCAGCGCGGTGGTGGAACCACCTCGGTGCAGCCGGTTACCGCCGCCGTCCGGCCGGCCGCAGTTACCCCGCTCGCCCTGGCCTCGTCCGGCCCCTCCCAGCAGCCCCGGGCAGCCGCGCTGCGCTATCCCCGCAATCCGCGATCTCCCGCGTTCCCCAAGCCGTGCGGCTCCCACTCCTGTTTCCTTCTCTCCCTAATACAAATACTGCCATTTCCCAGACCTCCCACTCCGCGCTCTTTCATTCTGAGCCGGCTCTCGGCCAGGGGGAGTCAGGGCGCATTCCGCCGACTCAGCGCCCTGAATTCGTGGGTCCCGTTTCCCTCCCCGACACTCTCCATCTCCAGTCGTTCTGGGGGAGCATCGCGCCCACCCAGGACGCAGCCCCAAGTGTCCCCGCGGCCCTGGGCGGCGCCTGTCCTTCTGTCTCCTTCCCCGGCGCCCCACACCCCCGCGGTCTAAGGTCGGCAGCGACCTTGGGGAACCGAACCCAGATGGCAGGTCCCCGGCGATCGAGCGGATTCGGAGTTCGAATATGCTTGGCTTCGGGGGCTCCCAGGACGGCTGGGGTGCTCTGGCGCTAAGAGCGTGCAGGAAGCTTGAAAGAGCTCCTTTGGTGTCACGAGTCAGCTTTTTTCTAGACATGAGTGCCCGGGGTCTGGGCAGTGTTGCAGACCAACCAGCGTCTCACCATCCGCCGGCTTCGGCCCCAGAGGCCCGCAGTGGCTGGCACCTGGCCGCCTGCAGGCGGCCTCCGGGTGAGCCTTCCTCCGGACGCGCCTAGGGGCTCCTCACCCACCTGCCGCTGTGACAGCCCCACCCAGGCAGCCCCCATCACACGCGGGGAGAGAGCAAAGGGGAAACGTAGGGCTAAAGAAAACATACTGAGGCCAAGAGCCGGGAGGTGTTCCCAAGACAATTGTCTTGTGCTTAGAACCGAAAAGATACGGTGGGGCGCGGTGGCTAACGCCTGTAAGCCCAGCACTTTGGGAGGCTGAGGCGGGCAGATCACGAGGTCGGGAAATCGAGACCACCCTGGCCAACATGGTGAAACCCCGTCTGTACTAAAAATACCAAAAAAAAAAAAAAAATAGCTGGGCGTGGTGGCAGGTGCCTGTGGTCCCAGCTACTTGGGAGGCTGAGGCAGGAGAATCGCATGAACCTGGGAGATGGAGATTGCAGTGAGCGGAGATCTCACCATTGCACTCCAGCCTGGGTGACAGTGAGACTCCATCTCATAAAACAAAACAAAACAAAACAACAGAAAAGATACCTGGCCCTCCAAGGATGAGAATGCTGGCAGCACTGAAGGCCTAATTATATGTAACTCACATGCCACAGCAGTCCCTCCTCTCAAGGGCACAAACTCCATGAGTCACATGCTGTGCGACCATGACCACAACCCCCTTTCCTCTCTAAAAAGCCATACCTATTCACAATCACGCTCACGCCCTCCTTTGCCCCAGCTCCTGGCGACCACTAATCTGCTTTCTTTCTCTATAAATTTGACTATTTCTGGACATTTCACATGAATGAAATCACATAATATGTGATCTTTTGTAACTGGCGTCTTGCACTTAGCATGTTTTCAAGGCCCATCCGCATTGTAGCACGAATCGGTCCCTCCTTTTATAGCCAAACGGTATTCTGTCGTATGGGTATATCACAGTTCACTTATGCCTTTGTGGGTTGATGGACATTTGGGTGGTTTCCATTTCTTGGCTATTGTGAATAATGCTGCTATGAGCATTCAGGTATACATTTTTGTGTGGAATATGATTTCAATTCTTTTGGCTATATACCTTGGAGTGGAGTTGCTGGATTATATGATAACTAACATTTTCAGGAACTGTCAAAGACCTAATTTTAGATATTTTGGAAGACGGATGTGGGTCCTGTTCAAAAAGCAACTGCACAGATCTGCAACAGCCAGCACTGGATAGATGACCTCCCAGACATCTAAGGAGAACCCACTAGGTGGGAGGAACTGCTCACTATATTGAAAGGAAGGAGACAGAACCCAGGGAGCGTTCGATCCTGTAAAGACCCCCTTCTTCTCAGCGAAAAGGGAGGCAGACATTCCAACTCCCAGCTATAACCCATTACAGATGTTTCAACACAGAGAGTGCAGAAATCCACAGGAACAGCCCAGAAGCTCATGGAGCTGGGGGCTTTGATGAGGACGTGGAGAGGAGCTTGCCAGCTGAACTAATATTTGCCTTCACCTCCAAGCGACTTTGTGTTTTGGCAGCAAGTCAGAGAAGAGCCTTCTGGGAAGAGAGAGCAGCTTGGGTTAAAGCCCAGCCACGTGGGAGTGCTTGATGTACTTGGCAGTGATGAGAGGAGGAGGGCAGGACTTGGGGGAGACAGGCTTGGAAGGGTAAACTGAGCCATGACTTCAGTGCTATGCTAGGGAGCCTGGACTTGAACCTATAAGCGCTGAGCATCAGTCGAGGACTTCGGGTTGGGCAGGGTGGTCAGCTTGTGTCCTGGAGCCGCAGCCTTGGAGATGGTGAGGGAAGGAGGCCTGAAGATGGAGTCTTGGGGGAGGCTGCAGTTGGGAGAGAGAGACCACGAAGAGCTGAGAGTATACTTGGGAGGGAAGGGGAGGATGGGGAGGAGGAAACAGATCAGAATGTCCGCAGGACTGCATAAAAGGTGGAGGATAGCGAGGGAGAGGGGAGAGCCAGCCGGATTCATCATTTTAGTTATTTTTGTGCAGGGAGAGAGAAATGACAGTGTCTATGACATTGACAGCCCCCAGGGCATATACAGCCCTTAAATGCTTTAACTGCATGACGGTTTCATGCCATTGAGTTCCAAGAAGTTAGCTTCAGAAGAAAACTCAGAACTTGTAGGGAAGTTTGCAAGTCTTTTGGTTTGGGAGAAAGCCTTAGCTGTCTGTCTTGATGTCTTGACTGGAGCGCCCCACCCAGTAGTGACTGCCCAGGAAGGCTCCCATCCTGGCACACACACCACCCCATCCATGCCCAGCAACACATGTGCAAACCCCTCCCGGCTCCTCCTTGCTGGCACTTTAAAGGCCACCTCAGCATCAGCAGAAGTGTGGAGAAGGAAACATTTGTCTCCAGGAGCCACCCTTTTCCTTCCTCGTTTCCTCATTTCTCTGTTTCTTTGTTTCTTCTCCCTGTTTCCGTATTCCTCTGTCACACCCAGAGCTCTCCAGCTGCCTCGTGTCCCGGAAGGACCTGTTCCCAGGGTAGCATCATGTCTCCTCCAGAATTAAGGCCCTGGGCTCTGGCACAGGCTGGTGGGTCACAGAAAGGGCCCATATCTCAAGGGATCAGAGGATAAAACATTCTCAAAGGATGGATGGAGGCTGAAGATCTGGACTGGGTGCTACATAGAGTGGCGAGCTAGGGAGTACTTCCAGGACACCAAGTCCCTCGCTTAAGCCCCTAAGCTTAGGTAAGGACATGACTTACCTAAATGTTCTTGAGAGTCAAGTGCATGGTCAGGGAGAACAGCTAATGCAAGGGCCTTGAAGTGGGAAAGAGCATGAAGAATCTGGCGAGGGTGAATAACTGGCACAGCTGTGTGGGCAGTTCCCCCGCCAGGATATTTCTGCATGGCACTTTCTTCTGAGGGATTTCTTGGAATTCGCCCAGACTGCAGAGGTGGTCAGATGTCAGCATGGTCCTGGTCCCCATCCAAGCATTGCTCCTTATTGCCAGAATGTGACAGGCTTGGCAGCGTGTGGCGACAGGGGCCAAATCTGAGCTGCACGCACAAGGATTATCCTGGTCTTTCTCTGTGTCTTTTGCCCCAGAAAGCTAACAGTTGTCTGGCTGCAGTGCATAATTGTGTTCAGATGTGCTCACATCCTCTGGGGAGCTGGATCCTTTCATAATTCCATAAATTGTGAAATGTTTAGACATTAGGAAACCAAAGAGAGTTGACCTACAATTAGAGAATAATAGTGCATTTAAAATAGCTAATGGATCCCACATTACTTTTCTCTAAGTTGATAGTTAAAATCCCCATAAAAAAACAGGGGGTCAAGGTTCTCTGACTCATCTATAAGTAATTTCTCATAGTTTTGAAATAAGGGTTAACTACATTAAAGCTGAGCTGAATGTGGGCTTCCAATCCAAAATTCATCTTTAGCCGAATTTCATCCAGTTTACTAATGGTTCAGAGCCAAGAGCAATTTAATCAATGTTTATATCCACTTTAAACATCACTAACAATTGTATGGTAGACTGTTACAGCCATGGCCCCTAGTGAATAGTGTCCCTGTGTCCTCACTCCTTTGCAATGTGACTTTGCTGCTTCTCCCGAAATCAAGAGGTGGGACCTATTTCTCTATCCCTTGACTCTGAGCTGGCCTTGAGACTTGTTGTAACCAATAAAATGCAGCAGAAGTGACATTGTGAAGCCTCTGAGAATAGGCCTTAAGAAGTATTGTAAATTCCATTTTTAATCACTTGGAACACCCAGGGTCCACGGATGAAAAGTCCAGCCGGCAGCTGTACCAAGGCCCCAGACATAGGAATGAAGTCATCTAGACCCTCCAGTCTCAGTGAGCCCAGATGAGACCAGCAGAATCGTGAGGAACAATACATTGTTGTTTTAAGCTACTAAGTTTTAGGGACATTTGTTCTGCAGCAGTACATAATTAATGCAAATAGTATCCTAAAAGGTGACAGGATGGATTCATTTTCCTATAAAAATAGACCTCATCTCTAAAAAGAAATGAGACATTTCCAAACTTTCCGGAACAGTAGAGTAGGGTTTCACCTTTGAAATAAGAAAGCAAGGTTGTTCAAGAAAGCCTATGATTTTAGATTCAAATGCCAAAATAAAATACTCTTTACCCACTTAACATGCCTGAGGAGTTTGATCATTGAGACTAAGAGCTAGTCAGGGAGAAAAGAAAAAGAACTTGATGCTGGGCACAGTGGCTCATGCCAGAAGTCAGGAGTTTGAGGCCAGCCTGACCAACATGGTGAAAACCCATCTCTACTAAAAATACGAAATTAGCTGAGCATGGTGGCACATGCCTGTAATCCCAGCTACTTGGGAGGCTGAGGCAGGAGAATCACTTGAACCCAGGAGGTGGAGATTGCAGTGAGCTGAGATCGCACCACTGTACTCCAGCCTAGGCAACAAGAGTGAGACCCGGCCTTAAAAAAAAAAAAAGAACTTGATAAAGGGGTTTGATGATGGTGATTGTGCCTCATTTTGCCCTTTCCAGTGCTTTGCTCGCTCCCAACTGGAAGGAGCCGGAGGCTGCCCTCCTTTGCACTTCACTGCCGTTTGCATTAGTGAAATCGTGCTCTCCCTTTCTGCCCTTTCTTCAAAGCAGCTCTCTCTGCACTAGTAGACATTGCTGTTTCCAAAAGGATGCGGTTTCCCTGTACTCTGTGGTCTCACCCTGACATCATGACATCACTTGCAAGAATTTGAATTAAAACTTATGCCCCCAGGTTATGATTTCAGGAAGAACTTCTCTGTTGTTTTAGTGGAAAAAACCCACCTGATTGGATGATACTCCTTTCATGGGTTCTCCTGAAATTAAGGAATTTGGTAACAGAGTTTATTCCTCTATTTGCCAATTCTGAGCAGCAAATACCTGGAGAAAAAAGAACAAGAAATTATTGTCAAACGTGGTGGGTTCACACCTGTAATCCCAACACTTTGGGAGGCCGAAACAGAAGGATCGCTTGAGCCCAGGAGCCCCAGCTCAGCCTGGGCAACATAGGGAGACCCTGTCTCGCCAAAAAAATACAAAAATCAGCCGGGCACAGTGGCACATGCCTCTGGTCCCATCTACTCAGGAGGCTGAGGTAGAAGGAGAGCTTAGGTCTGGGAGATGGAGGCTGCAAGTGAGCAGTGATTGTGCCATTGCATTCCAGCCTGGGCAGGAGAGCGAGACCCTGTCTCAAAAATTAAAAAAAGGAAAGAAAAGAAAAGAAATTATTGTCTATGTTATATAATATTTGTCTATTTCTGCATTTTACATTATTTTAATTTGCATACTATAAAATGGTCTCACTATGTTGCCCAGGCTGATCTCAAACTCCAAGGCTCAAGCAATCCTCCTGCTTTGGCCTCCAAAGTTTTGGATTACAGGTGTGAGCCATTGTGCCCAGCCAAAATTGACTTTCAAGTTTGGTGTACAGTTCTGTGAGTTTAACAGGTGTATAGATAGTACAGATATATGTATCCACCACCAAAATCAGGACACAGAGCAATTTCCTTCCCTCAGAAAACCCCCTCAAGTACGTTTTTGCTGTCAAACCCACCCCCGACCTCAGCCATTCACAATCACCAGGTTTCCCTTCCTGCAGGGTCACCTTTCAGAGTGACGTATCAATGGAGTCAGGTAGGTGGTAACCTTTTGAGACTGACCTCTTTCACTTATTCATTCATGTTTTAAGATGTATGAATACTTTTAAAAAAATATCTGAGTAGGCCAGGCGCGGTGGCTCATGCCTGTAATCCCAGCACTTTGGGAGGCCGAGGCGGGTGGATCACGAGATCAGGAGTTCAAGATCAGCCTGGCCAAGATGGTGAAACCCTGTCTCTACTAAAAATACAAGAAAAAAAAAAATTAGCCGGGCACGGTGGCCGGCGTCTGTAATCCCAGTTACTTGGGAGGATGAGGCAGGAGAATTGCTTGAACTCAGAGGGCAGAGGTTGCAGTGAGCCGAGATCGCACCACTACACTCCAGCCTGGGCAACAGAGCAAGACTCCGTCTCAAAAAAAAAAAAAAAAGAAAAAAAGAAAAAAAAAAGAAAGAAAATCTGAGTAGTATTTCATTATATGGGTTACTAAGATTTGTTTATCCATTCGTTCACTGAGAGATGTCTGAGTTGTTTCCAGTTAGGGGCAATTACAAATAGAGCTGCTATAAACATGTCTTCATTTTATTTTTATTTTTAAAATTTTATTTTTTCATTTTTTTATTTTTTGGGGACAGAATTTCGCTCTGTCGCCCAGGCTGGAGTGCAGTGGCACAATCTCGGCTCACTGCAACCTCCGCCTCCCAGGTTCAAGCGATTCTCCTGCCTCAGCCTCTGAGTAGGTGGGATTACAGGTGCGTGCCACCACACCCAGCTAATTTTTTGTATTTTTAGTAGAGATGGAGTTTCACCATGTTGCCCAGGCTGGTTTTGAACTCCTAAGCTCAGGCAATCCACCTGCCTCAGCCTCCCAAAGTGCTAGGATTACAGGCCTGAGCCACTGCGCCTGGCCTCTTCATTTTAATTCATAGAACTGTAATGCAATATTCACAGGCCTGGCAATTAGGAACAACAACAACAACAGTAATGCAAGGCCCGGCACAGGCACATTGAGCCCAGGAGCTCAAGGATGCAGTGAGCCATGCTCACACCACTGCACTCCCGCCTGTACAACAGAGCAAGACCCTGTCTCACAAACAACAAATAAACAAAAACCTGTAACGCTGTTGATTTCAAAGCTACTTTGTCAGCAGAAATATTAAACAGTAGTTTATGATACTTTACTTTTTATTTCAAGAATTTACTCAAGAGCCGGGCACGGTGGTTCATACCTGTAATCCCAGCACTCTGGGAGGCTGAGGTGGGTGGATCACCTGAGGTCAGGAGTTCGAGACCAGCCTGGCCAACATGGCGAAACCCTATCTCTACTAAAAATACAAAAATTAGCTGGGCGTGGTGGGTGTGCCTGTAGACCCAGCTACTCAGGAGGCTGAGGTGGGAGGATCAGTTGAACCTGGGAGGCGGAGGTTGCAGTGAGCCGAGATTGTACCACTGCACTCCAGCCTGGGTGACAGAGCGAGACTCTGTCTCAAACAAAAAAAAAAAGGCCAGGTGTGTTGGCTCATGCCTGTAATCCCAGCACTTCGGGAGGCCGAGGTGGGTGGATCATGAGGTCAGGAGATCGAGACCATCCTGGCTAACACGGTGAAACCCTGTCTCTGCTAAAAACACAAAAAAATTAGCTGGGCGTGGTGGCGGGCGCCTGTAGTCCCAGCTACTTGGGAGGCTGAGGGAGGAGAATGGCGTGAACCCAGGAGGTAGAGCTTGCAGTGAGCCTAGATCACGCCACTGCACTCCAGCTTGGGCGACAGAGCAAGACTCCGTCTCAAAAAAAAAAAAAAGTACTCAAGTAGTTTCAGGGGAGGAGTTAAGCTTTTATTTTTAGAAAATCTAGGTGCAACCAGGCCAGGTGCAATGGCTCACGCCTGTAATCCTAGCACTTTGGGAGGCCAAGGCGGGTGGATTGCCTGAGCTCAAGAATTCGAGACCAGCCTGGGCAACATGGTGAAACCCCGTCTCTACTAAAAAATACAAAAAATTAGCTGGGTGTGGTGGCATGCACCTGTAATCCCAGCTACTCGGGAAACTGAGGCAGGAGAATTGCTTGAATCTGGGAGGTGGAGGTTGCAGTGAGCTGAGACCATGCCACTGCACTCCAGCCTGGGCAATAGAACAAGACTCTGTCTCAAAAAAAAAAAAAAAAAAGAAAATCTAGGTGTAACCGCTTACATTAAACAACCAATAGGTTGGATGGATTATAAAGGCCAGCACTGGAGTCAGCTGAATGACTGTATATGATGAAGTGTCATATTTCATTCTGCTGTGTCAATTAAGGGCCTTCAGAGAAACAGAACAAATAGGATGGATGGATAGATAGATACATGTATAGAAAGACAGACAGACAGAAGATACATAGATAGATGACAGACAGAGACAGACAGACAGATAGGGAGATAGACACAGACAGACAGACAGACAGATGGATAGAGTTCCGCCCTGGACTGTGTCCTCCCCAAATTCATAGGTTGAAGCCCTAACCCCAGTGTGTTTGTATTTGGAGATAGGGCCCTGAGGGGCGTGATTAAGAGTAAATGAAATCCTAAGGGTGGGGCTCTAACCCAACAGGACTGCGGTCCTTGTAAGAAGAGGAAGAGGCACCAAGAGATCTCTTGCTCTGCAGGTACACAGAAGAAAGGCCATGTGAGGACACAGCGAGAAGCAAGTATCTGCAAGTCAAGAAGAAAGGCCTCAACAGACACCAGCCCTGCCAGCACCTTGATCTTGGACTTCTGGCCTCCAGAACTGTGAAAGAATAAAATTCTGTTGTTTAAGCCACCCAGTTTGTGGTACTTTGTATGGTAGCCCTAGCAGACTAACATAGATAGAGATTTATTTTAAGGAACTGGCTTATGCAACTATGGAACTTGGCAAGTCTGAAATCTGTAGGGCAGGTTGGCAGGCTGAAAACTCAGGCAGGATTTCTATATTACAGTCTTGAAGCAGAATTCCTTATTCTCAGTGAAGCCTCAGGCTTCGCTCTTGAGGCCAACTGATTGGATGAGGGTCACCTACGTTATCAAGGGTAAAAATCTCCTTTATTTAAAGTCAACTGATTTAAATGTTAATCACATCTACAAATTAACTTCACAGCAACAACCAGACTCGTGTTTGACCAAACTACTGGACACCATAGCCTAGCCAAAGTGATACATAATATTACCCATCACACTGTCCATCAAATTTTAGGAAAGCTCTCGTTTGGAACAGAGATAAGAGATACCTTCCTCCACATTGCTGCCCTTTGTCATCTTGCTTTGTAGATAGAAAAATTAATTGATGACTAAGGGGATTGTTTTTCTAGTCAGCTCACCAAGGCTGCTGTTTGAATAAGCATTGGATCCAGAATCCATTTCTTTGAACCCAGCCACCTTGCTGCAGAGACTGAGAAATCCCGCCTCTATATTCAACTCAGTAAGACTGATCTCTTTGCACAATGAGCTTGCAATGTCATGGTACAGTTTAGGAACACTGAAGTTCACAAACATGATAGTATCTTATTTATTGATTGAATGTTTACCAAGTACCAGGCATTGTTCTAAGCACTTAACATACAATTTAATCTGTTAGTCATACAGTTTAATCCTTAAAATAGTTTGTGTGCAGTAGACACAATTTCTACCCCCTTTTACAGATGAGCAAAGAGGCATGGAGAGTTAAGCACAGCAGCAGAGCTCTGATTTGCACGCAAGCAGTCTGCTCCAGAGCTCAGAGCTCTGCCGCTTAACTACCATGACTTAACACATTTCACAAACCATGACAACTCAAGCAAAGCACTTAGAGTTCACATAATAGTTTTAAATCAAGTAAAATGGTGGTTTAGAGCAGGGCAGTGTAACATGTGATCTGAATTACAGAAAGGTAGGAATTAAAAAAACATTTTAACTTGGTGCATTGTAGTTGGACCTTAAAAAGCATTCAATACATTGGCAGCCAGAAATGGACAAGGGATGGCATGGATTTGTTAAAACGAGGTTTTTGGTATCCTTGAGGGTAGCTTGTAGGTACAGAGGAACTATGCAGATGTTCATTTTGGCTTTATGTTTTGATTTTCAACATATTAAATGTACAAATCCTAAATGTGTATTCTTTCATTAGTCATTAAAGTTTAGGTTATAGATCTCATTTTTCTTATACATCTAGGATACTCAGGAATCTGTTTTAAGAGGTCTTTGGATATTACTTGGTCTTATTTACTAACTTAGTTAATTAAAAAAGAAAAGATTTTTTTTTTTTTTTGAGACAAGGTCTCACTTTGTCACCCAGGCTGGAGTCAGTGGTGTGATCTTGGCTCACTGCAGCCTCAACCTCCTGGGCTCGAGTGATCCTTTCACCTCAGCCCCCTAAGTAGCTGGGACTACAGGCACTCACCACCATGTCTGGCTAATTTTTTTATTTTCTGTAGAGATGGGGTTTCACCATGTTGCCCAGACTGGTCTCCAACTCCTGAACTCAAGCGATCTGCCCGCCTTAGCCTCCCAACTTGCTAGGATGATAAGTGTGAGCCACTGCGCCCAGCCTAACTTAGTTAATTAACCATCTTCAAACCTTTTCAACAACATTTATAAATTTAATGTAACTGATTTCCTTTTAGAGTACTTTTGCTGTCTGAATTAACAACAAAAATTCCCGAATACTAAATAATTATAGGAAATCTAATACATTAAATTTGCAAAGGAAGAAAAACAAATTCTCTCCTGAGCATTTCAATATGGTAAATAAAATGAGACTTCATCCTTAAATCACAAGTCTAAATTAACTATTTACTCATACCTTTTAACTTTATGTTACATGTCTGACCTTTCTAACAGGCCAAATTCCCTTAACTATATTAAGAACATAAAATACCAAAAATGCACATATCCCTATTTAAACAAATTTCATATTAATACTATGGTATGGTTTTGAGTCTCACAAGTTTTCAGTACTTAATTATAAATCTTCTCCAACCAAAAGATACATACCTGTCTGGTTATGGTGGTTCATGCCTGTAATCCCAGCACTTTGGGAGGCTGAGGTGGAAGGATCACTGGAGGCCAAGACTTGGAAACCAGCCTGGGAAACATAGCTAGACCCCACCCATCTCTGCAAAAAATGACTTAAAACAATTCTTCAGGCATGGTGGCGTGTGCCAAGGTTGCTGAGTAGTAAAAAGAGAGATGGCTGGGTGCGGTGGCTCACCTGCATTTCATGATACTGGTAATCCCAGCATTTTGGGAGGCCATGGTGGGTGGATCATCTGAGGTCACGAGTTTTGAGACCAGTCTGGCCCACATGGCAAAACCCCATCTCTACTAAAAATACAAAAATTAGCCTGGTGTGGTGGTGCACACCTGTAACCCCAGCTGCTCCAGAGGCTGAGGCAGGAGAATCACTTGAACCTGGGAGGTGGAGGCTGCAGTGAGCCGAGATGACACCACCGCACTCCAGCCTGGGGGACAGAGCGAGACTCGGTCTGGAAGAAAAAAAAAAGGATAGTTACCATGCTGGTTAATTAAGGCCACTAAGGTCGGGGACTGTAGGCAAACGGGAGTCCCAATGCTGCAGGGATCTCGAATGACTCTTCCCACTGCCATTCGTCATGCAGAGCCCTTTCTACAGTTGCTTTGTCAATGACCCACCCCCATAACCTGAAGAAGTGTTAGCGTGGCCTATGTTGCTACACTTCAGTTATACACTTTGCTTAATTCAAACACCTTTGACTTTAATAGGGATCCATAAATATGTAAATCCTTGTTCCTTTCAATATGAACGAATTTAAAACTTGTTTGAATCTTGCTTTTTCTTATTTTTCAGACCACACACAACTTTTGTGGATATTTAAAATGCTATATGTTTGGAATCGATATAACGCACCAATTTTTTTTTCTTTTTTTTGAGACGGAGTCTCACTCTGTCACCCAGGCTGCAGTGCAGTGGCAACATCTTGGCTCACTGCAACCTGCCTCCCAGGTTCAAGCCATTCTCATGCCTCAAACTCCTGAGTAGCTGGGATGATAGGCATATGCCACGATGCCTAGCTAATCTTTGTATTTTTTGTAGAGACGGGGTTTCACTATGTTGGCCAGGCTGGTCTCGAACTCCCAATCTCTAGTGATCTGTCTGCCTCAGCCTCCCAAAGTGTTGGGATTACAGGCATGAGCCCCCGCTCCTGGTAGATGCACCAAGTTTTGAGGGTATTCTGACTGAGGCCTGGCAAGAATCCTGCCTGAGGTATGAGGTGCTTGCCCTAATACCCAGAATTCATTAATGTGAGCTTATTAGGAAAAAGGGTCTTTGCGGATGTGATTAAGTCAAGCATCTTGAGATGGGATCTTCCTGGATGATCTGGGTGGGCCCTAAATTCAAGAAGTGTCCTTGTAAAAGACAGAAGATGATGCAGCCCACGGAGGGGGACAGAGATTGGAGTGATGCGGCCAAAAGCCAAGGAACACGTGGATCCTCCAGAAGCCAGAAGAGGCAAGAAGGGATTCTCCTTGATATGGTTTGGTTCTGTGCCCCACCCAAATCTCCTGTCAAATTGTCAGCCTCAGTGTTGGAGGAGGGGCCTGGTGGGAGGTGATTGGATCATGGGGGTGGGGGAGTGGACTTCCCCTTTGCTGTTCTCCTCATCATGAGTTCTCAAGATCTGGTTGTTTAGAGTGTGTGGCACCTCCCCCTTCCCTCTCTCTTCTCCTGCTCCAGCCAGGTGAAGATGTGCCAGCTTCCCCTTCCCCTTCCACCATGATTGTAGGTCTCCTGAGGCCTTCCAGCCATGCTTCCTCTACAGCCTGTGGAACTGTCAGTCAATTAAACCTCTTTTCTTCATAAATTACCCAGTCTCAGGTAGTTCTTTTCTTTTCTTTTGAGACAGAGTTTCACTCTTGTTGTCCAGGCTGGAGTACAATGGCATGATCTCAGCTCACTGTAACCTCTGCCTCCTGGGTTCAAGCGATTCTCCTGCCTCAGCCTCCCGAGTAGCTGGGATTACAGGCATGCACCACTGCACCCAGCTAATTTTTTTTTTTTTTTGTATTTTTAGTAGAGATGGGGTTTCACCATCTTGGCCAGGCTGGTCTCGAACTTCTGACCTCAAGTGATCCGCCCACCTAGGCCTCCCAAAGTGCTGGGATTACAGGTGTGAGCCACTGCACTCAGCCACAGGCAGTTGTTTATAGCAATGTGAGATCAGAATAATACACTCCCCTAGAGTCTTCAGAGGGGTCACACCCTGCCAGACTTGCGGTCTTCAGAACTGTGAAAGAATACGTTTCTGTTGTTTGAATCCACCAAGCTTCTGGTCATTTGTTATGACAGCCACAAGAAATTAATATAGGTCTGGTCAGGGGCATACCTGTATGAAGTTGGTTCAGGCATGTGTATTACGAATCTTAAATTGCAAATATAGGCAGGGCGCGGTGGCTCATGCCTGTAATCCCAGCACTTTGGGAGGCCAAGGTGGGTGGATCACTTGAGGTCAGGAGTTCGAGACCAGCCTGGCCAACATGGTGAAACCCTGTCTCTACTAAAAAATACAAAAATTAGTCAGGTATAGTGACACATGCCTGTAATCCCAGCTACTGGAGAGGCTGAGGCATAAGAATCGCTTGAACCTGGGAGGCAGAGGTTGCAGGGAGCTTGCGTCACTGGAGACCGAGCCACTGCACTCCAGCCTGGGTAACACAGTGAGAACCTGTCTCAAAAAATTTTTTAAAAGTTGCTAGAAATCCAGTATGAGAAATAAAAGTGAAATTCTAAGCCTCCTAAGCAACTGACGGTCTCCAGACTCCCTCCTGGCCAAGGGGACCCCAGAGAAACCTTGAAAACTGAGTTCCTGACCATGATGGTATGGAAGGTTGGACACGCCTCATTATACCCCGATGCCCTGGATAACGACCATGAGGCTTTCCTTCCTAGGGGTCTAAACAGAAACCAACCCTTGGGAAAGAGGCTTCACTCCTGGTATCAACCAGCCACCTAATGCTGCCCTGCCCTCATGTGGTCTGGACAAAATAACTGACCGGCATCCTTGCTTAAGAGGACTACTAGCTGCGGAGTAGTTAGATAAGAGACTGCTGGCCACGAAGTCGTTCTGGCAGATCTCTGAAGGATGCACAGTGAGGATTTTCATGTCCTCTGACTCATCTTTTGATGTCAGAGGCCTGAAAACTCCACCCTCGGATCGTGCTAACCCTGCCATTTTTTGAACACAGGTCCCAGGGAGAGGCATGGAGCTCGACTGCACATGTGCCTATGTCTCTTCTCATCAATATTCAATGCTCCTCCCATAGCTTATCAAATGTGTGTATTTGGTACCTCATTCAGCATAAATTCCTGTCTTGTTCTTCTGCCCCTGGAAGGGTCTGTTTCTGGCTTCTGGCTGGAGGCTCTGCTTCTCAGCCTGTCACAATGGCTGCCCTGCAGGCTGCAGCCCTTTATGAGAAGAAAGCTCTTCTTTCTAGGTTTATGAACCTTGTCATTCCTCAGTTGACAAGTGACATTATCTGAAATGTAAAAGGGACAATTTTAAGGATGGAGTTTGCTAGAACTGAAGGTCAGGGTGGATCTGGGCCTCTGAAAGGGATGGGAGCCGGAACCTAAAACATTGGCAGGACCCTCCCTAATTTTCATCTTCTTCATTGTTTCTTCTCATATTAGACCTGCTTCCCTAGCAGAATATGGCCAACCCACGGCTCCTGCATTTATCTGTTACTATTCCCGCACACTAGCTAGTTTACTGTCACCCTAAATCAAAGGTCTAACTTACATCAGGTGCCCACCCTAGTCTGATCCACCATGGTCTCGGGGGCAGGATCTTGCTGTCTAAACATGGCAGCTGCATGCCCACACCTATGGACCAGCAGGCTGATTCTCTGAGAAAAGCAGGCTGGTGAATGTAGCAGCAATCTCGTTTGGCTGTGCGTGCTGCCTAAAAACACCAACCCAAAATGAAGTGCCTGAAAACAACATTATTTATTTTCACAGATCTGGAGGCCAGCTGATGTAGACTGGGCTTGGCTGGACAGTGCTGCTTCAAGGGATGACTCTGGCTGGGGCTCAGGTTCAGGGGAGGACAGCTGTCTGGGAGAAGCCCTTCTCGTGGTAATGGCAGACACAGGAAGGCAGGCCCAAGCACACTAGCATGCTTCAAGCCTCAACTTGCATCATGTATACTAATATCCTATTGGCCAAAGCAAGTCCCATGGCTGAGCCAAGTAGCAGTGAGATCGGAAAAACACCCCTCTTATGAGAACTGGATGGGCCAGGGAGGATTTCTGGGCAATAATCTACTCTACCACATGGTATGAGATATTTAGTAATGGAACCAAGTGATCAAACTTAACACCACGAATAGTAGAGTATCTAGCATGTACCTCCTGATTTATTGTGACAGTTCTTAAGACAGTCTATAAATATTCTTGTCAAAAATGTTTAACCTGAAACTAATCTAGCCTCTACATTTAATTTCTGGTTCACAGGAAATATGGTAAAGGAGTGAGTTAAATGGACACTGTCTCAGTTATCTATTGCTGAGTAATAAGTTACTCCAACACTTAAAACACCAGTAAACAACAGCTCACAAGGTGGCCCAAGAGAAATCAAGGGGAAAGCCACATGCTTTTTATGACCTAGTCCCGGAAGGCACAGGCTTTTACTTTTGCCAGATTCTAGTTATTAGAAGTGACTCACTAAGTACAGCCCACACTCAAGGGGAAGCTGTGTCTTTTGAATGCAGAGAGTCAAAGCATTTGTGGGGCCTGGTGCGGTGGCTCACACCTGTAATCCCAGCACTTTGGGAAGCTGAGGCGGATCACTTGAGGCCAGGAGTTTCACACCAGCCTGGCCAACACTGTGAAACCCCTCTCTACTAAAATTATAAAAATTAGCCAGGTAGCCAGGTGTGGTGGTGCATGCCTGTAATCCCAGCTACTCAGGAGGCTGAGGCAGGAGAATTATTTGAACCCGGGAGGAACAGGTTGCCATAAGCTGAGATCATGGCACATGCCACTGAACTCCGGCCTGGGCGATAGAGTGAGACCCTGTCACGAAAGAGAGAGAGAGAGAGAAAGAGGGAGAGAGAAGGAGAGAGAAGGAGAGAGAGGGAGAGAGAGGGAGAGAGAGGGGGAGAGGGAGAGAGGGGGGGAGAGGGAGAGAGGGGGGAGAGGGAGAGAGGGGGGAGAGGGAGAGGGAGAGAGGGAGAGAGAGAGAGAAAGGGAGGAAGGGAGGAAGGGAAAAAGAGAGAGGAGAGAGTGAGAGAAAGAAAGAGAGAGAGGAAGGGAGGAAGGGAAAGAGAGAGAGGAGAGAGAGAAAGAAAGAAATGAAAAGAAAGAAAGAAGGAAAGAGAGAAGAAAGAAAGAAAAAAGAAAGAAGGAAAGAGAAGAAAGAAGGAAGGAAGGAAGGAAGGAAAGAAAGGAAGGAAGGAAGGAAGGAAGGAAGGAAGGAAGGAAGGAAGGAAGGAAAGAAGGAAGGAAGGAAGGAAGGGAAAAAGCATTGTGGACATATTTTAAAATTAAAATCACCAAAGGGGTTATTTAGGTTAAAAAAGACTACAGAGATAAAAGAACCAAAAGCTGCCAGGCGCGGTGGCTCACGCCTGTAATCCCAGCACTTTGGGAGGCCGAGGCAGGTGGATGACTTGAGATCAGGAGTTTGAGACCAGCCTGGCCAACATGGTGAAACCCTGTCTCTACTAAAAACACAAAAATTAGCCGGGTGTGGTGGCGGGCGCCTGTAATCCCAGCTACTCGGGAGGCTGAGGCAGGAGAATCGCTTGAATCCGAGAGCCAGAGGTTGCAGTGAGCTGAGATCGGGCCACTGCACTCCAGCCTGGCAGCCTGGGCCATAGAGCAAGACTGTGTCTCAAAAAAAAAAAAAAAAAGATAGAAAAAGAAACACACTATGCCACAAGTGGCTACGCTGGGAAGCACCGTGGTGGGTCAAGAAGCAGAAGGAGCAGGGCAAATGTGAACAAGAGGCTTGACTGTGGTTTTTGAATAGGAATGGGCAAGGCAGGATAAGCAGGAGTAGGATTGGTGAGTCTGAATACTTTCGGCAGGCTCCGGGGCATAAGGGCCAACTCTAGTTGTCTGGTACCTGGCCCTAGAGTCATTAGTGCAGGTGGATAGTGGCCCTGAGAGCCCTGATGAGGCAGCCAGGTGGGAAGGGCTCCCTGGCAGAGCCTCGGACCTACCTGCGTACTGGAGCGGAGCCATAGTAGTTCACGCAGTTTGCGGAGGGGAGGAGCTTGGCCCCTCCTCTTCCTGTGTGGAACCTGGAATTCAATCTGCGAGGCGGGAAGCCCACAGGCAGGAAGAACACTCTCTTGCTTTGCTAAAAGTCTCTCTTTCCCATTTTTTTCTTTTTGCCCAATAAACCCCGTTTTTCTCACTCTTCAATTGTCTGCAAGCCTCAATTTTCGTGCCTGTGTGATAAGGACTCCATCTTTAGCTGAACTAAGGAGAAGTCCTGCAACAGTGTGAGAGCTCAGTGAAGGAGGTGGTGCAGTAGGGGCTCTGGATTGGTTGGTTGGCATTTGAAAGGCAGGCACTCTCTCCAGTAGGAACTGGCCAGCCCCAGGAAGGGCAGCCTTTCCAGGGTCCGCAAGGCCCCACCTGTGAAAAAATCAGAAACACATGCTTGGGCCAGGCGTGGTGGCTCAGGCCTGTAATCCCGGCACTTTGGGAGGCCGAGGCGGGCAGATCACTTGAGGTCAAGAGTTCAAAACCAGCTTGGCCAACATGGTGAAACCCCGTTTTTACTAAAAATACAAAAAAATTAGCTGGGTGTGGTGGTGCGTGCCTGTAGTCCCAGCTACTTGGGAGGCTGACGTGGGAGAGTTGCTAAACCCAGGGAACAGAGGTTGCAGTGAGGCGAGATCGTGCTATTGCACTCCAGCCTGGGTGACAGAGTGGGACTTCATCTCAAAAAAAAAAAAAAAAAGGAAAAGAAAAAGAAACACATGCTTAATACACTTAGTGATGTAAAACACGCATATGTAGTATTTCATACAGTTTTTGAGGGTCAGGAATCTGGGGGTGGCTTAGCCCATGGTTCCGGCACAGGGTCTCTCAGGAAGTGACCATCAAGATGTTGGCCAGAGCTGCAGTCATCTGAAACTTCACTGGGGCTGGAGGATTTGTGTCCAAGATGACCCAGCCACATGGATCCTGGAAAGAAGCCTCCGCTCATGGCTGGCTCTGGCCAGCAGCCTCAGTTCTTCACCACGTGGGCCTCCTCACAGGGCTGCTGGCACCTCCCAGAGCAAGTGATCTGACAGAGGGAGCAAGAGTGGAAAATAGAGGCCAAGATGAAGCCACTTATAAAAATAAGTTAACATCAGAAGTGACAGCCTGTTATGTTTTATCCGTTTTTCTGTAGCTTATAACAGAACACTTAAAACTGAGTAATTTGCAAAGTAAAAGAACTTGTTTCTTACAGTTATGGTGGCCAAGCAGTCCAGAGTTGAGGGGCTGCATCTGGCGAGGGCCTTCTTGCTGGCGGAGCCTGCAGAGTCCCAAGGAGTGCAGGGCAGCAGGCGGCAGGGAGACTGAGCGTGCTAGCTCAGGTAGATCTTCCTCTTCTTATAAAGCCACCAGTTTCACTCCCAAGATAAATTCATGAATCCATGAATGGATTGATCCATTTTGCCCTCATGACCCAATCACCTCCTAAAGGCCCCACCTCTCAGCACTGCCACATTTAGGATTAAATTTCAACGTGAGCTTTGGCAGGGACAAACATTCAAACCATAGCACATTACTTCTGTTGCATGTCATTGGTCTCACAGACCAACTATGGTGCGATGAGGCACAGCGGGGTTGGGGACTACTGAAGGGTATGACTGCTAGAGGTGAGAATCAGTACAGGCCAGCCAGCAGACAGCCACAGTCCACCTTCTGGTCTCCAAAGCTTCACATCCTTCCCACATGCAAAATACCATCAACTCCTTCCAAAGTTCCCCAAAGGCTTATCCTATTGTAGCATCAGTTCCATCTCCAGATCATCTAAATCAAGTCCAGGTGGGACTTTATTTCCTTAAATACAGTTTCTACATTATAATTCTTCTTGATAGGTTGTCTGTCTACCTCTGCCTCTCCCTCCCCAATTGAACATGTAAGAGAACACAGAATAACTACTCCAGACGCCCCTGTTCACAAAGGGAGAAAAAAAAGGTGTCGTGTGTGGCTGAGGAGCAGCCTCAGTCCACTGCTTGACAGTAGAATTTTTAGGGTCTTCTTTTTGGCCAGTCATTGTAGCTCATTCCTGTAATCCCAGCACTTTGGGAGGCTGGGGTGGAAGGATAACTTCAGCCCAGGAGTTCGAGACCAGCCTGGGCAACATAGTGAAACCCTCATTGCTACAAAAAATAAAAACAAAATTAGCCATTATGACATGGCTAATTAGGTATGATGACATGTGCCAGTAGTCCCAGCTACTGGGGAGGCTGAGGTGGGAGGATTGTTTTAGCCCAGGAGGTCCAGGCTGCAGTGAGCCAAGATCGTGCCACTGCACTCCAGCCTGATTGACAGAGCAAGACCCTGTCCCCTCCCCCCAAAATAAGTAACAAATAAGGTCTTCTTTTTAGGTTGTATTATTTCTGTTCCTTTCAGTCCAAGCTGGTAACATTTCCGTATATACAATTCTCTTAAACTATGGATTTTCTGTGAATTTTATTGGGGTTCACTCCATAGACAAATGCAACACCCACAAATCTGTTCTCTACCTTTGGCTTCTGCAGACAGCTGAGGGACAAAGCCCCTAAGCTTCCTAGAAGCACTCTCCTTTGATTGAGAGAGGCTGTGGGGTGCACCTTTACTCTATAGAGCAGGCCCTTTGTCTGACTCAGTGGTACTCTGAGATGCCACCTTATATCTCTTTGGAATCTTACAGTCACACCTAAGGGTTCATCTTGGACCACAGTTTTTCTGGCAGGACCTGCATTTGATCTTTGCTTAGAAGCCATTTCTTAATTGTTTCATAATTTGCTAATATAGTTTGGATATTTGTCCCCACCCAAATCTCATGTTGAAATATAATCCTCAGTGTTTGAGGTGGGGCCTGGTAGGAGGGAAGAGTTTGGATCATGGGGGTGATTCAAAACTGAAGCTCATGGATGGCTTGAGTCATCCTCTTGCTGATAAGTGAGATCTTGTTCTGAGTTCCCACGAGATCTGCTTGTGTAAGTGTCTGACGGCCAGGTCCTGTGGTCCCAACACTTCGATAGGTCAAGGCAGGCAGATAGCTTGAGCCCAGGAGTTCGAGACCAGCCTGGGCAACATGGTGAAACCCTCTCTCTACAAGGAAATTTTAAAAATAGCTGAGTGTGGTGGTCGCACCTGTATTCCCAGCTCCTCGGGAGGCTAAAATGGGAGGATTACTTGAGCCTGGGAGGTTGAGGCTGCAGTGAGCCAAGATTATGCCACTGCACTCCATCTTGAGCGACAGAGCCTGACTATTGCTGCAGTGCAGTGGTGTGATCTTGGCTCACTGTGGCCTTGAACTCCTTTGCTCAAGCAATCCTCCCACCTCAGTCTTCCAAGTAGCTGGGACTACAGGCATGCACCACCACACCCGGCTAATTTTTTCACTTTTTTGTAGAGACGGAGTCTCACTACCTTGCCCAGGCTGATCTTAAACTCCTGGGCTCAAGTGATCCTCCTGTTTTGTTTGTGATCCTCTCAAAGTGCTGAGATTACAGGTGTGAGCTACCACACCTGGCCCGGGTATTTCTCTATAGCAGTGCAAGAACGGCCTAATACATTTGCCATCTAGGCAGACTGAGAATTTCCAGAACTATCCAGTTCTAATTCATTTATATTTAACTGTCTTTCCTTTTGTTGACCTATCTTCTAGCATCTTACTAGAAGGAATTAGAAAAAACTAGGTAGTACTTTAAACACCAATTGAAGATCTCCTTGGCCAGATTACCCAGCTAATTTGCTTCTGTCTACATAACTGCAGTCAACAGCATTGCCAAACTGTCTGCCACTGCATAACAAGGACCCCCTTCCTCCAGGTTCTAGTTCATTGACCTCACTTTCCTACAAGTGCTCACTTGCAATCTTTAAAGATCCGAGTCTTAGGCCCAGTGTGGTGGCATGTGCCTGTAATCCAGCACTTTGGGAGGCTGACTCAGGAGGATCCCTTGAGCTCAGGAGTTTGAAGCTGCAAAGAGCTATGACCATGCCACCGCAGCCTGAGCAACAGCGTGAGGCCCTGTCTCTAAAAAACAAAACAAAAACAAAAGACGTGAATCTTTTATCAACAGGTTTTTTCGGGTAAATCAAGGCTTTCACTAACACTCTCGATAATCCAAAGCCACAGTTCCAAAGTCACTATCACACATGAAGTGTTGTCATAGCAGCACCCCACTTCCAGTTATCAAAGGTATCAACATCTGTGTGAACTAACAATCGCTGTGTCACAATTTAGCCCAAAACTTAGCAGCTCACAACAATAAACATTATTATCTTGCACAGTTTGAGGTTCAGGAGTCTGGGAGTGGCTTAGTTGGAGTTTCTGGCTCAGGGTCTCTCAGGAGGTTACCATGGGGTTATGGCATCTGACACTTGGCTGACGCTGAAGGATTCTTGTCCAGGATGGCCCAGGAACATGGCTGTGGGTCACGATTTCTTTGCTCCAGAGGCTACTCAAGACATGGCTGGGAGCTGACTTCCCCTACAGCATGTGATCTGAGAGAGAAAGCTAGACACACACACACAGAGACACACAGAAACACACACACAGAAAGAGAAAGAGAGAGAGAGAAGAGAGAGGTGGAAGTCCCAGAGTCTAATCTAATGTTGGAAGAGACGTACCATCTGATATGGTTTGGCTGTGTCCGCACCCAAATCTCATCTTGAATTCCTGTGTGTTGTGGGAGGGACCCAGTGGGAGGTAATGAATCCTGGGAGTAGGTCTTTTTTTTTTTTTAGATGGAGTTTTGCTCTTGTTACCCAGGCTGGAGTGCAGTGGTGCAATCTCAGCTCACTGCAACTTCCCCCTCTTGGGTTCAAGAGATTCTTCTGCCTCAGCCTCCTGAGTAGCTGGGATTACAGGCACCCACCACCATGCCTAGCTAATTTTTTGTATTTTTAGTAGAAACGGGGTTTCACCATGTTGGTCAGGTTGGTCTCAAACTCCTGACCTCAGGTGATCTGGCCACATTGGCTTCCCAAAGTGCTGGGATTACAGGCGTGAGCCATGGCACCTGGCCTGGGGGCAGGTCTTTCCCATGCTGTTCTCATGTTAGTGAGTAAGTCTCACAAGATCTGATCGTATTATAGGAAGGAGTTTCCCTGCACAAGCTCTCTTTTCCTGCCACCATCCACATAAGATGTCACTTGCTCCTCCTCGTCTTCCACCATGATTGTGAGGCCTCCCCAGCCACGTGGAACTGTAAGCCCATTAAACCTCTTTCTTTTGTAAATTGCCCAGTCTCGGGTATGTCTTTACTGGCAGCATGAAAACAGACTAATACACCATCACTATGTTGGTAGACTATTGGTCACACAGACCAACCATGGTAAGTGTAGGAGACTACATAGGGTTGTGATTTCTCAGAGGCAGGGCACGTTATGAGTCATCTTGGAGGCTGACTACTACAAAATTATTAAGGGGTAAAATGTCAAGTTGTCTATAATTTCTACACTTTTGAAAAAAAAATCGATGAAGCAAGTTTAGCAAAATACTAAAGATAATTATATTTAGGCCTGGGGTATATGGGAATTAATTGTATTCTTCTTTCTACCTTTCTATATGTTTGTACATTTTCATTAATAAAAAGTGAAAAAAAAAGCAAATTTAAGCTTTCTATCTGGGGATGACAAGATGGCCGACTGGTGCTCAAGAACCTTCTAGAAATCACCTACCCAGCCTCTCACCTGTCTTCACCAGCAGTGCCTTTCCTGTGCACAGGATTCAGCGCTTTCCCAGCGGGCTCCCTGCAGCTCCACCAAGGAGTGCTGGAGGCTGAGTCAGCAGCACGGCCAGGAAATGGTAACAGATGACATAGAATATGTTTGCCCTCAGGTATTATTTTGAGATGTTCTGAAACACAGCAGCACTTTTTCTGATTTTGTTCCAAGCGTCTTTAGAGGAGCAATTCCAAGGAATACTTTTCCTGGCCTTGCCTTCAAGGTCAGTGTAAATCACAGGAGTTTGAGCAGAGTCAGCAATTTTGTTTAACTTTGACCTTGCCCTGTTTGTTAATTCAGCTTGGACTCATTCTGTCCCTGGAATTTAGTTACCTATTTTATAATGAAAAATAAAGATAACTTTGGAGGGGTAACGAGCAGCAAACGCTGAGTCATAGCTCTTTAATTTATAGGGAACTCCATGAAATCTTAGAGTTCATTTCTGCTGAGAGTTTCTGTAAGAAGGAAACTTAATTTTTTTAAGAACCTAGGTTAAATAATCACTTGTGTGATTAATTTTCCATGGAGTTTGGCACTAAAATTGGTGAAGTTGAAAAATTGTCCTTTTAGGTGTCACAAGCAATTTGCGCATTGTAGGATGGAAACAAGAATTTTTCTTCAGCCTGGGCAACAGGGCGAAAGCCCGTCTCTACAAAAACAAAAACAAACAAACAAACAAAAACTTAATTGGGTGACATGCCTGTAGTCCCAGCTACTTAGGAGGCTGAGGTGGGAGGATCACCTGAGCCCAGGGAAGTAGAGGCTGCAGTGAGCTGTGATCATTCCACTGCTCTCCAGTCTGGGTGACAGAGTGAGACCCTGTCTCAAAAAAAGTAAATAAATTTTTTTCTTTGGCGCTGACCCTGAATTTGTTCTGGGTAATAACACTTTGGTAACTTTTTAAATTATTCTGATGTTTAAAAAATCCCTAACCACTATTTTAGAGAAATTCCAAGCCCATAAAATAATTCAACTGCAGATGTTTCAGACTGGGTTTTGAAAGATCCTGTCTGAAAGAAAATTAGTGTATCTCTAGAAGGAAAACACTGTTTTAGTCCGTTTGGGCTGCTATAACAAAAACACCAGGCTGGGCGAGGTGGCTCATGCCTGTAATCCCAGCACTTTGGGAGGCCGAGGCCAGTGAATCACCTGAAGTCAGGTGTTTGAGACCATCCTTACCAACATGGTGAAACCCCATCTCCACTAAAAATACAAAAAGTAGCTGGGCATGGTGGTACATGTCTGTAGTCTCAGCTACTCAGGAGGCTGAGGCAGGAGAATTGCTTGAACCCGAGAGGCGGAGGTTGCAGAGAGCCGAGATGGGACCACTGCACTCCAGCCTGGGCGACACAGCGAGACTCTGTCTCAAAAACAGCAACAGCAACAACAACAACAAAAACATCATAGATAGACTTGGGTAGCTTAAACAACATTTATTTCTTATAGTTCTGGAAGTTGGAAGTCTGGGATGGGCCAGCAGGATTGGGTTCTTGGTGAGTATCCTCTTCCTGGCATACAGATGAGGAAGCAAGCTCCCTTGCCTCTTTTTGTAACGGCACAAATCCCATTCTTGGGGGCTCCACCCTCATGACCTAAGCATCTCCCAAAGGCCCCGCCTCCAAATACCACCATGGGCGGGGTGGTTAGGATTTCAACGTACAAATTTTGGAGGGGACACAAACATTCAGTCCATAACAACACCTTTGCAGTGGGGATGGCAGGAAGTGCGGCCACCACGGTGCAATGGCTTTTTAATGTGCCCATTTGTCCAGGCTGAGCTATATTCCTAGAATTCCCTTTTCCTGTATGTTTCCAGTTTGAGTGAGCCACAGGGGTGTGCTTCTGCAGCCAAGTTGAAGCTGTTGTCATAACCTTGGGCAGATGACCAGAGAAAATACGAAGGAGGCAAGTATGAAACGTGTATTAATTTCTTTTTTAAAAAAAGGCTTAATTTGGGGCTGGGGCCGGGTGCGGCGGCTCACGCCTGTAATCTCGGCAGTTTGGGAGGCCGAAGCAGGTGGAACACTTGAGGTCAGGAGTTCGAGACCAGCCTGGCCAACACGGTAAAACTCCGTCTCTATTGAAAACACAAAAATTAGCTGGGCGTGGTGGCGCGTGCCTATAATCCCAGCTACTGGGGAAGCTGAGGCAGGAGAATCACTTGAATCCGGGAGGTGGAGGTTGCAGTGAGGTTGAGGTTGAGATCGTGCCACTGCACTCCAGCCTCGGCAACAGGGTTAGACTCCATCTCAAAAAAAAAAAAAAAAAAAAAAAAAATTGTGGCTGGGCATGGTGGCTCACACCTGTAATCCCAGCACTTTGGGAGGCTGAAGGGGAGGATCACTTGAAGCCAGGAGTTCGAGGCTCCAGTGATCTATGATTGTGTCACTGCACTCCAGCCTGGGTGACAGAATAAGACCCTATCTCTAAAATAAAATAAAATAAAATAAAATAAAATAAAATAAAATAAACAAAAAATAGCTTAATTTGTATTTACAACAGAAGTTACTTGTCTTGGAAGCCAGGCACGCACGTAAATCTCACAGAAGGCTGGCTGTCTTCCTTCTCCTGGCCTCCCTGCCTCCTCCCTCAAGGCTGCCTGATTCTCTTCTCCCTTCCTCTCTGCGGTTCCCTCCCTCCCACCCCCTCTCCCTGCACCTTTCTTTATCTTGGAGCCTCTCCCATCTCTCCCTCCCTCTTCCTCCCTACCCCACCCTCCGACCACCCCACTTCTTCCCCTCCCCTCACACTTCCCTCCCTCCCTTCTCTCGTCTCCTCCCCACTGCGCCTCCCTCCCTCCTGGCCTTCCTTCCCTTCCCCGACTTTGCAGATTTCTCTTCCCCCAGGCCTCCCTCCTCCACCTCTCCGCCCCCTCCGGGCTTGGCTCTCCCAGGAGGCTACGACTGGAGCCACTGGTCCCGCAGGATCCCCGCGTCCTCGGTCGCCGCGTCCACGTCCCTCTCGCGTCCCCGCCCGGCGCCACGCCGCCTCCTCTGGGTTCGGCCTCCGCGCGGTGCAGCGCAGTCTCAGGCCGCGGGACAAGGTACGTGCGCGTCCCCGGGGCACACAAGCCCACACAAGCCCGGGCCCCGCTCCTCTGAACTCCCGCGTGTGTTCTGACTATGGCAAAGAAGGTCTTTGCCGCGTGCACGGGTAAGGAACTTCCCATAGTCCGTTTTCAGAAGCTGACTTTCATAAAAGTGATACGTTGTCCTTGCAGAACAGCAGCCTCCACGATCCCATGCGTCCGAAGCAGCCGCTGTTTACATTTTGGTATTTTCCTGTAGGTGTTTCGCCATGCATTTTAAAGACATAGTGGAAATCACACCGTATGCAAACTTGCGTTCGTTTTGGCCATTTAGCACGGAGGAGCCTTTCCACCATGCCGTTAAATACTCCTTGTAACTCTCTTCCTGCAGTGAGACATTCTGGTTGTAGCGTTTTTACTAATATAAAACTATTAAAAAACTGAGCATATTTGCAACTAAATCAGCATCCACATTCGACAGCTTTTCTTTAGGGTGGGTATTAAGAAGAGAGGTGCTGGGTCTATGGATCTAAGAGTGGGACATCCTAAATGCTGGGTAGGTGTGCCAGGAACGACTGGACAGTTTACACCCCACAGCCATGTGGGTCGGGCAGGCCTTGGAAACACTGGGCACTGAGATTTATGTCCACTTGCTGATGGAAGATGCCACCTGTTGTTTTCAAAGCCCATTTAAAATAAAGTGGTTAGTAATGAGCCTCGCCGGTATCCGGGGAATCCTGTCCAGGCCTGGGAACCCTATCCAGGCCTAGGAACAGCCAGAGAAAAAGCAGATTCTGCAGGGGCGTCGTTGGCATGTCTAAGAGGGCCATTGTGGGCTCATCCAGGTAGCTTCCTAATTCATGCTATCTCGACCATAGACACTTGGAAAATACAAGCATGGCTGCTGAAAAATAAATATTTGGAGAAGTTTGATGTTTGTAGAATCATCTAAGGATAAGTACTGGCCCTGCCTTCCCTGCTGCAAGATTGAAAATCACTTGCCATGCAAGTTCCTACAATGTTTAAGCAGTAAAGGAGAAACCTCCTGCCTTTCCCATTAGACCCCACTTTCCTGTGTTGTCTTGGGGTCCTCTGTAACCCTGAGCCCTGGATGCACTTCCACGTGGTTTCTATTTCTAAATTTCTAAAGCTTCCAGAAATGTATTCCTCCCTTCTCTCCTCTCCTCCCCGCTGCGCCTCCCTCCCTCCTGGCCTTCCCTTCCCCTACTTTGCAGACCTCTCTTCCCCCAGACCTCCCTCCTCCTCCTCTCTGCCCCCTCCGGGCTCAGGCTCTCCCAGGAGGCTGGAGATGTATTCCTAGACTTCCCTGCTTGTTATAATCCCAACTGCACCAGTCCCTTTTGCTTGTCAAAATCTGTTTTCTCTATTTCTGTTGGAGAACTGCGTTGTGCCTGGAAGTCTGACTTGTGAGTTATTTGAATCCTTAGGGCGTGAAATCAGGAAAACCACACCCTCACCATACTTTATCACCTCTCTTACCTGTCTGACTGCCAGTGTTAGAAAGGGAATGTTTGATTACATTGTTAAAAGATAATTTTCAGCCAAAGGTGAAATCGTGACTTTTATACAGATATAAAAGTGATAAATATTTTATTTTATTCATTAAAGAGAGAAATAGGCAGATGTTGTAACTGGTTCAAAAAAGAAGTCAAGAAGTGCAAATGTATACGGAGTAAAGGAGTGCCTTGTGAAGGTACACGCAGGAGAGGAGCATACCCTTGGAATTTGCAGATCAAACACTCAACTGTAAGATTGGGCACAGTGGCTCATGCCTGTAATCCTAGCACTTTGGGAGGCCGAGGTGGATGTATCCTGAAGTCAGGAGTTTGAGACCAGCCTGGCCAACATGGTGAAACCCAGTCTCTACTAAAATACAAAAATTAGCCAGGCGTGGTGGCATGTGCCTATAATCCCAGCTACTCAGGAGGCTGTGGCAGGAATATCGTTTGAACCAGTGGGGCAGAGGTTGCAGTGAGCGGAGATTGCACCATTGCACTCCAGCCTGGGCAACAGAGTGAGACTCCGTCTCAAAAAAAACAAAAAACAAAAAACAAAAAACACTCAACAGTGATCCCCATGGGTTTTGATGTGTAATTTTCCAGAGGGACATGCTTGTGTTAGGCAGAGTGAGGCTCCTTCACCCCTACAGAGTGACTCCTGTGGCCCCTCCAGCTCTGCCTCACACAAGCAAATCTCTCTGGAAAATTACACATCAAAACCCATGGGGATCACTGTTGAGTATTTGATCTGCAAATTCCAATTCCATATGCTCCTCTCCTGTGCATACCATCACATAGAAGTCATTCACACATATGCAGCACCTTGCAGCAATGTCTATGGGGAATCATGCATTTGTGCTGGTGGTGGCCAGTGTGGGCATTGCCGACGAACATGGCCACCAGGGTGTCCTGCAGGGCACTCCACAGAGCTAGGAAAAGCGTCCTGATTTCCAGAGACGTCACCAGTGGAGACCACAGAACTGACCTGGGGATGACCAGAAGGTGGCCCCAAACACATCTGCCATGATACAGAAAAGCCTTTATTGACAGCATGTGTAACGAGGACTCTGTCATGCATCTCAGACACACAGTCCTGCCCCAGCACAGGAGGAAAAGGAAACCTTCTTACTCACAATAAAGGACCTCATCATTTGTAAAAAGTGCCTCAGTGGAAAAGTACCCATGTCTATAGCACGCCCTGTGGGCTGTCTGATTCCAGCTCCATTCATTGTACTTGAGCCATTTTTAGGAGTAAGTGGCAGATCTGATAGATCTGTAAATTCTATCCCGTTTCCATGCAGAATTAATGGACTCTTTCCCCTCCTGTGGAAAAAAGTTAAAAAAAAAACATGTTGTCTAGGCTGGTCTCTAACTCCCAGCCTCAAGCAATCCTCTTGCCTCAGCTTCCCAAAGTGCTGGGATTACAGGTGTGAGCCACTGCGTTTGGCCAAAAAGATATTTTGTCTTCATTTGCAATTCATCTCAACATTTCTTTTGTCAACTAAAGAATGATGAGTTTCATAAATTTGGAAAAAGAGAGCTTTATTTCTCATAAAGTGTTGCAGCCCGCAAAGCGGCCATTCTGACAGGCTGGGAAGTGTAGTCTCTGGCCAGAAGCTGGAAACAGACCCTTCCAGTGTGGGAAGAATAGTACAGGGATCTGTGCTGAACAGTGTGGCCAAACACACAGATTCAATAAGCTATAGGAGGGGTTATGAATTTTTAAAATAATGGATTAGCTAATACTTTTGAGACAGGGTTTCATTCACTCCCCCAGGCTGGAGTGCAGTGGCATGATCATTGGCTCACTGCAGTCTTGACCTCCTGGGCCCAAGTGCTCCTCCTAGCTCAGCCTCCTAAAAGGCTGGGACCACAGGTGTGTGCCACCAAGCCTGGCTAATTTTCTAATTTTTTTTTTTTTTGTAGAGATGGGGTCTCCCTGTGTTGCCCAGGCAGGTCTTGAACTCCTGGACTCAAGTGATCCTCCTGTCTTGGCCTCCCAAAGTGTTGGGAGTATAGGCATGAGCCACTGTTCTCAGCCATGAATATTTTTGAAGGAGAACCGTGTACGTGGGCAATTGAGCTTTTTGCCTCTTCATGGGAGCCATGTTCAAAAAATGACTGCGTTAGCATGATCCAAGGGTGGTATTTTTGGCCCTCTGTTGTTAAAAGCTGAAGCAGAGGACACAAAAATCCTTACTGTGCACCCTCTGTAGACAGGCCAGAACCATGTCATGGTTGGTGTTTTGTTATCAGGCAAAAAGGAGGGCAGTGTCATGCGGCTGGGTGATATCAGTGTGGGGTTGTTTGAAGAGGCTAGTTTCTGTTTAGCCTTTAGAAAAGAAAGCCTCATGGTGATTAGTGAGTCAGGAGCGGATAATGAGAGGTGTGTGATCCCCCAACCCATAACTATATAACTGAGTTGTATGGCCAATAACTCAGTTTTTAAGGTTATTCTGGGGTCTCCTTGGTGAAGAGATGATCCAGTCAGTTGGTTGGGGGCTTAGAGTTTTTAGTTTACACTTTCCAGTGCTGCATTTGTGCTCTTTTGATTTTCCTTCAAGCCTGTTAGAACATCTGTTAGTTTTTTCCTGTCGTTCAAGTAGAGTACAATCCTCAATGTTGTTTGTTTTTATATCTGTTGAAGAGTGATGGTTTTACTTCTTTCTGAAAATTATCTTTTAATAAATACATGTGTTGTTGACAGAAGGAAGTCAAACTCTGTAAAATGTTTGAAGAGGTTTATTCTGAGCCAAATGTGAGGACCATGACCCATGACACAGCCCCCAGAGGGCCTGAGAACATGTGCCCAAGGTGGCTGAGTTACAGCTTGGTTTTATACATTTAGGGAGACATAGGAACTCGATCAATACATGTGAGGTATACATTGGTTCAGTCTGGAAAGGTGGGACAACTCAAAGATCGGGGATGGCAGGGTCAGGGTGGTAGCTTACAGGTCACAGGGGGATTCAAAGGTTTTCTGATTGGTGCTTGGTTGAAAGAGTTAAATTAATAATGAAAGACCTGGAATCAATAGAAAGGAGGGTCTGGGTTAAGATAAGAGGTTTGGGAGACCAAAGTTCTTATTATGTAGGTGAAGTCTCATAGATGGCTACCCTTAGAGGCAATAGATAGCAAATGTTTTCTGTTCAGACCTTTAAAAGCTGCCAGACTCTCAGGTAATCTTTTCAGGATCAGAAAGAGACCTGGAAAGGGAAGGGGATTCTCTACAGAATGTAAGTTTCCCCTACAAGAGATAGCTTTGCAGGGCCCTTTCAAAATATGTCAAAAATATTTTGGGGTAAAATACTTGATTTGTTTCAGGGCCTGCTGTCTATATCCTTGGATGCTGTATTTGAGTCAGGTTGGAATTTCATACCTTATTTCTACAAAAAGTCTGTTTCGTCAGTCTTGAGACCTCTGTTTGAATGTTAATGCTGGTCATTTGTGCCTGAACTTCAATGGAGGAGGGAATAATGAGGTATGTTGGACTCCTCCTTCCTGTCTTTTTTTTTTTTTTGAGACAGAGTCTCGCTGCAACCTCCTGGGTTCAAGCGATTCTCCTGCCTCAGCCGCCCAAGTAGCTGGGATTACAGGTATGCACCACCATGCCTGGCTAATTTTTTTTTTTTTTTTTTAGTAGAGACAAGGTTTTGCCATGTTGGCCAGGCTGGTCTTGGATCCTTGCCTCAAGTGATCCACCAGCCTTGGCCTTCCAATGTGCTGAATTATAGGCATGAGCCACTGAGCCTAGCCCCTCCTTCCTGTCATGGCCTGAATTAGTTTTACAGGTTTCTTTGGAATCGCCTTGGCCAAGAGGAGAGGTCCATTCAGTTAGTTGGGATGCTTGGAATTTTATTTTTGGTTTACAGTGCATTTGCAGGAGGAAGCTAAAATCCTGAAAGGTATATACAGAAAATATAGTACAGTTAGTTGAGAGTCAAGGGTATGTTCCCTGAGACTTGCCAGGGTAGAAACTGTTCGCCCTGCCCATTGTGGACTTGGCCCCTGGCACAAGGCGTGGCCTGGCTGCTGTGCCCACGTGGAGGGTCTGGGCAGGAGTCCAGCCTTCGACACACACGGGCGTCTCCTGTAGGAGAATAACCTTGCAGGATCAGCCTAGAGGGCTGCTCGCCTGGCTGTAAGCATTCCTTTTGCAAAATGGATGTCAACTGAAAATAAAGTAAAAACATTCAGATTAGAGGCTTCCTGGAATGGCCAGGATTTTCTGTGATCCCTAGGTCCTCATAGCCAACAAACAGCCCAGATAAGAAGTCAGCCCAGATAAGAAGTCAGCCCAGACCAGCCTGGCGAACATGGTGAAACCCCGTCTCTACTAAAAATATAAAAATTAGCCGGGCATAGTGGCGGGCACCTGTAGTCCCAGCTACTTGGGAGGCTGAGGCAGGAGAATCGCTTGAACCTGGGAGGCGGAGTTTGCAGTGAGCGGAGATCGTGCACTGCAATCCAGCCTGGGTGAGAGAGCGAGACTCCGTCTCCAAAAAAAAAAAAACCCGAAAAGAAAAAGAAAAAAAGAAAGCTCTACAGGCCTGAACTTGCTGCTTGTGTCTGAGGGGTGGGGCAGTCTTGGAACTGAGCCCTCACTGCCCCACGCGCCCCCACCCCTTACCTTTGGTCATGGTGTTGATGATCGCTGTATTGTGAGAGCAGAGGGAAACATGGCTTGAGAGTTTTTCTGAAATGGTGTCAAATGACAATGTTGAATTATTGAGTCTTACTAATTATAGTTCTATAATGTAGCTTATGAAAACCAAACCAAGAAAACTACAGTCCAGTTGTCCTTGATTGGATAACTAGTTATTAATTTCTTTCTTCTCAAAATCTAATTACTTTATTTCTAATTATGAAACACTAAGAATATTCAGTAATGTGAAGGGAATTATATAACAGCCACCCTTTCACATCACCCATATTTGAAAGATAATACCCTTTTGCCCTATATACTTCAAATCAAAACTTTTTAGGGAAATAAAACATAATAAAGCCCACGATCTCCATTTTTTCTCCCCTCTCTTCCCGGTAACCAATTGTCCTAATGGTGATAATTCATTCTCATGCGTGATACTTTTCCTACAGTATATTTATGAATAAAATGTATATTTTTGGTTGTTATTTATTTAGCATCAAAATGTATGTTTTTTGGTTGTTATTTAGAATCAAAATGCTATGTCTTTTTACATAGCATTATGTCTTTGAGATTTTTCAAGTTTTGTATTTCTATTTTTAAATAAAAATAAATATATAAAAAATATAAATATATATAAATAAATATATAAAAAATAAATAAATAAAAATAAAAATAAAAATGTCTCTCTTTGTTGCCCAGACTGGAGTGTAGTGGCATGATCATAGCTTACTGCAGCCTTGAATTCTTGGGTTCAAGTGATCCTCCTTTCAGTCTTCTGAGTAGCTGGGACTACAGGTGCATGCCACCATGCCCGGCTAATTAAAAAAATTTTTTTGTAGAGACGGGGTCTCCCTATGTTGCTCATGCTGGTCTCATACTCCTGGCCTCAAGCTATGACCATGCCTCGACCTCTCAAAGTGCTGGGATTACAGGCCTGAGCCACCATGCGGGTCTGGAGATTTATTATATTGATAAATTACAGGTGCAGCCTGTTCATCGAACTGTTGTGTAATATTCTTTTTATGAATGTATTTGTTTTCTAGGGCTGCCATAACATTACCAGATACTGGGTGACTTAAAGCAACACAGTGCCTCATAGTTCTGGAGGCCAGGAGTCCAAATTGAAAGTGTCAGCAGGGCTCTGCTCTTTCTGAAACCTGTAAAGGAGAGCCCTTCCTTGCCTATTCCAGCGTCTGGTGGGGGGCCAGCAATCCTTGGCTTGCAGGTGCATCCTTCCCATCTCCACCTCCATCTTCACACGGCCTTCTCTTCTGTGCGTCTGTTGTGTCTTTGTCCACGTTTTCCCCTCCTTAGAAGGACACCAGTCATTGGATTTATGGTCTACTGTACTCCAGTATGACCTCATCTTAACTACAGGACATCTGCAAGGACCCTGTGTCTAGTTAAGGTCACATGCACGGGGAGTGGGGGATAGGACTTAAACATGTATTTTGGGGGAATACAATTCAACCTACATCAATCAATAAATTACAGTTTATTCATTCTCCTGTTGATGGTCAATTAGATTGGTTCCAGGTGTTGTCATCATATTAGTGGTGCCAAGAACATTTTTCCATAATCACTGCATGTGCCTGTGTGGGCATGTGCAAATTTCTCTCTCTCTCTCTCTTTTTTTTAGATAGGGTCTCACTCTTAACACCAAGCCTGGAGTGCAGTGGTGCAGTCTTGACCTCCTGGGCTCAAGCAATCCTTCCACCTCAGCCTCCTGAGTAGCTGGGACCACAGGTGCACACACCACCATGCCTGGCTAATTTTTCTGCTTTTTTTTTTTTTTGGAGAGATGGGGTTTTACCATGTTGCCCAGGATGGTCTCGAACTCCTGGGCTCAAATGATCCCCCCGGCCTTGGCCTCCCAAAGTGCTGGGATTACAGGCATGAGCCACCATGTCCCACCACATGTGACATGAATTTCTCTAGGGAAACATCTAGTGGTGGGATATCTAGGGTGCGGGGCATCTGCTTCTTTAACTTTGCTAGACTCCTTCCAGGGTTTGTATCATTTCACATGCCCTCCCATTTCCCTACAAGTGTACCATCATCTCTGTGTTAACAGACTTTTGCCAATCTGCAAGATGGAAAATAGTATTTCATTCTTGTTTTTATTATAGTTTCCTTAAGAACAGTGAGGTTGAATATCTGTTCATATGTTTATGGGCCATTCAGGTGTACTTTTTTGTAAATTGCCCATTCATATGAATTTTTCTATTGGGTTGTCTTTTTCTTGGTGACTTATAAGAATTCTTTATATATTTTATCTAGACACTAAGTCCTCTGTTCCTAAAATAATACCTTCTCCTAGTCTATCTTGTTTTCTCACTTTGTTTATGGAGACTTTTATCTTGATATTAATGTTAATCATTATCTTATTAATCTTTCATCTTAGTTACTATCTTATTAATGCAATTTTAAGAGCTTTTTGTCATGGAAAATCTCAAGCATATATAAAAGTAGAGAGATTAGTACACAGGACACTCCAGCTGCACCACCATCAGCACGTGGACACCTTGTCCACCCTACCCCACATGGAGCTATTTTGGGTTTTTGTTTGTTTGTTTTTTGAGATGGAGTCTTGCTCTGTCGCCCAGGCTGGAGTGCAGTGGCGCGATCTCGTCTGACTGCAGCCTTTGCCTCCTGGATTCCAGTGATTCTCATGCCTCAGCCTCCGGAGTAGCTGGGATTACAGGCGCTCACCACCATGCCTGGCTAATTTTTGTATTTTTAGTAGAAACGGGGTTTTGCCATGTTGGCCAGGCTGCTCTCGAACTCCTGACCTCAGGTGATCCACCAGCCTTGGCCTCCCAGAGTGCTGGGATTACAGGTGTGAGCCACCGCACTCAGCCCAAATGGGGCTATTCTGAAGTAAATCCCAGACCTCTGGTCATGTCATCTGTGGGTACATCATGATATCATGATGCATCTATGAAAGACAAGGACTCAAAAACACATGGCTGCAATGCCATCATCTTCCCCTGCCAAAATTCACAATAATTTGCAATTTCATCAAATATCCACTTAGTATTCAGTTTTCTGCAGTTGTCTTTCCTTTTTTTTTAAATTGGTTACCATGAAATGGGATTTATAATCCTTTTCTTTATGGTTTATGTTTTTTGGGTCAAATTTAAGAAATTCTGCCTTATTCCAAAGTACAAGAAAAAAGTATTCAGTATTTCCTTCTGATTGTTGAAATTTCGCCTTTCCTACTTAGATTTCTAGCCACGCACTGGGGTATGTGGGGATCCATGGTGATTTGTTTTCTTACCTGGGTAGCTCAGTGCTGCAGCCGTGCCCCATTGATGGCCAGTCCCTCCTCCCCCCACAGGTCCCTCCTGCCCCCTCTCATGACTACAGAGCCCATTGTATCTGACCCCCTCTCTCTGCCTGCTCTGCGCCTGCTCTTCGCCTGTTCCCACTGCTGGACCTGGCTGGAGGAAACAGCCATACGTACTTCTCGCTGGTCCCCTGTTTTCCTGCTTATCCTCTCCCCAGCCCTCGTCCCGCCTCTCACCCTGAGCTGCTGACTCTGCTTCTCAGTTCTGTGAGCAAACAGATGCCAACAGGGAGCATCCACACTCTCCCGCCCCACACCCACCACCACCTGTGTCTGTGTCCACGTCCTCAGCCTCCCTTGGGTGCGTGAGGACTGTCCACGCTGCCAAAGAAGGCAGCTCCTCTGCTATGCGCCAGACCCTCCTGTCACACTCTCCAGTTCCCTCTCTCCCGGGGTCATTGATTGTGTTTTGTTTGTTTTCCTTTCTATGGTATCATTCTCATCCACGTACAAATAGGCTGAGATTTCTTCCACTTTAAAAAAAAAAGGCTCATCCCTGTGTCTTCCCTCCATCTTTTGCACAGTCTCTTTGCTCTTTTTTTTTTTTTTTTTTGAGATAGAGTTTCGATCTTCTTGTCCGGGCTGGAGTGAAATGGTGCGATCTCAGCTCACTCTAACCTCTGCTTCCCGGTTCAAGCGATTCTCCTGCCTCAGCCTCCCAAGTATCTGGGATAATAGGCATCCACCACCCTGCCTGGCTAATTTTTGTATTTTTAGTAGAGACGGGGTTTCCCCATGTTGGTCAGGCTGGTGTCGAACTCCTGACCTCAAGTGATCCACCTGCCTCCGTCTCCCAAAGTGCTGGGATTACAGGTGTGAGCCACCACGCCCGGCCTCTTTGCTCCTTTTTCTGTCAAAAGTCTTCTAAGAGTTTTCTGTGTTCACTCTCTTTAGTTCTCTCCTCTCTCATTCTCTCTCTCTCTCTCTTTTTTTTTTTTGAGATGGAGTCTCACTCTATTGCCTAGGCTGCAGTGCAATGGCGTGATCTCGGTTCACTGCAACCTCCGCTTCCCAGGTTCAAGCAGTTCTCCTGCCTCAGCGTCCCAAGTAGCTGGGATTATAGGCATGTGCCACCACGCCTGGCTAATTTTTGTATTTTTAGTAGAGACGGGTTTTTACCATGTTGGCCAGGCTGGTTTTGAACTCCAGGCCTCAAGCAACCCACCCACTTTGGCCTCTTAAAGTGCTGGGATTACAGGCGTGAGCCACCGCGCCCAGTCTCCTCTCAGTTTCTTTTAAGCCCACTATGATTATGCTGTCACCCATGCCCTCGTCCAAGCCTGTCCTTGTGGAGGTCACCAATGACCTTCACTTTGCCAAACGCGGAGGGCAACACTCAGCATTCATTGTTCTCCCCTCAACACCCATTCTTCACTTGGGTCCAGGACACCACACTTGGGGTCTTCCTCCCCCGTCACTGGCTGTTCCTTCTCAGGCTCATTCCTCACTCGCTGATTCCTTCCCATCTCCCTGAAGTGTTAGTGTTGAAGGACCCCAGGGCTCAGTCTTCTAGATTTCTCTTTTCTTCATCCACCATTATTCCCTGAAGGATGTCATTCATTCTTAAAGTTTAAATATCACCTACAGGCCCGGCACAGTGGATCACCTGAGGTCAGGAGTTTGAGACCAGCCTGGCCAACATGGTGAAAACCCATCTCTACCAAAAATACAAAAATTAGCCAGGTATGGTGGTGCTCGCCTGTAGTACCAGCTACTTGGGAGGCTGAGGCAGGAGAATTGCTTGAAACTGGTAGGTGGAGGTTGTAGTGAGCCGAGATTGTGCCACTGCACTCCAGCCTAGGGGACAGAGTGAGACTGTGTCTCAAACAAACAAACCAAACCCACATACAGTCATTCTTGGTATTTGTAGTAGTAAAGTCCCTACAAACACTGAGTTAGCAAATCCTAAACCATTCCTCCTGGGGAAAATACAAGGTTAGCTTCCTGTAAACCTGTGGCCTGGTCACAGCGGTTTCCTCAGTTGACCCATACATAACCCTGGTTTTATGTGTGTTTTTGTGGAAGATACCATTCTAATATATATTGTTGACTCATTAACAGGAAGCTCATGGCCAACAGGACTGTAACTCGTGCCTGAACAAAGCTTCTCCAATACTCGCATTTTCTCCATAAGGCACATCACAGCCTTCCCGTGCTTAGCAATGCTAGATAGCATGTGAGCACTAAGTGCGGGGCCCTTTTAAACAGCAAAATCAACCCCTCAAAAAGCACAAAAATGTGCACTAAGACCATGCAAAGGACACTTGTTTACACTGTGAGAGCTCAAATGAGAAGCAGAGTGTTGTGGGCAGTTGGGCTGCTCTAACAAACGTGGCTTCAACAACAAACATTTCTCACAGTTCTGGAGGCTGGAAAGTCCAAGATCGAGGCGCTGGCAGATCCAATGTCTGCTGAGGGCCTGTTTCTGGTTTGCAGATGGTCATCTTCTGGCTGTGTTCTCACCCAGCAGAAAGAAGGGAAGCCAGCTCTCTGGGCCCCTTATATAAGGCACTCATCCCATTCTTGAGGGCTCTGCACTTGTGAACTACTTGCCTTCCAAAGACCCTACCTCCAAATATCATTCCACTGGAATTAGGGTTTCAACATCTGACTTTTTGGGGACACATTCAGTCTATTGCACCCTGTGTGTCCTCAGCTGGGAATGTGGACATTGACAGTTCACATTTTTCGAATGTCCATGAATGACGGTGAGGTTACAAAATACATTCAGCAGGTATGGCCAGGCACAGTGGCTCACATCTGTAATCCCAGCACTTTGGGAGGCCAAGGTGGGCGGGATCACCCGAGGTCAGGAGTTTGAGACCAGCCTGGCCAACATGGTGAAACCCCGTCTCTATTAAAAATACAAAAATTAACCAGGCATGGTGGCGGGCACCTGTAATCCTAGCTATTAGGGAGGCTGAGGCAGGAGAATCGCTTGAACCCAGAAGGTGGAGGTTGCAGTGAGCCAAGATCATGCCACTACGCTCCAGCCTGGGCAACCAGAGCGAGTCTCTGTCTCAAAAAAAAAAAAAAATCAGCAAGTAGATGAATTCATCAATACAGGATCTGCAAACAATGAGGGTCAGCTGTATACTCACATCACTCTCAAAGTTTTCGTTTTAGCTTGGGCCCCTGGCCCTTGAACTTCTATCGTGTTACCCAGCTTTTCTCTGGGATGTGTAATAGATACCTCAGCCTTAATATGCCCCAAACTGAAGTCCTTATCTCCTCAAACCAGCTCTTCCCACATCCCTTCTCATTTAAACACACTCCATCCTCCAGTTTCTTAGGCAGGAACCCTTGTAGTCATCACGGACTCCTCCTTTTGTCTGATGTCCCCACAGATACAATCTGTCAGCAGAACTGAGTGGCTCTGCCGTAAAATCTGTCCACACTTGACCATTCCCGCCCTCTCACCATCACCGTCCTGGTGTGAGCTGCTTCATCTCTTGGCTGGATTGTTGCTGGAGCCATCCAACTGGACTTTCTTTTCTTCCTTTGCTACTTGATGATTTCTTCTTAAAACAGCATCTTCAATGATCCTTTTTTTTTTTTTGAGACAGGATCTCTCTGTGTCATCCAGGCTGGAGTGCCATGGCATAGTCATGACTCACTGCAGCCTCGACCTCCCAGGCTCAAGGGATCCCCCTACCTCAGCCTCCTGAGTAGCTGGGAATACAGGCATGTGCCACCATGCCCAGTTAAGTTTTGAATTTTTTTTTGCAGATATGGGGTCTTGCTGTGTTGTCCAGGCTGGTCTCAAACAATCCTCCCACCTCAGCCTCCCAAAGTATTGAGATTACAGGCATGAGCCACTGTGTCAGGCCAATGATACTGTAAATCAAGTCAAATAAAGCCACTCATTTCCCCAAAATTCTCCAGTGGCTTCTATCTCACACTGAGGAAAAACTAAATTCTTCCAGTAAAACTCTGGGAACTCACACTATTCTCTGCTGTTCTCTCCCCTTGCTCTTTCTGTTGCAGCCACACTGGTCTTGCTGTTCCTCAGACATGTCAGACATGCTTCTACCTCAGGGCCTTTGCACTTGCTGTTTGTTCTGTCTCAACCGCTCTTCCTCCAGATATCTGCAGGGCACCACCCCTCGCCTCCTTTGCCCAAATGGTGCCTTTCCAACAAGCTGTTCCCCAATACACCATTGTAAATTGCAACTCACACCCTCAACCAACATTGTCTTCTTTCCTTCTCTGCTCTGTTTTTCTTCTTAGCATTGATTACCATCTGAAAAGCATATTGTTTTTGTATATTTCATCCCACTAGAATGTGCTTCCTGAGGTCAGGGATTTTTATTTGTTTCATGCTCTGCTGTTTCCCCAGAACCTTCGACAGTGTTTGTCACAGAGTGGTGCCTCAGTAAACATTCTGTGGATGACTGGATGAATACACATGAGTCTGGTTCTAGAGTCTTTGGTCTGTTCTATTGATGTATTCATCTATCCAGCAATACCATACTGTTTTAATAGGTTTTGTTGTTTGGTAAATTAATTTCTCCTTCTTCATTTTCTTTCAGTTATTGTGGCTATTCTTGTTTCTTACCTCTTTTTTTTAGTTTTAACATATGTTGAAATCCTAACCCTCAAGGTGATGGTATCAGGAGGTCGGGTCTTTGGAAAATGATTAGGTCTGAGGGCAGACCTCTTACTATAGGGAATGTCCTTATAATGGAGACCCCAGAGAGCCAGCTAGTTCCTTCTACCCCGTGAGGACACAAGGAGAGGGCACCACATATGAACCAGAAAGTGGACCCTCACCTAACATTGCATCTGCCAGTCCCTTGAACTGCGACTTCCCAGCCTCCAGGACTGTAAGAAATAAACCTCTGCATTTATGAGCTACCCAGTTTACTGTATTTTGTTATAACAGCCTGAATGGACTAAGGCTTCATTCTATTTTTTTCTTCTAACTTCTTGATATTTAGCTTACTTTTATTCTTTCCTCTTGTTCAAGTATATGTAGTCTAGGCTGTAAAGATGTCTCTAATTACTGCTGTATTGATTGTATCAAGTTTTGCTATGTAGTGTTTTCATGGTAACATGGTAATCCAGTTCTAAATCTTTTGAGTTTTATTATAATTTCTTCGTTGTATTTGTATAGCATTTGTTATATAAAATCTTTACTGAAACTTTGATTGTGGGTTAATATGCAGGCAGTTCACATCTGCTTGTAAAGACTGTGTTCTCCAGTTGTTCATGAAGGGAATTACATATGTCTTTGGGTTTAGTGTTCCTAGTTCCTCTTTTTTGATGGAACCTTAATTTTTTTTTTTTTTTTTTTGTGAGACAGAGCCTCGCTCTTGTTGCCCAGGCTGGAGTGCAATGGCGCAATCTCGGCTCACTGCAACCTCCACCTCCCGAGTTCGAGCGATTCTCCTGCCTTAGCCTCCCAAGTAGCTGGGACTACAGGCGCCTGCCACCACACCCGGCTAACTTTTGTATTTTTAGTAGAGACGGGGGTTTCACCATATTGGCCAGGCTGGTCTTGAGCTCCTGAACTTGTGATCCACCTGCCTTGGCCTCCCAAAGTGCTGGGATTACAGGCGTGAGCCACCATGCCTGGTCCGGAACCTTAATTTTTAAAAAGTCTAATTTGAACCAGGCATGATGGGTCACACCTGTAATCCTAGCACTTTGGGAGTGTGAGGTGGGATGATTGCTTGAGCCTAGGAGTTTGAGACCAACCTGGACAATATAATGAGACCTTGTCTGTATAAAATTTTTATTCTAAAAAAAGGAGCTGATTGTGGTGGTGTGTGCCATAGTCCCAGCTACTTGGGAGGCTAAGGTGGGAGGATTAGTTGAGCCCAGGGAGGAGGTCGAGGCTGCAGTGAGCCGTTTGTGACACTGCACTCCAGCCGGGGCAAGATCCTGTCTCAAAAAACAAAACAAAAAAAAATCCAAGTTGAGAATCTGTCTCAGCTAGTGAGTTTAATCTGTTTCCATTTATTTAAATTTAGGCAGGCCTGATGGCGGTGAGTTATCTCAGTTGATTGTTCACAGTCATTTACAAATCAAATTCCTTGTTCTACTACTCCCACTTTCGCCGCCTCATTTCCTGCTTTTTAATGAACAGGTTTTTAATTTCCTAATTCCTTCCTGTTTTCCAGTTTGATTCACCAAGTGTTTCTAGGTGAATTTCAAACCCCATTCCCACTGTAAATTCCTCCAGGGTGTTGTGTCTGCTGATTCTTGTTTATTTGGATCGCCTCCTTGTGTATAGGTTTTCCTGATGAGCTGCTCTTCAGCGGGTCGTATTTTTGGCCTGGATTGTGGAAGTCTTGTGGTAAAGTGGATTTGCATTTGCCTCTGCCTGGTGTTCCAGGCAGTTCACTGGCCCAGAGTCAATTGTGTTAATTTCTCAGCCAGGTATTCCTACTTTGCAAGCATGGTATACATTTGAGGATTGCTTTCTTTTTCTTTTCTTTTCTTTTTTTTTTTGTTTTTGAGACGGCGTCTCGCTCTGTCCCCCAGGCTGGAGTGCAGTGGCGCGATCTCGGCTCACTGCAAGCTCCGCCTCCCGGGTTCACGCCATTCTCCTGCCTCAGCCTCCCGAGTAGCTGGGACTACAGGCGCCCACCACCACGCCCGGCTAATTTTTTGTTTTTTAGTAGAGACGGGGTTTCACCGTGTTAGCCAGGATGGTCTCGATCTCCTGACCTCGTGATCCGCCCGCCTCGGCCTCCCAAAGTGCTGGGATTACAGGCGTGAGCCACCGCGCCCGGCCGAGGATTGCTTTCTTTTTTCCCTTCCACTCAGAATCTAGACGGAGATGGGTTTCTTCGCACACACCTGAGCCTGGCGGATGGAGCTCTTCTCCTTTTGCTTTGGCCCCCTTCCGTGAGACATGAACCTTTGGGGCTCGACATTGCAGGCGTGGGTCTCTTACAAATTCCCGTCTCATGTGCTTCGATGGCTCTTTCTACACGTCGACACAAAATCCTAAGCACCCGACTGTTAGGGTGTGCTCCTGAGTCGGGTCCTGTCCCCCAGCATCACTGGGCCCCGTCAGCATCTGTGGGTGTCACCCTCACTCTGGCTTTCTGTTTCCTCTCCGATCCTGCCCCCTGAAGAGTCCCTTTTCCCTGTGAGTTCTTTCATCGCTATTTTTTGTTGTTTTGTTGTTATTCAATCCGGCATTTCTAGTGTCTATAGCCTTACTCTGCAGTGTTGCCAGAACCAGAAGTTACCATTGGTTTCTCACATAATACCATAGATGTAGCTAAAATGAATTTTTTTCTATAATCTTGATTTGAGGTTTACTTACCATTTATAGCCTTTAGATTTGCAGCATTCAGAATATAACGCATGTTTCTCTCTCCATAGCCCGACTTAAATCTCTGCAATGGCTAACGAAGCTTATCCTTGTCCGTGTGACATTGGCCACAGACTTGAGTATGGAGGGCTAGGCCGTGAAGTTCAAGTCGAGCACATCAAGGCTTATGTCACCAAATCCCCCGTTGATGCAGGCAAAGCTGTGATTGTCATTCAAGATATATTTGGCTGGCAGTTGCCCAATACCAGATATATAGCTGACATGATCTCAGGAAATGGATACACGTATGTATAAAGTTGTGTTTCTTTGTTTAAATTCATACAAATTTCAGTGGTTTATTTTGTTCCCTTTAAAAAATAAAACCACAGCGGTCTGACTATACAGTATCTACTGTACATTAGAAACTTCCCTATCTCACTGCCGTGAAGATAGATGGGAAATGTCTTGGGAAATTAAACACCCACCTGGTGCTCCTAACCCCATTCCTGGGTTTCCTGTCCTCCTGGGAGTACCTGGCCTTTAGACTTGCTGGACATTGAGAATTCTTTTCCCGTGTGGGGCCTCAGCCAGACGCAGGCACTGGACATCTGAGGCCAGCCTCACCTGCTGTCAAATGGACCCGTGACTCGGTCCTTCAACAGCTCAGCCTCGTGTCAGATTTCACGGCCCATTTGGACGGCAGGGTGTCCAAGGCTCCTCCTGGTCCATACACGTACGGTCGTGGCCCCCTCTGAATTAGACTGGGGTTCAGAAGTGGCACAGTGAGACCTTGCTCCCCTCCCCAAGTTTACCTCTTTGTCTGGCCAAGTGGCCATGGCCACCTTTGGCCAAGGCTGATACCCGATTGCTTCTTATTTGCCCCGGTGTAAAGCGCAGAGGAGGGCCAGAACCTTCCTTCCTCTCCAGCGTCGGAAAGCATCAACCCAGTGAGCCCTGAGGATGGTGCACGGCTGGATTTCCTTTGTTTTCACAGAAGGAGAAGCTGGAAACCCGAGGATGAGCCTACCTTGTTTTTCTAGGAAGAGAAACTGGCTTAAAGGAATCATGCCCACCCTGGTGGGATGCAGAGTCGGTGCTGAATGAAAAGACCTTCCTTGAAGTTTTCCTTTTTCACGTCCCCATGTGAGGGGACTTAACTTTCTAGGGGCAAGCCCAGTAAAAATAAATAAGTAAATAAATAGCTAGTTTCAGTTGCTCAGCCAGACGCAGTGCTGAGGGCATGACTGGGCTCATTGCCCTTAGTCCTCCTGGCAGCCCCTTGAGGGAGGAGCTGTTATTGCTCTCATTTTGCAGATTAGGAAACCAGGCCATAAAGAGAGCGCTTTGCGGCTGCCCCAGATCACTGGCCCAAGCAGCCGATCAAATGGCATTGCTGTTTCTGTTGTTTCACGGAGGGTCCTTTAGCAGGGGTCAGGACATAAAAGATAAGGAAAGACCCCTGTTTTACAAAGCCCTTTCACAGGTATACAACTTTTTTTGCCCTCGAGAGGATCCTCTGGGGTTAGGCAGTGCAAGTTTGTCAGATGAGAAAATGAGGCTAGAAGCGGTGACATGACTTGTGAAGGCCAAGGCCACACAGCAGCATGGGGTGTACCGAGCCTCGAACTTGGATTTTCTCACTCCAGTTTCAGTGTTCTTCTACCCCTATAGGAGGAGCCCTGTTCCTCCAACCAGGTGGCAATTCTATTTTGGGAAACAGGACTCAACCCCAGCGGCTGGCTCTATCCCTCTGGGTTGACTTGCATGGAAGAGCGACCTGGACTGGGGCCAGGCTTGTTTGTGCTCTGCTGCCCGTCTTAGAACATACCCTCTGGATAGGAAACTGTGCTTCGTCGCCGTCTTGGTGGAGGCTGGGAACATTGCCTGGTCATAGTGACTGGACAAGTTAGCCAGGTGTGCCCTCTGGCCTGAGGCTCATGTGAAAGGCCAGGAGTCTCCCCAGGCTGGCTGAGAGGGGCAGGAGGGGCCCTCAAAGCCACCCACGTCAGGCCCACTCCCCCAGGTGCCTCCACATCCCATGCCAGCCTATCCCATGGGAGTGTGCCCTGTGGATAGCCTCATTGCCAGGGCTGGGTTACCAGCAGGCTGCCAGACGCTGTGCACCTGCGGTTGTGAAACCTAAGAGGGCTTGGCCCGGTGCCAGGTGGCTGCTTTGCTGCGATCAAAATTGGCCTTCACACCCACTACTTTTCCTTTTCTCTGAGCCAGAATCGCCAACGTAGCAAGTTTTTAAATAAATGCAAGCAAAATACTGAGTCAAGCAACTCTGAAACTAAGATCAATTCATGTCCATATTTTGCAGAACCATTGTTCCAGACTTCTTTGTAGGGCAAGAGCCTTGGGACCCCTCTGGCGACTGGTCTATCTTCCCTGAGTGGCTGAAAACAAGAAATGCCCAGAAGATCGATAGGTGAGTTATCCGCAGACGTGGCCATGTGCACGTTGTGGCCCAGGGAGGTGAGAGCTGGGTGGGCTTCACCTTTCAGACACTACTCCTTACCTTGGGGTAGGACTTCTCCATGGCCAATGGAATCCTTCCCCTGGCACAAAGGAGAAAAAATTTTTTTTTGTTTTTGCTCTGTTGGAGCCCAGGCTGGAGAGCAGTGGCATGATCTCGGCTCACTGCAACCTGTGCTTCCCAGGTTCAAGCAATTCTCCTGCCTCAGCCTCCCGAGTAGCTGGGATTACAGGCGCCTGCCACCAGCCCGGCTAATTTTTGTATTTTTAGTAGAGACGGGGTTTCACCATGTTGGCCAGGCTGGTCTCAAGTGCTGGGATTTTTTTTGTAATTAAAATTTTTAGGCCGGGCATGGTGGCTCACACCCGTAATCCCAGCACTTTGGCAGGCTGAGGCTGGCTGATCACTTGAGATCAGGAGTTTGAGACCAGCCTGGCCAACATGGTGAAACCTGCCTCTACTAAAAATACAAAAAACAAACAAACAAACCAAAAACTTAGCTGGGTGTCATGACGCACGCCTGTAGTCCCAGCTACTTGGGAGGCTGAGGCATGAGAATTGCTTGAACCTGGGAGACGGAGATTGCAGTGAGCCAAGATGGCACCACTGCACTCCAGCCTGGGGGACAGAGCGAGACTCCATCTCAAAAAAAAAAGAAATTAATTAATTAAAAATTTTAAAATAAAATAGAGATGGGGTCTCACTATAGGCGTGAGCCACTGCACCCAGCGGGGATAGCATTCTTTATGTGATGATGATCAATATCAAACAATATTTTTATGAGCACCATCTATGAAAATAGAGATTTTAGTGCATCTGTCACCGAGTAGTGTACAGTTTACCTAATATATAGTTTTTTGGCCCTCACACCCTCCCACCCTCCCCCTTCTGAGTCTCCATAGTCCATTATATCACTCTATGTGCCTCTGTGAATCTACTCATAGCTTAGCTTCCACTTATAAGTGAGAACATACAGTATTTGGTTTTCCATTCCTGAGTTACTTCCCTTAGAGAAATGACCTCCAGCTCCATCCAAGTTGCTGCAAAAGATATTATTTTGTTCTTTCTTATGGCTGAGTATAGTCTATGGTGTATATAGGCCACATTTTCTTTATCCACTCATTGGTCAATGGGCGCTTCGGTTGCATATCTTTGCAATCGTGCTACAATAAACATACGTGTGCAGCCCACCTCCACTTTGGTACATTGCTTCTAGTTGAAAATGTATTCTGAGTTCCAAACAATCAGTTTGCACATGAATCATTTGCCAGACAAGGGCCACTATTCTTGGTCCCCTCATGGCTGAAATAGTCCTGATGGCGTTCCAAATTTGGCTTCACTGGGCGGCAGGGGGAGGAGACGAGCAATGCAGAGTGGGGAGTTTTGGGGAGAGAGTGAACGTGTGAAGTCAGAGAGTGTCTGGGCGTCTGCCCATAGTTATGGCTGCTCATGGGAGAGAGGAGAGAGGAGACTCTTCTCCTGGGAGACTCAGGGGACAGAGAAGACTGGGGCACTCTGCAGGGAGCAGATCATGGACTCGGGTCTTACGAACCGTGCTGTGGGCTGTGGCCTTCATCCCCAGGCTGTGGAAGACTGCTCAGCTCTCAGCTGGGAGTGAGGCAGTTGGACCTATGTTTTGGGAAGAGCCCAGCTTGCCTGCAGCTGTCAGGCAGTTGGAGGAGGGCTGGGCTTGGCAGGAAGATGTGCTGGGATGATGCATCAGTTGGGCCAGAGGTAGTAAGGGTGGAGCTCCCAAAAGAAGAAACCTTGGCAACTTCAAAAACAGTTGCTGATACAGCCCTGTTATCATCAGCACAGCTCTTTGAGGGGTTCACAAAATAAGCCTGATTCTTGAATATTTTTTCTTTCTGTTCTAGAGAGATCAGTGCTATCTTGAAGTATCTGAAACAACAGTGTCATGCCCAGAAAATTGGCATCGTGGGATTCTGCTGGGGTGGAACTGCTGTCCATCATTTGATGATGAAATACTCAGAATTCAGGGCAGGGGTGTCCGTCTATGGTAAATCTGCCTTGTGCATTTTTACTCCATGCAGAAGGGAGGGGTGGAAGAGTGACAACAATCACAAGCCTCCCCATCCAGTGTAACACAACCCCCAATAATGTGAAGACTGCCCATCTTATGGAAATGGGTTTTAAGAATCTGAAAATAGAGGTGGAGGTTTGTCATGCAGTTAACCAGAGGATGTCACCGGGAGTCAAGAGGTCTGGGTCCCAGTGGTGTGACTTTGGGAAAGCCACCTAATCTAAATTCTCCATTTCTTCACCTAGGATGAAGGGGATAGCTTTTTTTGTTTTTTTAATGTAATGATGATCAATATCACACAAGATTTTTATGAGCAACATCTATGAAAATATTTTTCTGGTGGTGGCTAATGCCTGTAATCCCAACACTTTGGGAGGCTTAGGCAGGCAGATCACTTGAGCTCAGGAGTTCGAGACCAGCCTGGACAACATGGCAAAACCCTGTCTCTACAAAAAATACAAAAATTAGCTGGGCGTGGTCACGTGCACCTGTAGTCCTAGCTACTCCGGAGGCTGAGGTGGGAAAATCGCTTGAGCCCAAGAAGGTCAAGGCTGCAGTGAGCCATGATCATGCCGCTGCACTCCAGCCTGGGTGACAGAGCAAGACCCTGTCTCAAAAAAAAAAAAAAAGAAAAAGAAAGAGAAAGAAAGAAAGAAAGACTGATTTTTCCAAGATACAAATTGCTCTAACTGTACACAAACATGCACACACACTAAGAAAGAAAGCAAAGGCAGCCAGATGCGATGACTCACGCCTGTAATCCTAGCACTTTGGGAGTCCAAGATGGGCAGATGGCTTGAGCCCAGGAGTTCGAGACCAGCCTAAGCAACATAGAGAGACCTTGTCTCTATAAAAAATTTTAAGGCTGGGCGTGGTGGCTCACGCCTATAATCCCAGCACTTTGGGAGGCCGAGGTGGGTGGCTCATGAGGTCAATAGTTCGAGACCAGCCTGGCCAATATGGTGAAACCCCGTCTCTACTAAAAATACAAAAATTAGCTGGGCGTGGTGGTGGGCGCCTGTAGTCCCAGATATTCAGGAGGCTGAGGCAGGAGAATCGCTTGAACCCGGGAGGTGGAGGTTGCTGTGAACCAAGATTGTGCCACTGCACTCCAACCCAGGCAACAGAGTGAGACTCTGTCAAAAGAAAAAGAAAAAAATTACTTGGGTGTACTGGCACATGCCTGTGGTCCCAGCCTCTCAGGAGGCTGAGGCAGGAGAATCACTTGAGCCCAGAAGTTTGAGGCTGCAGTGAGCTGTGAATGCACCACTGCACTCCAACCTGGATGACAGGGAGTGAGACCTTGTCTCTTAAAATAAAAAATAAAAAAAAAAAAGGAAAGAAAGCCAAGGAAAACACACTCTAAAATCGAAATAGCAATTTATACATTTTTGGCCAAAACAAACCAAAGTTACTACAGCAATGAAATAACATTATATCTGTATATAGAAACTGCTTGCTAAATTCATGATATAGAAGCATTCAGACCAATAGATAAACGAAAACAAAAAAGACACATAGGAAATATAGCCTTTAAAAATAATGCAGATGCTCCTCTACTTACAATGGGGCTAAGTCTTGATAAACCCATCATAAATGGAAAATATCTCAAGTCGAAAATGCATTTAATCCACCTCACCTACCAAGCATCATAGCCTCACCTGGCCGACCCGAAACACCTGCATCAGGCTACAGTTGGGCAAAATCATCTAACGCAAGGCCTATTTTATAATAAAGTCTTGAATGTCTCATGCAGTTTATTGAATTCTGTACTGAAAGTGAAAAACAGAATGGTTGTCTGGGTACTTGGGGAACAGTTTCTACTGAATGAGTGTCGCTTGTGCACCATTGTAAAGTCAAAAAATGAAAGTGGAACCATCGTTAGGCCTGGGACCATCTGAAGTGGATCATAAAGTTATACTAATGATTCCTTCTTGGGTTAATGGTTCCTCATTGTGGTATTTTCAACTACTTTTAGAGTTAAAAACGCCTTTAAATATTGACTTAGGACAACACAAAAGGACATAAACTCAAAAGGCAGTGGCCAGCTGCCTCTGGGAACAATGGAGCTGAGAGATGCTTTGTCCAGACCATGCTTTTGCGCGATTTAGCAAAAGGCGGTCGGGAGTGGATGCCTCCCCGGCGCCACCTTCTGGCCGCTGTTGTGTAGTGCGTGAGCTGCAGAGCGTGGCCGGGCTCAGGCCCAGGGATATCAAAAGAGGCCCATCCACATGAAGTAGCTTTGCTAGAGTGGGGAAGGGAGCGTGGTCACCTTTCCCGTGGCTCCCTGCCTCCTGAAGAGGAGTTACAGGTGAAGGAGGCTCTCTCTGTTACTTAGCTCTTCTGCTGCCAGCAGGAAGTGGAAAAAAGTTATGTTATTTACGTCTTCTTATCTTAAAATGGTTAACTTGCTGCAAATCTTTTACTTACTTATTTTCGCATAGAAGTGGACACACCCACAGGTTGTTTTCAGACAACCTGGGTCAGGCAGAGCATGCTTCTAATTTCAGAATTAATCTCGAATGAATGCTGAGATGAAAGATGAAAACTATTGTTATTATTTTTTGAGACAGCATCTTGTTCTGTCACCCAGGCTGGAGTGCAGTGGCACGATCTTGGCTCACTGAACCTCCACCTCCTGGGTCCAAGCAATTCTCCTGTCTCAGCCTCCTGAGTAGCTGGGGCTACAACACCCAGCTAATTTTGTATTTTTAGTAGAGACAAGGTTTTGCGTGGGTGGCCAGGCTGGTCTCGAACTCCTGACCTCAAGTGATCCACCCCGCCTTGGCCTCCCAAAGTGCTGGGATTACAGGTGTGAGCCACCTCGCCCGGCCAAAAACTGATTTTTATAGACTGACCTGCTAGGCCCAGGCAGTTTCACACTTCCACACTTCCACACTCGTGGTCTGGTGCGAGTCTAAATACCCACTCAAAAGACAGCTCCTCTTACCAACAAAACTACTCAGTGCATTCAAGCCAGAACCCGTGGGACTTGTGTAGACCTGAGAAACTTCTCAAGCGAAGGTTTGACATTGATCCTCTTTGTAAACGAAGGTACATCCCAGCGGGACATTCCTCAGGCTGCTCCGCATCTTTCCATACTAAGCAGCGGACGAGGTATCATTCAATTATTTAATGGCCTGATTCCCAGTCCATAAAGTGGGGAGGTAGACAGTAGGAGGATCTGACTAAATAAATTTCTCTTGTACTCTTATAATCCTCTTTTTTTTTTTTTTTCTGAGACGGAGTCTTGCTCTGTTGCCCAGAGCTGGAGTGCAATGGCATGATCTTGGCTCACTGCAACCTCCACCTCCCGGGTTCAAGCCATTCTCCTGCCTCAGCCTCCCGAGTAGCTGAGATTGCAGGCGCGTGCCACCACACCTAGCTAATTTTTGTATTTTTAGTAGAGACAGGGTTTCACCATGTTGGCCAGGCTAGTCTCGGACTCCTGACCTCATGATCCGCCCTCCTCGACCTCCCAAAGTGCTGGGATTACAGGCTTGAGTCACTGCGCCCAGGCTTTGGGTTTTTTGTTTGTTTGTTTTGTTTTGACGGGGTCTCACTTTGTTGCCCAAGCTGGAGTGCAGTGGCACAAACGGCTCACTGCAGCCTCAACTTTCCAGGCTCAAGCAATCCGCCCACCTTAGTCCCCGCAAGTAGCTGAGACTACAGGCATGCACCACCACACCCGGCTTATGTTTGTATTTTTTGTAGAGACAGGGTTTTGCGATGTTACCCAGGCTGCTCTCAAACTCCTGAGCCCAAGCCATCCACCTGCCTCAGCCTCTCGAAGTGCTGGGATTACAGGCGTGAGCCACCGCGCCCGGCCTTCTTTTACGCTAATCTTACAAGTGGGGCCACTTCTGTGGAATGGCTAAAAAAGAAAATAAAGTCCGCAAAGCAGAGATTTTACTTTGAAAAATCAAACCCAAATGTTGCAGTTTTCTGTGGCATGAGTGTGGGGATCATGCGGCATGGGTGTGGGGATCATGTGGCATGAGTGTGGGGATCAGACATCATGCCTCTGTGCTTGTTTTTCAGGCATTGTCAAGGATTCTGAAGACATTTACAATTTAAAGAACCCCACTTTGTTCATTTTTGCTGAAAATGATGTTGTGATTCCACTCAAGGACGTAAGTTGGCATCTTTTCTCTTCGTATTTATTTATTTGAGATGGAGTCTCGCTCTGTCGCCCAGGCTGGAATGCAGTGGCGCGATCTCGGCTCACTGCAACCTCCACCTCCCAGGTTCAAGCCATTCTTGTGCCTCAGCCTCCCGAGTAGCTGGGACTACAGGCGCCCACCACCGCACCTGGGTAATTTTTGTATTTTTAGTAGAGACGGGGTTTCACCATGTTGACCAGGCTGGTCTTGAACTCCTGACTTCAGGTGATCTGCCTGCCTTGGCCTCCCAAAGTGATGGGATTATGGGTGTGAGCCACCACGCCTGGCCTCATTTATATATTTAATAGCACGGTTTGACATTCTGCGGGGAGTGGGAAGTCTTGAAGGATGCATTTGTTGCTCCAAATATTTCCAACATTAACATTTTAAAGATGGGTTTTATTCAATTCCACTTATATAATTCCAGTGTGGAAGTATAACCTTCCCAAAACATGCTTAAGGAAATGTCTGAGGGAAGTATTCTCAGCATGGCCTGGTTACCTGGTGGAGAAACGGGACCTCTTGCCCCACCTCCATGCTAACCCACAAATTACAATAAAGTCTGTGACCTTAAAGACAAGGATTTATTAAACAAAGTCAGTTGATAAGGAAAAAGCAGAAGAAAAGTATGGTTCAAAAGCAGTCATTTAGCTGGGCGTGGTGGCTCATGCCTGTAATTCCAGAAACTCAGAAGGCTGAGGTGGGAGGATTGATTGAGGCTGAGAGTTTAAGACCAGGCTAGGCAGTCTAGCTAGATCCCTTCTCCACAAAAATATAAAAAAATTAGCTGGGATGGTGGCACACATCTGTAGTCCCAGCTATTTGGGAGCCTGAGGCAGGAAGATTGCCTGAGCACAGGAGTTGGAGGCTGCAGTGAGCCACGATTGTGCCACCGCACTCCAGCCTGGGTGACAGAGTGAGACCCTGACTCTTAAGAAAAAAAAGCAGTCATTTAGAAATTATTGTTATAATATTAGTAACTAATATATTAATGCAAGTGATTTCAAATAATAGATGTATCATTTTTCCATTTCCCTGAAATCTCTCCTTTGCCAGACATAAGGACTGTGTTAGTTATAAAATTAGCAGTAGAGGCCGGGCGCCGTGGCTCACGCCTGTAATCCCAACACATTGGGAGGCAGAGGCAGGCAGATCACTTGAGGTCAGGAGTTTGAGACTAGCCTGGTCAACATGGTGAAACCCTGTCTCTACTAAAAATACAAAAATTAGCTGGGCATGGTGGCGGGTGCCTGTCATCCCGGCTTCTCCGGAGGCTGAGGCAGGAGAATCACTTGAATGTGGGAGGCAGAGGTTGCAGTGAGCTGAGATGGCGCCACTGAACTCCAACCTGGGCAACAGAGTGAGACCCTGTCTAAAAAGAAAAAAATTAGTGGGAAAGAATTCAGTGTAACTGTGGAACTTGTTTCTGATTTAAAGCATTGATGTTAAATTTCTGTTATGAACGCTCACTAAAGATTTGGAGAATGGAAAGTATCACTAAAGGGTTAAAATCATGAAATCTTTTGCACACCAGGTATCTTTGCTGACTCAGAAGTTGAAAGAACACTGCAAAGTTGAATATCAAATTAAAACATTTTCTGGGCAGACTCATGGGTTCGTGCATCGGAAGAGAGAAGATTGCTCACCTGCAGACAAGCCCTACATTGACGAGGCCAGAAGGAATTTAATTGAGTGGCTGAACAAGTACATGTAGCAAGAATCAAGGGCAAGCCTTCCTAGAATAGCTTTCATCCCAAAATTTGCTTGGAAATAGTTAGATCATTTGATTTAATTTTCACTTTTATAAAATAAGTGTAGGAATCCTAAAATTGATTATTTCATTTGAAACACAAATTCAGTAGGACGTAATGCATGAAATAATTTAATTTTTGACATGTACATCGAATCATAATTTAAAAACAAGGTCTGACCAGGTGTAGTGCCTCATGCCTGTAATTCCAGCACTTTGGGAGGCCAAAGTGGGTGGATCACCTGAGGTCAGGAGTTTGAGACCAGCCTGGCCAACATGGTGAGACCCCATCTCTACAAAAAATACAAAAATTAGCCTGGTGTGGTGGTGCACGCCTGTAGTCCCAGCTACTTGGGAGGCTGAGGCACAAGAATCAATAGAACCCAGGAGGTGGAGACTGCAGTGAGCCAAGATTGTGCCACTACTGTACTCTAGCCTGGGCAGCAGAGTGAGACCCTGTCTCAAAAATAAATAAGTAAATAAATAAATAAATAAAATAAAAACCAGGTCAGTACCTGGAGAATTTGAATGATAGAGAATGATAGAGTAATACCCTAATTATTAGTTAAAACCTACAGGCCGGGTGCGGTGGCTCACGCCTGTAATCCCAGCACTTTGGGAGGCCGAGGTGGGTGGATCACTTGAGGTCAGGAGTTCAAGACCAGCCTGGCCAACATGGTGAAACCCCATCTCTACTAAAAATATAAAAATCAGCCGGGCATGGTGGCATGTGCCTGTAATCCCAGCTACTCAGGAGTCTGAGGAGGAGAATCACTTGAACCTGGAGGCAGAGGTTGCAGTGAGTCGAGGTTGCGCTACTGCACTCCAGCCTGGACAACAGAGGGAGACTCTGTCTCAAAAAAAAAAAAAAACCTACAGCTGTTCAAGGACCAGCTGACAGGTCAAGTGTGGCCTTTTCTGGTCTTTGAACACATCATAGAAAGTGACAAATGCTGCAAAGCCATGAAGAACATGAACTATAAACGGGTAGACTAACTGCCCAGCTTAGACACTTATCTATGCCACAAAACAGCTGAATTTGTCACATTTATATATTGCAATATGGGAAGTATTGAGATCAAAACAGGATTCCATTGACCTAATTATATTAAGCTAATAAACTAATTTTTTGAATTTTTGAATTTGCAGCTTTTTTAAAAAGATAGCAGAGAACGGTGGGCTAGAGTTGTCACCCAGCTGTTGTCTCCTAAGCAGTGGATTTCCAAGCACTGGCATTTTTGGGTCCCAGGGCCTGAGGCTACCTCAGAAATATCTCCTGTGTTTCTGGTGGTGGCGTAAAGGGGAGAGCCGGTGAGAAACTCTGCACCTGCACCTACGGGGTGCGTACATGTGACTTTGGGCAAGTGACTTGATGTTGTAGTTTTTTTCCTAATTTTGTCTTGACGTCCTTCTCAGGAGAGAGTGGCTGTAAACTCTAGCCCTGCCCTGACGGGGATCCTGGGGATGTGGTCGTGGGTGTTTCCCATGTGCCTTTCATGGGATCCTTCTTTGACCTCACAGACGGCCTGATTCCTGAGTGTCCAACCTGTGGCCAGGTGTCCCTCTCGCAGGAAGCTTGTTTATCCTGGCACATGACCTTGTGGCTCTCATCTGACCTGTGTCCAGTTTATTCCTACTGAGACAGCCACTCTCCCGGAGAGCCCTGACCGGGAAAGAAGTTAGGATGGGGTAGAGGAGGCAACTCATCAGAACCCAAGAAATGACAGAAGCAGTTTATTGCTTACAGATCCAGAGAACAGAGGGCAGCACGCTTCACAGGGCCAGCAAAAAGGGGGAGCCATTCAGGACACATGGGCTCAACCAGAAGGTGGAGAACGAGAGAGAGAGGGAGCTATGAGCCAAAGCCTTCACTGGGGCCCAGGGTGTCATCTATGCAGGTTTCCCCTGGAGGTTCTAACTGGGGGGTTTAGAGCAAGCAGGCATGAGCCCCGGGGACTCACGCTGTGACTGAGAGGGGTCGGTGTGGGTAGGATATCGGCATGGTCCATGTGGGTGTGGGGGTCAGTGGGACAAGTCAAGCAGGTGGTATCCAGCTGTCCATGGGAAGGTGGTCCCAGGAGGCGGTTTTGTAAGGCAGATGTCTGGATCGACCACCTTGGGGAACAGTGAGAAGTTGTATAACTGGAAACTGTGTTACTAATCCCTGCTTCTAGTATGAGAAAGTCCAACTTACATTCAAATAGATGCTCAGGAAACATAAAATTCAAAGAATTCCCAAACTTGAGCTTCCTGAGCCTCAGTTTTTGCATCTGTCAAATGGGTATGGGGAGACCCTTTGCCTAATGTTGAGAGAATCCAAGCCTGAGCAGGGCTGGTCTACTGTGGACACTTAGTTGTGGACCCCAACAGGCCAAAGCCCTTGCCTGCTGAGGGCTGCTCCCAGGAGGCCTCACACATTCATCCGGCCTCCCAGGAAACCCCTGAGATGTGCTGGGCTTTTGCCGTGGAACGGTGTCGGTGAGCATGTGGCCAGTAGCCAGAGTCTTCAACATAGGTGGGAGGTCTGAAATTCGTGCGAGAATGAACCAAGGGTGTGGCTGTATCCTTCATGGTGAGCTTGGGGCCTGGGCAGCCTTCCCTCTGCTGAGTCCTTTGGTCAAATGTCATGGTGTTCTGAACCAGCACTGCAGATAGAAGTATAATGTAAGTCACACACGTACTTCTTTAAAAAGATATGTTCTTCAGTGACTATTAGACAAACAGATAAATGAAGGTAAAGGGAAAAAATGGCAACTTTAGCTTTTTTCCCCATGTATGTAATTTTAAATTTTCTTATAGCCCCATTAAAAAAAGGAAAGAGACACAAGTGAAATTAATTTTAATAATGCATTTTAGCCCAATTTATCACAAATGTTCCATCAGTGTGTAATCAATGTAACGAATCATGAGTGAGATATTTTGTATTTTTTTTTTTTTGTTCCTCTATCTTTGACATCTGGTGTGTATTTTCTGCTTACACATATCTCCATTTGGATGCTAACTTTTCATCAGAAGTACTTGATTTGGCCAGGCACAGTGGCTCATGCCTGTAATCCCAGCACTTTGGGAGTCTGAGGTGGACTGATCATTTGAGGTCAGAAGTTCAAGATCAGCCTGGCCAACATGGTGAAACCCCATCTCCACTAAAAATTCAAAAATTAGCTAGGCATGGTGGTGGGCACCTGTAATCCCAGCTACTTGGGAAGCTGAGGCAGGAGAATCACTTAAACCCGGAGGTGGAGGTTGCAGTGAGCTGAGATGGTGCCATTTTACTCCAGCCTGGGCCACAGAGCAAGACCATCTCAAAAAAAAAAAAAACAAAAAAAAGTACTTGATTTATGTTTAGATTTCACAAAATTTACAGTTGAGAAAAGTAGATTTACATATTTAAGTTTTCCGATAACTGAGTCTAGCATCAAAAGTCATTTCCTTTACAGTTCACCTCCCACATTGACAAAACTGCTTCATTTGTTTTAGAACAATTGATTTGACTTTGAAGCAAAAGCGTATCCGTTTCAAAATGACGTCAATCTAAATTAAGTGAATTTACTGGCTTTTGTGTCACTGTCATCTCAGTGCTGACAGCATCGAGGTCAGAGGGTCTAGCACACACTGAACAGAGATCCGAGTGTGGTGGGATCAACAGAGCTTTCCACAATATTTTTTCTTGTCGTTTTTTCAGGAGAAGTTTTTTGTTTGTTTGTTTGTTTTGAGACAGAGTCTTGCTCTGTCGCTCAGGCTGGAGTGCAGTGGTGCTATCTTGGCTCACTACAACCTCCGCCTCCCGGGTTCAAGTGATTCTTCTGCCTCAGCCTCCGGAGTAGCTGGGATTACAGGCGCCCACCACCACGCCCAGCTAATTTTTCTATTTTGAGTAAAGACAGGGTTTCACCATGTTGGCCAGGCTGGTCTCAAGTGGACCTCAAGTGATCCGCCCACCTCGGCCTCCCCAAGTGCTGGGATTACAGGCATGAGCCACCGCGCCCAGCCCAGGAGAAGTATTTTACACTGCTTCAGTTTTTTAATTTAAGTGAATTAAAATGAAATGAAAAGTTGACCTCCCCAGGAGTGCTAACCCTGTAGCAGGGTAGTCACTGGCCACACCTGCAAGTCTATACTGGCGAGGAAGATTCGCATCCCCAACTGCATCCTGTTGACTTTCCATTAATCCTGTTTGTCCGCCTTATGGCAGCCCTGCAGCTGGTTGTGAAAGAAAATAGACGCTCAGGACCCGAAAGTCACTATGCCAGAGGGAAAGTTCAGCTTGGGAACTGCGCAATACTGCCTTCCTTTCCTTCCCAAACAGACAGCTGCAATGTCACAACCCTGTGTTAGAGCCTCGTCCGTAAGCCAGGATCCCACAACCATGGAAGGCCACACATCTCCCCAGATGGCCTCCCTCCCAAAGCGCTCACACAGAAATTCCTTGTGAGCAGCTAGATCTTTCAGGCTATATCCACCCCCTATAAACTAGCCCTGAAACAAGTTTTTTGGATCTCACCCTGACGATGTCAATTACCAGGTGATCCTCACAGAGAGGACAAAGACAAGACCAGAAATCATCCCTGAGACAAATGCATAATTGACTTTTCCTGTGCTTCCTTTCTTCACGTGTAAAATGTAGATTTACTGAGACTCAGAGCCTCACAAGAATGCGACCATCTGCCTCACTGCGTCCCTCCCCCGTCTTTTCCCTCCTGCTTGCCCTTGCCTTTTTAAATATTGCCGTGCCCCAGACCCCCTTTGGAAAAAGCACAGCTCACAGATGTTTCTGTGGCTTGTGGTTGTTTTCGTGGGCTCGTTCTCAACCTTGGCGAAATAAACCTCTGTGGATTGACAGCTGCCTTGGTCGCTTTTTGGTTAACATGGTTTTTCTCAATTACAGCCAGATCATTTATTTACTTGGCAAACTCCTCAAGCCTAGATCTGTGCCTCCGCTTAGCCCCTCTCCATGTCTGCAGACACCAAAAAGGCCATTTCTTTTCCCTCCCATGCAGGCCTGGGCCCTACAGGCAGCTCCCTCCATCAGGTGAGACCTTAATTCTCCTTGAGTTCCAGATTGGGGCTGTTTTTATCCCAATGCCTGGCCAACGTGGGCAGTCTTATCAGTCCTGGGGCGCCAGCAACCTGCAAACTCAGTGCATTCCTGTTCTAGAAGACCAAGCAAGAAGGATGCCTGCGGCCTCAGGATCACCCCACCCCTTCTTCTGTAAAAGGGCAGCCAGTCCCGGTAGGGCTGGCCCCTCTGAGTCCCAAGGTGGGGATGTGCTTTTCAGGCCTTTAGATGAGAGCAGCAGAACTTATCAATGGTATTTGCATTTTAGAAAGATTAAAGTTCGGCCCCTCTGGAGAGGGAAGGAGCACAGTAACAGGAAGCAGAGATGTGAGCCTGACTGATGTGGTTTGGCTGTGTCCTCACTCAAATCTCATCTTGAATTGTAGTTCCCATAATCCCTACGTGTCATGGGAGGGACTTGGTGGGAGGTAATTGTATCATAGGGGCAGTTACCTCCCTTCTGTTCTCATGAAAGTGAGTGAGTTCTCACAAGATCTGATGGTTTCATGAGGGGCTTTCCTCCCACTTCGCACTGTATGTCTCCTTGCTGCTGCCATGTGAAGAAGGATGTGCCTGCTTCCCTTTCCACCATGACTGTAAGTTTCCTGAGGCCTCCCCAGCCATGCTGAACTGTGAGTCAATTAAACTTCTTTTCTTTATAAATTACCAAGTCTCAGGTATGTCTTTAGTAGCAGCGTGAGAACAGACTAATACACTGACCGAGGCAGCAGAGTGGAGAGTTGCTGAGAGATGCAACTGCTTTTACTGCAGAGACTGAGAGGACACCAAGAAGCAAGACCCTGAGGTTGGCTTAGAGATTATCCAGCACAAATTATCCAGCACAGAATCCTGAAGAGAAGCGGGCTGTGAGGAAACAATTTAAGTTTGGTTCAGCCTGGAATATCAGTTGAGTTTTCTTGGGCTGCAAATAACAGAAAACCTGACTGACAGTGGCTAAGAGGGTAACATTTAAGTATCTCCCACACAGTCCTCCAGGGATCTCAGGTGGTTTGGGGGTTTCCTGGTGTCAGGACCCGGGTTGGTGTCTGCATTCTCTGGGCCCTAGGGCCTTACAAATCCCAGCCACAACAGGAAGGGAAGGAAGGAGCTCTCTCCTGCACCTCTGTTTTAGAGAGGGAGGGAAATCCCCCAGCTGTGTGCCCCCTGTGTCATGGGAGAGGCCGAGGACCTGGGCATCAGCTGAAGGGGAATTGGTGACGGGATTGGATTAGACCCTGACTCACTTAGCCAGGGATGGGGTGCGCTCCCTCTGGACAGAGCTGGGCTTTGGTGGGCTATGAAGAGGAGTGTGGAGGCTGGTTGTGGGGGGCAGTTGTATGAGACCCATGTGGCTCTGTAACGTTGGGAGTCATCCATGAGGTGGCTGTGGCGGGTATGGCAGAGGGAGAGTGTGAGGAAGACGAGGGTGAGAAGAGGAGGCTCAGGAGGGAAAAGCTGGGTGTATCCATGCTTCATGTTTAGCTTGTGGGTTTGGGCAATGTGCTTCTCTGACCCTCAGTTTTTCTCAATGTAAAAGCTATAAACTCAGTAAAATAACATAACTCTGCAGGGGTGCATTGTTAGAGTAGGTAGTCAGGAAGACATAAGCAGGGCAGGAGAGGTCTACCTCCCCAGGAATGTCAGGTGGCCATCAGGCGATGGTCAGGTGGTTGTTAAACTGTCTCTCTAAAATAATACTTGGTCACAGCCAGCACCAGGGAAAGGCAGTCTCCCTATAGAGAGAAACATCTGAAGCTGGTGATCAGTAGCTTCCTGATAAGATCTCAGGATTTGGGCAAGCAGACCCAAGCATGCACCCTAAGAGGCAAGATGGTGGACAGCCTGCTCCAAGGGAAGAGTTATCCCAATGCCTGGCCAACGTGGGCAGTCTTATCAGTCCTGGGGCGCCAGCAACCTGCAAACTCAGTGCATTCCTGTTCTAGAAGACCAAGCAAGAAGGATGCCTGCGGCCTCAGGATCACCCCACCCCTTCTTCTGTAAAAGGGCAGCCAGTCCCGGTAGGGCTGGCCCCTCTGAGTCCCAAGGTGGGGATGTGCTTTTCAGGCCTTTAGATGAGAGCAGCAGAACTTATCAATGGTATTTGCATTTTAGAAAGATTAAAGTTCGGCCCCTCTGGAGAGGGAAGGAGCACAGTAACAGGAAGCAGAGATGTGAGCCTGACTGATGTGGTTTGGCTGTGTCCTCACTCAAATCTCATCTTGAATTGTAGTTCCCATAATCCCCACGTGTCATGGGAGAGACTTGGTGGGAGTTTTCCCTTGGAAGGGAAAAGAAATGCAAACCTCGGAACCATGCCAGCGTATAAAACCCCAAGTCACAGACCAAACAGGGCACTTGGCCCTCTTCCAAGTGTACTTTGCTTCCTTTCGTTCTTGCTCTAAAACTTTTTGATAAACTCTCACTCCTCCTTTAAAACTTGCCTCAGTCTGTCCCTCTGCCTTACGACCCGCAGCTGAATTCTTTCATTCGAGGAGGCAAGGATTTGATTTGATGTAGACCCTTCAGATTCACACTGGTAACAGTAGGTGAAGTGTCATCAGCATGCCTCACCCTTGAGTAAATGCTGGTGGACCCAGGGTAGTTCTCCCTGAATGCATATTAAGTGGCAACCGCAGAGGGGGACGGCCAGAGGTGGGGAGCAGCCAGGGATGTAGGAGCAACTAGAGGGCAGAGCTCCAGGAAAGTCACCAGAGGAGCTTCACAAAGGAAGAGAATTTTTTTAAAAAAAAGACAGGAAAAGGTTGTGTGTGTGAGAAAGAGGACTCCAACTCAGAGAGCACCCCAGGGATTTGCAGCAGAAGGACACAGTGATTGCAGCACGAGTGGTTTCTATGCAGGGTGGGGTCCACAGACCATCGCTGTGGGTGGAGGGAGCAGAAGGTGGAAGGCAGGAGAGGAAGCGGGGCTGACAACAGTGCTGCAGAGTAACGGAGTGAACAGGAAGAGATGGCTCCAGGGGACACAATTGAAGGGTTTTGTTTTCCTATGCTTTGGTTTTTTTTCTTTTTTTTTTTTTTGTTGAGACAGGATCTGGCTGTGTTGCCCAGGCTGGAGTGCGGTATTCCAATCACCACTCACTGCAACCTCTGTCTCCCAGGCCCAAGCAAACCTCCCTCCTCAGCCTCCTGAGTAGCAGGGACTACAGGTACATACCACCACACCTGGCTTTTTTTTTTTTTTTTTTTTTTTTTTTTAAGAGACAGAGTCACACTGTGTTGCCCAGGCTGGTATCGAACTCCTGAACTCAAGTGATCCTCCTGCCTCAGTCTCTCAAAGTGGTAGGATTACAGGTGTGAGCCACTGCACCCGGCTGGTTTTTGCTTTTTAAGGTGAGATTCATGCTGGAAAGTGCTAACAGAGGAGGGGAGGCTGTGTGTGTAGGTAAGAGAGATTTACAGACAGGAGGAGCCTATTCTCAGGGTCTAAACCAGCAAAGAGCTGGATTCTTACCATGTTCCATGTCCCTTGCGTGTTGCCAGAGGACTTACATCATCTTCACCTCTGGGGAGCCTCAGCGGATGGGGCAGCCACTGCCTTGAATAGTGCACTGTGCTGTGTGCTCAGAAGAGTGAGCCTTGAAGGGTCTTGCCTTGGCATGTACATGCTCTAACCTGGAAATCATACTGCTGCCACAGACGCTGGACTGTACTAGCGTAGGGGTTAAGGGAAAACTTCCGTATCACCCTCTGAAAGTCACTGACAAGAGGCAGATTAATAGGAAAAAAGGCATACAAATTTATTTGATCATAGTTTTATGTGACATGGGAGCCATCAGAACGATGACCCAAAGACACAGGGGAAATTGTCCTTTACTGATTGGTTGTTTTAGAGACAGGGTCTCGCTTTGTCACCCAGGCTGCAGTGCGGTGGTGTGATCATGGCTCACTGCAGCCTCCAACTCCTGGACTCAAGCAATCCTCCAGCCTCAGCCTTTCAAGTTGCTGGGACTGCAAGTGCGTGCCACCACACCCGGTTAAGTTTTTTGTAGAGATGAACTCTCACTATGTTACCCAGATTGGCTGGAGTTCCTGGGCTCCAGTGATCCTCCCACCTCAGCCTCCCAAAGTGCTGGAATTACAGTCATGAGCCACAAAACTGTCCATTTTTTTGCTTAGGTTCAACAAAGTGTGGGCAGCACGTGGAAATACGGTTGGAGAAAAAGGGTCTGATCTAATGCCAGTGGACTGAGTGGGGGCCCCAGCAAGGCCTGGTGAGACTCTTCTTGGCCTCTCAGGGCAGCATTTCTTCCTTCTGGTTATCAGACAGGACCCTCTCTGGAATGGGGGTCTTATGAATTACGGGCAAACAAGATAGGTCAGATAATTTCTTTATGGCCAGTTTTTACAGGGAAGTGGCAACAGGGGGTGGTTTTAGAGTAATAGTTTTAGGTTTTGTGGCTGGCTTTGAGGGAAAGAGGTTCTGGTTTCTATGACCACCTAGGGGAAGAGGGATTCTGGTTTTCAGCTTCAGGGCAGAATGAAGGGCCAGAAACAGGAGGGAAGGAGGTCAGAGAGAGCTGCTTCTGAAGCCTTCATTTTGGGGTGTTGTATTCTGAGACCCTCACTAGTCACAGAACCCCATCCAACCACAAGGAATCTGGGCAGTGCAATCCTACTATAAGTCCAGAACGCATCCTGAGGAGCACTAAAGACAATCTCAGATGCAGAAATGAGAAACAAGCTCTGAGAGATGGAATCAATGGGACATTGGAATTGTCTCGGGCAGGAGGAAGATACCCTTCCCTCTCCCCTCCCCCACTGAGGCAAGACAGAAGCATATGCGTTTCCGATTGCTGCTGTGACAAATTTTCACAAACATAGCAACTTAAACCACACAAATTTATATCTTTACAGTTATGTAGATCAGAAGCCTTGGCTGGTTGCTCTGCTGTGGGATTCACAAGGCCAAAATTAAGGTGTTGGTTCACTGGGTTCCTGTCAGGAGGCTCTGGGAAAAAGCCTCTTCCAAGTGTATTTGAGTTTTTGGCAGAATTCAGTTTCTTGCGACTGTAGTATCAGGGTTCCTGTTTTCTCTCTGGCTGTCAGCTGGAGGCCACACTTAGTTCCCAGAGCTTCCAGTCCTTGCACATGGTCCCTGTATCTCAGAGCCAGCAATGGCATGTGGAATCCTCAGGGTGTTCTTTTTTTTTTTTTTTTTTTTTTGAGACAGAGTCTCCCTCTGTCACCCAGGCAGTGGTGTGATCTCAGCTCACAGCAACCTCCGCCTCCAGGGTTCAAGTGATGCTCCTGCCTCAGCCTCTGAGTAACTGGGATTACAGGCACTTGCCACCATGCCCGGATAATTTTTGCATTTTGAGTAGAGCCAGGGTTTTGCCATGTTGGCCAGGCTGGTCTTGAACTCCTGTCCTCAGGTGATCAACTTGCCTCGGCCTTCCTAAGTGCTGGGATTACAGGTGTGGGCGCCCGCACCTTGCCAAGGCCGCCATCTCTTGAGTCTCCTGCTGTATCTTTCACCTTTATCTGTGAGCCCCTGTGGGCTTGTGTGACTGCATTGGAACCACCTGGATAATTGCCCTCTTTTAAGGTCAGCTGATTGGTAACCTTAATGAAATCCGTGAAGTCCCTTCTCACAGTATCTAGATCAGTGCCTGAAGGAATAACCAGATGGGCTCTTGGGAGCACAGGTTTAGAATTCTGCCTCTCACAGGAGGTGAGGGACGATGAACTGCTGCAAACGAAGTGGGAGCCGAGGAGCTGAAAGACCACACTGCTGGCTTCAGTTGCGTCTTTGCAGTAGGCGTCAAGATCATGTGATAAATAAGACATCCTGCTAAGTGCACATTTTCAGCTGCTTATACTGAAAACTATATAAAGTTAAAAAGTTTATTTCCATAAGGGAGTGGTCCATTCAAATTATGCAGTGTCTCTTGGACTTGTCAATGACTAGGATTATGATGAGGATCAAATGTTTTGGTTTTAGGATTCTTTTACACTTTTTTTTTTTTTGAGTCAGGGTCTCACCCTGTTGACCAGGCTGGAATGCAGTGACACTGTTAACAGTAGGTAGCTAGTCAGGCATGAGCAGGGCAGAAAGAGTGGCCCCTAACCCTTTGCCCCCTCAGGTGATGCCAGCTGACCCTCAGGTGATGGTCAGGCGGTTGTTAACTGTCTCCCTAAAATAACAATTGGTCACAGCCGGTGCCTGGGAAGGGCAGTCTCCCAATAGATAGAAAACACCTGAAACTGGTGATGAGCAGCTTCCTGACAACATCTCAGGAGTTGGACAGGTGGGCTCAAGCATGCGCATTAAGAGGCAAAATGGCGTCATCTAACTGGAATGCTAGACTGGTAAGGGAAGAAGGCCTCAAGTGAGCATGTGTAGAACTCCAGTAAACACACTGCCCTGCTCCTCTCCCAAGTGCTGGCAGGCCACTGTGTATGCGACAGCCCATGCCTGGGGTGTAATCGGGAGAAGTAACCCAAGACCCTGGAAGTACGCCAACATATAAAACCCCAAGTTGAAAGGCCCAACCCTGCATTGGATCTCTCGTTGCCCGCTTGGCCCTCTTCCAAGTGTACTTTTCTTTCATTCCTGCTCTAAAGCTTTTTGTTTTTATTTTTGGTTTTTGAGACGGAGTCTTGCTGTGTCACCCAGGCTGGGGTGTAGTGACGTGATCTCGGCTCACTGCAACCTCCGCCTCCCTGGTTCAAGCGATTCTCTTGCCTCAGCCTCCTGAGTAGCTGGGGTTACAGGCTCCTGCCACTATGCCCGGCTAATGTTTTTGTGTTTTTAGTAGAGACGGGGTTTCACCACGTTGGCCAGGCTGGTTTCAAACTTCTGACCTCAAGTGATCTGCCCACCTTGGCCTCCCAAAGTGCTAGGATTACAGGCGTGAGCCACCGCGCCTGGCCTAAAGCTTTCTAACAAACTTTCACTCCTGCTCTAAAACTTGCCTTGGTCTCTCCTGCGTTATGCCCCTCAGCCGAATTCTTTCTTCTGAGGAGGCGAGAATTGAGGCTGTTGCAGACCTGTGCAGATTCAACGCCAGTAACAGCATGGTCATGGCTCACTGCAGCTTAACCCCCTGGGCTCGAGGGATCCTCCTTTCTCAGCTTCCCAAGTAGGTAAGACTGCAGGCACACATCACCATGCCCTGCTAATTAAACAATTTTTTTTGTGTAGAGACAGAGTCTCACTTTGTTGCCCAGGCTGGTCTCGAACTCCTAGGCTCAAGCGATACTCCTGCCTCAGCCTCCCAAAGTGCTTGGGTTACAGGCATGAACCACTGTGTCTGGCCACAGCATGTTCTGGAATATGAAGATCTGGCCACACACAGATATGTAGTTGGACAAGGGAGAAGTATTTTAATTGCCTTTCACAAAACTGGATATTCTTCGATATTGCACCAAAACCCAACAAGTGATAGACTGAATACACTTTCTTCTGTCACACTGGTCCATCTTGCATCTTGAAAAGGTCTGGTACCTATGCATGATGCTGTAACATCATATGCATATTTGGCAAATATTGGTCTAGTGAGCAGATCTTCCGGTTGTTGACACATTTCATTATGCAATGTCAAAGATTCATACTTTATTATTGAGAAAGAGTCTCGCTCTGTCATCCAGGCTGGATTGCAGTGGTGTGACCATGGCTCACTGCACCCTCAACCTCCTGGGCTCAAAAGGATCTTCCCACTTCAGCCTCCCAAGTAGCTGGGACCATATAAGCATGCCATCAGGCCCAACTAACTTATTTTTGGTAGAGACAGGGTGTATGTTGCCCAGGCTGGTCTCTGACTCCTGGGCTAGAGCGACTCCTCTTGCCTCAGCCTCCCAAAGTGCTGGGATTACAGGTGCGAGCCACTGCACCTGGCCAAAAAGATGATTTTCTTTTTGAAAGTGTATGGTGCCACTACCTGACTCACACTAAGGTGTGGTTTTAATGGTCACTGCTTTTGCACCATCAGTGCAAAAGTCAACACAGTGAAAAGGGCAGTAACTTCAGTGTAGGAAAATACATTTGACTCATAGGCCCCTTGGAAAGACCCAGGACCCCGAGGGATCCATGGAGCAGACTTTGAAAACCAGTTTTAATGTACATAAACCATTTAGAGCAGTGATAGGGCACACACATTTATATTTTTACTACCTTGTCGTGTTTTCCCCACTTTTCCTGCCCTTCAACACTTTCTCGGCCATTTGCCTTTGGTCCCCACTTTTCTGGTGCTTTTAGATGACCCCATTCTGCCAAGACTGCCTGCAAGGAACACCTAGGTTGGAGAAACTTCTCCATGCTTACAAATTACTGATTAGTCAGTTACTACCGTGTCACCTTCCTCTGGCCACACCCCCCAACCCTCAATCTGTTGGAGCTGTTTCACCTAGAGAAAGAAAATGAGAGTCAAGAAATTCAGTCCAATGTAACAGAGAGATGGGCCTCTTAGCCCTCCCTGTGACATTTGTGCCTCACAGCGGCTGCTTGCAGAGTTGACCCTCATCTGAATTCAACCAACCTCAGGTTGAGAACATTCAGAGAAAAAAATTGCATCTGTACTGAACATGTAGATTTTTTCTTGTCATTACTCCCTAAATACAGTATGACACTTACATATCATTTATATTAGATATTATGAATAATAGAGATGATTTAAAGTATACAGGAGGATGTATGTTATATGCAAATACCACGATTTTTATCAGGGACTTGAGCGTCCATGAAATCTGGCACCTACAGGACATCCTGGAACTGCCCCCACATAGAAATTGAGTAGGCTGAAATTAAAAACAGGACATTTAACAAACCTCCAATGAATCTAGCAGGTGTAGAAATCGGGAACCAGCAGTAATACATGGGGACTTACATGGGAATCTAGCCTTTGGGTCAAGCACCCTAAGTTGCTTTTGCTCCACATGGGGAAGGAGAGGGTGTGGCCAAAGTACCAGCAAAATAAAACTTGAGTGATCTGGAACGTGAAAAATAAAAGACATCACGTGGAAGAGGTTTATTACAAATAAATGAAACAAAAATCAAAGGCTTGTGAAACATCTCTAAGTCTTCCTGTTCATTGACCAGTTTCTCAATCACAAAAAACAGGAACGTCTGTGAGGTTCAATTTTGGAAAGGGGGATTGGTTTAGTGGCTCTTCTGATACAACCACAGACCCCTCGGATAAGACTGTGGTCCAAAGAAGGCTGCTGTATGTTCTCTGTAGGCTAGACTCAGTCCTTGTAAATAAACTCAGTTTAAAGCTTTCAATACTCAACTGCATAGTTCCATATAAACATGAAAATTAGGAAGATTGCTATTAGCACACATTCCTAAATCCACAGGAGTTATTTAGCAAAACATCCAATGCATGAATGTAGAGAAAACACAATGACCCAAAAGTTAAGACTGGTGAATCTCCAGGTTCACATGAGACGGTAACCCAAATTCATCACTTAACCAAATTTAGACAAGAGTCACCATTTCCTAATTCTAGGAAATCTGACTAGTTAAGGTGGCATAACTAGTGATAAAGTTCATCATGAGCTTTATCATCACAATGCTAAGAAACATTATTTTAGAAAATCTAGAGAATCATTAACAAGCAAATAACAGAGTAGGGGATGAGCTGGGCCACTCTGGGGTCAGACTGCCTGGGATTGACCTGGCCCTACTACTTGCTGGTGGTGAGATGCTGGCCAATTATGAGTACTCACCTGTAAGATGTGAGCAGTAAGAAAGTGTATCTGCCTCACTGGGTTGTCAGAACAGACAATCCCGGTAGAGTTCTCGGAGCGTCTTGGCCCATCACTGTTAGCTAGTTAATACTTTAGTAAGTACAATTAATTTCAGTCACTCTATCTGAACATGGTAACTGCAAGATTTCTCCCTTATTTCCTGTAATTTACTTTAACCTCCACTTCACTGTGTCCCTCTGATAGGGAAACAAGTGGGTTCTGAACTGCCCTAAGCCTGTGCTGGTGGCCAGCTCTGCACATGCTGGTCCTGATTCTGTGTATGAGCTGTGTTCAGGGTGGGGCCGGGGCCAGAGGAAAGCAAAGGCTCACATGGGTCTCCATCAGCCCTAAACAACACGCCAGGTTAGGCTGTGAGCAACCTAGTAACAGCACTTAAGGCATCCCATAATTCTGTGGTGGACCCTCTACAATCAAATGGCCCACCCATTTAGATAGGAAGAGGATCAAGCCCATATTCCTCTCAATATGAAAGTGCATCTTGAGAGCTCCTGTTTAAGCTGTTAAAATAGTCCCTACAGCTTATTTTGAGAAAAAAAAATCCACCCAAACCCCTTCAATTAAGGCAGCATTTAATTACTGTTACAATAAACGTTTCTTAAACCCGAAGAGAAGATAAAGGTTGTTTAAACAGATTCTTTTAATACAATGAATACAAAAGCAGTTGAGATGGTACCCCCACGATTACACAGCTTTGAACAAGTGAAACTATGGTTACCAAACAGCTATTTTTATTATAGCATCTACAGTGTCTGGAAAAGGATGTAACAATAAATAACTGTAGATGCATCACGAGACATCCATTTACTTAATCACAGAAGTGGATCTTGCTACATAGTTTTCTCAATGTCTTCATTCTTCAGATTCTCCAGGCTTACGAATGTCATCAATCTTCAAAATCATTCTAACCATTTGTGTTGCAAGAGATATCTGTTGCTTTTTGCCAATCAAGGTTTCTATGACATGCTGTTGCTTCATATCTGAAAAATACAAGGACACTGATTATCCTAAAATAGCATACAATAAACTATCAATAACCAACTCTTTCTGATTTAGGGAATCACAGTAAGACTTAAGAAATACAAACTCCTGGAAGCCAAGCAGGAAGCCACTAATTTCAGTTATATTTCATTTTCAGATGAATGTAATTTCATTACTTCCAAGGACACTCTGGAACTCGCACCTGGTAAAGAGAGCTGTTGGGAGGGCACTGTCTTCAATGACTAGCTACAGGGTGACATTTTTCAGGAACATCTTATCCCACAAAGTATCCATACCCTAACTTAGGAAATCTAAAGTAAGTCCATCTGACCACAGCTGAAATGTAAGATATTTCCAAGAAAGATCTAGAAATGCTAATTTTTTTTTTGGAGACAGGTGTCACCCAGGCTGGAATACAACAGTGCGATCTCAGCTCACTGGAACCTCTGCGTCCCGGGTTCAAGCGATTCTCCTGCCTCAGCCTCCCGAGTAGCTGGGATTACAGGTGCCTGCCCTGACCAGGCCTGGCTAATTTTGTATTTTTTGTAGAGATGGTGTTTCACCATGTTGGTCAGGCTGGTGTCAAACTCCTGACCTCAGGTGATCCACCCGGCTTGGCCTCCTAAAGTGCTGGGATTACAGACATGAGTCACTGCGCCCGGCCCTAGAAATGCTAAATTTGAGCACAACCAGGCATTCAAGTTAGAAACATTAAATGTTTGCCTCACAAAGAGTTGCTACTATTGAAACCCTTGGAATTTGAGCATGGAAAGCAGAATGTACCTATACCTTTAAGCAAAAGCTGTCATTCTGTGGATGGATTACAGACATGGCCTGATTTAGTACAGAAATGCCTGAGACCACTGTTTCAACAAGCTACAGCCACCATATCTTTTTGGGAGCCGAGCTACACAAGTGGCTACAGAGGTTATATATTACATTTAGAAAACACTCCACAGTGTGCAGGATTAACCACACAGTGAACTGTGAACTAAAGCCCACTTCAGAGCTGTTATATATATGCTGCCCACTGACAGACATCTGTGTAAAAACAGCAATAAGGCATTACTTCCCAAAAACCAGAGATTAAAACCTAAGTCATCTTTGGTGATAGTACCATATGCACTTTACTGTTATTACAATGAGTCTCATGTTGCTAGGTCTAGTAGTCTAACCAATTCCTACGGCAATCAAACATTCTAAAATTCAGGACTTGAACACCTGAAGTGGGCTTACATATTTAAAAAGACACCATCATCTCACAGCACATACAGTGGATGATTATTCAGTTTAAATCAGACATCCCCCCCCCTCCACGCAGAGGCGTGACAGCTCCTCACCATTTGTCCCCTTGTGCAAACAGTCGATGCCAAGAGCAGGGTTCATCTCCTTCACCTGTCTGGCTCGGACTTCGGTCATAGTCTGGATGGGATTCATGCCACTGTTTTCAGAGAGGGCCATGGGGATGACCTCCAGTGCGTCGGCAAACGCTCTCATGGCATACTGTTCTAAGGTGGGGCACTGGAAAGGTACAGAAGTATGGTGAGTGCACTTGGCGAAACAAAACAACCCAGCGGCACCGTGAAAACACAACTGTATCACATACTTTGAAAAGTCAGCTCACAAAGAATTGTAAGAACAGGCTGTCTTTATTTTTGTATCTATCAGAATATTATAATGTCACCACAGAATACAGGCAGAGGGTATACATACATGTGAGAGATGTCTCAAAATACAGCAGCTCTTATGGCTTTATTTTTAAGTTATAATATTAATTTTGAATTTCAAATAACATTAAAAGACTATAGATTTATTATTTCAAGGACGAACTGGCTGAAAACAGCTGAGAAATGCTAGGTTATGGTAACCAGAATCTGAATACAGGAACGTGGGAATTAACTTAGATTAAAACACCTGTCACCTACACACAGCTCACGATGCTTGTTTTGCATCCAGCACCTCGCTGTTCCGCAGCTTCACAGTCTCCACCATCAGCGAGGCCTGAATCTTTCACTAAGTCTGCACAGATCCCTTACCTTATCCGCCTCTTGGCTAACTGCCAGGGCACAGGATATCTCAGCAGCCCCTCCTCCATACACCACACGATTATCGCGGATGAGGTTCCGGATGACACACAAAGCATCGTGAAGGGATCGTTTCGCCTCCTCAATGATCTAAGGAAAACAGCTTTGCCTGAATTAATGTGATCAAGATCTAGTCAATTTAGAGCCAAGTATCTGGCACCTTTTTAAAGACAGAGAGGCTGTGCTCTAATATTTAGATGGCCTCCACTATCGGATAATATTTATCTTTCTAGCTTTCCTTCCTGCAATGTAGTTAACAAAATTCAAGAGGCAGAGGCGGCCAGTGACTCATTCTAGGATACACGGTCAAGCAAGAGTCAAAAACTGACAAAACTCGCAAAGATTTATCACAATGTGCTAAAAACTCATTCTCAAAGAACAGAGATCGTCAATGGTTATTCACTTGGGTTCCCTTTTTCTACCTAAGGGACAGATGTAAGTCATCCTTGGTAATAATACCATATTGTAATTAAAATGAGTCTTATGTTGCTAGGGCTAGCAGTTTAACCAACCCCTAATGTAACTGTATCAAACATTCTAAAATCCAGGACTTGAATATTTAAACTGTGTTTAAGTATTTAAAAAGATATAAAAATCTCATAGTGTATATTGTATACTCTAAGGGACAGCAGAAAGGCAAATGTGCCTTGTGAAATTAACAATTTAACATGGTCTTCAGTAATTTTACACCATGATACGTCATTGTTTGAGAACCACGATTATTTTTCTTATGGTGACTGTGTCTCTGTTAAATACACACAGGCAAAAAAGCCAGACCATGAAGCAAAATAAGCAACAGTATAGGACAAATAGTTGAATTCTCACCATCTTATTTCCTCCTCTAATAAAAATGGTTACAGCTCTGGAGTTCTTACACTGCTCGATGACCAGCATTTTATCCTTAGTTGTCCCAAATGAGATCTCCTGTACAAGACCAGCAAAGCCCAGCTTCTCGGCTGTGAGCTCTGAGAACCTGGGGACGATCCGCCCTCCTGTTGCGATGGCAATCAGCTAATTGGGGTGGTCAGGGAGAAGGATGAAGACAGTACTGGTGAAGTTAACTTTCAAAACTGGGCCACAAATGAGCAAAACTTGATCTAAGACCAACTTGTTCACTAGAACTGCTGCCCCACTTTGACCGAGACATCTCCAGTTCAACCCAAAGCACCTTGCTAGGTAACAAGGCTCTTGAGCTGGACGTCTTGATTGGGGCTTTGGTGCTGCCCAGATCTATCACCCGGCGCCCGTCCCCTAAGCTCATACCCTCATCTCCCATCTGTGCAGCCCTCCCTCACTCTGGGAACCCAGCCTGCATGTTCCTTGCACTGCGCTGCAGTGAGAACCACCGAGGCACCGTTGCCTGGGACTGCCATTAGTATTTGGATGAGACCAGGTCTTCCAGCCTTAGTAAGTCAACGACAGGGCCAAGTGAGACAACACAGGGAGAGAATTTCAAAATGCCAGGGAACACCAGAAACACACAGCACTGTTATCCAAACAGTAACAAAGATTCCAGCGCTTTCCTCTCTCCCAGCTCACCCTCCCCTCATCTGCCAGCCTTGGTGTGATGCAGTTATTTAAGGCAGGGCTATCAAAACACCCCTCAACACATAAGATGAACCCCTACTTCTCAAAGTCTCTTCACGTGGAACATCCTACCTCAATTTCAGGTCCTCCTACCCAGCGAACCGCAGGCAAGTTGTTCTGAAGAAGTAAGTGATTTGCTTCATCATCAAAGCCCCACTGACAAATTGCTAGGTTAGCACCAGTCTCTTTAATCTGGGAAAAGAACCACCACAATCGTATTAAGAGAAAGTGGGTATTTATTCTTCATTACAATGTTTGAAAAAAGGAGAGGCACAGTTGGGTGTAAGGCAGGTGCACTCAAACACAAAAGCAAAGGAAAGAGAAGGAAGGAAATAGACAAGTGTCCACTTTTCTGTCAGTTCCAAATTCTAAATAGTGAATATTTTATCAATGGGGATCACCTCATTGTTTATGCTTTAAAAACCACAAGCAGTAATTCTGCTGAACCCTATTGTTACAGTGAGGCAAAACCCACAGAAACGTCAACAAAGCTAACACCCTTCCCCAACCATGGGGAAATGGCTAACAGCTCTGTCCTGTCACAAACACCTACAGAGTAGTTTCACCTGAGTATGTTTTAAACAAACAATGTTATGAACCACTTGCAACTTGACTGTCTCACCTGAGTGGACAATCCTCAGTGGATCCATAAACTAATTCGGGCACTCACAGAGGCAACCCTGCTTCCAGTAAGAAGCACCCTCACCCCGACCTGCAAATGGCAAAGTCACTTTTCCCAATTAGGAGGGCAACGATCAGGCTGCCCACCCCACCTCTGGTGCTCACCTGGGACTGCCACACCGTGCCCCACAACTCTGGCTTACCTGTCTCCATCAGGCCTCCCAGGCTACCTGCTACTGCCTGGCTCTCCCTCTCTTCCTTCCCTGACCCTCTGGAACTCAGTCCAGAACAGCAGCCTCCTTATACAATCTCTCCGTCACAACCCCGGAAAACCAACCTGCCCCTGCAACCCTCCTCAGATGGCAGCTGCTTTCCCTCTCACATGCTCAGAACAGGAGAGGGTCCTTCTTGCTCCTCAGTCACCTGCAGTGTTCCTCTTTGGGTCCCTGCCTCTCATTCTTTAACATTTTACTATCTAGCCCCATCGTCATTCCCTTCTCATTCTCAGCAACCTGCGCCTCACCAGCACGATCCAGTAACATCCCTGGCCTCTCAATTTATCTGTGGCCCCCCAGCACAGCTGAGGCACCATTCTCATGAAAACTGTCCCACCGGCCCAGATGATGGCCTTTTATTTATAAGCTCCCGCCAGCATGCTTCAATCCCTGAGGCTGGCTCTTCCTTGTACAAGCCAACAATGTTCCTGGCTCAGGAGCATCCCCATCTGTCCTCAGCCTGGAATGCTCCTCCCCCAGGGGCACTGCTCTCACCCTATGTTGGCCTCTCCTTACAGGTCACCTCTCTGACCAGTGTCTGTAATGGAGCTGTACCCACCTTTCTCTTATCTGTGTCTCAAGAGCACGAGCTTGGCTTCATTCCCTGCTGTACCTTTAGTGCCTACAACAGAGCCTGGTATGTCGTAGGCACCAAGAACCGTATCATCAATGAGTACATTCAACAACTTTCCCAAGAACAGACATGAAAATAGTCTCTAGTTGGTTTGCTATGATAAATAATACCCTAACCAACCCACGTTCCTGTCTTCTTGAGTACTGGTGTTTTCAACTCCCAAGGACGCAGCCCCCAAAGAGGAGTTGCTATGTCAGAGAGAAAGCACACCTACGCTAAGGTATTCATGAACCCAAACTAGACTTAACTGAGCAAAGAACTGGGATTACTATGAGTGCATTCTGGTTTAACTCCAGTTACTCATTAACTCTTGCCTAAAAGGTATAGTCAGAAATCTTAAAGGCAAGGTAAGCTAAGTTAAATTTGTCCAGGACGGCAAATATAATATGTACAATTGAAAGCACGGCTTTAGGTAACAGGGTCACTTCTTTCAGGACCCTGAACACACTACCATTTTTTTTGAGACAGAGTCTTGCTCTGTCGCCCAGGCTGGAGTGTAGTGGTGCAAGCTCAGCTCACTGCAACCTCTGCCTCCTGGGTTCAAGCGATTCTCCTGTCTCAGCCTCCTGAGTAGCTAGGACTATAGGTGCCTGCCACCATGCCTGGCTAATTTTTTGTGTTTTTAGTAGAAATGGCGTTTCACCGTGTTAGTCAGATGGTCTCGATGATCTCACGATCTGCCTGCCTTAGCCTCCCAAAGTGCTGGGATTATAGGCATGGCCACTGCACCTGGCCTGAACACGCTACCATTTTAAGACAAAATTAGAATTCTTCCCTGTTTATGCCTTTCTATGCAATTTGGTTTTTTCCTGTGTATGTTTTAGAACTGAAGAAAGACTACACATATTTACTAACCAAACCTAACTAACTGTACCCTTTGGGAGTTTAAATTCCACTGAGGACTCTGGTAAGACTTACTTGTTGAATCATCTCTTCAAATTTCTCCTTTTCGTATTTCTGAAGGGCTTTATAATCTTCGACAGAGGTCACATCCAGCTTATGCTTTGTTTTTGGTTTGGGTGGTTCAAATGGACATGTGAGAATTGCAATCTTCGCATCTTCCACTTTCTATGGGGGAACATAAAGACATTTTAATTGGTGGAATTAAGAGTTAACCAACAGTGCGAAGCTGTGAGATGCAATGGCTCACTTTTGGCATCTGTGGGTGACTGAAATCCTTGTCCACAATCACGCCCTTAATCAGTTTAGTGTCCTCCAGCCTGCCGCCCACTTTGCCTTCTACTTTGATAAGCTCAAAGTCAACGTCTCTCCGCTCCATATCTGCTACAGTGAGGACGGCATTCACAGCAATCTCAGCCATCTGTCGGTGACAACTGTTGACCCTGAGGAAAACACCACAAAACAAACTTCATTGGTTTCACAATTACTGCAACCAAAGCAGGCCACATAACACAATGTTACTCAAAGATATAAATCAAACGATGTTTTGAGTCTTCTAGAGGGGAATGCCATCTCAACCTGCATTTTCAACAGTCTGGGGCAGATTCTTAACCTGTGATCCATGGGCCCTAAAGGGGACTGTATACTTAGATAGGAAAAAATTACATCTTTATTTTCGCTAACTCTGAAATTTACTATTTCCTTCCATTATGAATGTACTCAAGAAACCACTGTAGTCTGGCATGAATTAAGGTCTTCTTAGAATGCAGCACTTTTACAGAATACTGTTACTATTTTACAAGTTCAGAACAGAATGGGAAAGGTAAGTAATCACTCAGGAAGAGTCACTCTTATCTCAATGAAGTGTAGCACTAACCAGGAACTGAAAGGACTGGACAGGGCATTTAAACTTTCCAAGAATTCACCACAACATCCATTATAGATGGAGGGTGTTACCTTTTTGAAAGCTTTGAAACATGTGAATAGACAGTTCAATAAATTAATTTTTGAGCCAAGAAAAACAACTAGGGAAACCTAGCACTTGAAATAATGTCTGAAATCACAGGTTATCTATAAAAGAGAACCATGAAAGTAAACATGTTGTATCTTAAGTAGATGACTTAATACTTGCAAACAGAACAAGGCCAACTTATAAAGCAACAAGAAAACTGATTTGTACACTTCAAGTAATGATGATGTCCTCCTTTCATGAGAAAATAAGTGTTATACTTGTGACAAGAGGCTACCCCTAGGGTACTCACTCTTGCCTAGGGAGCTAGTCTCTGCTGAGATCTGTGGTTAGAGGAGGACAGCAGGCATTGCTGAAGGCTTCTGCTCTAACATAGGCTTTGCTCAGGGGAAAAGGCAACAGAAGCAGACACTTTTCCTGCATTTTCCCTGACTACTCTGAGTTTAGAAGATCCCTCATTCCTTTTTGCTAAAACCACCACAAGCACACAATTGAAAACATCTCTCACTGATTTAATATAATGTAATAAAGCAGCTTACACTGGATTTTTATGTTATATTACGGCAACAGACCTTAAGTCTTTGGCATTGTACATAATCAGCGCACCCCTTGGCTGAGGTTGCTTAGAGTCTCCTGGGAGAAGAGCTGTGTCTTAGTGCCCATAAGACCTGGCAGTAAGCCTGGCAAACGGACATTACACGAACGCTGAAAACACCAGAGACAAGTCGCTTTCAAGACTCTCTTTACTAAATTATAATTTTGGATCGGCAATTTGCTGAATAAAAAGTGGAACCCACCCCCAATGGCTCCCCAGCAAAGAAATTATAGAAAGAAGTGTTAAGAAAATTCACATATCCTCCAGGTAGGACCCTTTCTAGTTGACTTTTTTTTTTTTTTGAGACAGGGTCTCGCTCTGTTGCTCAAGCTGGAGTGCAGTGGCATGATCATGGCTTGCTGCAGCCTCGACCTCTCACCTCAGCCTCTGGAGTTGCTGAAGTGTGTGCTACCATGCCTGGCTAGTTTTTTGTTTTGTAGCGATGGGGTCCCACTACATTGCCCTGGCTGGTCTTCAATTCCTGAGCTCAAGCAAGCTACTGCTTTGGCCTCCTAAAGTGCTGAGATTACAAGTATGAGCCACTGCATCCAGCCTTAGCTGATTTTTAACACAACCTATTCTGCTAAATTAAAATAACTATATTTTGCAAATATTGTCAAGGGGATTTATACCTGAACTTAGAAATTCAGTTCTCAACTTAAATACAAAATGCATCTGTCTACATCTACATTAAAAACAAAGCAAAACCAAGTAATCAAAACAAATAATCAAATCGATACAAATCCACCAGTGGTCATTTTGTGTTGCCTTTAAGAAATGGCAAACAAACTGCCTCCTCTACAAATGGGTAATCATATCATCTACTGAAACGTACACTTTGGAGCCCAGCGTGGTTTTTGCTGTCTGAATCAGGGGTTCGGTGTCCTTTATGTCAACAAGGACGCTATCGCTGATCTTGTCCAGGTGTTCAATAGCAACACGAGCAGCCTGCTCATAGCCATCGGCTATTCTGATTGGGTGAATGCCTCGGTCTAGCAATTGCTCCGCTTCTTCTAACAAGGCACCAGCCAGGACTGCAAATAAGCCAGCAGACAATCAGTTCAGGCAAACAACAAAACTTCACTTTTAGTATAATCAGCACAAGTTAGATGCTATCATGGAAAGAAGCAGCTTCTAGAATTAAGCTGCAAGTCATCTTAGAGGCAGAAGCCCTCTATTTTTAAAAGAAAGCCTCGTTTTAGTTCTAGCGAAGGTCGAATAGGACATGTGTCCCCTTACAGATGAACATTCAACCCTCAGTGATGTGAAGAACGTAACTAAAGAATATAATGTAAAAAGAACATTTTTCTAAGAGGTAAAAAGCTATTATGTTTCCTGGGCCAGGGTCTACTCAGTGAAATTCAGCCTGGTGATGAGACTAAAACGTGTTTATTATTTATTCCCCCCACCCCCATCCTCCTTTCTCCTCATTTTAGGGTCGCAAAGATGAATTTTGTTTAAATCTACAGCTCTCCAAGCGCACCGAGAACAGTGCTTGGCATACAATAGTATCCAATAAATATTTGTTGAATGAATTCAAATTTCATCTGCAGAAAAGGTAACCTTACTGATATTTTGTCTTCAATCTCCCCAACTTTTTAAAGATTTCAAATCTTCAGAAAAAAAAGGTACAATACTAAAACGAATACCAGTTTACTTATTAACATTTTGCCACATTTTCTCTACATGTACATACTGTTTCTGTTCAACTATTTGAGAATTAGTTACAGAAACCATGACATGTCACTCCTAAGTATTTAGGTATACAGCTGAGAAGAAGGGCATTCTCCTACACATCTGCAATATAATGGTCACAGATCACTCAGGAAACTCAGCATTGCAGTACATGATCCAAAATCAAATTCTTCCACGTTTCCCAAACATCCTTTATAGCTTAAAAGACAAGCAAAATCAGTGTCCAATCAATCATTACACATTTCTCCATGCCTAACAATCCCCAGCCCTCTTTCTGTTCTTTTGTAACACTGTCAGTTTTGAAAGTCCGACATTTGTTTTGTAGCATGTTTTCAACTTGGATTTGTCTGTCTCCTCATGCTCTGATTCAGAGACAACAATCTCAGCAGGCATGTTAGCCCTGTGGTCTTAAATGACGTCTCTTAAATGAGAAAGGATGTTTTGTCTTTTCTTACCAACCACTCCTGTGGTTCCATCTCCAATTTCATCATCCTGAGACTTGGACAGTTCCACCATCAGCTTGGCAATCTGATGATCAACATCCATCATGCTTAAGATGGTGGCCCCATCATTAGTTACAGTCACATCTCCATCCTTATCCACCATCATCTTATCAAGCCCTAAAAAACAACGTTTAGTAGGCTTTGCGCAAAAAACTGGCAACCAATATCACAAACTATAAAACAAGACCTCCTGACCCAGCTCTTATCTGTGCAATTTATTATATACAAATAATGCAACATACACAAAATAGTAGCTGCATGAAGGCATTTTTAGATTGGCTAACATAATTGGCAAAACATTATGGAGCATCATTAAGTATAATGTTAATCTCAAAAGACAACTATGATTTGGAAAATGCTAATGAAATGATGTTACATGCTAAAAAAAAAAAAAAAAAGGTCCGACCTAATATTGCACACGATTATAACCATGTTTAAGAAACCTGAAATACACTAAAAAATTTTGGCTGTGTTAAGGAAGTAAGATGCCTCCCCTCAATACTCCACCTTTCTGTAGAGAGGTTTATATTGACAGTTTTATAATTTAAATCTTTTGCTAAAAAACACGGAATGGTGGACTCTTACCATTTGGTCCAAGTGATGTTCTCATTGTATTTGCTACAGCCTTTGCTGCCATTATATGAGACTAATGAAACAAACAGAAAAAGCAAACACTGTTACATATAATTTCAATGGTTAAAAGCACACATCTGATGACTACAAAAATCACTTATGACTTAGTTTCTATTGTCTAGAAGCTTCTACATTTAAGGGGCAACAGACAGGTTTAAGTATTATAACATTTACGACTCCAGTTTTAATAAGCAATTCTTACGTAAAGAAAGAGAACCAAGTGCTTTGTGTTATCTCACTGAATTTTCAACACATTAATGAGACAGATTCTTTTACCAGCCCATTTACAGCTGAGAAGAGGGACAGTATGACTATGACCTTACAGGCGTTGCAAGACCACTGTGCAACACAGTCCTCCCTGAGCATCCATGGGGAATTGGTTCCAGGAGCCACAGTTCTCCCTGAGCATCCATGGGGAACAGGTTCCAGGAGCCCCCGAGGATACCCAAATTCACAGATGCTCAAGTCCCTTGCATCTAGGCTTGTACATCTGCGGGTTCCCCATCTGCAGACAAGGAGGGGCCTGTACTCATGAGAAACAGTCCAACTGTAAACATACAACACCTTACTGTCACACTATGATTTACTGCAGAATTGTAATCTTTTGAGCTGGATGCAGTACTAGAGCCTGCAACCCCCCCTACTTGGGAGGCTGAGGCAGGAGGATTGCTTGAGGCCAGGAGTTTGAGATCAGCCTGGGAAACATGGCGAGACCCCATTACAAAATAAAAAGAAAAACTGCTCTTGCTTTAAAAATCTTCCTCCACCCACCTGAAATCCCAATAATTATATTTATAGATCAAAGTTACTGACTGGCCTTTTTTTTTTTGAGACAGTCTTGCTGTGTCTCAAAAAGGCTGGAGTGCAGTGGCATGATCTCAGCTCACTGCAACCTCCGCCTCCCGGGTTTAAGCGATCCTCCTGCCTCAGCCCCCCAGTAGCTGGGATTACAGGCACGCGCCATGACGCCCTGCTCATTTTTTTTTGTATTTTCAGTAGAGATAGGGTTTTGCCATGTTGGCCAGGCTGGTCTTTAACTCCTGACCTCAGGTGATCCACCTGCCTTGGCTGCCCAAAGTGCCAGGATTACAGGTTTGAGCAACCACGCCCGGCTGAAACTGGCCCTCTTAAGGAAGGTAAGTAGCTGTCAAAGTGATAATAAAAAAGTTACCTGTTTTTTTTTTCACATTTAGCTACCAAATTGAGTAATAGAATTATTATTATTATTATTTTTAAGGAGAAAGCAAGAGGCAGAAAGAAAAGGATGTAAAGAATTTGGCAAATAGGAGAGATCCCGAAATCCCGAGATCTATTTTGCCCTACTGCTCGGCAACGTGGAAAAAACCTTTTTCTTCCTTCTGCTAGTTCTGTGTGTTTCCAGAGGGAAGAGTATCAAACATCAAGGCATAATACATATTATGGATAAAACAGAATTATGCTGGCTGGCCTGGAAACTTAGCCTGCTCTGTTTTAGGTTACAGGATTTTAGAATATGATTCCTTCCTAAGCCAACTAATGCCTGCACCTTTTTTTTTTTTTTTTTGAGACGGAGTCTCACTCTGTCACCCAGGCTGGAGTGCAGTGGCGTGATCTCGGCTCACCGCAACCTCTGCCTCCCAGGTTCCAGCGATTCTCCTGCCTCAGCCTCCCAAAGTTCTGGGATTACAGGCGTGAGCCACCGCGCCCAGTCAATGCCTGCATTTTTAAGGTGAAATATTATACAGTTAAGTGTTAAACAAGTGAAGAATCTCAACAAAATACATATTACCTTTAAGGCTCTAAATGACCAGAGAGAAAGAACTGTGACCATTACCATTAAAACGTTCACGTCCTGGCCTATACATTTCTTTTACCGTTGCCTTCAATTTCCATATATTTTGGTTCTTCAAGTTAGCTGGACGTTCTATGAGGTCAGGGAGCAAGTGTATATCCCTAAACTGCTGAGCCTCAACACTCACAGGATGCCTACCAACAGCATCCAACTCTTTTAAGAGACTTAAACACCCAGGTTACTGTCCAAATGAGCTCCCACAGCAAAGAATGATCCGACCTCGAATGTCAATATGCCAAACTTGAGAATGCTGCTCTAGACCACTGGCTTTGACTCTGACAGCGGTGGCCCTGACCATGGTAATGCTCTTTAGTAGCAACTGCTCTTCAGAACAATTTCTCAACTGCTCTGGGCCCAAGTCCCCAGTTTTGTAAAATAACCCTGTCTCAGAGTGTGCGACTTCTGGGCACAAATGCATGCAGTTTGAACAAAATGGCTGATGCAAAACAACCTAGTTTTAGTTATGTTGTTACACCAGGTGTGTGTATTGGATGTTATTTTCTCTGCAGGTCCCTGTTAAGTGGAAAATAAAATGGAATACATAATACAATTAGCTTGAAACTTTTTCTTTCTAGAAAGGAAACAAATACTGAGTGCCTACCGTGGATCAACCACTGTGCAGCCCCTCTAAGTCACTCCATTTAATATCACTGTCAAGTCTTCAGCTTGACGGAGGCCTATCACCTCCCCCTGGAAAAGGAGGTTCCGCGAGGTTGTGTAACTAGCACTAAGTCAAACAAAGAGTCCATAGGGGAACTGTATTGTTTCTAACTTTGCGTAAGTAAACCTCCAAGACACTAAGTGAACAGGGACACCTGAGAGACCTAGTGGAATGGTCTATTATGAATTCACTTTATAACAAACCCTGAAGGCCCTCTCGGAGTGTCCCTTCCTCTGCATTTTCTGTCAACGTCTGGTGCTCAGATGTTTCTTACCTGCACCCCTGCCCTGGTTTCTTTAACCCCTCTGGTCTTCCTTATTCCCTTCGGTCTATCTCAAGCTTTGCTGCCTGAAGTGCAGCTCTACTGAAATTCTGCTCAAAACCCCCTCAATGGCTCCCCTTCTTCCCCAAAGATAACGTCGTATTTTCCATGTTGGGCATTCAATAGCTTCCACCTTCGGGAACTATTGTAAGTTAAAGAAGTCAGTGCTCCATTAAAACCGGATGGCTCTTCCATTCTACAACGTGCCATGCGCATTCTTGCCCAAGCCTTTACTTCTACCGTTTCCTCTCCCTAGAATGCTACCTCTCACCCCGATCTAAAGCTGTCCTCCAGCACCACGCTTATGTGCACCCTCTCCGTAGCTGTCCTTCTCACTGCACACCACCTTGTATTACGGTTATGTGCGTCCGTTTTTCACTCTTCGCTATTTTTCCTCAAGGGTGGGCAAAAAAGCACTCAGAAATGAAATACCCTGTTAAGTGACCACACCTTTACGAGTGACAAAGAAAACGGAAGGGCCGTTGCGGGTGGACCAGCGAAAGGTTAAGCAGCAGCGCCTTAACCGACAGGTGACAGAGCATCTCCCCGGCGCCCTCCCACTGGAGCGCAGTCCCACGCGGCCGTCAGGCTGGAGGAGCCGGGCGGGGAGGCGGTCCCGCTTTGCTCCCGCGGGCGACCGGACTGAGCGGCCCCACCCAGCTCCGAAGGGCGCTGGCGGCCCAGCCTGGCTGGCCCCCACATTCCGAGCCCAGGATTAGGCGCCGGCGTCTCCCGAGCTCAGTAAGCGGGCTGAGCGGCCGGAGACCGCAGGGAGACGGAGATTCTCGACCTTTCCGGGGAGCACATGGCAGAGCCGCTCCTCAACTCGCGCAGGCGCAGAGCCACGGCCTCGGCCACCTCCCCTTAGCCCACCGCGAGCAGGTCCCTGTGCCATTACCTTGAGGGCCTCAAGTCCCATAAGACGGGACTTGCGGTCCTGATCCTTGATGATGAGGAAAGGGCGCCCATATTCATCGAAGGCGAGGGTCCCCATGGACGCCATGGTGCAACAACCGGAATTACTTCCCCCCAACCGGCGGAGACCGCTACGGAAGCGAGAATGCACTTCCCTTTCTCGGGAGGGCCCAAAAGCTTGCGCACGCGCAGCACAAGACGCGCGGGACTTATGTTTCTACTGAGACTAATTTCACGCCAGACAGTATCTTCTGGAATCGGCGGCCTTCGGGAACTTCTATTATCCAGGAAGCCGGGGAGGGGGAGGTTTGAAGACACTTAGTGGAAATCTTAGGACACACAAGTCAAGAGCAGATTGAATTTGTCATTTTTTAAAACGTTACCACTGATAGTTTCTCGATAGTGGGTCCCAAGGAGGAATTCATTGACTTAAAGCACTATTTCTTTATTTCTTCGCACTCCGGCTCCGAGAAGATGGTAGGACCCATTTCCGGTTTTTTTTTTTTTTTTTTTTTTTTTTTTTTTTTTTTTAAAAACGCTGTTGGAAATCTCGCGATGGAGGGAGGAGGAGGTGAGGCTGGAGCGGCTTGGCGGGTTCCTGGGGGCATGAGAAGGGGTGCGGGCGGGCCGGGGGCTCGCGGTCAGCTGAGGTCTCCACTGTCGAGGCGGTGACCGGGTGCGGGCGGCTGCTCTGGCCTCCAGCCTGGCCTTCGGTGACCAGAGCTCCTGGTCGCCGCGCGGTGCCCGCGCCGGTTCTGGCGATCCTTGTCGGCGGGCGCGTTTCCCCAGAGACTGTTCTAGGCTACTTAGTGCAAGTGACTCAGCCTTTGGCACGATCTTAAGGAATAGGGATAGTGGAGGCACACTGATGGATTGGAATCGCAGTTCTGCCGCTCTTCCTAGCTGTGGCTTTGAGGAAATCCCTTAACTTCTTTGTCCCTCGGGTTCCCTGTCTGCAAAGTGACGGTGGTAACAGTAGTGCCTACTCACAGGGCTGCTGTGAGATTCAAGGAGAACGGTGCCTGGCAAGCTGAACACAGTGTTGGTAAATAAATTAACATTTTGCACAAATGGTTCAGTAACTTGCCACTGGTATACAGCTAGTAAGAAACAGTTACACAGCCTGATGCAATGGGTCCCACACTCTTTTTTTTTTTTTTTTTTTTTGAGACAAGACTGTAGCCCGGGCTGGAGTGCAGTGGCGCGGTCTCGGCTCACTGCAGCCTCCGCCTCCCGGGTTCCAGTGATTCTCGTGCCTCAGCCTCCCAGGCAGCTGGGACTACAGGCACAGAACCACCACGCTCGCTAATTTTTGTATTTTTAGTAGAGACGGTGTTAACGCCGTAGTGGCCAGGCTGGTCTCGAACGGCTGACCTCAAGTGATGTACCCGTCTAGGTCTCCCCAAGTGTTGGGCCTGAGCCACCGCGGTGCCCGGCAGGTCTCACTCTTAAGCCCTGTATTATGCTGCCTCAGAAAGATCTTGGCAACCGCAGCTGTCCTCTAAATCTCTTATGCTGCCTTCCTCCCCGCCCTCCAAGATCATGACTTAATATTTGATAGGTTTAGATTTATTTGTTGAGGGTTTCCATCCTTGCTTCTCCCCTACTGCCATGGGCAGGGACTTAACTAATAAAGTTGTATTATTCCCAGACTTTATTAGGCACTCAATAAGTGCTGAAATGAATACATGCACTATAACATTTGACCCTGTCCTGAAACTCAAGAACAGACTTGGCGACTGTGTTCCCATCTACTCTGGGGCTGAGGCAGGAGGATGGGTGGAGCCCAGGAGTTCAGTTTACAGTGCGCTATAATCGCGCCACTGCACTCCATCCTGGGCGACAGAGCGAGATTCTGTCTCTAAAAACAGGGAGGACTGACTGTCATGGGATGGTTGGTGATCTGTTAACTCTTCATGCTTGGCATACTTACGCGCTAGACCTTGAAGTGTTCTTCAAGGACATTTTAGATTTTGGAGTCAGGTCTTATTTCACGTTAGCTTTGCCAATTCAGTGTTTCCTCATTAAAAATGGTGACTTCTGCAATTCATTTGGCTCCTTCGATTGTTGTGAAAAATAGAATGTCCTATGGCATCCTCTGTGTAGTTGATTCCCTGTCAAAACACTGGGGAGTGAGAGAGGATTTTTCCTAATATCAATAGCTCATGTATGTCAAAAGGACACAAATGACATTAGACTAGTATAAGAAAGGCTTCTTAAGGACATAAGAATATATGCTAAAGGGACATAACATATGCTGTAGTTATTAAACAGGTATGCACATACAAGTGCACAATGAACAGTCCTTATGAGTTGTGACATTCTGATATAAGCCCGCTTTAAACACGTGGCTAGTTACTATTCCTAACAGGCTCCTTCTCTCTTCTTGGCCTTTTTCTTTTGGCTTGAACTTGGATAAGAACCTTGGGTACCTTATTGTACATCTGTCACTGCCTCTAGCTTCAGCTGATCCAAATCTGCCACTAAAAATTGAAGTTTTCAACCAATATTAGAAGTCAATAAGCAAGCAGGGCCCGGACACAGTAGAAGTTAACCTCATTCTGTGTTTGACTTTAAAGGATGGACTACTAAGTGCTCAATGAAAGTAGCCAGTGGCCACTGCAGCCATTATTTAATAGAATGGCTCCTTGTTCCAAAGAACACCTGAAAGAAAGTTCTTGCCATTTATATATAGGATAGTCTGGGAGTCTGAACATGTTCCGTTAGAAGGATTTGTAGAAACAGTCTTGATTTTAGTTTTGAATATTCAGGGCCTGATTTTTACTGATAAGAATCAATACAGGTCCTGGCATGGAGGCACTTTAGGAGGCTGAGGCGAGAGAATTGCTTGAGCCCAGGAGTTTGAGACCAGCCTGGGCAACATAGGGAGACCCTGTCTCTAAAGAAAAAAATTTAAAAAATTAGCTGGGTGTGGTGGCATGTGCCTGTAGTCCCAGCTACCTGGGAGGCTGAAGTGGGAGGATCGTTTGAGCCTGAGAGGTCAAGGCTGTGGTGAGCTGTGATTGTGCTACTGCACTCCAGCCTGGACGACAGAGTGAGACCCCATCGCAAAAAGGAATCAATTGTTTTTCCTGAATGGAGCTAACAATGTAGTTCCTATATTGTACATCCTATATTGGATGTACATAGTAACTTCTTCCAAAGCTCCAGCAATGGGTATGGATCTTGATTTCCCCATGCAAATGTTTGTTACGTTGCAAGACTTGCAGGCATCAAAACCTGGGACAGAAAATAGAATGATTTCATCAAGAGACTCATTGCCCCTGTGTTGCCTTTCTTAAAAACACAAATATTATGGTGACTTTGCTCAAAAAGTTTCATCACAGTGCACATAGAATAAAATACACATTCAGCCTGGCCTTCAGAGGCCTGCCTTCCTGTTTGTCTCTCACTCTGTGCTCCAGAAAGGCTTTCCCTGCCTTCCACACCTTGGTTCCAAGGCTTGCTGCTTTTGGCTCCAGCTCAAATATTCTCTCTGCCAACACCTCACTGGTCCCATTGTTGGAATCAGTCTTTCCTCCGCCTCTCCCATATGCCTGTAGCGTTTTGTTTGTGTTATAGCATTTCTCACAACCAGCCCTGTGTCTGCCTCTCCTGGACCCCACCCCTCATCTGCCTAGATGGGAGGCCGTGAAGAACAGGAACTTTTTATTACATCTTTTGCTGGTTGAATTGAAAGGTACATATCTACACAGGTGAAAAATGAAATTTGGGTCATCTGACTTGTGTTTGTTTAATAAACTTGGTGAACAAATGCGTAAGCAAAAATATGGCATATCCATACAATGGAATATTATTAAGCCATAAAAAGAAATAAAGAACTGATACAAGTTGCAACCTGGATGAATCTTGAAGACATGCTAAGTAAAAAATGTCAGTTACAGAAGTCCACACACTATACAATTCCATTCCTTTAAGTCCAGAATAGGGGATTCTTTTTTTTTTTTTTTCTTTCTTTTTTTTGAGAGACAGGGTCTTGTTCTGTCTCCCAGGCTGGAGTGCAGTGGTGCAATTTTGGCTCCTTGGCTCACTGTAACCTCTGCCTCCCCGGTTCAGGTGATTCTCTTGCCCCCAGCCTCCCAAGTAGCTGGGATTACAGGTGTGCACCACCATGCCTGGCTAATTTTTTTTTGGTATTTTAGTAGAGTTGTTGTTTCACAATATTGGCCAGGCTGGTCTGGAACTCCTGACCTCAAGTGATCCGCCCACCTCGGCCTCCCAAAGTGCTGGGATTGCAGGCGTGAGCCACTGTGCCAGGCCCCAGAATAGGGGATTCTTGAGACAAAAAGTAGATTAGTGGTTGCTTAGGGCTGGGGGATAGAGGGTGGATGCGGGGGTGATAGCTAAAGGATAAGGGGTTTCCTCTTGAGGTAATAAAAATGTTCAAAAATTGACTGTAGTGATGGTTGCATGTATCTGAATATAAAAAGAAACATTAAATTATATACTTTAAGCAGGCAAATTGTATGTATATGAATTATATCTCAAAGCTGTTAAAAATTGAGCCCCTCCTTGCATATGATAGTATTGAGAATAATAATAGCAATTAATAGTCATTACTTAGCCTCTCAGGCTTGTGCTAAATGCTTTGTTTACATTATTTACCTGTTCCAAGAATCCTATGAGGATAGTATTATTGCAAAATCTTTTTTTTTTTTTTTGTAATGAGGTCTCACTCTGTCACCCAGGTTGGAGTACAGTGGTGTGATCTCGGCTCACTGCAACCTCCACTTGCCAGGCTTAAGCAATCCTCCCACCTCAGCCTCCCAAGTAGCAGGGACCACAGATGCACACCACCAGGCCTGGCTAATTTTTTGCATTTTTGGTAGAGATGAGGTATTGACATGTTGCCCAGGCTGGTCTTAAACTCCTGAGCTCAGGTGATCCACCCGCCTCAGCCTCCCAAAGTGCTGGGATTACATGCATGAGCCACTGTGGCTGGCCAATTTTGAATTGTGTTTATTTATTTTATTTTATTATTATTTTTTGAGACGGAGTCTCACTTTGTCACCCAGGCTGGAGTGCAGTGGCGCGGTCTCGGATCACTGCAAACTCCGCCTTCCAGGTTCACGCCATTCTCCTGCTTCAGCCTTTCAAGTAGCTGGGACTACAGGCGCCCACCACCATGCCCGGCTAATTTTTTTGATTTTTAGTAGAGACAGGGTTTCACTGTGTTAGCCAGGATAGTCTCAATCTCCTGACCTCATGATCTGCCCGCCTTAGCCTCCCAAAGTGCTGGAATTACAGGCGTGAGCCACCATGCCCAGCTTGAATTGTGTTTAAACAAATTATTTCCAAATTTTACTGAGGAGAAAACCATGCCTTAGTAACAACTTACCTTGTGTTAAACAACTAATTAAGTTCTGAGACTCCAGAACTGTGTAACCCAAATCCTCTTAACTGCTGTACTGTACAACTGGAATGTCCACAAGATAATTTTTTACAGAGGGCATGACACATGTACAAATGTGCCTTGACTTTTCTTTTTTTTTTTTTTTGACAACCAGGGTATTGCTCAGTTGTCCAGGCTGGAATGTAATGGTGCGATCACGGCTCACTGCAGCCTCAGCCTCCTGGGCCTAAGCGATCCTCCTGCTTCAGCCTCCCAAAAAGCTGGGACTACAAGTGCATGCCACCACACATGGCTAATTTATTTTTTGTAGAGATGGGGTCTTGCTATGTTGCCCAGGCTGCTCTTGAACTCCTGGCTTCAAGCAATCCTCCTGCCTCGGCCTTCCAAAGTGCTGGGATTATAGGCATGAACCACTGTGCCTGGCCGACTTTTCTTAAATAAATGCATGACTACCACTTGAGCAAACAGAGGCATACTTTGTTTTATTGCACTTTGCAGATAGTGCACTTTTTTGTTGTTGTTGTTAGAGATAGGATTTTGCTATTATTGCGCAGGCTGGTCTCAAATTCCCGGGCTCAAGCGATCTTCTGGCCTCAGCCTCCTGAGTAGCTGAGATTACAGGTATGAACCAACATGCCCCATTCAGTAGTGTGCTTCTTACAAACAGAAGGTTTATGGCAGCCCTACGTGGAGCAAGTCTGTTCGCACCATTTTTTCAACAGCATCATGCTCACTTTTTATCTCTGTGTCACATTTTGGTAATTCTTGCAATATTTCAAATTTTCCACTATTTTTATGTCTGTTATGGTGATCTATGATCAGGGATTTTTGATGTTTCTATTGTAAATGTTTTGGGGCTCCACAAGCCATGCCCAAATAAGAGTGAACTTAATCGATAAATGTGTGTTTTCCTACTGCTGCACTGGCCATTCCTCTATCTCTCTCCATCTCCTTGGGCCCTCCTATTTCCTGAGACACAACAACATTGAAATTAGGCTGATTAATAACCCTACAATGGGCTCCAGGTGTTCAAGTGAATGAGTCACACTTCTACCATTTTAAATGAAAAGCTAGAAATTATTAAGCTTAGTGAAGAAGGCATGTGGAAAACTGAAATAGACTGAAAATTAAGCCTCTGGCATCAAACAGTTAGCCAGGTTGTGAATGCAAAGAGAAAGTTGTTGAAGGAGATTAAAAGTGCTACTCCAGTGAACACACAAATGATAAGAAAGTGAAAAAGCTTTATTGCTGGTATGGAGCAAGTTTGAGTGGTCTGGATAGAAAATCAAACCAGCCACATCATATCTTTAAGCCAAAGCCTAATCTAGAGCAAGGCCCTAACTCTTTTCAGTTCTCTGAAGGCTGAGAGAAGTGAGGAGAGTGCAGAAGAAAAGTTTGAAGCTAGCAGTGGTAGGTTCATTAGGTTTAAGGAAAGATAAGCCATTTCCAGAGCATGAAAATGCAAGGTGAAGCAGCAAGTGCTGATGGAGAAGCCGCAGCAAGTTATCTAGAAGATCTAGCTAAGATTGTTGATGAGGGTTGCTGCACTAAACAGATTTTCTTTTTTTTTTTTCTTTTGAGACGGAGTCTCGCTCTGTCATCCAGGCTAGAGTGCAGTGGCCTGATCACTGCAACCTCTGCCTCCCGGGTTCAAATGATTCTCCTGCCTCAGCCTCCCGAGTAGCTGGGATTACAGGGGCGTGCCACCACGCCTGGCTAATTTTTGTATTTTTAGTAGAGACTGGGCTTCACCATGTTGGTCAGACTGGTCTTGAACTCCTGACCTTGTGATCCGCCCACCTCAGCCTCCCAAAGTGTTGAGATTACAGGCGCGAGCCACTGTGCCTGGCCAGCAGATTTTCAATATGGATGAAACAACCTTCTATTGGAAGCTAGAGAGAAATCAATGCCTGGTTTCAAAGCTTCAAAGAATAAGCTGACTCTCTTGTTAGGGGTCAGTGCAGCTGGTGACTTTAAGTTGAAGCCAATGCTTACTGGCCATTCTGAAAATCACAGAGTCCTTAGGAATGATGCTAAATCTACTCTGCCTTGCTGTATAAATGGAACAACACAGCCTGGATGACAGCACCTTTCTTTACAGCATGATTTTTGAATATTTTAAGCCCACTGTTGAAACCTACTGATCAGAAAAAGGATTCCTTTCAAAATATTACTGCTCATTGATAATGCACCTAGTTACTACTCAATTGCTCTGGTGGCGGTGTACAAGGACATGAATGTTGTTTTCATGCCTGTCAACACAGCATTCATTTTGTAGCCCAAGGATCAAGGGGGTAATTTTGACTTTTAAGTCTTGTTATTTAAGAAATACATTTCGTAAGGCTAGAGATGCAATAGATAGTGATTACACTGATGGATCTGGGCAAAGTCAATTCAAAACCTTCAGGAAAGGATTCACCATTCTAGATGCCATTAATAACATTCATGATTCATGGTAGGAGGTCAGAGTATCAACATTAATAGGAGTTTGGAAGAAGTTGATTTCAATCCTCATGGATGACTTTGAGACCTAAGTGGAGGAAGTAACTGCAGATGTGGTGGAAATAGCAAGAGAGTTAGAAGTGGAGCCTGAAGATGAGACTGAGTTGCTGCAACCCCATGATAAAATATCAGTGGATGAGGAGTTGCTTTTTATGGATGAGCAAGGGAGGTTGTTTCTTGAGATGGAATCTACTACTGGTGAGGATGCTGTAAACATTGTTGAAATGATGACAAAGAACTTAGAATATTTTATAAACTTAGTTGATAAAGTAGTGGCAGAGTTTGAGAAAATTGACTCCAAATTTGGAAGAAGTTCCACTGTGGGTAAAATGCTATCAAACAGCATCACATGCCGCAGAGCAATCTTTCATGAAGGGAAGAGTCTATCAATACAGCAAACTTCATTGTTGTCTTATTTTCAAAAATTGCCGCAACGACCCCAACCTTCGGCAACCACCACCCTCATCATTGAGCAACCATTAACGTCAAGGCCAGATCCTACACCAGTGAAAAGATTATGACTCACTGAAGGCTCAGATGATCATTAGCATTTCTTAGCAATAAACTCTTTTTTAAAAATTAAAAAAAATTTTTCGAAGATAAATCAGACCAAAATGTCAAGCAATAAAGGATTTTAAAATTAAGGTACATACATTGTTTTTTGAACAGTGCAATTGCACACTTAATAGACTCCAGTATAGTGTAAACATAACTTTTATATACAGTGGGAAACCAAAAATATTTGTGTAACTTGCTTTATTGCAATACTCACTTTATTGCAGTGGTCTGGAACTAAATATTTCCAAGGTATGCCTGTAAGTTCCTCCGTAAAATGCCAAAATTATAACTGAAATTATTTAAAGCTTTTGCTTTCTATCAAATGCCATCACCTTCTTAAAGTTAATTTTCTTTACCCCCATCACTAGCATTAATACTAGCACTAGCATTAGTAGCATTCTTCCTCCCACCGCCCCCTCCGCCGACCCAGTTCGTTTTCCACTGTGAAATCAGTTTTACAACTCATTTTAAGGGGCTTCAGGAATCAAGAACAAAGCTGCGCTGAGTGGGGGATGCTGGCGATTGGCTGGCTGCCCTGAGGGTGACCCACTGCTGTGTGCCAGCTTTCTGTGTGTCTTGGGTTCAAATTTGTACTGCACTAGAATAGATTGCCGTAGTTCATGGGTGTGGTGGGAAGAAAAATGTCCTCTCCAGGAATGTCCACATTCTAATTCCTGCACCTGTACAGATGTAATCAGTGGTCTTGAGATGGGAGATTATTTTGGATTATTTATGTGGGCCCAGTGTTATCATGAGGGTTCCTATAAATTAAGAGGGAGCCAGGCATGTGAGAGAAGGTGATGTCAGGACAGAAGCAGAGATTGGAGTGATGTGGGGTCAAGAGCCTAGGAATGTGGGCAGCCTCTGGAAGCAGGAAGAGACAAGAAAACCTGCCCGAGGGCCCCCAGAAGGAACGCAGGCCTGCCAATTCATTTCAGACTGACCTCCAGAACTGTATGATAATAAATGGTGATTTTCTTTTCTTTTTTTTTTTTTTTGACATGGAGTTTCACTCTTGTTGCCCAGGCTGGAATGCAATGGTGTGATCTCGGCTCACTGCAAGCTCTGCCTCCCGGGTTCAAGCGATTCTCCTGCCTCAGCCTCCCTAGTAGCTGGGGACTACAAGCATGCACCACCACGCCCGGCTAATTTTGTGTTTTTAGTAGAGATGGGGTTTCTCCATGTTGGTCAGGCTGGTCTCAAACTCTCAACCTCTGGTGATCTGCCCGCCGTGGCCTCCCAAAGTGCTGGGATTACAGGTGTGAGCCACTGCGCCTGGCCATAAATGGTGTTATTTTAAGCCACTAATTTTGTGACAATTTCTTACAGCAGTTATAGGAAACCTATAACTGCATTCGACCCTGTTCTAAGTGCTTTACCTCCATACACTCATTTCATCCTCACAATATCCCTGTGACCCCCACTTTGCAGATGAGAAAACAGGCTCAGCAAGGACCAGGGATTCAGGGTCCCATCATTAGTGAGGTGGCAGAGCTGGGATCCTAACTTTGGCTGGCTCTGGAGGAGTCCTGCTTTTACCTCCTGTACTGTGCTCCTTGTTAATCAATTTTAAAATCAATTTTGTCAATATTAATTTCAAAATCTTGAGATCCCATTTAAATGCATTTTAAAGGACAAATCTCAAAAGGATATTTAAGGTACCATTCATTTCTTTGTAATCAGTGATTGGGGTCTGCGTTATTTTATGTTTATGATAGTACTAAAATGATGATCTTATTTTTTATTCTTTTTTTTTTTTTTGAGACAGAGTCTCGCTCTGTCACCCCGGCTGGAGTGCAGTGGTGCGATCTCGGCTCACTGTCAGCTCCACCTCCCGGGTTCATGCCATTCTCCTGCCTCAGCCTCCTGAGTAGCTGGGACTACAGGCGCCCGCCACCACGCCCGGCTAATTTTTTTTTTTTTTGTATTTTTAGTAGAGATGGGGTTTCACCATGTTAGCCAGGATGGTCTCGATGTCCTGACCTCGTGATCGGCCCGCCTTGGCCTCCCAAAGTGCTGGGATTACAGGCGTGAACCACCACGCCCGGCCTTATTTTTTGTTCTTTTTGGATCCGCTGTAAAAGTCTCTTTATTACCATACTTATTTAAGATATTTGGTAAAACCTGATTTTTGTCTCTTCTATTACTTTAAAATTGTATTGGTGAAACTGGATTGTAGATGCCAGACCAGATTTGATGTGGAATCCTTTAATTCTACTTGAAATTGGGTAATAATTAGACATCTTTATGCTTATTTGTTTATGAGGCTTTGTTAGTTCAGAACATAAAAATATGTAGTGCATGATTAAAACTTGCACTAATGGATATTAAATTAATAAATTACTCGATAAGTTTGAATACATTGTTTTGTAAGGATGACTCCTAGACACACAAAAAATCAGTACTTTGGAAAGAAAAGATTTTAGTCTTCTCATAGTATTGAATAATGTTCTTCAAAATACCTTAATAGGATTTAGAACTAATTGTGGGATCCTACAGTTGACATTTAGCTTGTATTCAGCTAAATTATCCTTTAAAAAGCATGAGTTTGTTTGCCAATGAGAATTGTAGAAAAAAATGCTCTCTTGGATTTCAGATTTGGTGCTACATGTGTCTCTTCTGCTTGCTTTCAATCTAGGTATACCCCTAGAAACACTTAAAGAAGAAAGTCAGTCAAGACATGTTCTACCTGCAAGTTTTGAAGTCAACAGTTTGCAGAAAAGCAACTGGGGGTTCTTACTTACTGGGCTTGTGGGTGGCACCCTGGTGGCTGTGTACGCTGTAGCCACGCCGTTTGTAACGCCAGCCCTTCGAAAAGTCTGTTTGCCGTTTGTACCTGCAACTACGAAGCAGATTGAAAATGTTGTGAAAATGTTGCGATGCCGAAGAGGATCCCTTGTGGACATCGGTAGTGGGGACGGACGCATTGTGAGTTCTGCTAAAACATTTTAAGGTTTGAAACCAGAACTTAAAATTTCTGCTTTACATTTAGTAAGGCTTACACAAAGACTTAACTAAATCTGACAGCTTGAAAGAGTGCTCATTTCATTTTATGTTTGTTTGACCAAACTATTCAACTACCAGTGTGTTTGGAATTCATTTTTCCCAGATTTAATTTGTTCTTAAAGGAGGAAGTGTGCTGTAAACATGCCAGGTGAAAAAGAACAGTTAACTGGTAATTATCAAATTGTCTCTTAAAATACATGGGCCAACAGAGGTGGCATGAGAAGAAATATGTTAAATCATGGCATTTCACTCCTTTACATTTTTGCCCCATAGTTGTTTGCTTCTGCATTTGTCTGTATTTATCCATGTATAAGTAATAATTCCTGGGGTAATACAGAGTTAAGAAAGAGCCAGTGATTAACCCTCACTAAGCCGAAGATCAGTCTTTTTATGAACTTCTCTCACTTGACCGCAGTTGGGCACCTATAAATAAAAGGCCACTGATGGGCAAGTGGGTGTCTCAGAGCAGGTTCCTCTGTGGGCAGGGTGGCACCATCCTTAGCCTCATCCCAGAGATAAGCTGAAAAGTTCCAGCAGCAGTGGGAAAGGCTGGTGCTATGGAAGCATTTAGTGTGAAGGCCAGCAGGACTCTATCACCTTTCACCGGCTCCTACAGACATAGAGACTGATTTTGTGATTCTGAGCTAGAATAATCACGAGGAGGTTAGAAAGTTAAGATATTTTTAATTTAATTTTTTTTTTTTACTTATAAAATTGTGTTAAGATACACATACCGTAGTGTTTACCATCTTAACCATGTGCAGGTGTACGGTTCGGGGTGTGAAGCATATTCACGTTGCCGTGCCACCATCACCACCACCCATCTCCAGAACTCTTTTCATCTTGCAAAACTGAAACTCTGCCCCGATTAAATAATAACTTTCTACTCCTCTCCTCCCCTCACCCTCTGGGAGCCACTATTTGTTTCTAAGAAATTTATTAGTGGCCAGGTGTGGTGGCTCATGCCTGTAATCCCAGCACTTTGGGAGGCTGAGGTGGGCAGATCACGAGGTCAGGAGTTCAAGACCAGCCTAACCAACATGGTGAAACCCTTTCTCTACTAAAAATACAAAAATTAGCCAGGCATGATGGTGCACGCGTGTAATCCCAGCTACTCAGGAGGCTGAGGCAGGAGAATCGCTTGAACCTGGGAGGCGGAGGCTGAAGTGAGCCAAGATCACGCCACTGCACTCCAGCCTGGGTGACAGAGCGAGACTCCATCTCAAAAAAAAAAGAAATATATTAGTCTGTTTTCATGCTGCTGATAAAGACATACCTGAGACTGGGCAGTTTACAAAAGAAAGAGGTGATTAGACTTACGGTTTTACACAGCTGGGGAGGCCTCACAATCATGGTGGAAGGTGAAAGACAAGGAGGAGCAAGTCATGTCTTACATTGATGGTGGCAGGCAAGGAGAGAGCTTGCGCAGGGAAACTCCCCCTTATAAAACCATCAGATCTTGTGAGACTTACTCACTGTCATGAGAATAGCATGGGAAAGACCTGCCCCCATTATTCAGTTACCTCCCGCCAGGTCCCTCCCACAACACATGGGAATTCAAGATGAGATATGGGTGGGGACACAGAGCCAAACCATATCAATAAATCAAGGAGAAAGTTTTGAAATTCATATTTGAATGCTTTACGTATTTGAAGAGTATCTGTGGTTTCTGAGAAAATGTTTTCTTGCAGCACTGTAGTACTTGGGAACTATCTTAGGTGGGACAGCTGAGTCAAGGGATGCTCCCTTAAAGAATGGGGCAGGACAGAACAGGCAGAGAGAACCCAGGACTGCCCCACATCCCTCCCACTCTCCGGAGGCCAGTGGGATTCCACAGTTGACGTTATTGGGATTCATTTCATTTTACTTTTACCTGTTTTCAGTTTTGAGTAAACAGTCATTAACTACAAAGGAAATATGTAACTAATTGCAGATTTTTCATTGACAGGTTATTTTTATTGCATATTATTACTTGTTCACAAAACCATCCTCCCAGACACTTTCATTTCACTGCTGCTGTGCTAGCCCACTGATGGAGAGATGCAGTGGATTTTCAGCAATGTTTTGTTCGACCTCCCCGGGGGTTGGCTGACCTAGAATCAATTATGGAGGTGTTCCAAGTGAACCTGAATGTCTATTCTGATACTTGAGGTGAAGTCTTTAACCAATCAAGGAAACTAAGTTGCATGGGTTGACTATTACGTTGTCCACAAAGCTATATCGCTTTAGAGACACATTTTAAAATGATGTCTTAGTCACGGGAGGTGCTTTTTGATTGGATGTTTAAACCATTGATAGGAAATATTCATATTGTTTGACCATGTATGTTCATTTTTTCTTCTTATTTTGAATAAATCCTGCCTCTCTCCACAGGTCATAGCGGCTGCGAAGAAAGGGTTCACAGCAGTTGGTTATGAATTAAACCCATGGCTAGTTTGGTATTCCAGATACCGCGCTTGGCGAGAAGGTGTGCATGGATCTGCCAAATTTTATATTTCAGATTTGTGGAAGGTATGTAAGGCAGAGAATGGCCCTAGAGAAATCCAAGGGAAAATTTTATTATTCAAAATTAGTATGACTGAGAACTGAAAAATGTATTAAAAGAAAAATAATTAAAATCCAAGTGAATATTCTGGCATAATGAAATATGTAAAATTGATACGTTTTACAAATAGTCTCCTTTAGAGAGAAGCTTAAAGTTTTTATATGATAGGTCTTGTGAATTCCAAGAATTTATTTACTAAATTAAAATGTTGTCATTTCTGTTTCTTACAAAATAATGAGATTTTTCATCTCATTTGGAAATCCTATAAATTATTATTGATAAATATTAGACTTTTCCATTTGTGTGCCTGTGTGAGTGTGTGTATGCATATTCGTATATTTAGAGAGACACAGAGATGGTTGCTGGAGAATCGTGCTATCACGGTTATTTCTTATCCTCATAAAGTATAAGATACTTCCAAATTTATTTGTACTCTAAAAACTCTAAAAATGCCCTGTAATTTTGCTTTAGGAATGTTCCATAAAATGCTTTTTCTTAAATAAGAATTTTCCATTGTAATATTGTCATCAGTAGCTTACAAAAATTCACTTGAGTTTTGCTTGCATTGTTTTTTTATGCCATATGTGCATAAACGATCTCTCTATAGAGTAAATAAGACTTATTGGGCAATAAGAATTTTAACTGGCAAAGCACATTTCCCCCCAGTTTTTCAACTAAAGACCATTTTATTGCACTTTTTTACATAGTATTTTAGAGAAGAGGAGGGGGACTCAAATTTTAAGGATGGTTCAACAACAACAAAAAACAGATGGTTCTGAAGTCTCCTGTGTTCTGGTGAAGCTGGTGGTATAGAGTGGACTGGTGCGGGAACACGTGGCCCCGGTGCCACCAGCTGGTCACAGTGGGGTCACAGTGTGGTCACTAGCTGTCTGACGCATGACCACTGGGGCGTGCCCTGGATGGAGTCACCCTGAGGATGAGATGGGATGACTTACAGGGAAGCGTTTGGAAAACTGCAGTGGATTGAATTAAAATGAATGAGAGCATGAACATGTTATTCTTTTCCTTGTGAAATCTTAAGGAGGGCCGCTGTTCTTAGGAGTTCATCAAAACCCACCGTTTGGTAAAATGGAAAACTGCTACCCATTTCTGTAAAACAAGTTAAGCTTCACGTTTGGCTTTTTGCACTTAATCTACTGATTATTTTCCCACCTTGTTCAGGTTACTTTTTCGCAGTACTCGAACGTTGTTATTTTCGGTGTGCCTCAGATGGTGAGTATGCACTTTCCTGCTCTCTGTTTGGGGTTAGATGATGTTGAAGGCCCTTCCAGCCACAACACCACCACTCACCCGTGTGAGGGTGATGGCCTCCCAGAGATTTTAGGGAACACTGGATTTCAGTTCATTGATTTAATAAAATACTTCAGAGTCTTAGAAGTTTAATCATAAAAGATTCAGTCATACTTTTAAACTTTGGCTTCAGATTAAATTCTCAATGATTTCCCTAAGCCTTAAACATTCCAGTTTGGAAACTGCTTTCTGAGGTCCCGTGTCTAATGTAGTTTGCAGTTTTCACAGCCGCTCACTTCCACTTCGCTGAAATCGCTCCGGAAAGTTAATGAGATGTTCCCTCTGAATTGATCATTCCTCCCATTTGGAAGGAAGATAATTTTCTGGGTGGATGAGCATTGAGTAGTTTCAGTTTACCTCAGTTTACTGATTTGCTAGAGGATGGCATATTGAACTTTGATTATGTACTTTCAAAAGTGAAAATGCCACAGTATTGTACTGAAAATGGCCCTCCTTAGCCTTTGGAAGGATGGTCATGGTGGGAAGCTTTTGCTGTATTGCTGGTGCACAGACCATGGAAAGAAATCCCTTTTCACGTTTCAAAGTCTATCATTGTAGCCATAATAAAATTGGCAGAATTGAATGTTTGCTAAAATGCTGTGATATAGCTGATAGGGTTTTAATTTTTTAAAAAGACAATTTACCTTTTTTTATTTTGTTTTTTAATTAATACCCAAATTTTTGTATAAGACATTTCAGTGCTTGAGAAATGTATTTCTACTACTAAGACCTTCAGTATAATGCCATATTCTTTACTTTTAAAATATAATTTAGAAATGCTTTTGTAAAATATTCTTTTTTTTTTGAGCCAGGGTCTTGTTCTGTTGCCCAGGCTGGAGTGCAGTGGCATGATCTCGGCTCACTGCAACTTCTACCTCCCTGGTTCAAGCAATTCTCCTGCATCAGCCTCCTGAGTAGCTGGGACTACAGGCACCTGCCACCACGCCCAGCTAATTTTTATATTTTTAGTAGAGGTGGGGTTTTGCCATGTTGGCCAGGCTGGTCTTGAATTCCTGACCTCCAGTGATTTGCCTGCTTCGGCCTCCCAAAGTGCTAGGATTACAGGTGTGAGCCACTGTGCCCAGTCTTGTAAAATGTTCTTGAAAGTGACAGTATCCTGTACATTTATAATTCTCATTAGGCCTAAAATTAAGACCAAACTTTGGTATTCAGCCTTTTCTTATAGAAGTGAAATGAGGTAGAAGGGCACACTCCCTGGTCATTTTTAAAAAACTGATTGGGATCATAGATTGATACGCAATTTTGATGGTGATTTATTACCTGTGATGTTTGGGCTTTCGTTCTAAAATGGAATTGTTAGCTTTTTGGAGACAAGTAACTTTAATTTGAATCTGTGCTTTATAAAAATAGAATGTTAGCATTTACTGGAAATTCCATGCGTTGTGGAGAGGCAGGATGATGAAATCAGGATTACTTGTCCCAGCGGGGGGCAGCAGTGGCCTTTGGTAGTCATCGTCACTCCAGGACCTGTGGAGCCGACTCCGGGTGCTTCTTACCATGTTTGAAGTAGACTGACTCACTTTATGGAGCTGTTCAATCAGGGGAAATAAGAGTCTTATTATTTATGAATACTTTTGTGATTACTGTCCATTCTTCTGTATGTAGAGAAATCTGAAATAAGGAACATGTACCATTTCACTATTCCCAAGGAGAAAGGGGAGCAGCTGAAGGATACAAAGTGTCCACGTTCCCTGTAATAGAGATTTGGCCAGCTTGCTGTCTTCATGCTGGTGGGTCGGTCAGGGGTGCGGAGGCTGGGATGGCTTCTGTTGGTTTGGAAGGCTAAGTTTTGTGTGTGGAGGCCCCTACTTTCAGCCTTCATCAAGCTGTGTCTCAGTGGAGGCCATGAGGGGAGGGGGCGTGTGCTGTGCCAGTCGACCATCCCAGCCGTGGCTGGGTGACTCCACAAAGCCAGCATGCCATGTGACGTTCCCTGCTGATGCCCAGGTAGATACTCAGAGAGCCAGGGGAGCCTTGGGGAGGCCCAGAGCCAGGAATCTCTGGGGCTGTAAACCCTCACCCCTGCTTCTGATACCAGACTGATGATCCCTAACAGCTCTGTGCGGTTGTAGCTCAAAATCAGAGGTGCCCTAGCATTTCCACACAAGTATGTATCTATCTAAAAAGGAGCAGGAATCCCATCTGGATCTGGTCAAGCCAGTTGTGGGGTTGTGAACATCCATGTTTAACATGAGCTTACGCACTGAGAGCATCTTTTCAAAGTGCAGAGCAGATCAGCCTTGCTCTTGTGTAAAACCCTTCTGTGACTTCTTGCCGTTTTTAGGGATAAGGCCCAAATACTCACTGTGGCCCTGAGGCTGGTGCGCAGGGGCCCCTGCTCCCCTCCAGCCTCCCCTGGGCCATGCTGCCCTCAGCTCTCTGCACCAGCCCTCCGTCCTTCTCTCGGCCCCCTGGACCTCGCCATTGCTGCTCTTCCCAGAGCCTGGGGTGTTTCCTTCCTTCTGACTGTGGTCTCCCTGGCTCTGGACTTCGTCGAACAGCACTGACCACTCATGGGCCAGCTGTCTTTTCCTCTGCAAGGCAGTCCTTGATGACAATGAGGCGAGCTCCAGCGGCCCGCTTTACTCTCATATAGTACCTTGTTGCCCTGTCCTTAGATGGGTTATTGTGCATTTCTTTGTCTGAAGGCTTCGACACTGCTAGCTGTGTGCACTGCACCATCAGCTCAGGGGCAGGGACCAGGCCTTTCTTCTTCTAGCTGGCCCAGGCCTCCAGCACCGCAGCACTGGCACAGGCATCACTCAGTAAACGGTTGTTGAATGAATGAATGTGGTCTAAATATACCCATTATTTATACTTTTCCCAGAAAGCTATCTACTTTCATAACTTCAAAGAATGACCAATTTTAGTTACAAATTCTGTTATGAATTTTTTTTTTCTTTTTTTTGAGACAGAGTCTCACTCTGTTGCCCAGACTGCAGTGCAGTAGAGCGTGATCTTGGCTCACTGCAGCCCCAGCCTCCTGGGTTCAAGCGATCACCTGTCTCAGCCTGCCAAGTCGCTGGGAATACAGGCGTGTGCCACCATGTCCGGCTGATGGTTTTAGTTTTCGCAGGGACAGAGTCTCACTATGTTGCCCAGGCTGGTCTCAAACTCCTGGGCTCAAGCAGTCCTCCGGCTGCAGACTCCCAAAGTGTTGGGATTACAGGTGTGAGCCACCATGCTTGGCTTTTATGAACTGATGAACAAAAATATTATCATTATGTTCTAGTGAAGAAAAATAACTCGTAGCTGAATCACTTTTTCTTCCTTCTTTCCTTCATTCATTTGACAAGTGTGGCCACTATAGCAAGCCCTGTTCTAATCGCTTGGAATACTTCAGTGAGTACAAGAGAAAACACACCTGCCCCAGGTGCTCATATGCTAGTGGGGAGAGCAGATATTACATGAGATGCCTGTAGAAGATGCATCATACAGCAGAAGCAAAAGTGCTGTGGAGCAAAGCAAAGCAAGGGCGGGGTGGGGCAGGGACAGGATCCCTGCAAAGGTGACCTCTGAGGTTAGGGAGGGGGCGTGCAGGGAAGAGCGCCTCGGGCAGGGTGGGGGGCAGTGCAGCAAGCAGGCAGGTGTGGCATGAGTGTGCGTGGGGAGGTCAGAGAGGAAGCAGGATGGGAAGGACACCAGCCCTTGGAAGGGCAGGAGCCTTGGGTGAGCAGAGAGGAATGCAGGGCTGGCTGGGCTTGAGAAGGGTCACAGGCTGCCATGTGGAGGCAGGGGTGGGTACAAGCTGGGAGACAGGTTATAAGCTCTTGCAGGTGTCCAGGCCACGGAGTAGCTGGTGAGAAGCATCAAATTCTGTGTGCATTGTGAAGATAAAATCCACAGGACTAGCTGGCAGATCTAACGTTGGGGAGAGAGACAAAGGTGGGGTCACAGGCAGCCCCAGCGTGTTGGCCCAAGTTACTGGAAGTTTGGAGTTGCCTTGGGAAGTGGAAGCTTGTGTCTAGCACCTTAGACCACCGGGCCATCCTGCCACACGCTTGGAGTTGCTTTGAACTATGCTGGGGAAGGTGCAGGCGGAGCTGGCTGGGAAAGTCAGCATGGGCATGTGAAGTTTGGGTGTACATGACATCAGGCTGGCAGTGGTGGGTGAGAAGGAGTCTGGGGTTCGGGCCAGAGGGTGGGCTGGAGATGTAGGTTTGTTGGGCATCCGCACAGATGGAGCCTGGGAGTAGCTGAGACTCCATGGGGAGCACGAGGATGAGCTGTTGAAGGCATGAGCTCTGGACCCTGGCATTAGAGGTCTAGGAAATTAGGGGCAACCAGTAGGACTTGAGAGGGGAGCCTGGGGAGGAGGAAGTGCCAGGAGTGAGTTACACTGGCGGCCCAGTGAAACCGGGGTTCCTGGGGGGCGGGATGTGTGTGTGTGGCAGGGCTGGGTTATCTTATACCTTTCAGAACTATGTTTAAAGTTTTGTAGATGTAATTAGAATAGGATGAGTTCATGCCACTTTGAAACCTATAATTGTATGAATAATTTTGAATTCCTTTACGCAGACATGACACATCACGGCTTCTCTTTGCGTATGATATCAAGCACCAGATTCATTGCATATTTATGTGTAATTTAGTCAGTTAATTTCTTATGATGGAAATAGCTCCTTTCATTTTTAGGTTTATCTTGACTTAGCATATGACAATCATTTGGAAATAAAAGAAACTATAAAAGAGAAAAGAATAATAGCATCATGAATAAGTTTATAATTATCCTTTTTATGAACAAAATTACCATAAGAAATCTCTGATATTTTGGAAAAACACATATTGTTTCATTCTTTGCTTATTTAATTTTTCCCTCAAGGAACAAAACTTTTTTTTTTTAATCTATACTGGCTGTTAAAAGAATAGAAATTCCTCCATCCTTAATAGAATTTATTCTGTGTTATCTTCGCATTGATTCTAATGAAGAATTAGAATTTAGTTCATTCCAGCTGTAGGTCATGTAGAAGTTTTTCTGAGCACTTGGTTATAAGATATAGGCCAGGAATAAAACCATCATAGAAGCCCTATCAATTTCATCTTGGTTACTTTTTAGAGGAATAATTTTTGCTTAGATCTTGTTTTCTAAATATCACTTCTCACTAAGAGGAACCAGGAATCTTTGAGAAAAAGGCTGAATCAGGACTGTGGAAGGGAAGATACAAAAGCCAGGAACATTTTGTTAAGCCTGAATGTAAGGAGTGCTCACAGTATTTGATAACAGCATGTCCAAAGGACAGAGAAGCCAGCGGCAAGAGCCTCCCAGTGGCCAAATTAGGAGAATTCGAGCATTCGAATACACAAGGACAGTAATGGATTATAACCCATCAAATGAAATAAGAATATAGGTGTTTGTCCTTATAGCAGATCGGTAGATAAGGAGACAGAGAGAGGCAGAGCAGGTGAGGGGAAAGCTGTTCCTTACGGTAGAGTGCCAACTGTACATCTAGAAGAAAGGACAGAATTAGCAGATTGATTCAGGCCAGAATCATCCGTGAGTGCTATTTCAAGTGTAGGGACTCTCTGATGAGTAACAGGATTTACATCATCCCAAAGCATCTCCCCACAAACTACTCATTATAAAAGCAAAAATAGCAACTGCACAATGGAGACACCGGATCCCACCTTCACTGTGTGGTTACTGCCATCATCAAGAGCAGAAGGGCCTCCTGGGTGTCTGTGGAGCCCTGGTAAGTTCACAGCTTCACAGGTGGGGTGTTGCCAAAGACCACACACCGCACTGCTCATGAGCACACATCAGAGGACCCACCGCCAGGGCCACTCGGTCCGATAACTGAAGAATGTTATTGTCACGAAAACCAAAGAAAGACTGAGCAACTGTTTTCCGTCTAAGGAGACCAAAGGAATGTTATGGCTAAATGCAAAAATGGTCCTGGACTGGATCATACCCTTGGGAAATGTTATACAGAACATTATTGGGGCAATGACAGAATCGCAGTGTTATTTGGAATTATTATATTGGAATACAATGTTAAATTTCCTGAATATAACTGTGCTGGGATTATGTATGAAAATATTTTTCTTAGAAAATACACACTGAAGTATTAAGGAAGTAAAGGAGCATATTGTATGCAACCTTTTCTGCAATGGTTTAGGAAAAAAATGTTCAAAGAGAGGAAGAGAACAAATGTGACAAAATGTTGAAAATCGGTAAACCTGTAGGCCAGCTGCAGTGGCTCACGCCTGTAGTCCCAACACTTTGAGAGGCTGAGGTGGGCAGATGGCTTGAGCTCATGAGTTCAGGACCAGCCCGGGCAACATGGTAAAACCCCATCTCTACAAAATTAGGAGGTTGAGGTGGGAGGATGATTTGAGTCTAGGAGGCGGAGGTTGCATTGAGCCAAGATCACACCAATGCAGTCCAGCCTGGGCGATAAATCTTGTCTCAAAAAAAAAAAAATTATTTGAACCTGGGTATAGGTATACAGGAGTTCTTTGTTCTGTTATTGCAACTTTTCTGGAAGTTTGAAATTATCCCAAAATAGCAAGTTAAAAGAAGAAAGTAGAAAAAAATTATTTTTAGGATGTGAAGGTGGTGAAGGTGGTAATATATTTTTAGGATCTGCAGATAAGTTTTTAAGTAGTTGTTAATTTGCTGATGTAATTAAAATATCAATACTTCTAGCAAATAATAAAAACTCTTTATTGGTAGATTGATAATAAAATGGTACAACGGTGGTATAAGTTAGGCTATCAAGAAATTCATTATCAGTATATTATGGATACATTTTTAAAAATTATGAAATATTTCATGATATTTCCAGTTGGTAGAATTGTGCATATTTTTTCATAGTCTAACTATACCACATTTCATTGACTGTAGATCTTGATTTTAGGATGCACCATTGCTATTGAGAAACAAAAAAATTGCTAATTATAATTCTAAGACAATTAGTGTTGTGTGATGTGTCCTGATTTCAGAGATGTTAAAAATGTGCAAAAATGTGGCTGGGCGCAGTGGCTCACGCCTGTCATCCCAGCACTTTGGGAGGCCGAGGTGGGCAGATTGCTTGAGCCCAGGAGTTTGAGACCAGCCTGGGCAACATAACAAGACCCCTCTCTCTTAAAAAATGGTGGAAAAATAATGTCTTAAATATATGAGACTAGGTATATTGAAGTGTTGAAGTGCGTTATTTAAAACTGCTTCTTATTAAAATTACTGCCACATCCTGATTTTATTTAGAAAACTATAAATCTATGATAGACATCTGCTAAAAATGGCATATTTTATAATTAATACTAGAAGGTGTTCTTACAACTGCTGTCAGTGTATCTTCTGTATTTCAATGGATTGTTTGTTTATGTGTTTGTGTCCCAGAGTGCTCTTTTTAACAAGTAGTAATTTTTGCTCAGGTATTTTCAGGGACTCTTAAAAACAGGAAATTTTGGGATCATTTCCTCTGACTCACTGCTCACTAAAATAATAGCTGTTACTCTCCACAGATGCTGCAGTTGGAGAAGAAACTTGAACGTGAACTTGAGGATGATGCACGAGTTATTGCTTGCCGGTTCCCTTTCCCACATTGGACTCCAGACCACGTCACGGGGGAGGGGATAGACACAGTGTGGGCATATGATGCAAGCACTTTTAGAGGCCGTGAAAAGAGGCCCTGTACATCGATGCATTTCCAGCTGCCCATTCAAGCATAAACTTGACTGGGAGTGTTTTTCTGAAATATTGTAGTCTTCCCTGATCTTGTAGAGACTTACAGCTGTGTCCTTAGCAAAGGAGCATAATTGTCTTTGGTTTGGAATGAGAAATTACTATTACTTTCCTTAACTGTTGGAGAAAACAAACGAAGAAAAACAGGTAGATTTAAAATCTGCTTTTGATGCTATTTTCTTAAAAATTGTACTTACTGCCTTTCCATGCACCTGGATGCATGAAAAGATGAATAAGTGATGGTCATGGTTATGGGTAGGAAAATAAGATGCCAATAGCTCTTCACATTATAAACAATATGGCTTAATGCCTCGATAAGGAGAAATGATTTTTAAAGACAGTATATATTACCAACTGTTTGTAGTATCCTATAACTTTGTTCATACTTAAGTTGTATCTCTTTCCTTTTTGTACTTCATGGCAAAATTAATTTTCTAAAGGATTCAGAGAGGCGTTTATATTTTATAACATTTATTAGAAATAATTTGTTCCACCACTAGATTACTGTATTTTATGGAATCTAAGCTGTATATGTGTACATTTGTATACATGTATGTGTAAATGTAAGCCTGACGTGGGTTCAGATTCCAGTTTTGTCATCAGCAAGAGGCCTCGGACCCATGACTTACTGCCTCTGAGCCTTGGCTTTCTGTGTATCTCTGCCACTGGGATAATGGTACACATAACAGTGGAGTGGGGACCAATTTCTAAAACTCATGGCACCTAGTCTTTGGTCCATAAATGGTGTTTGTTATTTTAGACACTGAGAAAAATCTTATTCACAGAAGTTGCAGATTATTTCTGCTAGTCACTTTTTTATTTCTTGAGAGCTGCCACTCATTTAATATTTCTCATTTATGAGAAGAGACTTGACTGATTTAGATAAAAGACGAATTAAGGAAAACCTTTGAACGTGAGTAGACAAGCTTCATATATCTGTAAAGTGAATATTGAATGGTAGCTTGAGTCATTCGTACTTATCACAGAAAAGAATTGAACTCCCAGTCATACACCTGTAACTGAAATACCAAACTGTCTTAATGGAGATGTAATGAAGTAAGATGGTCACATCTTTAACTAAACTTATAAAAATTGGTCAGTTTGATCATTTTCATTTAAATGAGAAACATCTGGGGACACATTCATTCATTCAACAAATATGTATTCAGTATCTACTGTAGAAGAAGCTCTGAGATTCTGCGGTAAATAGACATGCAAAGCCCCTGGCCTCATGGAATTCCTATTCTGGAAAGGAGAGACAAACAAATAAGCAAGGGAATCTTAGTGTGTGTGGAGTTCTCTGAAGTAAACAGTGTGATGGTGTAGAGAGCACCTGTGTGAGTCTGAGATGAGGGGATGTGATGTTGTGGACTTCAGCCAGGTTTTTGGCAGCTAGTGTCTGTCCCTTTTTCAGTAGCTCCAGTCTTCTTATGAAGAATGAGTTCTTTCTGTGGTGTGTGACTTTAGTGGGAGGGCAGCTCTTGCTCTATGCCTCTCAGTTGCCTTCCACTGTAACCAGTCCTGTAACTGGTCTGGGCACACTCGGAGGGGGATCCATGGTAGCTCCTTGCCATGAAGATGTGGGTAGAGGAGGGTTCTGTGGGGCCTCGGAGGTGTTCAACATTTTCTAGAAGTGTTCCTGGTGGGTTTATAGAGGCATTGATATGGTTTGGCTGTGTCCCTACCCAAATCTCATCTTGAATTCCCACGTGTTGTGGGAAGGACCTGGTGGGAGGTGATTGAATTATGGGGGCAGGTCTTTCCTGTGCTGTTCTCATGATAGTGAGTAAGTTTAATGAGATCTGATGGTTATTTTAGGGGGGAGTTTTCCTGCACAAGCTCTTTTTGCCTACTACCATTCACGTAAGATATTCCAGCCACATGGAACTGTAAGTCCAATTAAAGCTCTTTCTTTTGTAAATCGCCCAGCCTCAGGTATGTCTTTATCAGCAGCGTGAAAACAGACTAATACAGTAAATTGGTATGTTGCTGAAAAGATGCCCGAAAATGTGGAAGCAACTTTGGAACTGGATAACAGGCAGAGGTTGGAACAGTTTGAAGGGCTCAGAAGAAGACAGGAAAATGTGGGAAAGTTTGGAACTTCCTTGAGACTTGTTGAATGGCTTTGACCAAAAGCCTGATAGCGATATGGACAATAAGGTCCAGGCTGAGGTGGTCTCAGATGGAGATGAGGAACTTGTTGGGAACTGGAGCAAAGGTGACTCTTGTTATGTTTTAGCAAAGAGACTGGTGACATTTTGCCTCTGCCCTAGAGATTTGTGGGACTTTGAACTTGAGAGAGATGATTGAGGGTATCTGGCAGAAGAAATTTCTAAGCAGCAAAGCATTCAAGAGGTGACTTGGGTGCTGTTAAAGGCATTCAGTTTTATAAGGGAAGCAGAGCATAAAAGTTTGGAAAGTTCGCAGCCTGACAATGTAATAGAAAAGAAAAACATATTTTCTGAGGGGAAATTGAAGCTGAATGCAGAAATTTGCATAAGTAACAAGGAGCTGAATGTCAATCCCCAAGACGATGGGGAAAATGTCTCCAGGGCATGTCAGAGTCTTCATGGCAGCCCCTCCCATCACAAGCCTGGAGGCCTGTGAGAAAATGTTTTTGTGGTCCATCCCCAGGGTCACTGTGCTGTGTGCAGTCTAGGGGCTTGGTGCCCTGTGTCCCAGCCATTCCAGTCATGACTAAAACGGGCCAAGGTACAGCTCGGGCTATTGCTTCAGAGGGTGGAAGCCCCAAGTTTTGGCAGCTTCCGTGTGGTGTTGAGCCTCTGGGTGCACAGAAGTCAAGAATTGAGGTTTGGGAACCTCCGCCTAGATTTCAGAAGATGTATGGAAATGCCTGGATGCCCAGGCAAAAGTTTGCTTCAGGGACGGGGCCCTCATGGGCAGTGAGGCCTGCTAGGGCAGTGCGGAAGGGAAATGTGGGGTTAGAGCCCCCACACAGAGTCCTTACTGGGGCACCACCTAGTGGAGCTGTGAGAAGAGGGCCTACCCCAGAATGGTAGATCCACTGACAGCTTGCCCTGTGCACCTGGAAAAGCCACAGACACTCAACACCAGCCAATGAAAGCAGCCAGGAGGGAGGCTATACCCTGCAAAGCCACCGGGGTGGAGCTGCCCAAGACCATGGGAACCCACCTTTTGCATCAGTGTGACCAGGATGTGAGACATGGAGTCAAAGGAGATCATTTTGGAGCTTTAAGATTTGCCGCTGTGCTGGATTTTGGACTTGCATGGGGCCTGTAGCCCCTTTGTTTTGGCCCATATCTCCCATTTGGAATGGCTGTATTTATCCAATGCCTGTACCCCCATTTTATCTAGAAAGTAACTAACTTGCTTTTGATTTTACAGGCTCATAGGTGGAAGGGATTGCCTTGTCTTGGATGAGACTTTGGACTGTGGACTTTTGAGTTAATGCTGAAATGAGATAAGACTGTGGAGGACTGTTGGGAAGGTATGATTGGTTTTGAAATGTGAGGACATGAGATTTGGGAGGGGCCAGGGATGGAATGCTATGGTTTGGCTGTGTCCCCACCCAAATCTCATCTTGAATTCCCATGTGTTGTGGGAGGGACCCAGTGGGAGGTAATTGAATTATGGGGGCAGGTCTTTCCCATGCTGTTCTTATGATAGTAAGTCTCACGAGATCTGATGGTTATTTTATGGGGGAGTTTCCTGCACAAGCTCTTTCTGCCTGCCGCCATGCACGTAAGATGTGACTTGCCCCTCCTTGCCTTCCGCTATGATTGTGAGGCTTCCCCAGCCATGTGGAACTGTAAGTCCAGTTAAACCCCTTTATTTTGTAAATTGGCCAGTCTCAGGTATATCTTTATCAGCAGCGTGGCAACAGACTAATACAGGCATCAAGCTATGTGCAGAGTTATTAATAACTTAGCATTTTTGTTTTTAATTAAGTTATTAATAACTTAGCATTTAGTTTCACAAGAATTAGATGATGCTTGTCTCTCAACCTCAAACGGGCTGTTTCATAGAAGTGTTGTGATTTGGAGTCTGCAGGATCTTTAATTGCTTTTTGAAATTGTGGCTTGTTAAGTAAACTGTACAGTAAGGATTTTCCTGCAGAGGTTAGTGTGGCTTCTCTGATTTAAATTTTTATCAGTTATTAGGTTAAGGACATCGATCAAATTTGTACGTGACATGAATCAGGGAATGAGAGCTACTGTGTTGGCTGTCAAAAATAGGATTTATAAATGCAGGTACAGATTGAAATCAGGGGCCAATGCTAACTCGATAAGATTGAAAACAAAAGAAGTATAGTTTAGGGGTGATGTAGCCTAACAGGACCTGTGATAAACAGACATGGGGGTTTCCATGAACACTTGGGCTGATGACTTAAGCAATCTCCCATCTGAATGCATCTTCCTCCAAAAGCATGACCCCCAGGAATGCAACCCTGTGTTCCCCAGGTGTCTCAGGTGGCTCCTCAGACCCTCGGTTAGTTCTGGTGTTCAGACTCCCTCAGATGCTTAGCTCCATTAAGTGCAGGAGAGAGCAAGTTCAAAAGAGTTAAGAAATGAGACTTTCTTCCAGATACACTGTGTTCATCATTGCTGGGAGATGGTATGCACAACATACATTACAGCTCAACAGAATAGAAGAAATGCAAGATTTTTGACATTTAAGCCATGCAGCTGGATTCCATTCCCCTCCCAAAGTACTTTCTCTGGTGGCCAAAGGTGTTAAAGACCTGGCTGTGAAGAAATAAGTGTTCTGAAGTCCAGGAGTCTTCTGAGCTTGTGCTGTTGCATTTATTTCATAGCTTATCACTGGCTGAGCACATTCTGGGAAAAACTGTAGTCATTGCAGTGCATACTTCAGGAGTCTGCTTAAGTCAACAAACAGAAGAACAAGAAGTACCCTTGGGGCCCTATGTGCCTTAGTGTGACCAGCCTTTCATTAAGATGCCTGAAGTCATCTGGACCATGGAGCTGTTCTCACCTGGCTGTGCAGTAACATCTGTAGGCCTCTGACCCAGCTCGCCTGTCCTGGAGCAGGGACACTAGGGGGCTGGGAAGGCAGTGTGCAGACACTGCCTGCCTCCTACCCCCGCCTCTTTGTCTTGCCAGCAGAGCCCTCCGTTTCTCAGGTGTCAGGATCAATGTGCTCAGTGAAGAGAGGCCCTATCAATTACCCAATTCCATTCCCCTTTGCCATGGGTGTTAGGGTGGGCTGTGGGCATGTGACCTGGTTCCTGCCAATGAGATTTGAGGGGAAGTCTGCTCGGAGCTTTGGGAAAGGCTTTTGTTGCTAATAGAAGGTGTTACATGAGGAGCAAGCATCCTTCCTGTTTTTGGACATGCTATGTAGGACGGTAATGCCTGGAGCTTTAGCAGCCACTCTGTAACCATGCGGGGAAAAGTGAAGATGGAAGCCAAGATACCGAGGCTGGTGGAGCAGACAGACGGAACGACCCTGGGTCTTGGGTATGCTGCTGAGCTGCTGCATTGACCCTGAGCCTCGTACTGCAAGACGTCTTGTTATGTGAAGTAATAAGCCCATGTTTTATGCTGCTTTTACATGAATGTTGTGTTATTTGCACCCTACATCATCCTGAAGGAGGAAGGAGGATTGTAAGGCTGACCTGGGGCAAGGGGAGCCGACAGTGTGCAGTGCAGGCATGGAGAGGCCACTGTCTCCACCCAGAGAGGACTAGAGGACTGGAAGGTGCGTCTGGAGCATGTGAAGGATGGAGACTTCCCGGGGGAGGGAGCCCCACTCACAGAGTAGTTCCTAGGAGTGGTGTCTGGGGGAACTCTACCAAGTCAAGAGGGCCGTGCATTTGGACCAGACTTCCCAGGTGATCAGATGGCTCCTGAGGAACACCAGTCACCCCAGGAGGTCTTCCTGTTCTTAGGGGTATGGGCAAGCCACAGCATAGCCTCAGCCATGTCCTCATACCACAGGGAGCTTTATAGGCGAGGAGACTATTTCTCAGGATTAGAAAAGGAATTAGGGAAACCAAGGTCACTTTCAGACTGCCATTCTTGGCAGATAGGGTTACCAAGTATAGGAGCTGGTAACTTAGAAGAGCCACGCCCAGTCCTGAGCACTGGCACTATCCACACTTCTCCCAGCTCTAGTCAACATCTCCTTAGCCCTCATTAGGATGGGAAGTGGAGGGAGCCATACTTCCAAAGGATTCTCCAGTGGGATGGCCGGGAAGAGGCCAACCATACCTCTAGCATGACAGTCCAGCTGGTTGGCTAAACAGGCTCCAGAAGTTCCACTGTCCCTGTGGGTGGCAACTGGGGGTAGACTTGGCACCATCCCTCCATGGGGGGGTCTTCTTGGGTGGGGTCTCCTCTGAGCCTCCCCTTCCTGGTTCACAATGGGGGATGCCTTTGGTATGGCCTGTCCATAAACTAATAATGGTTTAGAATGGATGACATAAAAAACTAGAAATAGAAAAAAGGAACAGAAGCCACACTGATCAACAGAAATACATTCCGGATGGTCAATGCCTTGAAAACATATCCTAGGCGGCACAATTAAAGAGGCTGTGAATGTTTACTCTGGACGAGAGGATGTTTGGAGGCAGATATTTTCACATATCTGCAGGGCTGCCATGCAGATGAAAGGAAGGTAGTGGACACGACTGTGTGCCAGGGGTTTCCATGCACTGTATACCCTTCTCCTCCGCAGGGACATAGCCCTGTCTTCCTTTTTTTTTTTAAATCAAGGGTAGTTAACTTGCTCAGAATCACAGCCAGACACAGGAGCACCAGGTCTTTATTACACTCAGTTGCTCCCCTGGAAGTAAACCTGTTCTGATTGGCTTTGGGGGGCAAAGTAGGGTCATTGGGTGGATGTTGAAGGGATATGAAATTTAAGCTCAGTACAAAGTACCGTCTTAACAAAGTCATTAAAAGTTAGAATGCGTTGCCTGTGGGTGTAGTTCCTTCTGCCTGGAGATGCAGAGCGGAGGCTGGACAGCCACTTGGTGGGGATGTTGTAGAAGGGATCCATCCACAGGCAGGCATGGAGTCCTAAAATTACCCTGAACGATGAGGAGTTTTCCAGTCTGAGCAGGGCCACCTGAATCCTTTCGGCAGACCTCCGCGGAAGATCTGTGAGGCACTAAAGCAGCCTTTGGCAATAAAAGTGTGTCACGTAACTCCATCTAAACCTAGCATCCCCCCAGACATTAGGGCGCTGTGGCAATTTTTCACTCTGGTATTGCCTAACAAAGTAGCCAAAATATTGGCAAAGGTGATGGATGAAGGTAAACTGTATCAGAATCCAGCCAGGAAGTGTGGATGCTCAGAAGAGAAAGTTGGCGTCTGTCAGATCCCAGAGGGTTTAGCTGGAGCTAACACAGTGATGCTTACTCCATGCCAATTAGAACTGAGGGACTGTTCTTGAAGCCCCTGGTGGGAATATGTCACTAGTGGTGTCTTATCCTCTTTTAAGTGACACTGCTTCATTGCCAAGGGAGCAGCCTTATGAGGACCAAACCTTGCCCCTTTCCAGCCCTTCCCCAACTGATGGGATCAGTGTTGGGCCTCTGAGCCAAAGCAGGCCAGGCTGTAGGCTGGCCAGCAAAGTGGCTGGCAGGAAGAGATGAGATGTCAGCTTCCATGTTGAGAATTTAGGGAACAGAAAGATTGAACACATAGAATTAAGGTCATGAGATTGAGGCCAGAGGAATGGCAATGGCTGTGAGAGAGATGGGAGAATAACAGTCAGGCTTTTCTCTGAGTCCAGGGAGCAGGCCACCGTCCTGAGGCATAAGACTAAGCCAGGGGCTCACTCCATCCCCTGGCCAGTGGGGCCTTGGCCCTGAGTTCAGCAGGAGCAGAGCTGCCACTGAACCTCAGAACGTCTCGGCTTGTCTCCTCATCTGATTACATCGAGTGTCATGTTCCTGGAAGAACTCCACTATGAAATAAGTGATTTTATGATGAATGGAAATACCACTTGCCATGGCAATTATTAAACACAAGGAACTTATTATCTCCCAAAGACAATGCGGGCTATATGTTTAAATAGAAAAATGTACATTGATATAAATGTAAGGATAGCTGCATTTAAATAACACAATCAAGTTCCTGTGCTCCAATAGCAAACTTGAGTTATCTGGGACTCCTCTTAGGCAGAACACCTTGTTCCTTCAGAATGAGCTGCTTCTGTAATAACGACACGTCACGATTGTGTTGGAGTTGGAACACTTGTGACTCAATGGACTGATGCAAATTGAACATGAGCAGAAAGATCATATAACTTTTATAGGTGAGGGAAATTAGATGTCTTTTTCTAATTTAATATTATGGTGTGAACATTATCCAGGAAAGATTGATAAAACAATAATTCATTGATCACTAGGTTTAATTCAAAGCTGGAAAGAAGGAATCAAGTTAGCTTTCTTCTCTAATATCGTGGGATGAAAAAGTGGGCCGCACAATTATTTTTTAAAAGAATCCAAATGTCAGAATAATTTCACAAAATGCATGTGCATCCCACACTGGGTGGTACATGAAAGTGCACGGTAAGGTAGGGTTTGCTGTGAAGTGGCTTTGTAGTGTTTCTCGCATGGACTGTGAGAGTTAAAGGAGCGACGGGGTGACGTGATGCATTAGGCTAAATCCAGGTAAAGCACAGCTAGCAGTTAGCAGGATCGTGAGGCAGGTAAAGCTGCCACCTTGCAGGGGATTTTCCCTTTCTGCTTTCCTATGCCTCATCCCAGGCACTTAATCTTTGTGATTTTATCCCATGGCTTTTTTTTTTTTCCCACATGCCCACTGATCTTTGATTTAAGTGTTAGATTACATATTGCTATTTTTATTTTATTATATTTAATATATTATATTAATTATATCTTTATTATTTTATTTTTATTTTTTGTGGGACAGAGTCTCAGTCTGTCACCCAGGCTGGAGTGCAGTGGCACAATGTCGGCTCACTATAACCTCCACCTCCCAGGTTCAAGCAATTCTCGTGCCTCAGCCTCCCGAGTAGCTGGGATTACAGGTACCTGCCACCGTGCCTGGCTAAGTTTTTTGTATTTTTAGTAGAGACAGGGTTTCACCATGTTGGCCAGGCTGGTCTGGAACTCCTGACCTCAGATGATCCACCCGCTTTGGCCTCCCAAAGTGCTGGGATTACAGGCGTGAGCCACTGTGCCCGGCCCCGTAGTTACCTCTTTAAAGACTTTGTCTCCAAATACAGCCACGATCTGAGGTCCTGGGAGTTAAGACTTCAGCATATGAATTCTGGAGGGGAACACAATTCAGTTCATAACCATGTCTTTCCAGGTTAATTACAGCATCATTTAATTAGTAAGTCACTGCATGCAGCCTAGACGGGCATTGGTTGGAGACTAGTGAAGTACACAGCTAGTGTATGGAGCAGCTGTGAGGAAGACTGTCCAGTGACCTGCACCAGTTCACATGGGATTCCCAAGATACAGCCTTCTCTGCTATCACATGCACTCTGCCCGGCACACATTAAACATAACCAGCTCTACAGAAAAGGCAGCGTTATTGGGACCCCTCTTGAGACATGTGCAACTTCCAAACCTGAACACTGACAGAAGCAATCCTGGTACACAGGGAGGTAACTTGGGCAGTCCGGGCAGGTAGCTCAGTGGAGCTGAAACTGCTTGAGGGGATGATGATACTATTAATAGTAATAATGGCGTGGGGATGCTGCTTTGGGGATGACAGGCACATGAGCACTGAAGGATTTACACCTTATTGCAAGCCCAGGACCGACAAGGTAGGAACTGGCAAGGTGGGGTGCCCCTCTCTGGGGCCGTGCAGGCACTCCTTTTACATTTTCTTAAGACACTACTGAAAGATCTTCATATGGAGAGCCATTTCCTTTCTTGCTGAAGGTTCTTATTCTACACTCGTAATTCAAAGCTAAGCTCCCCTTGCCTAGAAAAAATTGCCTGTGAACCAACGCAACTTGCAGGTTACTCTGACATCATTCCTCTGCATGCCAGTGGTGTGTGAGTTAATTGGTGTTATAGTGACAAGTGTAGCACACCTTGAGTGCAAAAACAAGGGCAGAACATTGTGAGAGTTGCTTCTATTTATGTGAAAAAGAGTGTTCACGTGTTGATGCATGCACACATATATGTGTGTGTGTGAGCATACACATGCACTTGCATATCATGTTAGAAATAATCTGTGCAGGCTGGGCGCGGTGGCTCACGCCTGTAATCCTAGCACTTTGGGAGGCTGAGGTGGGCGGATCTCCTGAGGTCAGGAGTTCAAGACCAGCCCGGCCAACATGGTGAAACCCCATCTCTACTAAAAATACAAAAATTAGCCAGGTGTGGTGGCAAGCGCCTGTAATCCCAGATACTCAGGAGGCTGAGGGAGGAGAATTGCTTGAACCCGGGGGGCAGAGGTTGCAGTGAGCCAAGATCATGCCACTGCACTCCAGCCTGGGTGAAAGAGCAAAACTCCATCTCAAAAAAAACAAACAAAAATAAATAAAGAAATAATCTATGCATAGATTAATACAAGAAATTGGTCATCACTTGTGCCTTTGGGGAAGGTGGATGGGGATTGGGACCTGAGAGGAAGACTTCTTCTTCATTATATATTTTAAAATATTTTCTGCATTTTTTACTGTGTTTATGACTTTTCAATAAAAAGTTTTGAAGGCTTGCACATTTACATAGAAGATTAGCTTTGATTCACATGTGAGTTGCAACTTTTTAAAGCAAGTATGGAAGAGAGAAATACTCAGTGTTGCTGTGGGACTGAAATAGACTGAACTGTCGCGACCATGTACAGTAGTAAATAATGCTCCGGAAATCAGAGCTTGGGTAGTTCAGGGCAAATCCACTAGCATTCAGAGCGAAGCTTTCCCGAAGATGGAGAAGGGCATTTCAGATGACTTGCACTGGGCAAATAGTTCATGATTTGATTTTTTTTAAACTAGTCTTTTCCCTTTTTTTTCTGTTATGTTTTTATAATAAAATAAAAAGACAGAAACACACTATTTGTGAGATTTAGGCCAGCAGCTTAAAGAACCAAAAAAGTTAGCAAGAGGCAGACAGCGGGTGGGCAGGGAAAGGCCTCAGACTCAGCGTGGAGGAGTGAGGGAGCAGCCTTGGGCAGAACCCCCCTTCTCGGTGGGTCCTTCCCATCCCCTGGCCATGGTGGGTGATGTCTGGTCTCCAGTGGCCCTCCCTGTCCCCTAGCCCCCATTGTCCTTTCTTGCCTTCTCTGAAAGTTTAATGCTACCTTTTAGAACTGGTTATGCCCCGCACCAGATTTTGACAGCAAGATAAAAGCCAAGACACGTTCTCTTTTGCTTTTTGTATTGTCTGAAAGTGGACATATTGGGTGAAGAGCAAATGACACACACAAACAGCACCTAGAGGAACCTTTAGGTTCCTAACCCCAAATGACCATCAGCCCTCATCTAAAATATTTCTTTTGTGGTTTTGGAGCCTCTGCAGAAATGTGTCCAGAAACTGGCAATTTGCTCCCAATTCTTACGGCAGCCTGTTTTACCTTGAGGCACCCCTGTCAGAAATGTCGTCCTCTTTTCTCTTTTCTTTTTTATTTTTTTGGAGAAAGGGTCTTGCTCTGTTGCCCAGGCTGGAGAGCATTGGTGCAATCACTGCAGCCTTGACCTCCTGGGCTCAAGAGATCCTCCTGCCTCAGCCTCCTGAGTAGCTGGGAACTACAGGAACGCACCACCATATCTGGTTAATTTAAAAAAAAAAGTTTTTATAGAGATGGGGTTTCACTATGTTGCCTAAGCTGGCCTTGAACTCCTGGGCTCACGTGATCCTTCCACCTCGGCCTCCCAAAGTGCTGGGATTACAGGGACCACACCTAGCTTGGAAGTGTCTTCCTATACCTGGCTAAAACCTGGCTGTCTAGCATTTGCCACCCACTGGCCCTAATTTCACCCTCTGGGGACCACGCTGAGCAAATCTAACACTTTACTATGGGCTAGAACTTGGAATGCCAGAAGGTCTCTCGTGTCCCCAGTCTTCTGTTCTTACAGTTCTTTACATAACCCAATGGTCCCCTAGGCTGGTAACTGTCCTTAACAGAAGCTAGGTTGTAAATCGTCTTTCTGGAATGTGGCTCCTAGAGCCAGACACAGCCGCTGGTGTGGCCCACCTAGTGCAGAGGAGAACAGACCACCCCTTTCCTTGCTCTTGAATGAGGCTGGGACATCACACTCTCAACTTCTGTGGAATTTCTGTTTGTGCTTCTGATAAGCCACATATGCCACATAATATATCTTATATAAACCACGTTAAGTGGAGTTATTTTTGACCCAAGTGGGTTTTATGTTTTTGAAGCAAGTGAGGAACCTGAAATATATTCCTTTTTAAATTTCATCGTGTTAGATTTGCCCCATTGCTATGGGTTATTTAGGGCTTTTGGGGTGTAAATTTAATCAATCATTTGGTTATCTCTGAGTACTTTATGCCACATGCGACTTTAATAACCATGTGATCAGTGTTCTTGTCTATGTTGTTTGAGAGGAACAGACACAAACTTTGAGACAGGGCTGTGATCAGACACCTGAGACCTCCCTAGCCGACAAATTGTATCAGATTTGTGCTGTTGTTAAGCACTCTTAGGAGATTTTTTATTTATATACTTATTTATTTTTTTGAGACAGCTCTCCCTCTGTTGCCCAAGCTGGAGTGCAGTGGTGTGTTCATGGCTCCCTGCAGCCTCTACCTCCTGGGCTCAATTGATCCTCTCACCTCAGCCTCCTGAGTAGGTGGGACTATATAGGCATACGCCACCACACCCGGCTAAGTTTTGCTTTTTTTTTTTTTTTTTTTTTGTAGAGACAGGGTTTTTCCATATTGCCCATGGGTGGTCTCAAACTCCTGGGCTCAAGCGATCCACCTGCCTTGGGCACCCAAAGTGCTGGGACCACCGCACCTGGTTGATTGTTTATTTAGCTAATAATCTACTCAGTGATGCTCTCTTCTAGCTTCTGTTTCTCTCTTTTGTCTATAAGGACCTTCCTAAAGTCCAATTAGTCCAAAATGGAATTTTTAATAACAAATTTTCTCTTAGCATAATGACTAATTGAGAGAACATTTCACTCTACTAACATTTTTCATTTATGATGTGTCAAAACATGTCTTTTGGGGAGGGTGTGTTCCAAAAATAGAATTCTTTATTTCACATTGATCATGTTTCTGATTTTATTTACAATTTATGAATTCTTTTCCACTTAATGGTTTTCTTCCTGTTCACTGGTTGGCTGAGCTGACTTCTCTCATGCTCCCTCCACCGCTAACTTGGTGTATTTTTGGCTGTCCTATCTATATTGCATCTTGGACCCCGTGGGTCCTGGCATGTGCTGTGTGCTCTTTCTGTCCTTGATAGGATCATAGGCCTTTTCTTTCCACATGTACATTTTCCCCAATACAATTGTTTTTTTTTTTTGAGGCAGGGTCTCACTCTGTCACTCAAGCTGGAGTGCAGTGGTGCGATCTCGGCTCACTGAAACCTCCACTTCCTAGATTCAAGCGATCCGCCTACCTCAGCTTCTCTAGTAGCTGGGACTACAGTCACTTGCCAACATGCCCGGCAAATTTTTGTATTTTTAGTAGAGACGGGGTTTCACCATGTTGGTTGGGTTGGTCTTGAACTCCTGATCCCAGGCGATCTGCCCGCCTCGGCCTCCCCAAGTGCTGGGATTACAGGTGAGAGCCACTGAGCCCGGCTCCCAATACAGTTTTTTATTGCAAAATTCATGCCCTAATGGAGTCTCCTGTCGTGTGCCTTGTTTCCATTAACTAGGCATCATCTTTTTTTTTTTAATGTTTTATTTCGTAGCCTATCTGCTGATGTGGCATCACTTTTGTTTCCAGTAAATGAAAGGAAAACATTTCCACTCACTTAGGCAAAAAGAAGAAGAAAAGCTTGAGTGCTCAGCTGTTCTCTGAGATGAGATAAGTACGTGATTTACATTTTATTCTGCTTCATGGTTTGGCTCACGAGTAGGTGTTTTGTGTCTTCAGTCATTTGGTGATTATTTCTTCAGGTTGGTTTTACTCAGTGCCATTTAAGACGAATTTTATCCTGTGTCAGGTGAGTTTGCATTAAAACAGATGATTCTGATTTTTTTTTTTCAGGCATAAAGAATTACTTTGCTACAGAACATAATGGATTATTGTTAGACTGATATGAACAAACATATTTCAAATTATCCATATGACTATTGGTCAAATCATGCAAACTGCTAGCAAACATGAAAATAATCAGATTGATTATGATGAATTCTTTCCCAGAAGCAAATGAACTATTGCTGAAATTAAAACAAGAAAGAGGATTTTACTGCTCAATTTGTGTGTGAAGGGGAATGATGAAGGACAGTGATTTGCAATTTATAGGCAATTTTTCCCCACAGCAGGAGAAAGTTTCAAAGTGGGCTTGATAGTATTTGCTTTCAGTTTTCAATCGTTTGTTCAGAAAAACCAATATTCTGTCCTGAGAAAATAGAAATATCTTCTGAGTGTAGGTTGATAATGATAAGTTATGTAAGTGCTATGTAGGAATGTTTTAGTTTAATGTTTCCAGGTGTTAACAGAAGAATATGAAAGTCATATACTTAAAAAAACTGAGGTATGATTTACATAGAGACAAATTCACCTTTTTTGGTTTACAGTGCTGTGAGTTCTAACAATTCATACAGTCACATAACTATCACCACAATCAAGAGGTAGACAAATTCCATTATCCACAAAATTCCATTGTGCCCCCTAAGTCAGCTCGTCTCTAACTCCTACTTCCTGGTAACCACTGATCTGTTTTCTGTCCCTATAGTTTAGCCTTTTATTTCTTTCTTTTTTTTTTTTTTTTGAGACAGAGTCTCACTCTGTTGCCCAGGCTGGAGTGCAATTAGTTTAGCCTTTTCTATAAGGCCGCATAAGTGGAATCACACAGAATGTGATTGCCCTTTGAGTCCAGCTTCTTTCCCTTGGTATAATGCATTTGAGTTTCATCCATATTGTTGCATGTTAATTACTTTTCATCAATGAGTAGCGGTCCATTGTATGGATGTACCTGTCTGTTTATCCATTCACCAGTAGGGAAACATTTGGATTTTCCCCATTTTGATGATTATGGATAAGGTCACTATAAACATTTGCGTACAGGTTTTCTGTTATGAACGTGAGTTTTTGTTGACGTTGGGTAAGTAAGTGGGGTTGTATGTGAATGTTATGAGAAGCTGCCTGAGTGTGCTGTACCCTTTGGCATTCTCACCAACAGTGTGTGACAGTCCAGTTGCTCTGCATTCTCATCAGCGCTTGGTTTTCTTAGTTTTCTTCCTTCTATCCTAATGTACTGGTTTCTTATTAGGGTTTCATTTTGTGTTTTTCTAATGACATACTATGTGGAGCATCTTTTCATATGCTTGCCTGCTACCTGTATTAGTCTGCACTCTCACTGCTATGAAGAATACCCAAGACTGGGTAATTTATAAAGTAAAGAGGTTTAATTGACTCACAGTTTTGCGTTACTGGGGCAGCCTCAGGAAACTTACAATCATGCAGAAAGCAAAATAGAAGCAGGCACCTTCTTCACAGGGCAGAAGAGAGAGAGTACAAGCAGGGGAAATACCAGACGCTTATAAGACCATCAGATCTCGTGAGACTCACTCATGATCACAAGAACAGCATAGGGGAAACTGCCTCCATGATCCAATTACCTCCGCCTGGTCCCACCTTTGACATGTGGGGATTATGGGGATTACATTTCAAGATGAGATTTTGGGTGAAGATACAGCCAAACCATACAATTCCACCCCAGGCTGCACAGAGCAGGGGCCCCTGGGCCTGGCCCACCAAGCTGCCTGAGTGTGCTGTTCCATTTGGCAATCTCACCTGCAGTGTACGACAGCTCCAGTTGCTGTGCTTCCTCATCAGCACTTGGTTTTCTTAGTTTTCTCCCTTCTGTCCTGATGTACTGGTTTCTTATTAGGGTCTCATTTTTCATTTTCCTAATGACATACTCTGTGGAGCATCTTTTCATATGCTTGCTTGCTACCTATGGATCTTCCTTGGTGAAGTGTCTGTTCAGATCTTTTGACTATTTTAAAAATTGGGTTGTTCGTTTACTTACTATTGAGTTTTGATAATTCCTTATATATTTAGGATACAAATCCTTTATCAGACTTTTTTTTTTTGAGATGGAGTCTCACTCTGTCACCCAGGCTGGAGTGCAGTGGCCCAGTCTTGGCTCACTGCAACCTCCACCCCCCAGGTTCAAGCAATTCTCCTGCCTCAGCCTCCCGAGTAGCTGGGACTACAGGTGTGTGCCACCATGCCCAGATAATTTTTGTATATATAAATTTTTTTTAAGTAGAGATGGGGTTTCACCATGTTGGCCAGGCTGGTCTCAAACTTCTGACCTTAGGTGATCTGCCCGCGTCAGTCTCCCAAAGTGCTGGGATTACAGATGTGAGCCACCACGCTTGGCTCAATGTGTTTTGCCAATATTTTCTCCCAGTTTGTGGGCTTTTCTTTCTTTTTTTTTTTGTTTCCCTTCTTCCTTTCTCTTTTTAAAATAGAGACCAGGGTCATGCTTTGTTGCTTAGGCTGGTGTTGAACTCCTAGCTTCAAGCAACCCTCCTGTCTCGGCCTCCCAAAGTGTTGGGATTACAGGTATGAGCCACTGTGCCCAGCCTAGTTTTTCTTTTCATTCACTTAATAGTGTCTTTTGCAAAGCAGAAGTCTTTAATTTTGATGAAGTCAAATTTAATCAGTCTTTTCTTTTATGAATTGTGTTTTGGTGTCGTATCTAAGAAATCTTTGCTACAGTCACAAAGATTTTCTTCTATGTGTAATTTTAGAAGTTTTATAGTTTTAGGTTTTACGGTTTAGGCCTATGATTCATTCTGGGTTAGTTTTTATGGGATAAGATATGGATTAAGGTTTATTTCTTTGCATATGGCTACCCAATTGGTACAGTACTATTTGTTCAAAAGACTATTCTTTCTCCGTTGAATTGCCATTGCATCTGTGTTGAAAATTAATTGGCCAAAGTAAATGTGAGTCTACTTCGGAACTGTATATTTTGTACCACTGATTTATGTGTCTATCCTTTATTTAATACTATACAGTCTTAAGTATTGCAGCTTTATAGTACATTTTGAAATTGGATGGTGCATCTCCAACTTTGTTCCTTTTAAACATTGTTTTCGATATTGAAATTGCTTTGTCTTTTCATTGGCATTTCTTATCAACTTCTACCAGAAAGTATTTGGGACTTTGAAAGGGTTTACATTAAATCTATTAAACCGGGAGAATTGCTATCTGAACAATATTGAGTCTTCTAATCTATGAACGTGGTCTATCTCACATTTATTTAGGTCTTTAAAATTTTTCATCAGTGTTTTATAGTTTTCAGTATATAAATCTTGCACTTTTTTTGGATTTATACCTAAGTATTTTATGTTTTGGGTACTATTGTAAATGGTATTTAAAAAACTTCAGTTTGTAATTAGAATTGTTTTATTCCTTGTACATAGAATTACAACTGATTTTTATATACTTATATATTTATATATTTTTATATATTGAGCATGACTTTGCTAAGCTTACTAGTAGTTCCTTTGTAGATTCTTTATGATTTTTTTTTTTTTTTTTGAGACAAGGTCTCACTCTGTCACCCAGGCTGGAGTACAGTGGTGTGGTCTCAGTTCACTGGAACCTCTGTCCCTGGGTTCAAGCGATTCTCCCACCTCAGCCTCCCGAGTATCTGGGACTACAGGCATGTGCCACCATGCCCAGCTAATTTTTGTATTTTTTGGTAGAGATGGGGTTTCGCCATGTTGGCCAAGCTGTCTTTGTGATTTTTAATATACACAATTTTGTTTACAAATTGGGACAGTTTTATTTCTTCCTCTCTAATCTGTACGCCTTCTTTTTTTTTTTTTTTTTTTTTTTTTTTGCCTTATTGCCGTGGTGAAGATCTTCACTTTGATGTTGTATAAGAGCGGGGAAAGAAGACATCCATGCCTTTTATCGTGTATTAGGAAGAAAGTATTCAATCTTTCACCATGAAGCTTTATGTTAACTTTAGCTGTAGTTTTTTTGAGCATGATCTTTATCAGCTTGACAAAGTTCTATTATATTCCTAGTTTGCTGAGGTTTTACAAATAATGAATTGATGTCAATCATTTGATTAAAAGCATTCCTCAAAATGCTTTTTCTGTTTCTGTCAAGATGATTGCATGTTTTCTTTTTTAGTCTGCTGACATGATGAATGACATTAATAGACTTTTGAATGTTGAACTAGCCATGTATTGCGAAGATAAATTGCACTTGGATATAATGAATAATCTTTCTTATGATTACTTGATTTCATTTTCTAATATTTTGGTGATAAATTTTGTATCCTATATTCATAAAGAATAGTGATCTTTAGTTTTCTTTTCTTGCAAAGGTCTTTTTTAGGTTTTGGTATCAGGGCAATGCTGGCCATTTTAGTTCAGGAGTGTTTCCTTATTTTCTCTTTTCTGATAGAGTTTATGTAGAATTAGACACACAAATGCTATTATTCCTTCTTTAAGCAGTGGTAAAATTTATTAGTGAAGCTATTTGTACCTGGAAATTTTAATAAGACCATTAAATAAAGGTAGGCAAACAACCAAGAATATAACAGGTAGGCAAACAACCAAGAATATAATGAGATAAAGACAGGAGTAAAAAGCGTCAGATAGAAAGTGAATGAATTGGAAGAGAGGCAAAGCAAATCTAACATTTGTAAAACTGAAGAAGAGGAAGAGGGAGGGAAGGAGAAGAAGAAGACAATGAAGATGAAGAAGATGATACTGAGGAAGAAGGAGGAGGAGGAAGCAAAGGAGGAGAAAGAGAAGAAGATTTACTACCACCCATGGACCGGAACTAATATTAAAACTATATTTCAAGAAAGAAGAATAAATGAAAGCATATTTGAAGAAGAAGAAAAATAAAACAATGAAACAGGTCTAATACTTAAAACTATATTTCAAGAAAACTTTCTGGAAATAAGAGAAAACCTTAATCTAAATATTGAAATGGCCCATGATATGCCTGGAACAATGGAATGGAATAATCAACTCTAGGCTATAATAGTGTAGTAAAATTTTTAGATTTTAAAGACAAAGAAAAAATTCCCCAGGGCCTCCATGCAAAAAGACAATATTACTTAGAAGGGTAAGGAAATTAGGCTGGCATTAGCTTTCTCAATAGCAGTGTACAAACAAAGTAACAGTGAAGCAACATTTTTAAGAAACTCAAGGAAAGAAAGTGCAAGCCAAGAATTCTACATTCAGTTGAGCTGTTCATTAAGAATCAAAGCTGTATAAAAATAGTTCTACATGTACAGGAACTCAGGGAATACTGTACTCAGGAACCTTTTCTGACGTGTCTACCAGAAGAGGAGCTTCATCAAACTTACAAACAACTAGGGAAATTTTAGCAAAAGGACTAATGATGCCAATTTAATATATTTTATTGTAGAATTAAGATTAAAACTAGAGTGGAAATGTGAGTAGAAAAAATATGCAAAAGTCATAGGTTCTGACAAAGTTGAAAAAAATGTCACCATGATATAGGAAAAAAGAGAGAAAGGGGAAAATGGTAAAAGACCATTGCTTATTATACAGCTAATATGTGGCAGTCAAAGGATTCCAGTGAAGACTGAAAAGCAGATAGTAAAATGGTAAGAAGAAAGGTGTGTAAAGGCACTATAAATATATAAAGGCAACTACCAGACAAATATATATCTTTTATCAATACCATAAGAAATTTAAAAAGTGTGAAAATAGTGTCATCACTGAATTAGGTTTCCAATTTGCCTATATTCATGTGAAATTTTCCATTTGCAGAAAAAAGCTCTCTGACTGTATGCTAGATAGTGGGATGGTGAGAAAATATGTAGGTATGTGCTAGCTCTAAATATTTTTTTCTTTATCTCCTTTATTTTCAAAAAATTCTCCTGTTGCCAACTTCAAGTCTTTATGAACAACTTTCTTTTTCTTTCTTTTTTTTTTTTTTTTGAGACGGAGTTTTGCTCTTGTTGCCCAAGCTGGAGTGCAATGGCGGGATCTTGGCTCACCGCAACCTCTGCCTCCTGGGTTCACGCGATTCTCCTGCCTCAGCCTCTCCAGTAGCTGGAATTACAAGCATGCGCCACCATGCCTGGCTAATTTTGTATTTTTAGTAGAGACGGGGTTTCTCCATGTTGGTCAGGCTGGTCTCGAACTCCCTCAGCCTCCCAAAGTGCTGGGATTACATGCTTGAGCCACTGTGCCTGGCCCTTATGAACAACTTTCTTAAACTTTGTAGGAACTGCTGTATTTTTCATTGCTATTGTTTCAAAGAGGGCATTTTCAGTGTTTTTATCCCATTTGTATTAGTAACATCTAAATGTCATTCCAGTTCAGAGATACTTGTATGAACTTTAGTACTGTTATGTTCACATTCAACCTGTAAAATCTTTGACCTAGAGTAGAAATTTTTAGTCCCTAAATGACAGGTGCCAAATGCTTAGTTTGTTATGCTTGTTTTCTCTCTCCTTTGGCCTAGTGTTAAAAATGTTTGTGATGTCAGGTGACATTGTGCTAAGCATTTCATTTCTGTCTATTTAAAATATGAAATGGAGATATTATTAATAGTATCTGTTGCCTCCCTCCTTTTACATGGATTAGTGATGGAAGTCTGAAAAGCAGGCTTCTTATAAGAAAGGTATTATAACCATTATAGTTATAATGTGTTTTAATTAAGAAATCTATTATGATAATGATTGATAGATTTGATCATTATAATTCAAATCCAATACGTTCAGTGCCCTCTAAAATCTATCACAGATCCAGAGTATCACTGCTAGAATGATATTAAACATAATGGAAATTTTATCCTCCAGTGTTTTAAACCTTCAGGAGCCTCTTTAGTCTTTTTCACTGCCTTTGGGGAAGAATAAAAGATTGGTCTTTAGATTTGTAGTCAATTTGTACATCTGAGGTTATGAGAGAATTAAGCTGTACTTTTATAATTATATTTTGAGATCGATCTTCACTTTAATGAACATTAGATTACAGTTATTTCCTTGACCTGATTGTAATTGTTTTTACAAAATTAGGCACATACATACACAGACAGTATGTGTAAATGGTAAAATTTGTAAAATGTGTAAAATTTTCAGTGAGTCAGTCAATAGATGCAAGGTGCAGAAACTGAAGAAAAGAACTCCGTCTCTGAAAATAGTGTCATTACTGTGGCTGGCGCTTTATTTAAACATCACTGATCAAATATTAATATTTTGTAAAATGGTAAAACTTGCTGAGAAAAGGGAGTCAGTGGCGCAAAATTAATGAATAAACGCCTACTTGGGAGGGTGAGGCACGAGGATCGCTTGAGGCCAGGAGTTCAAGATCAGTCTGGAGAGCATAGTGGGATCCTATTGCTAAAAAAAATCTACCTGGGCATGGTGGTGTATGCCTGTAGTTCCAGCTACTTGAGAGGCTCAGATGGGAGGATTGCTTGAGCTCAGGAGTTTGAGGTTGCAGTGACCCGTGATCACACCACTGTATTCCAGCCTGGGTGACAGAGTGAGACCTTGTCTCTAAATAATAATAATAATAATAATAATAACAAAAGAATACTTGTGATTTAGCTGCTAATGAAAAAAAATTGCAGAATATTTTATTATAATTATCCTAACAAAAGAGGAAGATAGAGTGATATTTGGGGTCATTTTATTAGCCATTGCCCTACAGAAATGTAGCTTTGATGTGATACATTTTTGTGTTAACACTCTATGATAAAGAAAAGTGATGATAAAAATTATTTCCCTAAGTAAAATAGATGTGACTTTAATCAAAGTATGATTTTTAGAGTTTTCATTTTCATCTTTGCTTAACTGCTATAACCTTCTATACACTTTTTAAAACATAACCAGATTTTCATAGTATTAAGTCTTATGCTTCACAAAAATTGGATGTTGTTCCCTTTACTTAGGTCTTTAATTTCTTTCAACAATGTTTTGTAGGCTTCCCATACAAATCTTCCACTTCTTTTGTTAAGTTTATTCCTAAATATATACTATTGTAAATTATTTTCCAAATTGCTTTTCCAGATCGTTCATTGCTGGTGTATAGAGATGCAATTTGCATATTGATCTTGCATCCTGTAACCTTTCTTTTTTCTTTTTGAGACAGGGTCTTGCTCTGTCACCCTAGCTTGGGTGCAGTGGTGTAGTCATAGCTCATTGGAACCTTGACCTCCTGGCTCAAGCAATTCTGCATCAGCCTCTTGAGTAGCTGGGACCATAGGCGTGTGCCACCTTGTGTGACTAGTTATTTTATTTTATTTTTTATAGAGATAGGGTCTTACCATGTTGCTCAGGCTGGTCTCAAACTCCTGGGCTTGAGTGATCCTCTCACCTCAACCTCTCAAAGTGTTGGGATTATAGGCATAGGGCACCATGCCTTGTCCTGTAACCTTTCTAAACACATCTATTAGATCTAATAGTTTATTTGTGGATCTCTCAGGATTTCCTATACATAACGTTATGTCATCTAATCTGGAGTCTTTTTTTCTTTTTCTTGTCTAATTGCCTTGGCTAGAATTTCCTATACAATGTTGAATAGAAGTGGTGAGTGGATGAGGAAGTTATCTTCTATTCCTGATTTATGGGACATCGTTATTGTAAAAGGGTGTTAAATTTTGTCAAATACTTTTTCCGTTTCTGTTAGAAGATCATATGGTGTTTTTTTCTTCTCTTAAGTAGTACAGTGTATTTTTAATACATTGATTGTTTTTTATATATTGAATCAACTCATACTCCTAAGATAAAGCCCATTTGGTTATGGTAAATATTTTTTTTATATGTTCCTGGACTCAGTTTTCTTGTATTTTGTTGAGGATTTTTATGCGTAGACTCATAAAGGATATTGGTCAGTAGTTTTCTTTTCCTATGACTTTTTTACCTGTTTTTGGAATCACAGTAATACTGGGCTTATGAGTTCAGAAGTGTTCCCTCCTTTCCAATTTTTTTGAAGTTTATTTTAAAGTTTGTGAAGGATTGATGTTAATTCTTCTTTAAACATTTGGTAGATTTTTACCAGTGAAGCTATTTGGATACCTGATGCTTTTGAAGAAATTAAAATCTGTGTTTAGTTTTATATGTGTCAAGAACCAACATATTAATAGTTTGTGTCTTAGTTTGGTTATCACCTTAATAGTTTACTTATTTAAATATCTTTAGAGATAATTCAGCTTCCCAAATGAATTGTTAAAAGATCAAATCCATCAATAATTGACAAGCTGCAAAATTTGCGGCTTTGTCTGACCAAGGAGTTATGTTTGAAAAGCTCAGTTCTCTTTTAACTGATTAAACCCATTAACTGCACAAAACCATTCATTCAGTAGACATTTATTGCACATCCATTATGTGTTAGATTTAGAGGAGAAATTGTGACATAAGGGTAATAATATTCTAATTTGCTGGTGCCAGAGAGACTGTAGCAGCAATGTATGTATTCAGTTATATACCTGTAAAAGAAGTTTCTTATCACCTGAAATAATCCTTCGTTTGATAATGAATCTTTTGTAACTATGATTTTAATTCACCCAATTCTTAATATTGTTATCAGGCACTTAATTATTTATTCCTCTTTGAAAATTTGACTACTGATTTCCACTTGATAGTCTCATTGCTTGGCAATGGCTAAGTTAAAAAGTGATTTACAATTTTTGTTCTTTCAGACTATGTTATAGGTGACATTTTGTTCTTTTAATATTAATTCACACCAATTAAATTATATTTAATAAAGGAGTTTTGATCTCAGGACTTTAATTAGTAGATATTTATTTTTGAGAGAATTGCTACCACTATGGATCAAGGAAGATAAACATGAAAATAAGATCCTAAGAAAACTGGTTGATTGATAATTTGATGATTTTAAAAATTCACCTTATTGTTATCTGTTCTTTAAACAAAGCCAGCTACAAAAGAGTTGTATTTTCTTAGATGAGTAAGAATATGTACTTTCCTATATTTAAAAAATTCAGCTTATATAAAAAAGTTTAATAATCCTCAGTTCAAAGAATTCCAAAGTATTCCTCAGCCTAAAGTATATTCTTAGAGGTGGAAAGAACAGAAATTGTGCTGCTGCAAAGCAAATGAAAGTCTCAAAGTGAAAAATCAGTAGCATGATGAATCGTCAGTCACTCTTCAAGGTCTAATTCTTCTTATTGAATTTTATTCTTTTGGCCCAATGACATATTCAGTGAAGGATCGTGATTTTATAAAATTAATTCCATGACTATAAGTACAGAAAAAAAGAGAGGTTATTAAAACTCCAGAGACTTCTGAGTCCTAGTAAAACCATTAAGAAGGAACTAATGTGATAATAAAATGAAAAGCAATTCAAAACGTATCAGCCTAATAAAGAATATTACCAACTATCTTACAGTAATAAAAATTCTTGAAGATGCAACAAAGAGAAAAAAACTCTACCAGCTCAGATTAACAATCTGTTATAGTGGGGTTGGCCCTCATTAAATTAGCCATGATATCTTAAAGGGGATATTTAATTACAGAGTGTTTTGTAACCAAGTTCAAGGGAGAGTTCTAGGGGGAATTGTTAGCATTCAGGCATTAACACCAAACACACAAAGTCTGGCGAAATGTTGTCTATCATTTGGTTCACACCTGTCTTTTCTGTGATCTAGTTAGAAGCAATCTTTCCTTGGCAAGGGAGTAGGTTACACATACATTACATTGAAATAACACCATTCTGCCAAGCACAAAGTATTTCATCTAGATGAAGGGAGTTGGATTAAGAAATGCCTTGTGGCAGATGGCAAGATGTGCAGGTCTCTCTCTCCATTTTTACAGCCCTCAAGGGAAGAGAGGATTAGGTGTTCAACACTGGGACTCTAATTCCTTACTACAAAAGAAAGGTTGGCTGTCACCTGAGTAGACCTGTGCCATTCTATCTTGTTGCTGCACAGAATTACAGAGCACACAAAGCTTACATTTCACAACCACCAGAAATCATAAGATGAACTATCAAGCAAAATTCAGGTAATCCAAATCCCAGAAATGCCAGGTGCTCTCCTCTGCTCTGCATACCTGCTCTCCCCTTAACACCCCTGTGGGTTTCTTTTCAGCACCTTTCTAATCCCGCTTTTGTTTCCTTCTCCCACATCTCCTTTCTAAGGCTCTTTTCCTCCCAGTCCCTACCCTTTAGCTATGTCTGGATGCGCAACAAAGTCTTAGAAATCTCAGTGTTTTGGACTTCCCTTTCCACAAAAGCCATGCTTATAAAAGGTGAGCTTTCCCATAATAATCTCCAGTAATTACAAAGTTGGAACAGACTTGAAGAGAATTTGATGCAACTCCCTCGTGTTCAATAAGAGGTAACTGAGAAAGTGGTGTGTCCCAGGTCATAAAAAAGTGGCTGAACTGGAATGGGAATACTGGTGTCCTTGGCCCTTGCTAAACGCCTTCTAAGCTAATTCATGCTAGGCTGGTAATAGACAAAGCCAGTGCATTGTCAAGTCTGTAAAATGTTTGGCAGAGGCATATGAAGGCATAGGCTGAATAAATATGGTGCATCAATTCAACTAGAACTATTATTGGAAAACAACTGAGTACTGGGCTGATGATTAAGTTATTGCCTCTCAGCTTCAACCTTGCTTTATTGTGTTTTAGCTTTGTGAGACTGTGGCTGACACTCTGGAAATACACTTCTGTTTTACCAGCTGCTCCCTTTTCGGTTCTGCCAAGAGGGGGAGCTAGATAGTGCCAGCAAGTTGGAGGAAAAAGGAGGAAGGGATCTCTTTCTTCTGGTCTGTTTCCTGTTACTGACTGACCCCAAAGCCCAGTGACAATTGTTTACCTCGCTGGAAAAAACAGATGTTTCAGTAGCAGCGGTTGCTTCCACATTGCAGTTTTTCCCACATGCTCAGAACCAGCCTCATTGATCCCCACAGAAACACCCACACCAGTCATTCATGTCCCCTCCTCAGAGACATGGCCAAGCCCTCAGGGGCCCCTCCTTTCTTCTTCCAGGGCTTAATAATCCTTAAATCTTCCCTTTGTTCCCCAGCCCTAGTGTGTTAGTTGTTTTGTTTTCTGCATTGCTACCTCAGTACCCTCTTTCTACATTTTTTTTAGGTCACCAATACGTGGTTATCAACTTTTTCTATTAAATTTTCTGTTAAAATAATGGGCATGGTTTCTGTTTCTTGACCTGACTCTGAGTGATAGATGTACTTCAGTCAGTATTTAATATCATACTAAAATAATCATAAATATTTACAGAGTAGAACACAAAATTTATTTACATTTATAAGATAAAAGGGGGGCCGGACGCAGTGGCTCATGCCTGTAATCCCAGCACTTTGGGAGGCCAAGGCAGGTGGATCACAAGATCAGGAGTTCAAGACTAGCCTGGCCAAGATGGTGAAACCCTGTCTCTACTAAAAATACAAAAATTGGTGGGGCATGGCGGCAGGTGCCTGTAATCCCAGCTACACGGGAGGCTGAGGTAGAGAATTACTTGCACCCAGGAGACAGAGGTTGCAGTGAACCAAGATCATGCCACTGCACTCCAGCCTGGATGACAGAGCGAGACTGTCTCAAAAAAAAAAAAAAAAAAAAAAGAAGATAAAAGAGGAACTTCTTCAGAGGAATTCTGCCCTCTTCAGAAATGGAGTGGGTTCCCTTTTGGCTACCTTTGGTATGGTCTGGCTCTATGGGCTCTATGTCCCCACCCAAGTCTCATCTCAAATTATAATCCCCATATGTCAGAGGAGGGGCCTAGTGGGAGATGATAGGATTATGGGGGTGGATTTCTCCCTTGCTGTTCTCGTGATAGTGAGTGAGTTCTCACGAGAGCTGAAGCTGATGGTTTTAAAGTGTGGTAGTTCCCCTCCACCACCTCCTGCCATCATGTAAGATGTGTCTTGCTTCCTTCGCCTTCCACAATGATTCTAAGTTTCCTGAGGCCTCCCCAGCCATGCCGAACTGTTAGTCAATTAAACCTCTTTCCTTTATAAATTACCCAGTTTCAGGTATGGACTAATACACCCATACTCTCTTCTTACTAATACACCTTACTGTCTGTCAGGGGTGCCTTAGTGGGAAAGTTTGAGAAGCATAGGCTTGATGACTTATTCCTGAGGGCATATTAATGCAAGGTAGGGGACTGCCAGAGACTAATGCCTTCATTTAAAAGAGATAAAGATGGGTCATTTGGTTGGAAGGGTGATTTTTCGCAGCTGTCTGCAGATTTTACCTAAAGCAAATCTGATTGTATCTTCAGAGATTAAAAGCATGTAGCTTTAAATTATGCTATTCATCTATTCATGTAATCATCAAAAAATGAGGATGGATTGGTATGAGAAGCACTATTTTCCTGGACTCAATAAAATTTGAATAGAATGTTCCAGCTCAAGCTGTGTTGCCCACCCCATATGGACTGGGTGGTTCATGCATGAATCAGAGCTTTAACCAGCCCTTGGAGATGGCAAAAGTCACAACTTCTGATTTGAGCCAGATCTAAACTAGCAGCTGTGGTTCATTCTGTTCACTGATCAGTGAAGCTTCTCTTTCACATTGGAATACCCATATGCATATGCTTGGCAGGCTGACTGAGTCTTGTTTGCAACTCCCAGAGAAGACATAACCATGGAGCATTATCCTTCTTGAGTAAGCTCTCGATGTTCTTCTTGAAGTAAATAAAGCAAGACAACAGAAAGAGAGGAAATTCATTCTGGAAAATGTGTCAAACATTAAGTTGTTCATAATGCAGTTTAGTATCAGGAGATAAATCAGTCGTGCATTTCTAAAGTCATAAACACAATGGTAACTAGCTTTAAGTGAGTAGATAACCTCCTTGTGCTCCATAGAGAAATCCAGTACATGGTACTTACACTGTGGCCAAAAGCCAAGAAAGCCTCCAGTAATAGATAAGATGTGTGGAGTAGGTTAGAATCAATGAGGCTGCACAGGTGAGTTTGGGTCAGGCCCATGGAGGTTATGGAATATAGGTGTACCTTTCTTCTATTGTTAAGTGAATAAAATCTCATTAATACAAATGGTAAGGTAATCTTTATGGGAAGAGAACTTTGAAAAGGGCAACCTCAGCATTGTGTAGAAGAGAAGAGGCTCAGTCTCACACAGTTGCCTCATCTATGGTCAGAAGTAGACAGCATAGAGAATCTGTCATGGGATAATTATCTATATGGAAACATCAAGTCTTTTTACACTAGCCGGCAGATGCCTCCTTAAGTCACAGAAGTGCAGCATATGTAACTCTGGCATGCTAAAGCTGGCTCCACAACACACAGAGAGATCTTCTCTAGTTATAGGTAATTCTTTGGACATCATGGATCGTATCTTCCACAAGAACCAATCTCAGGGTAAAGTCACCTGAGAAACAAAACTTATTATATAACACAGAATAAGTTCACTTATTGAATTATATTTTTCAAAATGAAAGCCATTTTTTTTCTAAAGTGTATTTCAAGGTATTCTGGCTCCAAGAGATGCTCCTGAGTAGTTCTGCAGTGAAGAAGTCTGTTGAAATTTTTACCCACCTTAAAAAAAAAAAAAACTATTAGGAAACACAATTCTGGTTTTACATAGCATCTCAAAACCAGTGGAACATGCATTTTTAAGATCAGTCGGGAAATGGTCCTAGGTATCCTTACGCATGTAGAAACACAGATGAAAATTGGTGTTCCCTTTTTAGGTGTAGTCTTGTGGAAAGTTCATTTGGAGCTTATTCTTAAGAACCTCAATCTAAAAAAAAAAAAAAAAACGGTGATAAACATAAGGACTGTTTACTATTTTGATACTGTATTTTCCAGGCACATGTAAGATTAGACTTTCCCAACCTCTTGAAAGTAGGTGTGGCAATGTGACTTGATTTGGTCAGTAAAATGTGGGAAGAAGTCTTTGAGATCTAGTGCAGCAACTAAATTCACTTCTTCCTGCCATGATAGTTCCAGGTTGTGGAGTCTTTGGTTAACTCCATCAATTAGTGAAGGTGACGTGGAGCTGAGTCTGCTCTGTGCTTCCCACCAGCTGATGTATAATGAACATGTAACTTGAGACAGAAAGAATTATTTATTATTTCTAGCCATGGACATTTTGGGGTTGTTTCTTACTAGTATAATTTAGCTTATTCTAATACAAATATTGCTACCAGGAGTGGGGTGCCAACATAACAAAAAATTACAGTTTGTCATTGGCTTGCAGGACAAGTGGTAGGCAGTGAAGAAACTGTTATAAAGTCTGAAAGACAAAAACTTTGGTTAAAACGTTGCCCACAGTGACTTGGAAGGCAGATTATATGCTAATAAATTTATAGCTCTAGGGAAAGAGGCAGGAAAACACAATATTAGTAATGTGCATTGGTTTCTATTGGCTGCATTTGACAAGGTATTACAAAAGACATGTTCAGGAAAGAATCAGCTGGAGTCCAAGCAGGAATTAATGGGGCATTTCAGAATTGCAATGTTGGAAAGGTTGACTGATTTTATTTTTATTTTTTTACTTTTTTGTGTTTTGAGGTGGAGTCTTGCTCTGTTGCCCAGGCTGGAGTGCAGTGGTGCGATCTCAGCTCACTGCAGCCTCTGCCTCTCAGGTTCAAGCAATTCTCCTGCCTCAGCCTCCTGAGTAGCTGGGACTTCAGGCACACACCCCATGCCCAGCTGATTTTGTATTTTTAGTAGAGACAGGGTTTCACCATGTTGGCCAGGCTGATCTCAAACTCCTGACCTCAGATGATCTGCCCACTTCGGCCTCCCACAGTGCCGGGATTACGGGCATGAGCCACTGTGCGCAATCTGATTTTAGATTTCAAACAGTATAGGATAAAATTGAGAGAACCATTTGGCAATAAAAAATATTAAAACTGAGTTTTGCAGAGAAGGGCATGATCTATATATCTACTATTAAAAACCATTCAACTGAATATATTTCCATGGCCATCACACCATTATTAAAACCTCTGAAAAGACTAACATGTACCAGAGTAAAGATCCACATAAGACATGTGTATTAGGGTTCTCCACAGAGACAGAAACAATAGGATATATGTATATATAAACCAGAGTTTATTAAGAATTGGCTCACACAATTAGAAGGTGAAGTCCCATGATGACTGTCTGCAAGCTGGAGGAGAGAAGCCAGTTGTGTGTCTCAGTCCAAGTCCAAAACCCTTAAAACCAGGGAAGCTGACAACGCAGCCCTGAGTCTGAGGCCAAAGGCTTAAGACCCACTGAGTGGCCACCAGTGCAAGTCCCAGAGTCCAAAGGCTGAAGAGCCTGGAGTCTGATGTCCAAGGGCAGCAGGAAAGGAAGCGAGCATCTGGCATGGGAAGAAGAAAGATTCAGAAGACTAAGCAAGCAAACGAATCCCACCTTCCTTTGCCTACTTTGTTCTAGTCATGCTGGCAGCAAACTGGATGGTACCACTCACACTGAGGGTGGGTCTATTTCTCCCAGTCTACTGACTCAAATGTCAATCTCCTCTGGCAACACCCTCACAGACACACCCAGAAAAATACTCTTCCAGCCATCTAGGCATCCTTCAGTTCAATCAAGTTGATGCCTAATATTATCCATTACAATATGTCTTGAAGGGAACCATGAATGTGGCTGTTGGCACCTGGAATTTTCTGAAATCCAATGCTAAGAAGTAGATTAAGTTGTTGTAAGAGATGTACCTCCAAAGGAATCACCAGACTGAATTAAAAGAGATTCCAAGTATTAAAGACTTAAAAGAACCCTTGGATCACCAAACATTTAGGGTTGGAAGTGGTCTGAGAAAGCTGTATGGACATCAAGCAAAATGTATTCCCCGATGCCTACTTTAGATGTGTCAGATAGTATGATGGAAAAGAAAGCTGGGGCCATGGAGAATTATGGAGAATGAGGCTTCTTGCACAGAGCGTATTTAAGGGCTGAGCTGACATCCTCAGACCTAGGGTAGACCTCCCAATATCGGTTCAAGCTATTTCAGAGTTGCTAAAGGCCAGTGTCTGCTGTATATCTCTCATTTTTCCTCTTTCCAAAGAGGAATGTTTGTTGGAGTCATCTGTTCCCTGTTTCATCTTTGTAAGTTAGGTGTGTGTGGGGTAGGTAACTTGTCTTTTTACTGCATAACTCTCCAGAACAAGAGGAGCCACACCCAGGCCCAGTTTAGTGACTGGGTATCACCTGAACAGGCTGAATTGTGTCCCCCCAAATTCATATGTTGGAGCCCTAACCTCCAGTGCATTTGGAGACAGGGCCTTTAGGAGGTCATTAAGATGAAGTCAAGTCATAAGTGGGGGGGCCCTGATCCAATAGGACTGGTGTCTTTATAAGAAGAGGAAGAGACATCAGTAATGCATGCACACAGAAAAATAAGCCATGTGAGGACATGGTGAGAAGACGGCCATCTGCAAGCTAAGAAGAGCGGACCCAGGAGAAACCAAACCTGAAGATACCTTGATCTTGGACTTCCACCCTCCAAAATTTTGAGAAAGTTTTATTAAGCTTCTCGGTCTGTGGTATTTTGTTATGGGGGCCCTAGCAAACTAACATGCTCCTGATGAAGATAGTACCATGCATTACCCAGAGGTACTTGATCCGTGACTGAATGAGACTTTTGAGTTGTCTCTCCTGGGGAGAGAATAAATGAATTTTGCTCAAGAAAGAAACACTGAACTGATCATTTGGTGACTGGAGAGGTGGATTGTAGCTACATGAGGACTCCAGACATTCACCAATATTCCAGCATGGCAGGATTATACTTCCATGTCCCCTTGGATGTAGGAATGGTCATGTGGCTCACGTGGCCAATTAAATGTAAGCAGAAATGACAGGTGTTTCTTCTAGGCAGAATCAATCCCTTAAGAGCTAAAGTACAATTTGCCGTGTTCCCTTCCTCCTGTCACTGCAATCTGTGACATTCCAGATGGTAGAGTGTGAGCCAGCCTGTGTTCCTGAATGCAGATGACATGGAGCAGAGTTCCAGCCAATCTGCAATAGTTGTGGGCATGGGTGAGAAATAATGTTTAAAGTTAATGAATTTTTGGAATTGTTTATTACTGTGGCATAATCTAGTCTATTTTGACTGATCTAATCAATATTAACGGTAGGGAAAATTTCCAAAATCCTCATAGAATTCAGTTGTATGGTGTGATCAATTAATTCAATGTATTGGGTTTTGTCCTTCAGTAAATAAAGAAGTAGAGCTGACATCCGAGGATGCCCACCAATCACTGAGCTGTGCTTTGTATTAAAAGGTGATGCTATTGAATCTCTGTCAGAAGAACATGCTTTAAGTTAATTTGTCAGTAGTGGTGATGGATTCTCTTAAAACCATTCATGGCTCTCCACTCGGCTGCCTCTAGTAAGGTAAGGGTTATATATTCATCAGAGCCAAGCCTGAGCCTCAGATCCACAATGTCAGTTCCATTCGCTTTGGACTGCAACAGATGAGCAGGAAGAATTGATACTAAGAAGGCAGAGTCCTCCAGTGGATCTTTAGAGCATGTTTAGCTTGAGCAAACATGAACCACAAACCAGGAACAAGGGCAGCCATCAACAGTTGTAAAATCGAGGTATAGTGACCGGAGAAATACCTGCTGCATACATTTTTAAGTAATAAGATTTATAAAAAACTTTTAGCACATGTAATTCCACTAGCTTATTGATAAAATTCTAAGAATATAGTCTGGTATACTGCTATAATAAAAAGTTAAGATTAGCTTAAAAGATTCTATAGAATGGAATACATTTTTGTCCATTGTATGGTTGAATGTTTGCTCTCTCTAACAATACTTCAGAAAGCAAAGGACCTCAAGGATGTGTGTGTGTGTGTGTGTGTGTGTGTGTGTGTGTGTGTGAGGGGGTGGGGAGAGATTGAAGAGGGAACTCTTGGGAAGGATTGCATATGAGGGAGAAGGTAGCACCGAAGTCTAAAAGCATTGTCCCTTTCCTCAAGAAGCTTCTGGAAGATGTCTTCTGCCACATTTGCTCAAGAAACTATTTTGTGCAGTGTGATCATGTCTCCCCTGCCACAACTGGTTGGCTGAAGAGGGCTCTTGACCCAAATTGGGCCCTTCCCTAGATTTTTTTACCCAGTGTTTACAGAGTTGAATCAGTCTCTATGTAGTGGCAGAAGTTCTAAGAGACAAAGCATGGAGTTGTTGACAGAATGGCCTTGCCCCTCTGGAAAGTTGTGTTGAGAGAGGAAGGAATGAAGCAGATGTGGAAGGGGGAATAGAGCCTAGAGGAAAAGAAGGCAGCCTGCAGTGCTCAAGGGCCTGGCTGCGTGTGGCCACCTGGTCTTGTGATAGTCAAGGACAAGTTCATACTGCCTTTGAGCATGAGAAGGCAGCCCAGCACCCTTGTGTATGAGTCTCTCAGGGCAGCTGTCACAAAGTACTACAAACTGGGTGCCTTAAGACAGCAGAAACGCATTCTTTCGCAGCTCTGAATGCTGGAAGCCCAAGATCAAGGTGTCAGCAGGACTGATTCCTTCTGAGGGCTCTGAGGGAGATAATCTGTCCCATCCGTGCCTCTCCTCGCTTCTGGTGAGGGCTGGCAATTGCTGGCATTCCTTGACTTGTAGATGCAGAACTCCAATCGCTGCCTCTGTTGCAATGTGGCATCCTCCCAGCATCTTTTCGCATTGTCTTTCCTCTACATATGTGGGTATCTGTGTCTCTTATCTTTTTATATGGACACCAATCATGTTGGATTTAGGACACACACTAATGACCTCATCTTAATTTGATTACATCTGTAAAGACCCTGTTTCTTCTTCTTCTTCTTTTTTTTTTTTTTTTTTTTTGAGATGGAGTCTTGCTCTATCACCCAGGCTGGAGTGCAGTGGTGTGATCTTGGCTCACTGCAACCTCTGCCTCCCCGGATCAAGCAATTCTCCCCCTCAGCCTCCTGAGTAGCTGAGACCACAGGCACGCACCACTACACCCAGTTAATTTTTGTATTTTTAGTGGAGATGGGGTTTTGCCAGGCTGGTCTTGAACTCCTGACCTGAAGTGATCTGCCCACCTCGGCCTCCCAAAGTGCTGAGATTACAGGTGTGAGCCACCGGGCCCAGCAGGACCATAATTCTAAATAAGGTCACATTCACAGGTCTTGGGGTTAGGTCATGGGGATATCTTTTTGGGTGACACAATTCAACCCTAATCTCTTGCAATATACCCTTTTCCTTCAGTGCTTGAAAGTGGTTTAGGTCCCTTGCAGTTTCACTTGGATAAGCCAGGAAGGCACCTGAGGCAGAATTTGAAGGAAGAACAACCAAAGTGAGGTGTAGAAGTTATCATCAGTGTTTGGGGGACTATTTTATTGGGATTTGAGTGAGGAGAATGGCTCCAAGGAGAGCTGTGTGTGGCTGCACGCACCTCTGGTTCAACAGAAGAAGGGTGGGAGTGGGAGCTGTCAAGGATCCTGCCTTTTCAAGAGAAACCCAGCTCAAAACTACTTAAGTAAAAAAAGGCAGGTGGAGTTATTGACACATGTAACTGGAAAGACAGGAGATATTTTATACAGAGCAGAAGAAAACATATCTGTTTTCTTTATGCGGAACTATCAGAAGTAGCCAGAAAATTTCTCTTTATCACAGTCTAGAAACTATTAATAGTAATAATACTAAAAAGTGGCCATCTAAATATATTTGAGTATACTGGTGAATGGCCAATTTTTTAAGTGATATAAAACCAAAATATTAATAATTACTGTAATTATATATAATATTACAGGGGTTTAAAGAAGGAAGAAGAGGCTTTTGCTGGAATAGTTAGAAAAGGTCTTACAGAAGAGTTAAAATAGCGATATTTATATGATGAATCATGTGAGATATTTTATTACAGCTCTGGGATCGTGAATAGTGAATCTGGAATTTTTAGGACTCATGATATTCAGCTCCAGCCTTAGTAGTGTTCTTGGAATGTAAATGGTCACTGTTCAGTGGAGGGTATCCACTTCGGACTTCCAATTTTTAGGCAAGGATGAGAGTAGTGGCAAATTAAAAAAAATTGGACTTTGTTCCCAAGTAATCAAGGTTATCCCTGCTTTAGTTTATTCTTTTTAAATTAGAAGATATGAGAAGAACCAAATCAATCTCCAGAATTTATTACCCAGAAGACAGTAGGCACTTCCACTCAATAAGTTAAAGTGCATGGATTTGAAATTTAAGTAATCCTGTATTGGAACAAGACAAGGAAGCATTTAAATCTCAATCCAGCTTCTCCCTCATCTGTTGGGGCATATGCTTTAGGCAGTGTAAGTGGATGTAGGAAATTAATCTTCCAAAAGGCCAACAGGCATTATTCCCACATACTCTAACAAGAAGGTCAAATTCCTTATTTCTAATTTGTTTTAAGTTTCAGGAAGAAATTTAAAATCTGAGAAATAAAAAAAGGGAAGAAAGTATGTTGTTCTGTCTATAGATGCCTTGCTGGCATTTCATAAAGATCATGTAATCTTATAACTAATTAGTTGTTTTATTTTTGGCAAATATATCCATATGATAGAATTTTCAGGAGTGAAAAAGGGTGTACGGAGTAACGTAGCTCTACCTCCCACTCTTGGACATCAATTCCATAACTTTCCTCGCAAGGCACTCAGGCTCACTGGTTTCTTATGTATATTCCGGGAGATATTCTGTGCCTTTGTTTATTGTACACATTGTACAAATAGTGGCATACAATGTAAGCTAATTTGAATTTTGTGGGTTTCCCCCTACCTTGAAGATCAGTCCACATGGCTACATGAAGCGCTGTACCTTTCTAACGGCAAATAGCATTCTGTCCTATGGATGCATCATGATATTTTAAATTGCCCATCATTGATATACTTTAAGACTGTTTCCAATCTTTTGCTATTATAAATAATGATTTTTTTTTTTTTTTTTTTGAGTCGGAGTCTCACTTTTGCCCAGGCTGGAGTGCAGTGGCACCATCTCGGCTCACTGCAACCTCTGCCTTTCAGGGTTCATGCGATTTTCATGCCTCAGCCTCCCGAGTAGCTGGGATTACAAGCAGGCACCACCACACCTGGCTAGTTTGTGTATTTTTAGTAGAGACGAGGTTTCGCTATGTTGGCCAGACTGGTCTTGAACTCCTGACTTCAGATGATCTCTGTCTCCCAAAATGCTGGGATTACAGGCATTAGCCACCGCACCCAGCCGAGTTTTTTTTTTTTTTTTAAATATACGTGATTTTATATGTGTGTGAGAGTACCGTAGGATAAATTCCCAAAAGATAAATGTATCAGACAGGCGTTGGTCAGGAAAATAGAAGCTACTCTCTGTAGTTCTGGTGTTAAAGGTTTTAATAAAAGGAGTGAGGGCTTACACATCCTTGGAAGGCCTCGGGAAGTCAGGCCTTCATCTGTTGTCTGTCCCTATCCCCCAGTCTACTCCCAGGTGAAACTTCCCAAATCACAGCTTTCATCAATGATTGCAATTCTTTTTTTTTTTTTTTTTGAGACAGAGTCTCGCTCTGTCGCCCAGGCTGGAGTGCAGTGGCGCGACCTCCGCTCACTGCAAGCTCCGCCTCCTGGGTTCACGCCATTCTCCTGCCTTGGCCTCCCGAGTAGCTGGGACTACAGGCGCCCGCCACCACGCCCAGCTAATTTTTTGTACTTTTAAGTAGAGATGGGGTTTCACCATGTTAGCCAGGATGGTTTCGATCTCCTGACCTCGTGATCCGCCTGCCTTGGCCTCCCAAAGTGCCGGCATTACAGGCGTGAGCCATTGCGCCTGGCTAATGATTGCAGTTCTCTACTCAAAAACCTGAAAGGTCAGGGAAGATGGCACCAAAAATCTCAGCCAGAAGCCCTGCAGTGGAAGGTTCCGACATGCTCATTCCCGGGAATCTCTAGGAAGCTTTCATCATGTATCCGCACGCAACGCAATGCACTTGCTTCTCAGGACTTGGCCAGGAGCGCCAGTCTGACGTCTCCCAGTGCGTCTGGTCCCAGTCCTCTCTGGAAAATAATGTCTCCTCTCGTCTGTCTCTCATCCCCCACAGGGCCTCTCCCTGGAGGACGATAACTCAGAACCACACTGGGTGCTGTGGGGAGAGAGTTCTGGGCAAGGTGCTCTTTGCTTCTCTATTGAATGAAGAATCTTTAGAAGGGAGGGGTGGTGAAAAAGAATCGACAACAGATAAAGAATGTAGAGTGATGAATTTTGTGTCATGCTTAGAAAGGATTTACTTACTTTGAGAGCATAAGAGAATTTGCTCATGTTTCTTTTCAACTATTTTTGTGCATTAAAAAATTTAAATTGTTTTTTTTTTTTGAGACGGAGTCTTGCTCTGTCGCCCAGGCTGGAGTGCAGTGGCGTGATCTCGGCTCACTGCAAGCTCCGCCTCCCGGGTTCACGCTATTCTCCTGCCTCAGCCTCCCGAGTAGCTGGGACTACAGGCACCCGCCACCGAGCCCGGCCAATTTTTTGTATAAAAAATTTAAATTTTTGATCCATTTCTAATTTGCTTTGGTATGATGAGTATTGTGGATATACACCCTAATATTTTACAAATAAAGAAAAGCAGAGGGTTCTACATTAGATTTTATTCTTTTTAATGCTTTCGGGAGGTTACAGATTCCAGACATTCTGCCTATAGGTTCTAGCAGTACCTATGCTACTAGATCAGTTTGGGGAGACAGAGGATTGGGAGAGACTTCAGGCTGGGGAAATGCTGAGAGGCAGAAGTGAGGGTGGCATATTCACAGAGCAGGGAGTAAGAGTAATTGGTCTAAGGAGAAGTTTGATGATGTGGAGTAGGGGAATAAATAAGATTGGTTCAGTAAGATGGAGCCATACTATAGAAGCCCCTCGATATCAGGCACAAGACAAGATGGAACAGGTTTTTTTTTTTAAGGTCTCACTTAGTTTGGAGTGCAGTGGTGTGATCATAGCTCACTGTAACCTCAAACTCCTGGGCTTAAGTGGTCCTCCCACCTCAGCCTCCAGAGTAGCTAGGAATACAGGCATGTGCCACTGTGCCTGGCTAATTTTTAAGAACTTTTTGTAGAGATGGGGTTTTGCTATGTTTCCCAGGTTGATCTTGAACTCCTGGCCTCATGTGATCCGCCCACCTCAGCCTCCCAAGGCATTCGGATTACAGGCCACGGTCCCCAGCCTGGAACAGGTTTTTGAGTAGAGAATTGCAATCGTTGATGAAAGCTGTGATTTGGGAAGTCTGACCTGGGAGTAGACTGGGGGGGTGGGGGCAGATGACAGAGCAGCGGGGGCCCAGGAGGAGGTGGCTGCCACACTCCTGGCCTGAGCTCCAAGCATCTGTTGGATGTTCTTCAGGGCCAGGTGGGCAGCCGCCATATGAATTAGGGACAAGTTTCAAATCAGGACTCTTGGTAGCATTCCCAGAGTGAGAAAGGTGCATCCCCAGGGGGCCTGGAGAGCTTGAGTTCAGCTTCTGCTCCTCAGCAGACCCCAGACAACATCTGAGACCATGTGTCTTTATTGGCTCCCATGGCTCAATGATGAGAGCTAACATTTGTTGAGTTCAGGATGCGCTGGGCTGTGGGTGAATTTTGTGGGTATTTTCTCATTTAGTCTGTCAGCTGCTATTATCCCCATATTAACAATTAAGAAACTGAGACTTAAAGAAATTGGACAACTCATTCAAGGTCACAAGAATTGACAGTGGCAGAACTGGGCTTGAAAAATGTCTGGTTCCAGAACCAGAGGTGTTTTTTTTTTTGTTTTTTTGTTGTTTTTTTTTAACAGATTCTCACTGTCACCCAGGCTGGAGTGTAGTGGCGTGATATTGGCTCACTGCAGCCTCTGCCTCTTGGGTTCAAGCAATTCTCGTGCCTCAGCCTCCCAAGTAGCTGGGATTACAGGCGTGCACTGCCACGCCTGAATAATTTTTGTATTTTTAGTAGAGATGGGGCTTCACCATGTTGGCCAGGCTGGTCTCCAAAGATCAGCCAGCCTTGGTCTCCCAAAATGCTGGGATTACAGGAATGAGCCACCATGCCTGGCCCAGAACCAGAGTTCTTAATGGCTGTTCGGACTTAAAACATGGTACCCCAAACTATGTAACCTTGGTGTGCTGAAAACTTTGAACTGAAGGAGATTGGGAGGGCCTCAGAAGCAAGGTCCTTCTGACACCTCACTCTCCTTTCTTCCTCTTATCTTCCCTAAGAATTCCTCTTTTCCTGCGTAAGTCATAGAAACAACTTCTCTCCCGCAAAGCAAGTCATAAAACCTAGAGACGCCACTCCCCTGAAGGTAGAAAACCCTCATTACAGAGGAGTCCTGTCCCCTATCCAGGGGAAAGAATGCAACACACAGAGAGGCCAAGAAAAATCCGGACAAGCCTTGCTAGGTTCTCCTCCCCTCCGCCTAGTATACTGGCATTAGGTCATACCCTTTTATCCAATTGTGTTTCTCCACAACTATCCACTCCTTTCATCAGATTTAGCATAGAAACACACGGTTTTTCCCGTGTGTCCAGAGATGGTTCTTTCCGGTGGGTTCGTGGTCTTGCTGAGTTCAAGAATAAAGCCGCAGATCTTCACGGTGAGTGTCACAGCTCTTAAAGGTGGTGGGGACCCAAAGAGTGAGCATCAGCAAGATTTATTGTTTAGACGGAAAGAACAAAGCTTACGCACTGCCTAACGCGACCTGGGCGGGTTACTGCTGCTGGCTGGGGCGGGGGCGGGGGTGGCCAGCTTTTATTCCTTTATTTGTCCCCACCCATGTCCTGCTGATTGGTCCCTTTTACAGAGTGCTGATTGGTCCATTTTACAGAGCACTGATTGGTCCATTTTACAGTGTGCTGATTGGTCCATTTTACAGAACACTGATCGGTCCATTTTACAAACCTCTAGCTAGCCACAGAGAGCTAATTGGTGTGTTTTACAATCCTAGCTACAGAGCACTGATTGGTGCATTTTACAATCCTCTTGTGAGACAGAAAAGTTCTCCAAGTCCCCACCTGACCCACAAGTCCCCACCCGACCCAGCTAGCTTCACCTCTCACCTGGGTCTTGGGGTCTTTATTTCTGAAGGTTTCCGTGTCCTGTAGACCTTTTATTAAATACATTTGCTATGCTTTCCTCTTGTTAACATTTTGCTATAGGAGTGTCAGCTCTGACTCTTGTAATGGGTGAGGAGCAGATACCACTTTTTCGTCCTTACACAGCCTAACCCTCCTATCTCTGACTCACGAGCTCTGTGATTCAAAACCAATGCAAGCTTTTCTCTGCTATTGGTTATAAGCAAATGAGAAGATTTACATTCATATATGAGTTGTTTGATTACAGTTAAAAATGTACCTAGAGATTGGGATCTTCAAAAAAGTAATTCTGAATTGTTGACATACATTCTAGTCTGAGCAGGCAACTGCCTACATAGACTTTAGAAATTTTCCTTGGGGAAAACACCTCCTGCTTTTTGCAGCTAGATATTTAATCCACCCAAAATTTATTATTGTGTATAGCATAAGGAAGAAATTGACTTCTATATATTTTTCCCTATGGAAAACTTTATTCTTTTTTTCTAAATCTTCTTTCTTTTTTAAAAAAAATAATTTCAGCTTTTATTTTAGATTCGGGGGATACATGAGCAGGTTTGGTGCATGGGTATATTGCTTGATGCTGGGGTTTGGGGTATGATTGATCCCATCACCCAGGTAGTGAGCGTAGTACCCAGTAGTTTTTCAACCCTTGCCTCCTCCCTCTCTCCCTCTTCAAGTAGTCCCCACTGTCTGTTGGTATCTTTATATTCATGAATAGCCAGTGTTTAGCTTCCACTTAGAAGTGAGAACATGTAGTATTTGATTTTCTGTTCCTGTGTTAGTTTACTTAGGATAATGGTTTCCAGCTGCATTCATGTTACTGCAAAGGACATGATTTCATTCTTTTTTATGACTGTGTAGTATTCCATGGTACATGTGTACCATCTTTTCTTTATGCAGCCTGCTGTTGATGGACACCTGGGTTGATTCCATGTCTTTGCTACTGTGAATAGTGCTGCTGTGAACATATGAGTATGTGTCTTTTTGGTAGAGCAATTTATTTTCTTTTGGGTAAAGAATCAGTAGTGAGATTGCTGGGTCAAATGGTAGTTTAACTCTCAGTTCTTTGAGAAAGCGCCAAACTGCTCTCCACAGTGGCTGAACTAATTTATATTCCTACCAATAGTGTATAAGCATTCCCTTTTTTCTGTAGCCTCGTGCACATCTGCTATTTTTTGACTTTTTAACAAAAGCCATTCCGACTGGTGTGACATGGTATTTGATTGTGGTTTTGATTTGCATTTCTCTGACGCTTAGTGTTGATGAACGTTTTTTTCATGTTTATTGGCCTTTGTATGTCTTCTCTTGAGAAGTGTCTGTTATGTTCATATCCTTTGTCCACTTTTTAATGGGGTTATTTATTTTTTGCTGTAGTTTGAAGTTTCTTATAGATTCTGGATATTAGACCTTTGTTGGAGGCATAGTTTGGGAATATTTTCTCCCATTCTGTAGGCTGTTTACTCTATTGATAGTTTCTTTTGCTGTTCAGAAGTTCTTTAGTATAATTATGTCTCATTGGTCAGTTTTTGTTTTTGTTGCAATTGCCTCTGAGGGCTTAGCCATAAATTCTTTGCCAAGGCCGATATTGAGAAGAGTATTACGATATTAGGGTTTCTTCTAGATTTTTATAGTTTGGGGTCTTACATTTAAGACTTTAATTTATCTTTTGTTTTTTTTGAGACACAGTCTCGCTCTGTCACCCAGACTGGAGTGCAGTGGTGTGATCTCGGCTCACTGCAACCTTTGCATTCCTGGTTTAAGTGATCCTCCCACCTCAGCCTCACGAGTAGCTGGGACTACAGGCACATGCCACTGTGCCTGGCTAATTTTTATATTTTTTGTAGAGATGGAGTTTTGCTATGTTGCCCTGACCAGTCTTGAACTTCTGGGCTCAAGTGATCCACCCACCTCGGTCTCCCAAAGTGTTGGGATTACAAGCATGAGCCACCGCACCCAGCCTTTAATCTATCTTGAGTTATTTATTTATTTATTTATTTATTTTTGAGACAGAGTCTCACTCCATTGCCCAGGCTGGAGTGCAGTGGCACAGTTGCGGCTCACTGCAACTTCCGCCTCCTGGGTTCAAGTGATTCTCCTGCCTCAGCCTCCCAAATGGCTGGAATCACAGGCATGTGCCACCACAACTGGCTAATTTTTTATTTTTGGTAGAGACAGGGTTTTGCCATGTTGCCCAGGCTGGTCTCGAACTCCTGACCTCAGGCGATCCACCCGCCTTGGCCTCCCAAAGTGCTGGGATTACAGGCATGAGACACTGCACCCGGCCTTTGAATTAATTTTTGTATATGGTGATAGGTGGGGGTCCAGTTTCATTCTTCTGCATATAGATAGCCAGTTATCCCAGCACCATTCACCATTTGTTGAATAGGGAGTCTTTTCCTCATTGCTTATTTTTATTGACTTACATCTATTTAAAATTTTTGTATCTTTTTAAATAATCCTTCTCCTTCAGATAATGTATGTTTTCAAGTTTGTTTTCTTTTAAAAAATAAACAATGGCTCACGGCTGTAATCCCGGCAATTTGGGAAGCTGAGGCGGGTGGATCACTTGAGCTTAGGAGTTTGATACTAGCCTTGCCAACACGGTGAAACCCCGTCTCTACTAAAAATACAAAAATCAGCAGGACGTGGTGGCGGGTGCCTATAATCCCAGCTATTTGGGAGGCTGAGGCATGAGAATTGCTTGAACCTCGGAGGTGGAGGTTGCAGTGAGCTGAGATTGCGCCACTGCACTCCAGCCTGGGCAATAGAGTGAGACTCAGTCTTTAAAAAAAAAAAAAAAAAAGGGGGCCGGGCGCAGTGGCTCACGCCTGTAATCCTAGCACTTTGGGAGGCCGAGGTGGGCGGATCACCTGAGGTCAGGAGTAGACCAGCCTGGCCAACGTGGTGAGACCCCATCTCTACTAAAAATACAAAAATTAGCCGGGCATGGTGGCGGGTGCTTGTAATCCCAGCTACTCGGGAGGCTGAGGCAGGAGACTTGCTTGAACCTGGGAGGTAGATGTTGCAGTGAGCTGAGACCGTGCCATTGCACTGCAGCCTGGGCAACAAGAATGAAACTCCATCTCAAAAAAAAAAAAAAAAAAAAAAAAAAAGAAAAAAATGACTTTTCTTGGCCTTTAAGCTCTTGTTTCTTGGGGTATCAGCATCTCTGCTCTTACTATGTATTGAGGAAGGGCCAAAGGCCACTTACTGATCTTTGCCATTCTAGGTAATTTAAGAAGAATGAGTATAGCCTCAGGCATCACAAAAACCACTGCTAAACACTCTAATTTGCTGTCAATCCTACCTTTAGGTAGGTTAAGTTAAATTTTTAAAAATCTAAACTGTAAGTCTCTTTCTTGATAAGCGACTATATTATTTACATTATTTGTTATTACTGACATGTTTGGACTTATTACTACCATATTGGCTTCTGTTTTCTGTTTATTATCCCATTTTCTTGCTGCTTTCCTCTTTCTGTTGAATCAATAAAGTTTTCTATAGTCTTCCTTTAACCTTTCTGTTATTTTGAAATCCATAGATTATATTTCCATTTTTTTAGTGGTTATTTTAAAAACTATAATTGACTATATGTATTTTTTTCTTATACTTTAATTTCTGGCATACATGTGCAGAACATGCAGGTTTGTTACATAGTTATACACGTGCCATGGTGGTTTGCTGCACCCATTAACCCGTTATCTACATTAGGAATTTCTCCTAATGCTATCCTTCCCCTAGCCTCCTGCCCTCCCACCCACTGACAGGCCCTAGTGTGTGATGTTCCCCTCCCTGTGTTCATGTGTTCTCGTTGTTCAACTCCCACTTATGAGTGAGAAAATGCAGTGTTTGGTTTTCTGTTCTTGTGTTAGTTTGCTGAAAATAATGGTTTCTGGCTTCATCCATGTCCCTGCAAAGGACATGAACTCATCCTTTTTTTAATGGCTGCATAGTATTCCATGATGTTTATGTGCCACATTTTCTTTATCCAGTCTATCATTGATGGGCATTGGGGTTGGTTCCAAGTCTTTGCTATTGTGAATAATGCCACAATAAACATACATGTGCATGTGTCTTTATGGTAGAATGATTTATAATCCTTTGGGTATATACCCAGTAATGAGATTGCTAAGTTAAATGGTATTTCTGGTTCTAGATCCTTGAGGAATTGCCACCCTATCTTCCACGATGGTTGAACTAATTTACACTCCCACCAACAGTGTAAAAGCATTCCTATTTCTCCACATCCTCTCCAGCACCTGTTGTTTCCTGACTTTTTAATGATCGCCATTCTAACTGGCATAAGATGGTATCTCATTGTGGTTTTCATTTACATTTCTGTAATCACCAGTGATGATGAGCTTGTTTTCATATGTTTGTTGGCTGCATAAATATCTTCTTTTGAGAAGTGTCTGTTCATATCCTTCACCCACTTTTTGATGGAGTTGTTTGTTTTTTTTCTTGTAAATTTAAGTTCTTTGTGGATTCTGGATATTAGCCCTTTGTCAGATGGATAGATTGCAAAAATTTTCTCCCTTTCTTTAGGTTGCCTGTTCACTCTGATGGTAGTTTCTTTTGCTGTGCAGAAGCTCTTTAGTTTAATTAGATCCCATTTGTCAATTTTGGCTTTTCTTGCCATTGCTTTTGGTGCTTTAGTCATGAAGTCTTTGCCCATGCCTATGTCCTGAATGGTATTGCTTAGGTTTTCTTTTAGGGTTTTTATGGTTTTGGGTCTTATGTTTAAGTCTTTAATCCATCTTCAATTAATTTTTGTATAAGGTGTAAGGAATGGGTCCAGTTTCAGTTTTCTGCATATGACTAGCCAGTTTTCCCAACACCATTTATTAAATAGGGAGTCATTTCCCCATTGCTTGTTTTTGTCAGGTTTATCAAAGATCAGATGGTTGTAGATGCGTGGTGTTATTTCTGAGGGCTCTGTTCTGTTCCAGTGGTCTATATCTCTGTTTTGGTACCAGTACCATGCTGGTTTTTGTTACTGTAGCCTTGTAGTATAGTTTGAAGTCAGGTAGCGTGATGCCTCCAGCTTTGTTCTTTTTGCTTAGGGCTGTCTTGGCTCTGCAGGCTCTCTTTTGGTTTCATATGAAATTTAAAGTAGTTTTTCTAATTCTGTGAAGAAAGTCAATGGTAGCTTGATACAGATAGCATTAATTTTTAAATTACTTTGGGCAGTATGGCCATTTTCATGATATTAATTCTTCCTATCCGTGACCATGTAATGTTTTTCCATTTGTTTGTGCCTTCTCTTATTTCCTCGTGCAGTGGTTTGTAGTTCTCCTTGAAGAGGTCCTTCACATCCCTTGTCAGTTGTATTCCTATGTATTTTATTTTCTTTATAGCAATTGTGAACAGGAGTTCACTCATTATTTGGCTGTCTATTGGAATGCTTGTGATTTTTGCACATTGATTTTGTATTCTGAGACTTTGCTTAAGTTGCTTATCAGCTTAAGGAGATTTTGGGCTGAGACGATGGGATTTTCTTAATATACAATCATGTCATCTGCAAACAGAGACAATTTGACTTCCTGCCTTCCTATTCTAATACCCACTTTTCTTTCTCTTGCCTGATTGCCCTGGCCAGAACTTCCAATATTATGTTGAATAGGAGTGGTGAGAGAGGGCATCCTTGTCTTGTGCTGGTTTTCAAAGGGAGTGCTTCCAGTTTTTGCCCATTCAGTATGATATTGGCTGTGGGTTTGTCATAAATAGCTCTTATTATTTTGAGATACGATCCGTCAATACCTAGCTTATTGAGAGTTTTTAGCATGAAGGGGTGTTGAATTTTATCAAAGGCCTTTTCTGCATCTACTGAGATATCATGTGGTTTTGTCATTGGTTCTGTTTATATGATGGATTACATTTATTGATCTGTGTATGTTGAACCAGCCTTGCTTCCCAGGGATGAAGCCAACTTGATTGTGGTGGATAAACTTTTTAATGTGCTGCTGGATTTTATTGAAGATGTTTGCCTTGATGTTCATCAGAGATATTGGCCTGAAATTCTCTATTTTTTGTTGTGTCTCTGCCAGGTTTTTGTATCAGGGCAATGCTCGCCTCATAAAATGAGTTAGGGAGGATTCCCTCTTTTTCTATTGTTTGGAATAGTTTCAGAAGGAATGGTACCAGTTCCTCTTTGTACCTCTGGTAGAATTCGGCCATGAATCTGTCTGGTCCTGGACTTTTTTTGGTTGGTAGGCTATTAATTACTGCCTCACTTTCAGAACTTGTTATTGGTCTATTCAGGGATTTGACTTCTTCCTGGTTTAGACTTCGGAGGGTGTTAAGTGTCCAGGAATTTATCCATTTCTTCTAGATTTTCTAGTTTATTTGCATAGAGGTGTTTATAGTATTCTCTGATGGTAGTTTGTATTTCTGTGGGATCAGTGGTGATATCCCCTTTATCATTTTTCATTGTGTCTATTTGATTCTTCTCTGTTTTCTTCTTTATTAGTCTGGCTAGTGGTCTATCTATTTTGTTAACTTTTCAAAAAACTGGCTCCTGGATTCATTGATTTTTTGAAGGGTTTTTTGTGTCTCTATCTCCTTCAGTTCTGCTCTGATCTTAGTTATTTCTTGTCTTCTGCTAGCTTTTGAATTTGTTTGCTTTTGCTTCTCTAGTTCTTTTAATTGTGATGTTAGGGTGTCAATTTTAGATCTTTCTTACTTTCTCTTCTGGGCATGTAGTGCTATAAATTTCCCTCATACCCTGCTTTAGCTGTGTGCCAGAGATTCTGGTACATTGTGTCTTTGTTCTCAGTGGTTTCAAAGAACTTATTTATTTCTGCCTTAATTTTGTTATTTACTCAGTGGTCATTCAGGAGCAGGTTGTTCAGTTTCCACGTAGTTATGCAGTTTTGAGTGAGTTTTTTCATCCTAAGTTCTAAGCTGATTGAAGTGTGATCTGAGAGACTGTTTGTTATGATTTCTGTTCTTTTGCATTTGCTGAGGAGTGTTTTACTTCCAATTATGTGGTCAATTTTAGAATAAGTGTGATGTGGTGCTGAGAAGAATATATATTCTGTTGATTTGGGGTGGAGAGTTCTGTAGATGCCTATTAGGTCTGCTTGGTCCAGAGCTGAGTTCAAGTCCTGAATATCCTTGTTAATTTTCTGTCTCGTTGATCTGTCTAATATTGACAGTGGGGTGTTAAAGTCTCCCACTATTATTGTGTGGGAGTCTAAGTCTCTTTGCAGGTCTCTAAGGACCTGCTTTATGAATCTTGGTGCTCCTGTATTGGGTGCATATATATTTAGGATAGTTAGCTCCTCTTGTTGTATTGATCCCTTTACCATTATGTAATGCCCTTCTTTGTCTTTTTTGATTTTTGTTGGCTTAAAGTCTGTTTTATCAGTGACTAGGATTGTAACCACTGCTTTTTTTTTTTCTTTCCATTTGCTTGGTAAATATTCCTCCATCCCTTTATTTTGAGCCTGTGTGTGTCTTTGTATGTTAGATGGGTCTCCTGAATACAGCACACCAGTGGTTCTTGACTCTTTATCCAATTTGCCAGTCTGTGTCTTTTAATTTGGGCATTTAGCCTGTTTACATTGAAGGTTGATATTGTTATGTGTGAATTTGATCCTGTCATTATGATGCTAGCTGGTTATTTTGCCCCTTAGTTGATCCAGTTTCTTCATAGCATCGAAGGTCTTTACAATTTGGTATGTTTTTGCAGTTGCTGGTACCGGTTGTTCCCTTCCATGTTTAGTGCTTCCTTCAGGAGCAGGTCTGGTGGTGACAAAATCTCTCAGCATTTCTTTGTCTGTAAAGGATTTTATTTCTCTTTCACTTATGAAGCTTAGTTTGGCTGGATATGAAATTCTGGGTTGAAAATTCTTTTCTTTAAGAATGTTAAATATTGGCCCCCACCCTCTTCTGGTTTGTAGCGTTTCTGCAGAGAAATCTGCTGTTAGTTTGATGGTTCCCTTTGTGGGTAACCCCACCTTTCTCTCTGGCTGCCCTTAACATTGTTTCCTTCATTTCAACCTTGGTGAATCTGATGATTATGTGTCTTGGAGTTGCTCTTCTCGAGGAGTATCTTTGTGGTGTTCTCTGTATTTCCTGAATTTGAATGTTGGCCTGTCTTGGTGAAGTTCTCCTGGATAATATCCTGAAGTATGTTTTGCAAGTTGGTTCCATTCTCCCTGTCACTTTCAGGTACACCCATCAAATGTAGGTTTGGTCTTTTCACATAGTCCCATATTTCTTGGAGGATTTGTTTGTTGTTTTAATTCTTTTTTCTCTAATCTTGTCTTCATGCTTTATTTCATTAAGTTGATCTTCAATCTCTGATATCCTTTCTTCCGCTTGATTGATTCGGCTATTAATACTTGTGTATGCTCCACGAAGTTCTCATGCTGTGTTTTTCAGCTCTGTCAGTTCATTTATGTTGTTCTCTAAACTGGTTATTCTAGTTAGCAATTTGTCTAACCTTTTTTCAGGGTCTTAGCTTCCTTGCATTGGGTTAGAACATGCTCCTTTAGCTCGGAGGAATTTGTTATTACCTTCTGAAGCCTACTTCTGTCAATTCATCAAACTCATTCTCCCTGCAGTTTTGTTCCCTTGCTGGCGAGGAGTTGTGATCCTTTGCAGGAGAAGAGGCGTTCTGGTTTTGGCAATTTTCAGCCTTTTTGTGCTGCTTTCTCCCCATCTTCATGGACTTATCTACCTTTGGTCTTTGATGTTGGTGACCTTTGGATGGGGTCTCTGAGTGGATGTCCTTTTTGTTGATGTTGATACTGTTCCTTTCTGTTTGTTAGTTTTCCTTCTAACAGTCAGGCCCCTCTGCTACAGGTCTGCTAGTGTTTGCTGGAGGTCCACTCCAGACCCTGTTTGCCTGGGTATCACCAGCGGAAGCTGCAGACCAGCAAAGATTGCTGCCTGTTCCTTTGCCTGGAAGCTTCATCCCAGAGGGGCACCCGCCAGATGCCAGTCAGAGCTCTCCTGTATCAGATACCTGTCGACTGCTGGTGGGAGGTGTCTCCCAGTCAGGAGGCATGGGGTTCAGGGACCTGCTTGAGGAGGTAGTCTGTCACTTAGCAGAGCTTGAATGTTGTGCTGGGGGATCTGCTGCTCTCTTCAGAGCTGGAAGGCAGGAATGTTTAAGTCTGCTGAAGCTGCGCTCATAGCCTCCCTTTCCCCCAGGTGCTCTGTCCGAGGGAGATGGGAGTTTTATCTATAAGTCCCTGACTCAGGCTGCTGCCTTTCTTTCAGAGATGCCCTGCCCAGAGAGGAGGAATCTAGAGAGCCAGTCTGGTTACAGTGGCTTTGCCAAGCTGCGGTGGGCTCTGCCCAGTTTGAGCTTCCTGGTGGCTTTGTTTATGCTGTGAGGGGAAAACTGCCTACTTAAGCCTCAGTAATGGTGGATGTCCCTCCCTCCACCAAGCTGGAGCATTGAGAATTTTAAGCCAGTGGGTCTTAGTTTGCTGGGGTATGTGGGGGTGGGATTCACTGAGCTAGACCACTTGGCTCCCTGACTTCAGCCCCCTTTTCAGGGGTGTGAGCAGTTCTGTCTCGCTGGTGTTCCAGGCGCCACTGGGGTATGAAAAGAAACTCCTGTGGCTAGCTCGATGTCTGCCTAAACGGCCACCCAGTTTTGTGCTTGAAATCCAGGGCCCTGGTGGTGTAGGCACTGGAGGGAATCTCGTGTCTGTCGGTGGTGAAGAGCGTGGGAAAAGTGTAGTATCTGGGCTGGAGTACACGTTGCAGTCCCTAATGGCTTCCCTTGGCTAGGGGAGGGAGTTCCCTGACCCCTTGTGCTTCCCAGGTGAGGCGATGCTCCACCCTGCTTCTGCTTGCCCTCCGCGGGCTGCACCTACTGTCTAACCAGTTCCAATGAGATGAGCCAGGTACCTCAGTTGGAAATGCAGAAATCACCTGCCTTCTGTGTTGATCTCTCTGGGAGCTGCAGACTGGAGCTGTCCCTATTCAGCCATCTTGCCAGCCACCTCCGACTATACATTTTTCTAACAGAGGTTAGAATTATTCTGTATTTTCTTCCTCCTCCCTAGTAAAACAACAACAACAAAAAATTGCTTACTCATTGATACCCTCCCAGCTTATTACTTTTGTCTGGGGTTTTAATTTTGCTTTTTTTAAATTTAATTTTTACATAAGGCAATTAGCATTTTGCATAATTTATATAATGAAAAAGGTGTTCCTTTTCTCCATCTTTTACCACTCCCATCAGCAAACACTTTCTATTCTTGTTGCTGTTTTCTCATGTCTTTCCCTCTATAATTCTAAATATGATGCAGATAATGCTATTTCTTGGCTTTTCAGTTTTAGGTTACAGTTTTATTACTGTTGACTTTATACTATGAAAGATCAGGATTTAGCTTTGCCATACTATTATACAACCCTCACATGCCTGCATTTCCCCTCGTCACATCTTCTCTCTGTAAAATGTTGATTATGTATATATGAGGTTATAGATATTACATGTTTAGGTTTATATATAATTTCCCCTCCACCTTCCACATTTAGGGATAGAAGGGTTCGCATATTCAGCGTTTTATTTTAGCTATGTAAATCCTGTTCACAGATGAGCCAAATAATTTTTTAGTGATTCCGTTTCCTTTCCTGTGCGTTTTTTAGTTCCTTCTATTAGGAATTGTTTGTTTTCTTCTTCCCTTGCATCTTTTCTCATTCCTCGCTTTCCACACTCTCAACCAGCTCTTTTATAAAAAGGCCTTTTATTTCAAGTTTCCATTAGTTCAAACTGTTAAAATAAGCCCTATCTTCCTGTTCCAGTAGGTCTGTTTGCTTTCTATTCCTGTGATTTGTTTATGTTTTTAATTTTTGTGGGTACATAGTAGGTACATATATTTACAGGGTACATGAGATGTTTTGATAAAGGCATGCAAGCCATAATAATCACATGTATTGATATCTTCAAGCATTTATCCATTGAGGTGCAAACAATCCAATTACACTGAGTTATTTTAAAATGTACAGTTAAGTTATTATTGACTATAGCCACTCTATTCTTATTGCATTACAGCTATTGGGCTTGTACTTCCAACTGTTAGCATCCTAGGAATTTCCTTTTTCTTTGCTAGATTTTATGTTTTGCCTTTTATTGATTTATACTGTATCAACTGCAGCCTTTTTTTTTTTTGAGATGGAGACTCACTCTGTTGCCTAGGCTGGAGTGCAGTGGTGCAATCTTGACTCACTGCAACCTCCACTTCCCGGGTTCAAGCGATTCTCCTGCCTCAGCCTCCTGAGTAGCTGGGGTTACAGGCGCACACCACCACGCCTGGCTAGTTTTTGTATTTTTAGTACAGACGGGGTTTCACTATGTTGGTCAGGCTGGTCTCGAACTCCTGACCTCATGATCGGCCCGCCTTGGCCTCCCAAAGTGCTGGGATTACAGGTGTGAGCCACTGCGCCCGGCAACTGCAGCCTTTGAGAAAGAGCACGTGGCAGAGATTTCTAGTGCCTAGTGTCCCCCTGAGCCCAGGTGAGCCTAGCTCAACTATGGCTGACCTGTGGATCTGTGGAAAAGAAAAGCAAATCCTTGTTCTGGTAAGGTTTGGTGGTTATTTGCCATGCAGGGTTACTGTAGCAATAAATATAAACCACTAGACAAGGATCTCTAAATATATAAGGAAAGCCTCCTTAGTTTTCTTAGGAAAAACTGGTGGCTCATTTTTTAAGATGGGGTAATTGGGACTCTGTGCATTGACGGAGCTTGTTGACTTCATGGTGAGTATGCAGTGACATGGTCATTTCACTGGGAGCCTTCAAATGTCAGTGTCTGCAGATCTTGCTACTGTGCTGTCACTTTTCCTGGGTTACCCTTGTCCCTTACTGGAGTTCAGAAACCTTACTTCCAGCAATCTGATAGATAAATGGAGAAGGAGGCTGGTCTCAACTCAGGACTTACACTTGCACTGAATCCCCTAATTCAGTAGGGGTCTCACCTCTGTTTTCAGCAGTGCCACTGAGGTCAGAGCTGCAAAGCTGTAGTGTACTGCCAATGTAAGGGAGGTAGAGTTGCCTGGTTATCTGGGGTTAAAGAGAAACTTCATGTCTACAGGCCTTTTTAAAGACTTCCAACCAAGTTTTCTGTTTTCATCCTTGTCTCCAAGCCCTGTCGGCAAAGGTGCCCCCAATTCCTGTCTTTGGAGGTGTGTATTGAATCAGCTTGCTTCTTTTTCATGTTCTCACTCATAAGCACATCAATTTCAGTTTCCGTTGCTCTTTTAAATTCGTTATACACATACATCTGCTTTCTGGCTTCAAATATTTTGTTGATATCTCTGTTCAGCTGTCATTGCCTTCCCCACTGTCCTTGTGTATTTATGACCTTAAAAATGTCTTTATTGTCCCTATAGTGGAGTTTTAATAGCAAATCAAGATAAATAAATCTGTTTAATTCACATGTTTAACTGGGAACTCCCATCCTTTTTAAAAATGGCAGTATTAGTAACTTTGAGGTAATTAATGATTAAATTTATTGACATTATCAATTTCTGTTCCTTGTATACAAGGCTTTCTCTGTGGGTTCATTTTTTTTTCCTGCTTGAATACATAGCTCTTCAGGAAGAGTTACCTGATGTGTAACAAGGTGGTAAAATGGAACATTTCCCAGCCATGAAGATGACACAAGCTATATTCCAAAGGACTGTAAAACAAAATGGCAGAAAACCAACTTTTCTACTCATTCAGATTTGACTCTATTCAAATTTGATTACTAATCAATGTCTTATAAAGAAGTTGGAGAGAACAAGAAACGGAAGAATAAAAATCAAATGAAGAGTTTTGAAGATCATAATTTACTTTTGGAAAGTGCTGTACCTTATTAAATAACTTCCTAACTGCAAATTAAGAAGCATTTTGAGAGGACTGCCAAAAAGAGTAGTATGAATGCCTTGCATTTTGGAAGATAGAATAGATGGTGACTGAGTCAGGTTGGTGATACTGCAATGCTAAGACAGGCTAATGTGGCTTTTGGCAACAAGGGAGAGGGCGTCTTTGGAAGATCATTACTTTCCCAGAGTTTGTGGAGGCAAAGGATGTTTGAATGCATTTTGTGGACTAGATATGGACTATATACCTAAGAAAGCCAGTGTGTGGCCTTTTAAGTCTTGCCCAAGAGGCCACATGGAGAGGAAAATTGTCTCCAAGAAGAGAGAAAATGGAGGTCTCACCATATTCCTAGAGACCAGAGAAGGGGTCTCCAGGAGTTCCCTTGATGAGCAGGAAAGTCTCATGTAGTTCTCTTGATGGACATGAAAGGGTCTTTACCTGCTGGAAAAGACTCATGCTCATCAAGGGAACTTCATGAATAGTTTTTATGGATGGCAGAGGGAAGTCTCAGAAGACCCCTGAAAGCACCATGACAAAAAGAGTCAGATATAAACACTTGCACAACCCTGAGAGCACAGATGCTAGCTCACTTCCCCATACTAGTCAGTGGGAGACTTCCTGCTGCCCTTGCCTCTTCTTTTTTCTGCTTGACCTGGAGGGATCAGAAGCCATATTTAGGGAGGAGGCATAGAAGTACAGCTGGGGAAAGGAGAAGAGCCTATGCTACCCTCTTCCTTGACTACAAGTTTTTCACCTGCAACACCCTGACCTGGGGGAGGGAGAAAAACTTCAACTGGGAATCAAACTTTGAATTTTGATGCTTATTGAATATTTAAAATGTGAAATTGATGTTTTGTTTTGTGATTTAGGTCTTTAAAAGTTTTTCATTCTCACAGTGAGCAGAAAATTCACAGGGCTGTTTTTATCCAGAAGTAGAAGGACTTGTCGACTAGTAGTTTTAAAGGGAAAATGAGAAGCAGAAATTAGTAATTTTCAGTTGCTTTATGATTATATCCCCACTTTTTTTTTTTTTTTGAGATGGAGTCTCACTCTGTCACCCAGTCTTGAGTGCAGTGGTGTGATCTCAGCTCACTGCAACCTCCACCTCCCGAGTTCAAGCAATTCTCCTTCCTCAGCCCCCTGAGTAGCTGGGATTACAGGTGTGCATGTTTGGATTTTTTAGTAGAGATAGGGTTTCTCCATGTTGGCCAGGCTGGTCTCTAACTCTTCACCTCAGGCGATCCGCCTGCCTCAGCCTCCTAAAGTGCTGGGATTACAGGTGTGAGCCACTGCACCCAGCCATATATCCCCAAATTTTGATAGCTCGTTATAATGGTTACATTTATCTGACAATACTTTTATGTTGCCTTCACTCTTGAGGGGATAAAATTCTAAGCTTTTTCTTATTACGTCAATGATATTGTTCCATTGTCTTCTGACACCTATTGCTGTTGAAGAGGACTCTGTGTCAGTGCAATTGTCATTTGCGTTTCTGAATGTCTTTGCAAAAGCAGCACTGACAGCCTTTGTTCTGGACCAACTTTTCAAGGCTGTTTGTATGGCAAGATAGGGATGCTGTCTTCTTCTGGAGCAAATGGTAGGTTTGCTCAGAGCATTGGAGGTTAGAGATAGTGTCTCCCTCAGAGACTTCAGCCCTCCTCAATGAACTGAAATTTTAAAATTTCTTTCTTGTGTGAGATAGGAGATGTTTTTGAGCCCAACTTTGTCTGTTTTGGCTTGGAGCATAGGGAATATCTTCTGGATAGGAATTTTACCAGATTTAGAGAAATAATCACTTTAATGAACTTGTCTTGAGTATGTATTTGCTTCCAGGTGGTCATATCCTTAAATTGCAGTTGGCATAGCATTTTTCTATTGATGATTCCAATTTACCAATACTAATTTTAATTTTAGCAGACATAGTGTGCATTTTTCTCCTCAATATTCATTTCAGAGCATTTACTCTATTTTTTTTAAATTGAACTCATCCAGCATTCCTTTATTACCCAATCTCTTGGGACATTCAGATCAGAAGTGATTCTCTTCCTAAAGCCATAGTGATGCCAGCCCCATTAAACGCTCCTCACACTTCCCTTTTCCCCTTACTCCTGCTAGATATGTTCCATTTCCCATTTTATGACTTTTCACTTCTTCAAACTGCCCTTTATTGCTAAAAGTTCCACATTGTAATTTGAAAAGTAGAACAGTAAAATATCCATTTCTGAATGATCTGCTAACTACTGGGCTGTAATTGTATTCAAAATTGATAGTTGAGCTAAAACTCTATTATTCAACTTGAGAGATATTTTTGTAGCTGATTATTCCTGCTTATGGCTTTACCTAGAGCTTTTATTTTACAGTTATATTTTTGTACCACATTAGATATTTTCCCATCTATTTGCACAAAGCTAGACAAAAATGTTAACAAAGACCTAAAAGTCATATGTTAAACCAGAAATAGTATTGGAATTAGAAATGATGCAGTGCATCATCTTTCTTTTATTTTTTTCTGAGATTTATTGCTATGGAGAAGATTCAACCCAAGAATATGATGGCTAGTACGTTTTACCAAATTCCCCAAGAACTAAAATTATGAAGCTAAAACTTCTTTCATATACTGACTGGAAATGAAAAGAAAAATATGTTCAGATGAATTACCTAAGTTAGAAAAATAAATGGCAACCGTACAGATAAAACATGTCTTACTTATGGATGTTAGATGGGGTGTTCTCCTAGTGAGAGCTGTTTCTTCATTTTAGTTCTTCATCTTTCAGGTTTTTTTTTTATAATAGTGCACTTTAACCCAGGAAAAGTTGGGCAACTGTGTGGGATGGCAGAGAATTGCTGAATATTTTTTCCTCTAATTAAAGGCAGGGGTTCTTAGCCTGGAATTCATGGAGGTCTGAGAGGTCCATAGGCAGGTTTTGTACACAAGAGAGGCGGTATCTTAGTTTATTTTGATGCTATGACAAAATGTCATGGACTGCGTGATTCATAAGGAGCAGACTTTTAGTTCTCACAGTTCTGGAGGCTGGGAAGTCCAAGATCAAGGCACCAGCAGATTCAGTGTCTGGTGAGGGCCTGCTTCCTGATTCATAGATTGCACTGTGGTATCTCCCTAAGCTGACCCATTAGATTCTCCAGGGCAGGCTTTTACCAAGCTGGGCCCATGGCCATCACATGAATCCTGTCAAACCTTGTGCACTTGTTTTTTAATAGGGGAAGAAGAGACTTCCTGGAATTTCTGGATTCTAGGACCTCCTTCCCTCACCCAAGACACCTGGATCTGTTCTCTTGAACAATAAGCACCATCACTTGTCATCAACCTGAGGGTATCATGCTGTCATCTCACTAAAGCAAGCACCCAGGCGGGTGACATCCCAGTATTCAGAACAAATTCCTGTCATCTGGGACATGGTTGGGCCAGTTTAATCTGTGTCACCTGACCAACTCATGCAGAACTGTTACCTCATGCTTGGAGATGTAGGAACAGGAAGAGTTGTGCTGGAGATAGCAGAACAAAACTATAGGGAAAAATACAGAAGCCAGCCATTATTATAAAAATCAACTCACCTTAAGTATCTATAATGGTTAATTTACATTTTCAATGTGTTAGAAGCCCATGTTACTGCTGGAACATTAAGACACATGATAGCTTGGCTAAGTGGTCAATGTTACATCTATTTATGTAGGTATAGAAAGCTCTAGAAGATATGCACCCATCTATTACTTGAGGATTTTTTTTTGAGGAGGCTAGACTTTAGAGGCTTTCCACTTTCTACTTTATTCACTTTTAATTTAATTTTAAAAATTTATAATGAGTATATTTTATTTTCTATCATCAGAAAAAAGTAAAAAATACGAAGACCAGATTGGGAAGGTGAGATTTCACATTTTTATTCCTGGAGCTTACCCAGGGGTGGGTTGCTGTCAAAATCTCTTGGGGGGTGTTTTAACACAAACATTCCTGTCTCCCTATCTCCTGTTGCCAGCCACTCCTGGTGATCACTTGCATTGCTCGGGTAGCTCGTAGCGTACCCAGGAAAGGTTCAACCTTATGAGAACATTCTGGAAGAGGTACTCTGGAGAAGGCTTTACCCTTGCTGGACCGCAGGGCATCATTTTACTTGTGGCAGTCATCTGAGGCTTCAAACAGCTAGCTGGACCTGTGGCTATCATCTGGCCATGTTCGATGGGTGGGCTCAGACCTGTGGCTATCATCTGGCCATGTTCAGTGGGTGGGCTCAGTGGAAACTTTGCCAGGGAAGATGAAGATTGTGGAGGAAACCGAAAGGACCAAGTATTCCTTCTCTCTACTAGGGGAGGGACGTCAAAGCAAAAACTGGGGAGGGGCCAAATTTGTTGGCTGACTTCAGCAGCCCTCTTTTTACTTCATGAGAGAGAGAATGTTGGACATAACTTCCTGAAGTTTAGGGGCATTTCAAGAAGATTGGGAAAGAGCACGTCTTTGGATCAGGAGATTTCTGAAAGCAGGATGCATGCTGTGGTGCCCCAGACTAACAGCTGGAGGACTCACTTGTCCCTCTTCTCCATGCCTGAGGAGAGCTGGACTAGGCAAGTCACTGAATTTTTCTGTGCCTCAGTTTCCTCATATGGAAAATAGGAGTAATAACAATTGCTGTAATGATTCAGTGCATTCATACGTATGCATGTAGCATTTAACAAGTATTCTCTGTCACTTTTATGATGTATGGTGGGAGGTTGTACAGGCCTGCTCTGGGACAACTAGACCAGGAAAGAGGAAGCATGAGTGCAGTGATGGCCCTCTTTACAGTGGCAAGAAAACCCTTGGTGCTGACATGGCCCCTCTCCTGGCCTCCTGGAGCCCAAGGCTCTGAGCGTCTGTGACCTGGGCAATGCTCACCCCATGCCACTCCATGCAGATGCTGACTATGACGTTAGGCCCATCTTCAGGAGAGACTGTGGGGCCGCGGGGAGCGTCTCGACTTCCTTTGTGTCCTTATCTCATGTGTACTCACCACTGCTTGTTGGCTGGTTTGGTGATAAACCAAAGTGAAAGCAATCTTCAATAAGACCCTGGCCTTATTCTTGCCAAAATTTAAGCCTGGATAGACAGCATGGTTAGGGCTAGCTTTTGGCATAGTTAAAAGTATTGATAAGAAGAACTTCAAGTTTATGTGGAAAATGAGGAAAGAGGGAAATACAGGCAAGAGCCCTGTCTCCTGGGAGGCCTGACTGGAGCCCAGGGCATTTGAGGGTCCTGAGCTGCAGGCACTGTGGGGTCCTCTATGGGGGCATGAGGGCCTGTGGAAGGGGGTTTGCTGAGATGGAAGAGTCACCTGAGCACTCAGCACACCTTCCCTTGGGCCAGGAGTGGAGGGAGGAACAACTATCTTGGAATAGGTTCTGGAGGTGAAACTTGGAGGACACCTGCCCTCTAGTCATGGGGACAAAGCCTAGCAAATGGGACCTGCCATCCTGGGCACAATCCAGGCTCTTCTGTGAATCAGCCAACATGCAGGGGCAGCCAGCCATGCTGGAGCATGAGGGGGGTCTCAGGAGCAGGCTGGCCCTGCTCCCAGTCATGTCCATGCCACACGAAACCACATGGAATTTGCTGCTTAGCCCCTGCTCAGATGCTGGTAATACCTGGTGAGGACCAGGATCATCTCAATGCCTCTCACTCCTCTAATTGCACTGTCCAGGCATGGTGTGGAGCCCAGACCCACAGGTGCTGCCCCTGCCTAATCGTGGGTTTATTGCTGTCACCTCTGAATTCTGCTCAAATCCAGTTGTCCATCTGGTCAATCAAAAACAGCCTGGGAGTTGGAAAGGGCCCTCTCCTGGTGTAGTGGGTGTATCATCTAAGGACGATAGACTTAGAAGTCTAAGCCAGGTCGAAGTAGGGAAAGGGGAAATTGCTGTGCCAGTGGCAGGGGCGAGGTGGCCAGCCCGGCTCCTGTACTAGGATTACAGCTGGGTCTGTCAGAAATAAGCCTACACTAACGGCTGCTGCCTGAGCATCCCTGGAGGGAGGGTGTTTCCTGGTGGCACCCAGGGGTGGCAAGAGGTAGTACCTCACTCCAGGGCCCTGCTCCAAAGCCATAGGCTGTGGGCTGGCGGGGTGCGATTTGATGCAGCTGTGTGCTCACTGCACGGATGTCCTCATGTCTGCACTCTCACTTGTTCTTCGTGAGGATGCTGGGTTGCTGGGTATACAGCCCAGGTTCATACTGCAAGCTTCAGAAGTAAGTGTCTCAAGGTGCTGGGTGAAACTTACAGGCTTGCCTGCTGTTAACCCAGGCGACGAGTGATGGCCACACTCCTCCCTGGAGGGCTAAAAATCTCAGGACTTGACCTAAGGGGAAAGCAGACTGCTGTGGCAGGGGAAAGGGTGACCCCCACTGCCCAGAATAAAAAGGACCATTCACAAGGTGGCCTCTGAGGGTAAATGGCTGAAGCCCTCTCCTGTCATAGGCAAACTGGCTATAGCCAGTTTGGGCAGAGAAAGTCAAAGCATGCTGAACAGTTGATGAGCAGCGTGGGAGAATGTTTCCCCAAATGACTGTAGGCTGCACTACCACCTCACTGTAAGGTTGCAGGTGGGACCTTGCTGCCTGGTCCTCAGAGAAGACTGGACTCTGGACAGGCCTCACAGCACTCACCTTCCTAGGGATGGCCTGGCACATCCCCTTGAGTTACCTGGCACCTTTGAGGTGGTGGGGTTGATTCCCACTGTCAGGAGGAAGTGGTATGGTTACAGAATGTCAGACTCGTTCTTGGAGTGGCAGAGGGGATAAAGCCACCTGGCTGCTCCTGCCACTTTTCTCTAGGGGAAAAACAAAAGGGGTGGAAGCCCAAGGACCTGAGCCAGTGAGGCAGCATTTGGGGCTGTATGGTGCCTGCTGAGGCACTGCTGGCTGAGGAGGCAGACACAGTTTGAGAAGATCCTCTGGGAAATATGGACTGCCTTATGGTCTGAATGCTGTGATCCCCTCTACCCCAATTCATAAGTTGAAATTCTAACCCCCAAAGTGATGGTATCAGGAGGTAGGGCCTTTGGGAAGTGATTAGGTCACGAGGGGAGATCCCTCTTGACTGGGATTATAAAAGACCTTGGAGAGCTAGCTAGTCCCTTCCACCATGTGAGGGCACAACTAGAAGGCATCATCTAGGAAATGACAGAAAGCGGGTCCTCACCAGACACCGAATCTGCCAGGGCCTTGATCTTGGACAGCCCAGCCTCCACAACTGTGGGAAATAAATGTCTGTTGTTTATAAGCTACCCAGTCTAAGGTATTTTGTTATAGCAGCCTGAATGGACTAAGACAGATTTCATATTAGTTTCCTAGGTTTGCCGTAATAATGTGCCACCAAATAACAGAAATTTATTATCTCACACTTCTGGAAGTTAGGAGTCCAGATTCAAGGTGTCAGCAGGGTCATGCTTCTTCTGAGGACTTCAGAGGAGGATCCTCCCAGCATCTGGTGGCCCCAGGCATTCCTTGGCTTGTGGCTGCATCACTCCAGTCTCCGCCACCATCTTCACATGGCCTTCTTCCCTGTGTGTCTCCTCCTCTTGTAAGGACACCAGCCATTGGACTTAAGGATCACCCTAGAAATCCATTATGATTTTGTCTTAAGTTACTTAACTAACTGTGTCTGCAAAGACCCTATTTCTAAATAAGGTCGCATCGTGAATTTTGGGGTAGACATGAATTTTTGGGAGGCCTCCACTCAACCCACTACAGACTGAGTGGCAGAGAGAGGTCAAGGATCATGAAGTAGTGTTCTCCTGGTGGGGGTTATTGTAATGGGTGTAGCTAGTGATTCCCTCCAGCTATTTCCTCAGATGACAGAGGATGCTGGGGTGGAGGGGCTGGGCTCACCAAAGGGACCTGGAGCCCAGGGTTCCCAGCAAGGACTGCTGATCCCATGACATCATCATCTTAGAAGGGCAGCAACATCTGTGAGCAGCTGAAGGCTCCAAGAACACACTTTTTTTTTTTTTTTTGAAAGCGCATTCTACTGACAGAAGCCTCACTAGGAAAACTCAAGATGCTGTCTTTCAGGTAAGGACAAATAACAGTAACCTCATAAATGATGTTCACATACTCCAATGGGCTCAAGATGGAAATACTCACTGGTAGATTTGTGTAATTGACCTTTTCTGAGCAGGGGCTTACCCTGTAATTAGTATCATATACTATTTAGTTTTGGGTTATCATTATTGTTTTTGTGTGATGCTGCGTCCTAGTAACAGTTGTTTGTGACACTGGGAGTGATTAGACAAGGTGGGCATGAGAACTGTCCATCTGTATCCCCACAAAGGGGTGGACTGTGATGGGCCCTGGCCAAGCCTACTGTAGGCCCAGTGCCTCATAGAGCATAGTGTAGGGAATAGGAAACTACAGCTACAGTTTCCTTCTGTGGTAGTACTCAGGCCCTTGTCTGCTGATGCAGCCCTCCGACCTCATAGTATAAAATGATGAATTCTGGGTGATGAATTCCAGGCTGAAGACTCTAACCTGATGCATTGCTCACTCTGCAAAGGCTGCACTGACTTCTAATTTTGATTCTGCCTCTTTCAGTATCTAGGAAACCCATGGGTTGTACATGTAACTTTATCTTAGGAATATCTTTTGCACTGTTTGCTATCTCAGTAGGATATAGAAGTGAAAGCAATCTTGAACTGAGTTCACACCTTTGATTCTATTCAATTTTAATACCTTGGCCAGACTTTGTGGTCTAGCCAAACTCCTCAAACCATCCCCAAATCAATCTCTATGGCTAGGGAGATGCAACATAAATCTTGAATGAGGCAGGGTAGGTGGAGTCAGTCTCACTCAACCATGCAATGAGTGGTGGAGGGGAGGTTTCCTCAAATTATTTTGGAACGTTGCACCTTAAAGGAAGGGAGACACTGTCTGGGGAAGAAATGAAGATATCTATTTCAGGCGTTGATATTGTCTAGATTGTATGTACCCTCCAGATGGCTGGAACAGATACTTGCAGACATCAGCATTCTTATTTTTTATGAGATTATCTTTTTCTTCATAATGGGAGGTGTATGTTTTATTTTATCTTATTTTTCCCCCCAACAATTGGGAGAAATTCTGGATAGAGTTGCCTCCCAGGTATAGATACTGTATGTGGGTTATTCAATGACACAACTATTCATTAAGCACCTTAAGAACAGAGCCATGCCCTGTTGTAGGCACTGGGGATACTAAGGTGGGTAAGTTTGCTTTAGCTAGGGTAGCACCAGTTGCTATAACAAAGAGAGCTCAAAACAGAGACACTGAATAATACATCAGAGTTTGTAATGGTTCTCAGGAGAGCCCTTCAGGTTCATGAGTGACTCTGCTCCATGTGGTCACTCAGGGACTTTGGATGACAATGGCTTTGCAGTTGTTGCTTTCAAGGTCACCCTAGATATTGGCACTCCAGTCAGCAGGAAGGGGAGAAAGAATGTTGGAGGTGAGCCACTTGCAAGGTTTCAGGAACCCAACCTGGAGGAGGTACTCATCCCTTCTGCTCTCATTCCTTCCTTCCAGAAAGTTCCTGGCTGTTTTCTGAGGATATGCCTGGTTTAATGGAAAAGACCAGCATGTGAACAACAGGCAGAGGAGAAACTGGTTTTAAGCAATAGTTTTTCTACCTCACATCCTGCACTTCACAATTGCCACTGGACCCAACCCTAAAGACTTCTAAAAAAGAAAAAAACTCAAAGATGGAATGCCCCCTGTTATGTAGAACAAAGCTGTGTTTAAAAGTGTTATTTCCCTCATATCTGTTTCTAGCAAGCTAATTTCTTGTTATTAGTGATGTTAAATTTGATTTACCTTCTTGAAGTTCCTGGTCATTCTTAGCCTTTATTCTTTGGAAAAAGGCAAAAACAAATCCAAAAGAATTATAATGTTCCAGGTTCATGTTCCCAACTCCTCCTTCCTAATTAATGATCACAACAAACTTGTAAAGTGCTATTAGTATCTTCATTTTATGAATGAGGACATTGAGGCTTAGAGAACTTAGAGACCTTCATTAAGATTGTGCATCAGCTATTCACAATAGCAAAGACATGGAATCAACCTAAATGCCCATCAGTGGTAGACTGGATAAAGAAAATGTGGTACATATACACCATGGAATACTATGCAGCCATAAAAAAGAATGAGATCATGTCTTTTGTGGGAACATGGATAGAGCTGGAGGCCATTATCCTTAGCAAAGTAATGCAGGAACAGAAAACCAAATACCACATATTCTGACTTATAAGTGGGAGCTAAATGATGAGAACATGTGGATGCATAGAGAGGAACAACACACACTGGGGCCTTTCATAGGGTGGAGGGTAGGAGGAGGGAGAGGACCAGGACAAATAACTAATGGATACCAGGCTTAATACCTGGGTGATAAAATAATCTGTACAACAAACCCCCATGACACAAGTTTACCTATGTAACAAACCTGCACATGTACACCTGAATTTAAAATAAAAGTTAAATTAAAAAAAAGATCATGTATCAGGCTAGGTGGCTCATACCTTTAATCCCAGCACTTTGAGAGGCCAGTGGGCAGATTGCTTGAGCCCAGGAGTTTGAGACCAGCCTGAGCAATACGGTAAGACATTGTCTCTACAAAAGAAGAAAAAAAATTAGCCAAGCATGGTTGTATGCTCCTGTGGTCCCACCTACATGGGAGGCTGAGATGGAAGGATGGCTTGAGCTCAGGTGGTTGAGAAGCAGTGAGCTGTGATTATGCCACTGCACTCCACCCTGGGTGACAGATTGAGACCCTGTCTTAAGAACAACAAAAAAGATTATGCATCAATCATAGTGTAGCAAGGCAATATAAAAAGATCTAAATCACACATGCAACACATCTATGCATAGTATATTTGTAGAAAAAGATGAGATTCAGGAATAATGGAAAGGCATGAGTTTGGGCTGGAGAGTGACTAGATGCAGATGGCTTCATTGGATGGAGCAGCTCCCATGTAGCTGGGACCATGGGTGCACACTGCCATGCTGGACTATTTTTTAAAAATTATTTTGTAGAGATGGGGTCTTGCTATGTTGTGCAAGCTGGTCTCAAACTCCTGGGCTCAAGTGATCCTCCCATCTCAGCCTTCCAAAGTGCTGGGATTACAGGCATGAGTGACTGTGCCCCACCTGATGCACAATCTTTTTTTTTTTTTTTTTTTTTTTGAGACAGAATCTCGCTCTGTCACCAGGCTGGAGTGTAGTAGTGCGATCTTGGCTCACTGCAACCTCTGACTCCCGGGTTCAGGCGATTCTCTGGCCTCAGCCTCCTGAGTAGCTAGGATTACAGGCATGCGCCACCACACCCAGCTAATTTTTGTATTTTTAGTAGAGACAGGGTTTCACCATGTTGGCCAGGATGGTCTCTATCTCCTGACCTCGTGACCTGCCCGCCTTGGCCTCCCGAAGTGCTGGGATTACAGGTGTGAGCCACCGCGCCTGGACGATGCAAAATCTCATTTAGGGCCACAGTAGTTGCTGTAACAAGTAAATCTCTAAATTTCAGCACCTAATACATAGACATTTGTTGTCATGCGATAGCCCCATCTGGCTGCTCCTAGTTGCTGGGTGGCTTTTGTTCCTAGGCTCCTTTTCCATGTGTACCTTGCAGCATCCAGTTGGCGTTTTTTGACTCCCAAATATTAGCCTTCTATTTTCCTTTAGCTTTTTTTCGCCCCCCCACCAGTAAAACTGCATTTCCTGACACGATCTGCTTTTTGCATTCCTCCCTTCTCACTGCTCACTTTGACAGTTGCTACTGTAGGTGTGGTGACAGATGTCTGGCTTCAACAAGATCCCATGGAGAATGGACGCTTCTTGGCAGTTTCGAGTTACTGCTGGGCTATTAACAGCTCCTTAAGTGGATTCACCAAGACTCAGCTCTCAAGTCACCCCTGGCCTTTGCAGGCTTGTCTGCCAGAGCTAGTGATGTTTCTTGTGCTTCCTAAAGCTCTCTGAACCTTGTTCCACATTTAGCTGCTGGTCGTGAAGATCCTAGAGTGGTTAGGAAAAGAAAAACATTCTACCTTGTTCTAGGATCAAGACTTTGAAAGGAAATGTTTACAGCTTATCATCATTGATTCTTTCTTAGTGAGCCCCTTCGGGGCCCCAGATGGGAGACCTCAAATTTAAAAGCCATGAAGGAGCAATGAACAAGTACTTGAGAGGTTAAAGGTAACTATCAAGCAGTGAGGGATTCCCAGTGAACTAGCGACATCCCAGAATGGAATCATTGAAATGTATAATTCTTCCTGGGTATTCATGACGTTTGCTGAATGAGGAGGCTGCTACTGAGCTGTCTATAGCACTGGGGGGTTGCTGGGACAAACACTGGCCCTGGCACATCTAACTCACTCTCCCCACTGGCTGTGGAAAGGCAGAAGTCAGGGTGCCAGGGCCACACTTTTCTTAAAATTGACAATTGGAATATGGGGATGAGTGCAGGGGTTTTGACTCCACCTGGCTTAGTCTTTGAGTGTACCCTAAGACTAATGAGAGGCGGGCTGCCTTCTACCTAGGGAAAGCATGGCCAGCCGACGTGCCTTGCTGGGGCTTTGGTGTGGATTAGGCCTAATGGGAAGACTTACCTCCCTGGGGCTTCCAAAAGTTGAACCTCTGGGTGGCTGATGAGATGTGAACAAAAGACATTTGATTACATGGATGTGTGTGGGAAGCAATGCTTAGCCTCTTAGCTTTGTTTCTAGTTGTTCTATGGAAAGGCATTTTAAATCACGGTAATTATTGAATTTCCTTGATTCTAAACTAGCACACTGATTGTAAAATGCATTATCAATTTAATAAGAGTATTTTTGGCAGGGAAACAAAGAAATACTACCATATATAACAAATACAACTTGACTGCAAAACATAATACAAATGTTAGAAATGATAAAATGTGGTGAAATGGTAAAATGTTTTAGCTCAAGGAAATATGTTAGAAAAGAAGATTTTCTGCTCTAGACTAGAGCGAGGCCACCTCCTTGGTTAGCTGGCGAAGCTTTTTTTTTTTTTTTTTTGCAGGTTAGTTATCCCTTTTTTGGCAGTGGTTTTGGGTCTGCAATTACAGGAGCGGGCAGAAGCCAGCAGCTCCAGCAGCAAGGTTCATGCGGGCGATTTGTGGCTGTAATTTCTCACTGTTGTCTGTTCTGCCGCCCACCTCACTAGCACTGAAACCCATTGGTGAGCTACAGGACCCCTAGGGAGTGAATTTGCAGGAAGATAAATTCCCCTGTTCCTGAGTACATTTTAATGCTATTGTGGAAACTGAATAGAATACAGATCACTCCCAAATTGAATTCTGCATACCTGTGCTGCTAAGTAGAAAATTGCGTATCAAATAATGGTTCCTAGACTCGACTTGGCTCTGTCTAGACACAAAACTTGCTTACAGTTTTTAATGTTTTCTGTCATGCAGGCACATAAAACCCCTTTGCCCTCATTATCTCAGGATCTCAGACATTTTATTTTTGGGGACATTTTCACTGCCAACAGCTAACTCCTGTCTTTATCCTACCCTCAGTGTTCTTGAAGATGATGTTACGGCAGTCAGATGCTCTGTTATGGCAGCCGGCACCCCAAGTTGGAACTGTGTAGACATGGGCACTGGGTCTTATTGTTGTAATAAGTTTTTTGTTTTAGTACCAGCACACAGTATGTGCTCAGTAAATGTATGTTAAATACATGAGTACAGGGAGAACTGGCTGACATAAGAACCTCTAAAGCATCTTTCTTATGCAGTCTTATTCCTGTGAGGAAGCCCACTGCCCCTCTCCTTATGTGCAAGACATGTAGTTAATATGTTAATGAGTGTCTGATTGGTGTTTTAAGTATTATTTTCTTTGTGACATTGTTACTGGAAAGGGGTCCTAATCCAGACCCCGAGAGAGGGTTCTTGGATCTTGCTCAAGAAAGAATTCGTGGTGAGTCCATAAAGTGAAAGGAGGTTTTTTAGGAAAGTAGAGGAATGAAAGAATGGCTACTCCATACTCTATAGACTACTCCCTCAGGGCTGCTGGTTGGCCATTTTTATGGTTGTTTCTTGATAATATGCTAAACAAGGGAGGATTATTCATGAGTTTACAGAGATAGGGGTGGGTAGTTCCTGGAACTGAGGGTTCCTCCCCTTTTTAGACCAATATGGGGTAACTTCCTAATGATGCCATGGCATCTGTAAACTGTCATGGCGCTGGTGGGAGTGTCTTTTAGCATGCTAATGCATTGTAACTAGCATGTAATGAGCAGTGAGGATGACCAGAGGTCACTTTTGTCACCATCTTGGTTTTGGTGGTATTTGGCTGACTTCTTTACTGCAACCTGTTTTATCAGCAAGGTCTTCATGACCTGTATCTTGTGCTGACTTCCTATCTCATCCTGTGACTATGAATGCCTTAACCTCCTGGGAATGCAGTCCAGTAGATCTCAGCCTTGTCTTACCCAGCCAGTATTCAAGATGGAGTCGCTTTGGTTCGAACACCTCTGACAACATCATTCCTCCTTAGGCCTTTTGTTTCTGTTTCCACTGAATGCAGGTAAGTGCTATGGGCCAGAGGAACCTGGAGAAGGTGGGTGTGCCATTGTAGCAGTGGTGGCTCAGTTGAGCCTCCAGGCAGCTGCATAATGCAACAAAGCAAGAAGGGAGCTGCCAATCACCAAGTGAAAATACATGGACGTTAGTGTTCAGTCCGGAATCAGTGCCAAGATCTTGGCAGAATGGGTGGCTCCAGGCATGGGATTATTTGGGGTCATCAGGAAGACCAGAGATGATTCTCTCAGAAATCTAACAGGACATCAGTTTTCACCATTAGTGCTTCGCTCCTTTGAGCCTGAAACTTTTATTTTCAAGAGTCTTAAGTAAAATAAAACTCCAGAAAGCTAACTTTAAAATACCCAATTCTTTAGGACAGAGAACATGTGTAGGAGGAGATAAATGAATGTCAAAAAAATTAAGAACCAAAATCCAACTTTTGTTCTGAGATGGAGTTTTTATTTTTATTTTGCTCTAAGTTCTGGGATACATGTGCAGAATGTGCAGGTGTGTTACATAGGTATACATGTGCCGTGGTGCTTTGCTGCACCTATCAACCCGTCATCTAGGTTTTAAGCCCTGCATGCATTAGGTATTTTTCCTAATGCTCTCCCTCCCCTTCCCCCAACCCCTCAACAGGCCCGGGTGTGTTATGTTCCCCTCCCTATATCCATGTGTTCTGTTCTGAGATGGATTTGCTAAGATGAATCTTTGCTTGTGTTCTAAGACCTGGTGAAATCTCCCCTGGGCAATGGCCTGGGGTGGGCCCTGAGCTGTTTGATTGGCAGGTGACAGAGCCCTGAATAAAAGGCTTCATTCTTTGATTTTCTTTTTGGATCTCATAGTTTAGTGAGGCAATTCTCACTGCTTCCTCTAGGGGTGATTCTCCCTGGGGGGTGCTATATTATGGAATTTGGAGGGGCAGTTTTGATTGTGACAAAGACTTGGGGGCTTTGCTTGCATTTAGTAGGCATGGCCTGGGAACACTCTATATCCTGCATTCATGGGGCAGTATTGCCCATTGAATAATTTTTTAAGTGTACTGTGGGACTTTCATGTGGGTAAACCTGTATTCCAATAGTTGTGATGTACCCTAAATTTTCCAGGAAAGAAACCATTGTGTAAATCCTTTTGCTTGGAACTTCACTGGAGTTAGAAAGTCACCTGTGGTGGTTAACTTACCAGTGGAGCCCAGCCCTGTCCGTCTGCCTCTGTGGCTGTCATGTTCTTGAAGATTCTAAGGACAGCAGCAAGCACCTGACTCCTGCATTACAACCTCCAGTGCTGGCTTTTCTGAGCATTTCTGTGCTAAATGTGTATAATGTACATTTCTATGCACATTATACTATAAATTTCTTTTTACGTTTTTATTTCAGTTGGGGTATTGTGTTATTTCTAAAATCATATTTGTGTTAGAATTTATGTATTTATATTGCTATTGTTTGAAAGTATTCCCCAAAGTTTATGTGTTGTCAACCCCCAGTGCAACAGTTTTGGGAGGTAGGGTGTCATAAGAGTTGATTAAGTCACAAGGACTGCTTTCGTGACTGGATTAATGTTGTTATTCCAGGAGTGGGTTAGTTATCATAAGAGTGACTTCGTTACAAAACCTTTGGCCCCCTCTTGATCTTTTGCTCTCAATACTTCTTGCCCTTTCACCTCTGCCATGGGATGATGCTGCACAAAAGTCCTCATCAGATGCCATGCTCTTGGACTCCTGGCCTGCAGAACCACCAGCCAAATAAATTTCTGTTCATTATAAATTACCCAGTCTGTATTTTTCTGTTATAGCCACAAAAAATGAGCCAAGAAAGAAGATTGGCACTGAGAAGTAGGTCTGTTGCTATAATAAATACCTGAAAATGTGGAAGCACCTTTGGAACTGGGTAATGGCTAGATGCTGGGAAAATGTGGAGGAGCAGGCAAGCAACAGCCTATATTGCTGTGAACAGACCATTAAGCATGATTCTGGAGAGACTTGTAGAGAAAGTCTGAAGCTTCTTAGAGATTACTTAAGTGGTCCTAATCAAAATACTGGTAGAAATATGAACATTTCTGATATGGTAAAGGCTAATCTGATGAGATCTCAGATGGAAATGAGAAACAAAGTAATGGAAACTGGAGTAAAGGCCATCTTTGTTATAAATTCACAAAGAACTATTATAAATTCTTGGCTGAATCATGTCCACAACTGAGGGCTTTATGGGAGGTAGAATTTAAGAGCAAGGAACTTGGATATCTGGTGGAAGAAATTTCTAAGCAAAATACTGGAGGAACTGCATAGCTACTTTTAACCACATATAGTAAGATGTGAATGAAGAGAAATGATTTAAAGATGGCATTTATAATTAAAAGGGAAGCAGAACAAAATATATGGGAAATGAGCAGCCTTGGTCATGTAAAGAGTGAAAAGGCATGTTTAGGAGAGTAAACTAAGAGTGTGGCCAAGAGACTGTTTGCTAAAGAGATTAGCATGGATAGAAGGGAGCCAGGTGCCATTCATCAAGACAATGGGGAAAAGACATCAAAGGCATTTGATGGGCTCAGCAGGTTGCCCCTCCCATCACAGGCCCAGAACAGGGCCTTCCAGAGAAGGTTTCCAGGAAGGTTGCCGTGGGACTTCAACATTCACTGCTCAGAGATGCTTGGGACTCTGCTCCCTGCATTCAGGCACAGCACTCCTCAGCTGTCCCAGCCGTGGCTCAGATGGGTCCGGGTATGGCTTGTGCCACCACTCCAGAGGGCTCAAGCAGTAAGTCTTGATGACATCTATGTGGTGTTGACTCTGCAGATGAACAGAATGCAAAAACTGTGGGGTCTGTACATTTCAAAGGATGTATTTGACAGCTCAAGGGCCCAGGCTGAAACTTTTCCCAGGGGTGGAGACAACACAGACAGCCCCTACTAGGGCAATGCTGAGCCGAAATGTGGGGTCCAAGCTGCCACATTGCCTAGTTGACCTATGGGAGTAAGGCCATCTCAGAGATCACAGAACTGTGGGGCCATCCACATGCAACTTCAGTTTGGGAAAGCTGGAAGCATGAGACTCCAACCCATGAAAGTGGCCGGGTGGGCTGAGCCCAGCAAAATCATAGGGGCAGGGCTGCCTGTGGCCTTACAGGTCCAGCCCCTGTCCCAGTGTGCCCAGAATGTGGGACATGGAGTCAGGGAGGATTATTATTAGCTTTAAGACTTGATGTTTTCCCTGTTGAGTCTTGGATTTACCTGGGACCAATCACGTCTTTCTTCTTGCCTATTTCTCCCTTTTGGAATGGGAATGTCTGTCCTATGCCTGTCTCACCACTGTATTTTGGAAGCACACAGTTTATTAATTTCACAGGCTCGCAGATTGCAGAGGGATTTTCCTGGGGATGAATTGTGCCTTGAGTCTTACCCATATCTGATTCAGATAAGACTGAACTTTGGACTTTTGAGTTGGTGCTGGAATGAGTTAAGACTTTTGGGGCTATTGGAATGAAATGCATGTATTTTGCATTATGAAAAGGACATGAATTTTGGAAGCCAGGGGCAGAATGCTATGGTTTTAATGTGTCTCCCAAAATTGATGTGTTGGAAATCCCCAATGCAAATGTGTTTAGAGGCTGGAGCATAATAGGAGGTGATTAGGTCACGAGGGCTCTGTGAGAAATAAATTTCTTTTCTTTACTAATTACCTATGGTATTTTGTTATAGTAACATAAAACAGGTTAATATCTATATCTATCTGTAGCTATCTATATTTAAAACTTCTTAACCATTTTTAAGCATACAGTTCAGTAGTGTCAATCATATTCACATTATTGTGAAAGAGACCTCCAGGTCTTTTCATCTTGCATATCTTTATACTCATTGCAAACTTTATACTCATTAAACAACTCCCTGTTACCCTTCCCATCCAACCTTTGGCCACCACCACTCTACTTTCTGTTTCTATGAATTTGACTCCTTGAGATACTGCCTATAAGAGGAATGATATAGAATTAGTTTTTTTGTGTGTGACTGACTTATTTCGCTTAGGACACTATCCTTAAGGTTTATTCATATTGTAGCATGTAACAGAATTTTTTAAAGACTAAATAATATTGCATGCTATGCATATACCACATTCTTTTTATCCATTCATTCATCAATGGACATGTGGGTTGCTTCTACCTCTTGGCTATTGTGAATAGTGCTGCTATTGACGTGGCTGTGCAAACATCTGTTCAAGACCCTGCTTTGAATTCTTTTGGATATACACCCAGAAGTGGGATGTGTGTCACATGGGAATTCTGTTTTTAATTTTTTAAGGACTACCTTACTGTTTTCCAGGGAGGTTTGCACCATTTTACATTCTCACCAACAGTGTACAAGGGTTCCAATTTCTCGACATCCTCACCAACACTTGTTATTTCCTGTATCTTTAATAGTAGCCATCCTAATGAGTATTGTCTTAGATTATCTTTTATATGAATTACATTTCAAGACAGTAAAGGGGTATGTACAAAATCATGTTATAAAAAGAGGGCATTGAGTTTGAAGAGTTGAGAATGACTGTTCCAGTGTCTTTCTTCGTAATCTTAACAACAGTCAGGTCAACCTTTAAAAACTTGTTAGAAAACAACCTTCCCCTTCTTCCTCTCTATCAATGCATTTACACCTGTAGCTGACACTTGGAGCCAGCCTTGCCCAGCATGGCCTCCATGGGTATCCTTTGTTCTGTGTGGAATTAGGTATTTTTCCTTCTGCACTAGTAATTAGTGATCTCTTTCTATTAAGTAGGAAAACAGAATATTGTTTTGGCATTAAGCCTATGAACTTTATATACAGTGAGCATTCATGAATAATATTCCATTACTGAGCAAGAGTGGGTTTCCTGGTGGAGACATGTGTCACAGACACGACATAATAAACCTGGACTCCTTGAAACCATGGCTGGGGTTCCAGGGCTTTGACCTGTTGTGGACTTACTGGCCATATACATGATGACAACCCAACACTGACATGGTGCTTTCTAAAAGTGTCTAAAGTTAGTGTTGTCACTTGATGTGTTAAAATGTCGAGCATTCAGTTTGGAACATTGTGGGTGGGAGGTGGAGGGACTAGATTTTCTGTTCAGTAGACAGAGGCAGAAGGAAGCCTGGTTGGCCTATTGACCCCAGGACCTCAATCTCGGGGTGCATTCAGGGAAAGCTCTTCTGCATCAACCCTGGGCTCAGCTAGAATTTTTCCCCTCCACACCTTTGGATGTCTTCTCTGTGCTCCAAAGTGGAACCCCATTACAAGAAGCTGACCTAGGATGCATTTTATAGCTGATGTTTCCTTAATAACCTTCAGTGTAGTTTCCCCTAAAGAAAAGACATTTTTCTTTAATGTGTCAAGGATCAAAAACATATATAAAAGAAAATTATTACAGTATTTCACTTGAGATTATGCAGATGACAAGTTTTTTTAAAAAAAGTATTATTTATGACTATTCAATTAAACAGCCACCAAACAATAGTGAACCCACCACTATTTCCAAATACGATATCTTGGTGTTTGTAGCTCACCATATGTTTGAAGTATGACATAATCCTTATGGAACACATTCAATTTGTTGCTTCCCAACTTCAATAGAAGCAGTTAAGCCTGTCTCCTTGTAGACAAATTGTTAATGAAAAGGTAGCTGAACAATCATTTTCTTGTAATATGCAATTCTGTCTCCTTAAATACAGGAGCCTGACAGAGCCATTCAGCAGTTAGTACTTTCTCTATACAACTGAACTCTCTCTGACCCTATGAAACTAACAGTTGGAGCAAAAAGAGAGAAAGGGGGAAAAGTCTGCTAAAAATACTCACCTGTAATATATATAATCCTGAAAATTGAATGGAAGGTATATCTTCCTTTATTGTTTTCAGATAATGTATGAATAATTGCCTTCTGCCACATGCATTTTTATTGATTTTAAAGTATTTCATGATGTTGGTGCAATGTTTGGGAAATGGCAGGACTGTCTGAAGGATTCAGGATTTAGAGTCCTGAGCTTTCCCCTCTTTTAGCAATGAGTCAATGCTGCTGATGGCAGCCCAGGCATACAGTGGCGCCCTTCTTCCTACAGAGACACAAAGAAGAAAACAAAAAGATTGGCCACCCGACCAAAGCAAGCTCATGATTTTAATTTAATTTAATAACTTTATATTTTACAATTTCCCCAAGAGTTTTAAAAATAGGCTTGAGCAAAGACAGCCGGATTTTCCACTTTAAAATTCAGACAAAATAAACAATGTCTTTAGGACATAGTGTAGAATAATAATAGCTGGTATTTATTAAGTGCTTGTGCCAGTGGTACCCAGGTTATCTGGGTACTTCATCAGTGAAGAATGGATGGGACATGATGATTACTCCCATTTGATAGATGAAGAACATGAATCAGAGAGGGTAATCAATTTGCCCAAGGTCACCCAGCAATTTTGTGGTAGAGCCGGCATTTATGCTGAAGAAGACAAACTCAACTAGGTTTTAAAGTTAGGTAAGAGTCTTGATCTCATTTACTACTTGTTCAAAAATGTTTGTTCTTTTTTTTTTTTTTTTTTTTTTTTGAGACGGTGTCTTGCTCTGTCGCTAAGCTGGAGTGCAGTGGTGTGATCTCGGCTCACTGCAATCTCCGCCTCCCGGGTTCAAGCCATTCTCCTGCCTCAGCACCCCCAGTAGCTGGGATTGCAGGCGTGCGTCACCACACCCAGCTATTTTTTTTTTTTTTTTGTATTTTTAGTAGAAACAGGGTTTCACCACGTTGGCCAGGATGGTCTCGATCTCCTGACCTCATGATCCGCCCACCTCGGCTTCCCAAAGTGCTGGGATTACAGGCGTGAGCCACTGCGCCCGATCAAAAATGTTTGTTCTTTAAAATAATAAGGTATTTTATTTTAAGATGTTGCTTACTTTATTCTGATCCACATTTTTCCACAGTACAAATATAAACTCTTCGTGTATTGATAAACAAACACTGTGAAGTGCAGACCATGTGTGAGTGCCTTGGGAAGCAGTTATGTGTGGTGGAATCTTCCAGCACGCAGACTCCAGGCTTGCACCTCTCTCGATTGCTGTATGGCAAGTGTCTTTATTCCCCAAGCCTCTGTGTTTTCATCTGTCAAGTGGGTATGATGATGGTACGGACTTCCCAGGGTTGGGGACTGGATGCACAAATAGATATGCATACTCTAGCATGGTACCTGCACAGTGAAGGTACATAGTTAATGTGAACCAATAACACAAGTTCACAGAAATGAGAACTCAAAGCTTACAGAGTGGGAGAAGCACCAACCACCTGTGGTAAATGGGGCATGTGCACTGATGTGGGAGGTGGTGAGTCTGGGAAGTGGCCCGGTCTCAGCCACGTGGAAGCATCTGAGCTTTATTCTGCTGGCTTTACGGAGCACTGAAGACTCTTGAAGATGAATGTGCTAGTACAGGATTTAGGGAGTGATTCAGTGGAAAGAAAACAGAGATCTAGTCAGGGGTGGAACAAAGAGTAAGGAGATAGGAAGACAAATATGTCCAGGGCAAAGGGTAGGTTGTGGGTGACCTGGGGGTTCTGGGTGCATTAGATCCTCAGCCTGTCAGGTGCAGTGGCTCATGCCTGTAATCACAGCACTTTGGGAGGCTGAATTGGGAGGATGGCTTGAAGCCAGGGGTTCAAGACCAGCCTGGGCAACATGGCAAAACCCTATCTCTGCAAAAAAAAAAAAAAAAAAAAAAAAAAAAAAAAAATTAGCCAGGTGTGGTAGTGCATGTCTATAGTTCCTACTCAGGAGGCTGAGGCAGGAGGAACACTTAAGCTCAGGAGGAGGTCAAGGTTGCAGTGAGCTATGATCACACTTTTGCATTACAGACTAGGTGACAGTGAGACCCTGACTAAAAAACAAACAAACAAACAAACAAAAAACCCCACCAAAACCCCCTATTTCTACCAGCCTGTTTCTACCACATGTAGAGACCAGGTTGCTCATGGGAACCGGCTCCTTGCTCCCCAGGTAACCTTTTCATAGTTTTCCTCCCCAATTTCCCCATAGAGGAAGAATGCAGTGGCTACACTAAACAGGGTATTTAGGCCATTTGACGATTGTATTTCTGTTGTGAACTGCCAAGTCCAGGTTTAGTTTTAGACATCATTGCTTTGTTAGCATGAGTCATACTCTACAGATCAAGCTTCTGGGGTGCCCAGTCAGAGGCCAGCATCAGACCATGGAGAATTCACCAAGGTAAATGCCACCTATGGTAGCTTTCCTGGTGCCCGTGCTGGCCTTCCCTGGTGATTCCAAGACAGCCCATTCAGTATAAACCACATCTACATAAAATTAATTGGAACATGGTTTTTTTTTTTTGAAAAATGATTATTAGTTTATAATCATCTGAGTACTTTCTTTATTACTAAATATTATTTAAAATTAAAACTGAAATCATATAGATTCACAAAGAGATTTCCTTGGTATCTTTATTATATATGAAGAAAGAATTAAATACTTGATGTCAATATTTTGCTGAAAAATGCAACTTTTCTTCCTGATTATACATCCAGAACACCTTTTCTTTAAACTACTCTGGGAACCAGTGTAGTTGTCCCTGTTCCTCTGACTTTTCTCCTGAATTCCAGACTCATTTCCATTTGCCCTTTAGGTGCCCATCTTCTTAAATATTTTATTTTAATTATTTTTATGTTTTTTTTTTTTTGAGACAGGGTCTTACTCTGTTTCCCAGGCTGGAATTGAGGGTACAATCACAGCCCACTCCAGCCTCAACCTCCTGGGCTCAAGTGATCCTCCCATCTCAGCCTCTAGAGTAGCTAGAACTAGAAGGGCACACCACCACCCCCGACCATTAAAAAAAAAATGTTTAGTAGAGACAAGGTTTTGCCATGTTGTCCAGGCTGGCCTCAAACTCCTGGGCTCAAGTGATCCTCCCACCTTGGCCTCCCAAAGTGTTGGGATTAAGGTGTGAGCCACTGTGCCTGGCCTTGGTGCCTATCTTGTTGGTGCATCTTCAGTTGAGCTCATCCCATCCCACCCCATCTGATAAGGCAAATCTCAGGTCCTCCGCCTCCACTCTGACAGGTGCCAGCACCTCCTCTCTTCACCTGTGACCTCGTTCTTCTCCCTTTTCTGGGAAGGCCCAGTTCCGCTGAGGCCCATACATAACCTGCGACGCTTTCTTCTGGGCCAGCCCTTTGCCAACAGCACGAGATGTTTTTTGGCTTAGCCTGTTGGCACTCCATGCTGACTTGAACTCAGGCTTCCCCTTCCAGGGTCTCAGCTGCGGCTTCCTTGGACACGACCACTACCCGATTGTTGAGCCCTCCTCTCCTCTTTCCCTGGGACCCTCACAAATTCTACACCCACAGTCTCTTCTGCCTCGGTGTGGCCTGTGGGCTTCTCCCTATGGATATGCAAACGTAACGTCCAAAGTCAAATTAATTCTGATCTCCTAAACAGTTTTTCCTTTTATATTCCTGAGTTTTTAAAGACTGGCATCAGCTTCTGTCTGTTTCCTTGGGGTGGAAATTTTGTGCCGTTATTTCACCTTCTTCTTGCTGTTTATATCCATCTGGACACCAAGCCCGGGGTATAGCCCCTGCTTACAGACCACTTGAAGCCAGCTGCTTACCTCTTCTCCTGCAGTTGCTTCATTCAGAACCGGGGTTTTGTGCCTAAGTGCAGGGAGAGACTTTCGGCTGCTCTCCCGGCCTCCACTACCCACCTTTCTACCCCGTCACAGTCGTCCTCCACACTGCTATCATCTCTTCCGCTTACTCGAAGCAACAACAACAGCAGCAATAACAACCAGCCAGACCAGTAAAACCTCTTGGTGGCCCCCAGGTGCCTGTAGTATGAACTCTTAAGCTTAGTAGTAAAGGACACTCAGCGTCCGGCCTTAACTTTCCAGCCCCGCCCCTGTTTTACCATCTGGCCACACCACCCGCTTATCACGCCCCTGTTTCCTGAGGACATTGTGCATTGGTGCATTTGCTTTGTTTTAAAATGTACCTGTGTTCGTTTATATCTGCTGGAAATGCCATTTCTTGCCCCCCATCCCATGGTTTGCTTGTTGAACTCATGTTCACGAAGGCTCAGTTCAGGTGGGCGGCAGCAGGTGTTCCCCGTTCTGTGTTTTCATGGTGACTGGTACGCATCAATATTCACATTGTACTTACTTGTTTTCGCGTCGGCCTAAGCACATTCTGAGCTGCTGGAGGGTAGGACCTGTGCACGACTCTACCTGGGCATGGCCCAGAGCAGTCGTTTGTAAACGTGTGAGCAAGGAGAAGGGGAAGGAAGGAAAGAACAGTGTCAAAGCTTGAGAAATGGAATGGGTGCCAGTATACCATGGGTGGGAACATTAAGAAACTTAAAGGATAACCACAATCAATGAGCTGCAGTAGCTCAGAACTTTGTGATCGACTTTTATGAGCCATAGAACTTGGCCCTGTTGCCAACAGTTTTTAGAAATACCACAGCCCTAATGCTTAAGCACATTGCTGTAATTCGACTCTCCATAAAGTGATCTTTAAATTGTGTTTTGAGGCTGGGAAGTGCACATCAGTGACACGCTTAACTGTATAGCTGCAGCCAAACTGGAATCTAGACCTATTTGTGTGCAAATACGATGCTTCAAGTTCATTACTGTTATTAGGAAATGGAAATACAGCCAGAGCAGAAATAACAGTCTATTTCCCTCTGCCTGTGCTGTGTTTTCATCAATGAGGCTTCTGAAGGACTATATGCATTTACTAACCCATTAGAATGAGCGATTTTATATCCTAATGTAAAATTAAAGGAATTTAAGGATCTGCCTAGGAGATACACTTGTTTAAACCTATATTAATGTTTCTATTGGTTATGTCGACTCTAACTAGTAACACGTTATTGGAAAGGGAAATGCCCCGGCTGTGTGTGTATTTTCTGAATCTCAATGCTATATTTTTCTGACAAGGTGTGGAGCTGAATTTCTTCTCTTCTATCCAAAATATGAGACGCCGGGTCAATTATAACTATTTTTAAATGTGAAACATATGATCAATTCTTATTTGTTTTATTAACTCATTTCCCTCCCCCCCTTTCCTCCTGATGTATATACTTGAATTCTTCCAACTTTCCTATTTGAGCCCATTCATTTCTTTTCCTAATCTCCTTCAAGCAGTATTTATTGGGGTACTCACCTGGGCTTTCCCTAGGTTGTGTGGGATCCCAGGAAAATATTCTTATATGAGGTCTCTGTCTGTAGTAATTATTTGATTAATAAATGTGTGACAAGACGTATGGGCCCATGTGGGGCATAGTGATTTATCAATAAGGATTTAGAATAATAAGTAGCATAGAGGTACTTATGTATTTACATGTTTTCCAATTGAGGCATGTGAAAGTTGTTCTCCTCCCCAGGTGCCATCTCTTTCTGTTCAGATCTAGAAACCATAGCTTCCTAGTATTTATTGCCAAAGACAACATTCCAAAACAATTCCACATGTCACCTGGTTGTTACGTTAAGGTTGTCACTCATAACCTCTTTGGCTCTTTGCAAGCTGTTTGCATTGAAATGGCATAGCTCATCTTGCCTCTGAATGTCCCCAGTCCATTTACTTAAGGCTGGTGACACCGTTACTCATGACACTGTCCCATCCCTTGTGCTGGTCGGGGACCCTGGCTTCCAGACACTCTTCGAGATGATGACTGCGTTCTGTCAATGATGACCACAAATGCAAGTCTTCCCCAGAGAAAGCAGTAAAATGTGAGTGAGAATTCATTTCTGACCATGTTAAATGTACAGATTTTATAGCATAAAGGTAGAGCAGCACATCTCCCAGCCACGTTTTCTTTTAGACACTGATTGCTGCATTCCTAGGATGTGATCTTGCTGAATGTTAATCATGAGGGGCCCAGGGTGTGGTGGGAGTGGGCTGTGGGTGCAAGAAATATCCTCCCCTCATCCTGTGGAGCTTAAGACTGACCCTAGAAAATACAACTCAAGGATTCCCACTGTATTTCCCGTTACTTCTATAAAAATGTTCATCTGGGGGCTTTTGGAGGGTGGAGGGCGAGAGGAGAGAGAGGATCAGAAAAAGTAACTAATGGGTAGAAGGCTTAATACCTGGGTGATGAAATAATCTGTACAACAAACCCATATGACACAAGTTTACCTACATAACAAATCTGCACTAATACCCCCTGAACTTATGATAAAAGTTAAAAAAAAAAAAGTCCATCTGAAGGTTTGCAGACAGCTTCTGTGTGTTATCCCAGAGATAATCCACCAGGTATTCTCAGAGATCTGGGAACCTTGAGAAATCCTGGATTGTCCAAGAACCTGATGGTTTGTAAAAATAGCATTCTGTCTGTTCCAGCCATTGTACATGTGTATATGGGACTAAATATAAGTGTTTAGTTGTTATAATTTTCTGCACCCATTTATGAAGTGTCTTGATGTTATTTTTCTTTTATAAAAATATAACAAAAAAATTAAAAACTTAGCTGGGCATGGTGGCTCACACCTGCAATCCCAGAACTTTGGGAGGCTGAGGCAGGAGGATCACTTGAGCCCAGGAGTTCAAGAACAGCAAAATAGGGAGACCCCATCTCTTAAAAAAAAGTTAGCCAGGTATAGTGTTGCTATCGGGTCCTGTGGTCCCAGCTACTCAAGAGGCCGAGGTGACGGGATCTCTTGAGCCCAGGAAGTTGAGGCTGCAGTGAGCTGTGATCATGCCACTGCCCTCTAGCCTAGGCAACAGAGCGAGATCCTGTCTCAAAAAAACAAAACCCCCAAAATAAACAACTTAAAATCAGGGAGGTTGATAGTGGGAGAGGCTGTACCTGTGTGGGGTAGGGGAATATGGGAACTCTCTCTAGTATCTGCTCAATTTTGTTGTAAACGTAAAGCTGATACAAAAAATAAAGCTTATTTAAAAGGGGTAAAACAATGTAAGAAAAAAATTGTTCTAGGTGTGATGAGTGTGATATCACCGCATCAATTGGAAATGGGAGAGGAGATCAATCCCAAAGCCCCATGGCTGCTGGTCTGGAAAGTCTTGGAAGCGGGGTGCAACACAGAGCCTGCAAAGGAGTTGGGGTAACCTCCTTGCTTGCCAGGGTTAAGGATGCTTTCCACCACCCGAGCTCCACAAGCACTGTGGCCCCGAGGTGGCCCTGTAATTAGAACAGACGGGTGAGTGCCATGCACAGACCCACACACTCGACTCTTGTCCCAGAGTCAAAAGGGGCTCTGCAGGGGCTCAGAGCCCTGAGCTTGTCCCGTGTCTGCCGTGAGCAATCCTCCCAAGTCAGCACATCAGCACCATTCCGGGAGCCCAGTATGGCACAATCCCTTGAAACCAATGTGTCCCACCCGGTGGGAGTGATCCACTGGCCAGGCTGCCCTCCTGGCTCAGGACAAGGCCCACTCCAGGGGTGTGAGTCTGGGAGCTTCTTGGGGCATCTGACTGACCCTATGTTGTGGAAGTGGCCCCTGCTCTCAGGCAATTTACATTCTTGGCTTGTCAGCAAGACTGAGAACCATAAAGTTTCTGCCTTCCTTATGAACTCTATTGAATTGGCCTTTGAGACCCAGGCCTGTACAGAAGAGGTGTTTGTCCCTCCTGATGACGGAGGAGGCCTGTGCCCCTGCCTTGGCCCCCAGATCTTTCCTCCACCAGCAAGCAAAATACAAGGAGCCAGTATCAGCACCATTGGGTCCATCCTGCGGTCTCCCCACATGCAGAGGACTCTTATCCACACAGTGAGGACCTCACTTTCCTCTGTTGCTCCTCTGGTCTTACCATCAGCACTCAGAGCTGCTCTGTACAGTTGTGCAGGTTGTGCATTGCACAATGGTGCCCATTGCCGGCAGTTACCACTCACATTACAGACATTGCGGATTTGTGTATGTTACATTTCCAGCAGATGGCAGTAAATTGCCTTGTTCTAACAAAAATCAGTAGAGTGTGATGATTTTATGATAGACGGAAGTCTTAAAGAAGAGGTGCCTTTTAGTCATTTGTAGGAAAGGGTCATAGAGGCCAGTAGTACTTTGCACTACACCTGACCACTGCGGACTTACTGCTCCGGTAGCTCTGCTGTCCAGCTTGTGGAGCCAGCTTTATTTTTCCCCAGTTAGCTTCAATCATTCATTCAAAAAATTACTGAATTACTGCTATGTGCCAAAACCCTGAGAATTTCGAAGGTTTTATAAAATAGCTTTTTAATATAGGGAGGTGACTAGTTGTCTGCTTAAAATTTGGGGGCCTCCTTCCATGATGTAGAGTGCCCCAGCCTCCCTTGCATGTGTCTAGTTCTGGCCAATGGAATGTGAAAAAGAGTGCATTGTCACCTCCAAGGCAAGTTAAGAAGTGAGTGTGTCACTCTCCTCCCCTCTTCCCCATCTTCTGGCTGGATTCGCAAGACCTGAAGGCCTGGTGAAGTCTGAGCCACAGGACCAAGGGAGCCTGGGGCCCTGAGGCCCGTCAGGACTCACTCAGCAAGGATAGGAGGTGACAATCTCAGTGGCTCATGATAACTTCATGGGCTTACTCTCTGAGGCTGATGGAGTTTGAGTTTGGGAATTGCCCTGCTGTTATACAAAGTTTTGCTTAGTGTCGTAGAAATGAGTCTGGCTTTGTTTTCCAATAGACCTAGGTTCAAGCCCTAATGTTGCCACTGATTAGCTGGGTGATCTTAGTCTTTAAGACTAAATCTCTATTTTCTCCTCTATAAAGTAATAATAATAATAATAACGGCAATCTCCCATATTTATTATGAGAATTAAGGGGCCATGATATGTGCAGAGTGCTGAGACTGCTGCTTGACACACGCAGAGCACCCAGTGAATGCTCCCAAGACCCTCAGGGCTGCAGGTTGCAGTGGTTATGGGTATGGGCCTGAATCCTACCTCTGTCTCATTGTGTAATCCTTGGAAAATTATATGTGGATTCTTCTTGGGGACTTGATTTACTCATTTGTAAAATGAGGACAGTGTTTTCCACATAAAGGTGCTGTGAGGTTGAGATTAGAGAATGAGAACACCGTCTGGTACAGAGTAAACACTCAGTGTCGTGGCTTGAACCGTGCCCCCACCCAGAAGATATGTCCACCGTCTTAGTCCATTTTCTGTTGCTGTAACTGAATAATGGAGACTGGGTAGTTTATAAAGAAAATAAATTTATTTCTTATAGTTACGGAGGCTGGGAAGTCCAAATCAGGTGGCTGCATCTGGTTGGCTTCTGGAGAGGGCCTTGGGCTGTGTCATAACATGGTGAAGGCATCACAGGGCAAGAGAGGCTCACTGAGAGCCAAACTGGCTTTTTAACAGGTTCACTCCAGTGATAACCCATTAATTCATTAACCCGTTAATGACTTGGAGCAGAGCCCTCATGATCCAATTACTTCTTTTTTTTAAATTTTATTATTATTATACTTTAAGTTTTAAGGTACATGTGCACAACGTGCAGGTTTGTTACATATGTGTACATGTACCATGTTGGTGTTACTTCTTAAAGGCCTCTCATTTTAACAATATTACATTGGGGATTAAGTTTCAACACGAGTTTTGGAGGGGGCAAACATTCAAACCATAGTATCAATGTTGCAACTTTTGGAACCTGCGAATGTGACCTAATTTGGAGAAAGGGTCTTCATAGATGTAATCAATTTAAAGATCTTGAGATGAGATCATCCTGGATTATCCAGATAGGCCCTAAGTCCAATGGCAGGCGGACTTAGAAGAGAAGACACAGACATAGACAAGAGGGCCATGTGGAGATGGAGGCAGAGATTGGGGTGATGCAGGGAGAAGCCAAGAAATACCAGGAGCTACCAGAAACTGGAAGAGGGAAGGAAGGTGTTTCCCTTAGAGCTTTTGGAGGAAGTACAGCCATCTCTACACCTTGATTTTGGACTTCTGGCCTTGAGAACTGTGGGAAACGAAATTTCTGTTTTTAAGCCACCCTTTGCTGTAATTTGTTACAGCAGCCCTAGGAAGCTGATCTACTTGGTAAATACTATCTTCTTGTCGTTATTGAAGAAATTCTCTCATGGTTACTGGAGGAGGTAAGCAGCTGTGGCTTTGGGAAGACTGGAGGTACTGAGATGGGTGGGCAGTGTTTTTGAAGTAGACTAGGGCAGGAGTTGGCAAACATTTTTCAATAAAAGGCCATTTAGTAAGTGGTTGTTTCAAGTCTGCTTTTGTAGCACGAAAGCCCAAAGGCAGCCTCAGACAATACTTAAATGACAAGATGATGGATTTGGCCTGCCCTTGGGCAGGAGTTTGCTGACCCTCAGTCCGGGGCAGCACAATTCCAGGTAGTTCACGGGCTATGCCAGTCCAAGAACTCTTTGTTACTTTCTGTGGTGAGATAAGTGCTGAAATGGAGAGTGTTTAGAAACTTTTGTAGCAACTTGATAGAGTAATTTTATATCCGTTGAAGCTAAGGGCAAAATATTTACCTGCATATGTACATTTTATGATATTTGTACATAATTATGGTGTACATGTGATATTTTGATATATGCACACAATGTGTAATGATCAAATTGGGGTATTTAGGATATTCATCACCTTGAACATGTATCATTTCTTTGTGTTGGGAACATTTCAAATCTTCTAGCTATTTTGAAATATACAATAGATTATTGTTAACTGTAGTCAATCAACTGTGCTATTGAACACGAGAACTGTATATGTATTACGGTTCTCTAGAGCGACAGATCTAACAGGATATATATATATATAGACTCATATATATATCATATATATGATATATATATAAACTCATATATATCATATATATGATATATATATAAACTCATATATATATCATATATATGATATATGTATAAACTCATATATATATCATATATATGATATATATATATATATGAGTTTATTAAGTATTAACTTACACCATCACAAGTTCCCACAATAGGCTGTCTGCAAGCTTAAGGAGATAGGAGAGCCAGTCCGAGTCTCAAAACTGAAGAACTTGGAGTTCGATGTTTGAGGACAGGAAGCATCCAGCACAGGAGAAAAATGTAGGCTGGGAGGCTAAGCTAGTCTCTCCTTTTCCCGTTTTTCTGCCTGCTTTATATTCGATGGCTGCGATTAGATGGTGCCCAGCAGACTAAGGGTGGATCTCCCTTCCTCAGACCACTGACTCAAATGTTAATCTCTTTTGGCAACACCCTCAGAGACACACCCAGGATCAATACTTTGTATCCTTCAATCCAATCAAGTTGACACTCAGTATTAACCATCACAGTATGTTTGTATCCATTAACCAACCTATCTTCCTCCCCGTGTTTCCCCACCCTCTGGTAAATATCATTCTACTCTCTGCCTCCCTAAGATCCACTTTTTTTAGCTTCCACATTGTATTAGTCCATTCGCACACTACTATGAAGAACTTCCTGAGACTGGGTAATTTATAAAAGAAAGAGGTTTCATTGACTCACAGTTCCACATGGCTTGGGGGGCCTCAGGAAACTTACAATCATGGTGGAAGGTGAAGGGGAAGCAAGGACCTTCTTCACATGGTGGCAGGAGAGAGAAACGTGTGTGAGAGTGCAGGAGAAACTACCATTTGTAAAACCATCAGAGCTCATGAGAATTCACTCAGTATCACAAGAATGGCATGGGGAAAACTGTCCCCTAATTCAATCACTTCCCATCAGGTTCCTCCCTTAACACCTGGGGTATTGCAATTCAAGATGATATTTGGTTGGGGACACACAGCTAAACCACATCACACATATAAATGAGAACATGTGATATTTGTCTTTCTGTGCCTGACTTATTTCACTTAACATAATGATCCCCAGTTCCATCCATGTTGCTACAAATGACAGGATTTTATTCTTTTTAATGGCTGAATAGTATTTCATTGTGTATACATCACATTTTCTTTATCCATTCATTTGCTGGTGGACATGCAGGTTGATTGCACATCTTGACTATTGTGAATAGTGCTGCAATAAACATTGGGGTCAGGTATCCTATCCTTTAGATATACTGATTGCCTTTCCTTTGGATAAATCCCCAGTAGTGGAATTACTGAATGGTATAGTAGTTCTATTTTCAGTTCTTAAAAATATTTTCGTTTTAAAAAGTGTATATTTTCATGGGGTACAAGTGCAGTTTTGCTACATTAATATATTGCACTGTGGCAGGTCAGGGAGCTTCACTGCGTCCGTCATTGGATATTTTAGTTTCTTGAGAAACCTCCACACTGTTTTCCACGATGGTACTAATTTACACTCCCACCAACCGTGTTTCAGAGTCCCTTTTCTCTGCATCTTTATCAGCATTTTAAATATTTTGTCTTTTTGATAACAGCCATTCTAACTGGGGTAAGATGATATCTCATTGTGGTTTTGATTTGTATTTTCCTGATGATTAGCGATATTTGGCATCTTTTCATATACCGGTTGCCGTTTTTATCTTTCTTCTGAGAAACATTTATTCAGATCCTTTGCCCACCTGTTAATGGGATTATTGGGTTTTGTTTTGCCATTGAATTGTTTGAATTGCTTGTGTATTCTGGAAATCAGCCTCTTGTTGGATAAATAGTTTGCAAATATTTTCTCCCATTCAATAAGTTGTCTCTTTACTCTGTTGAGGCGTATGTTTTGTATGTCTTTTTGCCTTTCACTATTCTAAAAATTATTTTAAATTTTATACAAGTGACAGTCTGTGGTAGATTAGAAAGCAAAACCTGGTCTTTGCCCACAGGGAGTTTGAGAAGCTTTGGCGTGTACAGGACCCTCTCTGTCCTTGCAAGAAGGTGTTGCTTACCCACAGGGAGCCATGAAAAACCAGGGAGCCTGGCAGGACCCAGCCCCTTGGACAGCCCAGGAGGTGAGAAGGATGTTCTCTGCAATGCTTCTGGCCTGGGGGCTTGAGGTGGCCTGGTTTGGACTGGACATCGAGGCGCTGTACAAGAAGCCTGGCTGAGGCTGGTCGTGCACACCAACGGGGTGTGTTGTTGACCTGAATCCACCATGCAAAGCAGGGCAGATGTTTGGCTGTTGACCAGCCCAGGGCTCCTTGAACCTGAAGGGTGGGGCCTGGTGGTGTATTTGGGAGGCTTGGGTCTCCTTGCCTGGCTGCTGTTGGCCCCCTTCCAGGCCTTCCCTGCACACATGGGAGGAGGCTGTGGGAGGCTCTGTGGAATCCGTGCTGCCCTGTGCTTCAGCTGTTTGTTCTAGTCTCCTTCACAGACAGTGGCTCCCCAGCTCAGGGACACTGCATGCCTGATCATCCTGGGGGCTGGGCCTGTGCCTGGCTCACAGCAGGTGCTCAATACATGTTTACTGAGGAACAACTGGACACATGGATCTTTTCCTTTCAGGTCATGTGCCCTCTGGTGGTGTGTAGGGCAAGGAGTCCTGCGGAAGGCAGGACCTCTGAGATGCCCTGAACACTGGGCCCCAGGGCCAGGGCACACAGGGCAGACCTGCTGCTGTGCACAGGGGAGGCTGCCAGGCCCTGGGGGCACCACATACCCATCATCTTTGTCCTGCATGGGCTTGGGGCTGGAAGTGCCCCTCAGAGAGAAGACAGGGACTCAGGGCTCACTGGACAGAGAGTGCAGGCATGCATAGAGTGACCTTCCCGTAGGGCCAGGGGTCAGGGGAGGCTGTGTGGCATGGTCACTGCCTTTGTCTGCTTGAGCTTCTGTCTCTGACTGAGTGGCCTAAACAATAAACACCTATCTCACAGCTCTGCAGGCTGGAAGTTCGAGATCAGGGTGCCAGCAGGGCTGGGGCCCTCTTCCTGGCTGCAGATCGCTGCCTTCTGACTGTGTCCTCACATGGTGGAAGGAGACTGAGAGAGCTTTCCGGGATCCCTTCTATAAGGGCACTAATCTCAATCATGAGGAGTCCACCTGCATGACCTAATCACCTCCCCACAGCCTACCCCCAAATACCATCACCTTGGGGGCAAGGAGTTCAACACGTGAGTTTTGAGGGGACACAAGCATTCCATCCATAGCAGCTGTCTAGAGGAACCAGCTTAGCCAACCAACTTTCATAATTTACTGGGGAATGCTCACACTTCAACAAAGCAAATGTTCTGAGAGAGAAGGGCCTAAACAAGGCTAGACTGTATCTGTCTATCTATCTATCTATCTATCTATCTATCTATCTATCTATCTATCTATCATCTATCTATTTATTGTAGAGATGGGGGTCTCACTATGTTGCCCAGGCTAGTCTCCAACTCCTGACCTTAAGCCATCCTCCCACCTTGGCCTCCCAAAGTGTTGGGATTACAGGTGGGAGCCCACCACTTCTGGCCCAAGGCTAGAATTTTGAAGAGTTATAAATTCTAGAGGGAAGATGAGCTGTGCTGGCTTTTAGGACAGCTGAGTGACTGCTCGCTCCCTGCGGATTTCCCGCACAGAATCAGCTGATCTGGTTCCCCAGGGACCCTTCCTTCCTCCCTCTGCTCTCCACCCAAGTTCCCTCTACATCTCCCCAAGGGGCTCCTCCCCGTTTTAGGCCAAGATCTGCAGGTCCTTTTGAGAAAAGGTCATAACCAGGTGCCATGAAGCCTGAAGCCTGGGAGAGAGGCGTCTCTGAGGGCCGGGAAGCAAGGTGCCCTCCTCACTAGCAGCCCAGGGACTCGGGCTGAATCATAAAGGGCACAGCCTAGGACCTGGGGGGAGTGGGGGCAGTCTTGAGTTTGTGATTTCAAGTAAAACCAGGAGGAGGGTTCAGGTCAGGGGCGGGGGGCTGGAGAGAGGTCCCATCGGACCTGGAAGATGGATCGCTGTGGCACATTCAGAGCAAAACAGAATATGAGGTTGGGCGATTCGTGGGCGGCGAACGTGGTGTCTGTATCAAACACTCCTGAAGCCAGTGTGTCTAATCACCTTATAGGGTTTTCATGCCAGCAGCTCTGAATTTGCGGGTGCCGGATCACCTGCCCACAGACGTGGAAACTGGGACACAGTGATTTAAACTCCACCTGAGGATGTGATCCAGGAGAGTGTGGAGCAAGGAGGTCTTTCTGTCTAGTTTATGGCTTCCCTCGCTGAGTGGCGCTGCCTCTGCCCTTGGCCTTGCTGAGATTTTATAGCTGGCACTCATTTGGGTCAGGCAGATCCTCCTAGGAGCCATCGGAGAGAGGAAGCCAGCCCCAGTTCTGTGCGTGCTGGAGGGCTTTCTGCTTGCCTGGTCGTAAGCAAGAATCCAGTAAATAAATAGTTCAGTTCCTGCCAAAATTGCCTATGCTGGAATTTGTGCCTTGGAAAGAAACATGAATAATGACTAGGACAGAGCATTTCTCTATTTGAACCCGGATAATTTTAACGGCGATAGCAGAAATGCGAGAAAGCCCCAGCGCCGTGTATTCTCTGTGTTATAAATTCCTTTTCTCCCTAGCATCGCGGCCTTATCTGGAGCCTCTCTTGGCTGCGCTCTCTTCTTTCACTTCTGTCTTCTTTATTCACTGTGTTCCTTCTTTTCTCAGATTTTACTAGCTCAGCAGCTGCAGCTGAAATGTGCCAAGAATGCTTGCCCTGGGTGGCAAAGCAACACCGCAGGCTGGCAGCGCTGTTTACCTTCGTGGGCCCACTTTCTCAGAGCACACTGTCCCCTCTGACCCTTTCAGAACCTACTCTGCCACAGCTTGTTTTATTTTTTTATTTTTATTTATTTATTTTTTTGAGATGGAGTCTCGCTCTGTCGCCCAGGCTGGAGTGCAGTGGCGCAATCTCGGTTCACTGCAAGCTGCGCCTCCCAGGTTCACGCCATTCTCCTGCCTCAGCCTCCCGAGTAGCTGGTACTACAGGCGCCCGCCACCACGCCCGGCTAATTTTTTGTATTTTTTTAAGTAGAGATGGGGTTTCACCGTGTTAGCCAGGATGGTCTCGATCTCCTGACCTCGTGATCCGCCCGCCTTGGCCTCCCAAAGTGCTGAGATTACAGGCGTGAGCCACTGCGCCCGGCTGTTTTATTTGTAAAAGTCAGTGGATGACAAAACAATTTCAGATGACAGGGTCCACTTGGCTTTCCTTCCCTCTCCTTAGAACCGAGCACCTTCCACAGCTTTTACCCCGGACACGTGTTTTTTGGCGCATCTGCAGAATCCCTCAAAACTTAATTATTTATAACAAAACAAAAAACAAAAAAACAGCGTAACAAGATGCATTTTCAAATAGTGAGTTCATCTGAAGCACCTTCTCGAGCAAGAGGTTTTGTTCCAGAGGCTGTGGGAATAATGGTAGTTCTGGCAAAATGGAAATGTGACTGGCCACTCACACAGTCCTAAGATCTCCTGCTTAAAAGAAGTGTGATAATGTGCGCTTGGGGAGAGTGACCGCATTCTTCTTACAATACAGTCCTACCCTGGAAATTGTGACTGAACCAGAAAACACCCCAGGCCGTGGCTTCCGCTGGTCAGATTTAGGGAAGATATGAGGAAAGGAAACCTAGAGAAATCAGGGGGAAGAGAGAAAATATGTTATAATGGCTAAATAAGCCCAAACTTATCAGTTGTGACAACGTAAACAATGAAATAAAAATCAGGATGAAACATAATGACTCAGAAAGTTTTAAAATTAATAAAAGAGAAGAACGTAGCAATATTCCAACAGATAAATTAGATCTCAAGATGAAAAGTATTAAGGACAGAGACAGCCATTTCATATTAATACAAGTGAAAATGCACGAAGGAGATATAATAGTTTTGACGTTGTATGCACCTAATACAATACCTTTGAAATACAGCCATTCCTTTGAATTACAAGGAGAAATTGACAATCCTGGAGAGATTTTGACACATCTTTCCTGTAGCGGGCTGAATGGTGGCTCCAAAGACATGTCCCCATCCTAATCCTTGGAATCTGTAAATATTACCTTATTTGTAAAAAGGGTCTTTGCAGATGTAATTAATTTAAGAACACTGAGATGAGATCATCCTAGATTATCCAGGTGGTTCCTAAATGTCATTGCAAGTATCTTTTTAAGAGAGAGGCAGAGAATTGACACAGAGGGGGAGGCCATGGGAAGGGGAAGGTAGACATTGTAATAAGTTGGCACAAGTCACGGAGTGTCCAGGAAGGTGGGCAGCCACCAGAAGCTAAGGTGGCCAGGGACAGACTCCCTTAGAGCCCCTAGAAGGACCACCACCCTGATGACACCTTGATTTTGGATTTCTGGCCTCCAGAACTTGGACAGAACAAATTTCTGCTGTTTTAAACCACCGAGTCTGTGATAATTTGTTACCGCGGCCACAAGAAATGAGTTCTCAAAAGCTACCATAGCAAGTAGAATAATAATTAATAAGAAAATAAAGGATTTGAAGAATTTAATTAACTCTACATCCAAGTGAGTATACTCATTAGTTTTAAGTACATGGGGAAATTTATAAAAAATTAACTATGTACTAAGCAACAAAGAAAAATCCACAATTTTCAAAGGCTGAAGTCATCAAGTCCTTTTTCCAATGGGGACCGGGGAGTAAAAATAGTAACCGACAACATAAAGATAGACAGGATATCCCCGCATAACATCTGGAGGTTAAAAAAAAACCTTCTAAATAATTCACGTTTTAAAGAGGAAATCATAATGGAGTACAGTACTTAAAACCGAATGACTGTAAAAGTTCTGCACATAAAAAGTTATGGGATAAAGCCACAGTGGTACTCAGAGGGGAATTTAGATCCAGAAGTGCATTTATTAGAAAACAAGAAAGATTAAAAATAAATGAGCTAAGCTTTCAACTTAAGAAACTATAAAAAAGAATAACAAAAATCTAAAGAAAGTAGAATGAAGAAGAAAACTAATATACAAGCAGGAATTAATGAAACAGAAGGCCAGAAATTCCAGTCATCAACATAACCAAAAGCAAGTTCTTTGACACAATTAACACAATAGACAAATTTTTGACAGGTATAATCAATAAAAAGGAGAGAAGACATAAATATCATGAGTAAACAAAAAAGGATTTATAACTACGGATACTATCAACCTTCAAAAATTATAAAAGAATTGAATATTTTTATACCAATACACTAAGAATGACTGATGTTGAAAACTTTCTAAGATAATATATATAAACAAATTGATCCAAGAGCAAGTAGAAAACCTGGATAGAGACACAATCATTAGATAAATGGAAATGATAGACAAAGATCAATAACCAAAGAGGCAACAAATCCGTAGAGTTTAAAAGATGATTTTTATAAAGTATTTAAGGAACAAATAACCTAAATCCCCTGAAACTATTCTAGAGTTTAGAAAAAGATGGAAAGCTGACCAACTCCTTTTGTGAAGTTAGTAAAAACACTATTATCAAAATAAGATAAGGAAAGCATAAGAAAAAAAAACACACACAAAGGATCATTATACTTGTACATGTAAAAACCACAAAGAAAATATTAGTAAATTGAATCCTATAATTTATTAATAATATAATATAACTCGAGCCACTAGGGTTGGTTCAACAACAACAAAAAATGGACAAATTGTCAATTTGTCAATGCTTTACTAAATTAGTGGGGAAAAAAATCCCCATAATTTTCACAGTAGATCCTGCCATTTGTCCAGCTCCCATAAACATTCATTCATGACACAAACACCTAGAAAACTGAATAAAGGAGAACTCCCTGAACTATTAAAGGATGTAAACCAGGAAACTGTAGGAACCACCATGCCTAGCGGTGCCACAAAATTAAAGTCAAATCACATCTCCCATATCACAGCTTAGCCCAAATTCAAGAAAAGAAATACAAATTGGAAAGGAAGAAACAAAACTCTTGTTATTTTCCGAGGCCATAATTGCTCAGTTTGGAAAATCCGAAGAATAACCTGACAAATGATTAAAACCAATTAATTAGTTTAGCGGGAGTGCTGAATGTGAGTTGGACATATAAAGATTGGCAACTTTTCTTCCTTCAGCAAAAACCAATTAGAAATTTCAATAGGAAAAATGATCCTATTAATACTAACAAATGCATAATACTAACAATACATAATACTAACACAATACATAATACTAACAAAATCTTTTGGGTATTGGAGACTACACCTTTGGCAACCATGCCAAAGGCCTAGCCATCCTCTTTTTTTTTTAACTTTTTTTTTTTTTTTTTTTTTTTTGAGATGGAATCTTGCTCTGTCGCCCAGGCTGGAGTGCAGTGGCGTGATCTCGGCTCACTGCAAGCTCTGCCTCCTGGGTTCACGCCGTTCTCCTGCCTCAGCTTCCTGAGTAGCTGGGACTACAGGCGCCTGCCACCACGCCCGGCTAATTTTTTTTTTTTGTATTTTTAGTAGAGATGGAGTTTCACTGTGTCAGCCAGGGTGGTCTCGATCTCCTGACCTCGTGATCTGCCCACCTCGGCCTCCCAAAGTGCTGGGATTACAGGCTTGAGCCACTGCACCCGGCCTTAACTTTTTTTTTTTTTTTTTTACTAAAAAATCCCCTTAAGCTTTGCTTGGCTTGTCAATATATTCACCAAAGATAAAGGATCTCTCAGCATCTTTGCAGGTGGTGTTAGCCGTGTGATGGTCTGCTCAATGATATGTAAGTAGAATTCCTGCAGGAGGGGGCTCCTCATCAGATAAGAAGACAGCACTTGGTAAGAAGCTGCTGTTGGCTCTTCCACCTTCTTCCTGCCTGGAATACAGACAAGATACCAGGAGGTACAGCAGGCTTCTTGGGATCACATTGTGACCACTTTCTGCTGAAGATGGTGGAGGAAAAGACAGAAGATGCTCAGTTCCTTGATGATCTCCTGGAGCAAATCACTGGCCTGGGCTGCCTTACCTTGGGCTTCTTGGTGAAGGGTGAGGTTGGGAGGGAGAGACAAAGAGGTAGGGGACCTTACTGGTTACAGCCATTGGTGTTTAGATTTCCTCTAACTCACAAGTGAACACAGCCCAGATGCAAAATCTAACAAAAAAGTGTTAAAACCAAATGACCATGAGATGTCACTACATAGCTATTAGAATGGCCCAGATCCAGGATGCCGACAACACTGAATCCTGGTGAGAACGTAGAGCAGCAGGAGCTCTCATTCATTGCTGGTGGAAATGCAGAATGGTGTGGCCACTTTGGAGGACAGTTTGGCAGTTTCCTATAAAAGAAAACATACTCTTACCATAGGATCCAGCAGTCACTTTCCTTGGTATTTACTCAAATGAGTTGAAAACTTCTGTCCACACAAAACCTGCATATGGATGTTTATAGCAGCTTTATTCATAATTACCCTAACCTGGAAGCAACCAAGAGGTCCTGCAGTAGGTGAATGGATAAACAAACTGTGGTACATCCAGACAGTGGAATACTATTCAGTGTTAAAAAATGAGCTATCAAGTCATAAAAAGACATGGAAGAACTTAAATGCATGCTGCTGAGTGAAATAAACTAACCTGAAAATGCTACATACATCTGCTCCCAAATATATGACATTCTGGAAAAGGCAAAACTATGGGGACAGTAGAAAGACCAGTGGTTGCCTAGGGTTGGGGGGATGGATGGATAGGTGGAAGACAGAAAATTTTTAGGGCAGTGAAAATTCTCTGTGTGTTATTGTAATGGTGGATACATGTCATTATACGTGTGTTCAAACACATAGAATGAAGAGCACCAAGGAGGAACCCTAATTTAAACCATGGATTTTGGGTGATACTGACATATCAGTGTGGGTGGATGGAGTGTAAGAAACATATGCTCTGGTGTGGATGCCAGCTGTGTCTGAGGGGCTGTGCGTGTGTGTGGGGACAGAGGGGATAAGGGAAGTCTGCGTACCTTCCTCCCAATTTTGATTTGAACCTAAAACTGCTCTTAAAAAAAAAAGTCTTTTTAAAAAAATGTGAAACCTAGATGGAGAAATCTGCAAAATGTCATAGTAGGACATAAAAAAAAGCCTAAATAAAAGGAGAGATGAATTATGTTAAAAAATGGGAAGGTTCCATGTGGTAAGGAGGTCACATTTTCTCAAACGAGCTTATAAATTCAATGAGTTGCCAATCAAAATCTCTACAAGATTTTTCCAGGAAGTTGATAAATCCATTCTAGATTTCATACGAACGAGTAAACACAGAATAAAAGCCAAAGCTACTGGGTCCCAGGAGAAGGAGAAGGGCAGGATGCTTTTCTTCCCGAGGACCTGGACGGACTCTTAAGATGCAGTGGCGAAAGCAGTGGGACACTGGCGAGGGTGAGGAAGTGATTGACTGTGCATGAGCAGATTTGGTGACAGAGGTGGCTCTCAAGTCAGTGGGAAAAAGTGGGCTGGTGGCCACGGGAATGCACCTTGCAGAGCTTCAGCTACACAGGGTAATGAGCAAGGCCCCGCTCTGGGAAGTCCATTGCACCAGCTCCTGCCTGCGAGCAGGGGAGCTAGGACCGGCTCTTCCTGGGAGACGCAGGCCTCTTCTGATGGGTGCCTTTGACTAGGGGCTCCCCCTTAGACTGTGGGCATCTAGAATGCCTCCTTCCCATCCTCTTTCCAGCTGTCCTCCACCAGCCTCCTCCGTTCTTACCCCCGATCTCTCAAAGGTGATTCCCCTAATAAACCCCTGCTCATTTTTTTTTAATTCTTATTTTTAAATCTTATTTTTCCATAAGTTATTGGAGAACAGGTGGTATTTGGTTACATGAGTTAAGTTCTTTAGTGGTGATTTGTGAGATTTTGGTGCACCCATCTCCTAAGCAGTATACACTGCACCCTATTGTTGCCTTTTATCCCTTGGCCCCATCCCACTCTTCCCCCCAAGTCCCCAAAGTCCACTGTATCATTCTTATGCTTTTGTGTCCTCACAGCTTAGCTCCCACATATCAGTGAGAACATACAATGTTTGGTTTTCCATTCGTGAGTTACTTCACTTAGAATAATAGTCTCCAATCTCATCCAGGTCACCACAAATGCTGTTAATTCATTCCTTTTTATGGCTGTGTAGTATTCCATCATATATGATATATATGATATCTATATATATCACAGTTTCTTTATCCATTTGTTGATTGGTGGGCATTTGGGTTGGTTCTACGATTTTGCAATTGTAAATTGTGCTGCTATAAACATCCGTGGGCAAGCATCTTTTTCGAATAATGACTTCTTTTCCTCTGGGTAGATATCCAGTAATACCCAGTAGTCCCCCTGCTCATTTCTTTTTTCCCTTTTATTTTTTTTCCTTTTTTTTAAGATGGAGTTTCGCTCTTGTTACCCGGGCTGGAGTGCAATGGCGTGATCTTCCTCATCCCAACCTCTGCCTCCTGGGTTCAAGTGATTCTCCTGTCTCAGCCTCCCAAGTAGCTGGGATTACAGGTGTGTGCCACCAAGCCTGGCTAGTTTTTTTGTATTTTTTAGTAGAGACGGGGTTTCGCCATGAGGGTCAGCTGGTCTCAAACTCCCGACCTTAGGTGATCCGCCCGCCTCGGCCTCCCAAATTGCTGGGATTACAGGTGTGAGCTACCGCGCCCAGCCACCCCTGCTCATTTCATCTCATCCTGGCTCCTGCTTCTCAGAGGACCTAGACTAACACAGATATTCAATAAGTACTATGGGAACCATTGGTTATCTGCAGGAAAAAAAAAGGCTTGAATTTAATTTCCCAAAGAAATAAATTTCATAGGGATTAAAGACTTGAATGCAGAAGTAAAACTTTAAAACCACTTGAAGAAAATATAGGCTTTCCCCACCCCCCCAAACCTTGAGTAGTACTTTAGTGTCCTATATCACCACTGCAACAAATTGTACAATAAACTGGAGCTTCTTGGTGGCTTAAAACCAGCAACATCCATTTATTATCTCAGTCTGAAGGCAGGAAGTCTGTAATCTTGATGTCCTCAAGGCCATGCCCGCTCTGGAGGCTCTAGGAAGCGTTGTTGCTGGCCTCTTTCAGCTTCTGGAATGCCCAGGGCTTCAGGAGTCTCTCGGCTTGAGGTCACAGCACTCCAGTCTCTGCCTCTGTCTTCACATGACCTTTTCCTCTGTGTGAGTCTGACTTCCCTCTGCCTCCCTTATAAGGACACTGGTGATGGTATTTAGGGCCACCTGGATAATCCAGGGTCATCTCCTTATCTCAAGATCACTCACTTAATCCCATCTGCAAAGACCCTTTTTCTAGATAAGGTAATATTTATAGGATCCAGACTAGGATACAGACACACCTGCAGGAGCCATGATCCATTTTCCCCAAGTAGAGGCCTTAAAGCACAAATTGTAAAGGAAAGCATGAATAACTTGGTTAGATAAAAATTAAAACTATGGTATCATAAAGAATGTACTGTAAACAGAGTTAAAAGGCAATTGACAGCCCGAGGAAAAATATATGCAACAGATAAAGCCATAATATGCTGAATATTCAATGAACTTCCATAAATTAGTAAGAAAAAGAAAACTATCCAATAGAAGAATGGTCAAAAGATATGAAAAGAAATTTATAGGAGCGTGAATACAAATGGCTATTAAACATATGGGAAAATGCTCAATCTCATTTTTAATCTGGTAAAAGCAAATTAAAACTACAGTGAAGTCTCTTTTACTCATCAGATCATCAAATGATGAAAAGCTTTCTAATGTCAGCTAGAGTGAGAGGACAAAGTGTTGGGAAGTATCCCCCGTTCAGCCGCTTAAATGTGCAGTCTGGGGGCTAGGCCTGATGGCTCATGCCTGTCATCCCAGCACTTTGGGAGGCTGAGGCGGGTGGATCACGAGGTCAGGAGTTCGAGACCAGCCTGGCCAATATAGTGAAACGCTGTCTCTACTAAAAATATAAAAAAATTAGCTGGGCATGGTGGCGGGCGCCCGTAGTCCCAGCTACTTGGGAGGCTGAGACAGGAGAATCACATGAACCCGGGAGCCAGAGGTTGCAGTGAGCCGAGATCACACCACTGCACTCCAGCCTGGGTGACAGAGCGAGACTCCGTCTCAAAAGAAAAAAAAAAAAAAAGAAAAGAAAAGAGAAAAAGAAAGCACTTATAATGTGAACAATGAAACATGTAGAACAATGGTCATTGAATCTTTGTAATAGAGAAGAACTGGAACTGATAACTGCCCACCAATAGTCAAATATATAATGCATTTTATTTATACATTGAACTATTATACAGCAGTTAAAGGTATAAATGGAATTTAATATGCTGACATTGATAGAGTTTCAGGAAGTACTGTTGCATGAAAAAAGCAAATTAGAGGATAATACGTAAAGTAGGATATAATTTGTATCAAAAACACACACTGAATAATTTTGTATATTTCATATGGGAATTTGTATGTATGTAAAGGTATGTAACAGGTCTGAAAGGTTATGCACCGATTTCTTTCTTTTTCTTTTTTTTTTTTGAGACAGGGTCTTGCTCTGTCACCCAGGCTGGAGTGCAGTGGCTTAATCACAGCCCACTGCAGTCTCGACCTCCCAGGCTCAGGTGATCCTCCCACCTCAGTCTGCAGGTGTGCACTATCACACCTGGCTAATGTTTGTATTTTTTGTAGAGACGGCTTTTTGTCATATTGCCCAGGCTGGTCTCAAACTCCTGGGTTCTAGCAATCCACCTGCCTCTGCCTCCCAAAGTGCTGGGATTATAGGCATGAGCCACCATGCCTGGCCCCAATTTCTATTTTTTTTCTTTTTTTTAAGTTCTAGGGTACATGGGCACAATGTGCAGGTTTGTTACATATGTATACATGTGCCATGTTGGTGTGCCGCACGCATTAACTCGTCACTTACATTAGGTATATCTCCTAATGTTATCCCTACCCCCTCCCCCCACCCCACAACAGGCCCTGGTGTATGATGTTCCCCATCCTGTGTGCAAGTGTCCTCATTGTTCAGTTCCCACCTATGAGTGAGAACATGCGGTGTTTGGTTTTCTGTCCTTGTGATAGCTTGCTCAGAATGATGGTTTCCAGCTTCATCCATGTCCCTACAAAGGACATGAACTCATCCTTTTTTATGACTGCATAGTATTCCATGGTGTATATGTGCCACATTTTCTTAATCCAGTCTATCATTGATGGACATTTGGGTTGGTTGCCTGGCCCCAATTTCTAATAGCCATTTCCTTTGGAAAAAGGAAAAGATATTAATGTTATCAGAATGTCAATGCTTCAACCAAACTAATGTCATATATTATATCATATATTACTTTGTCATTAAAAATTATTTTTTTCATTTCAAAAATTGATGCATAATATTTGCACATATTTATGGGGTAGATGTGATATTTTGAGACATGAATACAATGTGTAAAGATCAAATCATAGTATCTATCACCTCAAATATTTATCATTTCTTTGTGTAAGATTAATTTCATGAAGGAGAAACACAGGAAGTGAGAGTGCTCTTGAGGTTTGTCTTCTCATGGTCTGATTCTTTCTCTGGAAGTTCAGCTCTTTCTATCCCTCATCCTGTTAGGAACCTAACACTCACACCTCACCAACCGCCGCTGGGGCTCCCTTTTCTCACTCCAGCCATTGGCTGAAGTGTGCTGAGGAGTCCTCTGCATCAGAGTCACGGTGGCAGACAGTGAGGCCTGGCTAACAACGGACAGACCCAGCTCCCGTCCAGACCCCAGAATCAGGATCTCTTGGCCTCAAGGGGAATCTGCATTTGAGCCTCCCTCCCCATAACTGCCTGAGATTCTGGGTGCGGTTGGCCGAGGATATCATTTCTTCTTCTCAACAGTGCTAAAGCTGCCACTCTGGAGCCCCTCCAGGGACTGGCCTTGGGGAGGTATTGGATGGACAGATGTATTAGTCCTCTCAGGTTGCTGTAACAAAATACCACAGACTGGGTGGTTTAAGACATAGACATTTATTTTCTCGCAGTTCTGGAGGCTGAAGTCCGAGATCAAGGTTCTAGCCGCTTCGAATCCTGGCGAGGGCTCTCTTCCTGGCTTGTGGACAACCCGTGTGCCTCCTCACATATCCTGGGTGCAGGCAGAGAGAGTGAGTGGGCTCTGTGGTGTCTCTTCTCATAAGAACTAATCCTATCAGATCAGAACCCCACCCTGATGACCTCATTTAATTACTTCCTTAGAGGCCCCCTCTCCAAATACAGCCACACTGGGTGTTAGAGCTTCAGCATGTGAATTCTGGGGGGACACAAACTTCAGTTCATAACAACAGACCTCGTCATCTTACCCTTCAGGGCAGAATGACAGCCAGGTGGCTGCCTACTGTTTAGTTTGCCATGATGTTGATTGAACCATAGAATATGTAGGTGGCATTTTGGAAACTGGCTCCATGCTGGACCTGAAACGGATGAGCTCAATTGTGCAGCTAAGCAGTGGGAATGGGAGCTTATTCTGGGCTCCCCAGGCTGTGCCGTGAAGTCCTAACGGAGCTGCCTGCACACTGATGACACCTATCTCCTGCTATGCCGGGGGACTTTGAAGGTCCTTCTGTTGCTGGGAGTCTGGGGGCTTTTCCTTGGTTCTCATGAAGCAGTCCCACCCTCTTCCCCATAGTCTATCTCCTTCTTCTGCAGCAGCTCCTGGAGCTGGCGGCCTCCTGCACTGCGTGGAGGGTCCCCAAGTGAGCCTCGCTTCCCCAGCGCCACCACCTCTCAGGCACTGCCATTCCCGGGCATGGTGCCTCGGGAACCTCTACTGCTCCACGGAAATGCTGGAGCCCTCGGGGTGCCCAGGGTTTTGTGCTCCCTGAGGCCGGGAGCTGGGAGAAAGCCCCTCTCCCTGCACTCCCTTTGTGCTGTGGTGTGCCTGCCCCAGTGTCTTGTGGGTCTGAATAACAGAGCCCTGTCCTTCCCCTCCCCACTGAATCCCCTTCATCATGCCTGGGGGATCTGGGAACAGGACCAGTTGGGGTGGGGGAGGGCACACCAGGTAGTGCCACTAAGCCTGTGTCACTCTGGTCCCAGGAGATGAGTCTCACACAGGGCCCACCCTTGTGCCGGATACACCTGACTCCCAGCAGGGCTGTGGCTGCGGCAGATTCCCTAGGAGGGCAGAACCCCACCATACACAGGGGTGCAGGCCAGGGGCCATCGCGATTGGCCTGCAGCTCTGTTGTCTGCCTGGGCCCTGCTCTGCTAGGTGCCTGATGTGTGAATTCAGTTGGTTTGCGGTCTTCTTCCCTTTGTCTGGGGCTGCATGGCGTGCAGTGCTGAGCAACCCTGGCTGTCTGTGTCTGCGCTGGTGGGGGAAGAATTGTCAGTCCTTGTCATCTTCTTCCCTGGCACCATGGAGGCCTGGCCATCAGTGGCCAGCTGTAGTAGGTGGGGCTCCCCCCTCCATGGGCTGTCTGGGCCATGGCAGTGCCGTGTGTGGGCTGCATCTGGGCCTCCCTTGGCCATATGGGAGGGCACTCAGCCTTCCCCATCCACTGCTAGTACCAGTGGGGCCCTGAGGAGAAAGCAGGCCTTGGGTAGTGTTGTGCGTTGAACCGTATCCTGGGAAAGGTGTGTTGGAATCCTAACCCCTGCTCTCTGAATGTGGAAACACAGGGGGCCCTGTGCAGATGCAGCCATGTTGAGATGAGGCCATGCTGGATTAGGATGGGCCTTAATCCAATGATGGAGGTCCTTACAGGAGGGAAATTTGGACACAGACCAAGAGAGACATGGGGAGGAGAAGGCCACGTGGAGTTGGAGTGGGAATGAGCGTCTGTAAGCCAAGGAGTGCCAGGGACGGCTGCGGCCACGGAGCAGAAGACAGGCATGCAACAGGCCCTCTCTCAGAGCTCCCGCTGCAGACACCTGGGTTTTAGACGTCTGGCCTCCTCATCTGTGAGATAATAGATTTCCATTGTTTTAAGGCACCCAGTCTGGAGTCATTTCTCACGGCAGCCCCAGGAAACTCACACAGGTGGTGTCTGGAAATGCCCTGCCTGTGGGGATTGTAGGATCTGAACGCCCTGGAGCACATCGTTTGAGTCCTACCCATCTCTGATTGCATCTCCTCCCCTCTGTTCCAGATGGAGAACCTTGCTTCCCGTTCCTCAAGTATGCCACCTGTTTCCCACTGCAAGGCTTTTTTGGGTTTTGATTTTAAATTTTGGTTGAGACAGGGTCTTGCTATGTGCCCAGGCTGTTCTCGAATTTTTGGCCTCAAGAGATTCTCTTGCCTCAGCCTTCCAAAGTGCTGGGATGACAGGTGTGAACCTCCACGTCCAGCGCCTCAAGAGGGCCTCCTGCCTCAGCCTTCCAAAGTGCTGGGATGACAGGTGTGAACCTCCACGTCCAGCGCCTCAAGAGGGCCTCCTGCCTCAGCCTTCCAAAGTGCTGGGATGACAGGTGTGAGCCTCCACGCCCAGCTGCAACCTTAAGGTTTTTGTTTTATCCATTCCCTCTGCCAGGAACGGCCCCTTCTCTTCTTTCATCTCTCAGCCTAAGTGTCCCTCCTCAGAGGCACTGTTCCTGACCGTCCAGTCCACAGGAGCCACTGGGCCCTCGCTGTGGCAATTCTCTGAGTGGCATTCGTCCTTGACATTGTCTTAGGCATTTCTTTGTCCGTTATCCTTCTCCTGTGCACCCCTTCATGATTAGAAAAGTCTCCTCAATGTCTAGAGGGTGCCTAGCAATTACTCACTGGATAACTGGATGGCTGCCACCCTCTACTTTGTGGTAGATGTATTAGTTCGCTACGGCTGTCAACAAAGTACCACAAACTGGGTGGCTTAAAACAACAGAAGTGTGTTGTCTGCAGTTCTGGAGTTTAGAAGTCTGAAGTCCAGGTGCTGGCCGGGCCTCGCTCCTCTGAGGCTTTTGGGGAGAATCCCTCCTCGTCTCTCTCCCAGCTGCTGGTGGGGGCCAGCAATCCTCTGTGTTCCTTGGCCTGCAGCTGCACCATTCCAGTCTCTGCCTCGGTCATCACAGGGCCTTCTTCACTCGTCTTCCCCCTATGTCCACATTTCCCCCTTCCCCAATTTTCTTTTTGAGACGGAGTCTCGCTCTGTTGCCCAGACTAGAGTGCAATGGTGTGATCTTGGCTCACAGCAACCTCCACCTTCCTGGTTCAAGCAATTCTCCTGCCTCAGCCTCCCGAGTAGCTGGGATTACAGGCACCTGCCACCAGGCCTGGCTAATTTTTGTATTTCTGTAGAGATGGGGTTTCACCATGTTGGCCAGGCTGGTCTTGAACTCCTGACCTCCGGTGATCTGCCCGCCTCGGCCTCCCAAAGTTCTGGGATGACAGGTGTGAGCCACGGTGCCTGGCCCAAATTTCCCCTTTTGATAAAGACACAGTCACATGGGATTAAAACCCACACTCATGACCTCATCTTAACTCGATCATTTGCAAAGACCCTATTTCCAAATAAGGTCACATTCAGAGGTACTGGGTATTAGGACTTGAATATATCTTTTTTGGGGGAACACAGTTCAGCTCAACACAGTGCGGTTTGTTCGTATCACAGGTGACTTCTTTGATTTTCCACGCATCTGTGTCGAGTCTTTGCAGCCAGCATCACGAGGTTCGTATCACAAGTGACTTCTTTGATTTTCCACGCATCTGTGTCAAGTCTTTGCAGCCAGCATCACCAGGCTGTGCAGTCACAGCTGCAGCTTGCTCACTGCCGGGTTGCTGGCCTTGGGGAACTGTGTGCCCCACTCTCTTCTCCAGCCCAGCTGCTGGCACCAGGCTTGGTACTTTGGATGCTCTCCATGGAATTGTTGTCGACTGAACAATGGTGCTGTGCTGTATTGCAGTGCCAGGAGGTTTATTGCAATCTGCCCAAGGGATGAGCTCCAAGTAAGGCTGAAATAAAGTAATACCAACTGTCAGCCTCATCTCTGATGCTGAAAGATCCTATCACTGATCATGACATACAAAAGTGAGGGAAGGTTTGATCATTATTTGGTAAAGGTGAAAAATGCCCATTGTTTATGAAGTACGAGGGCCGGGCTTATGATATATAATGGATTTGGTTCCAAAGAAAATTGTCAGTTCGTCCTATAGAGATTTGAAAGTTTTATTTAAAAACACTCAAACCAAATGTAGCCATTGGGTGTGGATTTAGGGGTGGGGAAGGTGACCCTTGTCGCAGGACAGGAAGACAGGAAAGTTGGTGGAGAGAGGCAAGCAAGCCCCCGGAGGGAAAATTCTGGCAGGGCCTTGGCCTCCCTCATGCTGCAGAAAGCCAGGAAGCAGCAGTTCCCAGTGGGCCTATCACTAAGAAGCTGGACACAAACAAAGGCTGTATACTTAAAATATACTTTATGTGACAGAAAATCAGGTGCCGAGAGTTGGTGCCAGGCCTGCGTGCTGGTTGCCAGTGGAGCTCATTAGATTGCAGAATCCAATTCAACCAGGCCTGCGTTTCTGCACAGCGGAGTGGGGGGAGCTGCACTGCCCTTCCTTGAGTGCAGGGGAGGAGTGGGCTCCAGGGCTGTGCCACTCCAGGGATATTCCAGGGATATACTTCTCCAGGCCTTCACAGAACATACAATCTTCACAGAACACTATGGACTATTCAGTGAGATAGGGGTTGGCAATGTGGTGGTGGATAAAACACAGCCCTTAGCGTCTAAGGCCTTTGGCCTTAGCAAGAAGCCATTTGAGTTTACAGATCATTAAAACACAGTGGGAGAAGCAGAGCAGAGGGGATGATGAGGAGACTCTGCCCAGAGTAGACAATCAGTCCAGGAGGGCTTCCTGGGAGAGGGGGCTTCACTATCTAGTTTGCAGGAGTTAGGCAGAGATTGCAGAAGTGGTGGGTTTTCCGGCATTAGAATGGTGCTTTTTTGGTGTTAAAATGGTAGCCACAAGGCCAGGATTGTGCTTCTTCTCACTGTGATCATTCTGACTAGAATTCACTCCACAACTCCTATGTAGTTGTGGCTGAGACCCCTCGCTGTGAGTTTTCCTGGTGGTCTTTGGCTAAAAGGCATCAAAAATACACATACATAAAGTATATAAAAATAGAAACTACAAATGAACTAAAGATAAGATATACAATATTTACAAAGTAATGTATTTCCATTTATTATTTATTTATTTATTTTTGAGACAGAGTCTTGCTCTGTCTCCCAGGCTGGAGTACAGTTGCGCGATCTCAGCTTACTGCAACCTCTGTCTCCTGGGTTCAAGCCATTCTCCTGTCTCAGCCTCCCGAGTAGCTGCGATTACAGGTGCCCACCACCACATCTGGCTAATTTTTGTATTTTTTTCAGTAGAGACAGGGTTTCACCATGTTGGCCAGGCTAGTCTCGAACTCCTGACCTCAGGTGATCTGCCTGCCTCCGCCTCCCAAAGTGCTAGGATTGCAGGCGTGAGGCACCATGCCAGGCCTGTATTTCCATTTATGGAATTACATTACATAAATTCCATTTATGGAATTTTAATACCATTATGGTATTGAAATTTTTGGTACCATTTTTTTCTTACTAAAATACATTAAAAATGTTAATAATAGCAATATGATCAAATATGCTTTATTAAAAAATCTTGTTTTATATATAGTGATATAGTGATCTGAAGCTTGGTTCTAAGATGAGCTCATTTTAACATGGTTTAAAGCTGTCTTAGCTGGGAGTGACACCTCAGAGATATATGTAGATCCACATGAGTGTGCTTACTAAACCATGAAATTCATTTTAAAAATCCCATCCACCAGTTATGCAATTTTAAACATAGGGAATCAAAATCCACTCAAAAATGCATTTGGAAGTCTTTTAAATGGATTAGAAAATTCAGTTTTAAGTGTGCGGATATGAGAGTTACATATTATCTTGTTTTGGGCAGCAAAGTCATGTAATAATGAAAACATTCCCAGGTATCTGTTTTCAGAAACTCTGCATAGCATTACTCTCTTTCATGCACTAATTAAAATGTTACTTTCACTTTGAAGGGACAGATGGAATGTGTTTATTTTTCAAAAATATTTGTATGATAGCTGAATACTTACTTCTTGTCTTCAAAATAAAAAATCAAGCCAATTTAGAAAACTTGTGTTTTGGGTGCAAATAAAGTGTAACTAAACTCTTTATGTTTGACAACTGTTACAAGTACCTTGCCCTTACTGGCAAATCTTTGTGCAGTAACAGAAGGTATCTGTGGTTCCCTATTTCATTACACACTGTGTTATTTAAAGGCATTGCATTAGTCTGTTCTTACCCTGCTGATAAAGACATACCTGAGAAGGAGTAATTTATAAAGAAAAAGAGGTTTAATGAACTCACAGTTTCACATGGCTGGGGAGGCCTCACAATCATGACAGAAGGCAAAGGCACGTCTTAAATGGCAGCAGGCAAGAGAGAATAAGAACCAAGCCAAGGGGAAACCCCTTATAAAACCATCAGATCTTGGCCAGGCTCGGTGGCTCACGCCTCTAATCCCAGCACTTTGGGAGGCTGAGGCAGGCAGAACTCCTGAGGTCAGGAGTTCGAGACCAGCCTGGCTAACATGGTGAAACCCCGTTTCTACTAAAAATACAAAAAATTAGCCAGGTGTGGTGGTGTGCACCTGTAATCCAGCTACTTGGGAGGCTGAGTAGCTGAACCCAGGAGGCCTCGCTTGAACCCAGGAGGCAGAGGTTGCAGCGAGCCGAGATCATGCTATTGCACTCCAGCTTGGGCAACAAGAGCGAGACTCCATCTCAAAAAGAAACAAACAAAAAACCATCAGATCTCATGAGACTTATTCACTACCATGAGGACAGTATGAAGGAAACAATCCCCATGATTCAATTATCTCCCACCAGTTCCCTCCCATAACACATGGGAATTATGGAAGCTATAATTCAAGATGAGATTTGGGTGGTGACACAGCCAAACCATATCAGGCGTATAACCTGTACATCTCCCAGATGGGGCAGATGTAACTCACAATTCACCATCAGACCCTGAAAGTGAACCCCAACGCAGGGGAGGATGGTAGTGGGGGAACCATATCCTCCTTAGTGTGGCCTTGCTCAGCCTTCCAGAGTATCCTGTACTCAGGTGAACATGTGATTGGTGGCCCCCTGGACGGAGTGGGTGCATCAGCGTTCATCTGTATTTCCAACATTGCTTGTGGGACGGTGGGCAAGTCACTTACCCTTTGGCCTCGGCTCGCTCTGTAAAGTGAGGATACTCTCCCTGCCTTGAGGGTGGCTGAGTGGAGGAGGTGTGAGCTGGCCATGAGACCACATGGTAAATGCATCCTGAATATTGGGCCTTCATTATTCTTTAGAGACAAGAGCACATGGTAAGCACAGTCACAGAGACAGTGCTGAGAACGGGAGTGCACAGAGGAGGTGAAATGAAGACTGGGCTGGGTGCTGGGGGCCCCTCTTGCTTCTTGGAGGATGTGGCATTTGACGAGGTCTTAATGGGTGGGTTTGCTTTAGTGGATGGGACTTGAGGAGAGACGCCTTCCTGGGGGTGCACACAAGCGGATGAAGGAAGCAAGGCGAAAAAGGAAGCAGGCTGCTTTGCAACCAGGGGAGGCTGCCTTGCCTGGTGTGGGCTCCTGGGTGAGAGAAGGGGCGGATGGTGGCTGTAGCCTTTAACAGAGAGGGTGAGATCACCCAGATGGTCACACCATCTATGTGATCTCTGGTTCTTTTACTTCCCCTGCAACATCCTAAGCCACATACATTCTGGTAGGTTGGGCTTAAATTCTTCTGTGTGCATGAGTAAAGGAGAAATTGGCCCCACCCCTTCGCCCTTCCCCTTGGACCTGCCCTTTGACTGTGTCCTTGACTTGTCTGATGTGTCTGTGAGGGTTTAGCATAGACTAGATTACTTAGAAAGGGAGGCTGAATGATGATCTTTAAATTATTAATGATTTCAGCATTTTGTAATTAAAATGCTCATTTTCTCCATGAATTTTAAGCACACATATGTCACAAATACAGACAAAATCTACTTTAATGAATAACATTAAAACATTCAATTTCAAGTAATGAGGTTATTTCCACGTCTTGGCTGATGATCCATATTTGATTCATTCATTTATTTATCCCTTCACTCTAAATATTTTTGCCCCCCTCTGTCTTCTCCTGCAATACGGGTAAAGTATTAATATAGCTTTGCAGACATGGCTTCAATAAATCATGGTGAAACAAATTCTCTATACCTGAGTAACACATAATCGATCTTGGGGAAGATACTCTTTTGGCTAGGTATTTCTCAATAATACCTAGATTTGAGCACCTGCATGCTGTTAAATAGTGCTGACTATTTGGGAAAATGCTCTGGTATGAAAGGGATAGCTTCCCAGGTATATTAGTTCATTCTTGCATTGCTACAAAGAAATACCTGAGTTGGGTAATTTATAATAAAAAGAGGTTTAACTGTTTCACAGTCCTGTAGGCTGTACAGGAAACATGATTCTGGCATCTGTGAGGCTCCGAGGGAGGCCTCAGGAAACTTACAATTATAGCGAAGGCAAAGGGGGAGTGAGATGTCTCACATGGCAGGAGCAGGAGGAAGAGAGATGGGAGGGACTATATGCTTTTAAACAAACAGATCTTGTTGGAACTCTATCAGGAGAACAGCACTCGGGGAATGGTGCTAAGCCATTAGAAACCACCCCCATGACACAATCACCTCCAACTAGGCCCCACCTCCAACATTGGGGATTACAATTCCACGTGAGATTTTGTGGGGACATAGATCCAAACCATATCACCTGGCATGGCCAGGAGAGACAAAGGGAGCAATGGATTGCCTTGCAACATCAAGTAGGGAAGCTTTTGGGGTTTCTGAGCACCTGGTAAGGATGGAGGAGAGGAGGTTGGAAATGTGAAGTGGTCGTAAGGCATATTGTATTTTCCAAAGATGAGCCCCAGTCATATCTCCCATCCCACTGGCTCTTCTGTCAAGAGGTGGAGTCTGTGTCCTCTTCCCCTGGACCCTGGATGGACCTTCGTGATTGCCTCAATCAGTGGAGCATAGCGGGAGTGCCTTTGTATGACTCCCAAGGCTAAGTCATAAAAATGCCGGGCACTTCTGTCAAGTTCTCTCTGGACACTTGCCCTTAGAACCCAGCAGCCATGTTGTGAGGAAGCCCAGGTAGAGAGACTACATGGGAAGGTGCTATGACCAACAATCTCCGGCAATAATCAGCCAAGACCACCAGACATATGAGTGAAGACGTCTCACGATAACTTTACCTCCAGCTATTAAATCACACTGAGCCTTGAAGTCCTCCCAGAAGAGGACTTCAAGAAGGAAGTTGGCCCCACTCTACCCTGTCAGAACTCCTGATCCCTCACATCTGTGAGCATAATAAAATGTTTTTTTTACCACTTAGTTTAGGTTGGTTTGTGACATAGAAACAGTGACCAGTGGCCAGGTGTGGTGGTTCATGCCGGTAATCCCAGCCCTTTGGAAGGCCGAGGCGGGCGGATCACCTAAGGTAGGGAGTTCGAGACCAGCCTGACCAACATGGAGAAACCCTGTCTCTACTAAAAATACTAAATTAGCTGGGCTTGGTGGCACATGCCTGTAATCCTAGCTACTCAGGATGCTGAGGCAGGAGAATCGCTTGAACCCGGGAGGCGGAGGTTGCAGTGAGCTAAGATCGTGCCATTGCGCTCCAGCCTGGGCAACAAGAGCAAAACTCTATATCAAAAAAAGAAAGAAAGAAAGAAAGAAACAGTGACCAGAACAGGTCTTGAGCACTGTTGAGAAATGCAATGCAGGGCCTGAGGGATTTGGAAAAAAATTTGGCTTGTAATTTATTTCCTCAAATGAGAATGACTCTTCCTTATAAAACTGGAAATGTCTAATGTTTAATTTATCTTCTGTGAGGTAACTGCTCACTATGACTCTGAGTGTTTAGTACAATTTTATTACTTGGGAGGAGCTGTCTTTTGGAGAAAGGAAGGGGAAGGCTCTGCACATTGTGGGTGTTTGTGGCAGGGAAAGCAAGAGGTGCAAGTCCAGGGGTATCTGCATGAAAGATGATGAGACTCATGAAGGAGGAAAGAGAAAAAACAGGGACTGGAAGACCTGTGGGGGCCCCGAGAACCCTGAGAGATGCGGGGGGTGCCCACTTTTGGGTTATGGGGGCTTAAACAATTCTCTCTGCATATAAAGGAAAGAGTGAGCCCAGGGGCAGGCTGACCATGGTCCCTAGCCCACCAGCACTTACATTTTATCCATGGCAGAAACCAGCTCTCATCTCCAAATCATTTGCTGCTGAGCATGTCTAGGAGGTCACAGCCAGCATGGGCATCTTGTTAGATGCGGGGCCGCTGTCCCTAGAGCCTGTTTGTTCATGTCTGTGGATGAAGCCTGTCATGGAGCTGGTGTTTAGAAAACAGCTGGCCCCAGGTGGCCCAGGCAGGCCCAGCAAATCTTCCAGTTCCTTCTTTTTTCCCTAAGGGAAAAGGCAAAATGATAGATATTCTGAGACACGCAGAATGTGATTGACAAGATAGCAGCCCCCAAAGACATCCACGCTCTGATTCTTGGAAGCTGTAAATACGCACTTTACGTGGCCAAAGAGACTTTGCTGTTGCAGTTATAAAACCTGAGGTGGGAGAGAATCCTGGATTTTCCATGTGAGCCTAGTTTGGTTACAGGAGCCCTTAAAAGCAGCAGAATTTCACAAGCAGAAGGGAGCTCAGAGAGACTGGAAGCATAGAGAAGGACTCGATCACTGCTGCTGGCCTTGAAGGGGGTCAGGAGCAGGGAATGTGTGAGGCTTCTAAATGCAAAGAACAATCCCCCCGACCAACAGCCAGCAGGGACACAGGGAGCTCGGTCCACGGCTACTCAGGACAGTTGACTTTGGCTTCGTTACTTACTCTCTGTGAGCTTGAGCTTTCCCTACTTGTCAGTAGGAAGTTATATTGGCCTTCTATACTTGCAGGGTGCTTATGAGCACGAGATCAGGTAATGCATGCAATGTGTTTTGTGAACCCTCAAATTCTGTGTATGACCCTTATATGGAGTCAATATGACCCTAAGCTCCAGCTGACACCTCATTCTGGGTTGGACAAAGGTCTCCCACAGGTGGCCCCAGCTGGCCTTGCTATGGACAAGTCGCCTAAAGAGCAGCCTTCTCTTCCTTTCCTCCAACAAGTACCTTGCACTCTGCTGGAGAGTTTGGGCTTTATTTTACTTCTCTGAGGACATTGGGAAGAAGAGGAGGAAGAGTCAGCTGGTCATATGCCCAGTTTTCATTCCTTGAGTGATCTGTTCAAGTTGTCCCCCAAATGATGGAATCTCCTTAGCAAACACAGATGTCCAGGCTTAGGCCAAACCCTGGAAGTGTCTGGAACAGTTGCTACACCTGCCTTGATAGACCCCCTGGGGCTAGCTTCAACACCATCATACTCTCCTGACCCAGGCTGTTCCCCATCCTTGAGCCTGTCTCCCATGCTGCCAGCTGACCCCACCCTGATCTCTGGAGCAATGTGCCCCACACCAGCAGGAGGGCAGCAGTGCTGGGGGCTCCTTGGGCACAGCCTGAGCAGTTCCAGCTTGTTGCAACCTCCTGCTGGCTCTGGCTTTGGTGATGCATGTTCAGGCAGGGGTCCCTCCCTCCCTCCCTTCTTCTCTCTCTTTTTCTTCTTTTGTAAAAACAATATATATAAAAGGATTTCATGCATGGGATTAGAAAACCAAATAGTACAGAGGGGCATGTAGTGAAAAATAACAGGCTTTTGCTCTATTCTTCCTCCTCAGTTCAGTTCTCGAAACAAAACTGCTTTTAACTGTCTCATTTTAAATCTGGTGGTTACCTCCATGTCTGTAAACAATGCACTTATGTGGCTCTCTCTTGATTTATCAACTTTAAACACCATCTACTAGCTTCCTGCTGAAATAGATGAGGATTCACCCCACCCCTGCTTCTCCTCCTCCTATAACGACATCACTTATTTAGTTCCACTTTTCTTTAGCTGTGTAACTCTAAATAATATATTTAAACATCTAATTCTTGTGTTTCATCAACACAAGAGATACACATCTTCTCTCTCTTTCTCTTTCTCTTTCTCTTCTCTCTCTTGCCACAGATGTTTCATTATCTGGACCCAAAGAAAAGATGAAAACAGTTGAGGTACAAGTCTTCCACTAAGGCCTGGGCCAAGTCGCCATCCTTCCACTGAGAGTGATGATGGAGGCACCACTGGCTGCCCGCTATCACCAGCAGGCAACTGGGGCTTTCTTCCCACCTTAGTATTTTGGGGTCACTGACTAAGGCAGCTGCTCTTCTATGTGTTCCCCTCTACAGACTGGCTTGGCCCTGCTGGAGACTGAGGGCTGATCCCTACCTGTACCCTTGGTGGGCTCAGCCCCGCTTCCCCAATTTGCCCTGGAGAGCTCCCGCCCCTGTGGGATCTGTGTTTGGTCTCCACTGTCCTCAGTGGAGGACACTATTTTCTAGCCCCTGCACCACCCCCTTTCTTTGTTTACTCCCTCTTTTTGCTAGAGTGCATCCTCAGGCAGTTTTCTAAGATGTGGCATGTGGAAATAAATTTTTGTCATTCTGTGTATTCGTTTTCTTTTTACCATAACAGTTTACCACAAACTTAGGAGCTTAAAACAACATCTATTTATTTGTTTTAAAGATGCATCACAAACTGTTTTCATTTCTAAAAAAATAGATTTAGGGGGTAGAAGTGCAGTTTTGTTACACGGATATATTGTGTAGTGGTGAAGTCTGGGCTTTTAGTGTAGCCATCACCTGAGTAGTGTACATTGTACCCAACAGATCATTTTCCATCCTTTAGCCCCCTCCCACCTTTTGGAGTCTCTGGTGTCTATTATTCCACTCTGTATGTCCATGTGTACCTTTGTTTAGCTCTCACCTAAGAGTGAGAACAACAATATCCATTTCTTACCTTAAAGTTCCGAATTTCTTTCCATGCAGGGGTGGGACTGATGTCCCCGTGTCCCTGCTGGCTGTTGGCTGGGGTGGGGGGAGCTGTTCTTAGCATTCAGAAGCCACCCATGTTCCCTGCTCCTGACCCCCTTCTTTGGTCTTCAAGGCCAGCAACAGCGGTCGAGTTCCTCTCTACGCGTCCAGCCTCTGTCCTCCAGCCCATGGAAGTCCTGTGCTTTTAAGGGCTCCTGTAACCCTAACCAAAGCAGCAAAGCCCCTTTGGCCACGTAAGGTGCATATTCACAGGTCCCGAGCATAGATGTCTTTGGGAGCTGCTATCCTGTAAACCACATCCCCCTTTTTTTTTGAGATGGAGTCTCTCTCTGTTGCCCAGGCAGGAGTGCAGTGGCACAATCCCAGCTCACTGCAACTTCCACCTCTAAGGTTCAGGCAATTCTCCTGCCTCAGCTTCCCAAGCATCTGGGATTACAGGCATGTGCCGCCATGCTGGGCTAAGTTTTGGATTTTTTTTTTTTTAATTTTTTAAATTGGAGACAGGGTTTCACCGTATTGGCCAGGCTGGTCTTGAACTCTTGACCTCAAGTGATCCGCCAGACTCGGTATCCCAAAGCTCTGGGATTACAGGCGTGAGCCACCATGCTCAGCCCTGTCAACCACATTCTGTGTGTCTCAGAAGATGTACCATTTTGCTATTTCCCTTCATTGACCGTTTGGCTGGCTGTGCCATTCTAATGTGAAAATGATTTCTTCTCCATCTCTGAAGGCTACACCCTTGCCTTTGAGTGCTCAGTAGCTCAGGGAGGTGGCTTGCACAGAAGGAGGGAGTGCAGGCCGGGTGCTATGTCAGTTTGGGTGTCTTTAATTGCTGAAACAAAGGTTTGGGTGTGAGTAGTGTGTGGGGAGGTGCTCCCAGGAGACACCAAGAGGGGAGGAAAAGAGTTGGGAAATGGGGGTGAACAGTGGAGGGCCTGCTGGTCACCCTCATGGGTGGCTGGAGATGGATCCTGCTGCAGCTCTCTGAGGGAATGTGTATTGTCCCCCCTGAGGGGGTGGACACTGGGCATTTATCAACTGTTCCATACCTGTGGGTGGAGGGGTTGTGTGGGGCCTTCTGTGTGTAGCCCTTCTGCCTGCCCCATGTACAGGATGTGGGTGCTGGGAGCTGGCAGCTGTGAGCACAGGTGGATTGTCCTTTAAGGTGCAGGATCCTCCTGGGTGGGCCAAGGGGCTGGGGCAGGAACGAGCATCAGGGCCGGGAGCCTGGTCTCAAGTCACTGCTGTCCCTACTGCTTCACAGTTGCAGGACCCTGGGCACACTATTGAAACTCTGTGTATTGGTTAGGGCGCCAAGGGATAACAGATGGTGTGCTCTCTTAGGATAAATCAAGGAGGCTTTATTTATAAAGAAAATAATCAAAGATGTGGCAGGTATAAGGAAACCATAGCCCAGTGCAGGAACTAGGGTTGTGACAGTGAAGCCATTCCTGCCTGGGCTGAAGGATAGGAGAGGTCACTGAAACCCGGAAGAAACAGTGGTTGGAGCAAGCCACCTAGGGAGGAACAGTGACATACCAGCCCGAGGTGACCTCAGGGAGGAACCAGAGAAGAAATACCCTGACTTCACTCCCTTTCCTCTGCTGCTGGGGCTCCCGCTGAGCAAACCCAACTAGAGGACAGACTTTCTGGGGGCCTGTCATAGAGTGTGAGCAATCCAGCCTCCTGGGGCCGAGGCCAAGGTGCAGCAGGAGGAGACAAACCTGGAAGAGCAAACAGAAGGCATCTGGCCCAGCCCACCCCTTTGCCCCCAGCATCTATTCTGTTCTTTTGGATAAAAAGCTCATGTCCCCAGCACAGGGAATGCATGAAGTGCCATCAACTACTCTTATTGCAAAGTGATGTTAATTTACTTGTGTTTCCACTTGAAACCTGAAAGGTCAGCCAAGCCTATGCCCTTCACATAAGGATTTAGGACTGAGGCAGTGACAATCAAGTGGGTACATACACCTAGCTGCTACGATCCTGCTTGACAGCTGGTCAGGAGGTCCTGAGAGGCCCAGCGCTCCTTTCCACCAGCCATTCCTTTCCCTAGTTCCCTTGCCTTTTGCCAGCCATATGCTGGATGGATTCTTTACCTGGTGAGGTGACCCACGGCTGCATTCCTGCAGGACATGAGATTGTGGTGACCTTTCTGCAGTTTTCTGTTGACCAGGAACATGAGGCAAGGGAGAACAAAGCAGGAACCCCATGGATTCTCTAGGTTTCAAACAGTCCTTCTTGGTACCTTCCCCCAAATTTCCGCTGGACTCCCCACTCTGGTCCTTGGTTTATTGGCACAAGGAAGCCAAAACAGCCTCACAAGGAGATCTTGACTTCCAGTTACTCAGAACCATGCCTGTTTTCCTGCTTTGGACATGGGCCTCTGCTATTGTCTGAATGTCTATGTTCTCTCTTCCCCATTTGTATGTTGAAATCCTAACCCCCAAGGCCATGGTATTAGGAGGTGGGGCATTTGGGAAGTCATAAGGGCAGAGCTCTTGTGATGTGATTGGTGTCCTTATATAAGAGGCCCTAGGGGGCTCCCCACTCCTTCTACCATGTGCAGACACAGCGAGAGGGCGCCGTCTATGAACCAGAACATGGGCCCTCACCAGACACGGAATCTGCTGTGATCTTGGACTTCCCAGCTGCCAGAACTATTGGGAAATGAATTTCTGTCATTTGTAAGCTATCAGTTTATGCTATTTTGTTTTAGCAGTGTGAATGGACTAAGGCAACCTCCACACCCACCAAAGCCAACGTTCTAGGCATGGGAAGCAAACTTCTCCAGTGCGTTACTACACGTAATAGTGAGGGGGTGCTTCCACCTCCACCCCTTGTTTCCATGGCCTGTGCTCCTGGCTATGAGGGATGATGACACCATAGGTTGACCATTGGTTTAATCCCTAAACTTTAAGGCGGGCATTTTGCCCGTTACTTCATAGACGGAATGAATGTTTTCTTCCAGCTGGTACTATAACCAGGCTTTCAGCAGACCATTCATCATTCTGTCCAGCCAGTGGCTTCTGGTATTAGGCATGTAGCAAACCCAGGGAATTCTGTAGGCCTGAGCCCATGGAATCATTTCCTTTATTGTAAAATGTTCCCTGGTTGGAGATGATATTACGCGGGATACCAGGGTACTGGTTCAGGCATGGAGGCATTCTGTAACTCCACTAATGGTGAGTCTGATAGAAGTGCTGGGGGCAGGGAAAAGACGTTCTGGGTTGACAGGGTTACCTTTTGGGTTATACAGTTAAAGCAGCATTTTCAAATGTGGTTCGTCTTGCCTCTAAAATTCAAAGCAGCCTGCAAAGATTGTGTCGTTTTCTTCGTGGCAAGTAATGCAAGGGCAGGAACTTGTCTCTTGTCATAGAGGAGATGTCGTGACTGCGAAAGCTCTGGAAACTTCCTTACCAGGCCAGGCTCAGGAAGCCCTGCAGGGTGTGTCTCTGTCCTCTGGCACACGTGTGAGTAGTGAGGTTTGTAGTAGGATGCTGAGTAAGGCAGTCACTCTAGAGGGCATGCTGGAGCTGGAAAACTATCGTTTCATAGGCATTAGAGTCAAGATTGGCTCAGGCAAAAGTCATCCATGTGTGCTAAACCTAAGGGAAGCAAGATATTTACAGGGTCTTACAGTGTCTCCCTACAGACTGCGTGTTATTTACAAGGGAAAAAGTAGCAATTACACAATTGAGCAATTGGACAATACTTGACTGAGTGATAAAAATTGACATCACCAGTGAGGAGTAGGTGGCTATCCTGGACCTCCAGATGGGACACCCTGGGAAGGACAGAGCATCATTTGTGGGGTTTTCCACCTTGAACTGGAGTAACCTGAACCCAGCCACGAGCAGACATGCAACAAACCTCAAATGAGGGCTAGTCTATTAAAAATAAATTGTGTTCTTCAATAGCGTCAATGTCATAAAAGACAAGGAAAGGCTGTGGAAATGTTGTAGACTAAAGGAAATGAAAGAATCATGACATCTAAATGCAATGCCTGAGCCTGGACTGGATTTTGTGGTGGAGAAAAAAAAGGACGTTTTTGGGTCAGTTGATAAAATTGGATTGTGGAAGGCAGATTGAATAAAAACACTGTTTTGATGAGGGGATGTCCTGATTTACTGAGAAATTTACTGTAGTTGGTGACTGTATTGTGGTGATGTAAGGTGATATCCTTATTCTTAGGAAACACACATTGAAATAGTTAGAATTAAAGGGCTGAAAGGTAAGCAATCTTTGTTCAAATGGTTGAGAGAGGGTGAGAGAGAGAGGGTGATAAATGAAGGTGATAAATGAAGCAAACTGTGGACAATGAGAAACTCTGGGTCAATGGCATACAAGCATTTACTATTTTTATTCTGCAACTTTTTGTAAATTTGAATTATTTTCAAACAAAATATGAAAACAATCAATGAGGAACAGAAAAATGCTGTTGCAAACATCCTTATATGCATCTCTGAGGACTTGTCTGTATTTCTTGGGGGAAATTCTCTACATCCTTGGACACGCAATTGCTGAATGAAAAGATGGCCATGTTAAAATAATTTGGTTGATATTGTGAAATTGCTAGGCAGCTTTCTGGTGCACCATATCTGTTAAGCTAGAATGTCATGGAAATGAGTGTCACTGATGAAAGCTGACAGCACCACGACCTGACCAAAGGGGACTGGTTGAGGCTGGTTTGGGCATGGATTCCATTTTCAATGCCCCCATGTACCTGCAAAGCAGGGCAGGCATACAGGACCGGTCACTGCAGGCATATTCGTTTGCGGCAGTTGCTGTAACAAGGTTACGGCTTAACTGTCAGTGTGGATTAAACAAAAGTGTATCGTCTCACAGTTCTGGAAACTGAAAGTCTGAGATCGAGATGCTGACAGGGTTGCTTCCGTCTGAGGCTGTGAGGGGAGGCTCTGTTCCAGGCCTTTGCCCTTAGCGTGTTGATGACCATTTTCCCCCTGAATCTTCACGTGGTTCTCTATTTGTGCCTGTCTCTGTGTCCAAATCTCCCCCTTTTATAAAGACACAGGATATCTTGGATGAGGGCCACCCTAATGGCCTCACCTTAACTTGATGACCTCTGTGAAGAGCTTATCCCCAAATAAGGCCACTTTCGAGATACTAGGGTTAGGACCTTGGCATATGAGTGGGGGAAGTGGGGGCGGGGGACGTGCAGGCACAGTAGGGGTCCGACTCACCTCACTTCTGCTCTGGGCCCTCTGAGCTCCCGTCTCATGTGGCTTCATAGTTTAGCTCCCTTTCCATCCAGGTTGGCTCACAGTGACAATCTGACCTGGGGCTTTTTCCTCTGGCTCTTACCAGGCATCCACATCTGCAAAATGCAAAATGGCCTAGTAAGAAAATTCTATCATGCTTTCTCTCTTATGTCTAGAACCTGTCACTAGAGACACGTCACGAGAGACGCCCCTCGGAACCTCTGGTAGAGACGTCCTGGAGGCTGAAAAACAGCTGAAGGCTGCACAGCACAGCTGGTTTGCCAATGTCAGGAGATGAAGCCTGGGTCTCAGAGGACATGCTCCCTTTTCCCCAGCATCCCCTTCTGCTGCCCAATAGGCATTACTCGTTACTATATATGAATGCAGTGTGTGCTGAATATTGTCTTATGTATACAAATCCAATCCCGTGAACACATCACATTGCTTCTGCTCATTGCACTCAACTTTCTGAACCCCCGGGAGAGCAAGGCACTTTGTGGGGAACTCTGCCAAGGGCTTTAAGAGACAAAAAGGAAGTCAGACCCAGGACTCTTCTGACACAAGGCTGACTGCAGACTCGGGAAGAGATGAGCGTATAGATGTGTCACATTGGCAATGGCGAGTCTGAGCTCCAGAACAGTTCGTAGACTGAAGGATGCAAGTAGCCCTTCCTATTAAGAAAAATAAATAAAAAGAAAGAGCTGGGTTCTCTGAAACAGCATGGTCCAGCCCAGTCAAAGCTCAATGCCAGGAACAAGGTTGGCAAAGCCATGATTTGTACCCAGTGTCTCTGGGCTGCCTGTTCCTTCTTGACTTGGTAAACTTTGCATTAAAAGGAGCTGGGCTGAATCTGTAGGATGCCGTGCAGAGACTGAAAGACCTGCTTTCCTTTGGAGCTTTTCATTTTATGCCTAAATTCTGATTAAAGCTCTTCCACATAACTACATCTCCCTTTGGGCCGTCTAGCGAGTCGACTGGTGGGTTTTAAGTGGCGCGTCTGTACATAGCCTCACACTCTGCTGCTTCCCAGGACGCACTAAATGTCCTTTAACAGCTCATCCTAGAGCTGTCCTGTGGGCATTGCCGTATCAAAATGTTTTCTTTCAGATTGAAAATCCCAGTAGTTCAAAATCATCAGAATGTAATGAACCAGGTGAAAACCTGATTTAATATCTGTCTCTGCAAACTTTACACTCAGGTGAGGCAGGCCAGGGCTGAGGAATTCCTTCAGGATGGAAAGGCAGCTGGTGCCTGTAGACAGCCAGCCCATCTGGGACTGGGGGCGGCCTAGAGAGGGAGCGACAAGATGGCAAAGGCTGAGCTGGCACTTGAGTCCTTCAGGGGAGCTGAGGAGATGGAGTAACAGAAACTGGAATGATCCTCCTTACAATGCTAATTCCAAATCTTTCCCACTCCCCACCTTCCCTCTGGTATTGGGTTGGATAGTGTCCCCCTAGAATCCAGGTCCATTTGGAGCCTCTGAAGGTGACCTTATTTGGAAATAGAGTCATGCAGATATAAGTACAACGGCAAAAGCCGCCATTACTTTTGCACCAACCTAACAGTTAAGATGAGGGCGTACTGGGTGAGGGTGGGCCCTGACCCGGTGGCTGATGTTCTCCTAAGAAGAGAGAACAGAGACACAGCGATGGGGGAAAGAAGGCTGCGTGACGATGGACGTGGAGAGTGGAGAGCTGCAGCTAGGAGCCACGGAATGCTTGGGCTGCAGGCACCCACCGGAGGTCACGGGGAGGCAGGCAAGAGACTCGCTATGGCCTTCAGAGGGAACACGGCCCTGCGGACACCTTCAGTTTGGACTTCCGGTCCCCAGAACTGTGAGAGAGAACACTTCTGTTGTTTTAAGCCACTCAGTTTGTGGTCATTTGTTACAGCAGCCCTGGAAACTAATTCACCCTCTTAAAAGAGGGGTTGCTATGTGGGGGCAGCTTACAAGAGAAGAAGCTTCTTGTTCTTCTCAGGTGGCCTGGGAGGTCTCATTTTGCACCCCCAAGGTGGTGAGCAGTGTGGCTGAAAACAGGTTGGTTTTGGATTTGAAGCTCTGAGCTCTCAGGCTTATTTCAAAGGAGGTGTGGGCTCGCAGAAGCTGAGATGCCAATGGTTCCTCAATCCTAAGAGACAAGCAGCTGACTTAAGTATTTGCTGGAGTTCTTAGCCCTGTGTTTCATGCCGTGGGGAGGAGGAGGGTTTGGAAGGGCAGAGATGTGGGAAGGGTGCAGAGCCAAAGTCTAGGATGAGGTGTAGGAGGCCATTCCCCATGGACTGAGCAAACAGAGGGTAGATGACCGGGGTAGGGGAAGTGACTTTGGCTATGAGGAGCTGGGACAGAGGAAGAAGTGACGGAGTGGGGTAGGATGTGGGAAGTCCTGGTAGGTACCTGACACATTGGAAGAGGTATTTAAGAATTGCTGTCTTAGTATCAGTTTACAGGATGGGTCAGATGAAGGGTAAGCCTGCAGGTAGGGAAAGGAGAAACCCATTTGGACAGCTTCTTCACTCAGGTTCTGTGCTGAGGCCGAACTCCACCAGCTCTAGAAAAATCACCAACAAGACAGCCCCTGCTAGAGGCAGAGGGCCCAGAACTCATCACTTGGGGCACTGGGTTCTAATTCTTGGTCTCTTGTTTCAGCAAGTCATGAGAACCTCTGTGTGCCTTTGTTTTCCATCTCAAAATAACAAATTACCCACTAGCATGTTCAGTTGCAAATGGCATGTACATGATTTTAAACGATTGCCGGTTGGAAATGTCAAGTCTCCAGAAATGACAATGCTCCCATGATCACACCAGCCTGGAATTATCTTCATGCTGCAAAACTTCTCTTCATACTTCTGTCTTCATATTGCTGTCTGTTTTTTTTGTTTTGTTTTCTGTTTTTGTTAAACATGAATGCGATGTCCTCTATGCAGGCATAAGGATGTAAGGTTTATTTTTCCCCTCTGCCTTTCCTTTCCAGCTCTCTCTTTGAGGACAGATTTCCTCATCTATCAGTGACTCAGAAGCAATGAGGAGTACAGCATTGTGGCATGCATGTAAGGTGTGGTATTTTGCAGAAATCAAACTCTGCAAAGCTTCTGCAGAAAAGAGAAGGCACAAAAGTGTGAAAGAGCAGACTGTAGGTTCTTATCATTTAACTGATGTTATGCTCAGGGTCTGGTGCCCTAGCTGTTTTACTTTATATTTTTGCTTACAGTTCTTTTCTCATCTGTTTTAAAAATTATTTAATGTTTAATCACATAATAAAAATTTAGCCATTTTAAAGTGAACAGTTTCACTTGCAATGAGTACATTTGCAACACTGTGTAATCACCATTTCTACCTAGTTCCAAAGCATTCTCATCACCCAAAAAGGGAGGCCTGTACCCCTGAAGCAGTTGCTTCGCCTGCTTCCTTCAGGCCCTGGCAACCAGCAAGCTGCATTTCTTCTCTATGCATTTATGTATTCCGGACATTCATGTAAATGGAATTCTACAATATGTGACATTTTGTATTATGTTTCTTTCACTTAGCATAACATTTTTGAGGTTCAGCCACATTGTAGCATATATCCAAACTTTATTCCTTTTTTATGGCTGAATAGTATTCCACTGTATGACTATACCACAATTTGCTTATCTGTTAATCTGCTGGTGGACATTTGGGCTGTTTCCACCTTTTGGCTATTGTGAATTGCATTGCTTTGAATATGCATATATATATATATATATGTATGTATATATATATCTGAGTGCTAGTTTTCACTTTTTGGGGTATATACTTAGGAGTGGAATTGACGGGTCATATGGTAATTTTATATTTCACTTTTTGAGGAACGGCCAAACTTTTTCCACAGCAGCTGTGCTATTTTACGGTCCCACTAACGGTATACCAGGTGCTCACTTTTAAGCAAGCATTTCCTTTCTGGAGACTTTTCTTCTCAGCATACCTACTACAAGGAAAATAGGAAAATCAATTGCATATTTGGAATGTCCACAACTTTGACAATTTGCTAAACGATTTTTCTATAAAATTGACACCATAATGTCCTTGGCTTAAGTTATACTGTAGCAGTGCTTTATGGTTTTGTTTTCTTCTTTTCTTCTGCGTCATGGCATCGTCAGGAAATGGCAGCATTTGTACTGAGAGGAGGGCGTCCATGGTGATAGGTGAGAGGTCTTGGCTCTGGTGTTGAGGGCGGAGGGGGTTAACTTGTTTGACAAACTCCACTGTGCTATGGCATCCCACTTGGGAAACTGTCTTCTTGAGGGCTGTTTCAGGTTCAAAATCACTCTTTTTATGTGGAGTATCTGCACCTTAGTATGAAACATTATTCCTATGACAGTCATGCATGCAGTCAAAGTAGTAAAGATGATCACCTGCTGCTCACAGAAGTATCATGACTATATACTACTTTTATTTTAGTTTTTTTAGATTTGTCATGGATCCAAACACAAAATACCATCTCTCTTTAATTTCCACTGAGTTTAGCTCACCTGAGCAAGTTAAACTCCAATACAGAGTCCTCCTCACTTCAGTCACACGGTGTCTCTAAGTGGTTTATTAAATGAAGGACATCGCAACACTTACCACAGATAAGTAGATGCTTCCTGTGGTTTAGATATAATATCTATTCATTGGCTTATGGATTCAAAATACCGCAGAGAGTTCCATGAAACCTGGTGCTCTTGGAGGCCTGGAGTTTGTATAATAAATCAGAACTGACTGGAAAAGGTCTCACAATGCTTCCTGGTCGGTTCTCTATGCTACAAAGAACATTTTTTTTTCCTCTGGAAAGTGCGCAGCAGATCTTATGATCTAGTCCTTTTGTTTTTTAGCAGAAGTAGAGGTGGAAAAGGGTTCATAGTCAGATGCCAGCATCTTGAACCCCCACTTCTACAGAGTGAAACGCATTCCTGTCACAGGAGCGGAGTAGGTTTGGTCTTTGTAAGGCCTGGGAAAAGTAGCTTGCTAGGGATGTGGGGTGGCCAAAGAAAGACAATAGTTTTCAAAGCTATGGATGATCCCAAAGAGCAGGTACTGGTCACTTGCTACCAGTCCATGGAACTGTGGCCATAGGGCAGATGAAGTGAATAATTAAACTGAAAAAACTTGGGGAAATAGCTTGAAACAAAAGACAAAAGAAAAACATAAGAGGCAACCCCTTGCCCTCATGTCCTAATATCCCCAGTGCTGGGAACAGTACATGGAACATAGCTGCTGCTAAAGCCACGCTTGCTGAGTGAATGAATTAACAAACCTAAGTGTTCCTCCAACCCCTTACTCAAACCCTAGAAAAATAGAACAAATGCAGGTGGTAAAAATCCAACTAGAGTCAGATCCAAGAACAAAACAGAGTGTTAGAAATCTGAAATGTTTTAAAAATTAAGAAAAAGACAATGTCTAAAAGAAAAATAATTTAAAAAACTACTCAGTGATGGAGTGAAATGATCACCAGGCTGGGAATTAGGACACCTGGGTTCTACACTACATATTTTTCAAATTGATACATGCCTCAAGGAGACACTTTAAATCAGTAGGGAAGGGAAGGAATATTCAATAAATGGTGTAGGAACAAATGGTAAGGGAAATAGGAAAAGAAATAGGGAATAGGAAAAAAGGAAATAGGAAAAAATATTCTTGTAAACCGTCCTATATAACTAAATACTATGTAACTAAGTAAATTCCAGTTGTATTTAAAAGTTAAATATAAAGGTGGTAAAAATGGTAAGCTATAAGAACACAGAATTGTGTGCTTATTGAGCATCTGGTGGGTGGAAGTTTCATTGATAAGACAAACTGAAAAGTACATAGATAATCAATCCATAGGTCTGTTGCCTACCTTGACCAGGCCCCCCAATTCCAGCGCCCCTTCCCCTCCCCGCAGTGAAGCACTGGTGAGTCCCCCTCCAGATTCCTTTGATATAAAAGGTATCACTCTTCATAATTTACTTGAAGAGTTGTAGTTTTCATTCAACGTTGTGCCTTGGAGAGCTATCCATTTTAGTGCATGTTGATCGCTGTTTTCTTTTTAACCACTCAGTGCGGGATATGAAGACAAATGGAGTCATACCTTGAAAATCCTGAGGGAAAATGATTTCACACTAGAATTACACTAGAGGCCGGGCGTGGTGGCTCACGCCTATAATCCCAACACTTTGGGAGGCAGAAGCGGGCGGATCATGAGGTCAGGAGTTTGAGACTGGCCTGGCCAACATAGTGAAACCCTGTCTCTACTAAAAATACAAAAAATTAGCCGGGCATGGTGGTGGGCGTCTGTGATCCCAGCTACTCGGGAGGCTGGGGCAGGAGAATCGCTTGAGCCCAGGAGGCGGTGGTTGCAGTGAGCCAAGATTGCGCCATTGCACTCCAGCCTGGGGTGACAGTGTGAGACTCTGTCTCAAAAAAAAAAAAAAAAAAAAAGAATGACACTAGAATTCTTTGCCTAAAATATCATCAAGTTTGCAGGACACTTAAAGACATTTTCAGACATGCAAGAACACGATTGACTTTCCTGTGATAGGGAGTTACTGAAGACGCACTCCAAGTGTAACGGACATGTAAACCACAGAGTGGACGCAAAGTGCAGGAGAGACTGGATCCCGCCCAGGCACTTCATCTTCCTCAACCTCCCTTTATGTTGCTCTCTCTCTTTCTCCACTTCTCATATTTCCTGCGTTCTTTCCTCTTTAGAACCCTTACCCCTCAGTCTCAGGCTCCCCACAGAGCCCTCTCACTTTATTATACAAAGCAATTCAGTCCTCTCTTTGTCCTCCTGGCCCCCGCTGGTTAGGCCCCGGGAACTTCCGCCTAAAATAGTCAATTCCCTCTATTCAGAATTCTCCTTCTCCTCCCTACTGCATGACCACTTGACATTGTGCAGGTATTTAAATGCAGACACTACTATAAAAAGTTATTCAACCAAAAGAAAAAAACCTTCAGATTTATTTTCCACTGTTTTTCTGACTTCTAACTTGCTCATTTCTGCTTTTAAAATAATTCTCCATTTAGCTTTTCTTTTGTTTGCTCTGCTCTTCTCTTCCTAACCTTTTTGAGTTGGATGCTTAATTCATTTGTTTCAATTCATTCTTTGTTTTTCTTCTCTTCTTAATCAATAGAATTTAAGTGTTTTATGCTGAGCATTGCTTAGCTTTTTCCTCTAGATTCTTAACATGTGACCACTTCATTCTGGTTTTCTGGGCATTCTGCAGTTCTGTTTAGTCCCTTTGAGTCAGGATTGTTTAAAAGCGTGTGTGTGTGTTTTTCCCTCCCAGGTGGAAGGGCCTTTTGGTATTTCAATTTGATTTTCAGTTTCTACTTTTGTAGCATCGTGACCATAGAAAATTTTCTTCCCTGTTTTTACTTTCTGGAGATTTTGTTTTTGGCCTTGTCACGCGCATCCGTGTGAAGAGACCACCAAACAGGCTTTGTGTGAGCAACAAGGCTGTTTATTTCACCTGGGTGCAGGTGGGCTGAGTCCGAAAAGAGAGTCAGCGAAGGGAGATGGGGTGGGGCCGTTTTGTAGGATTTGGGTGGGTAGTGGAACATTACAGTCAAAGGGGGTTGTTCTCTTGTTGGCAGGGGCGGGGGTCACAAGGTGCTCAGTGGGGGAGCTTCTGAGCCAGGAGAAGGAACTTCACAAGGTTAATTGCTCAGTTAACGTGGGGCGGAAACAAATCACAATGGTGGAATGTCATCAGTTAAGGCAGGAACCGGCCATTTTCACTTCTTTTGTGATTCTTCACTTGCTTCAGGCCATCTGGATGTATTCATGCAGGTCACAGGGGATATGATGGTTTAGCTTGGGCTCACAGGCCTGACAGGCCTAACCATGTCCAATTTTTATCCACTTTCATTGGCACTTGAGCTGAAGGCGTTTTTTTAAATTTTCAGGGTGTGTGTATGAATGTATGCATGTATGTATTTCTGTATCTATAAACCAGACTTCCTTTATTAATTATGCTATTTAGGTACTCTGCAATTTATTTTTTGTCCATTTTACATATCAAGGACAGAGGGAGGTCCACAGATATTAAGAGCTTTATATATTTGTTGTGAAATTGCACCATTTAAGCTAATAAAGGGGCATTTTTGTTTTTTTTTCAATGCCTTGTCATCTGCAGTCTGTCTTGAGTGATGTTAATATCACAACCTCTGCTCTTTTTTCTTAGTATTTGAGTTTTGAAATCTTTTACAAATCCTTGTGAATTATTCTGTTTTTGGAATGGCTGCCACGCACAGCCTACAGCTGGGTTTTGCTTTGTCATCCAGTCTCCCCTCTCCTCCCTCCCATTAGCCCTTCTTTCCTCCCTTTCTTCCATCCTTTCATTCATCGAAGATAAGTTGAAAGGAGTTGAAGAAGCTCATTGACCTTCATTAGTGGTAGATGCTTTTGATCTTACTTTTTCCATATTCTTTTACTTGATATTTTTTAATTTGTATGTCTTCAAATAAAGTCAGTCACCAGGTGGTCTGTTTCCTTTGAAACTTTTTCTGAAGTTTAGAAAGGTTTGTATTTTTATGGTAATGGTTACTTTTATAATTTCACTTAAAATAAATATGCTGGCCGGGCACGGTGGCTCACGCCTGTAATCTCAGCATTTTGGGAGGCCAAGGAGAGTGGATCACCTGAGGTCAGGAGTTTGAGACCAGCCTGGCTAACATGGTGAAACCCTGTCTCTACTAAAAATACAAAAATTAGCTGGGTGAGGTGGTGCGTGCCTGTAGTCCCAGCTACTAGGGAGGCTGAGGTAGGAGAATCGCTTAAACCCAGAAGGCGGAGGTTGCAGTGAGCCAAGATTGTGCCATTGCACTCCAGCCTGGGCGACAGAGCGAGACTCTATCTCTAAATAAATAAATAAATAAATAAATAAATATCCACTTTAAGAGGCCAAGAGGGGTGAATCACCTGAGCTCAGAAGTTTGAGACCAGCCTGGGTAACATGGCGAAATCCTGTCTCTACAAAAAACACAAAAAATTAGCTGGGCTTGGTGGCCTGCACCTGTGGTCCTAGCTTCTCAAGAGGCTGAGGTGGGAGGATCCCTTGAGCCTGGGAGGCGAAGGTTGCAGTGAGCCGAGATCATGCCACTGCACTCCAACCTGGGTGACAGTGAGACCCCATCTAGAAAAAAACATACCCTTGATCCCCTATTTTTGACACAATGTGTATTTGTTCCTCTTAATAAAACAATGATGAAGTTAATGCATTTGCTCCTTTCTCCCCTGGCTCTCCACCCAGTTTTAGTCAATAATGCCTGTTGGTCTTAGAGTTGATCTTCCAAAGGGAGATGTGTTTATACCTCTACCACTTGATTTGTCAGCTGTGAATGACGCCTGTTGTCTCATAAGTGAGGTAACTGGCAAACTTACTCTGCCCTTCACCTTCTCATTCCCTTCCTCTCCTAAGTTTTATTTTCATACCATTTTTACAATGTCATGGCATATAACATTTACTTCTACTCTATCATCTAGTCCGCACATTTGTTTTGCTCTTAATTCACAATTAAACCCATCCAGCGCTCACCACTGCATTTTCTGCTTGTGGTTTTCCTAATTATCTTCTGGTTGGCTAAAGTTTATCCTCTAGTGGCTTCTTAAGAAGCACTCATGATACCAATATTCCCTAGTTTCTTGCAATTAAAAATAACCAGAGCCTTTACACTGGAAGGACAGATCATACTTTTCCAGGAGAATCTTTTAGATGCTGTGTCACTGTCTTTTGGTGTTTAACAGTGGATAAATCTGGAGCCAGATTGATTTCTATGTTCAGAATATTTTTCTTTAAAGTCTGGAGGCCAGGCACAGTGGCTCATGCCAGTATTCCCAGCTGTTTGGGAGGCCGAGGTGGGCAGATCACGAGGTCAGGAGATCAAGACCATCCCGGCTAATGTGGTGAAACCCCGTCTCTTCTAAAAATACAAAAAATTAGCCAGGCATGGTGGCGGGTGCCTGTAGTCCCAGCTACTCGGGAGGCTGAGGCAGGAGAATGGTGTGAACCCAGGAGGCGGAGCTTGCAGTGAGCTGAGATCGCACCACTGCACTCCAGCCGGGGTGACTAAGCGAGACTCTGTCTCAAAAAAAAAAAAAAAAAAAAAAAAGTCTGGAAAGTCTACCATGATTGAGTCTTCATGTTAACTGTTCTAGGTCTTTTTTTAAAAATCCTGGTCCACAGTGCGTGCTTTCAATCATGCAGATTATATTCTTTTTTATTTCATTGAAGGTTCATGAATAATGTCATTAAATATTTGCTTCACTGCATTGTTTGGGTTTCTTCAGGGGCTCCAATTATATATACATTGCACCTCCTTTACCTGTGTTCTAGATCTACATTTTTTCTTTAATAGAAATGCTTTCTTGAATTTTGTTTTATGATGTTCATGGTTGTCCTTAATATTCTCTAGGTTTCTTAGTGTGTTTCCAGAGTATCTAGACTCATTTTTGCTTCTTCCACGATTTATTCATTTATTCTTTCTTGGAGTATATATCATTAACTCATGTTTTATCTCTTTTGTTGAATAATCACATCTTTTCTAGGTTCCTGTATTTCTGTTCTTCCTTTACAAAGATAATGGCCTCATTTAATCAATTAAAATTCATGATAAAATATTTAGTTAAAATTTTTATCTGCTCTGTGGCAACATTTTTCTGGCAAGTGTTCTTACCTAATGATAAATTTTGTGGCTCTTTTACCCCTTATTCACTAGATCTTCCTTATATCAATGCTGTGCTAATTCATTTTATTGGTCATTGTTGAATGATCATATTTTCCTCCACTAGCTTAGAGGTCCCTTTTTGGGAATGGTTTCAGAGACAGACTGCTTCCATTGAATAGGGCTTAAAACAATTTCTTCATGTAGACCTTTCTCTGCTTCTTTCAACCAAACCTGATCAAAGAGGTTTTTTTTTTGCCACTGGCTCTGCTCATCTCCTATATGTCACAACCACTGTTGTAGACAAGGGACATACCTATTATACTAAAGTGTGGCTCTTGCTTAAGGAGATGGATTTGTGCAGCATTTTTTGAGTCCTGATAGCATTATGGCTTTTCTTTACTCTTTGCACTTTTCTTTTTATTTCCTTCTATGTGGTTTCTATTCTATTTCAGCTGCATTTCTCAGTCATTACCTGTGATTTAAAGTCTTTCAATTATCCTTTTTTCCAAGTTTCACTGAGAATGAAGCTTCTGCATTTTTTGGTAATGCTTTTTGTTGCTTGTATGATTTCTAGGAGGAGAGAGATATATAGACTTCGATAGCCATGTTCATACCTGAAGTCCATCTATGTTTTTTAAACCATCTTTATAATTTCATTTTTGATATAGAACTCTTTGGGCCATGAAAACTTTACCTTTTTAGTAAAATATGAACTTGAGGTCTGAGATATATATATATATATATTTTTTTTCTAGCTGTCTTATTATCTTTTATGGAATAATCTGAATTCTGTTCCTTGTTTTGAAATGGACTATTTATTGTATTTTAAAATCTCATATTTACTTTTTTTGCAATGTTTTATTATGTCTATTCCTTCAGTTACTATAACCACAGTATTTTAACACTGTGGATTTATAATATGTTTTTCTTGTCTTCTTTTTCAGAATTTACTTGCTATTTTTGCTATTCTTCTAGACTTAATCCAGTGAGGTATATTTTGAATTTCTAAGATGAGAATACAATATGTAGTATTTTTTTTGTATTTATGGAAACACATTCCTTCAAGAGATAGAACAAGAATTTCTACCTTTTGCAGCTTATCGTCAACAAAATATAGTTTGGGAAATACTGTTCCAATATTTTAATGGTAAACATTATGCTGAGTGTTGGTTAAAAGATATCTAACATGTTAAAGAATTATTGGTCTATTCCTATTTTTCTAAAGTTTTTAAAAAATCAGAAAGCAGATTACATTAACATTTATTGAGGAGAATAATTTTCTTCCCTTGATCTGTTAATATAATGAATTATGTGCAGAATTTAATTCTCACTATAAACCATCTATACATTCCTATTATAAACTGGCATGTTCAGGACATGTTATTATTTTAATATATTTCTAGATTTGATATAATGAAGATTTTTGCGTCTATATTTGTGAGATAAGTTTGCAGTTATCTTTGTCAAGTTTTAATTTTAGATGGCTTAAGCTTCTTAAAATAAAATGGAACACTTTCTTCTTTTTATCTTTTTTTTTTCCCCTGAAATAATTTAAATTACATAGGAATTATCAGTTGCTCAAGAGTTTGAGGGAGCTCACTGGGGATATCATGTTGTCCCACTATCTATTTTGGTGGTTGCTCTTTGATACCCTGTTCAATTTCTTCTGCAATGCTAAGCCATAAAGGTTCCAGAGTCATTAGACTGCTTGGGTCAAAGTGTGCCAACTTCAGTTACTAGATTACAGGAAGCTTCTTAATCTTTATAAATATCTGTGTTCTTATCTGAACAAATAGGCATAATAATAGGCCCACAGCATAAGGTTGTTGGACAGATTGTGACAATACAAGGTATTCAGTTAGCCAGAGAATACCTGATACTTGCAAGCGCTGAACAAATGTTAGTCATTCTCTTTTTTTCTTTTTTGTTTTTTCTTTTTCATATTTTTAAAATTATACTGTAAGTTCTGAGATACATATGCAAAATGTGCAGGTTTGTTACAGGTTTATACATGTGCCATGGTGGTTTGCTGCACCCAACAACCCCTCACGTACATCAGGTATTTCTCCTAATGCTATCCCTCCCCTTGCCCCCCACCCCCCGACAGGCCCTGGTGTGTGATGTTCCCCTCCCTCTGTCCATGTATTCTCATTGTTTAACTCCCACTTATGAGTGAGAACATGTGGTGTTTGGTTTTTTGTTCCTTTGTTAGTTTTCTGAGAATGATGGTTTCCAGCTTCATCCATGTCCCTGTAAAGGACATGAACTAATTCTTTTTTATGGCTGCATAGTATTCCATGGTGTATATGTGCCATATTTTCTTTATCCAGTCTATCATTGATGGGCATTTGAGTTGGTTCCAAGTCTTTGCTATTGTAAACAGTGTTGCAATAAACATAAGTGTGCATGTGTCTTTATAGTAGAATGATTTATAATCCTTTGGTTGTATACCCTGTAATGGGGTTCCTGGGTCATGATATTTCTGGTTCTAGATCCTTGAGGAATCACCACACTGTCTTCCACAGTGGTTGAACTAATTTACACTCTCACCAAAAGTGTAAAAGCATTCCTGTTTCTCCACATCATCTGTTGGTTCCTGACTTTTTCATGATTGCCATTTTAACTGGCATGAGATGGTATCTCATTGTGGTTTTGATTTGCATTTCTCAAATGACCAGTGATGATGAGTTTTTTTATATGTTTGTTGGCCACATAAATATCTTCTTTAGAGAAGTGTCTGTTCATATCCTTCACCCACTTTTTGATGGGGTTGTTTTTTTCTTGTAAATTTATTTAAGTTCTTTGTAAATTCTGGATATTAGCCCTTTGTCAGATGGGTAGATTGCAAAATTTTTCTCCCATTCTGTAGGTTGCCTGTTCACTTTGATGATAGTTTCTTTTGCTGTGCAAAAACTGTTTAGTTTAAATAGATCCCATTTGTCAATTTTGACTTTTGTTGCCATTGCTTTGGTGTTTTAGTCATGAAGTCTTTGCCAATGCCTATGTCCTGAATGTTATTGCCTAGATTTTCTTCTAGGGTTTTTATGGTTTTAGGTCTTACGTTTAAGTCTTTACTCCATCTTGAGTTAATTTTTGTGTAAGGTGTAAGGAAGGGGTCCAGTTTCAGTTTTCTGCATATGGCTAGCCAGTTTTCCCAACACCATTTATTAAATAGGGAATCCTTTCCCCCATTGCTTGTTTTTGTCAGGTTTGTCAAAGATTAGATGGTTGTAGATGTGTAGTGTTATTTCTGAGGCATCAGTTCTGTTCCATTGGTTGATATCTCTGTTTTGGTACCAGTACCATGCTGGTTTTGTTACTGTAGCCTTGTAGTATAGTTTGAAGTCAGGTAGTGTGATGCCTCCAGCTTTGTTCTTTTTGCTTAGGGTTTTCTTGGCTATATGGGCTCTTTTTTGGTTCCATATGAAATTTAAGGTAGTTTTTTCTAATTCTGTGAAGAAAGTCAATGGTAGCTTGATAGGAATAGCATTGAGTCTATATATTACTTTGGGCAATATGGCCATTTTCATGATATTGATTCTTCCTGTCCATGAGCATGGAATGTTTTTCCATTTGCTTGTGTCCTCTCTTATTTCCCTGAGTAGTGGTTTGTAGTTCTCCTTGAAGAGTTCCTTCACAACCCTTGTAAGTTGGATTCCTAGGTATTTTATCCTCTTTGTAACAATTATGAATGGGCGTTCACTCACAATTTGGCTCTCTGTTTATCTATTATTGGTGTATAGGAATGCTCGTGATTTTTGCACATTGATTTTGTATGCTGAGACTTGGCTGAAGTTCCTTATCAGCATAAGGAGTTTTTGGGGTGAGACGATGGGGTTTTCTAAATATACAATCATGTCATCTGCAAACAGAAATAATTTGACTTCCTCTCTTCCTATTTGAACGCCCTTTATTTCTTTCTCTTGCCTGATTGCCCTGGCCAGAACTTCCGATACTATGTTGAATAGGAATGGTGAGAGAGGGCATCCTTGTCTTGTGCTGGTTTGCACAGGGAATGCTTCCAGCTTTTGCCCATTCAGTATGATATTGGCTGTGGGTTTGTCATAAATAGCTCTTATTATTTTGAGATACGTTCCATCAATACCCAGTTTATTGAGTGTTTTTTAGCATGAAGAGGTGTTGAATTTTATTGAAGGCCTTTTCTGCATCTACTGAGGTAATCATGTGGTTTTTGTAGTTGGTTCTGTTTAGGTGATGGATTATGTTTATTGATGTGCGTATGTTGAACCAGCCTTGCATCCCAGGGATGAAGCCAACTTGATTGTGGTGGATAAGATTTTTGATGTGCTGCTGGATTCAGTTTGCCAGTATTTTATTGAGGACTTTCGCATTGATGTTCATCAGGGATATTGGCCTGAAATTTTCCTTTTTTGTTGTGTCTCTGCCAGGTTTTGGTATCAGGATGATGCTGGCCTCATAAAATGAGTTAGGGACGAGTCCCTCTTTTTCTATTGTTTGGAATAGTTTCAGAAGGAATGGTACCAGCTCTTCTTTGTACCTCTGGTATAATTTGGCTGTGAATCCCTCTAGTCCTGGGCTTTTATTGGTTGGTAGGCTATGAATTACTGCCTCAATTTCAGAACTTGTTATTGGTCTATTCAGGGATTTGATTTCTTCCCGGTTTAGTCTTGGGAGGGTGTATGTGTCCAGGAATTTATCCATTTCTTCTAGATTTTCTGGTTTATTTGCATAGAGGTATTTATAGTATTCTCTGATGGTAGTTTGTATTACTCTGGTGTAGTGATGATATCCTCTTTATCAATTTTTTATTGTGTCTATTTGATTCTTCTCTCTTTTCTTCTTTATCAGTCTGGCTAGTGGTCTATCTATTTTGTTAATCTTTTCAAAAAACCGGATTTATTGATTTTTTTGAAGGGTTTTCGTGTCTCTTCAGTTCTGCTCTGATCTTAGTTATTTCTTGCCTTCTGCTAGCTTTCGAATTTGTTTGCTCATGCTTCTCTAGTTCTTTTAATTGTGATGTTTGGGTGTCAATTTTAGATCTTTCCCGCTTTCTCATGTGGGCATTTAGTGCTATAATTTTCCCTCTAAACACTGCTTTAGCTGTGTCCCAGAGACTCTGGTACATTGTGTCTTTGTTCTCATTGGTTTCAAAGAACTTATTTATTTCTGCCTTAATTTTGTTATGTACCCAGTAGTCATTCAGGAGCAGGTTGTTCAGTTTCCATGTAGTCGTGTGGTTTTGAGTGAGTTTCTTAATTCTGAGTTCTAATTTGATTACATTGATTGTTATGATTTCTGTTCTTTTACATTTGCTGAGGAGTGTTTTACTTCCAATTATGTGGTCAATTTTAGAATAAATGCTATGTGGTGCTGAGAAGAATGTATATTCTGTTGATTTGGGTTGGAGAGTTCTGTAGATGTCTATTAGGTCCTCTGGGCCCAGAGCTGAGTTCAAGTCCTTCTGGGTGGGTGGATTTGTTTACACTGTGAGGGTGAAACCGCCTACTCAAGCCTCAGTAATGGTGGTCCCAGGTCAACTTTAGACTGCTGTGCTGGCAGCGAGAGTTACATTCCAGTTGGTCTTAGCTTGCTGGTCTCTGTGGGGGTGGGACCTGCTGAGTAAGACCACTTGGCTCCTTGGCTTCAGCTTCCTTTCCACAGGAGTGAACAGTTCTGTCTCGCTGGGGTTCCAGGTGCCACTGGGGTGTGAAAAGGAACTCCTGCAGCTAGCTTGGTGTCTGCCCAAATGACCGCCCAGTTTTGTGCTTGAAACCCAGGGCCCTGGTGGTGTAGGCACCTGAGGGAGTCTTCTGGTCTGCTGGTTGCAAAAACTGTGGGAAAAGTGTAGTATCTGGGCTAGATAGCACCGTCCCTCACTGCACAGTCCTTCGTGGCTTCCCTTGGCTAGGGTAGGGAGTTCCCTGACCCCTTGCACTTCCTGGGTGAGGTGACACCCTGCCCTGCGTCTGCTTGCCCTCCATGGGCTGCACCCACTGTCTAACCAGTCCGAATGAGATGAACTGGGTACCTCAGTTGGAAATGCAGAAATCACCCGCCTTCTGCGTTGGTCTCGCTGGGAGCTGCAGACCAGAGCTGTTCCTATTTGGCCATCTTGTGCTGAGTTCTCCCCCTAGCCATTTTCTTATGCTTGCTTCATCTGTTCAGATTTGCTCCCTTTTTAGGAGGCAATTTTAGTCAATAGGACATGTCTAGACAATTAACTACTTCATTGAGAGTTAAACATTTATTACAATACAGTTGTTTTTAGTGTTAGTTGATAGCTTATGATTTTAAAAATTCTCTGCATCTGTCATTGCTATTCCTTTCCAATACTGAATGATATGTATTTGTGCTTTTCCCCTCATGTTTCTTGATTTGCTTTGTTTTGATTTTGTTTATTTTATTGGTATTTTCAAATATCGGAGTTATTTATTAATGTCATTATTTTTCTATCTTTTATTTTATTAATTTATGTTTTACTTCATTATTTTTTAATTCTTGCTTTCTTTATTTTGCTACTGATGACTTTTTTCTAGCTTCTAGAGTCCATTAATATTTCATTGATTTTTATTCCTTTTTTAGTAATAAACACATGTAAAGTTAGAAATTTGTAAGTGCTTAACACTTGATTAATATTATATAAGTAGAGGTTGGAAAACCAAGACTATGGGTCAAATCCAGCCTGCTGCCTGTTTTGATAAATAAAGTTTTATTGGAACACATCTACACCCATTCCTTTATGTGTTGTGTATTGTGTATGTGTACTTCTACATAATCACAGTATGAATTGGGTAGTGTGACAGTTCTTATGGTCCACAAGTCTAAAATATGTACTTCCTTTACTGGAAAAGTTTGCTGATCCCTAACATAAAGCATTTCATAGTTTTTGACATATAATTTTGTGATTATTTTATTTTCTAAATCATCCATAATTAGGACCCAAAAGATATCTAGGAAGGCATTTTCATTTCCTAATGATTTGAATTTTTTTGCTTATAATTTTGTTAATTTCTAGTTTTATTGCATTTAGACAGAATATGGCCTATGTAACTTCAATTTTTTTAGATTTATTAAGATTTTCTTTTTTTCTAAACCCCCTAACATCCTTTAAAAATTTTCTTTTAAGGCCTAAAGGTATGATCAACTTTTGTAAATGTTCCAAGGACGTTGAAAAATGATGCATATTCTTAACAGAAAAAAATGGATATTTGTTGACTTAATTATTTGTTTGAACCATAATTCTTTATTTGCTTATTGTCTAAAGATTAAGAACTCAAGATGAAGCTATCATTGTGATTTTTATCAGTTTCTTCTTGTGCTTTTGTTAGCTTTAGTGGTTTATTTTGATGCTAAGTTACTTAACTTGTAAACATTCATGGGTGCAGACACGATAGAAGCATAGGCTTGAAAAGCACCTGTTAGTGGAGCTTGCTCTTTCATTGCTCTTGGGACTCCTACTGCAGCGGCTGGGTAGGCAAGCACTGGCCAGCAGGCTGGATGATGAGATCCATGTGGCCACATTTCCACCACTGGCCCTGTTGGCCTAGTCATCCAACCACAGTTGCAGAGTCATGGCAGCTGATCACACATGAAGAACGAGCCCAGCTGAGGTGATGACGACTGCCCAGTTGAGCTCAACTCAAATTGCCAACCCATAGAATACTGAGCTAAATAAATGGCTATTGTTTAAGCTACTAAATTTTGGCATGGTTGGTTATACAGCAAAAACCAACAATTTTATTGCAAGGTTTGCCTTTCATTGATATAAATGGACTTTCCTTGTCCAATTATAAATTTTTTCATGTATTCTATTTCAACCATATCATCTCTTTTACTATTTTTTTAATTATAGTTTTCTGTGATGTCTTTGCTCATTGCTTTATTTTTTGGCCTTGATATGTCATTTTGTTTCGGTATGCTGTGGCGAACTGTATTTTCCCCAAATGGCCAAAATTAGCTCCTGTTCCTCATGATTTTTTTACAGTAGGTCCTTGACACTTCTCCTATGCAGAACTGGGTGTATGTTCCCTCCCCCTTAAATGTGGGTGGATTCATGACAACAGCAGAAGACTATGTAATTTCAAGGTTAGGCTATAAAAGGCAATATGGTGTCCACATGGTTCTCTTGGGATGCTTGGTCTTAGAACCTAGCAGTCATACAGTGAGGAAGCCCAAGCAGTCGTATAGAACATTTTGCTCTCCATTAAACATAGTAAGCTTGTTTCAGCCTCAAAGATTTTGTTGCTTCACTGGAATTTTTTTATTCTACATTTTATATGGCTTATTTCCTCAGTGGCTTAAGTTCTCTGCTTAAGAATCATGTCATTGAAAGACACTCTAAGAAACTCCTATCAAAAATATTTTTCCTCCAGGCTTGTCACTCTTGTCTTGTTTCACTTTTTTTTTTTAGCAGTTATCACAAACTGATATTGTATTATTTGTTTATTCGTTTGCCTGTTAATAGATTGTCTCTCCCACCTAGCATATAAACTCCATGAGAACTGAGATTTTACCTGTGTGATCTTACTGAGACAGTTGACATCTCTGCTGCTGTATCCCTGAATACTATTTTTTGAGAAAGAGGTTCCCAATAAATATTTGTTGAATAAGTGAATGCATTTTTACTTACTTATTGGATGACTGGATTATTCCCTCTGTGTATTTGTTTAAATCTGAGAAAATATATAGGTAATCTTTATACTTTTCCTGCATGCCTGAGAGTGTCTTTTTGTTGCTTCTAACTTCAAATGGTTTGGACTTAATATTTTTGGATCATAATTCACTTCTCCTTCCCCATAACCGGATAACATTTCATTTTCCTCTGCCATGAGTGCTATGGGAGATAAATCCAATGCCAGCCTGATTTCACTTTTCATTTGTAGGCGTCATTATTTTTCCCCAAGTAAATGGGTGTAAGACTTTGTCTTTGCCTTTAAATATAAAACTGTCAATCACCTGAATATGTTTAACCCTTATATTTTCTATTGCTGCTGTGATCAATTATCATAAGCTTAGTGGCTTAAAACAATGCAAACTTATTATTTTACAATTCTGGCCATTAGAGTTCAACACAGATCTTCGTGGGTTAAGGTCAAGGTCTTGGAAGGGCTGCATTCCTTTCCAGAGGCTCTAGAGGAGCTGTCTCATTGCTTTTTCCAGCTTCTAGATGCTGCTCACATTCCCTGCTTCATGGCCCCTTCCTCTATCTTCAAAGCCAGAAAAATCAGGCTGAGTTCCTTTTGCTCTCTGCATTTCTCTGATGCTTCTCTCTGGATTTTCCTCTTCTGCCTCCCTCTTCTGCCTCCCTCTTCTGCTTTTAAGGACTTTTGCGATTACATTTGGCCCACCAGGATAATCCAGGTTAATTTCTCTGTTTTGAAGTCAGCTGGGTAGCAACCTTAATTGCATCTGCAACACCAATTCACCTTTGCCATGCGATATAACATATTATATTTTGCACTTTGTTTTGTTCTTTCATTCAATAGATTCCTTTATATGTAGATTTAAGGTAAATCTTATCTCTTTATCTGATATCCTGAGTTTTATAATTTCCCACACCAATCTTCTAAATGACTTATTTGGTTCATCACAGTGTCTAATCTTCTGTTCTTAACTGTGTTGCATTTTAAATTTATTGCAAGTAATTTTAAATCTGAAACCAATATTTCTGATGTAGAATCATTTCATTTGATTAAAGAATGTATCTTTTCCTGTTTTTGAAATATGAATCAGAAATTTAAAAAAAGTTTTTACTTGCCTCATGGAGCTAGTCTGTTTTGTAGGGGAAAATTTGTTTTGATTGCTTTCTAAAGTTGAGTGCATTTTTATTTCTTTGCTCATGCTATTTTTTGTGGTCTATATAAAATACCTTATTAAAATTAAGATAAATTTCTATCAAGATGATATTTGTAGGTGGTTTTAAAAACCAAATCGTACAGATTATGCTCTTCTTCTGCCTCTCCCCTTTACCAGTTTCACTCCTCAGAGGAAAACACTTTAAAATTTTTATTCTGTGACTGCCTCCATGGTAGACAGAATTCTAAGATGGCCCCAGGATTTCCTCTACATGGTGGACATGCCTGTCTAATCCCCTCTCTTTGAGTGTGGGTGGGACTTGCCAATGTGATTGGGATATCACTTTTGTGATGAAGTTACATTATATAGAAAAGGTAAAGGGATTTTGCAGAGGTAATTAAGGTTCCTAATCAGTTGACTTTAAGTTAATTGAAAGAGGTTGTCCTGAGTGGGCCTGACCTAATCAGATGAGCCCTTTCAAACAGGGTCTAGAGGCTCTAGATTTGGTGTGGTGGCTCACGCCTGTAATCCCAGCACTTTGGGGGGCCAAGGAGGGTGGATTGCTTCAGGCCAGAAGTTCAAGACTAGCCTGGCCACCATGGTGAAACCCTGTCTCTACTAAAAATACAAAAATTAGCTGGGCGTGGTGGCACGTGCCTGTAATCCCAGCTACTTGGGGGGCTGAGGCATGAGAGTCACTTGAACCTGGGGGACAGAGGTTGCAGTGAGCCGAGATCATGCCACTGCACTCCAGCCTGGGCAACAGAGTAAGACTCTGTCTCAAAAAAAAAAAAAAAAAAGAAGGTCTAGAGATAAGAGACAGGGGAAGCCAGAGATATTCAAAGCAACAGAGATCCTCTCTACCAGTCTTTAGAAAACAAAATGCCATTTTGTGGAGAGGACCACATGACAGGGAGTGGTGGGTAGTTCCTGGGAGCTGAGGGCCTCAGTTCTACCACTGTAAAAGAACTATATTTTGCCAACAAGAAGTGAATTTGGAAGAAGACCCCAAGTGTCAGATGGGATCACAGGCCTGGCTGACCCCTCGATTTAGCCTGATGTGATCCTGAGTCAAAGAGCCAGTTAACCCATGCCAAGTCCCTGACCATGGAAACTGTGAGGTAGTAAGCACATGTTGCTTTAAGCAGCTAAGTTTGTGGTATTTGTTACACAGCAGTGGGAAACAATTACACCTCCATATTTCTGAATACTATGCTTATGTTGCTATTTATGGAATTACTAATTTTAAGACATCAAATATTTCCACCTTTTCTGAATGGCGGAGTTAGTTCACTTACAATACTTCATCTCCTCTCCCGCTTTCTGCCCAATTAGAGCTCTAACAATGGGCTGACAAGGCTACTTGACTTTATCTTTGCCCCAAGGATGAATCTTAATTGGACTTCATAGCTCAAGGTCTTCTCAGTTTTATCTTTTGCCAATTGGAGATGAGAAACAGTTCCATTTTCTAACCCTGCAAGTCCTGAAATTTATGGCCTCTCTGAACTCTCTTTGAATTCCTCTTGCAAAATGGCCATTTCTTTTGTGAGCTTATTGCTTTCTTACTGCGTCTTGTCAAATGCAGCCATTAGCAAATATCCAATGTTATCCACAGTCTGTTTTCCCATTTCTTTGCTGAAACCAGAAGTTTATTAGTTACATTTTTTGCCTTCTAGTTATCACAGGCAATAGTTTTTTTCAAATGCTTCACCACTACATAAAAAGCCTTTAATATCAATTTTCTTGCCACCTGCTACTCAGCCCTAAATCCTATCATGTGTTTTATTAGTGTTGGCACCTCACTTCCAGTATGTCTTTCAATTGTTCAGCTTCTCTGTGGTAACAAAAAACACCAAAATTTCCATGGCTTATGGTAATAAAGGCTGAGTTCTGCTGAGGTGGCTGTGGCCTGGCCATGGGTCTGCTCCATGGGTCTCTATTCCAGGATTCAGGCTGAAAGAGCAGGCTCTCTCTGAATTAAATTACACGGTGGTTTTATAAAATGGCCCTTAACACTTTTCCTTAAAAAAAAAAAATCACATCACTTCCGCTTACATTTTAATGACCAAAGCAAGTCACATGGTCAAGCTTCTCATCAATGGGTCAGGTGTGTGTGTAATCCTCCTTCCGGTAGGGGCAGTGAGTACCTACCCTGGACACCACAGCCAGCACTAATACCCTGGGAGAAGGTATTTGTAAGTCACACAACCAAGAAAGGATTAGCTTCTATAATATAAAAAGGCAGGAAACCAATAGAACTACAGGCAAAGGACATGAGTAGGAAATTTGCAGGGGGGAAAGCCAAATGCTTGTCAGGATATGGAAAGATGCTCAATCTCATTAGCAATCAGAGACATGCCAATTAAGTCAAGATAATCAACAAACTGTCAGACATTTTGAAGTTGGAAAACATCAGCATTGACTTGAACATGGGGAACTCTTTGTGTCCTGCTGGCGAGAGGTGCGGGTGAGGGCAACTATTCTGGAAAGTAATTTGGGAGGAAAAAGGAAGATGGCATAGACAGTGAAATGATGGAGGTGTCCTGGATTTGAAAGATCTCAGTTTCTGGGATGATTTTCACATCATCTTTCCAGTGGCACTCCTCCCTCCTCATTCAGAACTTGGGTGGGGTTCCATTTACTAGGTCGCTGGACCACAGGGCAAGACCTTGTCTGGTTGCTCTCCACTGTGTCCCCTGCACCTGATACTGTGCTAAGCACAGGGGACACTCAGCATTTGTTTGGTGAATGCCTATTTTAAAAATACATTTGAAGCAGAGTGCCATGCCTCTTTTAGGACACTAAAGTATGGATTTTCCATTGTACAGTTGTATTGTCTGAGTACTTATTTGAGATCCCATTTATCATCTGATAAAAGCTTTCATCATTTAGTTTAATCTGTACTTCTGCACAGTGACTCATACAAGGCCAGAAAGATATCAGACTGCTCAGGTCCCACCTATTGATAATAACTTACCAGAAGAGAAATGTATTTTGGGGAGCTTTCTATTTGAGGTGGAAGGGATCTTTGACAGCACAAAGTCCACCAGGTAGCCTTAAGCAATAGTTTGAAATAGTTGAATGCTTTTTAGGAATGTCGTTCTTTCTGAGCTGATAGGGAGCTTTCAGATCACTTGTTAGTGATCTGACACCTTGTTACTTTGAGCCATGGGCAAATTGCGTGAACATCATCTTCTGAAAGTCTCAAGGCCAGCCTTGGAAAACAGGAGTTAAGTAATTTTAGCATTATCTTAAAATGTAACACCTAGTGTGCCAGGCCCATGATCCAGCATTTCCTTGCTGGATTTGGGAGTCAGTCTTCTCCCTGTGGGAGCAGCACTGATGTCTAGAGTAGCTGCTGTTTCCAAGTAGTCCAGGATGTTCCATTGACTCCATCTCCTCTGAATTCTCAGAGCACTGTGTGCATCCCAGGGTCCCCTAACCAGGTGTGCATCGTGGTCCCTAGGCAGCTCCTGCAGATCCTGATGTATGAGGTTTGGTGCACTTTGGCTTCAGTAATATATATATATACACACACACACACACATATATATGACATATATATGTTTCACGTATATATATATCTCATATATATATATATAAAATATATATAATACACATTTAACAAGCCTCCTAAGTGATTCTCAATTGCACAGGAAATTGAGAACAACTGACGTATAATTATATTGCGTTGTGTTATTCTTAGCTATTGTTTCTTGTGCTTTAGTAAGAAATTTTACACCAGTTTTATAATCTTCTGAGGCAGATAGTATATCTTGATTTTCTTTGTATTCCTCCTAGCCTTTGTGATGGGCCTGTAACAGGCATTCAGCAGATGCCTGTGAACTGATAATTAAAAAGTCTTAAAAGCACTTAGAGTATTTTCCTTTACTGGAAGAAATTCTGCCTTTCTTGTGGGTCCTGGGTCTTTGTTCCTTTGTCAGCTGTTCCTTTTGATTCCTTTTTTGCTACTTCAGGGTTCATGTTCCTAGTCTCCATATTATCTAATGACACCCACAGGTACCAATGGTCTTTCACAGGTATTGCTTGGCTTATTTTAGGTGGGCTTGCGTATTACCTCTTGGGGTAATAAGTATTTGGCCCCGTAGCCAAGGATCTAGGACAGAGATCATCTATTTTTCAAGCTGTCCATTGACCACAGCTCCACTCCTGTATCCTGGAGACAGGCTGAGTAAGGAGAGATAATCAGCTGTGCCAGTGCTGCTTGGATATTCCGTTTCTCCCGTGCTTCAGTTGGCAGCAGGTCAGGCTGTGGTCAGTAACTGTGGTAGGATATGCTGCTCCTTCCCACAACAACCTTCTTGGTTTCTATGCTGGTGGCTGTGCCTTGGGTGCCAGTTTTCCTTCAGGTGTCCCTCGCTAGTCAGGGCATGGACCCCTACAATTTACCAATGAAGGGCACAGCATTTACCCCAGGACAGCCGTTAGCCTTCCCTTACCTGTCTCCAAATTGGGTGCCAGGGAAGGTAGCATTCCAGGCATGTTCTGAGCCCACCCTGAAGGAAAGCAACTCTCTACTCTGCTAACTATGGTTCCATTTAACCCAGCACAAAGCAAGAAGAAGCATACATTTAAGTAGCCTTGGGAAAGGGTTTGTTTACTAAGCTACCCAATATTCAATAAGCCATCTAAGTGACAATTAGTAGAATAAACAGTTTCTCTGGCATAAAGTTAATTTTGCTGTGACCTTTTGTAATAATGATATACCATATGTTTGAGTCCCCTCCCAGATTAAGTCATGACTGGAGAATAACCGATGAGGGTACAGGAAGCAGGTGGATTCAGGAGGAGGAGGACTGTCTGGCCCTAGATTCCGCAGAACATGAAGCCAAGGGAGATGTTAAAAAATTTCTTTTTTTTGGTTGGGAAAGAGATGGGGTGGGTTAGAAGAATGAGTGAAGCATGCTGTCTACCAGAATCTAAAGGGACTGAGCAGAAAGGCAGAATATATTTATAAGGTGTCATATAGAAATTGAGCCTCCAAGGAAGTTAATTTCAGAATGGAGGGTCCACCTGGAAAGACCGCTCAAGATGCAGGAATAGGGCATATGGGTTACAGAGCATGTGGTCTTCCTTATGGCTGGGAGGCAGATTTGCAGTCTTTCGAGTGTATGTATGTGTATATATACACATATATATGTATACATATATGTATGTATATATATGTATACATATATGTATATATGTATGCATATATATACATATATATACGCATTATATATATATATATTTGCAGTTGATCTTCCCAACACGCTAGTAAGATAGTTGGAGTGGGTTGTATTGTCCTGTGCAACTTAGGTTTTGTTGTATAACAATCCATCCTGAGTTATTTATTTTCATGGATGGCTTAGCTGGGTGGCTCTACTGATCTCTGCTGCATTTGCTGATGTGGAATGAGAGTTGACTGGATTTGGCTGGAGAGTCTCAGCTGGGAGACTCATCTTTGCTCTACCTGTCTCTCTTCCTTCTCAGGACTCAGGGAGCTGGACCAGGGTTGTCTTTCCCATGGCAATGGCAGAGGCTCAAGAAAGTAAGTAGAAACCTGCAAGGACTCAGCCTAGGCTGGGAACTGGGGCATTGTTTCTGTTGTATTCTATTGACCGAAATCATGTGGCTGAGCCTAGGGTCAGAGTGGGGGGCATTAGTAAGTTACTTGTTAAAGGGTGAGCATATAAGAGGGGTAAAGAATTGGGTCATCGTTGCATCAACTTTAGCACCTTATTTCACAGGTACAGAAACAAAGCTTAGAGATGAAGTGACTTTCTCAGGATGTACAGCTCCTTGGTGCCCACGCTGGGAGAATAACCCATGTCACCATCTATCTAATGTGTTATTTCCCATTACAAATATGACCCATATGAGAACAGTGGGTTAGTTGTAGTTCTGTTACAGTGCCTGGTGGTATCTGGTGAGCATTTTGAATAAATTCTCTGGAAAATAGATTCGATTTTAAAAAAAAAACCTTGGCTGTCAAAATCTGATTTCTTGGTTGAATAAAATGGCTTTGTTATTCAGATCCTTTGGGTCTAATTTTATTTTACATGAATTTAGTTAAAAAATTGATTACAATTCCCCTTCCATTTGGTGCTGTGGGTGGTATAATTGGAAGTTTAGAAAAGACAGAAATGGCTTTAAATGATTCACGTACCCACCTAAAATTTGCAGAAGGGTAAAAAATATAGGAGACGTCAGGTAAAAGATTTTGCATTAGACTCTTTTTTTAGGTTTAACTATCTTGAGTCTTTCTAACATCAATGCCCAGTGGGCCTTTTTATCAGTTTATGTTGGAAAACAATCTCAAAGGACTCCGTCCACTTGTCATCCTTCTCCCTTTTACAATTGGCAGCACACATGGCTCCGGGAGAACTTGGAGGCTATGCACTATTGTTGCCACACGCCAATCAAGATGAATCCCGCTTGTCTCTCTCCGGCTCTTGCTGTCAGTGATGGAGATATCAATATGTTCAAGTTTCAGTTTGTTGTCAAATGTTTTTCACTCGCTCAAAACCTATTAGCATCTCCACTCTGGAGGAACGCCTTTGAGACTTGGGCCAAATGGTTGGCAGCAAAACATTCTGAGCACCCAGGATGTAACCTGGACCAAGCACTCAATTTTTACGGCTCAAGGATATAAGAAATGCATCTGGAAATTTTGGCTTAAATGTGAACCTTAACCTCACTGGGAATGGACCAGGCTGGGGTAAATGACTGGAGATGAGGACATCTGTACCCCTTGGGTGTTGTGGGTCGAGGCGGCTAGGAAAGGATGGCTCTTTGGGAAAGCGTCATGACAAGGCCGTTGGCTTCTGGACTTTGTGCCTCCATGGTGCACAGGCAAATGGATTCTTTCAGGGGTCAAAGCTCTAGTACCAACAATGGTCAATCATTTGTTGGCACCAGGGGCTTGTGATTCCACTTGTCCCTTTCCACATGGTCCCTTATAGTCCACTGCTGCTCTAGTGCTACCTGGCTATAAATGCCATGGCTGTAAATGCGGAGGAGTGGGGGCGGGGCAGTGTTTTGCACAAGCTTGCGTTTGCAGTTGAATTCTAAGCTTTCCCTTCTCCTGTCCTCACTCCTTATTTTCCATGTTGACTGTCCCATCTCCTGACTGGAAGCTTGAGGTCTGGTGTCTGTTCTTTCCCTTGGGCTTAATGCCCTGCTTTTTTTCCCCACCATGACCTCACCACCTCCTGACCATGACTCTGACTCTTCATCCCCACCTCTGCTGCCTGTGGCTACCTTGAATACTCACCCCCACCTAGACCGGTGGGGGACCCTCCCAATTTAAGGAAGATATTTTCACTGAACCCTAACGTGCTTAGGCCTGGTGAGGGGGAACTGGACATCTCTGGTCTTTCTGGTGTCCACATAGGATTTTCTTCTTACTCTTGAGACATCTGCATCGGCAGAGGCCATCCCAGAGCCTGCAACATAAGCCTTCTTTCCTACCTCTCAGAGCCCTCCCTGGCATTCTTTTTTCTACATACACCCTGTTGCCTGTACCCATGGTCTCCCAAACATCTGTTTCATAGAACTGATCACATGGCACTGTGATTATCTATCTTTACCACTAGATGCAAACTCCTTCAAGTCTTTGATTATAGCTTAATCACAACAGCATCATTTTCTGAATGCTCCTAATGGACTCTGAAGGTTAATTTTCTGTGTCAACTTGACTGGGCCATGGTACCCAGATATGTGATCAAATAAGTCTGGATGTTGCGGTAAAGCTGTTTTTTGGATGCGATTAACGTTTAAATCAGTAGGCCTAGATTAAAGCAGATTGCCCTCCATAATGTGGATGAGCTTCATCCAATCAGCTGAAGATCTTGAGAAAAGACAGACCTCCCAGAGGAGGAGGGAATCTGTCACCAGACTGCCTTCGACTCAAGCTGCAAGATCAGCTCTTTCCTGGGTCTCCAGCCTCCCACCCTATCCTGCAGATGTTGGACTAGCCAGCTCCCACAATTGTATTATCTAGTTCTTTAAAATAAATCTCTCTGTATATATATTTATACACATAGTCTATTGGTTCTGTTTCTCTGCAAACCCTGACTAATATATGGTCAAATCACTATACTAAAAGTAATACATATTATCTCAGTTAACCCTTGGGTGACAGCCTCCTAAAGAGTGTATCATTATTCTCACCTGATAAGTGGATAAACTGAGTCATAGAACAGATTAAGAACTTGCCCAAGGTAGCATAGCTGGTAAGTGGCAGAAATGGGACTTGTACTGGAAATGATTCCTGCTAAAGCGAGTGATCTTAACCCATGACTCCTTCTCCTTGGCATCTCCATGTCTGGTCCAGCACCTGGGTCTAATATTTATAGCAGGCTGGTAAATGTATAAGTGAGTGAATAAAGTCACAGACTTCCTTCTATTTTATTACCTCTTCATCTTATGGAAAATCACTTAAACATTGTACAGGGAGTATATAAGAGCTAAGACTTTTATAGCATATGCAAATCTATAAAATATTGATCCCAAAATGTTATGTCTTCCTTGAGGTAAAGTGATAAAAGTCGACCTGGAGAAGTCTTATAACTCAGTTGAGATTTGTTGGACAGTAGCTTTGTGACTGCTTTTAGGATCTTATGGGGGACTTTACTTGCGTCTTCCATCTCAACTCTGGTGGATATGGTGGACTGGAACTCAATGTGAATTCCAGCTTCTTTCCATTACAGAATGAGCTTTCCTTTACCGCAGAGTCTGGAGGCAAACCATCACATTGCCAGTCTCCCTTGCAACTCTGGTTATGAATGTGAATTGGGTTCCAGCCTTCAGAGGCGGCTTGCTGAGATTTGGAAGTGCAGGTTCAGAGGGACACTCATTCTTGTGCTTTGGCTGTTGCTGCTGTCAAGTAGGGTCATGGAGATGACAGGGTTTAGCTGCTGGATGGTGCAGACTTCACAGCAGTGTTGGCAGCCGGTGCAGTGTTTGGGCATCGCTCGTTTGAAGGCAGAGGAACTCAGTATTGTGATTTCTGTCCCCAGCTTGGCGCAGGAGGAGCCAATATTCCCTGTGGCGAGTTGTACTAGGGCTGCACTTTTAACTCCTGTATTTCTAACTGGCCTCCGAGGGTCAGTTTGGCCCCTGGTTCCGGGAGTTATTCCTGGAGGCCCAGCTCACTCTTCCAAACCTTCTGACAATTTTATAGGTACTTAGTTCCCTGCCTTGTCTTGTTCTGCTTAAAATAGCTAGACTAGTTTCTGCTTCCTGTAAATGAGCCTTGACTGATGTCACTGCCTTAATAACTGTAGAAATGTGGAGTTGATCCACTGGTTGGCTCATTAGTGCATTTTCTACTTCTTGCTTCTATAATACATACTACGCTCAGGTTTGTCCGTGGTCATTTTCCATGCTCATTGGAGAGAGCTGGGAAAGGGAGGAAACCCTCCAAGAGAAAGTTTACCAAAGTGAATTCCTGAATTTGGAACAACCACATCAAAGAGAACAACAAAGATGGTGCCAGGTCCTTTCTTGGGGATGTGTTCTCTGAGTTTCACAGTTATTGCTTACTTCCATCTTTTTTTTTTTAATTTTATTATTATTATACTTTAAGTTTTAGGGTACATGTGCACAATATGCAGGTTAGTTACATATGTATGCCTGTGCCATGCTGGTGTGCTGCACCCATTAATCATTAAAAAGTCAGGAAACAACAGGTACTGGAGAGGATGTGGAGAAATAGGAACACTTTTACACTGTTGGTGGGACTGTAAACTAGTTCAACCCTTGTGGAAGTCAGTGTGGCGATTCCTCAGGGATCTAGAACTAGAAATACCATTTGACCCAGCCATCCCATTACTGGGTATATACCCAAAGGACTATAAATCATGCTGCTGTAAAGACACATGCACACGTATGTTTATTGCAGCACTATTCACAATAGCTTACTTCCATCTTGCAACCTTATTTTCTATCGTCCTTTATTTCTGAATGTCTGCATATTTTCTTTTAAGTCTGCTGATCTGGAGCTTTCTGCTATGTAAATATTTCTATGTAAGCCCCTCGTTGCTAACTTCTGAGTCCAGGAAACTTGTCCCTATGCCAAAATGATGGATTTCTCTTTTGTGCCATTTAATTCCAGGACAGTGTAGATATGATTTTACCAATTTTGTCACTTGTCAATTAATAAGGAACAGAAAAGTCAATTTGGGGATAAATAAGAGTGTCATGGGATTTGCTCAAAACTATGAAATTTTAGTTCCAAAAGGGACCTTGGGTTTTCATGTGGAATTTTTGTCCTCAGTTTATTTTTTTTTTAATTTTATTTATTTATTTTCAGAGACAGGGTCTTGCTCTGTTACCTGGCTGGAGTGCAGTGGCACATCATGGATCACTGTAGCTTCAACTCTTTGGCTCAAGTGATCCTCCTGCCTCAACTTCCCGAGTGGCTGGGACCACAGGCATGCACCACCATGTCCAGCTAATTTTTTAAAAATAATTATTTTTTGTAGAGATGGAGTCTCCCTATGTTGCCCAGGCTGGTCTTGAACTCCTGGGCTCAAGTGATCCTCCTGCCTTGGCCTCCCAAAGTGCTGGGATTACAGGCGTGAGCCATTGCGCCTGGCCCTTTCTCCCCATTTTAAACATGAGTAAACTGAGGCCCAGGGAGATGTATAGGAAAATGTTCTCAAGCTCACAGGGTGACTGTGGCAGAAACAGGCTCAGAGCAGAGTCACAACTTTGAGAGGTGTTCTTTCTGCATGGCTGAACTCACAGAAAAGGCTTTGTTGAACTTACTGACTTATTGTAGATTTGAGAATATGCACACGATGAAGGTAAACTGTGTTTTTTTTCCCGTTTTTACTGTGTGCACATTTATTTATCAAGATGATTTTCTAAATACAAATGTAATTTTCTAATGATAGGAAATGGCATGTTTGGATTGTTTTTAAGGACTACTACAGTGCTAAATCACCTTTAGTATATGAATACTTGCTAAATATTTAATATAAATAATTAATTTTTAACCATTGATTTTTTTGGCTGATATTAATTATCATCATAATTTATTTAAAGAGCACAGGAGACATCTAAGATAGTTTAAGGGAAGTCAAATGTCATGCTACAGGGTCAAGGGCAAATTGGCTCCAGTTCCTTCGGTTATGTCCTGAATGTGCCAGGCGGTGAAACTGAGTTACCGGGAGGAAGCGGCATTCCAAGCAAGTGACCACTGAGGCATGGGCAGCTTGCTATGGGTTCAGCTGACGTTGTTGAATTTTTAGAAAATGAGAGTTTAATGAATTCCAGATGAAGAGATTATTCACTCTGCAATGTTTTAAATCCTCTTTACGAAGCACACAGAACAGCACTGTATGCGATCAAGAATTCAGTAGCAGCTTGCAATAAGGCTGTTTTCCAATGTTGAGATGTTAAGGATATTTGTACAGAAAGGACAGACTTAGCCTAGAGAGTCAGAATTTCACGTACAATGTGGCCACGTTGGTGTTCCCCCTTTCCACGGAGGGCCACACAGGCCAATCCTGTTTGCTACAATCAGTCCTGCATGAGCTGTTACACGGGATGCCAAGAGGACAGAGCCCTGTTTTCAAGGAGGATTTCCTCCTTTTGGGGTGACAAGACTACTTGTACATGGCCCTGGCAAAGAAAAACCATGTGATAACAGATGGTGATGACTGCAAGGGGCAGTGAAGAGGGTCAGAGAAGGGAGGGGGGCCAGTGAGGGCCAATGGTTCTCACATCTCATGGCTCACCATCTGGAAATACTTCTGACTGTCACAACTTGCAGGGAGGCTTGTACTACTGGTATTTAAGGATGCTGTTAAACATCCTATGATGTACAGGACAGCCTTCCAAAATAAACAATTGTCCTGCTCAAAATACTGATAGTGCTAGGCTGGAGAGACCCTCGTGTGGGCGGAAGTAATGGGTCGGGCTTTATGGAGGAGGTGAGGTTTAATTTCCCTTTTCATTCATTCCTTCTTCTATTTGTTCAATATTTATTTAGTGCCTACTCTTACCCAGTGTCTGTTTTGTCCTGGAGATATAGCAGGGAATGAATCAAAGTAGCTCTGTGGCCAAAGTAGTTCTTAAGGTTTAGCGGGAAAAAAAAATACAATTCAGGAAAAAAATTAAGGTATGATGATTATGTTGATGGGGGAGCAAAGGTGCCAAGGGAACCCACCACAGGAAGACCCATCTCAGCCATGAGGTCAGGAAACTTCTCCCAAAGCGAAATATTTCTTCAACCACAACTGGAGGGGTAGTGGGAGCTGGTCCCATGGGTGCACCTGAATGAGTGGGTGTCAGGAGAGGGGGCGCAGAGGCAGCGGCATTGTTTCGAGGCAGATGGAGCAGCTTGTGTAAAATTTGGAGACAGCGAGAGGGTAGTGGGGCGTGGTCCTGCCCATCAGAGGATGCCAGGAGAAGAGCAGAGAGACGAGGCTACAGAAGTACACAGGCTCCTCCACTGGGAGTGCCTGAGTTAGTTAAGAGTTCAGATTTCATCCTAAAGACCCTAAAAAATATCGAAGACTCATTTGAAAGTCTTAAAGCAGTGGAGTGACAGATCAGATTTAAGTTCTGGGAAGTTCAGTCCAGCTGCAGTGTTGAGGTGAGATTGGAGGAGAATGAACTAGGGCATGGAGGTCATTGAGGCTGATGGGCTGGGAGGGGCAAGAGAGGCCTTCGGAGCAGTGTGGTGAGGATGGGAGTGGCCAAAGCAAACCCATATGCTGAAGAGGCAGATGCAGGGCACTTACTTGAAGTGAAATAGGAGGGAGGTGGCAAGGAAGATGTTCACATTTTTGCCTGAGCAAGCCAAACATTTTGGGTACCATTTCCAGGGTGCACTAGACAGGGCGCTCTCTTCTTCAGTAGCAGCTGGAATAACATGAATAATATTGCAGAATGATGTCGAGTTCCATTTTGGACTCATAGAGTTTGAGCTTCCTGAGGGACATTCACTCAGATTTGTTGACTGACCCCAAGAGATGATCCTCTGAGAGTCACAGTTGATAAGGCTGTGTAGGGGAGGCAGAAGAGAAGAGCTCTGAGAAACAAAACGTTCAAGGACAGGTTTGCGGGAGGAGCTCCCAGAGGAGGGGCTGGAGTGGCAGAAGCCAAACCAGAGGAAGGTGGCATCCGAGAAAATAAGAGTAACTTGGAGAAAGAGGGAGTGAGATGCACTGTCCTACCGCTGGCTGTTGTTCAGGATAATGACTCCAAACCTTCCATGCCTGTGAGGACATGAAGGTCCCTGCTGATCTTGAATGAGCAGTCCAAATGGAGCATTGGATGTGGAAGCCAGGCTGGAGGGGATCAAGGAGAAGAGGGGAGCAGAGGGTGTGTGTGGAAATGAGTGCTAAAGCAGCTGTAGCCGGAGGTCTGTTCAAGCCACTTAACAGCTGGTATAGCAATGGGCATGTGCCCAGTGGAATGGCTGCAGGCAGGGAGAGCTGATACCAGATCTGGCTATAGCTCTGATGGACATATTTTCCAAAATAAAAGAGGACAGCTTTAAAAAAACATTTTTAAAAACATGTAGTGTAGGGGAAAAAAATATAGAAACTCTGGGACATGTGTTTATCAAGGAATGGCCCATCCCTGGTGGTTCATTTGGCGCAGTATATGCAGGCAAGAGGGACCAAGATAATGTCAAGGTCATTGAAGGGTGAACTCAAGTCAGGTGTCTTAATAATCACACCACTGACATGCTGGTATTTATACCTGTAATGTAATTTGTAGCACTTCTGCCGGAATTTATTAGCTAACAGAAGTAAATGCACTGGAAAGATGAATCTTTCTATACATTTGAGATAGTGTATACATTTTACCTAGCAAGGCACTTCCGTTAGCACAAAAAATAATGGCCTTTTTCAACAAGATGACGGTTACAAAGAAAAATTGTGGATAGTCAAATGATTTATTTCCCCATCCACGTTTGAGTTTATTCACGGGGAAATTCACCTTGTGAACTAATAATTTTCTGGGCTAAGAAAAATCAGCAGGTATTTTTCTTTTTAGGAAATTCTTCTTTTGTATTTTTAATTTTTTTTTTAGAGAGGGCTTTCTTAGGCTTAAAAAATCATCTAAGTCTATGGCTTTGATATCAAGGAAAAGGCTTTTTTCAATTGCTTTAACCTTTTTGAAAAAGTGACCTATAGAGATAAATGTTCTCATGCTGAGAATCAGGACTGTCTTTAATATGTATAGTAATATAGGCAGAAGAGGAAACAGACCACTTTCTTGAAGTGGTTTAAGAAAGATTTAAGATCCTGGACTGAGGAAAGGAACATGTTTGGAAAGGTCGGGCTTAAGACCCATACCCTAGGCAGTCAAATATAAATAAATAAATAAACAAATAAATAAAATAAACCTCACTCTTATGGCAGGTTGTGGATGATACCAGAACAGAGAGAGGACCAGGCCAGAACTATGAGCCCAGGAACTAGCTAAGAAGGAGGATTCTGGTAAATTATTATTATTTTTCTTTTGGGCCAAAAAAGGGTGAAATTCATGGAGGCCAGCGAAGGCAGTGGGGTGTGAACAGGCTTAGGAATTGGCCTCGGGGGGCAGGGCTCAGCTTGTGGGGGGGCAGGGCTCAGCTTGTGGGGGGGCAGGGCTCAGCTTGTGGGGGGGCAGGGCTCAGCTTGTGGGAGGTCAGAGGAGTTCGAGTAGAGCCCACATACTTGGGGGTCTCTCAATTTCTGGTTGGAGGCACAAGTAGCCCCTTCCCCTGCCTCCCTCACCTCCCATTCACCCATGGTCCTCCGGAGTCCTCCATTGGGTCCTCAGTAATGATACTCAAGGACCTCTGCTCAGATCAGCAGGCAGCCCCTTCTTCCTGTGCCTCTGGCCACCTTGTGCTGCTTCTCTCTTCGATTGCTTCTTCCCTGCTTCTGGCCCTGTGCTCACCTCCCACAGCTTCTTGCCATCTCTCCACCACCTGCTGCCACCCCGAGGGCTTAGCAGCTCATTCCTTTTCTTGACCCTGACTTGGGCTCATACTCATTTTCGGTTCTCAATCTACCTCTTCTTGGTTTTCGTAACTCACCTGTACCTCCTGGACTCTGACATCGGTCATGAAGAATTTCTAGAGTTTTATCATTCCTGCTCACATGCCAGCACCTTGAAATGGTATTAATTATGAAAACAGGTTTCATCCATTCCAGGTGGCATGTCTAGTCCAGAAGGAGTATCATGAATTCCCAAATGTCTCTTATCCTACAGAGAAGGAATCTGTGGCAGGTGAGGATGTGAGCAGGGAGGAGGATTTGGGGCTCAGGGCTTTGTGATAGGTCCTGTACACACATCACATCCAGAGTGGCTTACCTCTTGGGGTAGACACTATAACATCTTCCTGCTTACCTGTGGGTTCCCCGCTTACCTGTGGCATCCCCCACATTTCCCAGGCTTCCTTCCAGGCAGGATGAGTGATGGGGCTGGCCAGAGGTGTGGGCAAAAGTGATTAAGCCCAGCTCTTAAAACCATCCCGAGTGACCCTCTTGTCCTCTCTTCTCTGGCTGTGGCAACCTCACCTGACACTTGCCCCAGATGGTACATATGGCTGCAGGATGTAGGAGCACTGATGGCCCACCGGACTCCATGAACAAAGAGACCTTTTTGCTGTTAAGCTGCTGCACTGAGTCTGGGCTTTCTTGTTGTGGCAACGAGCATCGCTGAGCTGTAACTAAGCTCATGTCTTTTGAGGTCATTTTCAGAGAATCTAAATAGAGGAAGTGCATTTTCCCCGATCAACTGACATGCACATTATGCACATTCAGCTCTGCACTTCTGCTCAGGATTTGGGATTTGGAAATTTGTTCAAATGACAGAGATGTCCTCACCTGTGTCCCCACCCCATGTCATAGTCTTCTGAGCCTGCTGAACCATTGGCACCACTGAGCACTTTACAGAGGCTGAACAGAGCAGCAGTTTCTGTTTTCCATGAGCTCTTGGTCTCAAGTTTCTGGCAGATGGTGGCCAGGGTTTCTCAGGCCAATGTTCTTGGATGAATGCACGCTGCTGACTCTCTGGAACCCTCATTTGGTGACACATGCTATTTTCATGAAATGGTACGTTTATACGCACACTTCCCAGTATAAGGAGAGCAGGTCAGGATGGAGTCAAAGACGGGTTCTTCAATATAAAGGGGCCACCCAGGGCATTTGGTTGAAGCAAGCATCCTTAAAGTCCAGGAAATCCCGAAGCTGGATTCTGATAAAGACCCATGCTGCCCTTCTCCAAGCCGGGGACCTGGAAATCTGAATTCAGATACTCGTATTTGCCTCTAACGGGGATTTTGGATTATATTTGCTGTGGGGAGAGAAAAAGAGCTTATTTCAAGTTGGCCGCTTAATGTTCACGGCAACCAGGGAGAAACAACTACTTACTTGAATCTTTTCTCGTCCTGTCCACCTCCTCATGGTATGACCTTGACTATGATCTCCTGACCTTGGTGGCTTTTGCCTGCTAATCCGTGGGGGTAGCTACAGCTCTCTTTACCCTGAGAGGCTACTAAGCAGAGGAAACTTGCCTTGCATCTTCCTTTTTGAAGCTTATGGCACAGGCACACTGAAAAAGTCAATTGGTCACGTACCCAAGCCAATTTGGTCACATACACCTCTTGGTTTCTTTTTGATAGGTTCAAGAAGTAGCTAAGGAAGTTTGAAGCAGGTGAAACCTGGCTCATCCCTTGACTCTTTGCTCCTCAATTTTTGTGACAGCAACTCTCAAAGCAGCTTCAGCTCACACAAAACATTTATTAAAGGAACATTAATTTGCTGGCAGGCCCCAAAGTGCTCATCAACCTGTGCTGTAAGCTTAATGAAGTCCAGGTCCCTGTCTCTTAGGTGCTCAGAGTTCCACTGAGGAGAGGGAGCCAGAAGGCAGTGCCAAGGCTGTGGAAACAGATTCTGTCACCCCTAGAGCTGGCATCAGGCATACGAGATCCTCCGAATTTAAGGACCTAAAGTCCTTATGTAATAGCCTATTAGGCTATTTTATAAGGCTATATAACACATCTCCACCAAGGAAAAGGGTCTGGGCATTATTAGATACTTCTTGCAAAGGGTAGAGAAGATTTCTTGAATATTTTAACCAATCCTTATGCTATGGTTTGAATGTTGATGTCCTCTCCCCAAAATTAACATGTTGAAACCTGATCTCCAATGCAGTAGTAGTAACAGGTGGGGCCATTGGGAGGTGATGAGGTCCTGAGGGTGGAGCTTTCATGGATGGGATGGATGCTCTCATAAAAGAGGCTTGAGGGAGCTATTTGACCTTTTCTGCAGCAACAAGCCACCGATTATGCCAGACAGGCCCTCGCCAGACACTGAATCTGCCAGCATCTTGATCTTGAACTTCCCAGCCTCTAGAACTGTGAGCAATAAATTTCTGTTGTTTATAAATTACCCAGTCTAAGGTAGGTTGTTATAGAAGCTGAAATGGACTAAGAAACCATATGGTTTGAATACTTTTAATGTCACCAATTATAGCTCATTTCTGGTGTTTCTGATATCAAACCATTTTTGATATTCAACAGAGCTTTTTTAATAACAAGAGTGCTCATAGTAGCTGCCCCACGTCTGGGCTCCTGAATAGAACTTCAGGGTCTACTATGGGCTCTGAATTCTCAGTGAGGACACCTGCAGCACACTTCATATGGCACTGTATATCTGGAGTATTTAAAAGTGAAGTCTAGACAAGGCAGTTAACAAAAGATGGCAAAGGGGGAGTGGAGCCTATGATTGCAGCTCCCTTTGCTGCTGTAGGTGACCTCAGTGCTAACAGCAGCAGCTGTTATGTGGGGCACATCACTGTTCCAAGTACTTTATGCTAATAAGACACCTTTTCTGGGTTGTCTCATCTACTCCTCATAATAATCCAGTGGAGCTGTCTTCTTAGCCTCATCTTTCAGATAAGGAAACTGGGGCCCCAAAAAGTTACTAAATTTTCTCAAGGTCAGTAGCTAGTGAGTGCAGAGATATTGACTTCAATGGTCCAGTGATAAGAAGCCAGTGTGGAAGGTCTTGGCATAGGAGCCTCAGTTACCCAGCTAACCAGAGACAGTCTGTCGAGGTGGCTATATGTATGTTGGATTTAGACTATCTACAGCTGTCCAAAACTGTTGTCCAGGCTTGTCCTCCATAGCGGCCCCCGACTGGCCATCCCAGAGCTGTGATAAGGTGCTGCCTGAGCAGTGGATCTTTCTTCAGGTTTGTCTGTAGAGGCCTCCCTTGCCTGCTTAGACAACAGGATTTGGTCTTGCCATGTTTTCCTGGGGTTACTTTTATAGATCCTGAGCAAGTCTTCATTTCTTATGGGCTTTACCCTTCTTCCCTAGGCCACAGCCATTTGTACCAATGCAATTTACTAATGAATTTGATAACCTTCAGTTCACCAAAATTTTCATGTAACTCATCATGTGCGAGACCAATATCAGCACATGTGGAGTGAACATGTTGGTGGGGACAGTGTAGCATGGGGCCTGGACACCCCAGGCCCTGGGGCCAGCTGAGTCCCATTCTGGCTTGGCCACTTCCTGGCTGTGTGACTGCTGAGCAAATTATTCCAACTCTCTGTGCTTCCATTTATTTATCTTGGAATGGGGGTAAAATAGTCGTTGCCTTACAGAGTTGTTGGAGGATTAAATGCATTAATCTATGTGAGTATTTGCTTCCCAGCCAACTCAATTGAATGGATTTAGGGGGATATTTAAAGAGTAAGCTTCTATTCTTGAGTTCTTTTTGCTCACCCAACATGATTTGCTGGTTTAACACCACAGGCCAGTGTGGGAGATATTCCTTAAATTGCAGAGGATTTTGGGAAAGTGGATGGATGGGAAGAACCCTTTGAAAATGTCACGAAGAGATGCCTCCACAGGAAGCATGCTGCTGCCATGAATTTTCAGGCCACTGGTGGCTGACTTAGTTCTCATCATCTTTATTTGAGTTGTACCTTGCTAAGTGCCATTCATCAATTTTTGAATATCTAAGTTATTTGAGGTCGTTCATTCAAGGCAAAATGCTGAAAGTAAAAGGGAAATCAAGAACCCAGGGCTTTGAAGGCTTTTCTTAACTTGCAGCCACATTCTGCCTTTAAAAGCACTGACTTGACTTTTACAAGAGCCTGTAGAATAATCTAACAGAAAATGGAAGCCAAAAGCACAGCGATTCCCTTAAATATTTCATATTGCATTCAGATGTGCATTTTTCAAAGATCATTTCCTTGACATTTTCTGGTGGTGTATTTCTTGGGAAATAAAATAAATATGTTTGGTTGATGCTCATACCAATTTATTTAGAGCTATAAATAAGATAGAGATGCCTCCTGTCATTTGTACTAGAAAATATAAGGATCAGAGGAATATTTTAGGAGGACAGGGCAAAGCATTAATAATACTGTTCAGAACATGCTGACGTTGCTGATGCTTTAAGCTGTTTTAGCTGATCATCATGTGGTTTACTACTAAGAATCGAGAGAAACTGTGGTCAAAGCACAGGCCAGAGAAGAACCACAATACCCCAGACCTCACAATTCATTAGGGGCAGATGAGTGACAGAATTGGATTTTCTAGCTTTCTAGTCTGTGCACGTCACATAACCTCTCCAAATAATCATGTCGATTATCTGGTAGCCTGATCACTCTGAGTGCTTCCCTGAGGCCAGCAATGACCCTTAAAAGGTAAGAAATTCACTTATTTCAATTGGAGACTGATATATGTATGCAAAGCTCCCAAAAGGAATATGAGAGGAACTTACTTGATGCAATCCCCTGAGAATGAATCTATTCATGAAATGAATCTGTTGAATCATTGCATTACTGCTGTGGGGCATATGATGGAAATGGCATTCTGGAGAGTGTGGTTGGGGAAAGATGGATGTGCAGGTGCAAATAACAAAGCCATAGGGCAAAGTATATGACTTCAGGGCAAGTGACATCTGACCCTGGAAAGTTACTGGAAGTTCAGAGAAGGGGCCCCTCCATCCAAGTCTGGATTGAACAGGAAAGGATTTGGAAAGGTGAAGGGACACAGCAGGGCACAGAGGATGGGAATATCTGTGGCAACAGGAGAAGCAGAGGCAGGGACAAAGGAAGGCACTTTCAAATGTCGAAACAATCTAAATGTCCACCGATGGATGAATGGATACAGAAAATGTAGTATGGCTGGGTGGGGTGGCTCAGGCCTGTAATCACAGCACTTTGGGAGGCTGAGGTGGGCAGATCGCTTGAGGCCAGGAGTTCGAGACCAGCCTGGCCAACATGGAGAAACTCTGTCTCTAGTAAAAATACAAAAATTAGCTGGGCGTGGTGGTGCATGCCTGTAATCCCAGCTACTTGGGAAGCTGAGGCAGGAATATCACTTGAACCTGGGTGGCGGAGGTCGCAGTGAGCCGAGATCCCGCCACTGCACTCCAGCCTGGGTGACAGGGTGAGAGTTTGTCTCAATAAAAGAAATGTAGTATGTATACACAACAGAATATTATCCAGTCTTTTAAAAAAGGGAAATACTGCCATGACAACATGGATGAATCTGAAGGGCATTAGGTTAAGTGCAATAAAGCAGGCACGGAAAGAAATACTGCATGATCTCACTTACATGTGGGAGCTAAAATAGTGAAACTCATAGAAGCTGAGAGTGGAAGGGTGGTTGCAGGGGCTGGGAGGAGGGGAAATGGGGAGATGTTGCTCAAAGGGTACAAAGTTTCAATTCAGGATGAATAAGTTCTGGAGATCTAAGGTACAGCACGTGACTATAGTTAACAATGCTGAAATACTTGAGATTTGCTAAGAAGGCACGCACTTAGCACGGAACAGCTTCTTAAGTATTCTCGACTCACACACACAATCACACACACAAACACACACCCCTCAAAATGGTAACTCTGTGAGTTGATTGATATGTTAGTTAGCCTGATTGTGGTGATTATTTCACAATGGGTATGTGCATCAAGACATCAAGTGGTAGGTACTCTTTCAATGTATATAGTTTCTATTTGATATACTTCAATCAAGCCAAAAAACCACAAAAAAAGAGATATGCTGACAGGTTCCACATCATCCGGCAGGTAGAGTTGGTGGGGGCTGGGAGGAAGAAGGGACTGGAGGATGGGCAGACTCAGCTACCGCCCTTGGCTTCCAGGGGCTCAGGTGGAAAGTGATAGTTAAATAAATCAAATCAGGTATGAAATGTCTCAGGGGAACATAGTCTTTTAAAGAACTCTTAAAATCCTTTTAAAAGTGAAGAGAAACCTTCATCATATAGTGTAACGTAAACAGTAACTTGAAAATTCAATTATCTTCTAAGTTTAAGTCTTGTGTGTTGCTTGTTTTCTTGAATTAGGCGAAGCCCAGCTCAAATTCCTGTATCTCATCACTACAATAGCACCATCCTGAAAGAGAGCCAGGTACGGGGAGGAGAGGGAGCAATATCTGTTTAGTGGAAGAAAGAGCAGTGCTACCATGTTCCTTTTTTTTTTTTTTTTAACGGAGTCTCGCTCTGTCGCCCAGGCTGGAGTGCAGTGGCAATCTCGGCTCACTGCAAGCTCCGCCTCCCGGGTTCACGCCATTCTCCTGCCTCAGCCTCCTGAGTAGCTGGGACTACAGGCGCTCGACACCATGCCCAGCTAATTTTTTGTATTTTTTTTAGCAGAGATGGGGTTTCACCGGGTTAGCCAGGATGGTCTCGATCTCCTGACCTCGTGATCTGCCTGCCTCGGCCTCCCAAAGTGCTGGGATTACAGGCGTGAGCCACCGTGCCTGGCCACCATGTTCTTATTTCAAGTTTTGTCTTAGAACTGAAAGCAAACTTTTTTATTCTTTTCACTTTTATGTCAGTATACCTAGGGTCCAAGTCACTTCAGAAATTTGGGAGATTTTTATTTGCTAAGATGGCACTTAGCACTTTGGAAGCACTCATTTATTTGGAACCACTGATATGAAAAAAAAAAAAATTGGTGTTGGTTTGTGAGCTTGAGACTCCCAGATCACTGATAGGTGGTTTGCCAGCCACGGTTCCCTTCTCTTTCTTGCCCAAGAGATTCTTCATTTTAAAATCTGCTTCAGAATCCTTTTGAACATAGTACCCTGGGGCAGTGACTCTTCGCTGAATTTGCTGTCAGGTGGAATCAAGTTGCCTCCTGGATTTGAGGAGTGTTTCTCTCATTTAGTGGAAGCACCCAGAAGACTTGTTCTAACACAGATACAGCATCCCACTGTGCTGATTTAGTTGGGTTGGGGAGAAGCCCGAGAATTGGCTATTGATGGAAATGGCTTTCTTGAGAGAATGGTTGGGGAAAGATGGATGATGTGCAGGTGCAGATGACGAAGCCAGAGGAATTTGGGGACCACACTTTGAGAACCTCTCCCAGACCACATAGGTCTGGGGGCTATAGTTTGAGAACCACTGTTTTGAATTTTAACAGAACCATCAATCGACGGCAGCTCAATTTTCCTTTTTAATGAGGATCAGTGGGTGAAGAAGCCATCCATTTATAATTTCCTTACATTTTCCCTCACTTCCTTGTTTTCTGTAATTTTTCCTTTTGATTCTCTAAATCAGAATGCTTTGTAAACCTATGACCTCACATCAACAAAATGTTATATTTCGGGATCACTCATTTTTCTTTTTATTTGGCGTTCAGGCACCATAGTACCTTAGCTGAAATATAAATTAATGTTGTAGAAAATGAAATGAGAAGATTCACAATATAAGAAGAGCAGCTGGCTTGGCAAAGTAGCTGAAACAAAAAGAATGTGCTGGAAGTGTGTCCAGAATTGGTGGGTTCTTGGTCTCACTGACTTCAAGAATGAAGCCGTGGACACTCGTGGGGAGTGTTACAGTTCTTAAAGTCAGCGTGTCCGGAGTTTGCTCCTTCTGATGTTCAGATGTGTTCGAAGTTTCTTCCTTCTTGTGGGTTCATGGTCTCGCTGGCTTCAGGAATGAAGCTACAGACATTCGCAGTGAGTGTTACAGCTCTTAAGGCGCGCGTCTGGAGTTGTTTCTTCCAGTGGGTTCACGGTCTCGCTGGCTTCAGGAGTGAAGCTGCAGACCTTTGCAGTGAGTGTTACATCTCATAAAGGCAGCGTAGACCCAGAAACTGAGCAGCAGCAAGATTTATTGCGGAGCTAAAGAACACAGCTTCCACTGCGTGGAAGGGGATGTGAGCAGGTTGCCCCTGCTGGCTTGGGCAGCCTGCTTTTATTCCCTTAACTGGCCCCACCCACATCCTGCTGATTGGTCCATTTTACAGAGAGCTGATTGGTCTGTTTTACAGAGAGCTGATTGGTCCGTTTTGACAGGGTGCTGATTGGTGCATTTACAATCCTTGAGGTAGACACAAAAGTTCTCCAAGTCCCCACTAGATTAGCCAGACACAGAGCACTGATTGGTACATTTACAAACCTTGAGCTAGATACAGAGTGCTGATTGGTGTATTTACAATCCCTTAGCTAGACATAAATGTTCTCCAAGTCCCCACCAGATCAGCTAGACACAGAGTGCTGATTGGTGCATTTACAAACATTGAGCTAGACACAGGGTGCTAATTCGTGCATTTACAAACCTTGAGCTAGATACAGAGTGCTGATTGGTGTATTTACAATCCCTTAGCTAGACATAAAGATTATCCAAGTCCCCACCAGACTCAGGAGCCCAGCTGGCTTCACCCACTGGATCCCGCACCCGGGCCGCAGGTGGAGCTGCCTGCCAGTCCTGCACCTTGTGCCCGCACTCCTCAGCCCTTGGACAGTCTATGGGACTGGGCGGCGCGGAGCAGGGGGCAGCGCTCCTCGGGGAGGCTCAGGCCGTGCAGGAGCCCACGGCAGGGCGTGGGGGGCGGGGAGGGGAGGCTCAGGCATGACAGGCTGCAGGTCCGGAGCCCTGCCCGGAGGGGAGGCAGCTAAGGCCCAGCCAGAAATTGAGCGCAGCGCTGGTGGGCCGGCACTGTTGGGGAACCCAGTGCACCCTCCACAGCTGCTGGCCAGGGTGCTAAGCCTCTCACTGCCCCGGCCCGCTGGGGCCGGCCGGCCGCTCAGAGTGGGGGGCCTGAGGGGCCGACGGAGCCCACGCCCACCCGGAACTTGCACTGGCCCGCAAGCGCCCTGCGCAGCCATGGTTCCCGCCCGTGGCCTCTCCCTCCACACCTCCCCTCAAGCCGAGGGAGCCAGCTCCGGCCTTGGCCAGCCCAGAAAGGGGCTCCCACAGTGCAGCGGTGGGCTGAAGGGCTCCTCAAGTGTGGCCAGAGTGAGCGCCGAGGCCAAGGAGGTGCCCAGAGCGAGCGAGGGCTGTGGGGGCTGCCAGCACGCTGTCACCTCTCAGAAGTTTAAGAAGAGTCTCGTTCACGTGAGTTCAAAGGTTAGTACTGATGACAACCTGGCTGGTTATTGGGAATTTACATAATGTTTACAAAGTAACACACATTGGAGGCTTAAGCAACAGAAAATTACTGTTTCACAGTTCTGGAGGCTGGAGGTTCAAGGTCAGGGTGTCAGAAGGTTTTCTTCCTTCTGAGGACTGGAGGGAGACTGTCCCAGGCCTCCGTAGCTTCTGGTGGTTCATTGACTGTCTTTGGTATTCTGTGGCTTGCAGAAACAGCAGCCTGACCTCTGCTGCCTTCACACGGCATTCTCCCTGCTGTGTGTCTGTGTGTCCAAATCGTCCCTTTTTGGAAGGACACCAGATGTACTGGATTCGGGCCCACCCTAATGACCTCATCTCAACTAATTACATCTATAATCACCCTATTTCCAAATGAGGTCACATTCTGAGGTGCTAGGGGATAAAACTTAAACATATGAGTTTTTCAGGGATAAAATTCAGCTCTTACCAGCGCCCCTGAGCTTAGTTACTGCTCAAACTGTCCGCAGGGGCCCTGGCCACCAGGAGGACCCTGAAGGGGTCCGGGGACAGCCACCTGGGAGCACTGGTCCAAGCACCTACCTCCCTTTCACTGGCTCTGGGGACCAGCCACAGATGCCATGGACGGTGTCTGGGGACAGGGTCCTGTCCATTTCCCTTCATGTTCTAACTTTGTACTGTGACTTGGAGATTATATCATCTCAAATGGGAAGACCAATTACTAAGCTTGTAGAAGGCATTTCTTTTTAAAAAGGCAGGATCTTATTATAACTGAGACCGCAATTAAGGGTCCTATTAACCCTCGACTCTGAGACAAAGGCACGAATCTTCTGAGACGAGATGTCTGCCAAACATCTGCCAGGGAAAATAAAAGTAGTAAACATGTCAGTGGCTGCGAGGGGTCTGAAGGGGCCGCGATGATCTGAAGTGCGGCCTTGATGTGCACCGGGCCTGCCAAGGCCGGTTATATGGCTTACGTTTTGATCTGAGGAGCTCTTGCTTTGCTTCCTGTGGCGAATCTTGCTCTGTATCTGTCAAGAGGATTACCCTTGTTCATTAATGTGTCACTAAAATTTAAAATGTCACCTTTCTGATTCTCAGGTAATTATTGCCGACAGATTTGAGGTATATTGTGAAAAGCAAGTTTTTCAGCAGAACTAGATCCCTGCAGAATATTGACAGGATGCGTGCCTGACTTTTAACTGCTTGTGTTCCTTAGATAACTAATTTATCGTGGCACAAGGATCTGCGGGGTGCTTTCTTCTCTGTAATTTCCTTTTTGTGGGGATTTTTGTTTGTTTTGCTGATTTCTGAGTCTGAGAGTCTGTGTACCAGAAGGCTAGTGTTCCATGGGAAATGGTTGCAGGGAGGAAAGTCATTTTACCTCTGTTACTTTCGAACATCCTTCCCTGTTCTCCCATTCCTGGGGGTGCTGTCAGCTCAGGGCATCTACTGGGCTGAGAACTTTCAACCCCCACGGTGGGGGCCTTAAGACCTGTGGCTTGAGGCTCAGTGAGCAAGGGTGAGTTGTGGACACCCGATGTCTGGCTTTTCTTTTTACCTCTTTAACCAGATTATTAGTTTCCTTTTTCTCAATAGGCTCTTTAAAGGAAATTGATAAGATCAATAGAGCAACAATGACTTCCCTACTCTTCCATTTCTAATTTTTGGGATGGCTTGGGGAACTCTGCATTGGTCTAGCTTTCTTTTATTTTGTATTTTTTTTTTTGGATTTTTAGTAGAGATGGGGTTTCACCATGTTGCCCAGGCTGATCTTGAACTCCTGAGCTCAGGCAATCCTTGCACCTCGGCCTCCCAAAGTGCTGGGATTATGGGCATGAGCCACTGCACCCAGCTGGCCCAGCTTTATTTTATCATCTTCTTTTCACTGTTTCATTTGGAAGTGTCATTGCATTAGGTTGGAAAAGTATTCTTGTTTTGATTATGAAATCTATACATTATGGAAACCATGCTTTACAGAAATGGGCTCACAAATTTTTCCATGTGTCATATGAATAAGGACTCAAAACATTCTTTCAGGCAAGATGGTATAAAAGACAAGCCTTGAAATTCTCACATCCAGGTGCCCCAGTGACGTATCCCCACTCCTTTGCTGTCCTTGCTTTACTGCCTTGCTTGTGTTTATAAAGATTCTTCTTAGAAATGTCCATCAATGCGTGGAAATAGATGAAGACCAAGCAAATGAGAACAAGCCAAGGCTGTTTATTCTGAGCTTGCTACAGCAAGGAAGTTGGCCACTATCATTGTGTTTCTCAGAGACTCAGAGGCAGACAGAGGAGGGGGAAAGCATCGTGATGGAAGAAGGGGAGGTTCTGGGTGTGCCCTGATTGGAGGCTGCTGGCCTGAGGAAGCTGGAGGCGGCTCACCAGGAGCAGGGCATCCAGTGTGATTGGTTGGGGGAGCATATTTGCCTTTCTCTGGTTGGTCCTAAATGGGAAGTAGGGTAAAAATTAGGAATACTGTGATTATGAATCAAGTCCCAGCCATTTGGGGCCAATTATTACAGGCATTATTTTTTGGCGTCCTGAATTGTTACAAGGGAGGGAGAGTGGTCTGACTTTCTGCAAGTCTAACTTGCAGAGAACAGGCTGGCTTCCTGGGCTGGTTGCTATGGATAATAAGTTGGTTACCTGGGCTGGTTGCTGCAGTTGTGGGGCACAGTTTTATTTTTATGTATGTTCTGGCAATTGTCTGCTTATATATTCAGTCTCTCAAAAGAAATCATTAGCACTGGTTGTTTCAAGTAACTTTATTAATGACATGTTGAATTCTATTATCCTTTTTTTTTAACCAGACCATTTTTGAGTGAGATACAATCCACAGAAATTTACATATGGTACATAAGCTGGTTACTTTTTTTTTTTTTTTTGAGACGGAGTCTTGCTCTGTCACCCAGGCTGGGGTGCAGTGGTGTGATCTTGGCTCACTGCAACGTCCGCCTCCCGGGTTCAAGCAATTCTCCTGCCTCGGCCTCCTGAGTAGCTGGGATTACAGGAGCATGCCACCATGCCCGGCTCATTTTTGTATTTTTAGTAGAAACGAGGTTTCACCATGTTGGTCAGGCTGGTCTTGAACTCCTGACCTCGTGATCGGCCCTTCTTGTCTTCCCAAAGTGCTGGGATTACAGGCGTGAGCCACCAAGTCCGGCCGCTTGTTACTTTTTAGTAGTGGTGTTAGTCCTTTCCCTGGGATTGCATATTGTCCAAGGGATATTGTTTTAGTTCATTCTCATGCTGCTGTGAAGAAATAACTGAGACTGGCTAATTTATAAAGGGAAGAGGTTTCATTGACTCACAGTTCTACCAGGCTGGGGAGGCCTCTGGAAACTTACAATCATGGCAGAAAAGGAAGCAAACATGTCCTTCTTCACGTGGTGTCAGGAAAGAGAAAAATGAGAACCTAGTGAAGGGGGAAAGAGAGAACCCTGGGAAAGAATCCTGGAGTCATATAAGCTGGATAGAAGGGCACATGGGCATCTGCATGAACAGATGCCCCTACGAAACCATCAGATCTCTTGAGAACTTTCTCACTATCACAAGAATAGCATGGGGGAAACTGCCCCCATGATTCAATTACCTCCCACCAGGTCCCTCCCGTGACATGTGGGGATTATGGGAGCTACAATTCAAGGGGAGATTTGGGTGGGGACACAGCCAAACCATGTCATATATATATATATCATATATATCATATCATATATATATATGAATACATATAAAATAATTGTTATTCTTAGAAATGCAGTATTTTTAGGGAAAATAGTTTTAAGTTATATACAAATGATTGTATAATGATAATTCAGTGGTAAATTAATTTTAATATCACTTTCTCTCCTTTATTAATTTAATTTAAATGCCATTTAAAATGTCCTCCATAGACTCTTTGGTTTTAAGGAGGTGTGACTCACTTGTATTACTTTAGGTATTTAGGGTTTTCCTGTAGGATGCACATACACAGAAGCCTGGGGAAGGCCACACCCCTGCCATGATTATCTTGTTCTCACCCTCTTTTTGGTGTTGTTCCACCCTTGAAATCTCACATCACTATCTCCTGTGCATCTCCACAGGCCCAGAAAGTCATCAAACACTCCTTTCTATAATGTGTATTGTGAAAACAGCAGGTGTGATTTTTCTCCAGCCATGCATTTCTAACTCTAAATTGCATCTTACTCCCCCTTTTCTGAGGTATACATATTCCCTGTCACCTGCTGCTGGGATTCTGCTTCAAGTCACCTGCCAGCCCACTGTTTGATGGCTCTTGGGTCATGTGTTCACAGTTGGTCCAACAAGCTGTGGCTGAATGTGGGGTCAGGGGTCCCTAAACATGGCTTCTTCACTGCAGAATCTGGGGCCCCACTGGGTCAACCTGGTTGCAGTCTGATCCAAGGTGTTCATGGTGGAGGAGTTGGGGAAAGTGCTTTCATGGTAGTTTCTTCCCTTACTTTCTTCTCCAAAGGAATAGATTCAGAGACTTTTGCTAGAATTTGTAATTCAGAAGGGGAGAACATGGCGACCTCCTGAAGACCACATGTTGCAGGAGGGAGAAGAGAAATAAAGATGTGCTTCAGATCTGGAAATGAGCAGCAATGACTTAGACTCTGCTTGACAAGAGTGGGAAGCTGCCAACAGAAGCGAATCCGAATTCTGCAGCACCATCCTAGTCTCTGCAAGGTGATCAAAACAGAGAACCTGGGAAAGAATCCTGGACTCTTATAAGCTGGATAGAAGGGCACGTGGGCATCTGCATGTAATAGTAAAGAACTTTTAAAAGGGAGATTTACAGCCTGTTAGCCTTTAAATTACGGGGCATTTAGAATTTTAAGGAATGGAAATTAGCATCAAGGGGTATTTCCCTGCTTACGCAGATGATTCCAGATCTTAGGATTGGGTTTTCTAGGTTCTCCATAGAACGCTTGTTGATGGAGAATGATTTATACACTCATACCAGGTTTGTTCTTTAAGCCATTCCTTCATGGTAGAGCTTGGCTGGATTTAAACAGATCTGATACCTTGTCAGACCGTAATTTCACATCATTTGTGGCACCTTGTCATGACTGAGATACTGCAATAGAATAGCGACACCTAGGTTTTTCTTGACAATTCATTTCTATTTAAATCACTTCCTGAAATTTCCCTTGGCAAAAACCTTTCGTTGGTTGTTGTAACACACAACTTAAATTTGAATCTTAATACTTTTAGCTGTTCATCTTTCTGTGAGGTGTGTAGGGTAATTGGCAAAGGGCTGTCCTCTCATTACTTTTGGCAAATGGAGAGAATACCTTAGAACCAGCCATAGGTGAGCACAGAAATTCCCGGACAGAGTTAATAAGCTGTTCTTGTCACATGTGCTCTTTCCCCCATTTGAATTGTGCTGCTGCTGGCGCCGGCGTTGGCAGCAGAAAGAAATATGATGTTCAGCTAATGGCTTGAGAAGGGGAGGGAAGGACTTGGGGTCACCTGTGGCATATCCTATTTTGAGCTGAGCCAAAGGAGATTAATGCTGTCACTAGCTTGATTAGCATTGCCACTTGCCTGGCTCTCGACTTTGAAATGTATTAATTCCGAGAGAAGAGCTCACCACCAGAGTTGTCTTGTCCACGTTTGCAACTAACCTTGTAAAATCCCGTGGCAATGGGCTGACGGGAGGGGCAGGCTGAGACACTGCAAAGCCCTGCTTGTCTTTTGTTTGCTTTTATGACAAAGGCTTTCAAAATAATGCTAAATTGCTTAGGCTTGAGACTGCAAGGTAACTGGTGTTTTGTGTCTCAAGTTAAAGCTCTTTAGCAGAGTTCTAGAAGCACGCATCTTAAATCTATTCAGATGTGTACATGCGTTTATTCATGTGAATGTCAGAAAATTTCTTGTTAAGATAACCTTTCTAAGTACATCATTGTGATGTGAATTGGTAATGTGTTCCTATAGTCGGAAGTCCTCTGTGCTTGGGTTTTTAAATGCTCCATATGCTGTCTCATTTGGCTCAGAATTATCTAGGTTCAGGCATTCTGCAGGTCAAATCGTGGCTTTTACTAGATAGAGTGAAAGTGTTTTGGGCCGGGCGCGGTGGCTCACGCCTGTAATCCCAGCACTTTGGGAGGCCGAGGGGGGCGGATCACGAGGTCAGGAGATTGAGACCGTCCTGGCTAACACAGTGAAACCCCGTCTCTATAAAAAATACAAAAAATTAGCCTGGTGTGATGGCGGGCACCTGTAGTCCCAGCTACGCGGGAGGCTGAGACAGGAGAATGGTGTGAACCCGGGAGGCGGAGCTTGCAGTGAGCCAAGATCGCTGCCACTGCACTCCAGCCTGGGCGACAGAGTGAGACTACGTCTCAATAAAAAAAAAGAAAGTGTTTTACATCCCATTTGCCAATAGACTGAAAGTAGTTCTGAATCTAAAGTCTTTTTTAAGTTTGGCAGGCCCACTCTCCCTCTTGTGGGACGCTGAGAGCTTAAGTCCATGATTTTTGGAGTTGACACACTTTGGTTCCAATTCCAGCTTGTAAAATCCATGGCGATGGGCTGACTGGAGGGTGCCATTATCTTTTACATACAAAAAACTTTATGGGCAAGTTGGAGTAAACTATAAGCACTGTTGAATAATGAAATATAAGTTTTAAAAGTCTTCTGATACATAATGCCAACTTTTCCTTTAGAAAGATTATGCCAATTTTATATTGCTATGCTTATTCTGGAATTCGTTGGATATTATTATTTAAACTTTCCCAGTGTATAGGAAAATGTTTTGTTTTTGTTGTAATGTGTGTTTCTTGGATTACTTGTGAGGTTAAACACTTTTTTTTATATGTTTATTGCCTTTTGGTGGTTTCTTTTTCGAACTGCCTCTTAATGTGTTTTGTAAGTTTCCTTGCTTCCACAGTATAATGAAATAATAATATGAATGACAAAGAAATCATAGTTGCTTTTGGAAGCTTTAACAGTGTTGCTCTATTTCTTTTCTTTGTTTTCACACTGGGTCCAAAATATGTTGTATGAGCCTGGTGTATCTCTGTCAACCCCATGCTATGCAAACCTGCCATTTGGCATGTGGGGCTTCTTCTGTGATCTTATTTTTCTCTTTCTTTGTTGCAGGTAGTTTCATGAGCCATTTCCTTTTTCCTTTTTCTTCTTATTTGGCCATCGTAAGGAACCTTTAAATGTTTCCTGTTGAAACCACGCTTGCGTGGCCTTTTAGCAGTTTAGGATGGTGCAGGCAACCCTTCTCTTCTGCTGCCAAGATCTGCAGCCCCCACCCATCAGGGCCAGGCTTTATAGAATCACCATGGCACAGGTAGAGAGTTGTTCCCTTGGGTCTGAGTAGGAGGTCGTGGATGTTAAGAAGCATTCATTCCTTTAATCATTCCATAATTATAAATTAAGGGACTGTCTATGTGCTAGGACTACAGTAGTGAAAAGAGCAGATAAGATTCCCCAGCTTCATAAATGTCACCACTTGATGTGGTGAGCTACACAGTGTACAGGAATCAAAATGCATAGTATGTGAAAAGAGGGTAGAGGGTCGGTACTGAGGGTTGGGGAGGGGTACTGTGGCTTTGTGTGGAGTGATTCAGGAAGAACCCCCTGGGAAGATGAGAGTTGGGGGAGATGAGGGAGCCAGGTCCGTGGATCCCTGCAAAAAGAATGTTCCAGGTGGAGGAACAGCAGGCACCGTGCCAAAGCTCTGAGTGGGGAGCGTGCGAGGGATGATCAAGGAAGAGGGGGGAGTGAGGCTGTGAGCTGGGAGTGATACTGAGGGGCCAGATCGTGGGAGCCTCGCCAGGAACAGAATGGAATGACCAGGCTCTGCCTGGCAGTGCTCAGAGGATTTGCTGTTGGACTGAATGAGGAGTGTTTGTTACTTTGCTAGAACAACTGGAACAGAATACCACACATTGGGTAGCTTAAACAATAGAAATTGATTGTCACACAGTTCTGGAGGCCAGAAGTCCAAAATCAAGGTGTTGGCAGGGCCAGTTCTTTCTGAGGGCTGTGAGGTCTGTTCCAGGCTCTGTCCTGCCTCTGGTGGGCTGTGGGCAGTCTTTGCTGGTTTTTTCCAAGTGTCACCCTGATCGCTGCCTCATCTTCACATGGCATTCCCCTGTGTGCCTGTCTGTGTTCAGATTTCCACCATTTATAAGGACACCATCCTACTGGATGAGAAATCCACCCTTCTCTGTATGGCCTTATCTAAACTTCGCTAATGACCTCTGTAATGACTCTGATCTAAATAAGACCATATCTGGAGTTATTCGGGGCTAGAACTTCAACGTATCTTTTTTGAGAAACAAAATTCAGCCCATAACAGGGTGTAAGGAGAGGAGCTGAGTCAGGATTCAACCTCAGAGCTCTTGTCTGGCCAACTGGGAGAATGGAGTTGCCGCCTGCTGCAGTGGGAACTCTGTGGGAGAAGTAGACGATGGGGGGAAGCCCATGCATTGGGCTTTGGATGTCAAGTTTGAGATACCTGTAACACAGCTCTTCATTTGGGGGTCCTAACATCAGCTTCTCAATATTGGACTCAATATTGATCTCTTCCAGCCTGGGGTGTGTGCAGGGAAGGACCTGGGCTAGAGAGTAGGCTTAGGCTGGTCCAGGTGGCTGGCAGCCTCCCACAGTGCACTGAAAAGGAATCATCCTTCTCTGAATCCATGGCGCGAAGCAGCTCGGGAAGCACTGTGTTAAGGCCGGCCCCACCGTTGCTCCCGCTCCTGAACTAAGTAGCTCAGATAAGGCAAGCAATAAAAAGATTCTTTCAGTGTTAGTTATCCACTGAGTAACTTGTAGTCTGGCTCTAGCCAAGAGCCAAATGTACACAGTTACACTCAAACTCACTTTGAAACTCACTATCCCCTTCCATTCCTTTTCTGTCATCTTGTCACCTCTTGTTTGATGCAATGACCCTTTTTCTCAATATCCTACAATAACATCCTTTAACAATTGCCCAGGGTTCTGTTTGCACCTGGAGATGAAACGGTTCAAGGTAAATGGTGTTATCTCTGAGTCTGTGATTTCTCCTAGAGTGTTGTGTAAATCAATAGAAACAGACCTAAAAACCCTAAATGTGTCCAGAATGGTGATTCATGGTTCTAGTTACAACCTGAAGAGTCTGCTGACCACAGGGCTCCCAGAGGTGCTTCTAACCTCACATAGTTAAATTCACACTCATCTTTTCCAAGGTCCAGAATATTTTCCAAATAAAAGTAAAGAGAACTACATATCATGTCAAACATAAAATTACCACATAGCAGTTCTCTAGCCATCATCAATAAGTTCCATTGTAGTTTGGCTACAAATTCTCTTTTTAGCTTGGTTTAAACATGCAATGTTCATGCACCCAGGTTTTCTGCACCCAATTTGTATTTTCTGGTACTAGTATAAAATATGAAAGAAGACCTAAATGTAGTCATTTTCTCTGATTATCCCAATAAAGACCCAACTCACAAAGGTGTTCTTAAAATCCAGCTGTCCTGAGTACTTTATCTTGCTGGGCTGTGGGAAAGAACATTTTGACTTGGGAAAGCATGGGTTGAACCAGATAGCCTTGTGAATTGCGTAGGAACAAATGATTTCCCACATTTCAAAGAAGAAATAATCCTGTGAAGTCCAAATCAACCCTTTATGCACAAACTCAAACATTAATTTTGTCCTGGATGATTGGTGGTCGTTCACTGATACTCATCTATTAGAACCCTAAAGAGGATTCTCTATGGCCAGCTTGTCCTGCCAGACTATAACTAAATTTATGGCAGTCTGAACTCTATGGTTATACAAATAAAATATTTTTTTCTTATCTCTTTATTTGATTTCTAACAATTGCACTCTGGTCTGTACAACCCAAATCTTTAAAATATGTTCAAATTTGCTTTATGGCCCAATATGTTGTTGATTTTTATAAATATTTCATGTACACTTGAGAAGAGTTTGTATCTCCCAATTTTCTGGCTGTAATGTTCTTTGCAGTTCCCTTAAAAAAATCTTACTGATTATAGTGTTCAAATCTGTTCCAGCTTTAATAATACATATACATTATATATATATATATATTTGTCCATTTGATCTATCAATTGCTAAAAGAGGTATGAGAAAATTTCCCATATAATTGTCAATTTGAATTTTTCTCCCATAGTTCTGTCATTTTTGCTTTGTCTTTTGAGTCTATTTTAAGAGTTGCCTACAAATTTCAAATTATTGTATCTTCCTGGTAAATTAAAAACTGTTATTTTGTTTTAATCCTATATTTAGAAATGCTTTTTGCTCTCTTTCATGTATTATTTATTTATTTATTTATTTATTTATTTATTTAAGATGGATTCTCACTCCATTGTTCAGGCTGGAGTGCAGTGGCACAATCTCGGCTCACTGCAAACTCTGCCTTCCATGTTCAAGCTATTCTCCTGCCTCAGCCTCCCAAGTAGCTGGGATTACAGACATGCACCACCATACCTGGGTAATTTTCATATTTTTAGTAGAGATAGGGTTTTGCCATGTTGGCCAGGCTGGCCTTGAATTCCTGACCTCAGGTGATCCACCTGCCTTGGCCTCCCAAATTGCTGGGATTACAGGTGTGAGCCACCAAGCCCAGCCTCTTTCATATATCTAATATTTAAATTCATATATATGTCTTTATCTTTATTATATATTTATATATTATCTATCTACCTAGCTATTCTATAAAATATCTAATAGAGTGATGACAGCTTTCTTTTGGCTACTATTTTTCTGACTTTTCTCCTATCCTTTTTCTTTGAAACTTTCTGGATCCTTTTATATGTGCCTTTTGTAAACTATGTAGTTAGATGTTTTAATCCAATTTGGTCATCTTCATTTTTTTACTGAATCCTTTGGTTCACTTACGTTATTATCATAACATATATTTGGGTAAATATTTACCATACACTTTTGTCTTTGTTATTTGTTTCTTCTTTTTTTTTTCGGATTCTCCTGCCCTATTCTATTTTTCATCTCTACTAGTTTAGAAGTTCTACACTCTTTCTATGCTTTTAGTGTCAACTCTAGAAATTTTAACATGCCCACAACTGAAGTAAATTTACTGGCTTCCTTTTTTACTTTTTTTTCACTTTAGAGAAGTCTTTTTTTTTCTCTTTCATTAATATGTTTGATACGGTTTGGCTCTGTGTCTCCACCAAATCTCATCTCAAATTGTAGGGAGGGAGGGACCTGGCGGGAAGTGATTGGATCATGGGGGTGGTTTCCACCATGCTATTCTTATGATAGTGAGTGAGTGCTTATGAGATCTGATGGTTTGAAAGTGATTGGGAGTTTCCCCCATCACTCTCTCCCTCCTGCCGCCATGTAAGACATTCTTTACTTCCCCTTCACCTTCTGCCACGATTATAAGTTTCCTAAGGCCTCCCCAGCCATGCAGAGCTGTGAATCAAACCACTTTTCTTTATAAATTACCCAGTCTCAGGCAGTTCTTTACAGCCATGTGAAAACAGACTACAAGGTTTAAAAGGGGTTTTTATGTCTTATCTAGCACTTTTAGTTGTTTCAATGGGAGTGGTCTATTCTTTTATACTGCTCAAAATGAAAGTACTAAATGGATTTTATTTTTTCTTTAAAATATAATTTTCATTATTGCAAATGCAGCAAGTAAACATCCTGGAAAATTAGAATATACAGATAAATAAGAATAAGAAAACCCCCCACCTTATTTATACCCTAAGATCACTTTTAAAACATTACAGTGTATTGTTTCATATTGCATATGTGTGTGTATGATATATATATGATCATATATCATATTATCATATATATATATATCTCTCTCAAAAATACACACACACATAGGCTTGTAATATGGTTTGGGTCTATGTCCCCACCCAATTCTCATGTTGAATTGTAATTTCCAGTGTTGGAAGTGGGGCCTGGTGAGAGGTGATTGGTTAATGGAGGTGGATCCTTCATGAATGGTTTAGCACCATCTTCTCAGTGCTGTTCTCATGATGGTGAGTGAGTTCTCATGAGCTCTGGTTGTTTAAAAGTGTGTAGCCCCTCCCCCTCCATTTCTTCCTCCTGCTCTGGCTATGTAAGATGTGCTTGCTTCCCCTTTATCTTCTGCCATGATTGTAAGTTTCCTGAGGCCTCCCCAGAAACAGAAGCTACTATGCTTCCTGTACAGCCTGCAGAACTGTGAGCCAATTAAGCCTATTTTCTCTATAAACTACCCAATCTCAGGTCTTCCTTTATAGTAATGTGAGAATGAACTAATACAGAAAATTGGTACTGAGGAGTGGGGCATTGCTACTCTTGAAATGGTACAGCAGTTTCAGATACTTGAAAATATGGAAGTGTCTTTGGAACTGGGAATGGGTAGAGGTTGGAAGAGTGTAGAGGGATCAGAAGAAGACAGGAAGATGAGGGAAAATTTGGAACTTCCTAGAAGATTGTTAAATTATTGTGACCAAAATGCTGATAGTGATATAGACAGTGAAGTCCAGGCTGAGGAGGTCTCAGATGAAAATGAGGAACTTACTGGAAACTAGAGTAAAGGTCACTCTTGCTATGCTTTAGCAAAGAGCTTGGTTGGATTGTGCCCCTACTCTAGGGATCTGTGGAACTTTGAACTTGAGAAAGATGATTTAGGGTATCTGGGGGATTAAATTTCTAAGCAGCAAAGTGTTCAAGATGTGGCCTGGCTGCTTCTAATAACCTATGCTCATGCGCACGAGCAAAGAAATGACCTGGGAGGCGGAGGTGGGCAGATCATTTGAGGTCTGGAGTTTGAGACCAGCCTGACCAACATGGTGAAACCCCATCTCTACTAAAAATACAGAAAAAAATTGGCCAGGTGTGGTGGTGCATGCCTGTAGTTCCAGCTACTCAGGAGGCTGAGGCAGGAGAATCACTTGAACTCAGGAGATGGAACTTATATTTAAAGGGGAAGAAGAGCATAAAAGTTTGGAAAATTGCAGCCCGGCCATGTGGTAGGAAAGAAAAGCCCATTTTCTGGGGGAGGTTTCAAGCAGGTTGCAAAATTTTGCATAAGTAAAAAGGAGCCAAGTGCTGATAGCCAAGACAATGGGAAAAAGGCCTCCAAGGCATTTCAGAGACCTTTGCAGCATCCCCCTTTCATCACAACCCCAAAGTCCTAGGAGGACAGAATGGTTTCATGAGCCAGGCCCAGGCCCCCACTGACCTGTGCAGCCTTGGGACACTACTCCCTGCTTCCCAACTACTCCTGCTCCAGTCCTGGCTAAAAGAGGCCCAGGTACAGCTCAGGCTGCTACTTCAGAGGGTGAAAGCCATAAGCCTTGGTGGCTTGTGGCTTCCATATGATGGTAAGCCTGTGGGTTTACAGAGTGCAAGAGCTGAGGCTTGGGAGCCTCCACCTAAATTTCAGAGGATGTATGGAAAAGTCGGGATGTCCAGACAGAAGCCTGCTGCAGAGGTGGAGCCCTCACAGAGACCCTCTATTAGGGCAATGCAGGGGGGAAATGTGGGGTTGGAGCCCCCACACAGAGTCCCCACTGGGACACTGCCTAGTGGAGCTGTGAGAAGAGGGTCACCATCCTCCAGACCCTAGAATGGTAGGACCACTGACCCTCCTCAGACTCAGTGGGGACTCTGCCTATGCCCAAATGTGGGGGCTCCTTCCATCCCCCAGGCTCACTGTGCTCATCAGGATGTCTTGATTGCTCTCTAGACTTGAGGCTGGTGCTACTTTTTTTCTTAATGCTGATGCATAACCTGTTATCTCCTCTTTCCTTCTTTTCTAGGACTTTCTGTTTCTTTTTAGGTCTTTCTGTCCATTCTCAATGATGTACTTCCCCCATTCTCTCTTCCAGCTTCTAGTATACCTAGTCTTGTTTGATTTTTGTGAAAAGGTTGGGTGTGAGATGAAATGGGGGTTAGGGAATATGTGAGCCTTGTGTCTCCTACTAGGGTTGTGAGTAGTGTGTCATCTAAGTCCTCTAGAGCTGAGGACAAGGGGGTCCTGATTTTTCCCAGAAGGAGATAAGACCTTTTCTTTTCTTTTCCTTTTTTCTTTTCTCTCCTTTCTTTTCTGTTCTTTCCTTCTTTCTTTTCTTTTCTTTCTTTTTTCTTTTCTTTCTTCTTTCTTTCTTTTTGTTTAAAGAGACAGGGTTTCACTCTGTCACCCAAGCTGGAGTGAAGTGGCATGATCATGGCTTACTGCAGCCTTGAACTCCTGGGCTCAAGCAATCTCCTACCTCAGCCTACAGGTAGCTGGAACTATAGGTGTGCACCACCATGCCTGGCTAATTTTTAAAAAAAATTTTGTGTAGAGATGGAGTCTCTCTATGTTGCTCAGGCTGATCTCAAATTCCTGGCCTCAAGTGATCCTTCTGCCTCAGTTTTCCAAAGTGCTGGGATTAATGGCATGAGCAACCATGCCCAGCCAAGACCTGTCTTATTTCAGCAACCTCAGAACAAAGTACCTTTACTCTGTAAATATATCCATATCTGTCCTTTTGTATATTCTACTGCTTATTTGCCTTTATTTTTCTAGTAAATGTTCTTTGGATAAATATGAAACTTGAATCTGTTGAATCAAAGGAGAAAAAGATCCTTCATGCTAGAGACATCAGTGTGTTCCTGGAGACAATAAGTGGTCCCCAGAGTGACTAACAGTTTGTACAACTGGAACAAAAGTGGTCAGCAGAAATTCTGAGAGTGGGAGAGCTGTAGGCAGTTATGACTTTTTGTGCCTTCATGATCCAGGATATTTTCTTACACTATACTACTTTGCTCACTTGGTACTGAATCTATTTTCTTAAAAGCACAGGAAACCTACTGCAACTGAGATATGTCCATGTGTCTCTGTATTTGTTGACTTTGCATTCTGGTTCAGCAAACCTAAGTGTTCCTGGGAGATTTAATATAATTGAAATTCCCCTTTCCCAGCTTATCTTGATTGTGTGACTTGGAAAAGGGAATAAGACTATTGAAAGGATAGGGTAATTTATGTTATGAGAACTCTGCTTATTACTAAGACATTCTTGAAATTACACTGTTACTGCCTTTAAATATTAATTCTATTTCCTGAAAGAATGAGCTAAAGAATTCAAGCAATTCTAAAGCACATGGAGGAGAAACTAAGTTCTCAAGAGAAGAAAATTGCCAGAAGGTGAAATATGCAATTTGACAGTATGCATGTGTTATATTGTTACAAATGCTTCAGACTGTTAACATCAAACTATAAGATGTGTTTTGACAGAGTATAGTAGTTTTGAAGACATGACAAATGATTAATGTAGTACTTAGTGGGATAGTTTCTAAGAAATGAGTTGGGCTTCTTAGATATGGAGGTGATTTAAGCTGTGTATTAACTCTTTTGGTTCATTAGGGTAGTGTTTATTACATTGAAGCAGTAATGGAAATGATTCATTGCGGTGAGTTTAAGAAATTAAAATTCCATGACAAGTTTATTTGATTGGAATGGTTTCAGGAATCACTTGCCAAATTTTTAGATATATATGATAGAAACAAATTGGAGCAGCTGCCTGACTGAGAGTAATCACATTTTAGTGATCATGTCTAACCCATTCCTTTATGATGGAAGTCGTTCTTTTTCCTCATCCCACTGTGAGGTCTGAATGGGCCCTGTAAATTCCAACTCCCTGGCAACGGCTAGCCACGGTAATTGGTTAGAAGGTGGCTTTTAACTAGGGTTAAACTTGTTCTGATTTGCGTGGACTTTTCCAGTTCCAAAATTGAAAGTCCCATGTCTCAGGAACCTCCTCAGTCTCAGGCAAAGTGGGATGTTTGGTCGCCCTCCATTGAACCTAAACTGGCCAATCAGAGTTCTTCCTGGGAGATGTAGACTGGAAATGGAGTCTTTCTTCTTCTGGTCAAAAAACTGTGACAAATTAAGTTTAGGGAAGCTGGCAGCTCTGCGTCTGACCTCAGGACTTGGCTACTCTGAAATAATAGAGTGTACTTGCTGAGAACAAGGTGGAAACAGAGTTCCCAAAACATTTGAGTCTCTAGTTTCTCCCCACCTTTAGCAAGGACAGTGTGTTTAATGTGAGCCAATGGGCTTTCCTTCTTTTGCCCAAACTATTCTAATTGAATTTCTGTCAATTACAACCAAAGAATCCTAATACAGTATGTTTGCCCCTAGACAACCCAGGAATTACTATCTTTTAATCTTTTTTATTATATTTTTTCCCAGTTTTATAGAACTTACAAAATAGGAAGTAGAAACATTGAAAATAGTAATTAAAATTTAGGTTGGAAGGGATTTTAGAGGGCTTGAAGGCTAATTTTGCAGATAGGATGGAATTCCTTTCTACAAAATGCCTGGAACAATGTGGTATAATTCGTTCTTCTCCTTTGCTTATCAAGTCTAGTTTCATCATAGTTTATAAGACATCTATATCTGGTCCATGAATCTAATGCTTGGTATGGGGTTTGGTACTTAAAAGCACATTGTCCCTATTGGTTGACATACTGTTGAATGGATGCATGTTTAACTGAACTTAATTGTAATGACCCCTTAATCTTAATTTTACATTTGGGTTTTGGAAGGGAATCTTAGAAAATTATAGAATCGGATTAGTGAAGATCAGAGGAACCTCTTGTAACTGCAGTTTATTACGTATACTGTGTATATAGATCAAATACGTTTTGGCCATTTACATTTTATGGTTTCTTTTCTAAATGCTAAAGAAAGTGACTTTATTTAAACATATGATCATGTAAACAATGATAATTGTGTCTAAAATTGTTCTTTGGAAAGATAAAATTTTCCATTGTAACTTGAATGTTTCTGCTTTGGAAAAGAATTGTTTGTTCACCTAATCAGTAAAAATTACCAATTTCTGGCCGGGTGCGGTAGCTCACACCTGTAATCTCAGCACTTTGGGATGCCAAGGTGGGTGGATCACGAGGTCAGGAGATCGAGACCATCCTGGCTAACACGGTGAAACCCCGTCTCTACTAAAAATACAAAAAATTAGCTGGGCGTGGTGGTGGGCGCCTGTAGTCCTGGCTACTCGGGAGGCTGAGGCAGGAGAATGGCGTGAACCCGGGAGGCGGAGCTTGCAGTGAGCCGCGATCACGCCACTGCACTCCAGCCTGGGAGACAGAGCGAGACTCCATCTCAAAAAAAAAAAAAAAAAAAAAAAATTGCCAATTTCCTACCATGCTCATAGAAGTTACAGGAGTTAGGAGTTTCCAATTAGCTCATAGTATGTCTGGGGCATGGAAGATGTATCATTAGTACCCTTGCATTTGTAAGTAATAGAAAATGCCACTCCAACTGGCCTAAAGAAAAGTAGAAAAATTTTCATTTACATAATGGAAAAGGTGAACCAGACTCCAGGACTCTGGCATTGTTACCATGCCCTGGTTGTTTCTTTTTCAGTTATTAGCTCTACTTCCTATATGAATTATTTCTCAGAAATGCCCCTTCCCCACCCCATAACAGCAAGATGACTGCCATAGGTTGTCTACCATTATCCAGCTCATCATTCAGGTAGGAATGGGAAGGGAAATATGTCAATATAACACAAGATCCTAGTCTCTCCATTAGCAGTCCCAGCCAAAGTCTCCAGAGTCTCTGTCTCTCCTTGGTTTGGATTTCCTGAGGGGATTTCTATCCCTAAATTAATCACTTAGGAGCTACAGTCATTACTTTTGGAGCCAAGGTGAGAACTCCAGAAAGTATGAGAAGTTTACCAAAAAAAGGAATGAAGAGGAATGGCTGGTAGCTGGAGAAATGATTAACAACGTTTTCTACAAAGGATGTACAGGCAACCAGCATTTGGGGGTATTAAGCCTTTTGCCACTTCAGTGTAAGTGGCGTGTTATGGACTGAATGTTTGTGCCTTCTCTCCAGCCCTGTAAATTTATACTTTAAAACTCCAACTCCCAATGTGATGGAGACCTTTGAGAGGTAATTAGGTTTAGATGAAGTCATGAGCACTCTCTCTCTGCCATGTGAGGTCACAGTAAGAAGGTGGCTACCTGTAAGCCAGGAAGAGAGCCCTCACCAGGAACTAAACCTTGATTCTGAACTTCCCTGCTTCTAGAGCTGTGAAAAATAAATGTCTATTCTTTAGGCCACTGAGTTGTATTTTTTTATAGTATTCTGAGCTGACTAATATATGGTTCGAGGCTGAACTGTATCAATTTAAGAAAAAATTGCTCTGCATTAGTGACCTGCTTGCTTCTATGTTTATGCTACTCCCACACACTGAGAAGCTTTGAGTTTTAAATCAAGTTTTAGCTACTGTTGCAGCCCCACTGGAAGCCCCTCCATGACTTCTTGCTGTCTTGCTGCAGGGGTGAGGAAGGAAGGGGATGGGAGTGTTATGCAAATGCTGGGCCCTCCCTGTGCAGACCTCCTGAGTCAGATTCTGAGAGGAGGAGTTCAGAGTATTTTTTTTTAAGTGCCCACGTGATTCTGAAGGGCAGGAACAGCTGAACACGACGGGCTCTCTTTCTCTGGAGAGCCCACCTCCTCTGCAGCCTGGCACCACCCATCCAGCCTTCAAGATCCAGCTCACTCATCACCATCTCGATGAAGTCTTCCTTGCGTCTCTCGGGAAGACCGAGAGCTGCCTCTTCTGTAATGCCACAACATTTTGTTCACATTTGCATCCTGGCACTTTCTGTCTTGTATTATATTGACATATTTGTATATCAGTTTCCTCACCAGATTTTTTTTTTTTTTTTTTTTTGAGACAGGGTCTCACACTGTCACCCAGGCTGGAGTGCAGTGGCGTGATCTCGGTCTCAGTTGAAACCTCCTGGGCTCAAGTGATCCTCACACCTCAGCCTCCCGAGTAGCTGGGACCACAGGTGCATACCACCATGCCTGGTTAATTTTTGTACTTTTTGTAGAGATGGGGTTCCATCATGTTTCCCAGGCTGGTCCTGAATTCCTGGGCTCAAGCAATCTGGCCGCCTCAGCCTCTTAAAGTACTAGGATTACAGGTGTGAGCCACTGCACCTGACACTTTACCAGATTTTGAGAAACTTGTGGGCAGGGATCATATATTCTAAATGCTGAATTTTGTGATGGTGGAGAAAAGGAGGAACTCAGAGAAGTGAGGGAGTGGTGAGGGCCAGAGTCATCATCTCCAAAGGGCAGGTTCTGGCATGGACATAGCAAACATTGGAAGTTATGTTCTATTTATTTTTCTATGTAACCTTTAATTTCTACTTTTGGGCATGTTTATAAGGTACATCTTATAGAGTAGTACACATATATATAGTTAATACATATAATTGGTATACTATAGTTGATAACATATATTGAGAGTTTATTTTCAAACATTTTAAACATGGAGTGTGAGACTAAAAACAGGTGGAGCCTATGGGTTGAGATCATCATTTTCCAATTTCTTGTAGCAACAACCCACCTTGGGGCCTACCTGTCACACCGTTATCTTGTGAGTAGGTGACTGTGCACCAACAGGGAGATCACTCTGAGGAAAATATATTTCTGAGGGATTCTGCACGAATTCCTGACACTTCCAATCCGATTGCAATTCATTAGAGATGCTCACCTCCCTCTCAAGTCCCCCAGTTGATGTCACTAGGGGGCCACATCCTGCAGCTTGGGAAACCCTGGGTGGATAATGAGGGAGCTACGTAGAGGAGGGGTCTGGATCTGGACCTCGAGCTATGTCTCCTGATGACGGCCTTGTAAAAATGCAGCTTCCCCAGGCCTCAGGCTGGCATTCCTGTGGCGCCCTGGGGTCTGACAACTCAGAATCTCAGGCTCAGAGAATATGTGATGGTTTTATCTCATGGACCATGAGGGATGGGCCTCTGGAAAAGGAGAGCAGGAAAAAGACAGGAAATCTGCAGGACAGTGGGAAGATCGGTGCTTATGAGAAATAAAGCTGGCCAGGTAGGCCTAGGCCAGATCACGCAGAGCCTAGGCCAGATCACGCAGAGCCTTGAAAGTCAGGTGGAGGGTATTTTGACACAGTGGAAGGCAATACTCATCAGTACTGTTAAGTGGAATCAGCCTTACCTTAATCAGTCACCTGAAAAGTGTTGCACAGATTCCTGCGGGCTGAGTCTGTAGACCTAAATCCAGTTGAGTTCTGAGCTCACTCTTTGTGGAGCTGTATCTGCCTTGCTTGTCTAGCCCCATCTCTGGGGTGAAGTTGAGGATGAATCCAGTGCCACCCAGGTACTATGGGACAGTGGCCCCACGGGCACTCGTCTTCCACCAATCAGCTTCACAACTTTAGGACTTGCTTGGGAAGGCCTCTGGCTTCCATTAATTTTGGACCTTGATGTTTTCTCCTCCAGCCTAGAGGTGAGTGGCAACTGAACTGAGACTACAGCCTATGCTTGATTCACTGAAGTTAATGCCAAGGCACGACCTCCTTCTGCTTCTCTTACCGAACATTCTTTTCCTTTCCTTGGGATTGCACAAAAATGGCAGAAGTAGTTTCTTCCCAAGCTCCCTGACAGCCACCCAATGACTGTCTCTGCTCTCAGGTCACCGTGTGCTTGGCCATCATTTTATTTGATGGTAAATACCTGGGGGATGTGACTGTTCTCCAGAAGGAGTAATCTAAAAACAGTGTTCCATTTTGGATTTAAGCAGCGTTGTACCTTATAAGCAGACTTAAAATCATTTTGTAGTAGTAATTCTTGCATGGCAAACCATACGTGATCTTGAGGCTTTCTGAAATGAGGCTCGGTGTTTAAAATGGGTGCTGTTGATAACCAGCTCTATAAGGCTGGCAAGGAGGTGTTTGAGGGGGGTCTTAATGCTCTAGTTTTCATTAACTAGTCACTGTGGCAGCAGTTTATTAAATTGCAAATCGGAAACTTTTAGTTAAAAGGGCTGGCTGTGATCCAATTAATATATTCATTTTTAATAGTGAGGCCCCAGGCTGTGAAAAGCCACCAATGCGGAAACATGTGTTGGAGCTTCATCTGGGTCCTAGCACCCGCTTTTTGAGGTTCACTTGTAACATTCATTATTACCATCCTCGGCAGTGCCCTTTCGTTCACCTCTGACAGCTTCTCAGGGGAAAGTGGAAGAAGGCAGCATGCGTTTAGCTTTCTTTGTGGTCCTAGGGTCCATCATCCCCAGGGTGGAGAGTTTCTTTCCAGTTGACCTTCTGATTGACCAGGGGAGGAATAAAGTGTAGGGTGTATTGATTGGTTTTGACTTTGGAGATATGAAACAAAGGTGCTTTCTGCTGATGGCTAAAACTAATTACAACACAGGACCACAGGGCTTTCGGCAGCTTAAACAAAACAGTGCTGAAGGTCCCTTAAGAAAAAAACAGAATCTAAGCCCAAAAGGAGAATAAAAAGGGGAGAGAGGTCCCTTTTCATACTCTATGCTTATTTGACTTTCTTGTATAGTTGGTCCTCTGTATCTGCAGATTCTGCATCCACAAATTCAACCAATCATGGATTGAAGATGTTAAATAATACAACAATACAAAATACAAATTAAAAGCTGTAAGGAACATGGCTGCCCTGCGGCCAAGTGGGCATGGGCTGAGGTAAATATCCTGCATAACTCAGCGAGTTTAGAACACAGGCGTCTAACTCCACTTGTTATCACAGCTATGTAGCCATAATGTTGGAAGACCATCACTTGGCTCTAAGCCATTATTGTCTGTAAAAGGTATAATTGCGCTGCTGACACTGTACAGGTGCACTTGTGCCCAGAGAGAGTTAAGCTGCTGACCCTGAAGGTAAGGGAGAGCCGGCTGCGCAGCTGTGTGTGGGAGCAGCCAGCTCAAGCAGCTGATACAGAGTGGACAGTGTAAGAGAGCTGCTGATGAGAAAGCTGCTGAATAAAGCCATATTTCACCTACCTACGCCCCCAACCCAGTGCTCTTTGAACTGTTTGCCACTCATCCACCCACTCCCTTCAGACCTCAACATGGGCTGGAACTGAACTTGAACCTAACAAAAACAATACAGTATAACAACTATTTACATAGCATTTACATCGTATTGGTGTTGTGCTGAACCTTTATTGACTGCAGTGGGGATAGCACTAGGTTCAAGAGTCTGAAGAAGAGACTCAGAGGCAGCAAATGAGTCATGGGTTTTTATAGGGGGGCTTATACACAGGGAGAGAGTCCAGTGGTGGCGGGCTGGGCAGGAGAACCACAACCACTTACAGAACACATGCAGCTTATATATAATACTATGGGTCGGGTCAGGGGCTCAGATGCTCCTCATAGATAAGGAATTGATCTCTGGGTTGTTCACTCCCGGAATCCTTAGCTCAGAATGCTGAACACATGCTCAGGTGCATCTGCCATACACAGTCATTCTCAGGATATGCTCAAGTCAAGTTATTGCTGTCAGGTGCATCTACCATAAAATTGGGTATTATAAGCAATTTAGAGATGGTTTAAAGTACATAGGTGGATGAAGGTTATATGAAAATACTACCCCATTTTATGTCAGGGACTTGAGCATCTGCAGATTTTGGTATCTCTGGGGGTCCTGGAACCACTCCCCTGCAGATACTGAGGAACAACTGCAAGTTGTGTCTGTAAGTTGTCTCCCTTTGGTGACATAAGAGACTGTGGGGCAATTATGTCCTCGAGCCCCAGCCCATCTTGAAGCAGGACTGGGTGTTTCCAAGCATCCACCAAGCAGATCTGATGGGACCTTGCATTAATGAGAAGGGGATACTTGGCCTTAGATTTTCTGAAGAGATGGCAAAGAAATTCACATCACTGGCTGCACAGCAGAAATGGAATTAAATTCACATTGGATAACTCTTGTCCACGTTGTTCTTTGCTTTCTCTCCCAGGACCCCTCTACAGTCCTCCTCTGCTGTCTGGGTGGGTTTTGACTGGCAGCTTGCATGCTTCTGCAGCAAAGCTCGAGCTGGGTAGCTGAGTGGCTGCCGTTGGCTTTTCACCCCTCAGCATGCCCTGTGTGTATTGGTTCATCTCCTTGTTTCACTGAGTTTGTGTCCTCCATCGTACTTGTCCTCCCCTTGTCCTGTTGGTTGGGTTTGATACCCCAACAGCCTTCTGCCCTTGAACATGGGGCTCATAACCAGAATGTGCTGTTTCCCACAAACTCTTGCCTTCTAACTTTAAGATGTGATCGGCCTTGCTTCAAAGTCAGGACAATTTGAGGCTGCTCTAATAATTGATTACATTCTTAGACAACCACACATTCCATCAGCCTTGCTGGAAATGCTGCTCTTATCCTGCCCTTGCTACTGTAAATGTCCTTCTACCTTGTTCTCAAGACTAAGTTTCCACTTGTACCCCAGTCTCACCAGCTGGGCCCCTGTTTGGCTTCCTAGGCCACTGTTTTTGCTATGATAATGCCCCGTTAACTCAGACCTCACACTCTGCTTTGCTCTTGGAAGGCCAGGCTAGATTCTTATACTTCTCCCTGGTACTTGGAGTTCTGCTGCCTGATTCAGACTCTCTCCCGGGGATCTCCCAGTATTGCCTTTGCCAGATCACTTGTGAAGGCAGAATAAGACCCCCACCCCAGATGTACACATCCTAATCCCTGGAACCGGTACATATTAATATGTTAGGTTACATGAGAAAGGGGAATGGAGGTTGCAGATGGAATTAAGGTTTCATACCAGTAGATGGGGAGATTAGCCTGGATTATCTGGGTGGGCCCAGTGTTATCCCAAGGGTTCTGTCACTATTGATGACAATGTGGAGGATGCAGGTTATATGCGCATACTACACCCGTTTATGTCAGGGACTTGGGGCAATTATGTTCTTGCCCAAACCCATCTTGAGGCAGGACTGTGTGATAACAAGTAGAAGAGAAAGGTATAAGAGGAAACCAGAGTGACACAATGTGAGAAAGACCTGGTTGGTTGCTGGCTTTGAAGATGGAAGAGGAGCCATGAGCCAAGGAATGCAGGCAGCCTCTGGAAAAGGGGAAGAACAAGTTCTCCTCTCAGAGCCTCCAGGAAGGAATGCAGCCCAGCGGACACCTTGATTTTAGCCAAGTGAGACCCATTACAGAATCATGATCTTCAGAATTGTAAGAGAATAAATTTGTTTTAAGCCAGTAAGTTCATGATCATTTGTTACAGCAGCCATAGGAAACCTGTACACTTGTCCTGTCTGTCCTCCTGCCCCTGACCTGGCATCTTCTGACTCCCATCCCTAACTGTGACATTGATCCCTGCCTGGATCACACCTTTGCCTTACTGCTATGCTGGCACATCATAGCTTGGATTTGGTGAGCACTTAACTAAGTTCCTGGAATGTTCTAGGGGCTGTGTGTGTACTCACTTCATTTACCATCTCATTTAACCCATGGTGTACTGATATGGTGCTCTCTCTGTGTCATGGGCTAGCCTGAGCCAATCTGGGTAAATAGAGGTAGGCCCTTGTGGTTTGCAGGAGGTAACCAAGAAGGGAGACGGGTGTCGCCCTCTTCCTGTCCTCAGGCTGCAGGCCTTGACTTGCAAGTAAGGCTCTGGCTGGGGGCCTGTGGTGTCCTATGGCCAGCTCAGCTCAGGGACCTGGGTCTATGGACCTCCAGGCCAGGGCTCTGCTCTTCTGGCACAGGCTGCTGGCCCTGCCTGGTTTCTACGGACCATTTCTGCACAGGCAGGGAGCGCTATGCATGTGCCCCACCAACCATCAGTCTCAAATGTCATTGATTTTACCAACCAACAAACAGAAACAAAATACAAAAGACTCAAAATCTGGAACTTGAACAGATATTTGCACACCCATGTCCATAGCAACATCATTCACAATGGCCAAAAGGCGGACGTGACACAAATGTCCATTGATGGAGGAATGGATAAACAAAATGGGGTCTGTCTATAGAATGGAATATTACTCAGCCTTTAAAAAGAAACGAGATCCTGACACGTGCTACAGCATGGATGAACTTTCAAAATGTGTTAAGTGAAGTAAGCCAGTCACAAAGGTCAAATGCTGTGTGACTCCACTTACATGAGGTACCTAGAGTCGTCAAATTCATAGAAGCAGAGAGTAGAGTGGTGGTTGCTGGGGGCTGGGGAGACAGGGTGATGGGAAGTTATTGTTTAATGGATACAAAGTTTCAGTTTTGCAAGAAGAAAAATGTTCTGGATAATGGATTATGGTGATGTTTTCCTAACAATATGAGTGTATTTAATGCCACTGAATTGTACATTTACTAGTTAACATGGTAAATTTTGTGTTATGTATATTACACAATAAAAAAATTCTTAGCAGCTTCTCATTCTGGTCACTAACCTCTCTAGTGTTGTTTTTGATAGGAGCATTTAAATGCTAATTAAGCACCGCTGGAGTACAGGTTAGAATATAAGTTTGTGCAACCGTATTGAGATTATACCTTTGTACAACCACATCACATAGTTTATATCAAGGTTGTTTTAAAGTAGGTTTTCATGTAGGCCATGTCACCCTGTGACGTGCTAGGTGGTCAGCTGGCCCCAGTACCTCCTCCTTAGTCTCACAGATAACCTCATCTCCATGTTGCCACCTGGTCAGGTATGCCTTGTTCTACTGTTCACTGAGCTCCAAGCTTCCATTCTGAGGCATTTAGCGTATCTCTTTTACTAGGTAATTGCAAGTATTATTATGCAAATATGTGTAGATGAAATTTGCTAAATCCTGTAATTGTGGCTAAACTTTCATGGACAATTTAGGCCTCATGACAGTCTCAGGGGATCATCTAGTGCCTCTAGATGGGACCTCGGCATTTTCTCACTCCTTAAAATTCCCCAGGAGTTTCTTTTTATGACATATTAGGGAAGGAGGACAAGTTATAAGCATCCAAACATGGGTCATAGTTGATGTGCTACCCACAAAGGTAAAAAATGAGCCTCCACTGCCAAGCAGCCAAGCTTGGCAAAACCCCGATTGTGTTAACCATCCTCCTCCTGCCCTCATGCCTGGATCACTGCCCAATCCAGGATGCAAGGCTGTGAGCGCTGTACTTCTGCTCCCGCTAATAGGTCACCTGATGCTTCCTTCTTGGGGAGTGCACTGCCTCTATGCTCCTCGGAACCAGCTGGGCAGAGGTCAGCAACTCAGTTAGGACCTCAGGAATGAACCCTCCATTTGGGAGCACTCAGCTGCATGAGTTTCAGGGCATGTCCTATGTTGCCAGAACGTTTCCTCGAATCAACACAAAATCTTTCTGCTACAACTCACACTCCTCTATTCTAATTTAATGGGAGCTAATAGTTTCTTGTTATATTCTGTGCACTCATGTGTTCATTCACTCATCAATTCACTCAGATTTGTGCACCTAGCTAAGCCTCATAGAACATCTACTTTTGACAGATATTGTGCTTACTGGCTGTTAGGGATACAAAGATGAATTAAGACCTCCACACTTGCCCTAGAGGAGTTTCTAGCCTACTGGGGTGATAGACACAGAAGTAATTATAATGCAATTTGGTAGATATAACATTATAAATGGAGACAGCTGATATTTGGAGAGCATGCATTGGTATGGCTGCTCCAGTTGCTCCACCACCAGAATCAGTAATGATAGGGTTAAACCTGGTGAGGCCGCAGGGGATAAGGTTGCCTCAGGACCCTGGCCCAGTGTTGTGGCCAGCATTAGCAGTGCTCGATTGGTGCCTAAATGGTAAGTATTATGGCCAACACTCTTGGATGTGTTTGGGTCCCAGCCAGGGGAGGATGATTGTTAGGGGAGGTGATACCTGCTGGAATATTAAAAATGAGTACTGAGGAGCTATTTAGGTAAAAAGGATGTAGAGGGTTTGGGGTAAAGACAGGTGATCCCGATCTGAGGGAAAGCCTGAGCAAATGCAAGGAGGTGAGAAACAACCTCAGGAATTCAGGTACTGGAGGAGTTTGAGGTGCTGTCCAGGGGGTCATGGGAACGAGTAGTGGAATGAGATGAGGCTGGAGGAGTGCATGGGGCCAGGCAGGGAAGGGCTGTAAGCACTACTTTAGGGCTCTCTTCTTTCTGTTTAAGAAGGTATTTCTGATGTCTGTGTAAAGGCTGGACTTGAGAGAGAGAGATCGAGGCCTAGGAGATCAGGGCAGAGGCTCTGATGGGACTCCAGGCAAGGATGGTGAGGATTTCAATAGGATGGTGGAGACTTGTGGGATAGGAGGGCAGGTGTGGGCAATGTGTTGGAGGAAAAGCCAGCAAGGTTTGGCGATTGCTTGGGAATGGGAAGGGAGTGAGAGGAAGGTGTCTGCCAGGTTTTAGATGGCTGGAGGCAGGCATCTGTGTTAGGGTCCCTGTGCTACGGTAACTAATTACCATGACCTGGGGGCGTAACACAACAGAAATTTATTGTCTCACAGTTCCAGAGGCTAGAAGTCCAAAAAACAAAATTATCCGCAGGATTGGTTCCTTGTGGTGGCTCTGAGGGAGAATCCACTCCATATCTCTGTCCTGTTCCCCTTCTTTAAAAAACTTTTTTCTATATTTTTAATTTTTATGGATACGTAAGTTATACATATTTATGGGGTACATGTGAAATTTTGATAGAAGCATACAATATGTAATGATAAAACCAGGCTTATTGGGATATTTGTCATCTCAAGCATTTATCATTTATTCATGTTGGGAACATTCCAATTCCATCCTTCTAGTTATTTTGAAATATACAATAAATTATTGTTAACTCTAGTCACTCTGTTGTGCTACAGAACACTAGATCTTATCTTATTCCTTCTATCTAACTGTATTTTTGTGTTCATGAACCAATGCCTCTTTCTTGCTCCACTTCTCGTGGCTCCAGAAATCCTTGGTGTGCTTGGTTTGTAGATGCACCCCTCCAATTTCTGCCTCTGTTTTCATGTGACCGTCTCCTTTGTATGTCTCAAATTTTCCTCTGTCTTCCTCTTCAAAGGGCATCAGTCATTAGATTAGGGCCCACCCCAACTTTAGGATAATCTTATCTTGAGATCCTAAACTTAATTACATCTGTAAAGACGCTTATTTCAAGTAAGTTTACATTCTGAGTTTCCGTGTGGACATGTCTTTTGGAGGTACACATTCCACCAGTACGTCATCTGAACAGAATAGAGAACACCAATGAGGAAAGAGGTTGGGAGAGAGTGATGAGTTTATTTCAAGCATGTAGTTCTGAAGTGTCTGTGGAATATCTGGGTGGAGAGGTGCAGAAGGTATATGAGTTGAGATCTCAGGAGGGGAGTTTGGGCATCATTGTATTTGGTAGATGAGAGTAGGTAAGATTATTCGAGGAGAGCACAGGAAAAGCAATGGACTGAGAATGGGCCCTTGGGGAATGTCAATAACTAAGGGGAGGTAAGGGGAGGTCTCCGTTAAGGAGACCAAGAAGGAGTGGTCACAGTGGTAGGAGGAGGACCACGAGTCAGTCCTATTGCTAGGAAAAGGCAGTAGAGTGTTTCACGGAAAGTGTTTAGTGCAGTCCCTAGGGTCAAGTGAGACCAAGATGCTTGCTGGATCCTAAGGTTTCTGGGCTGCCATGTTTGTGTGGAGTTGAATTAAAGAGAACACTGTGATTTCCCCTGCCTTGGCTGATGGCATGCTTGTTTCTGGAATGACAATTATTAATGACAACACAGTGGATATGATGAGGAGTGACATGGGTGTGAGTAGGATGCTCTGAATTCTGGTTGTGGCATTTGAATTTCAAGATAATTACCTTAATTTGGGAGGGCAATACCCTGAACTGATCTAATTTCCCCTTAAAAACTTCTGTGGGCTCTAATGTGCCTCATTATCGCAATTATAAGGTTGTTTGAGGGTAAAAAAGTGACTGGAAACAAAATTGTAGGAAATTAGGTCAGAGCAGTGTTCAGTTTAAGGCAGAAAAGTGGGGAGGCAATTTTGTGTCATTGTCTGAAAGAAATTATTGAGTTGCATGGCCCACTGATCTGAATGTGAAGATCGTTCTTATGAGCATTCGTGGCTGTGGTCTGGCATGCTCTGGGTTGATTAGTCATGGTTGGTTTCTCCAGTCCTAAATTAATTGGCAGAGTCTCAAGTGCTGTTGTATATTCAGCTCCTATAGAATTATGTTTCATAATCTTATGGTTCATGGTACTCTCTCTTTCCCAATTCTGGAAGAACCAGAAGTCCTCTTAATTCTGAAAGGTGGCTCAAAGGTCAAAGACCTGCAAACCTTTTTTGTTGGCTTAAGGACTGGGCTTGATTCACCTGGAACTTAATTGAGATGATTGAGTGTTTTAATGGGAACAGGCTTGGTTTCATGCACTAAAAAATAACCCCAACATCTCAATGGCTTAACATAAGAGTTTATTCTCAATATACTGCATATTCAAGGACGGGTGAATGATAGTGCCTAGACAGTCATCTGTGGCCCAGGTTGATGGTGTCTTCACCATCGTTTGATTGCACCACCTGGAACACATGGACCTCTAGGTGGCCACAGCAGGGGAAGAGAGACTGGAGCTATTTGCTACCTCAGATCAATCCATTGGCCAGAAAATAGTCTGATGGCCCTCCAGTTCCCAAATGCAAAGGGCCGAGTTGTGCAGTCTTCCATTAGCCAAAATGAGAGATGAATGAGATACTGGTAATGGTTAGTTACTTCTACCAGGAACTAGTGTAGAGAACCTCAGTGAACTGAACATTTCAGTACTAGTTAGTGTTTAGTGAACTCTCCCTGGGTGCCTGTGTTTAGGGTAACTTTCCCTAAGTACTACCTTTCACAATGTCAGTGGTCTGCCAGAGGATCTTCTTGCCCAGGGAACTATCTACTTTTAGATATGTAAGTACATGTTTGACAGACATGTTTGGAGTATCAATAAGCCCATGCTACCTTCTCTGGAAGTTTACCTCCGCAGAAGTTGTACCTAGGTAGCCTTTTTTTTTTTTTCTCATAAATGTAATTGAATGACACAGAGGCTGTCATTGGACTATGGGTTTCAAAACCTGCTAGTAGGAGTCTCTAGGTGTTGTAGAGTGGCCATCATAATAGCTCCTTGCAGTGGTGAGTAGTCATGGTCCCTAAGCCTGAGGACCTTTCAGACATTGTAGCCTCAAAATGCAAGAAATGAGACTCACAATCCTTCCAGGTTTGACTTATTCTTGGGCCATGATGGCCATTTGCAGAGGGAAGCTAGTGGGTGGTTCCAGGATTCTGGTTCTTAACACCACAAATCAGAAAGCTTGAATAAGGAGACTGAGTCTCCTATTAGTACCACTTTCTGGACACATGTCACAGCATCAGAGACTAGTGGCCTGACCACCAAAATATTCCTCATCCTTGATGGCTTCTTTTTGCCCTATCAGGCAACATCCAAATAATGCCATAGTGTTGTATCCTTCTCTTCTGTGAGGGTGCGGAGAGGATGCATGGAACAGAGGCACAGATATGGCTGTGGCTCTTTGCAGGTGGGGTCAGGGCTGAGGTGAGAGAAGGAACCGAGTCTTGGTGCTTGCCATCTTGGTCTAGAAGGCGACTGGAGGCAAATGTGAGGCAAAGGGTTTTGGCTGGTTCCCCCTTGATGGGAAGACACAAAGAAATGTTTCACTGTGGTAGGCTTTTACCTACCTTCTGCAGTGAGTACATTGGATTTTAAGCCTGGTGGACTTGGGACATCTGCGTGCTTTACATCAGTGCTTTTAAGCAACAGAACTGAAGGTCATGTGGAATTGAGCTTGAGGCAGCCAGGTGTACTGTGATGACAAGAATAAGAAAGCTGCTCTGTGGTGAGGAGCAGGAGAATGGAGCATGCAAGGGGAGAAAGGGGGATAAAGAAGAGAGGAAGACAAAGCTCTCCCAGTTCTTGGTCATTTTCTAGTTACAAGCTGTCATTTCTGAAGAATCCTGTGGAACCTTCTCCTTATAAAAACTCTTGAATAAACTAGCTAAAGTGAGGGTCTATTCCTTTCATAGGAAAAAAGAGGGGAATGCATCCTCATTCTTACAACCAGGATGGTCATCATACCATGTACTCATCCAACAAATGTTTCTTGACCTCTTGCTATATGGAGTCCTCTGCTGCACCCTGGGGATAAAATGGTAAACAAGACACAGCCCTTGCCGTAGGAGGGCCTACCTCAGTCAAATGGGAAATGCACACAAGCAAACGGGCCACTACAGGCCAGTGTGAGAAGGAGTCAATAGAAGGATGCAGTCCTGGCAGGTTGCCCAGCAAGGGCAGGCTTTCAGTGGGCCCACGGGGATGAGGAGGAGTGTGTCAGCCAGGGCCAGGCTAAAGGCAGGATGCTGAGTGCTTCCGGCAGAAAGACCGCGCTCGAGACAGGCCAGTTAACCATGACCATTTTGGGCTCTGTGGCTAACAGTCCCGATTATAGACATTTCTTGCTCTATTACCTACATTTCATGCTAACATAACAAGGATCAGTTTTCACCCTGATACCTGGTGTTACAGACAGCTCAGTCATGGCCTTAATATTATTAGCCATTCTTAATTAAATATATTCTCCAGATAGTACCTGATGGCCATACCTCTCCTTATAAACACTTTTGAAATTTTAACACTCAGAAATTCTAAAAACTATTAACAGTGTATTACTAAAGATTTATTTTGGAAAGGTTGGCTTTTTAGAAGGGCTTAGCAAAGAGTGTTAATTAAAGCTGTTTTCCTACTTTAAAATGTCAGCACACCGGTTACGGGCATTCTCCTTTGGTGTGTGTGTCCTGGAAATGTGTACTAAGATAGTGTCACATGTTTATGGTCCTTCTGTGTATGATTGATCAGATTATTTTTCATCAAAATATACACCCACCTCATTCTATTTTGTTCCTTCTGACAAAAATGCTAGGATTCTTTCCAAGGGAAGATTTTTATTGTCTTCGTCTCAGCCTCTCAAGGACTTTTGTCATTGCTGGTCCCATTCAAGTACAATGACAAATTACTGAGGTCAGTTGACAATACCTATCCAAAGTCCATGATGGAATGTTCTAGAACAGGACCCAGAACTCAATTCTTCAGGCTCCCTCCTTGGTTTATCTCTTAGTTCTTTCTATTATTCTCTTGATTTCCTAATTAATGAAAAAAAACTGATTTTTTTACAGAACAATTTTTTTAACAGAAAGAGTGTATTTAGTGAGAACTATGCTTGTGCTAATTGAGAAATGTTACTGAAATGATCTGATATTAAAAAGCAATGACTTTTAGACTAAAAGAGCCCCATCAGTGACTGCATCCAAACCATTTTTAGTGGAAACTTGCAACCTTTCTCCAATGACCTATGTGACGTTAGACTGTTATGTAATAACTTCAAGCCTCAGTTTTCTCAAGTGTAAAATTGGCTTATTAGACTCGATTATCTGAAAGGTGTCTTCCACTCCAAAATTCTATGACTCTTTACAATGTAGGAAAGAGAGATTGAGGAGCTTGCCTGAGGTACATCCAGCTGCTAAAAAGATACTACCCAGCCTCAGAACTGTAAGTCCAGAGTTCTTTCAACTTTCTAAGGTGTTAAATAGTTTATGACTAAAGTTCTATCTAAGGCACTGTTTTCATTGTTATTCAAAACATAACTGAAATCAATATTTGTCAGATACAAAGGGCAGCAACACGAGAAAAATGATTTTCTAAAAGGTCCCTAGACTCTTAGTACAAGTCCTGACTAAGGCTATATTTAGAATACTCATGAGCTCCATTTGCTATGATGACATCCCTCTCTCTCTTTTTTGTCGTGACCTTCATATTTATAATAGATAGGTTTCTAATATTTTCATTTTAGGTAGTAGTACAGCAATATAAATTAACCCATTTGTTCCTGGAAAATGTGCCATGATCTCATCACTGAAAAGAGAGTAAATGAACAGCTCATCTGAAATGTTTACTGAGGGGTTTGAGGGAGACAGTGCTGTCGAGCATGTTAGGAGTGGCATTGAAGATTGCTGGCTGGGAATATTTGGAAAGAATTGGAGGATGGCTGGGTAGGAGTTGGAGGGGGTAATTGGGAGCACAGTTGGGGGTATAAATTTGAGTCTAGAAAATTTAGATGCCTGTATACACAAAGCCAACTATAATTTGGAATTTATAACTGTATAGTAATATGTAGATGAAGCAAAATTTAATTTAAGTTGACCCTTCAGAATACAGACTCAAAGGGTAACCAAGATTTCAGGGATGATGTTCATCCTATACTTAGAGAGCCCCTGTTGTAACCCCATTCCAACCATGCTCCTCTGCACCAGGTGAGCAGTCTGTGAACAAAAAGGCGGTTCTCACCTTTACCCCCTACCTGACTTTCTTGATCTCATTCTAGGTATCCAAGGCCCTGGTATTCCCTGTCCACACAGATTTTCTTCCAAGCCCTGTATAGATGTCTTTCTCAGATTTGTCCTGTAGAGGGTACCTGTACCTCTGGTGCATGTGTCCCCCAGCCCTGAGGGTGGCTCAAGTTTGGCTGTTTATAGATAGAAGCAGTGATTGAAGCTTGGATGAGAGGCGGGAGTGGTCATACATAGGCTGGCACATGAGCAATTTTGAGAGCTTAAAGAATCCTTAAACTTGAAGTTTGGCCTTCTGAGTCATTTGAAGCTATATTTGCCAAAGTAGTATAAGAAAAGATTATTTAGGAGTTTGCCTGATTCATGAATAACGTGTACCTATTTAGACATAAAAGCACGTGGGCCTCCATGGTTCTCTTTCCCTGTGAATGATAGGATACACCTGATATTCAGAATACTTAGTGGGGAGAGGGGTGGAATAATATAGCAGAATAGAAGACTCCATGGATCATTCCCTCCCACAAGGACAACAATTTAACAACTATCTACGCACAAAAAAAAAAACCTCATAAGAACCAAAAATCAGGTAAGCACTCACAGTACCTTGTTTTAACTTCATATTGCTGAAAGAGGCACTGAAGAGACAGAAAAAACAGTCTTGAATTGCTGACATCCCCCATCCCCCACCATCTAGCAGTGAGGTGAGGTGTGGAAAGCATTTCTGTGCACTGGGGGAGGGAGGGTGCAGCAATTGTGAGGCATTGGACTTAGTGCTGTCCTGTTACAGCAAAGAGGAAAACCGGAACAAACTCAGCTGACATCTGCCCACTGATGGAACATTTAAACCAGCCCTAGCCACAGAGGAATCACTGATCCCAGCAGTCAGAACTTGGGTTCTTGCAAGCCACACCACCATGAGCTAAAATACTCTGGGGCCCCAGATAAGCTTGAAAGGCAGTGTAGGCCACAGGGACTGCAACTTCTAGGTGAGTCCTGGGCCCAGAGCCAGTGGCCTGGGGGGACACATAAGCTACTGAGACAACAGCTGGGGTGGCTAAGGAAGTGCTGGCATCACCCCTCCCCTAACTGCTGGCTGCACAGCTCACCCACTCGAAAAGAGACCCCTTCATTTTGCTTGAGGGGAGGAGAGGGAAGAGTGGGGAGGACTTTGTCTTGCATCTTGGATACCAGCTCAGCTAGAGCAGAATAGGGTACCAGGCAGAGTCATGAGGCCCCTTTTCCAGGCCCTAGCTACTGGACAACATTTCTAGACACACTCTGGGCCAGGAGGGAACCCACTGCCTTGAAGAGAAGAACTCAGTCCTTGCAGTATTCATCACCTGCTAACTGAAGAGCCTTTGGGCCCTGGATAACCAACAGCCATACCCAGGTACTATGTTGAGGGCCTTGGGTGAGCCTTGGACTTGCTGGCTTCAGGTGAGACTCAGTACATTACCAGTTGGGGGAGCTATAGGGCAAGACTCCTTCTGCTTGAGAAAAGCAGAGGGAAAAGTAAAGGGGACTTTGTCTTGCACCTTAGGTACCAGCTCAGCCACAGGTGCTTAGAGCAGCAAGCAGGCTCTTGGACTCCCTGATTCTAGGACTTGACTATTGGATGGCATTTCTGGACCTGCTCTGGGTCAGAGGGAAGCCCAGTGCCCTGAAAGGTGAGTCCCAGGCTAGGCAGCATTCACCACGGGCTGACTAAAGAGCCTTGGGGCCTTATGGGAACATTGGCAGTAGTCTGGCAGTACTCCTTGTTGCCAGGGGTGGCAATGGCCACCACAGTGGGGCAAGGCTCCTCTGCTTTTGGAAAGAGGAGGAAAGAGTAGGAAGGACTGCATCTTGTGGTTTGAGTGCCAGCTCAGCTGCAGCACAATAGAACGCTTGATAGATTTCTAAGGTTTTTGACTCTGGTCCCTGGCTCCTGGATAGCCCCTCTGGACCTGTCTGGAGCTTGAGGGGAACTTGCCATCCTGAAAAGAAGGACACAGGCCTGGGTGACTTTGGCACCTGCTGATTGCAGAGCCCCAGGGCCTTGGCAGAACCTAGGCAGTAGCCAGGGAGTGGTTACAGGTCTTGGGCAAAACTCAGTGCAGTCCTAATGGTGGTGGCCACAGGGGTGCTAGTGTCACTCTATGCCAAGCTTCACGTGGCTCAGAACAGAGAGAAAGCCTCTGTTTGTTTGGGAGAAACTAAGAGAAAAGAACAAGTCTTTGCCTGGTAATCCAGGCAGATTCTACCGGATCTTGTTCAAGACCATCAAGGTGGTACCTCAATGGGTCTGCAAGAACCACAGTGTTACTGGGCTTGAGGTACCCCCTAAAGCAGATATAGCTTAGATCATAACACCCAAGTCCTTTAGACTATCTGAAAAGTCTTACCAAGAATGACAGGTGAAAACAAGCCCAGACTGTGACGATTACAATTAATACCTAACTCTTTAATGCCCAGACACAGATGAACATCAAGTATCAAGGCAACCCAGAAAAACATGACCTCACCAAATAAACTAAATAAATCACCAGGGAACAATCCTGGAGAAACAAAGATATGTGACCTTTCAGACAGAGAATTCAAAATAGCTGTTTTGAGGAAACTCAAATTCAAGATAACAGAAGAAATTTAGAAATTATCAGATACATTTACCAAAGAGATTGAAATAATTAAAAAGAATCAAGCAGAAATTCTGGAGCTGAAAAATGCAGTTGACATGTTGAAGAATATATCAGAGTCCTTTAATAGCAGAATTGACTAAGCAGAAGAAAGAATCAGTGAGCTTAAAGACTAATTCTATTATTTGCAAATAGTGAACTATTTGAAAATACACAGAAGAGACAAAAGGAAAAAAATATAAAGCACACCTACAGGATCTAGAAAATAGCTTCAAAAGGGCAAATCTAAGAGTTATTGGTCCTAAAGAAGGAGTAGAGAAAGAGATAGGGGTAGAAAGTGTATTAAAAAATAATAATAACAGAGAACTTCCCAAACCTAGATACCTAAGGTTTGGTGTCATAGAACACTAAGCAGACTTAACCCAAAGAAGACTACCTCAAGGCATTTAATAATCAAATTCTCAAAGGTCAAGGATAAAGAAACGATCCTAAAAGCAGCATTAAAAAAAGAAAGAAATAGCATACAGTGGAGGTCCAGTACTTCCAGCATCTGACTTTTTACAGGCCAGGAGAGAGTGACATGAAGTATTTAAAGTGCTGAAGAAGGAAAAAACCTTTTACCCTAGAATAGTATGTCCAGTGAAAATATCCTTCAAACATGAAGGAGAAAGAAATACTTTTCCATGCAAAAGCTGAGGGGTTTCATCTGTCCTACAAGAAGTGCTAAAGGGAGTACTTCAGTCGGCAAGAAAAGGATGTTAATGAGCAGTAAGTAATCACCGAATGAAGGCACACAACTCACTGCTAATAGTAAATACACAGAAAGACACAGAATATTATAACACTGTAACTGTGTTGTGTAAACTACTCTTATCCCAAGTAGAAAGACTAAATGATGAACCAACCAAAAATAACTACAACTTTTCAAGACAGACAGTACAATAAGATATAAATAGAAACAACAGAAAATTAAAAAGCAGGGGAAGAAAATTAAGGTGTAGAGCTTTTATTGGTTTTCTTTTTGTTTATGCCAACAGTGTTGTTATCAGCTTAAAACAATGGGTTTTTAGATAGAATTTGCAAGCCTCATGGTAATCACAAACCAAAAAAAAAAAAAAAAAATACAATGGATACACAAAAAATAAAAAGCAAGAAACTAAATCATACCATCAGAGAAAATCACCTTCACTAAAAGGAAGATGGAGGAAAAAAAAGGAAGAGAAGACCACAAAACAACCAGAAAACAAATAACAAAATAACAAGAGTAACTCCTTACTTATCAATAATAACACTGAATGTAAATGAACTAATCTCTCCAACCAAAAAGACATACAAAGGCCAAATGGATAAAACAAGCCCATTTGATTTGTTGTCTACAAGAAATGCACTTCATGTATAAAGACAGACTAAAAATAAAGGGATAGAAAGATATTCAATGTCAATGGAAATCAAAAAGCAGGAGTACCTATACTTGTATCAGAAAAAATAAGTTTCAAGACAAAAAACCATAAGAAGAGACAAAGAGGGTCACTATAGGATGATAAAGCGGTCAACTCAACAAGAGGATATAACAATTTTAAACATATATGCACCTAACATGGGAGAACCCAGATATTTAAAGAAAATATTATTAGAGATAAAGAAAGAGATGACCCCCAATGCAATAACAGCTGGAGACTGTAACACCCCAGTTTCAGCATTTGACAAATCTTCCAGACAGAAAATCAATAAGGAAACATCAGACTTACTCTGCATTATAGATCAAATGGATCTAATTAATATTTACAGAACATTTCATCCAACGACTAACAGAACATGTGGATATGGCAAAAGTGGTACTAACAGGAAAGTTCATAGTATAAGTGCCTACATCAAAAAAGAAGAAAAACTTCAGATAGATAACCTAAGGATGCATCTGGAAGAACTAGAAAAGCAAGAGGAAACGAAACCCAAAATTAGTAGAAGAAATAATAAAGATCAGAGCAGAAATAAAATTAATTTAAAATGAAGGAAACAATACAAAACATCAGTGAAACAAAAAGTTGGATTTTTGAAAAGTTAAAATTGACAAACTTTTAGCTGGACTAAGAAAAAAGATTGAAATAAATCAGAGATGAAAAAGGAGACATTATGACTGATACCAGAGAAATTCAAAGGATCATTAGTGGCTACTATGAGCAGCTATATGCCAATAAATTTGAAAATCTAGAAGAAATGGACAAATTCCTAGATATATACAATCTACCAAGATTGAACCAGGAAGAAATCCAAAACCTGAACAGTTCAATAACAAGTCATGAGACTGCAGTCAGAATAAAATGTCTCCCAGTAAAGAAAAGCCCAGGACCCCAGGGCTTCCCTGCTTAATTCTACCAAACATTTAAAGAACTAATACCAATCCTGCTCAAAGTATTCCAAAAAATAGAGGCGGAGGGAATACTTTCAAACTAATTCTACAAGGCCAGTATTACCCTGATGCTCAAACAAGACAAATCAAGAAAAGAAAAGTACAGGTCAATATCTCTAATAAATTTTGATGCAGAAATCCTCAACAAAATGCTAGCAAACCAAATTCAACAACACATTAAAAAGATCATTCATCATGACCAAGTAGGATTTGTTCCTGGGATGCAAGGATGGTTCAACATATGGAAATAAATCAACATGATACATTATATCAATAGAATGTAGGACAAAAAACAAATGATCATTTTAATTAATGCTGAAAAAGCATTTGGTAAAATTCAACATCTCTTCATGTAAAAAACACTCAGAAACCTGGGTATAGAAGGAACATACCTCAACATAACCAAAGGCCATATACAACAACCCGACAGTTAGTATCATACTGAATGAGGAAAAACTGAAAGCCTTTCCTCTAAGATCTAGTACACAACAAGGAAGCCCATTTCCACCAGTGTTATTCAACGTAGTACTAGAAGTCCTAGCTAGAGCAATCAGACAAGAGAAAGAAATAGACGGCATCTAAATTGGAAAGGAAGAAGTCAAATTATCCTTGTTTGCAGGTGATATAATCTTATATTTGGAAGAAACTAAGGACTCCACCAAAAAACTATTAGAACTGATAAACAAATTCAGCAAAGTTGCAGGATACAAAATCAACATACAAAAAAAAGTCAGTAGCATTTCTATGTGCCAATAGTGAATAATCTGAAAAAGAAACAAAAAAGTAATCTCATTTACAATAGCCACAAACATAATTAAATACCTAGGAATTAACCACAGAAGTAAAAAAAACTCTGTAATAAAAACTATAAAATACTTTTGAAAGAAATTGAAGAGAATACCCAAAAATGGAAAAATATTACATGTTCATGGATTGGAAAAATCAATATTGTTAAAATGTCCATATTCCCCAAAGCAATTTACAGATTTAATGCAATCCCTATCAAAATATCAATGACATTATTCACACAAATAAAAATTTTAAAATTTATATGGAACCATAAAAGACCCAGAATCACCAAAGCTATCCTAAGCAAAAAGAACAAAACCGGAAGAATCACATTATCTGACCTCACATTATATTACAGAGCTATAGTAGCCAAAACAGCATGGCATTGGCATAAACACAGACACAGAGACCAATGGAACAGAGTAGAGAACCCAGAAATAAATGCACACATGTGCAGTGAACTCATTGTCGACAACCGTTATATAAGAACATACACTGGAGAAAGACAGTCTCTTAAATAAATGGTTCTGGGAAAACTAGATATCCACATACAGAAGAATGAAACTAGACTCCATCTCTTGCCATATACAAAAATCAAAGTGGATTAAAAACTTAAATCCAAGACATCAATCTATAAAACTACTACAAAAAAACACTGGGGAAAATCTCCAGGATACCATTCTGGGTAAAAATTTTTTGAGTAATACCCTACAAGCACAGGCAACTAAAGCAAACATGGACAAATGGGATCACATTAAGTTAAAAAGCTTCTGCACAGCAAAATAAACAATCAACAAAGTGAAGAGAAAACCCAGAGAATGGGAGAAAATATTTGCAAACTACCCCCACTTCTGACAAGGTATTAATAACCAGAATATATATGGCGCTCTAACAACTCTGTAAGAAAAAAAACCTAACAATCTGATCAAAAAAATGGGCAAAAGATTTGAATAGACATTTTTCAAAATAAGACATACAAATGGAAAACGGGCATATGAAAAGGTGCGCAACATCATTGATCATCAGAGAAATGCAAACCAAAGTTACAATGAGATACCATCTCATCCCAGTTAAAATGGTTCATGTTCAAAAGACAATAAATATTGATGAGGATGTGGAAAAAGGGAATCCTTGTACACTGTTGGTGGGAATATTAATTAGTACAACTATTATGGAGAACAGTTTGGAGGTTCCTCAAAAAACTAAAATAAAGCTACCATATGGCCCCAGCAATCCCACTGCTGGGTTTATATCCAAAGGAGAGGAAATCAGTATATCAAAGATACATCTGCACTCCTATGTTTATTGCAGGACTGTTCACAATAGCTAAGATTTGGAAGCAACGTAAGTGTCCATCAACAGATGAATGAATAAAGAAAATTTGTTACATATACACAATGGAGTACTATTCAGCCATAAAAAAGAATGAGATTCAGTCATTTGCAACAATATGGATGGAACCAGAGATCGTTATGTTAAGTGAAATAAGCCAGGCATAGAAAGACAAACATCACATGTTCTCAATTATTTATGGGACCTAAAAATCAAAGCAATTAAACTCATGGACATAGAGAGTAGAAGGATGTTTGCCAGAGGCTGGGAAGGTTAGTTGGGGAATGGGGGTGAGGTGAGGTGGGATGTGTAAAAAAAAGTTGGAAAGAATGAATAAGACCTACTATTTGATGGCACAACAGGTTGACTATAGTAAATAATAGTCTAATTGTTTTCTGTTTCTTCATGGTTCTATCTTGTTGCTTATATGTGTTCAAAAATTTGTCCATTTCTTCTAGGTTTTTCAATTTTTTTGGTGTATAGTTTTTCATAATAGTTTCTAATGATTCTTTGTATTTCTGTGGTCTCATTTGTTACATCTTTTTCTGATTTTATTTATTTGGGTTTTCTCTCTTTTTTTTAGTCTAGCAAAAGCTTTAATTTCATTTATCTTTTAAAAAATCAACTTTTCATTTTGTTGATCTGTATTTTTTTTAGTCTTAATTTCATTTATTTTTGCTCCGATTCTTGTTATTTCATTTTTTTCTAATTTTGGATTTGGTTTGCTTTTTGTTTTTCAAGTTCCTTGAGGTACCTTATTAAGTTATCCATTTGAAGTCTGTCTGCCTTTTGATATAGGTGTTTACTGCTATAAACTTCCCTCTTAGTACCACTTTTTCTGTATCCTGTAGAATTTGGTATGTTGTATTTCCATTTGCATTTGTTTCAACACAAATGTATTTACATTTGTTTCATACAAATTTTAAAATTTCCTTCTTAATTTCTTCATTTACCTATTTGTTGTTCATGATCATGTTGTTGAATTTCTATGTGTTTCTATGCATTTGTGTAGTTTCCAATGTTCCTCTTGTTATTGATTTCTAGTTTTATTCCATTGTCCCCAGAAAAGATACTTAATGTGATTTCTACTTTCTTGATTTTTTTTCAAAAAATTTTCTTTCTATAGGTTTAGGGGGTACAAGGGTCATTTTGTGACATGGGTATATTGCATAGTGATGAATTCTGGGCTTTTAGAATAGCCATTGCCCAAATATTACACATTGCATCCTTTAAGTAATTTCTCATCCCTCACCCCCCGCCCATCTTCCCATGCTTGAATTTGTTGAGACTTGTTTTATGGCCTAAGATATGGTCTATTTTGAAGAATGTGTCATGTGCTAATGAAAAGTATGTGTATTCTGCTGTAGGTGGGTAAAATGTTCTGTAAATGTCAGTTAGGCCTATTTGGTTTAGTGTGTGGTTTAACTCCAATATTTCTTTGTTCACTTTCTGTGTGTGGATGATCTGCCCGTTACTGAGAGTGGGATGTTAACGTCCCCTACTATTATTGTATTGCAGTTTCTCTCTCCCTTTAGATATTAATATGTGCTTTATATACTTGAGTGCTTTGGTGTTGGATGCAGAAATATTTAAAGTTGTTATATCCTCTTACTGAACTGACGTCTTTCATTATATAATGACCTTGTCTCTTTTTACGTTTGATTTGTAGTCTATTTTATCTAAGTATAGCTACTCCTGCTATTTTTTTGTTTCCACTTACATGGAATATGTTTTTCATCCTTTCCCCTTCAGTGTTTGTGTGTCTTAATAGGTAAAATGTGTTTATTGTAGGTAACATATAGTTGGGTCTTGTTTCTTTATCCATTCTGCCACTTTGTGTCTTTTAATTGGAGAATTGAGTCCATTAATATTTAGTGTTATTATTCATAAGTGAAGACTTAGTAATGCAATTTTATTGCTTGTTTTCTGGTTGTTTTGTAACTTCTCTCTTCCTTTCTTACTGTTTTCATTTGTAGTTATGTGATTTTTCTCCGAAAGTATGTTTTAATTCATTGCTTTTCATTTTTAGTGAATATACCATAGGTTTTTGCATTGTGGTTACCATGAGGCTTACAAAAACATCTTATAGATAAAACAAGTTATTTTAAAAAGTTGGTAACTTTACTTAGATCACAAAGAAAATAATAGAAATAAACAAACAATGAGAAAAATAAACTCTACACTTTAACTCCATCCCACCCCTATATTTTGACTTAATTTACATATTTTTATATTACCTATCTCTTAACACATTGCTGTTGCTATCACTATTTTTGATAGGTTTGTCTTTTTGTCTTCATACTAGAATATGAGTGGGTTACACACCACAATTACAGTATTGCATTAGTCTGGGTTTGTCCATGTACTTAATACCAGTGGGTTTTATACCTTCAAATGTTTTCTTTCTGCATGTTAGTGGGTTTTTTTTTTTCTCTCCAATTGCAGAAATCCCTTTAGTGTTTCTTGTAAAATGGTTCTGGTGGTAGTGAATTCTCTCAGCTTTTGTTTGTCTGGAAAAGACTTTCCATCTCCTTCATATTTGAAGTATAGCTTTGCTGGATATGGTATTCTCAGATGATAGTGTTCTTATTTTTTTTTTTTAATATCACTTTGAAAATGTCATCCGAGTCCCTTGTGGCCTGTTTGGTTTCTGTTGTGAAGTCTGTTGCTAGATGCATTGGAGTTTCTTTAGGTTATTTGCTTTTTATCTTGCTGCTTTTGAGATCTTCTATATGTCCTTGACCTTTGAGAGTTTGTTTATTATATGCCTTAGGGTAGTTTCACTTGGGTCAAATCTGTTTGATGTTCTCTGACCTTTCTGTGCCTCATATGTATCTCTTTTTCAAGTTTTGGAAAGTTTCTTGTTATTATTTCTTTGAGTAAACTTTCTACCTTTGGATCCTACTCAACTTGCTCTTGAATACCAATAATTTTTAGATTTGGTCTTTTGAGGTAATGTTCTATATGTTTAGGTGATCTTTGTTTCTTTTCATTCTTTTTTTTAAATTTCTTCTCTATATATTTTCAAATAGCCTGTCTTTAAGTTCATTGATTCTTTCTTTTCCTTGACGAATCCTGCTGTTGAGAGACTTTAATAAATTGTTCATTTCAGCCAATGTGTCTCTCAGTTCCAAGATTTGTTTGATTTTTAAAAAATTATTTTAATCTCATTGTTAAATTTCTCTGATAGACTTCTGAACTGCCTTTCTGTGTTATCTTAGAGATCACCAAATTTCTTTAAAAGTGCTATTTTGAATTTTTGGTCAGAAAGCTTATGTTTCATTGTCTTGTTAGGGTCAGTCACTTGTACCTTGCTTTGTCCTTTTGGGGAAGTCATGGTTCTCTTTTTCTCTTGCTCCTTTTGGATGTACATCTGTGCCTTTGGATTGAATAGTTATTCATTCTAATCTTCTTTGTCTGGCTTGTACTATTTTTTTGTTGGATGTGTTTAGAGTTTCTTTTTAATTTTCCTGCAGATTTTCTCTCTCCCACCACCCCCACTATGTTACTGCCTCATTTTCAACACTAGATGGTGGTTAAGCCCAGGTTTGCCTCAGTCCTAGAAAAGAATCAGAGTTCCACCCATCTTAGGTGGGGGAGGTCTCAGATATTCTGGCAGCATGGGAAGGTTGGGTAGGGGTTCCTGCCTGAGGGACTCATAGAACAAATCCCCTACGTTGTGGTGCTGCTCAACAGCCATTCTGATTTGGCCTATCTACAGAGCAGAGTTTTCAGGGCTCCCCCATTTGTCTCTGGCTGTCCTCAGGGACATTTCTCCTTTCAGATACTCCAGTGCTTCTGTGGGTTGGGGCAGGGACAAGTCTCCTCCCAGGGAACCCAAGATGGTGCGGAAGGTGGTTTTCTACCTTGATTTCACTTTTTCCAGTGTAGAAACTCTGAGTTGTGGGGAATTATTCCACACATTTGGTGCTGGATAAACTGCGGCAAGAGGCTGAAAGTCTGATTCTCTTACTGTCTTCTTGGAGTTTATTCACTTCTCTGTGACCCCAGGAACTGTCTCCTTGCATTTGAGTTCTGGAATATTGTTGGTGATAATCTTGATGCTATACATTTGGTTTTTGGTTTTCTGTCGGGGTGTGGAGAAGTGAAGCCAGCTTGTTTCTATGCTGCCATTTTGGAACCAGATGTTGTCTTGTACTTTTAAAGTACTTGTTTACATGTAAATAATTGATTTAAATAATAGCTGACATACTATTAGCTACTCACTAAATTTGATTCATGAAGACTTCTCCATCAATGCATGTTTTACCAGCCTATGTAGTTTCTATCCAAACTTGCAAGTAAAATAACCCAGATTTTCTGGATCCCCTTGGGTAGCCCCTGTTTTTATCCTGCCTCATTCATTGGTGGGATACTGCAGAAGTGAGTACTTTGTGCAGCAGACTGGCTCCTCTATCAACCTCCTGCTCTCCTTTTACCCCCTAAATTTTAGCATCACTATTAGATCTGAATACTGGGAAGTAAAACAAAAATTCTGGTGGGAGAAGGAGAATAAAGACAACATCTGGCACTGATGATGGGCCAGGATTTGTTCTGAATATTTTATGTATCTAGGGGCATGCTACAGAATTTGTGGGGCCCAGGTCAAAGTTTTCTTGCTTGTTCTAAACTGATTAGGAATTTCAAGATGACAGCAGAGCATTAAACCAAGAAGGAGACCATACTAAGCACGAGGCCCTGTGGGACTGCAGAGATCATAAGCCCAGGAAGCTGGATCTGTTGTGGATTAACCCATTAATCTGCATAACTACATTTTGAGGTATTACCATCCTCATTCCTATTTTACAAATGGGAATGTTGAGGTACAGAAAGGTATATGTGATTAGTCCAAGATCATAGGTTTATGACAGCACAGCTGAGAATTGAACCCAGGTATTTTTGGTTCCTTAAACAGCATGCTCAGCTGCATCACTAGGGAGGAGAGTGTGGGGCCATACCTACAGCAAACTTTAGTAAACCCCCTCAGTTAAATCCCTGGACTGTTTCTCTAAAGTTTCTTTTCTCATGTGTCTACCTGTTCCCATACTCTGTCCCCTAAAATGAAAGCCTCTATAATGAAAACAAATCCTAAAGTCAAGAATAAACTGACCTCCCCCCAACCCCCAGTAACTTATTGGTTCCCTCTTCTATTGTAATTTAAACATATTACCTGGGGAATATCCTCCCACCATATACACACAAACCAAGAAACTTAATAATGTTTTAAGCCAATAAAAATCAATCTTGTCCTAGGAGCTATTTTACTGCTGAGATAATCAGATTTTCTCCATATTGTTATGGTAACAAAATTATATTTCCTTTAAAATATTCCACTTATTTTGTCCATTTATTCATGTTCATAGTTCTTTTCTTCCATTAGCCTAAATTTGCAAGGTTTCAATTCTAGATTGTTCCACATTCCAAGAAATTGTGATAATCAAGAGTGTATTTTAATCCATTTTGATTCACTTGATGTTTCAATACACTCAACATGCAATGAGAGGGTCACTATGCAGAAATGGCTTTGTGTATTTTGTGAAAACGTATTTCCTTGCCAAGGAGTTTTGCCAAAAAGTTAATCTTAATGCCAAGAAATATTACTGGCGAAATGAAAAAATGTGACATTCTATCCTTTGGGAGGGAACCTCAGAGACACTTTTTCAAGATACTTGAAGGTAATACCAGGTATTATTAGAGCAAACAATTGATTAATTTTGCAGCATTCATATCAGAAAACTACTATTTTTGTTTGTTTGTTTGTTTTTTTGAGATGGAATCTCACTCTGTCACCCAAGCTGGAGTGCCGTGGTGCAATCATAGGTCACTGCAGCTTCGATCTCCTGGACTAAGGCAATCCTCCCACCTCAGCCTCCCAAGTAGCTGGGACCACTAGAGCCTGCCACCATGCCCAGCTAATTAAAAAAATATATTTGTAGAGACAGGGTCTCCCTATGTTGCCCAGGCTGGTCTTGAACTCCCGGGTTCAAGCAATCCTCCAGTTGACCTCCCAAAGTGCTAAGATTACAGGCAGGAGCCATCATGCCTGGCCAGAAACTACTATGTTAAATAAGTCTTCTTTATAATAAAGTTGGAATTTCATGTAAGTGACTCATTAGAATGACTCAACTACTTGAGACTCCTTTCCCATGACTAAACTACAAGATAAGAAGAGTATATCTTATATTTCCAAATCTTCCTTCCCACGTCTCCCAGTTCCCATGCTAACGGGTATCTGCAAATTGGCTTGAAAGTTGAGGGAATGGAGGAAGGGTCAAGGATTGAAGGAGAAAAAATCTCCTTGGGAAAGTTTAAAATAAATTAAGTAGATCTGATTAGTAAAAGAAGACAGCTGCATTTCAAGAAGATGTTAAATGTTCTGTACAAATCATTTTATGTTGATTAAATGGTACGCTGTAATTTCTTTTCTAAATTGAATGGGCTACAGTGAAAAATGGTATTTGGCCCACCCTGCACAATAACTTTTCTCTGAAGACCTTTACTGTGAATTGAAAATTTTAAATTGGATGAGGAAACAACAATGCATGATGTTGCTTAGCAACTACTATATGTCTGTTCATAACAGAGACTCCAAATGGATAAGCTTTGGGTCACTTTGACAGACCAAATAAACTAATTACCTGAGGCAACATTAAATGAATTTCTACAAGCTGAACTTGTGCCAATGTCATTTTATTCATATATTTGTGCGAAGAAGAGAGGTTTTCATGATTGCAGAGGTTCATGACTTGAGTTACAGTTCTTGAATCAGTTGTACCCTGGGTGGCTAATAGAAGTGACTTTGGTGACGGTGGTGACCGGAGGTCAGGAACTGGGCAGGCTTCCAGCTGCAGATGGGTCAGTTTGGCCTTCACACTTGTCCAGTGATTTTGGGAGATATAGATTGCCTCCCAAGAGCAGAGGTAGGTGAGGGCTTTCCTTCTCATCCTCCATCACCTTATTACCAAGTGTTGACAAAGAAAGCAAGTCTTAGAATGAATTCTGCCCACCTCATTGCCAAAAAGCTTTGTTTAATAAGGAAGCAGAAAACCTGTCTTGGGAGCCCAGCGAAGTTTCCACTCTCTGTCCGTAGCCTCTTTGAAAGTTAAAGCACGCAGCAGAATTCTTAGCAATTCTGTGGAATCCAAAGACTTAATGTCATCATAGGCCTGGTGTTAGACTGCTAGTGAGACTTTTGTGCCCTGGCCATGCCTGAGCACAGGTGCCTGGAAAATATTTCTAGCCAATTCAGATACCTTGAAACCATTCATTTTACTAACAAAAAATTATTTCTAGCAAAACAAACTCTCTGATTCAGAGTGTAATAGTTGAATAGCTCTTGGTTGAATAGTTCTAGGTTGTCGACTTCTGAAAGGATCTTTCAAATACTAAGGAATTGCTCCAAGAGGGTAGATTCTTGATTGAGGCATGTACAATATTAACTCCCTACTCCCAGGTTGTGGATTAAAATGGATTTACACATGCTTGTGTATTTTGTTGAGTCTAAGATGCCATCACCTGTTTGCATAGTTTGCAAACATTTTCTCCCATTCTATAGGTTGTTTCTTTACTCAATTCATAGTTTCTTTTGCAGTGAAGAATCTCTTTAGGTTAATTAGAACCCATTCATCAATTTTTGTTTTTGTTATAATTTCTTTCAGCATCTTTGTCATGAAATCTTTGCCAAGTCCTATATTCAGAATGGTATTTCCTAGGTTATCTTCCTGGGTTTTTATAGTTTTAGGTTTTACATTTAAGTCTTTAATCCATCTTGAGTTTATTTTTGTATGTGGTGTAAGAAAGAGGTCCATTTCAGAGTTCCAAGATGGCCATATAGCAACAGCTCTGGTCTGCAGTTCCCAGCGAGATCAACACAGAAGAAGGGTGATTTCTGCATTTCCAACTGAGGTACCTGGTTCATCTCATTGGGACTGGTTGGACAGTGGGTGCAGCCCATGGAGGGCGAGCTGAAGCAGGGCAGTGTGTCACCTCACCCAGGAAGTGCAAGGGGTCAGGGTATTACCCTTTCCTAGCCAAGGGAAGCTGTGACAGTCTGTACCTGGAGGAATGGTACACTCCTGTCCAAATACTATGCTTTTCCCACAGTCTTCACAACCGGCAGACCAGGAAATTCCCTCCTGTGCCTGGCTCGGTGGGTCCCAGCCCCACGGTGCCTTGCTCACTGCTAGCGCAGCAGTATGACATCAACCTGCAATGCTGCTGCTTGGCGGGGGGAGGGGCATCCACCATTGCTGAGGCTTGAGTAGGCGGTTTTGTGCTCACAGTGTAAACAAAGAGGCCAGGAAGCTCAAACTGGGTGGAGCCCACCACAGCTCAGCAAGACCTACTGCCTTGCTGTAGACTCCATCTCTGTGGGCAGGGCATATCAGAACAAAAGGCAGCAGACAGCTTCGGCAGACCTAAACGTCCCTGTCTGACAGCTCTGAAGAGAGCAGTGGTTCTCCCAGCATGGGATTTGAGCTCTGAGAATGGACAGACTGCCTCCTCAAGTAGATCCCTGACCCCCATGTAGCCTGACTGGGAGACACCTCCCAGTAGAGGCTGACAGACACCTCACACAGGCAGGTGCCCCTCTGGGATGAAGCTTCCAGAGGAAGGACCAGGCAGAAATATTTGCTGTTCTGCATCCTCTGCTGGTGACACCCAGGCAAACAGGGTCTGGAGTGGACCTCCAGCTAACTCCAACAGACCTGCAGCTGAGGGGCCCGACTGTTAGAAGGAAAACTAACAAACAGAAAGGAATAGCATCAGCATCAACAAAAAGCACATCTACACCAAAACCCCATCTGTAGGTCACCATCATCAAAGACCAAAGGTAGATGAAACCACAAAGATGGGGAGAAACCAGAGCAGAAAAGCTGAAAATTCCAAAAACCAGAGTGCCTCTTCTCCTCCAAAGGATCACAGCTACTGGTCAGCAAAGGAACAAAACTGGATAGAGAATGAGATTGATGAGTTGACAGAAGTAGGCTTCAGAAGGTTGGTAATAACAAACTTCTCCAAGCTAAAGGAGCATGTTCCAACCTATAGCAAGGAAGTTAAAAACCTTGAAAAAAGGTTAGACAAATGGCTAACTAGAATAAACAATGTGGAGAAGACCTTAAATGACCTGCTGGAGCTGAAAACCACAGCACAAGAACTTCGTGACGCATGCACAAGCTTCAGTAGCTGACTCGATCAAGTAGAAGAAAGGATATCAGTAATTGAAGATCAAATTAATGAAATAAAGTGACAAGACAAGATTAGAGAAAAAGGAGTGAAAAGAAATGAACAAAGCCTCCAAGAAATATGGGACTATATGAAAAGACCAAATCTATGTTTGATTGGTCTTCCTGAAAGTGATGGGGAGAATGGATCCAAATTAGAAAACACTCTTCAGGGTATTATCCAGGAGAAATTCCCCAACCTAGCAAGACAAGCCAACATTCAAGTTTAGGAAATACAGAGAACACCAGAAAGATATTTCTTGAGTAGAGCAACCTGAAGGCACACAATTGTCAGATTCACCAAGGTTGAAATGAAGGAAAAAATGTTAAGGGCAGCCAGAGAGAAAGGTCGGGTTACCCACAAAGGGAAGCCCATCAGACTAACAGCAGATCTCTCTGAAGAAACTCTACAAGCCAGAAGAGAGTGGGGGCCAATATTCAACATTCTGAAAGAAAGAATTTTCAACCCAGAATTTCATATCCAGCCAAACTAAGCTTCATAGTGAAGGAGAAATAAAATCCTTTACAGACAAGCAAATACTGAGAGATTTTGTCAGCACCAGACCTGCCTTACAAGAGCTCCTGAAGGAAGCACTAAACGTGGAAATGAACAACCAGTACCAGACACTGCAAAAACATACCAAATTGTGAAGACCATTGACACTATGAAGAAACTGGATCAATTAATGGGCAAAATAACCAGCTAACATCATAATGACAAGATCAAATTCACACATAACAATATTAACCTTAAATGTAAATGGGCTAAATGCCCCCAATTAAAAGACATATACTGGCAAATTGGATAAAGAGTCAAGACCCATCAGAGTGCTGTATTCCGGAGACCCATCTCATGTGCAAAGACACACATAGGCTCAAAATAAAGGGAATGAGGAAGATCAACCAAGCAAATGGAAAGCAAATAAAGCAGGGGTTGCAATCCTAGTCTCTGATAAAACAGACTTTAAACCAACAAAGATCAAAAGAGACAAAGGAGGCCATTACATTATGGTAAAGGGATCAATTCAACAAGAAGAGTGAACTATCCTAAATATATATGTATCCAATACAGGAGCACCCAGATTCATAAAGCAAGTCCTTAGAGACCTACAAAGAGACTTAGACTCCCACACAATAATAATGGGAGACTTTAACACCCCACTGTCAATATTAGACAGATCAACAAGACAGAAGGTTAACAAGGATATCCAGGACTTGAACTCAGCTCTGTACCAAGCAGACCTAATAAACATCTACAGAACTCTCCATCCCAAATCAACAGAATATACATTCATCTCAGCACCACATCGCACTTATTCTAAAATTGACCACATAGTTAGAAGTAAAGCACTCCTCAGCAAATGCAAAAGAACAGAAATCACAACAAACTGTCTCTCAGACCACAGTGCAATCAAATTAGAACGCAGGATTAAGAAACTCACTCAAAACCGTTCAAGTACATGCAAACAGAACAACCTGCTCCTGAATGACTACTGGGTAAATAATGAAATGAAGGCAGAAATAAAGATGTTCTTTGAAACCCGTGAGAACAAAGACACAACATACCAGAATCTCTGGGACACATTTAAAGCAGTGTGTAGAGGGATATTTATAGCACTAAATGCCCACAAGAGAAAGCAGGAAAGATCTAAAATTGACACCCTAACATCACAATTAAAGGAACTAGAGAAGCAAGAGAAAACAAATTCAAAAGCTAGCAGAAGGCAAGAACCAACTAAGATCAGAGCAGAACTGAAGAGACATGAAAAACCCTTCAAAAAAATCAATGAATCTGGTTTTTTGAAAAGATCAACAAAATAGACTGCTACCAAGACTAACAAAGAAGAAATGAGAGAAGAATCAAATAGATGCAATAAAAAATGATAAAGGGGATATCACCACTGACCCCACAGAAATACAAACTGCCGTCAGAGAATACTATAAACATTTCTTTGCAAATAAACTAGAAAATCTAGAAGAAATGGATAAATTCCTGCACACATATACCCTCCCAAGACTAAACCAGGAAGAAGTTGAATCTCTGAATAGACCAATAACAGGTTCTGAAATTGAGGCAATAATTAATAGCCTACAAATAAAAAAAATTCCAGGACCAGATGGATTCACAGCCGAAATCTACCAGAGGTACAAAGAGAAGCTGGTACCATTCTTTCTGAAACTATTCCAAACAACAGAAAAAGAGAGAATCCTTCCTAACTCATTTTATGAGGCCAGCATCATCCTGATACCAAAGCCTGGCAGAAACAAAACAAAAAAGAGAATTTTAGGCCATTATCCCTGATGAACATCAATGCAAAAATGCTCAATAAAATACTGGCAAAAGGAATCCAGCAGCACATCAAAAAGCTTATCCACCATGATCAAGTTGGCTTCATCCCTGGGATGCAAGGCTGGTTCAACATACACAAATCAATAAATGTAATCCATCACATAGGCAGAACCAAGGAAAAAAACCACATGATTATCTCAATAGATGCAGAAAAGGCCTTCTACAAAATTCAACAGCCCTTCATACTAAAAACTGCCAATAAACTAGGTATTGATGCAACATATCTCAAAATAATAAGAGCTATTATGACAAACCCACAGCCAGTACCATACTGAATGGGCAAAAACTGGAAGCATTCCCTTTGAAAACTGACACAAGGCAAGGATGCCCTCTCTCACCACTCCTATTCAACATAGCGTTGGAAGTTCTGGCCAGGGCAATCAGGCAAGAGAAAGAAATAAAGGGTACTCAGTTAGGAAAAAAGGAAATCAAATTGTCTCCGTTTGCAGATAATATGATTGTATATTTAGAAAACCCCATTGTCTCAGCCCCAAATCTCCTTAAGCTAATAAGCAACTTGAGCAAAGTCTCAGGATACAAAATCAATGTGCAAAAATCACAAGCATTCTTATACACCAATAACAGACAAACAGAGAGCCAAATCGTGAGTGAACTCGCATTCACAATTACTACAAAAAGAATAAAATACCTAGGAATCCATCTTATAAGGGATGTGAAGGACCTTTTGAAGGAGAACTACAAACCACTGCTCTATGAAGTAAAAGGGGACACAAACAAATTGAAGAACATTCCATGCTCCTGGATGGGAAGAATCAGTATCATGAAAATGGCCATACTGCCCAAGGTAATTTATACATTCAATGTCATCCCTATCAAGCTACCAATGACTTTGTTCACAGAATTGGAAAAATCTATTTTAAAGTTCATATGGAACCAAAAAAGAGCCCACATAGCCAAGACAATCCTATGCAAAAAGAACAAAGCCAGGGCATCACACTATCTGACTTCAAACTATACTACAAGGCTACAGTAACAAAAACAGCATGGTACTGGCACCAAAACAGAGATATAGACCAATGGAACAGAACAGAGGCCTCAGAAATACCACCACACATCTACAGCCATCTGATCTTTGACAAACCTGACAAAAACAAGCACTGGGGAAAGGATTCCCTATTTAATAAATGGTGCTGGGAAAACTGGCTAGCCACATGTAGAAAGCTGAAACTGGATCCCTTCCTTACAGCTTATATGAAAATTAAGTCAAGATAGGTTAAAGACTTAAATGTAAGACTTAAAACCAGAAAAACCCTAGAAGAAAACCTAGGCAATACCATTCAGGACATAGGCATGGGCAAAGACTTCATGACTAAAACACCAAAAGCAATGGCAACAAAAGCCAAAATTGACAAATGGGATCTAATTAAACTAAACAGCTTCTCCACAGCAAAAGAAACTACCATCAGAGTGAACAGGCAACCTACAGAATAGGAGAAAATTTTTGCAACCTATCCATCTGACAAAGGGCTAATATCCAGAATCTACAAAGAACTCACATTTACAAGAGAAAAACAACCCCATCAAAAAATGGGCAAAGGATATGAATGGACACTTCTCAAAAGAAAACGTTTATGCAGCCCACAGACATATGAAAAAATGCTCATCATCACTGGTCATCAGAGAAATGCATATCAAAACCACAATGAGATACCATCTCACACCAGTTAGAATGGCGATCATTAAAAAGTCAGGAAACAATAGGTGCTGGAGAGGATGTGGAGAAATAGGAATAGTTTTACACTGTTGGTGGGAGTGTAAATTAGTTCAACTGATGTGGAAGACAGTGTGGCGATTCCTCAAGGATCTAGAACTAGAAATACCATTTGACCCGGCCATTCCATTACTGGGTATATACCCAAAGGATTATAAATCATGCTGTTATAAAGACACATGTATGTTTATTGCAGCACTCTTCACAATAGCAAAGACTTGGAACCAGCCCACATGCTGATCAATGATAGACTGGATTAAGAAAATGTGGCACATATACACCACGGAATACTATGCAGCCATAAAAAAGGATGAGTTCATGTCCTTTGCAGAGACATGGATGAAGCTGCAAACCATCATTCTCAGCAAACTATCACAAGGACAGAAAACCAAACACCACATGTTCTCACTCATAAGTGGGAGTTGAACAATGAGAGCACATGGACACAGGGCGGGGAACATCACACACTGGGGCCTGTTGTGGGGTGTGTGGCTGGGGGAGGGATAGCATTAGGATAAATACCTAATGTAAATGACGAGTTGATGGGTGCAGCACACCAACATGAAACATATATCTATGTAACCTGCACATTGTGCACATGTACCCTAGTACTTAAAGTATAATTTTTAAAAATTATAATAATCAATGGGAAAGTTTGCACTAGGAAAATACAGTTGTGCACATGTCAAGACACCTATTTTAGAAATTAAAGTATACATTTGTTATTTTTTGGATGCAAAAGAAAGAGGTCCAGTTTCAATCTCTGCATATATACCTAGCCATTTATCCCAGTACCATTTATTAAATGGGAAATGCTTTCTCTATTGCTTATTTTTGTAAGGTTTGTCGAAGATCAGATGGTCATAGGTGTGCAGCATTATTTCTGGGTTCTCTGTTCACTTCCTTTGGTCTATGTGTCTATTTTTGTACAAGTACCATGCTGTTTGGTTACCAGTACCCTGTAGTATACTTTGAAGTTGGGTAACATGATGCCTCCAGTTTTCTTATTTTTGCTTAGGATTGCCTTTGCTATTTGGGCTTTTTTTGTTCTATATGAATTTTAAAATATTAATAGTTTTTCTAGTTCTGTGAAGAATGTCATCAGTCATTTGATAGAAATAGCATTGAATCTGTAAATTGTCTTGGGCAGAATGGCCATTTTAGTGATATTGATTCTTCCTGTCCATAAGTATGTAATGTTTTTCCATTTGCTTGTGTTTTTGCTGATTTCTTTGAGCAGTGTTTTGTAATTCTTGTTGTAGAGGCCTTTCACCTGCCTGGTTAGGTGTATTCCTAGGTATTTTATTTTTTGTGGCAATTGTGAATGCAGTTTCATTTGTGATTTGGCTCTTGGTTTGGATCTTGGTGTATAGGAATGCTACTGATTTTTGTACATTAAGTTTGTATCCTGAAACTTTGCTGAAGTTGTTTATCAGATCAAGGAGATTATGGGCAGAAACTATGGGGTTTTCTAGAGATAGAATCATGTTTTCTGTAAGCAGGGATACTTTGACATACTCTCTTTCTCTCTGGATGCCTTTTCTTTCTCTTGCCTGATTGCTCTGGCCAGCACTTCCAATACTGTATTGAATAGGAGTGGTAAGAGAGGGTATCCTTGTCTCGTTCTGGTTTTCAAGGAGAATGTTTCCTGCCCACTCAGTATGTTGGCTGTGGCTTACTCATAGATG